>NC_000001.11:104553835-107053835 GCF_000001405.40 Homo sapiens
CAAAATAAAGTCAGTAATAAATAGCCTCCCACCAAAAAAAAATCCCATGACCAGGCAGAGTCACAGTTAAATTATACCAGATATACAAAGAAAAGTTGGTATCATTTCTGCTGAAACTATTCCAAAAAAGAATTAGAAGGAGAAACTCCTCCCCAAATCATCCTGTGAAGCTAGAATCATTCTGATACCAAAACCTGGCAGACACACCCACACACACAAAAAAACTTCAGGCCAATATCTTTGATTAATATTGATGTGAAGCTATCAACAAAATACTGGCAAACTGAATCCAGCAGCGCATCAAAAAGCTAATCTATTATGATCAAGTAGGTTTTTCTCTGGGACATAAGGTTGGTTCAACATACTCAAATCAATAAATGTGATTCATCACGTCAATAGAAGGGGAAAAAAATCACATGATAATAAAAAAGCCTTTTGATAAACTTTAAATTCCTCATAATAAAAACTGTCAATAAACTAGGTGTTGAAAAAAATAGGCCTTAAAATAATAATAGACATCTGTAGCAAACAGGCAACCAATATCATACTGAAGGGGCAAAAGCTGGAAGCATTCCCCTTGAAAACGGGCACAAGACAAGGATGCTCTCTCTCACCACTCCTATTCAACATAGTTTTGAAAGTCTGGGCCAGAGCAACCAAGCAAGAGAGAAATAAATGACATTTAAATAGAAAGAAAGAAAGTACAACTATTTATGTTTGCAGACAATCCTGTATCTAAAAAAAACCCATAGTCTTGGCCCAAAATCTTCTTAAGCTTAGAAACAACTTCAAAGTTTCAGGATACAAAATCGATTTGCAAAAATCGCTAGCACTTTTATACACTAACAAGTCAAGCCGAGAACCAAATCAGGATTTTGTTATTTGGTACAATAACATTAATAATTGCCACAAAAATGGTAAAATACATAGGAATAAAGCCAGCCAGGGATAACTACAAAATACTGCTCAAAGAAATCATAGGTGATACAAACAAATAAACAAATGGAAAAACATTTCATGCTAATGGATAGAAGGAATATCATTAAAATGGCCATACAGCCCAAAGCAATGTATAAGCTTAATGGTATTTCTTTTAAACTACCAATGACATTCTTCACAGAACTGGAAAAAAATAAAAAATAGTTTAAAATTTATATAAAACAAACAAAAAAAAAGCCTGAATAGCCAAGGCAATCCTAAGCAAAAAGAACAAAGCTGAAGATACCATGTTACTTGACTTCAAACTATACTACACTGCTACAGTAACCAAAGCAGCATGGTACTGGCACAAAAACAGTTGCATAGACTAATGGAACAGAATAGAGGGCCCAGAAATAAGACCACACATCTACAACTATCTGATCTTCAACAAAGCTGACAAAAGCAAGCAATGGGGGAAGAAAACAAAACAAAACAAAAACCCTCTCCGTTCAATAAATGGTGCTGGGCTAACTGGCTAGCCTTATGCAGAAGATTGAAACTGGACCCCTTTCTTACACTATATACAAGAACGAACCCAAGATGGGTTAGGCTTAAATATAAAACTTAAAACTGTAATAACCCTAGTGAAAAACCTAGGAAATACCATTCTGGACACAGGAATGGGCAAAGATTTCACCATGAAGTTACGAAGAGGAATTGCAACAAAAACAAAAATTGACAAATTGAACCTAATTAAACTAAAGAGCTTATGCACAACAAAAGAAACTATCAACAGAGTGAACAGACCACCTACAGAATTAGATAAAATTTTTGTAAACTGTGTGTGATGGTTAATATTGAGTATTAACTTGATTGGATTGAAAGATACAAAGTACTGATCCTGGGTGTGCTATAAGGGTGTTGCCAAAAGAGATTAACATTTGAGTCAGTGGGATGAGACCTACCCTTAATCTAGGAAGGCACAATTTAATCAGCTGCCAGCATGGCCAGTATATAAGCAGGCAGAAAAATGCGAAAGGAGAAACTGGCCTAGCTTTCTGGTCTACATCTTTCTCCTGTGCTGGATGCTTCCTGCCCTCGAAAATTGCACTTCAAGTTCTTCAGTTGTGGAACTCAAACTGCCTCTCCTTCCTCCTCAGCCAGTAGGTGGCCTATTGTGGAACCTTGTAATCATGTGAGTTAATAATTAACAAACTTCCCTTTATATATTATATATAATTTATGTATATAATACATATAATATAATTTATATATTATATATAATATACAACATAATTTATATATTATAATATACAACATAATTTATATATTATATATATACAACATAATTTATATATTATATATGATATAATTTACATATTATATATGATATATTATATATGATGTAATTTACATATTATATATGATATATAATATATAATTTACATATTATATATGATATATTATATATGATATAATTTACATATTATATATGATATATGTTATATATGATCTATTATATATCATATATAATAATATAATGTAATATAATATATAATATATTTCATATAATTTATATATTATGTATATAATGGACTATATATATATATATATATATATATTCCATTAGTTCTGTCTAGAAAACACTGACTAATAAAATTTTAGTACCAGGAGTCATTCTAGAGGAAAAACTATTAAGGATGGAGCTCTTCCATTGGTTTTGGGGTTTCTGGAGTTGGCTGCCTAATATGATTAGGCCCCCAAATGCTAAAGGCTCTTCTTCTAATAGTATGAAGAATACTAATAGTCCTTGGTGTGAACTGTTTAGAGAGTTATGCAAAATAAATGCATTTGACACTACTGATTCACCTTTCATGAGAGGCAAGGAGTTTAGTGACGCTATACATAATGCCTTTGACTATATGTGGAGAACCAAGGAACATAATGAAGCTGGTTGGTTGCTCCTAAGTTCAGTGGACAAAGTGATTAAAAAAAAAAAAAGGACGAATGCAGGGATTCTATCTCCCAGCTTCAGAAGCAGACACTGAGCCTCAAATCTGCTAAAATTGCCTTGAGTGAGAGTCTTATCTCCCATACAGAAAAAGCTGAAATTGTGGAAAACAGACATGAGCCCTTATCATGCAAGTGGCTGACTTGCAATGAACGGTGCATGCACAGCCTCACCAGGTGTCTACTGTTAAAGCCAGGACATTGATTGAAAAAGAATGGGACCTTTCAACATGGGATGGAAACGTGTAGGGGGACCCTGATGAAGCTGAGGACACTGAGTTTGTAAACTCTGATGAACCATTTTTGCCAGAAGAAACAGTTTCTCCATCCCCAGTAGTGGCAACTTCCCTCCCCGATCCACATTGCCATCAGCCTGTCCAACTTCGTCTGAGGAGATAAACTCTGTGCTGCCTGAGGCAACAGTGGTGGCTTCCCCTGAAGCAGTTGCAGGGCAAAATAATGTGGATTCTCCTCAGGAGCCACCCCCAACACCCCTGTTTCCTTCTAGACCTATAACTAGACATAAGTCCCAGTCAGAGTCTAGTGGTAAGGTTGAGAGTGTTACCAATGAGGAGATGTGCTACACTCGAAAAGAACTTCCTGAGTTTTCTACTTGATAAAACAGAAATCTGAAGAATAGGCATGGGAAGGATATTAAGGGTGTGGGATAATGATGGAAGGAACATAAAATTGGCTGAACTTATTGATTTGGGCCCACTAGAGACTCTGCATTTGATGTTGCAGCTCAGGAAGAAAAAAAAAGGTTCTAATACTTTATTTGCTTGGTTAGCTGAAATATGGATTAAAAGATGGGAGACTGTGAGCAAGCTAAAAAAAATGCCTAATCTCCCTTGGTTTAATGTAGAGGAAAGGACCCAAAGGCTTAGGGAGGTTGGGATGGTGGAGAGAATTAGTCACTTTAGACATACTCATCCCAGCTGGGAGGGTACAGAAGATATACTCTTGACCAATAATTTGTGAAATAGATTTGTGAGGGCAGCACCTGCATCATTGAGAAGCCCTGTAATTGCTCCTTTTTGTATGTCAGATTTAACAGTGGGAACTACAATCACTTAACCTCAACATTTAAATCCAAGGAGAATAATTGAATCCTGAGATGGCAGGGGGCAAGTGGTGGCACTCAGCCGTCAAAGGCAAGGTGGGCATAGCTACCGTAGTGGAAAGCAGAGGCAAAGCAGCAATTAGAATAATCTTACTCATGTAGAGCTCTAGTCCTGGTTAATTAATCACGGTGTTCCTAGAAGTGAAATTGATAGGAAGCCTGCTGCATTTCTACTTAACTTATATAAGCAAAAAACTTCTAGGTCAAATGGATAAAAGACTAATATAAATTACAGGGAGGCTGGTTCCCCTTGAGGGCAGACCCCACTGCATTACTGACAATGTATGCAGAGAATCTTTCTCCCATTCTTCCCCAAGTAGACTTCCAGCCTTTTACCAGGGTAACTGCATTGGGGAAAAGAAAATGATCAGACATTTCAGTGACTACTAGACACTGGCTCTTAGCTGATGTTGATTCCAGTGGACCCAAAACATCACTGTGGTCCTTTGAGTTAAAGTAGGGGCTTATGGAGATCAGGTAATTAATGGAGTTTTAGCTCAGGTCTGACTTACAGTGGGTCCAGTGGGTCCCCGGACTCATCCTGTGGTCATTTCCCCAGTGCCAGCATGTATAATTGGCATAGACATATTTAGCAGCTGGCAGAACCCCCACATTGGCTCCCTGACTGGTAGGGTGAGGGCTATTATGGTGAGAAAGGCCAAATGAAAGCTGCTAGAGCTGCCTCAACCTAGGAAAATAGTAAATCAAAAACAATATTGCATCCCGGGAGGAATTGCAGATTAGTGCCACCATCAAGGACTTGAAAGACTCAAAGGTGGTGATTCTCACACTTGACAAATGCCTTTTTCTCCATTCCCATCCATAAGACCCACCAGAAGAAATTTGCCTTCAGCTGGCAAGGCTAGCAGTATACATTTATTGTCCTACCTCTGGAGTATATTAACTCTCTGGCTTTGTGTCATAATCCTATTCAAAGAGACCTTGATCCCTTTTTGCTTCTGCAGGATATCACACTAGTCTATTACATTAATGACATTATGCTGATTGGATCCACTGAGCAAGAAGTCACCACAGTGATCTTATCGATGAGACATTTGTTTGCCAGAGTATGGGAAAAAAATTCAATCTAAATTCAGGAAATAAATCCAGCTAAATTTCTATCTCAGTAAATTTCCTAGGGGCCCAGTTGTGTGGGGCCTATCAAGATATTCCTTCTAAGGTGAAGGATAAGTTGCTGCATTGGGCCCCTCCTACATCCAAGAAAGAGCCACAATACCTAGTGGGCCTATTTGGATTTTGGAGGAAACACATTCTTCATTTGGATGTGTTACTCTGGCCCATTTATTGAGTTACCAAAAAGGCTGCAGTTTTGAATGGGGTCCAGAACAAGAGAAGGCTCTACAACAGGACCAGGTTGTTGTGCAAGCTGCTCTGCCTCTTGGGCCATATGACCCAGCAGATCCAATGGTGCTTGAGGTGTCAGTGGCAGATAGGGATGCTGTTTGGAGCCTTTGGTAGGCCCCCATAGGTGAATCACAATGAAGGCCTCTAGGAGTTTGAAGCAAGACCCTGCCATCTTCTGCAGATAACTACTCTCCTTTTGAGAGACAACTCTTGGCCTGTTACTAGGCTTTGGTGGAAACTGAATGTTTGACTGTGGGTCATTAAGTGACCATGCGACCTGAACTGCCTATCATGAACTGGGTGCTTTCTGACCCATCTAGCCATAAAGTGGGTCATGCACAGCAGCATTCCATCATCATATGGAAGTGGTATATATGTGATCGGGCTCAAGCAGGTCCTGAAGGCACATGTAATTCACAGGAGAAAGAGGCTCAAATACTCATGGTCTCCACTCCTGCCACCCTGCCTTCCCTCCCCTGCACTAATTGCCTCATGGGGAGTTCCTTATGATCAGTTGGCAGAGGAAGAGAAGTCTGGGGCCTGGTTCACAGATGATTCTGCATGATATGCAGGCACCACCCGAAAGTGGACAGCTGCAGCACTACAGCCTTTTTCTAGGACATCCCTAAAGGACAGCAGTGAAGGGAAATCTTTCAAGTGGGCAGAACTTCAAGCAGTGCACCTGGTTGTGCACTTTGCATGGAAAGAGAAATGGCCAGATATGTGATTATATACTGATACGTGGGCTGTAGCCAATGGTTTGGCTGGATAATCAAGGACTTGGAAGAAGCCCGATTGGAAAACTAGTGACAAAGAAATCTGGGGAAGAGGTATGCAGATGGACCTCTCTGAGTAGTCAAAAACTGTGAAGATATTTGTATCCCATGTGAGTACTCACCAAAAGATGACCTTAGCAGAGGAGGATTTTAATAATCAAGTGAATAGAATGACCCATTCTGTGAACACAACTCAGCCTCTTTCCCCACGTCTCTCACCCCTGTCATTGCCTAATGGGCCCACGAACACAGTGTCCATGGTGGCAGGGATGGAGGTTATGCATGGGCTCAGCAACATGGACTTCCACTTACGAAAGCTGACCTGGCTACAGCCAGTGTTGAGTGCCTAGTTTGCCAGCAGCAGCGACCAACACTGAGCCCTCGATATGACACCATTCCTAGGGATAATCAGCCAGCTACTTGGTGGCAGGTTGATTATGACCTCTTATGTTGTGGAAAGGGCAGAGATTTGTCCTCATGGGAATAGACACTTACTCCAGATATGGGTTCGCATATCCTGCACACAGTGCTTCTGCCAAGACTATCATCCGTGCACTCACGGAATGCCTTATCCACCATGATGGTATTCAACACAGCATTGTCACTGACCAAGATACTCAATTTATGGCTAAAGAAGTGTGGCAGTGGGCTCATGCTTATGAAATTCACTGGTCTTACCATGTTCCTCATCATCCTGAAACAGCGGGATTGATAGAATGGTGGAATGGCCTTTTGAAGTCACAATTGCAATGCCAACTAGATTACAATACTTTGCAGGGCTGGGGCAAAGTTCTCCAGAGGGCCATGTATGCTCTGACTCAGTGTCCAAAATAGGGTACTGTTTCTCCCATAGCAAGGATTCATGGGTCCAGAAATCAAGGAGTGGAAGTGGCACCACTCATCATCACCCCTAGTGATCCACTAGCAAAATTTTTCCTTCCTGTTCCATCGACATTAGGTTCTGCTGGCCAAGAGGTCTTAGTCTCAGAGACAGGAATGCTGCCACCAGGAGACACAACAACAATTCCATTGAAATGGAAGTTAAGATAGCCACCTGAGCACTTTGGGCTCCTCCTACCTTTAAGTCAACAGGCTAAGAAGGGAGTTACAGTGTTGGCTGTGGTGATTGACCTGGACTATCAAGACCAACAACAGAAGTAAGGAAGAGTATGCATGGAATACAGGAGACCCATTAGAACATCTCTTAGTATTACCATGCTCTGTGATTAAGGTCAATGGGAAACTACAACAGCCCAATCCAGGCAGGACTGCAAATGACCCAAACCCTTCAGGAATGAAGATTTAGGTCCACCAGGAAAAAAAAAAAAGAAAACACAAACACAATCTGCTGAGGTGCTTGCTGAAAGCAAAGGGAATACAGAATGTCTAGTAAAAGGTAGTCAGCAATACCAGCTAAGACCACATGACCAGCTACAGAAATGAGGATTGTAACAGTCATGAGTTTTTCTCCTTCTTTTATTAAAAACATGTTTGTGCATGTATACACTTGTACTAAGAAAATACCTTCATTTTATTTTATTTTTCTTTTATCATGTGACATAAGATTTATTGACTTCACATCAGCATTTAAGTATTGTTAACTTTATGCAATAGTATTTGGGTTGGGGATTGGTGCATTTCTGGTTGTATGAAGGATAGTTTTATTATGTTAGGTATAATTGTGACCTTATTATTTTCTTTATTTAAAGACTATGTATGATCCCAGGAGATGTGTATGGGTTCAAGTTGACAAGGGGTGGACTTGTGATGGTTGATACTGAGTGTCAACTTGATTGAATTGAAGGATACAAAGTAATGATCCTGGGTGTGTCTGTGAGGGTGTTGCCCAAAGAGATGAACATTTTGAGTCAATGGGCTGGGAGAGGCAGACCCACCTTTAATCCGGGTGGTCACAATCTAAACAGCTGCCAGCGCAGTTAGAATATAAGCAGGCAGAAAAATGTAAAAGGAGAGACTGGCCTAGTCTCCAGGCCTACATCTTTCTCTCATTCTGGATGCTTCCTGCCCTCAAACTCAGACTCCAAATTCTTAAATTTTGGGACTCGGACTTGCTCTCCTTTCTCCTCACCCTGCAGACGGTCTATTGTGAGACCTTGTGATTGTGTGAGCTAATACTTTATAAACTCTCCTTTACATATATATATATATATATACACACACACACACACACTAATAGTATATATAATATATACTGATAATATAGAATAATAATATACTAATAGTGTATATATATACACTATATAGTATATATATATACTAAATAGTATATATATACTAAATAGTATATGTGTGTGTATATATATGTATATATATATATATATATATCCCTAATACATTGTGCATGTGAAAAAGGTCTAATAGCCAGCATCTATAACAAATTTAAACAAATTTACTAGAGAAAACAAACAATCCCATTAAAAAGTAGGCAAAGAACATGACCAGACACTTTCCAAAAGAAGAAATGCATGTGGCCAACAAGCCTATGATAAAAAGCTTAATATCACTGATCATTAGAGAAATGCAAGTCAAAACTCCAATGAGATACCATCTCACACCAGTCAGAATGGCTATTAACAAAAAGTCAAAAAATAACAGATGCTGGTGAGGTTAGGGAGAAAAGGGAATACTTATACACTGTTCGTGGGTGTGTAAATTAGTTCAACTACGGTGGAAAGTGGTATAGCAATTCTTCAAAAAGTTAAAAGCAGAAATACCACTTGACCCAGCAATCCCATTACTTGGTATATACCCAAAGAAATATAAATCATTCTACCATAAAGACTCATGCATGTGAATGTTTACTGCAGCACTCTTCACAATGGCAAAGACATGGAATCAACCTAAATGTCCATCAGTAACAGATTGGATAAAGAAAATATGGCACAGCTACACCATGGAAAAGCATGCAGTCATAAAGAAAAGAATGAGATCATGTATTTTGCAGGAACATGAATGGAGCTGGAGGCTATAATCTTTTGTTAACTAAGGCAGAAACAGAAAACCAAATACCACATGTTCTCACTTACAAGTGGGAGCTAAATGATGAAAACTAATGAGCCCAAAGAATTGAACAACAGGTACTGGAGTCCATTTGAGGGTGAAGGATGGGAGGAGGGAGAAGAGCAGGAAAGATAACTATTGGGTACTGGGATTAATTCCTGGATGATGAAATAATCTGTAAAACAAATCCCCATGACATAAGTTTACTTATATAACAAATCTGCACATGTACCCCTGAACTTAAAAAAAAAGTTAAAACAAAAGGAAAGACCATGATACTAAGGAATTCTCAGGGTGTGGAATAAACTGAAGGAATCAAAACATCTGTTTATGTGAAAGCTTTTAATATTCCAGGTAGGGAGGGAGGGTGTAAGGTAGTTAATCTTTTATAAGGAATATAGTTTATGGTAGTAGATTTTCATAAAATTTATTTATATAAAATTAAAAACACCCACAGAGTTCTAAGACCTTTATTTGGCAGGAGAAAAATAAATAATGAACAAGATTTTCATATTATGTGTAACCTATTGATGAATTAGTAAGCAGTGGATTCATACTGGCATACCTGAGAGATATCATGGATTTTGTTCCAGATTGCTGCAATAAAATAAATATTTCAATAAATGATGTCATGTAAACTTTTTGGTTTCTCAGTGCATATAAAAGTTATGTTTATACTATACTGTAGTTTATTAAGTGTGCAATAGCATTATGTCTAAAAATTTTACATGCCTTAATTTAAAAAAATACTTTATTGCTATCAGTTGCTAACAACCACTTGAGCCTCCAGTGGGTCATAATTTCATTACTTGACTCAAGGTTGATTCAAGGTTGATGAGTGCTGACTGATTAGGGTAGTAGTTGCTGAAGGTTTTAGTGGCCATGGCAATTTCTTAAAGGAAGACAAAATTTGCTTCACCAATTGACTCTATCATAAATGATGTCTCTGTAGCATGTGACACTGTTTTATAGCATTTTACACACAGTTGGAGTCAATCCTTTCTAACTCTATGCTTTCTTTATCAATAAAATTTGTGAAATATTTTAAATGTTTTGTTGTCATCTCAACAATTTTCACTAGGAATGGAAGCTAATCAAGTAACCACATTATTTGCTCATTCATAAGAGGCTACTCTTCATACATTAAAGTTTTATCATGAGATTGCAGCAATTTGGTCAACTCTTCAGCCTCCGCTTCTAATTCTAGCTATCTTGCTATTTCCACAACATCTGTAGTTACTTCCTTTTCTGAAATCTTGAACCTCTCAACACCATCAATAAGCCTTAGAATCAACATCTTCCAAATTACTGTTAAGGTTGATACCTTGAACTTCCCTCAAAATCATGAATGTCTTTAATGGCATCTATAATTTATTAATCATTTCCAGAAAAGTTTTAATTTACTTTGCCCAGATCCATCAGAAGAATCATTATGGTAGCTATAGTCTTACAAAATATTTTCTTAAATGATATGACTTGAAAGTCAAAATTGCTCCTTGATCCATGGGCTGCAGTATGGATAACAGGTTAGCATGGATGAAAACAACATTAATCTCTTCATACATCTCCATCAGATTTCTTGAGTGACTAGGTACATTGTCAACGAGAAGTAATATTTTGAAAAAAAATTATTTCTTTCTAAACAGTAGGTCTCACCATTAGGCTTAAAATATTCAGTGAACCATGCTGTAAATAGATGTGTTGCCAAACAGGCTTTGTCGTTTAATTTCTAAAGGGCAGGCAGAGTAAATTTAATATAGTTTTTATGGGCCCTGAGATTTTCAGGAAGGCAAATAAGCATTGGCTTTAACTTAATGTTACCAGCTACATTTGTCTCCAACAAGAGAGTCTCTTTGAAGTTTTCTAGGCAGACATTGATTTCTTCTCTCTAGCTATGCAAGTCCTAGATGGCATCTTCCTCCAATAAAAGTTTCAGCGACATTGAAAACCTATTGTTTAGTGTAGCCATCTTCCCTAATTACCTTAGCTTCATTTTCTGTATAACTTGCTATAGTTCCTACATCAGTACTTGTTGTTTTACCTTGCACTTCCGTGTCATGAAGATGACACATTTTCTTAAACCTCTGTCTCATTCCAAATTTTCTTGTTCGGCTTCCTTACTTCTCTTAGCTTTCATAGAATTGAAGGCACTTAAGACCTGGCTACGGATTAGACTTCGGTTTAGGGAGTATTGTGGCTGGTTTGATCTTCTATCCAGACCACTCAAACTTTCACCACATCGGTAGTAAGGCTTTTTTATTTTCTTATTATTTGTGTGTTCACTGAAAAAGAACTTTCAATTTTCTTTAAAAACTTTTCCTTTGCATTCACAACTTGGCTAACTGATTGGCACAAGAGTCCTAGCTTTCAGCCTATCTTGGCTTTCAACTAGTCTTTCTCACTAAGCTCAATAAATTTTAGCTTTTGACTGCAAGTGAGAAATGTACAACTCTTCCCTTCACTTGAACACTTAGTGGCCATTGTAGGGTTATTTATTGGCTTCATTTTAATTTTTTTGTGTTTTACAGAATAGAGAGGCTGAGCGGGAGAGAGATAGGTGAATGGCCAGCCAGTAAAGCAGTCAAAACACACAACATATTTATCGATTAAGTTTGCAGTCTTATATGGGCATAGTTTGTGATGCCCCCAAACAATTACAATAATAGCATAAAGGATCCCTAATTGTGACGCAGAGACATGAAGTGGCACATGCTGTTGGAAAACAGTGCTGATATATTTGCTCAAGGCTGGATTGTCATGAATTTTCGATTTGTAAATATGTAAAATCTGCAAAGCAAAATAAAGAAAATAATAAAGTAGTTATTCTGATAGTTGACCAGTGCTATCACATAATAAGTTCTGGTATACTGCTATGCCACCTTGTGTTATAAGAGACAACTAAAGCCTAGCTAATGGCTTTGCTTGAAACTTTTTTTAAAGTATGGCAAAAATGAAAAATATAGAAAAATTATGTTTTTAACTCCAGGTACAGTTAATAGAATCATTCAACTTAATAAAAATCAATTAAGTATATTACAAATAATTTATTAAAACATATATATGTATATATATCAAAGGTGGCATGTATTTCTTAGGATCACCTATAAACTTTTTATAATAGTTATTCTCATGTTTACACTGCATAAAGTTATCTCTCATAACATGTCTTAGTTTATTTTCTTTTGCTTATAGCAGAATACCTGAAACTGAGTAATTATAGTGAAAAGGAATGCAATTTTTATAGTTATGGAAGCTAAGAATTTCATCAACAAATGACCACATCTGGTGAGACTCTTCTTGCTGATGGGGATTCTTGGCACAGGGACCATATGGCAAGGGAGCTGAGTGTGCTAGTTCATCTCTCTCCTCCTCTTCTTACAAAGCAACTAGTTCCACTCACATAATAACTCATTAATTCATTTACCCATTAAATAGGTTAATTCATTCATAAGGGCAAAGTTCTCATGACTCAATGACCTTTTAAAGGCCCCAGTTTGCAATACTGCCACAATGAGGATTAAGTTTTCACATGAGTTTTGGAGTTTGGAAGGGGGCAAACATTCAAACCATAGAATTATCTTAGGTCTCATATTCGTATAATAAGGATAATAATCCATAGTGTTATTTAAAGGATTGAATGAGTTGAAATATGAAAGCTCTCAGCACATACTGACCATTAGACTGTGATTCATCATTGTAACTTTTATCACTATATTAACTTTTTATTATTTTGTATAAATATTTCAGTAAAGTTTCCAGAGTGTCTGAAGTTTTTTTCTATTGTTGTTACAGACATCTTAGTTTTTACATTTTAAATTTATGAGTGATGATTATTTTTCTAAAGCTATTGCTCACAAAGAATGCAAATTCACAAATAGTATTTTGACAACAGAGCTGGAGTAATATCATAAAATTAATGACAACCATGTTTTATATAATTACATAAATTCTATATGACAACTTTGACTTCATGTTAAGGAATAATTGCATAGAACCCGGGCAAAATTTTAAAATGTAATAAAATAAAATTTATTAACAATAAAAGTTATTAATAATAAAAGCATTGCCTAAAACAAATAGATCAACCAGGTAAAAAGTTCAAAAATATTTGTCTATGTTAAGCTATAGCATTTCATAGCATACAATGGAAAATTAAAGAAATAGGAAAAAGTTAATTGAATAGATTTTCAAAAATGAAAACAATAGTCATTAGGATAAAGTTTAAATCATATAAAAAGAAGACTGAATAAAATAGATTTAATTTTATGGTTGATTAAGATGTTAGTGCAAGTTAATAAGAGTCTTAAATTAAACTAAATGTGGGTATTATAATCCTCCATATGAGTTCTAGGTAATAACTACTGAGTTAGGTTGCAGTTTATTACAAAACAAACTGAAGACTTAATTCAGGAATTTGTTTTTGCAAAAAGTAGCTGACTCTCAGCCAATAACAGCAGCCAAGTGGCCAACTACCTGTTTCTGTACCTCACTTTCTTTTTTGTATATTATTTTGCTTTTTCTGTTCAAACAAATTCTTTAGCTATATGGGAGCCCTGGAGTAGCTCTGAACCTATTCTAGTTCTGGGGCCCACGGAATTCACAAGCTGTTGTTTGCTCAATTAAATACTATTAAGTTTAATTTGTATAATGTTTCCTTTAAAAAGGGACAATATAATTGAAAAATAAATTGAGCATAATAAGGAAGTGTTCATTTTTAAAAATCTGATCTATTTAAGGCACTAAAAATTAAGCTAGACAGGAATATTTATTTTTCAATATTAAAAAATAAAACTCCGACACATTTTAATGTTTTCTAACATATGTTTTATTCAAAAACCTCACAAACCTTTAGCATACTTATATTAACCAGTCATTGGTTCTAAAGGAAAGGAAACAACTGGCCATTATAATTAATTAGAATATGTTAATACATATAATTTTTACCTTCTATAATTATTTTTTAAGAAATCACACATATTTAATAGACATCTAATATAAAAAACAGTTTGTTTCAAAATAATCTAAAGACATTGCAATTAGTCCCAGTGAGGTTATTTAGAATATATAATTAATAAGGAGTAAATTTCTTTAAAAATCACTTTCAAGTACATAAAGTATTATTTATTTATATAAAATAGAGGCTAATATTGAGACTTTATCCAAAATTTCTATTACTTCTATGATATCATAGAGTAGACTGTTTGCCAGGAAAAGACTTTTTCACCAGAGCTAGAACTTGAGATTTAAAAAGGATAATTCCGAAGGCCCAGCTGTCATTTTCAGCAGTTATTTGGCATAGCTGAGTCAATCACTTTTTTTTTTTTACCAGATAGTGACTTTTCAACATATATACTAAATTTAAATAAAAAAAGAAGGGTGGAGAGGGTGGAAGTGTAGCAATATGGCTGAATAAAATTTGCACCAGTTGTCCTTCCCACAGGAACACCCAATTGAACAACTATCCACACAAAACATTACCGTCATAAGACCCTCAAATAAGCTGGAGTATCAGCTCTGCCACAGTGGGGTATGGGACCAAGTGGGCTCTTGGGTTTTCCAATTCCAGGCCTTGGCTCTTAGATGGCATTTCTGAACCTGCCCTGGGCCAGAGGAGAGGCCATAGCCCTGAAGGGTGTTTTCCCAAGCCTATTCACCATCAGCTGACAGAAGAGCCCTTAGGCTTTGAATGAATATCAGTGGCAGCCAGGCAATACATGTGATTGGCCTGGGGTAGTGGTGGCACAGGGAGAGATTTCTTTCTTTCTGGAAGGGGGAGGGAAGAGAGATAAAGACTTTGTCTGGTGGCTCAGGTGCCCACTCAGCCATAGTAGAACAGAGCACCAGGTAGATTGATAAGTTTTGTGATACTAGGTTCTGACTTTCAGGCAGCATATCTAGACCTGCCCCAAACCATGGGAAACTCACTGCTCTGAAGGGAAGGACACAAACGTGGCTGGCTTCAACACCTGCTGATTGTATAGCCCTAGAGCCTTGGGTAGAAATATGGCAGGTAGACAGTGGTTACCACTAGCCTTGGATGAGACCCAGTGCTGTGCTGGTTTCAGGTCTGATTCAGCAAAGTCCCAGTGGTGGTGGCAACTGGGGTGCTTGTGTCACCCCTCCCCAATCTCCGGGTAGTTCAGCACAGAGAGAGAGATTCTGTTTGTTTGGAAAAAAGTAAGGGAAGAGAACAACAATTGCTGCCTGGTAATCCAGATAATTTTTCTGGGTCTTCTATAAGACCACCAATATGGTATCACTATGAGTCTGCAAGAGCCACAGTGTCGCTGTGCTTGGAGTGCAACCCAATGCAGATGTGGCTGCAGTGACCAAAAACTTAGATCACAAGACCCAACAATCTGCCTGCAAGAAATGTACTTCAACTATGAATACACAGACTGAAAATAAATGGATGAAAATACATATTTCATGCAGGTGGAAAACTAAGTAGGAGTACCTATGCTAATATCAGACGAAAGAGCTTGTAAGACAAAAGTCATGAAAAGAGCCAAATAAGGTCATTATATAATGATAAAGGTGTCAATTCAGCAGGAGGATATAAAAATATATGCACCCAACACTGGAGCACTCAGATATATAATGCAAATATTATTAGAACTAAAGAGAAAGACTCCAAAAGAAGAATAGTTTAAGAGTTTGACACTTTATTTTCTACATTGCACAAATCGTCCACACAGAAAATACATCATCCAGACAGAAAATCACCAAAGGAATGATGTTTCTTAACCTGCAGTATAGACCAAATAGGCCTAACAGATATTTATAAAATATTTCATAGTAATGACTACAGAATACGCATTCTTCTCCTCAGCACATATATCACTCTCAAGGATAGCTTATGTGTTAGGTTATAATATAAGTCTTAAAACATTCCAAAAAATTGAACTAATATCAATAATCTTTTCTGACCACAATGGAATAAAAAATCTGATTAAAAAATAGGCAAAAAAAATCTCAATAGACAATTCTCCAAAGAAGCTGTACAACTGGCAACCAGGTATATGAAAAGGTGATAAATATCATTGACAATCAGAGAAATGCATATCAAAACTACAATGAGATATGATCTTTCCCCAGTTAAAATGGCTCTTATCTAGAAGGCAGGCAGTAACAATTTCTGGAGAGGATGTGGAGAAAAGGGAACCCTTATACATGTTAGTGGAAATGTAAATTAGTACATCCAATATGGAGAACAGTATGGAGGTTACTTAAAAAACTAAAAACAGAGCTACTTTATGATTCAGCAATCTCACTGCTAGATATGATCTCTAAAAGAAAGAGAGTTAGAATATTTAAGATATATCTGCATTTCCATGTTTATTGCAGCACTACTTATAATAGCCAAGATTTGGAAACAACCTATCAACAGATGAATGGATAAAGAAAATGTGGTATATATAAACAATAGAGTACTATTCAGCCATTAAAAAGATGAGATTTTGTCATTTGCAGCAACATCAATGCAACTGGAGAACATTATGTTAACTGAAATAAGCCAAGCCTAGAGAGAAATTTTGTGTGTTCTCACTTATTTTGGGCAGCTAAATATTAAAACAATTGAATTCAAGAAGATAAAGAATCAAATGGCAAACAGATGCTGGAAAGGGTAGTGTGGGAGTGGGAGTGGGGATGTCAATGGGTACAAAAATATAGTTAGATAGAATGAGTAAGATCTAGCATTTGATAGCACAACAGGATAACTACAGTCACAATAATTTATTGTACATCTAAACTAATCCATAATTTGATTGTTTGTAACACAAAAAAAGGATATATGTTTGAGATGATTTACACCCTACTTTGATTATTATACATTGTATGACTGTATCAAAGTATTTCATGTGCCCTATAAATATATACAAATACTATGTACTCACAAATATTAAAAATTTTAAAAAGGGAAGAAATGAGGAGGGATATACAGGAGAAATAGAAAAACAAAAGGAGAAAGGAAATAACAAAACTCCCCCTGTATTTTATTTTATTTTTTAAATCAGAGTATGATATATTGTATTGGTAACACTTGTCAAAGAAAACTTGCAGTAGACAAGTTAAACAGGCAAGGAAGATCTTCGAGGCTATTAAAATAGAGGTCAGGAGTACTCCAATAGGGAAGAGATATTGAAATCCTTTGAAATGAAAATCGGAAGATGGCGGAGAAGTATTGGCAGACATTAGGGGAGGTATTGCTCAATGTGATTATGCCATCTGTGTTTGCTAATTGATGTTTACGGAAGTTCAATTCCTACCCTCCTATAGAGATTGGGAGAAGGGGCAATCTCTTTCTCTTGATGAATTACACGTCAAAGGCATGGTTCTCCTAGGTCCTTGATAAATAGGTTGCTGGGTTGTAACTGGAAAGAGGCTGGGAAGAGATATACATCTCAAAGGGCAGAAAAAATTCACAATTTCAAATTTAAATGCTCTAAGGTTGAAGTCAGAGCCCTGTAGTCAGAAACCTACTGGCCAAAAGCTTAGTCAGACTAAAAGTAATGTTAAGGCTGTTTTGGTCAGATGTATACATTATTAGCTCTGTCAATATACCTCATTGTTTTTATGTATTACTCTTCCCCCCACCGCCCCCTGCTATCATTTGGTTTTCTCTTGTTTTTGAAATATTTATTGTTATCATTTTCTTCTTTTTTAATTTCCTTTTTTTAATTCTTGTCACCTTTTCCCTTTCTATTCATGTTGCCCTGTAGGTTAGTCACTCCCCAATACCAGTTTACATTAATCAGGTAATTAGTGGCTTTTCCTCTTGATTAATTGCTGACTTATCAATTGCTTCACTAAAAATGTATATTATTAAAACCTTTATACAGATAAACATAAGACAAAACATTGAAATAACCTTAAGAGATAACAAAAGATATTAAAAACAACAATAGAAACAACTGAATCCCAAACTCAAAATTATTAGTAGATATCATCACTTCTTTGACAGGTATTAGGTATTTTATATTCTGGGATCCAGTTTTAAGTAAGGATGTCATAAGGATTCCACACACAAAATATTACAAACATTAAAATACTTTTAAAATATATTACCTTTAAGGCAAAATTTTGTTTTGTGAACATATATCAAATAATAAATATAAAAGTGTTTATACACCTATATTCAATGAGTCCTACATCAAATATATAAACTTTGCATGTCTTTTGCAGTATATACTTGCATATTGTTATTCATGCGTAAAGTGATAGATTTGTATTTTTAAATTACAATAGTAATTTGATAATATAGATTATACTTAACACTAAATGAAAAAAGTACATTTATATGTGAACTCTAATTTCAAAATCTAACTCATTACAGATTGTAATATAAATATAACATTTGTAGATCTGATTTAGGTATTCAACACACATGTTAGTTTATAATCATAGGTAGAGATAATAGAATAGAAAGTAAAACAAACTTATAACTATGAATAACAAAAAAAGAAAAATAAAGATGTATACCAAAGGTGATGTACCAATTTTGCTGTTTATGATAATTGATGAAATAACATATATATGAATGGTTGGGAGAAAACAAAAATCAAAAGGTAAAGGTAATTTATAAATAATTAATTTCAAATTATATTATGCAAAAATTTTTTAAAAGCCACATTTACCTATATCTATTCACAGCATGTGAATAAATTGATAGATATAATCATATGTTATATTCTTTTTGTACATGTAATTAAAAACACTCCATTACTATGGTAGGCAGTATTTATACAAATAATTCTTTGGTTTCTGCAGTTCTATTTATGCAGTGACATACTCTGAAATGGTTCAAAAGCTCTATTTTATGTCAGTAATGGAGAAATTTTCCAAACTGCATTTTTACTTATTGAGCAATGAGGGAAGGGGAAATCTTATATGTCCATGTCTCCCAAGGCAGCTCACAAAGGTTACAATCTATTTCTGTTATTGAGGTTTTATGGAGATAAATACCTGTGCTCCTTTCAAAGTCCTAGATAGATAAGTATGTCTGTCAATTTCTAGTCAGAATCTGACAGAATAAAGTATGACACACTGTTTCAGTGACTGCCCCCTTTTATTTTCATTTTTATTTTTTTAATTATTTGTGTGAAGTCTGACTTCAATTCTGCAGACATTCTGATAATCAGATTATCAGTAACAGAACAATGCAACTATTTCTTTCTCTAATACTTGCATATGTTTAGTAAAGGAAGTTCTTATTTCATAATATTTGTATTCTAGAATAATGGTTCTCAAAATATTGTCTATGAACTAGTTATCTATATCACCTGGAACTTATGATAAAAATATAGATTCCAGGGCCCCACCAGCCTCCTACTGAATCTTGGAGTTGGGTCTCAAAAGTTAATATTTATTTTTAAAAAGCCCTGAGTAGGGACTTTAGTGTTTTAATTTTTTTATTTTTGTTTTAAATTAAATTTTAATGTTATATAAATAAGCACACATTTTAAAAATCTTGTTTCTCTAAATTATTTATTATATTTCAACCCTTTCCTATGGCAGTTTGTCATAAATCCACGATGTGTAATGACTAAAATACAGGTAATAATATTTGGTGAATAAAGTTAATTTTTCTATTTAAATTGACTCTGGTTTAAATATTTTTTTCTTAAATTATTCCAGTTGAAAGAGTTTAGATTTTAAAATCAAACAAAAAATTAAATCAAATCTCAATTTAGCCATATATAAGTTCCAACTTGTGTAACTAATTAAACCTCTTTAAATTTCATTATCCTTATTTTTTAATGGAAATTACATAACATAAACTGGGTTGTTAGTAGAATATTTAAATTAATAACAAAGAGTTTAATGCAAGACTTTGACAGCTTGTTATAGCATAATACTGTTAAGATAGTGGTGTTTTTGTTTCTTTGATTAATGTCTGAATTTATTTTTTGTTATTTAAAAATAATTTATAGTGTCTTTGATCAAAAGAACACACCACTCCAAAATCAACTTCAAAGTCAATTGTCAGGAACATTTAAATCTTGAATACTAAACTTTACTCAAAACACTAAGTGAGCTCTTTCTGTATAATTTCTTATAATACTGCTACTTATTGAAATGGTATAAACTTACTTCCTGTTTAAAGTTTCATAAAACTATGCCTTATAATAAAGGTGAAAAATTTTCTCTTTGGCTCCTCAATAACATATAAAATTATACAATTGATTTGTATTAGATGTTTTTAAATACAGATTCAATATAGTACTATTTGACACTTATGGGTCTCAAAAAAATTCCAAATGCTGGGTTTGACATTTTACAAGCAACCACAAAACTAGAAAAACAAAAAACCCAAAAAGACAACTCAGTAATAAATTGTAGGTAAGAGAAAAAAGGACACAAGAAAATACCCCTTTTTTGATTATTGTCAAAGAGCAATCTTCAAATTTGATTTATAAAATATCACAATAGTCCAATGATGTACCTTTTCATTGTGTATTGGATTTGATAGCATCAGGCTTCTTGAAAGAAGCAAAAGGGCAATGGTAATTCTTGCAGCTGAAGGTGACCTTTACTACATCTTTTTCTAAGTGCCTTCTTTCAAGATTGCCAGCCTAAAGCAAAAAATTTAGAAGGCAGTGATGGCAGAGTTTTGTTCTTTTTCTTTGTTTTTCTACACTAAATAATATCGATCTCTATGCATTTGTCTAATTGATTTTTTTAATGATATGCAAAGAAAAGTCATTCTCAAGTGTTCATTCTGTCATGGTGACTAATCGGTTTTTCTGTGTCCTGTATTTTATAGCTTGTGGAAAATGCTGTGTCAGTGATAATTCAGCATATTTCAACAGTTTCACATTAATGCTCAGATAACCCTTATAAATGGGAAGAGTTACACTGAGTTAATTAATAATAAACAATAATCAATGGGAAAACAGCATATAAAATATGCTTATTTTTGTTAAATGAGTTTCTCTGAGATAAGAAATGCAAGTGTAAACTTTTTGATTCCTATAAAACTAACTTGCCCAGTAAACACATATTTAAGATCCTTTAATTTCATTTATATCTTTCATTTTAATGTACTTAAACTGTGACCAAAAAAACTCCTAGCCTGTGAAGTAAATATAACAGTTTCAATGGGTAACGGTAATAGAGGCATTTGTATAATGTAATGTGAAAGTCAGTAAGAAAGTACTGGAGACTTTGCAATCTGAGAGTAGTATAGTAAAAATATCCAGAGTCGGTTTTAGATATGCGATGAATCCTTACATAGGTCATTACCACTTTACAAAGAAAACATTCTAGCATAATATGTGGGGCATTGGAAATGAAGTACACTATTTAAGTATGATCAATCATTTTAGCAAATATTCCTTGAGAATTCTATTAATTGCAATTTGGGTATACTACATTATGAACTGCACAACTGAAGTCAAATTGTATAGAAATAATACAAATGGAAAAAATGGCAGATGAAATGACTTCACATGTTAGCTGATATAAAATCAATGTCACTCCCAGACTCCACCATATGTGTCTTCATTATAAATATTTGGTTTCTGTTTTATAGATTTGACCCACATTCACACACTCAAGTGTGATCTTCACAAACAAAATTTTGTAATGAGCCATGAATGTCATTCAAAAGAGTTATGTCCATTCACGTTTTGCTACTTATTCAAACACCAATCAATAATTGATATAATGTGTCAAAAGGCAGATTTGCTTATAACAAAAGGAAACCCTATTTTTGTGAACCAGAAATATAAAAATAAAGCAAATTGAAATCATATATCTTTATGAATTCAAGTCCTAAATGAGACAGAAGCAGCCAAGAGACTAATGCCAATTACAGTTCTTCCATTTAAGACAGAGGAAGTGATAGATCTTCTATATAATCCCATTAATGAAAGGAACTTGAAATAAGCCTAGTTGTTGAATTTTAACTAAGTTAATTTTATTAAGAAAATGGAAGATTATACCTACACAATTTGTGAAATATAATTTGAAATGAAACAAAGTTTTCTGCATGTTTGGTGATTAGATGTCTAGTATATCACAGCTGTTCTGAAATACCTTTATATACTCTATCTAGTTCTGTATTGGGGGTCTAGGATCCGAGTGGAAGCAATTGTGTAAATGTTAGAGTGTTTTTTCAAAGGAGTGAAAAAAAGAAGGACAAACAGAGAGAGAGAGAGAGAGCCTGGATAAAAAATATAAATGAAGCAGAAAATCTCTAACGAGAAGTAAAATATTCATAAAAATATGAATTAAAATCCAAAAAGCAATATGATAGTATTTGCAGATTATAAGGTTTGTCTTTATTTCTAAGCCAAGTTTATATGCAGTCTATTGTTAAAAATCTTTGATTAAAAATTCACAAAGTGGCTGAATAGGATACCTGTTTAAATGATATTTTAATAATGATCATGACTACTTAAAATATGTAATTATATATTATATGTGAGTGTGATTGTGTGTATTTCTAAGAATGAGAAAAGAGAAAAAATAAAACTAAAATGAACCCAATAATAAATCTTTAAAATGCACGAAACATGTATGTTGAGGTAATTTTAAAATGAATTGAAAGATATAATAAGGTCATGAAAAATGGAGAAAAAAAGCCATGCACAGACCAGGATAGAGTAACAGAGATAACATTTGCCCTTTCATATAAAACTGAAAGTCTAGACAAAATATATGAAGTAATGGTTTTCAAAACATTAAACATCAGCCAGCAAAGAACAATGACACGGAAAGATAAGAAACAAGTGAGGTGAGCCTAAGATTTCCCCAGCTTACTGCCTGGAGAAATTCTAGATTACGTGTATAGAAGAGGGTACCCAAACAGAGCAGAATGGACCTTTTTAGTTGTGGAGATGGGTATGGGAGACAAGGTAGATGAAGGCAGGGAGAATTCACATGGCAGATTGTGAGAAAGAAGCTATACAAAAGTAGATCTTGATTGACCTGCGGAAGGTTTTCTTGATATTTGTGCTAAGTGATAATCAGTGTATAACTTGAGCAAACTACCTAAGGCTGGGAAAACAAACAGTCAAAAGGATTAGAAGTTACAATTCTCAAGATTAACACACAACAATGAAGAGTTCCTGTTTCTACCTGCCAGAGAGAGAGAGAGAGAGAGAGAGAGAGAGAGAACTAGGTCAAATAAAGAGGAAAAATGATAATCAATAGCAATTAACAAATGGGATAAATAAGGGATCTATTACACAAGGTCCTTAAAAGTATTATAAGTGTATTTTATATGGTCAAGAGAATATCAGAAAGATTGAACATGTGTAAGCAGATGCACTGAAGGTAAAAAAAAAAAAAAATACCCTAAACAGCTAAAGTCTATGATGTCTGTATACGGAAAAAGTGAGGGATAGAATTAGTAGCAAAAGAGATATTGCAAAAAGAAAGATAGTGACTTTTAACACATAGCAATTAGTCCTATCCAAAATGAAATATGGGAAGACTAAGCCTAAAAGCCAAATGAGTAAAGCATGAGTGAGATTTGGCCCAATTTCTAGTGGTCTAATGTACAAGTAATTGGAGCCTCCCTGGAAAAGAGGCAGGGCATGGGGCAGAAAAATACATGAATAAATAGAAGTTGGCATCAACCAATTTGATAAAAACGTTAAACTGACATCAAGCACTAGAATTGTAAGAAAACTGCACCTAGGCATATCATAATTAAATTGCTTAATATTAGTGATAAAGGGAAAGTCTTAAAAGCAGACCTTTTTAAGCAAAAGACACATTAGGTACAGAGAAACAAAGCATATTTCTCATAGGCAACAAAAAACAAATTAAGTTTTTATATGTTTAATAGTTGAAAGAAGCCATAACCAGGAGACCTTCACTATGAGAAATGTTAAAGGAAGTTCTTCTAATGTAAGAAAAATTATATCTAAAGGAAATTTGGATCTATTCAAAAGGATAAAGAAATCATGAGTACTGAAAATGGAAATACATAGATAAATATAACAAATGATTCACTTATGTAAAATATAATTGTAAAAAAAATTATATATAATGAAAAAAAACTCCGTGTTACTGAGACCATGTGTAACTTTCATCCCTGCTACCACGGCCAGTTTGTTCATTGGTCCTGATGACAGGAGTGCCTGGGGAAAAAGGCTGAGTGGTGTCCACAGAATGGGTCATCTTATCCACTTGATTATTATGCTGCTCCTCTGCTGAGGTCACCCATTGGTGAGCACTCACATGGGATAAAAAATATGTTCACAGTTTTTTTTTTTTTGGTTTTTTTTTTGAGACAGAGTCTCACTCTGTTGCCCAGGCTGGTGTACAGTGGCACGATCTCAGCTCACTGAAAGCTCCACCTCCTGGGTTCACACCATTCTCCTGCCTCAGCCTCCTGAGTAGCTGGGAATACAGGCGCCCGTCACCATGCCCGGCTAATGTTTTTGTATTTTTAGTAGAGATGAGGTTTCACTGTGTTGGGCAGGATGGTCTCAATCTCTTGACCTCATGATCCGCCCACCTTAACTTCCCAAAGTGCTGGGATTACAAGCGTGAGCCACCGCGCCCAGCCATCTTCACAGCTTTGACCACTCAGAGAGGTCCATACACATACCTTTTCCCAAAATGTTTGTCACCAATTTTCCAATGATGCTTCTTCCAAGTCTCTGATTATCCAGCCAAACCATTGGCTACAGCCCATAAATCAGTATATAATTGCACATCTAGCCATTTCTCCTTCCTTGCAAAGTGCATAACCAGCTGCACTGCTTGAAGTTCTGCCCAGTGAGGAGATTTCCCTTCACTGCTGTTCTTCAGGGATGTCCTAGAAAGGGTCTGTATTGCTGCAGCTGTCCACTTTTGGGTGGTGTCTGCCTATGGTGAAGAACCATCTGTAAACCAGGACCTAGTCTTCTCTTCTTCTGTCAACTGATTGTAGGGAATTTCCCATAAGACTATCGGTGCAGGCTGGGGGAGAGAAGGCAGGGTGGCAGGAGTGGAGACCATGGGCATTTGAGCCACTGCCTCATGTAACTTACTTGTGTCTTCAGGACCTGCACGATCCTGATCACATATACCACTTCCATTTGATGAAGGAATGCTGCTGTGCATGACCCACTTTATGGTTAGATGAGTCAGAAAGCACCCAGTTCATGATAGGCAGTTCAGTTGGCATGGTGACTTGATGACCCATAGTCAAACATTCAGTTTCCACCAAAGCCCAATAACAGGCCAAGAGTTTTCTCTCAAAAAGAGAGTAGTTATCTGCAAAGTATGGCAGGGCCTTGCACAAAAATCCTAGAGGCCTCTGCTGTGATTCACCTGTGGGGACCTGCCAAAGGCTCTAAGCAGCATCCCTATCTTCCACCTACCTTCAAGCACCATTTGATCTGCTGGGTCATATGACCCAGATGGCAGAGCAGCTTGCACAGCACCTGGACCTGTTTCAGAGCCTTCTCCTGTTCTGGACCCCACTAAAAACTGAGAACCTTTTGGGTCACTTAATAAATGGACTGGAGTAACACACACAAATGAGGAATGAGTTGCTCCCCAAATCCAAATAGGCCCACTGGGTGTTGTGCCTCTTTCTTGGTTGTAGGAGGGGCCAAACACAACAACTTATCCTTCACCTTAGAAGGAATATCTCAACAGGCCCCACACCAATGGACCTCTAGAAATTATACTGAGGTAGAAGGTCCCTGAAGTTTAGTCGGATTTATTTCCCATACTCTGGCATGCAAATATCTCACCAATAAGTCCAGTGTGTTTGCTGCTTCTTGCTCACCGGATCCAATCAGTATAATATCATCAATGTAATGGACCAGTGTGATATCTTGAGGAGGCAAAAAAGTGATCAAGATCTCTCCAAATCAAATTATGGCACAAAGCCAGAGAATTCTATACCCCTGAGGTAGGACAGTAAAGGTATATTGCTGGCCTTGCCAGCTGAAGGCAAATTGCTTCTGTTGGGCCTTATGGACAGGAATGGAGGAAAGGGTATTTGCCAAATCAATGGATGCATACCAGGTACCAGGAAATGTGTTTATTTGCTCAAGAAATGAAACCACATTTGGTACAGCAGCTGCAATTGGAGTCACCACTTGGTTAAGTGTATGATATTCCACTATTATTCCCCAACATTCATCTGTCTTCTCAATAGGCCAAATGGGAGCATTGAAAGAGGATGTGGTGGAAATCACCACCCATGCGTCTTTCAAGTCCTTGATGGTTGCACTAATCTCTGCAATCCCTCCAAGGATGTGATATTGTTTTTGATTTTCTATTTTTTCTAGGTAGAGACAGTTCTAATGGCTTCTATTTTGCCTTTCCCTCCATAATAGCCCTAACCCTACCAGTCAGAGAGCCAGTGTGGGGGTTCTGCAAGATGCTAAGTATGTCTATGCCAATTATGCATTCAGACACTGGGGAACTGAACATAGGATGAGTCAGGGAAACCTCTGGACCCACTGTAAGTAAGACCTGAGCTAAAACGCTACTAATTACCTGACCTCCAAAAGCCCCTACTTTAACTGTAAGACCGCAGTGATGTTTTGGGTCTTCTGAAATCAATATCAGCTCAGAGCCAGTGTCCAGTACTCCCTGAAATGTCTGATCATTTTCTTTTCAACAACGCACAGTTACCCTGGTAAAAGGCTGAAGGTCTTTTGAGGGAAGGATGGGAGAAAGATTCGTTGAAAAAATTGTCAGTAACATAGTGGGGTCCTTCCATCCTTCCTCAAGGGGACCTTGCATCCCCTTTATTCAAGGGGTTCTGAGTCTGTAAATTGGCTCAAGTCTGGAAATTGAGAGGCTGTGGTTCTCTGTTCTTATAATTCAAATTAGTCTATGGTCCATTTGCCCTAAAAGTTTCCTACTCATATGAATTAAATAAGAATGCAGCAGGTTTTCTATCAATTTCATTTCTAAGAACTCCACGATTAATTAATCAATGCCAGAGCTCTACATGGGTCAGACTATTCTGATTGCTGCTTTGCCTCTGCTTTCCATTAGAGTAGCTAACTACACCTACCTTGCCTTACATGGTTGGGTGCTGCCACTTGACGCCTACCACCTCGGGATTCAATTATTTCCATAGTATTTAAATTTTGTAGTTGAGTGACTGTGGTTCCCGCTGTTAGATCTGACATACAGAGAAGAACAATTACAGGGCTCGTCAAAAATGCAGGTGCTGCCCTCACAAATCTGTTGCACAAGGCATTGGTAAAGGGTGTATCTTCTGGACCCACCCAGCTGGAATGAGTGGGTCAAAAGTGACTAATTCACTGCATTATCCCAATCTTCCTAAGCCTTTGGATCCTTCCTCTTCATTAAGCTAAGGGAGATAAGGCATTTCCAGCTCACTTATAGTGGGCCATCTTTTAATCCATATTCCAGCTAACCAAGCAAATAAACTATTAGAACATTTTTTTTAACTCCCCAAGCTACAACATTAAGTGCAGAGTCCCTACTTAGAGGGCCCAAATCAAAAAATTCAGCCAGATCCAACTCTATGTTTCTTCCACCATTATCACACACCCTTAATATCCATTCCCATGCCTATTCTCCAGATTTCTGTTTATATAAATTAGAAAACTCAAGCAGTTATTTTTGAGTGTAGCATGCCTCCTTATGGATCACACTCTCAACCTCACCTCTAGGGATCTGCTAGGACTTTAGTTATAGGTCTAAAAGCAAACAGGGGTGTTGGGAGTAGCTCCTGAGGAGAATCAACATCACTCTGCTTGGCAACTGCCTCAAGGGAGGCCATCACATTGCCTCAGGCAGTGCAGAGTTTATCTCCTCAGAAAAAGAGGGAAAGGCTGATAACAGCATAGGTCAGAGGAAGATGTTGCCACTACTGGGGATGGGGAAGCTGTTTCTTCTGGTAAAGGGGAAGCTGTTTGTTTCTTCTGGGGAAGAAAAAAAGAAAAACAACTTTGACCAGAATTTACAAACTCAATGTCCCCAGCTTCATCAGGGTCCTTTCACACACTGCCATTTCAAGCAGCAGGGTCCCATTCATTTTTAATCAATGCCCTCACTTTAAGAGTAGACACCTGGTGAGGCTGGGCATGCAGCTTTCATTGCAGGTCAGCCACATGCATGATAAGAGCTTGTGTCTGGGCCGGGTGTGGTGGCTCCCACCTGTAATCCCAGCACTTTGGGAGGCCAAGGCAGGCGGATCACGAGGTCAGGAGTTCGAGACAAGCCTGGCCAATATGGTGAAACCCCATCTCTAAAAATACAAAAATTAGCTGTGCATGGTGGTGTGCACCTGTACTCCAAGCTACTCAGGAGGCTGAGGCAGAAGAATCGCTTGAACCCAGGAGGCAGGATTGCAGTAAGCCAAGATCATGCCACTGCACTCCAGCCTGGGTGACAGGGCGAGACTCCGTCAAAAAAAAGAAAAAAAAAAAAAAGAGCTTATGTCTGTTTTCCCACGATTTCAGCTCTTTCTCTACAAGAGATAAGACTCTCACTCAGGGCAATCTTAGCAGATTTGAAGCTCAGTATCTGCTTCTGAAGCCGGGAGTTAGATTTCCTAAGTTTGTCATTTTCTTTCATCACTTTGACCACTGAATTTAGGAGCAACCAACCAGCTTCATTACGTTTCTTGGTTCTCCACATATGGTCAAAAGTATTATGTATAGAGTCATTAAACTGCTTGCCTCTCATGAGTGGTGAATCAGGAGTGTCAAATGCATTTATCTTGCTAACTCTCTAAAGAGTTCATGCAAAGAACTATTATTGTTTTCCATACTATTAAAAGTAAAGTCCATAGCATCTTTGGGTCTAATCATAGTAAACAACCAACTCTAGAAACCCCAAAACTAACACAAAAACTCCATCCTTAATTTTCTGTTCCTCTAGCACCATTCCTGGTACTACTACTGAGGAGATTACAATTTGAGGTGAGATTTGGGTGAGTACACAGAGCCAAAACATATTCTGCCACTGGTCCTTCTCAAATCCCTTGTTATTTTTATACCTCAAAAGACAATCATGCCTTCCCAACATTCCCACAAAGTCTTAACTCATTCCAGCATTAACTGAAAAGTCCCAAGTCCAAAGTCTCATCTGAGGCAAGGCAAGTCCTTTCTACCTATGAGCCTGTAAAATAAAAGAAAAGTTAGTTACATCCAAGATACAATAGGGTTACAGGCATTGGATAAATGTTCCTGTTAAAAATGGGAAAAATCAGCCAAAACAAAGAGGCGACAGGCCCCATGCAAGTCCAAAATGCAGCAGGGCAGCTATTACATCTTATAAGTCCAAAATAATCTGTTTTGACCCCATGTCTCATATCCAGGGCAAGGTGATACAAGAGGAGGGCTCCCAAGGCCCTTGGTAGCTCTGCCTCGGTAGCTCTGCCTCTGTAACTCTGCAGGGTACATCCCTCAGGGCTGCTTTCACAGGCTGGCATTGAGACCAGCAACTTTTCTAGGTGCATGGTGTAAGCTGTTGGTGGACCTACAGTTCTGGGGTCTGGAAGATGGTAGTCTTCTCCTCACAGCTCCACTAAGCAGTACCCCACAAGGGACTCTTTGTGGGGCTCTGATCCCACATTTTTCCTCTGCATTGCCCTAGTAGAGATTTTCCATTAGGGTTCTGCCCCTGCAGCAGATTTCTGCCTGGACAGCCAGGTATTTCCATACATCCTCAATCCAGGTGGAGGTCCCCAAACCTCAATTCGTGTCTTCTGCTCACACACAGACCCAACAAAATTTGGGAATCACCAAGGCTTGGGGCTTGCACCCTCTGATGTAAGGATCTGAGCTGTAACGTGGCCCCTTTTAGCCACAGATGGAGCTAAAGTGGTTGGGATGCCAAGCGCTGTGTCGTGAGGCTTAACACAGCAGCAGGGCCCTGGGCCTGCCCCAAGAAACCATTTTTCTATCCTAGGCCTCTGGGACTGTGATAAAAGGGGCTGCCATGAAGATCTCTGAAATGCCCTGGAGACATTTTTCCCATTGGCTTGGTGATTAACACTTGGGTCCTCATTACTTATGCAAATTTCTGCAGCCAGATTGAATTTATCCCCAAAAGATGTTTTTTTCTTTTCTACCACATGGTCAGGCTGCAAGTTTTCTAAACTTTTATACTCTGCTTCCCTTTTAAACATAAGTTCCAATTTCATATCACCTCTTTGTGAATACATATGACTTTATGCTCTTAGGAGCAGCCAAATCACCTCTTGAACACTTTGCAGCTTAGAAATTTCTTATGCCAGATACTGTAAATCATCTCTCTCAAGTTCAAAGTTCCACAGATTTTTAAAGCCAGGGAAAAATGCCACCAGTCTCTTTGCTAAAGCATAGCAAGAGCAACCATTACTCTAGTCCCCAATAAGTTCTTCATCTCCATCTGAGACCAACTCAGCCTAGATTTCATTGTCTGTATCATTATCAGCATTTTGCTCAAAATCATTAAACAAGTCTCTAGGAATTTACAAACTTTTACACATCTTCTTTTCTTCTTCTGAGCCCTCCAAACTGTTCGAACCACTCTCCATTACCCAGTTCCAAAGTTGCTTCCACATATTCAACTATTTTTATTGTAACACTGACTTCTCTCAATTTTCTGTATTAGTCTATTTTTACTTTATTATAAAGAACTACCTGAGACTGGGTAATTTATAAAGTAAGAGTGTTAATTGACTCACAGTTCTTCCTGGCTGGGAAAGCCTCAGGAAACTTACAATTGTGGTGAAAGGCAAAGGGGAAACAAGGCATGTATTACGTGGTGACAGGAGAAAGAGAGCAAGAGAGAAACTGCCAAACTTTTACTTTATTTTTTTGATGTGGAGTCTCACCATGTTGCTCAGACTAGAGTGCAGTGGTGCAGTATCAGCTCACTCAACCCCTGTAGTAGCTGGGATTACAGGTGCCTGCCACCACACCTGGCTACTTTTTGTCGTTTTAGTAGAGACAGGGTTTCACCATGTTGGCCAGTCGGGTCTCAAACTGCTGATCTCAAGTGATACACCTACCTCAGTCAATCAAAGTGCTAGAATTACAGGCACATGCCACTGTACCCAGGTCTGCCAAAACTTTTAAACCATCAGATCTTATGAGAACTCCCTCAATATTATGAGAACATCATAAGAAAAACTGTCCCCATGATCCAGTCACCTCCTATAGGTCACTCCCTGATCACAAAAGGATTACAAGTTGAGATGAGATTTGGATGGAGACTCAGAGAGAAACCATATCAGCAGATATCATCTTAACACACTGATTTTCTTTCTTTTGGATATTTACTCAGCAGTGGGATTACTGAATCATATGCTAGGTCTATTTTTAATTTTTTGAGGAACCCACATACTGTTTTTTATAGTGGCTTTACTAATTTGCATTTTCACCTACAGTGTACAAGTATTTTTCTTCCTCTACATCCTTGCCAGCACTTATTATTTTTTGACTTTTGGTAATAGTCATTTTAACTAAGGTAAGATAATATCTTATTGTGGTTTTGATTTGCATTTCCCTGATTATCAGTGATGTTAAACATCTTTTATATGTCTGTTGGATATTTGTATGTCTTCTTCTCATAAATATCTTGGGATCTTTTGCCCATTTTTAAAATCAGATCATTTGTTTATATTGCTATTGAGTTGTTTGAGTTCTTGTAATATTCTGGTTACAAATCTCTTGTCAGATGGGGAGTTTGCAAATATTCTCACTTATTCTACAGAAAGTCTCTTTACTTTATTGGTTATTTACTGTAATGTGCAGAAGCTTCTTAGCTTAATGTACTCCCATGTAAATATATTTGCTTTAGTTGCCTGTGCTTTTGAAGTCCTACCCAAAATATCTTTGCCCAGACCAATGTGCTAAAGCATTTCTCCAATGTTTTCTTCCAGTTGTTTCATAGATTCGGACCTTAGATTTGTCTTTCATCCTTTTTGAGTTGATGTTATATATGTTGAGTGACAAGAATCATTTCATTCTTTTTCATATGAATATCCAATTTTCCCCATTCCATTTATTCAGCTATTTTCCCCCTAAATGTTGTTTTAAATAAAGAATAAAAAAGAAGAATTTTTTTTATAAAAATTGTTTAGTGGTGACTGGCAAGATGGCCAAATAGGATTAGCTCCAATCTGCAGCTCCCAGCGAGATCAATGCAGAAGACGGGTGATTTCTGCATTTCCAACTGAGGTACTTAGCTCATCTCACTGGGAGTGGTTAGACAGTGGGTGCAGCCAACAGAGGCAGAGCAGAAGCAGGGTGGGGCATTGCCTCACTTGGGAAGCCCAAGGGGCCAGGGAACTCCCTCCCCTAGGCAAGGGAAGCAATGAGGGACTGTGCCATGAGAAACAGTGTATTCTGGTCCAGATACTATGCTTTTGCCATGGTATTCGCAAACTGCAGACCAGGAGATTCTCTCAGGTGCCTACACCACCAGGTCCCTGGGTTTCAAGCACAAAACTGGGCAGCCATTTGGGCAGGCACTCAGCTAGCTGCAGAAGTATGTTTTTTTTCATACCCCAGTGGTGCCGGGAATGCCAGCGAGACAGAACCTTTCACTTCCCTGGAAAGGGGGCTGAAGCCAGAGAGCCAAGTGCTCCTGTTCATCGGATCCCACTCCCATAGAGCCCAGCAAGCTGAGATCCACTGGCTTGAAATTCTTGCTGCTAGCACAACAGTCTGAAGTCAACCTGGGATGCTTGAGCTTGGTGGGGTGAGGGGCATCTGCCATTACAGAGACTTGAGTAGGCTGCTTTCCCTTCACAGTGTAAACAAAGCCATAGGGAAGTTTGAACAGGGCAGAACTCACTGCAGCTCCGCAAAGCCATTGGAGCCAGACTGCCTCTCTAGATTCCTCTTCTCAGGGGAGGACATCTCTGGAAGAAAGGGAGCAGCCCCAGTCAGGAGCTTATAGATAAAACTCCCATCTCCCTGGGACTGAGTACCTGCAGGAAGGGGCGGCTGTGGGTGCAGCTTCAGCAGACTTAAACGTTCCTGCCTGCCAGCTCTGAAAAAAGCAATAATCTCCCAGCATAGTACTCGAGCTCTGCTAAGAGACAGACTGCCTCCTCAAGTGGGTCCCTGATCCCCCTGCCTCTTGACTGGGAGATACCTCCCTGCAGGGGTCGACAGACATGTCATAAAGGAGAGCCCTGGCTGGAATCCAGTGGGTGCTCCTCTGGGATGAAACTTCCACAGGAAGGAACAGGCAGAAATCTTTGATGTTCTGCAGCCTCCACTGGTAATACCCAGGCAAACAGGGTCTGGAATGGACCTCCAGCAAGCTCCAGCAGACCTGCAGCAGAGGGGACCGACTGTTAGAAGGAAAACTAACAAACAGAAAAGAATAGCATCAACATCAAAAAAAGGATGACCGCTCAAAAACCCCATCCAAAGGTCACCAACATCAAAGACCAAAGGTAGATAAATCCATGAAGATGAGGAAAAAAAAAAAAAACAGGGCAAAAAGACTGAAAATTCCAAAAACCAGAATGTCTCTTTTCCTCCAAAGGATCACAACTCCTTGCCAGCAAAGGAACAAAACTGGATGAAGAATGAGTTTGAAGAATTGACAGAAGTAGGCTTCAGAAGATGGGGAATAACAAACTTATCCTAGCTAAAGGAGCATGTTCTAACCCAAAGCAAGGAAGTTCAGAACCTTGAAAAAAGATTAGAGGAATTGCTAACTAGAATAACCAGTATAGAGAAGAATATAAATGACCTGATGGAGCTGAAAAACAGAGGATACACAAGTATCAATAGCCGAATCAATCAACCGGAAGAAAATATATCAGAGATTGAAGATGAACTTAATGAAATAAAGCATGAAAACAAGATTAGAGAAAAAAGAATGAAAAGGAACAAACAAAGCCTCCAGGAAACATAGGACTATGTTAAAAGACCAAACCTACGTTTGATAGGTGTACCTGAAAGCGACAGAGAATTCTTTGAAACCAATGAGAACAAAGACACAATGTACCAGAATCTCTGAGACACATATAAAGCAGAGTTTAGAGGGAATTTTATAGCACTAAATGCCCACATGAGAAAGCAGGAAAGATCTAAAATTGACACTCTAACATCAAAATTAAAAGAATTAGAGAAGCAATTCTCTAATTCAAAATCTAGCATAAAACAAGAAACACATAAGATCAGAGTGGAGATAGAGACAAGAAAAACCCTTCAAAAATCACTGAATCCAGGTGCTGTTTTTGTTTTTTTTTTTTCTTTAAAGATGAACAAAATAGAAAGTCAGCTAGCCAGACTAATAAAGAAGAAAAGAGAGAACCATCAAATAGACACAAGAAAAAATAATAAAGGGGATATCACCCGTGATCCCACAGAAATACAAACTATCATCAGAGAATGCTATAAACACCTCTAGATAAATACACTAGAAAATCTAGAAGAAATAGATAAATTCCTGGAAACATACATCCTCTCAAGACGAAACCAGGAAGAATTTGAATCCCTCAACACGTTCCGAAATTGAGGCAGCAATTAATAAGATTACCAACCAAAAATCACCAGGACCAGATGCATTCACAGCCGAATTCTACCAGAGGTACAAAGAGGAGCTGGCACCGTTCCTTCTGAAACTAATACAAACAATAAAAAAGAGGGACTCCTCCCTAACTCATTTTTTGAAGCCACCATTATCCTGATACCAAAACCTGGCAGAGACACGACAAAGAAAGAAAATTTCAAGCCAATATTCCTGATGAACATATTTGCAAAAATCCTCAATAAAACACTGGCAAACCAAATCCAGCAGCACACCAAAAAGCTTATCCACCACAATCAAGTCAATAAATGGAATGCATCACATAAACAGAACCAATGACAAAAACCTCATGATTATCTGAATAGATGCAGAAAAGGCCTTCGATACAATTCAACACCCCTTCATGCTGAAAACTCTCAATAAACTAGTTACTGATGGAACATATCTCAAAATAATAAGAGCTATTTGTGCCAAACCCCCAGCCAATGTTATACTGATTGCGCAAAAACTGGAAGCATTCCCTTTGAAAACCATCACAAGACAAGGATGCCCTCTCTCACCACTCCTTTTCAACATAGTATTGGAAGTTCTGGCCAGGGCAATCAGGCAAGAGAAAGGAAGAAAACCTATTCAAATAGAAAGAGAGGAAGTCAAATTGTCTCTGTTTGCAGATGATTGTATATTTAGAACACTCTATCACCTCAGCCCCAAGTCTCCATAAGTTGATAAGCAACCTCAGCAATGTCTCAGGATACAAAATTAATGAGCAAAAATCAAAAGCATTCCTCTGCAGCAATAATAGACAAACAGAGAGCCAAATCATGAGTGACCTCCCATTCACAATTGCTACCAAGAGAATAAAATGCCTAGGGATACAACTTATAAGTGATGTGAAGGACATTTTCAAGGAGAACTACAATCCACTGCTCAAGGAAGTAAGAGAGGACACAAACAAATGGAAAAATATTCCATGCTTATGGACAGGAAGAATCAATATGGTGAAAAAGGTCATACTGCCCAAAGTAATTTATAGATCCAATTATATCAACATCAAGCTACCATGGATTTTCTTCACAGAATTAGAAAAATCTACTTTAATTTCATATGAAACCAAAAGAGAGCCCATATAGCCAAGACAATCCTAAGCAAAAATAACAAAGCTGGAGGCATCATGCTACCTGACTTCAAACTATACTACAAGGCTACAGTAACCAAAACAGCATTGTACTGGTACCAAAACAGATATACAGACCAATGGAATAAAACAGAGGCCTGAGAAATAATGCCACATATCTACAACCATCTGATCTTTGACAAACCTGACAAAAACACACAATGGGGAAAGGATTCCCTATTTAATAAATGAGGTTGGAAAAACTGGCTAGCCATATCCTGAAAACTAAAACTGGACACTTCCTTACACATTTTACAAAAATTAAGATGGATTAAAGACTTAAACATAAGACCTAAACCATAAAAACCCTAGAAGAAAACCGAGGCATTACCATTCAGGACATAGGCATGGGCAAAGACTTCATGACTAAAACATCAAAAGCAAAGGCAACAAAAGCCAAAATTGACAAATGGGATCTAATTAAACTAAAGAGCTTCTGTGCAGCAAAAGAAACTATCATGGGTGAACAGGCAACCTAGAGAATGGGAGAAAATTTTTGCAATCTATCCACCTAACAAAGGGCTAATATCCAGAATCTACAAGGAACTTGAACAAATTTATTAGAAAAAACAAACAACTCCATCAAAAAGTGGGTGAAGGATATGAACAGACACTTCTCAAAAGAAGACTTTTATGCAGCCAACAAACATATGAAATAAAAGCTCATCATCACTGATTATTAGAGAAATGCAAATCAAAACCACAATGAGATACTGTCTCATGCCAGTTAGAATAGCGATCATTAAAAAGTCAGGAAACAACAGATACTGGAGAGGATGTAGAGAAATAGGAATGCTTTTATACTGATGGTGGGAATGTAAATTAGTTCAACTGTTGTGGAATACAGTGTGGCAATTCCTCCAGGATCTAGAACTAGAAATACCATCTGACCCAGTAATCCCATTACTGGGTATATACCCAAAAGATTATAAATCATTCTACTATAAAGACTCATGTGCACATATGTTTATCGCAGCAGCCTTCACAAGAGCAAACACTTGGAACCAACCCAAATGCCCATCAATGATAGACTGCATAAAGAAAATGTGGCACATATACACCATGGAATACTATGCAGCCATAAAAAAGGATGAGTTCCTGTCCCTTGCAGGGGCATTGATGAAGCTGGAAAGCATCATTCTCAGCAAACTAATACAGGAACAGAAAACCAAACACTGAATATTCTCACTCGTAAGTGGGAGTTTAACAGTGAGAACACATGGACACAAGGAGGGGAACATCACACAGTGGGGCCTGTAGGGAGGTGGGGGCCTAAGGGAGAGATAACATTAGGAGAAATACCTAATGGAGATGACAGGTTGATGGGTGCAGCAAACCACCATGGCATGTGTATACCTATGTAACAAACGTGCTTATTCTGAACATGTATCCCAGAACTTAAAGTATAATTTTAAAAAAGTTGTTTAACCTTTTCCAAATTCAGATTACATATATACATGCACAAACACACACACACACACACACACAGATATATGTATTAACATATAACTTCTAAAATGAATTTAAAACACATTAGAATACTTGATTTTGCACTAATTTCTTATACCTTATTAGGTTATATAATTATGCATTAATATAGCCTTGAGTTGAAATTGTTAAAATAAGCATACAAAATAAAAACAAATTACTTCTACTTAGCAAACATACTGTTATTCTTTAATTAAAGATATAATGCATGAGAATAGTTAGATACCCTAGAATATTCATTAATTTAAAAGTTTTAATTTGTCGATTTCATCTATTTCTGTAATTAATATTATACTACATTGAAATAACTATTGTATCCTTGTGCTATCACTTTTCACCTCTTTTTGTTTGATAATGTACTTATATATGTTCAACAAGACCACAATCCTTCTAAAATTAATAATGATGTACTTTAAACCTGTAGATGAAAATACATTACACTGATAGAACTAACAACTGATTTAGTCAATAGTGTATAGTGTATGAGAGCACATACCTTGAAATCAGGTACAACTTTGAACTAATACTCTCAAAAACATAAATTCTTCATATGTCAAATGTGAGTAATCATTTGTTACAGAGATATTAAAAATATAAATTACATTATTAATTCATTCAACAAACTTTTTTAAGCCTTTACTCTGCACAAGTGACAATATTAGTGTCTAGGGATATAAAGATGAAAATGACACTAGGGAATCAAACATGAAACCAGTAGTTATTAAATTGCAATAGTGATTAATTAAATAAAAAGTATATGATGCTACAAATGTATACTACTCATATAGTTTTAGTATCAGGAAAGGTTTGTCTGGTGGAGAAATATTTGTGAGAATAGTCATTAAATCCTTAGTTTTATGTAGGAAAAATATAATTTACTGCCCAGAAAGTAGCTGACATGAAGTAGGTACTCTGTAAATATTTGCTAAATAAATACATAAACAAATTAAGTAAATAAATATTATTACTCATTAAGATAATTTAAAGAACTTGAAGATGTTTTGATATTCAGATAAATGCTCTAGGGTAAGGTGGAACTTGCTTTCATTGATAAAGTATATTTTGAATCAAAAGAGATATTTCCAGAGTTAAATCATCACAGTGTTCACTCACTTCACTTTCACTTTCCCTCTGGAGGTCATAAGCCATAGGGGTCTCTCTTGGTACTGACCTGTGCTGCATGGGTACATGAGTAAAATAAAACTATTCCCACCATCTTCAATGCATCTATTTTACTTTTTTTTTTTTTTTTTTTTTTTTTTTTTTTTTTTTTTTTGCTTTAACAGTTTGCAGAAACTTCTCCATCCAGCTCTGTTTAATGCTGCAAAGAAACCTACTTTCTTCTAGTCCCACCCAGGATATTTAGATGATCAACATTGCTAAGTAGTTGGGAGAGGTTGAGAGCAGGAAAGAAAAGCCACAGACTCCATTAACTGTTTCATGAACTCAATCAGGAATCGCACACACAAGCCACTTTGAACTCCTCACCTGTGGACTACCCCAAATGACCCATGAGCACCCCAAATTCTCTGTGAACCTTGTCCTGTCTCCCCAAGTCAGCTCTTTGAGCACATCTTCATCAACAGGAAATGCAAGTGTCTTAGATATCCAGCCCAATTCTGAAAGACTAAAAGACGGTACAAAACTTGAGCATTTCAGTACTTCACCTTAGGGAAAACAAACAGAAGGCTCTTGCCACCTGGTCTTGCTTTGTGGGAACAAGAGAAAGCATACAATTTTTATAACTTTCCCCCAAGAGGAAACAAGAAGTATGGAGAGATGCATTTTCAGGTGGTATGGTTTGGTTCTGTGTCCCCACTCAAATTGCATATCAAATTGTAATCTTTAATGTTGGAGGAGGGGCATGGTAAGAGATGATTGGGTCATGGGGCAGACTACCCTCTTGCTTTTCTCATGACAGTGAGTGAGTTCTCACAAGATCTGGTTGTTTAAAAGTGTGTAGCACTTCCTCATTAGCTCTATCTCTCCGGCTCCGCACGTGACCATGTGCCTGCTTCCCCTTCACTTTCTGCCATAATTGTAAGTTTTCTGAGGTCTCCCAGCTATACTTCCTGTGTAGCTGGTGGAACTGTTAATTAAATTTTTTTCTTCATAAATTACCCAGTCTCAGATAGTTTTTTAAAGCAATGAGAAGACAGACCAATAGAAAATTGTTACCATAGAAGTGAGTCATTGCTAAGTTTTTTAAAGCAAAGAGAGGACAAACCAACAGAAAATTGTTACCATAGAATTGGGGCATTGCTATAAAGACAATTGAAAATGTTGATAGCGACTTTGTAACTGCATAATGGGCAGAGGTTGTAAGATTGGGGAGGGTTCAGAAAAAGAAAGATGAGAGAAAGTTTGGAGCTTCCTAGAGAGTGGTTGAATGGTTTTTACTAAACTGCTGATAGTGATACAAACAATGAAGTCCAGGCTGAGGTGGTATCAGATGGAGATGAGGAACTTATTAAGAACTGAAGCTAAGGTCACTTTTGTTATGCATGAGCAAAGACATGATCTGAAACTGAAACTTATATATAAAAGGGAAGCAGAGTGTAAAAGTTTGGAAAATTTACAGCCTGAGCACGTAGTAAAAAAGAAAAACTCATTTTCTGGAGAGAAATTCAAGCTAGCTGTAGAAATTTGCATATGTAAAGAGGAGCCAAATGTTGATAGCCAAGATAAAGGAGAAAATGCCTTCAAAGTATTTCAGAGAACTTTGCAGCAGCCTCTCCCATTACATACCAGGAGGTCTAGGAGGGAAGAATGGTTTTGTGGGCCAGACCCAAGGTCCCACTACTTTGTGCAGCCTCAAGACATGTCATCCTGCATTGCAACTGCTCAAGCTTCAGCCACTGCTAAAAGGGCCCAAGGTATAGCTTGGCCTGTTGCGTCAGAGCATACAAGCCATAAGCCTTGACAGCTTCCGTGTGGTTTAAAGCCTGTGGGTGTGCAGAGTGTGAGAAGTGAGTTTTGGGAGCCTCTACCTTAAAAAGGATGTATGGAAATCCCTGGATGTCCAGGAAAATGTCTGCTGCAGGAACAGAGCCCACTTAGAGAGTCTTTATCAGGGCAGTGAAGAAGGGAAATGTGGGGTTGGAGCCTCCACACAGTCTCCACTGGGACACTGCCTAATGGAGCTGTAAGAAAACAGCAACCATCCTTCAGGTCCCAGAAAGGTAGGTCCATTGACAGCTTGCGCCATGTGCATGGAAAAGCTGCAGGCACTCAATAACAGCCCTTGAAAGCAGCTGTGGGGACTGAACCCCAAAGAGCCACAGGGGTGGAGATGCCCAATACCTTGGAAGCCCACCTTTTGCATCAGTGTGGCCTGGATGTGAGACATGGAGTCAAAGAAGATTATTTTGGAGCTTTAATATTTAATGACTGCCCTTGGATTTGCATGGGGCCTGTGGCCTCCTTTTTTAGCCAATTTACCCAACTCCTGTAACCCCATTATACCTTGGAGGCAATTAACTTGTGTTTTATTTTACAGGCAAGTAGGCATAAGGGACTTGCCTTGTCTCAGATGAGACCTTGAACTTGGACTTTTGAGTTAAGCTGGAATGAGTTAAAACTTTTAGGGGCTGTTGGGAAGGCATGATTGTGTTTTGAAATGTGAGAAGAACATGAGATTTCGGGGGGGCCAGGGGTAGAATAATATCGTTTGGCTTTGTGTCCCCACCTAAATCTCATTTAGAATTGTAATCCTCAATGTTGGAGGAGGAGCCTGGCGACAGGTGATTGAATCATGGGCCAGACATCCCCCTTGCTGTTCTCATGGTAGTGAGTGAGTTCTGATGAGATCTGATTGTTTAAAAGTGTGTAGCACTTTCTCCCTTTGCTCTCTCTCTCTCTCGCTTCACCATATGAAGATGTGCCTGCTTTCCCTTTGCCTTTCACCATGTTTGTGAGTTTCCTGAGGCCTCCTCTGCCATGTGTACTTTACAGTGTTAGGCCTCTGAGCCCAAGCCTGCATGTAAGTCACAAGACTGTCATGTCACAGATACCCTCCCTATACTCAAAAGAGAAAAAATGTCCTTATCTCTGAAGACACAGGGACACAGAGTAAATTTTGTACAACCAGGTAAACTTCCTCTAGTTTGTTAGATTATATCACAACCTTTTTGTTCAATCATATTTCCTCACAATTACACACTTATTTATGAAACAGCATAAAAATACAAAGGTTTTATTGTTTCTTTGAGTCTGTGAAGGTTTCCAAGTCACATAAAACTTATATTAAATAAACATGTACATTATTGTCTTATTAATCTGTCTTTTATTATACGAGCCTCAGCAATAATCAGGCAAAGAATGAGAAAAAAATCATTTTTCATCCCTTACATAGTGTTATTATATTATTTTAAAGTAAATCTACCTAAATAAGTACTGCCTACATTCTATTGTTTGTGTTATGAAGTCAGCTGTCACTCTTTGAAATCAGTATGCCTTTTTGAATAAATGCTTTTAAAATTTTCTCTTTGCCTTTGGTTTTTAGACTTTACAATTATATATGTATATTTTTAAAATTGTTTTTGTTTTGTATTTATTCTACTTGAAGATCAAAGATTCTCTTGAATCTGTGGCTAGATATCATCAGTTTTAAAAATATCTCAATCATTATCATCTGAAATATTTGTTCTTCTCTACTTATTCTTCTTTTCCTTGGGCACCAATTATGCACCGTTTTTCCTGTTCAGCATACTTATATGTCTTATTCTTCTAACTTTCTATTATTTTATATATTTGCTTCAGTCAGGCAATTTTCTTCTGACCCATATTACAGGTTAGCAATTACTCCTTCAGCTTCCTCTTATCCACTATTAAACCCTTTATTTCCATTTAATTCTTTTTCATTTTTTTAGTTATGTGCCATTTTTTATCCTATTATTAATAACACCTTTTTAAAAGTCAAATGTGTGATTACTATTTGATCTCTTATAGGTCTGTTTTCATTGTTTCTTTTATTTTTTCTATTAATATCTCATCAGCCCTCGCTTCCTTGTATGCTTCATTATTTTTTAAATTGCATTGTAGACATTGCAATAGAAATACTGTAAAGAAAATTTAATTCTCTGGATGGTGTTAACTTCCCCCAAAAGTATTTATCTTTTTATCCCATAAGACAGATAGGCTTGGATTGGATCACATTAATTCAGTCATGAATTGACAAGATTCAAAGTGACTTCTTTACTTTTATGACTTCTTTACTCTATGTTGCCTTTCAGGGACCTATCCAAATATACTCCATTATTAACATAGCTTCTTCTCCTGGTCAAACTCTAAATTCCAAGTTTTGTCCACTCAGCCAAGTGAAATTGTCAAAGTGTTTCTTAACTTCTCAGCCATTTAGCACCACAATCAAAATGCAAATTCCACAGGTGAAAAAGTAATTACAGTGAACCCTCTTGGGCACTCTCTAATTGGATGTCCTGGGTCCTCCCAATTCTTAGTCCTTTAATACCTCTTTTCTCCTTCTCTTATTCAGACCCTGTGTCTTCCATTTAGTTTCTCAATTCATGCAAAACCATATCCAGGACAACACCAATCATTCTATACAACAAATGCTCCTTCTAACAACCCCACCATATCACCTCTTACAACAAAAATTTCCTTCAGCTTGATCTCTCTCACTCTAGGTTCCCATTGCCACCCCTAATCCCACTGGAAGCAACCCTGAGAAACATCACCCATTATCTCTCCATACCACCCCCAAAAAAATTTTCGCTGCCCCAACACTTCAATACTATTTAATGTTATTTTTCTTATTTATATAAGAAGACAGGAATGTCAGGCCTCTGAGCCCAAGCTAAGTCATCATATACCCTGTGACCTCCATGAATACATCCAGATGGCTTGAAGTAAGTGAAGAATCACAAAAGAAGTGAAAATGGCCAGTTCCTGCTTTAACTGATGACCTCTGACGTTTCAGAGGTGTCTGATCAGAGGGACGCCTGCCTTGATCCTTCACCCGTGGTGGCAAGCACCACTTTCCTGGGGACAAGCACCCCCCACCAATTATCTCCGAGTCTCTACCCTCTCTTTTATCTGGGCTTACCTCCTTCACTATAGGCAACCTTCCACCCTCCATTCCTCCTTCTTCTCCCTTAGCCTGTGTTCTCAAGAACTTAAAACCTCTTCAACTCACATGTGACCTAAAACCTAAACACCTTATTTTCTTCTGCAATACCACTTGACCCCAATACAAACTCGACAGTGGTTCCAAATAGCCAAAAAACAGCAGTTTTGATTTCTCCATCCTACAAGATCTAGATAATTCTTGTCGTAAAATGGGTAAATCGTCTGAGGTGCCTGACATCCAGGCATTCTTTTACACACCAGTACCTCCCTAGTTTCTGTTCCCAGTGAAACTTATCCCAAATCTTCCTTCTTTCCCTTCTGCCTGTCCCCTCAGTCCCAACCCCAAGCATCGCTGAGTCTTTTCAGTCTTCCTTTTCTACCAACGCATCTGACCTTTCCCCTCCTCCCCAGACTGTTCCTCAGGTCAGTCCCTGCCAGGCTGAATCAGGCTCCAATTCTTCCTGAGCCTATAATTCTCCCCCACTCTACAATCCTTCTATCACCTCCCCTCCTCACACCCAGTCCAGCTTACGGTTTCATTCTACAACTAGCTCTCCCCCACCTGCCCAACAATTTCCTCTTAAAGGTGGCTGGAGCTAAAGGCATAGTCAAGGTTAATGCTCCTTTTTCTTTATCTGACCTCTCCCAAATCAGTTAGCATTTAAACTCTTTTTCATCAAATGTAAAAACCGAGCCCCTTTCATGGATCATTTGGCAGCAACCCTTAGGCACTTTACAGCCCTAGACCCTAAAAGGTCAGAAGGCCATCTTATTTTCAATATGCATTTTATTACCCAATCTGCTCCAAACATTAAATAAAACTACAAAAATTAAATTCTGGCCCTCAGACCCCACAACAGGACTTAATTAACCTTGCTTTCAAGGTGTACAATAATAGAGAAGGGTTACAATTACTTGCCTCCACTGTGAGAGAAACCCCAGCCACATCTCCAGCACATAAGAACTTCAAAATGCCCAAGCCACACATGCCTAAGCTGCAGCAGTCAAGCATTCCTACAGGACCTCCTCCATCAGGCCCTTGCTTCAAGTGCCAGAAATCTGGCCACTGAGCCAAGGAATGCCCGCAGCCTGGGATTCCTCCTAAGCTGTGTCCATCTGTATGGGACCCCACTGGAAATCGGACTGCCCAACTTGCCCGGCAGCCACTCCCAGAGCTCCTGGAACTCTGGCCCAAGGTTCTCTGAGTGACTCCTTCCCAGATCTTCTCGGCTTAGAGGCTGAAGACTGACGCTGCCTGATCACCTCAGAAACCTCCTGGACCATCACAGATGCTTTCCGTAACTCTTACACTGGAGGGTAAGTCTGTCCTCTTCTTAACAGGGAGGCTACCCACTCCATATTACCTTCTCTCCAAGGACCTGTTTCCCTTGCCTCCATAACTGTTGTAGTTATTGATGACCAGGCTTCTACACCTCTTAAAACTCCCCAACACTGATGCCAACTTACGCACTCCTTTTTAGTTACCCTCACCTGCCCAGCTCCCTTATTATGTCGAGACATTTTAAGTAAATTATCTGCTTCCCTGACTATTCCTAGGCTACAGCCACACCTCATTCCTGCCCTTTTCCCCAGTTCAAAGCCTCCTTCTCATCCTCCCCTTGTATCTCCCCACCTTAATCCACAAGTATGAGACACCTCTACTTCCACCTTAGTGACTGATCATGCACCCCTTTTCATACCATTAAAACCTAATCACCCTTACCCCTCTCAATGCCAATATTCTATCCCACAGCATGCTTTAAAAGGATTAAAGCCCGTTATCACTTGCCTGTTACAGCATGGCTTTTTAAAGCCTATAAACTCTCCTTACTATTCCCCATTTTACCTGTCAAAAAACTGGACAAGTCTTACAAGTTACTTCAGGATTTGCACCTTATCAACAAAATTGCTTTGCCTATCCACCCCATGGTGCCAAACCCACATACTCTCCTATCCTCAATACCTCCCTCCACAACCCATTATTCTGTTCTGCAACGCAAACATGCTTTCTTTACTATTCCTTTGCACCCTTCATCCCAGACTCTCTTTGCTTTCACTTAGACTGACCCTGACACCCATCAGGCTCAGCAAATTACTTGGGCTGTACTGCCTCAAGGCTTCACAGACAGCCCCCATTACTTCAGTCAAGCCGAAATTTCTTCTTCATCTGTTAGTTATCTCAGAATAATTCTTCATGAAAACACACATGCTCTCCCTGCTGATCAAGTTCTGGCTAATCTCCCAAACCCCAACCCCTTCTACAAAACAACTCCTTTCCTTCCTGGGCATGGTTGGATACTTTGGCCTTTGGATACCCGGTTTTGCCATCCTAACAATACCATTATATAAGCTCACAAAAGGAAATCTAGCTGACCCCATAGATCCTAAATCCTTTTCCCATTTCTCTTTCCATTCCTTGAAGACAGCTTTAGAGACTGCTCCCACAATAACTCTCCCTGACTTATCCCAACCCTTTTCATTACACACAGCCAAAGTGCAGGGCTGTGCAGTCAGAATTCTTACACAAGGGCTGGAACCATGCCCTGTAGCCTTTTTGTCCAAACAACTTGACTTTACTATTTTAGGCTGGCCGTCATGTCTCCATGCGGCAGCTGCACCATGCGGCAGCTGCCACCACCCTAATACTTTTAGAGACCCTCAAAATCACAAACTATTCTCAACTCACTTTCTACAGTTCTCATAACTTACAAAATCTATTTTCTTCCTCACACCTGATGCATATACTTTCTGCTCCCCGGCTCCTTCAGCTATACTTACTGTTTGTTGAGTCCCCCACAATTACCATTGTTCCTGGCCTGGACTTCAATCCGGCCTCCTACAATATTCTGGATACCACACTTGACCCCCATGACTGTATCCCTCTGATCCACCTGGCATTTACTCCATTTCCCCATATTTCCTTCTCCAGGCCTAATCTCACTCACCAGCAAAGGCAGGTTATGCTACAGTATCTTCCACATCTATCATTGAGGCTACTACTCTGCTCCCCTCCACTACCTCTCAGCAAGCCGAACTCATTTCCTTAACTTGGGCCCTCATTTTTGCAAAGGGACTACACATCAATATTTATACTTACTCTAAAGACGCCTCCCATATCCTGCAGCACCATGCTGTTATATAGGCTGAAAGAGGTTTCCTCACTATGCAAGAGTCCTCCTTCATTAATGCCTCTTTAATAAAAACTCTTCTCAAGGCCGCTTCACTTCCAAAGGAAGCTGGAGTCATTCACTGCAAAGGCCATCAAAAGGCATCAGATCCCATTGCTCAGGGCAACGCTTATGCTGATAAGGTAGCCAAAAAAGCAGTTAGCATTCCAACTTCTGCCCCTCATGGCCAGTTTTTCTCCTTCTCATAGGTCACTCCCACCTACTTCCCCACTGAAACTTCCACCATCAATCTCTTCCCACACAAGGCAAATGGTTCTCGAACCAAGGAAAATATCTCCTTCCAGCCTCACAGGCCCATTCTATTCTGTCATCATTCCATAACCTCTTCCATGTAGGTTATAAGCAGCTAGCCCGCCTCTTAGAACGTCTCATTTCCTTTCCATTGTGGAAATCTATCCTCAAGGAAATAACTTCTCAGTGTTCCATCTGCTATTCTACTACTCCTCAGGGATTGTTCAGGCCCCCTCCCTTCCCTATACATCAAGCTCGGGGATTTCCCCTGCCCAGGACTGGCAACTTTACTTTACACACATGCCCCAAGTCAGGAAACTAAAATATCTCTTGGTCTGGGTAGACACTTTCACTGGATAGGTAAAGGCTTTTCCCACAGGATCTGAGAATGGTGGCCCATGGTCATTTCTTACCTTCTGTCAGACATAATTCCTCGTTTTGGCCTTCCCACCTCTATAGAGTCTGATGACAGACAGGCCTTTACTAGTCAAATCACCCAAGCAGTTTCTCAGGCTCTTGGTATTCAGTGGAACCTTCATACTTCTTACTGTCCTCAATCTTCAGGAAAGGTAAAACGGACTAATGTTCTTTTAAAAACACACCTCACCAAGCTCAGTCTGCAACTTAAAAAGGACTGGACAATACTTTTACCACTTTCCCTTCTCAGAATTTGGGCCTGTCCTCGGGATACTACCAGGTACAGCCCATTTGAGCTCCTGTATGAACGCTCCTTTTCATTAGGCCCCAGTCTCATTCCAGACACCAGCCCAACTTGAACTGTGCCCCCAAAACTTGTCATCCCTACTATCTTCCATCTAGTCATATTCCTATTCACTGTTCTCAACTACTCATAAATGCCCTGCCCTTGTTTATGCTGCCAGTTTACACTGTTTCTCCAAGCTATCACAGTTAATATCTTCTGGTGCTATCCCCAAACCACCAATCTTCACTCCCTCTTAGAGTAGATAGATGATCTTTGCTGACAGGGTACACTCCAATACTTTCACCCTGATGAAGTCCTATTCTTTACTTTCATACTCAGTCTTATTCTCATTCCCATTCTTATGCCACCCTGTACCTCTCCCCAGCTATCTCCACCACACTATCAATGCCACTCGCTGTCTCCTAGCTGTTTCTAGTCATTCTTTAATAAACATTTTCTGGCTTTGCATTTCTCTTTTCTCCAAAATTGCCAAGGCCTCGACTTACTCACTGCTAAAGAAAAGGGGACTCTGTGTATTTTTAAATGAAAAGTGTTGTTTTTACCTAAATCAATCTGGCCTGGTATATGACAACATAAAAAAAAACTCAAGGATAGAGCCTAAAAACTTGCCAACCAAGCAAGTAATTATGCTGAACCCCCTTAGACACTCCCTAATTGGATATCCTGGATCCTCCCAATTCTTAGTCCTTTAATACCTGTTTTTCTCCTTCTCTTATTCAGACCTTGTGTCTTCTGTTTAATTTCTCAATTCATACAAAACCGTATCCAGGCCATCACCAATCATTCTATATGACAAATGTTTCTTCTAACAACCCCACAATATCACCCCTTGCCACAAAATCTTCCTTCAGCTTAATCTCTGCCACTCTAAGTTCCCATATGGCCCCTAATCCCACTCGAAGCAGCCCTGAGAAACATCGCCCATTATCTCTCCATACCACCCCCAAAAAATTTTTCGCTGCCTCAACACTTCAATACTATTTTATGTTATTTTTCTTATTAATATAAAAAGACAGGAATGTCAGGCCTCTGTGCCCAAGCCTGCACATATACATCTAGATGGCCTGAAGCAAGTGAAGAATCACAGAAGAAGTGAAAATGGCCAGTTCCTACCTTAACTGATGACATTACCCTGTGAAATTGCTTCTTCTGGCTCAGAAGCTCCCCCACTGAGCACCTTGTGACTCCTGCCCCTGTCTGCCAGAGAACAACCCCCTTTGAGTGTAATTTTCCACTACCTACCCAAATCCTATAAAATGGCCCTACCCCATCTCCCTTCACTGACCCCATAGATCCTAAATCCTTTCAGACTCAGCCCACCTGCACCTAGGTGATTAAAAATATTTATTGCTCACACAAAGCCTGTTTGGTGATCTCTTCACATGGACACCTGCGACATACAGCTTGCACAACTATGAATCAATTAAATCATTTTTGTTCATAAATTACCCAGTCTTAGGCAGTTACTCACAGCATTGCAAGAAGAGACTAATACAACAGGAAACAGAGGAAAAGTCTGAGAGAGCCGCAGAATCATCAGCTGTGCTAATTGGTGAAGATGTTTCTTTCCAATAGCCAGTCAGTAAAAACTGCTTCTTCAAACGTGAAGACAGCAGTGTAAGATTTCAAGGAAAACAAAAAAATCAAGGCAGCATGACACCACCAAGGAAACTCAATAACATTCCAGTAATTTCTCCCAAAGAATTGGGTATCTAAAAATTTCCTGGGAAAAAATTAAAACGATTATGTTAAGGAAGCTCAGTGAATTACAGAAAAGAAAACAAACAAATAAAAAACAGATAAACAATTAAAAGAACCAGAAAATACATAAACAGAAGGAGAGATTCAATAAAGAGATATAAATTATTTTTAAGAAAAAAATCCAAGCAAATTCTGGAGCTGAAGAATAAAAAATATTAAAAACGCTATAGCGCATATAAGTAATGGACTTGGTAAACCAAAAAAAAAAAAATTCTGTGAAATCTGTTACAGATTGTTCAAAAATACACAGTCAGAAGCAAAAAATAAAAATAAATAAAGAATAAATATGGGATTTGTGAGACACCACCAAGAGAACTAATTTTTACATTTTGGAAATTTCAGAAAGAATAAGTAGGTGGGAGGAAGAAAGTTTTATTTAAATAAATGACAGCTGAAAACTTCCCAAATCTGGAGACGGGTACAACCCTCTTAATGAAGCTCAAGTAACTATGAACAGCTTAACTCAAAGGAGGCTTTACCAAGACACATTACAAACTTTCCAAAATCAAAGACAGAAAAAATTTTAAAGCATCAGAGAAAAGAATACACAAAGGTATTCTTGTAAGATTTCTTAGCAAAGTACCTTACTGTCCAGATTAGGGTGGGATAATATATTCTAAGTGCTGAGAAAACCCTCCCCAAAATAAAAACCATCACCCAATATTTTAGGCAAAAAAAAGTTTCCTTTAGAAATAGAAGAGATAAGACTTATCCAGACAAACAAAGGTTGAAGGACTTGCTCATGAATAGGCCTGCCTTTCAAATAGTAAAAAAGGAATTTATTCAAGCCAAAACAAAAGGACACTAATTAGTAACATAAAAAATACTTGTAAAGATAAATTAATAATCAAATTCACAATACTCCAAAACTACCAAGGAGGTGTATAAATTACTTAGAACTTAAGCATAAAGCTTAAAATAGGAAATATTAAAATAACTATAACTATAATTTTTAAAGGTTACACAATTTAAAAATATAAATTGTAACATTAAAAATATCAAATATGTAGAGGAAGTTAAAGTATAGAATTTTTGTATGCAAGCTAATTTTATTTGTTATCAACTTAACAGAGCCTTATAATTAAAAAATACTTTCTGTAAACCTCATAATATATAAAAAGCAAAAACTCATAGTAGCTACATAAAGGATAAAGAGGAAATAATCAAAGCATACCATTATAGAAAATAATCAAATCACATATGATAACAGGAAGAAAGGAACAAAGGATCTACAAAACAGCTAAGAAACAAAGTGACAATAGTTAATCCTTATCTAACAATATTATAAATGTAAATAGACTAATGTCTCCAATAAAAAGACAGAGTGGATAGATGGATTAAAAATAGAGAAAAACAAGCCCCCATTATATGCTGCAGACAAGAGATTTATGTCATCTTTATAAACTCATCTAGATTGAAAGAGAAGGACTAGAAATAGACATTTCATGCATAATTTAACCAAGACAGCAGGGGTTACTATGCTTATATCAGAAAAATAAACTTTAGTCTAAAACAGTAAAGAGATGAATGAAGTTATTATATAGTGACTAGAGAGTAAATCATCAAGAGGTTTTAACAATTCTCCCTCTCTCTGCCTCCCTCTCTTTCTCCCTCTTCATTCTTTCTTTCTATATATATCCATATATATATCCTTTTATATGTATACGTGCATATAAAATGTATATTATGTGTAAGCATAATTTATTTACATATAAATGTATATGTAATATCCATATATAATTTATATAAAAACAGCAAAAAGATTAACAAAACTGAATTGCTTCTCTTTTAACAAGATAAACAAAATTGACTAACCTTTAAGTAGACTAAGGTAAAGGGAGAGAAGACTCAAATTTAAAAGATCGGAAATGAAATGAAATATATAAATATATATATATATATAGAGAGAGAGAGAGAGAGAAAGAGAGAGAGGGAGAGAGAGAGAGAAAGAGAAATCTATATATCTATGTATAATTCTCTCTATATATCTATCTATATCTATACATAAATATATATCAGACATATATGTATGTGTATAGATAGATATCTATATTTAGGTGCTCTGATGTATATCTATCTATATACACACACATATACATAGACACATAGATAGATCTATAACTCCCTATCTATTTATATATCTCATAGCACTTAAATATAGAAATATAAATAAGTTTAGGAGCTCTGAGCAATTATGTATATCTCAGAGCACCTAAATAATAACATCAATATTAACAGATCTGCAGGAAGAAATAGATAGTTGGAGACTTCAATATCTAATTTTCAACAATAGGTGTATCTTCCAGACAGAAAATCAACCAGGAAACATTGGATGTGAACTACACTTCAGACCAAATGGACCGATCAGACATATACAGATAGCACACTGAACAGCAGCAGAATGCACATTTTCTGAAGAGCACATGGAACATTCTTTAGGATAGATCATATGTTAGGCCACAAAACAAATCTTAGCAGACTTTAGAAGGATGAAATAATATCAAGCATATTCTCTGACCATAATGGTATGAAACTAAAAATCAATAATGAGGAAACCTGGACACTTTTCAAATACATGGAAATTAAACAACATGCTCTGAAATAACTAATGGGTCAAAGAAGAAATCAAAAAATAAAATGTATCTCTGGACAAATAAAAATGGAAACACAATATACCAAAATATAAAATACAGCAAAAGCAGTTCTGGGAGAGACATTTATAGTAATAAACACTTACATAAAGAAAAATAAAATTTTAAGTAAAAAATACTTACTCTGCACCTGAAGAAACTAGAAACAAAATGAACAAACTAAAGTCAATGTTGGTGGAAAAATGAAAATAATAAGCAGAGCATAAATAAATGAAATGGATACTAGAAAAACAACAAAAAAGATAAACAAAACTGAATTGCTTATTTTTTGAAAAGATAAACAAAATTGACAAACTTTTAAGTAGACTAAAAAAAGAGAAAGAAGACAATTTTAAAAAGTAGATATAAACTGGGATACATTCCAACTGGTAATACACAAACACAAAGTAAATTACTATGGTCAATTATATGTCAATAAATTGGATAATCTCAGAAAAAAAGATAAATTCTTAGAAACATCCAAACTACCAAGACTGAATTGGAAAGAAAGAAAAAATTTGAACAGACCAATAATGAACACACCATTAATGGGCCTTAAAGCAATAATAAAAAAATTTCCATCAAATAAAAGCACAGGATTTGATGGCTTTCCTGGTAAATTCTACCAAATATTTAAAGAAGAATTACTTCCAATCCTTTCAAACTTTTTCAAAAACTTGAATAGGAGGTGACCCTTCCAAACTCATTTTGTGAGGCCAGCATTACACTGATACCAAAGGCAGACAAGGCCACAAGAAAAAAAATATACAAACCATTTTTTTTGTGATCATAGATGCAAGTAATAAACATAATTAAACAGCACATTAACAGGATCCTACATCATGATCAAGTGATGTTTATTCCCATGATGCAAGAATGGTTCAGCATATTAAATCAATAAATGTGATTGATTCTCCCCATTAACAGAATGAAAGATCAAACCATATGATAATCTCAAAAATACAGAAAAAAAAACATTTGACATAATTCAGCATTTTATCCATAATTAACAACTTTCAACAAATTAGATACAGAAAACATATACCTCAATGAAATAAAGGCCGTATATGTATGACAAGTCCACAGCTAACATTAGGCTTAATGGAATATAGCTCCATTCACAATATTATCAAAAAGGGTAAAATACTTAGTAACAAATTTAACAAAAATGGTGAATATTCTGTATAATTAACATGATAAAACATTAATGAAACAAAATGAAGACAAAAAATGAGAATATTCCCCATGTTCATGGATTGGAGAAATGAATATTATCAAATTGTCTACATTACTTAAAATAATAAGATTCAATGAAATGCCTATCAAAATCTCCATGATACTGTTCACAGAAATTGAAAACGCAATTCTATAATAGAAACTACCAAAAATCGAGAATAGCTAAAGTAATCTTGATCAAGAGTAGCAAAGTTGGAAACATCACAGTGCTTGATTTTTAAATTATATTATAAAGCTACAGTAATCAAAGCAGTATGTTATGGGTGTATAAACAGACACATAGACCAATGAACAGAAGAGAAAGCACAGAAATAAACTGACACATATATAGAGTTAAGTAACCTTTGACAAAGCAATGTAGAGTGCACCATGGGGAAAAGTTAGTCTCTTTAATAATTACTGTTAAAAAAAAAAAACTAGATATCCACATAGGTAAAAAAGAAACCAAAACAAAAAAATTTGTATTTGTATCTTACACCATAAACAAAAACCATCTCAAAATGTGTTAAAGACTGAAACATAGAATATGAAACCATAAAACCTTTAAAAGTAAACATAGGGGAAAAGATCCATGACATTTTTCATTGCAATAATTTTTGGATATGACACTAAAATCACAGACAACAAAAGCAAAAACAAGCAAGTAAGACTAAATCAAATTGAAAACTAGCACAACAAAGGAAATAATAAACAGAGTGAAGAGAAAATGCACAGGATTGGAGGAAATATTCATAAGCTGTATGTCTGATAAGGGGATAATATCCAAAATTATAAAAAACATACAACTCAATGGTGGTTGTGGTGGTGGTGATGATGATGATAATAACAGCAACATGATTAAAACATAGGCAAATGCCTGAAAGGCTTTTTATTTTTTTTCTAAGAAGACATATAGATAGCCAACACATACATGAAAAGGTGCTCAACATCACTAATCATCAGGGAAACACATATCAAAATTACAATAACACTTCACACCTGTTAGGATGTCTTTTGTCAAAAAGCCAAAAGAAAACAAGTGTTGGCAAGGAAGTGGAGGAAAGGGTTTTCTTCCTTAAACATTGCTGGTGGGAATGTAAGTTGGCATAGCTATTACGAAAAACATTATGGAGGTTACTCAAGAATTTTTCTAAAAAATTGAATTACCATATAATTCAGAAATTACATTTCTTAGTATATAATCAAAGAATATGAAAGCAGAATGTCAAAGAAATATCTGCACTCTCATATTCACTGCAGCATTATTCATAGAGCCAAGATAAGAAAACAACCTAATGTTCATTTATAGATGAATGGAATATTGATCAGTCAAAAAAATAAGAAAATTTATGTGCAACAGCATGGATCAACCTGGCGGATTTTATGCTAAGTGAAATAAGCCAGACATAGAAAGACAGATACTACATGATCTCACTTATATGTGGAATCTGTAAAATGGAAATCATAAAAACAGAGAGTAGGATTATGATTGCTATGGGCTGGGGGTTGGAGGAAATAGGGAGATTTTGGTTAAAAGGTATAAACTGCTTGAATTGCTGGCAAGATGACAGAATAGAAAGAGCTCCTGTCTGCAGCTCCTAGTGAGACTGACATAGAAGGTGGGTGATTTCTGCATTTCCAACTGAGGTACCTGATTTATCTCATTGGGACTGATTGGACAGTGGGTGCAAGCTACTGGAAAGCAAAAAAAAAAAAAAAAAGGCAGGGGTTGCAATCCTAGTCTCTGAGAAAACAGACTTTAAACCAACAAAGATAAAAAGAGACAAATAAGGGCATTGCATAATGGTAAAGGTATCAATGCAACAAGAAGAGCTAACTATCCTAAATATATATGCACCCAATACAGGAGCACCCAGATTCATAAAGCAAGTTCTTAGAGACCTACGAAGAGACTTAGACTCCCACACAATAATAGTGGGAGACTTTAACACCCCACTGTCAATACTTCACAGATCAACGAGACAGAAAATTTACAAGGATATTTAGAACTTGAACTCAGCTCTGGACCAAGCAAACCTAATAGACATCTACAGAACTCTCCACCCCAAATCAACAGAAAATACATTATTCTCAGCACCACATTGCACTAATTATAAAATGGACCACGTAATTGGAAGTTAAACACTCCTCAGCAAATGCAAAAGAACATTAATCATAACAGTCTCTCAGACCACAGTGAAATCAAATTAGAACTCAGGACTAAGAAACTCACTCAAAACCACACAACTACGTGGAAACTGAGCAACCTGTTCCTGAATGACTGCTGATTAAATTATGAAATTAAGGAAGAAATAAAGATGTTCTTTGAAGCCAATGAGAACAAAGACACAACATAGAAGAATCTCTGGGACATATTTGAAGCAGTGTTTAGAGGGAAATTTATAGTGCTAAATGTCCCCACGGGAAAGCAGGAAAGATATAAAATTGACACTCTAACACCACAATTAAAAGAACTAGAGAAGCAAGAGCAAATAACTTCAAAAGCAAGCAGAAGACAAGAAATAACTAAGATCAGACCAGAACTAAAGGAGATAGAGACACAAAAAATCTTCAAAAATCAATGAATCCCGGAGCTGGTTTTTTGAAAAGATGAACAAAATAGACCACTGGCCAGACTAATAAAGAAGAAAAGAAAGAAGAGTCAAATAGATGTAATAAAAAATGATAAACAGGATATCACCACTGACCCCACAGAAATACAGACTACCATCAGAGAATACTATAAACAACTTTACTCAAATAAACTGGAAAATCAAGAATAAATGCAGAAATTCCTGGACACACACACCCTCCCAAGTCTAAACCAGGAAGATGTCAAATCTCTGAATAGACCAATAACAAATTATGAAATTGAGGCAGTAATTAATATACTACCAACCAAAAAAAAGACCAGGACCAGATGGATTCACAGCCGAATTCTAACAGATGTACAAAGAGGAGCTGGTACCATTCCTTCTGAAACTATTCCAAAAAATAGAAAAAGAGGGACTCCTCCCTAACTCATTCTATGAGGCCAGCATCATCCTGATACCAAAACCTGGCAGAGGCACAACAAAAAAAGAACATTTGAGGCCAATATCCCTGTTGAACATCCTTGCAATAATCCTCAATAAAATACTAGCAAACCGAATCCAGCAGCACATCAAAAAGCTTATCCACCACCATCAAGTCAGCCTCATCCCTGAGATGCAAGGCTGGCTCAACATACATGCATCCATCACATAAACACAACCAATCACAAAAACCACATGATTATCTCAATAGATGCAGAAAAGGTCTTAGAAAAAATTCAACACTCCTTCATGCGAAAAATTCTCAATAAAGTAGGTATTGATGGAACGTATCTCAAAATAATAAGAGCTGTTTATGACAAACCCTCAGCCAATATCATATTGATTGGGAAAACCTGGAGGCATTCCCTTTGAAAACTGACACAAGACAAGGATGCCCTCTCTCACCACTTCTACTCAACATAGTATTGTAAGTTCTGGCCAGGGCAATCGGGCAAGAGAAAGAAATAAAGGGTATTCAAATAGAAAAAGAAGAAGTCAAATTGTCTCTTTTTGCAGATGATATGATTGTATATTTAGAACACTCCATCATCTCAGCCCCAACATTCCTTAAGCTGATAAGCAACTTCAGCAGTGTCTCAGGATACAAAATCAATGTGCAAAAATCACAAGCATTTCTATATACCAATAACAGACAAACAGAGAGCCAAATCATGAGTGACCTCCCATTCACAATTGCTACAAAGAGAATAAAATACCTATTAATACAACTTACAAGGAATGTGAAGGACCTCTTCAAGGAGAACTACAAACCACTGCTCAAGGAAATAAGAGAAGAAACAAACAAATGGAAAAGCATTCCATGCTCATGGACAGGAAGAATTAATATTGTGAAAATGACCATAATTCCCAAAGTAATTTACAGATTCAATACTATCCCCATCAAGCTACCATGGACTTTCTCCGCAGAATTAAAAAAAAAATACTTTAAATTTCATATGGAACCAAAAACAAGCATGCATGGCCAAGACAATCCTAAGAAAAAGAACAAAGCTTGGACACATCATGCAACCTGACTTCAAACTATACTACAAGGCTACAATAACAAAAACAGCATGGTGCTGGTACCAAAACAGATATATAGACCAATGGAACAGAACAGAGGCCTCAGAAATAATACCACACATCTACCACCTTATGATCTTTGACAAACTTGACACAAACAAGCAAATGGGAAAAGATTTCATATTTAATAAATGGTGCTGGGAAAACTAGCCACATGCAGAAAATTGAAACTGGACCTCTTACTTACCCCTTATATGAAAATTAAGATGGATTAAAGACTTAAATGTAAAACCTAAACCATAAAAACCCTCAAAGAAAACCTAGGCAATACAATTTAGGACATAGGCATTGGCAAAGACTTCCTGACTAAAACACCAAAAGCAATGGCAACAAAAGCCAAACTTGACAAATGGGATCTAATTAAACTAAAGAGCTTCTGCACAGCAAAAAAAAAAACTATCATCAGAGTGAACAGGCAACTTACAGGATGGGAGAAAATTTTTGCAATCTATCCATCTGACAAAAGGCTAACATCCAGAATCTACGAAGAACTTAAACAAATTTACAAGAAAAAAACAACCCTATTGAAAAGTGGGTGAAGGATATGAACAGACACTTCTCAAAAGAAGACTTTTATGCAGCCAACAAACATATGAAAAAAAGCTCATCATCACTGGTCATCAGCGAAATGCAAATCAAAACCACAATGAGATACCATTTCACGCCAGTTACAATGGCGATCATTAAAAAGTCAGGAAACAACAGATGCTGGAGAGTTTGTGGAGAAATAAGAATGCTTTTATGCTGTTGGTGGGAGTATAAATTAGTTCAATCAATGCGTAAGACAGTGTGATGATTCCTCAAGGATCTAGAAACAGAAATACCATTTGACCTAGTAATCCCATTACTGTTTACCCAAAGGATTATAAATCATTCTACCAAAAAGACACATGCATACATATGCTTATTGCCACACTATTCACGATGGCAAAGACTTGGAACCAACCAAAATACCCATCAACGATAGACTGGATAAAGAAAATGTAGCACATATACACCATGGAATACTATGCAACCATAAAAAAAGGATGAGTTCATGTCCTTTGCAGGGATATGGATGAAGCTGGAAACCATCATTCTCAGGAAACTAACACAAGAACAGAAAAACAAACGCTGCATGTTCTCACTCATAAGTGGGAGTTGAACAATGAGAACACATGGACACAGGGAGGGAAACATCACACAATGTGGCCTGTCAGGGGCTGGGGTCTAGGGGAGCAATAGCATTAGGAGAAATACCTGATGTAGATGACGGGTTGATGGGTTCAGCAAACCACTGTGGCACATGCATAACTATGTATCAAACCTGTACGTTCTGCACATGTACCCCAGAACTTAATGTGTAATAATAAAGGTATAGACTTTCACATATAAAATGAGTATGCTCTAGAAACCTAATATACAGCATTGTGACCATAGTTTGTAATAATGTGTTTGTATTCTATACTTGATATTTGCTTAGATGGTAGACGTTAAATACTCTTAACACACACACACACACAGAAACATAACTGTGTGAAATAACAGATATGATAATTAACACTGTTGTGATTATTGTTTTATAATGTGTATATATATATATATATATATATATATACCAAAACACCAGTTTGTTCACCTTAAATATACATAATATTTGCTAATTATACCCCAATACATCTGAAAAAGTAAGATTACATTTTAAAACGATTGGAAGAAGAGATATATCCAAAGGAAGCAGGAAGCTGTGATACTGGTATAGTTACACACCCAAACACACACACACATACACACACATGGGAAAGAAAAAGTCTGCGTAAGTATTTACTGCAAAAATCAAATGCAAAAGTAGAAGACTGAGATAAAAGAGTTGGAAATAAATAAAACAGTGAAACGTCTTGAAACTAGGATTCTTTTCCTCTAATGTGAAAGCAGTGTGGAATGGAGCAATACTTCCAACATTGCTCTAGAGAGATGATTTGAATCAATAATAACTTTCTGGCTAATGCCTTTCTTTTAAATAAGAACAACAGTATTTACTAGAAATACACCTAACCCTCCACTCTCTATTGCCACAAATATCTGCCCCTGTAATTTGGGGAACTCAGAATTAGAGAAAAATATATCTAAAAATCAAAACATATAAATAAAGCTAATAACTATTAAGTATGACTTATCTAGACCCTTACCTAAATAAATATACCCTATAGAAACAAAACTAATGCATACATGTAAATCTCTATGTTTCATATGTAGTTGGATCACAAAGAAAGTAAGAAAAATGTTTGGCAGTACTTAGAAATGATACATTTTTTTGTGCAAGGATTTGTTGGATTCATGCTATCTTACAGGAGATGTTTCATAATTTAATTAAATTAGCTGTATCAATTGCCTTTTATCTTTCCCTCACTTCAAAGCAGTTTCTATCTCCCATATTGACAGCAGTGCAATTCACAAATCTTCCCATTTTGAGGATATAAGGCACAACATATAGAGAAATGTTTCCCAGCATTAAGGTATTGGCCAGAAGAAAAGATATTTATGATTATGCATTTCTCTTGGATAAACTGAGTCCTGGCTATCTAATGACAGAAATATGCTATACACTTTAATATACATATTATTTTGCATGTATTTGTAAAATGTGTGGCCCTTTCTAAGACTCTGATCACAGCCTCTCTTGCCTGCTCTAAGGGCATTGCTGTTCCACCACCCAAGCACACATTGTTTATGGCATAAACTGACTTGTGAACATGGAATAATTCAATCAATATTCCTCTCATAAGGATTATACTTGTAAGAGTAACTTACATACACATAGGTCACTGAATATTGAATGAGTTAGCACTAATCACTAAATATATACCTGTGTGTTTTTGACTCCTTATAGCTTCTTAATTTCCTAAAGTTAATTAATAATTCTGTACATTCTTTACTTTGATAATTTTTACCTGCATTGTTGTTCTGTATTTTATTTTACTGCATTGCAATCTAAATCTATTTGACCACTAGTCTATTATAAATTTACCCTAATAAAACCCTCAGGTAATGGTATCCCAGTCAATGTTTAACAACCACCTTTCTCAAAAGAATGTTTCAATATTTACAGCCTTTGCCAATATCTGTTGTATAAATAATCTCACCATATCCCATTTCAAGCTATCTGGGTAACATCCCTAAATGAGAACTTGCAAAGAGATACTAAAAAATGGCTGTTTGCAGCTGGTACAAGCCAACTTCAGTACAGCATTATTTCGTCCATTCTGCATATTACCAGAAAAATGTCATCATTGGCTTCACTCGGATGTTAACTCTCTTTCTTATAAAATCATTTTGACTATAGTAATTTTCTGAATAACTGCTCATCTAAGTACTATATTGTTCCACTGAAATGGGTCAAGTACTGGGATGTGGCAAATGACAGACTCATCTATAGCTGCAAGACTGTTGTGAAGTGGAATGAGTCCAGATTATGGAGACAAAATTAGATTTAAATTATGATTCTGCCTCATCTTTGAATCTGTTTCTTCATCTGGAAAATAACAATTCTCATTCTTAACTTACAATTTTCATGTGAAAATTAAAGTTGTTAAAGGTAAATTTAATTCTATCTTGTATTATATGCTGTGGGTACTGAATGATGTCCACACATGCAGGTAAAATTATGTTGAGATTTGCCTGAAGTTACTAGGAAATAATTATTATTGTAAAGTGGAATAGAAAAGAGTGTGGCATTTTATAAATTCTGACGGGAAGGTAAAATGAGGTGAGTAGAAAAAGAAGAGTGGCCGGGCGCGGTGGCTCACGCCTGTAATCCCAGCACTTTGGGAGGCCGAGGTGGGCGGATCACGAGGTCAGGAGATCGAGACCATCCCGGCTAAAACGGTGAAACCCCATCTCTACTAAAAATACAAAAAAAATTAGCCGGGCGTAGTGGCGGGCGCCTGTAGTCCCAGCTACTTGGGAGGCTGAGGCAGGAGAATGGCGTGAACCCGGGAGGCGGAGCTTGCAGTGAGCCGCGATCCCGCCACTGCACTCCAGCCTGGGCAACAGAGCGAGACTCCGTCTCAAAAAAAAAAAAAAAAAAAAAAAAAAAAAAAAAAAAAAAAAGAAAAAGAAGAGTTAAATGATACAGAAATATTCCAATTCTGTAAGTCAGCATTTGAGAGAGCTATTAAGATAGGTCCACAGACACTGGGCTAAGCGTCTAGGGAAGACCTAAGACACATAGTTGACTCTTGAACAACGTGAAGGTGAGAGGTAATGACTCCCCATGAAGTTGAAAATCCATGTATAACTTTTGACTTCCCAAAACTTTCCTAATAATTCATTGTTTACCCAGAAGCCTTACCAATAACATAAAAAGTCAATCAGCCATATGTTGTATTATTACCATAAAGTAACTTAGACAAAAGAAAATGTTAAGAAAATCAAAGAAACAGAAAATACATTGCATTAGTCCATTTTCACACCACTATAAAGAATTACCAGAAACTGGATAATCTATAAAGAGGCTTAACTGACTCACAACAGTTCCTCAGTCTTATCAGAAAGCATGGCTAGGAACCCTCAGGAAACTTACAATCAGAGTGGAAGATGAAGGGGAGGCAAGCAGGTCTTACATGGTAGCAGGAAGTGGGGGGATGTATTAGTCTGTTTTCATGCCGCTGATAAAGACATACCCAAGATTAGGCAATTTACAAGAGAAAGAGGTTTAATTGGAATTAAAGCTCCACGTGGCTGGGGAAGCCTCACAATCATGGTGGAAGGCCAGGAGAAGCAAGTCACGTCTTAGATGGATGGAAGCAAGCAATGAGAGCTTGTGCAGGAAAACTCCCCCTTATAATAACCATCAGATCTCGTGAGACTTACTCACTATCACAAGAATAGCACAGGAAAGACCTGCCCTCATGATTCAATTACCTCCTGCCAAGTGCCTCCCACAACACGTGGGAATTAAAGATGAAATTATGGTGGAGTCACAGCCAAACCATATTATTCCACCCATGGCCTCTCCCAAATCTCACATCTTCACATTTTAAAACAAATCATGCCTTCCCAACAGTTCTCCAAAGTCTTAATTCATTTCAGCTTTAACTCAAAAGTTCACATTTCAAAGTCTTATCAGAGACAAGGCAAGTCCCTTCAGCCTATAAGCCTTTAAAATCAAAAGCAAGTTGGTTACTTCCTAGATACAATGGGGGTATGGGCATTAGATAATTACAGCCATTCCAAATGGGAGAAATTGGCCAAAACAAAGGGGCTACAGGCCCCATGCAAGTCCAAAGTCCAGCAGGGCAGTCAAATCTTAAAGCTTGAAAATGATCTTTGACTCAATGTCTCCCATCCAGGGCATGCTTATGCAAGAGGTGGGTTTCCATGGTCTTGGGCAGCTCCGCCTCTGTGGCTGGTATCCCTCCCAGCTCCTTTCAAGGGCTGGTGTTAAGCGGCTGCAGCTTTTCCAGTCACATAGTGCAAGCTGTTGATGGATCTATCACTCTGGGGTCTGGAGAATGGTGGCCCACTTCTCATAGTTCCACTAGGCAGTGCCCCAGTAGGGACTCTGTGTGGGGACTTGGGCCCCACATCTCCCTTCCGCACTGCCCTAGCAGAGGTTCTCCATGATGGCCCCTCCCCTGCAGCAAACTTCTAACTTGACAACCAACCATTTGTATACATCCTCTGAAATCTAGGTGGAGGTTCCCAAACCTCAATTATTGACTCTGATGCACTTGCAAGCTCAACACCACATGGAAGCAGCCAAGGCTTCGGCTTGCACCCTCTGAAGCAATGGCCTGAGCTCTCCATTGGCCCCTTTTAGCCATGGCTGGAACAGCTGGGATATAGGGCACCAAGTCCCTAGGCTGCACACAGCATGAGGACCATGGGTCTGGACCACGTAGCCACCTTTTTCACCTAGGCCTCCGGGCTTGTGATGGGACGGGCTGCAGTAAGTACCTCTGACATGCCCTGGAGACATTTTCCCCACTGTCTTGAGGATTGACATTTGGCTCCTCATTACTTATGCAAATTTCTGCAGCTGGCTTGAATTTCTCCTCAGAAAATTAGACTTTCCTTTCTATTGCATTGTCCAGATGCAAATTTTCTGAACTTTTGCGTTCTGCTTCCCTTTTAAAACTGAATGCCTTTAACAGCACCAAAGTCACATCTTAAATGCTTTGCTGCTTAGACATTTCTTCTGCCAGATATCCTAAATCATCTCTCTCAAGTTCAAAGTTTCACAAATCTCTAGGGCAGGGGCAAAATGCTAACAGTCTCTTTGCTAAAACATAACAAGAGTCACTTTTGCTCCAGTTCTCAACAAATTTCTCATCTCCATCTGAGACCACCTCGGCCTGGACCTTATTGTCCATATGACTGTCAGAATTTTTGTAAAGCCATTCAACTATTCTTTAGAAAGTTCCAAACTTTCCCACATTTTCCTGTCTTTTTCTGAGTTCTCCAAACTGTTCCAACATCTGCCTGCTACCCGGTTACAAAGTCACTTTCACATTTTCAGTATCGTTTTAGCAACACCCTACTCCTGGTACCAATTTAATGTATTAGTTTGTTTTCACGATGTTAATAAAGTCATACCTAAGACTTGGAAATTTACAGAAGAAAGAGGTCTAATTGGACTTACAGCCCCACGTGGGTAGGGGAGCCGCAGAATCATGACAGAATGCAAGAAGGAGCAAGTCACATCTTACATGGATGGCAGCAAGCAATGAGAGCTTGTGTGGGAAATCTCTCCCTTATAATAACCATCAAATTTTGTGAGACTTACTATCACGAGAACAGCATGGGAAAGACTTGCCCCCATGATTCAATTACCTCCCACTGGGTCCCTCCTACAACATGTGGGAATTCACGATGAGATTTGGGTGGGGACACTGGAAAACCATATCGGGGGGATGTGGCACACTTTTAAACCATCAGATATCATGAGAACTCACTCACTATCATGAGAACAGCCAGGGGAATGTCTGCTCCCATTATCCATTCACCTCCCACGAGGTTCCTCTCTCAACATGTGGAATTACAATTTAAGATGAGATTTAGGTGGTTACACAAAGCCAAACCATACCATACATTTACAGTACTGTATTGGATTCATGAATGTCATAGATTTACATCACCTATTTACAGCATGAATTGTCTGGAATGGCTGGCAACCATAGCCACAGAACTCAATCTGCAGTACATATCAATCAATTAATCTACCTTATAATTCCATTCACAGTAATAAACATTCTCATTATGTAAGTTTGAAAAATACAAGGGAGAAAGAAATAATAAATATAAAAAGCAAGTTTTTACTTAATACCTTTATCCTTATCCCATTTATTCTACAAGAAGAAATATAATTCTAATCAGCTTTTAGAAATGCATTATAAAAATAATCAAATTACACCCCTCTTCTTTAAAATATGAATATATATTTTTGGGAAGATATGTTTTAGTGAAAAAGAGAAGGTTAGAACTAATTAGACTGTAGGTTCAAATCTCTCACTACAATATGTATGAAGAGCTATGTGATCTGGACATATTTCCTTATCTATAAATTAGGAGTAAGTTTTATATAAGGATTAGTTTTAATATCATAAATAAATTATATAATATACTATTAGAAATGACTGCTCACAAATGCTAGTTTCCTAACATCATTTTTACCCTCTTTCTGCCTCTCTTCTTTCTTGCCACCTTCCAAACAAAACATGTAGTAAATTGTAGATTTCATCCTTTATATAGTTGGAAAATCAAGTGGTGTGACATCAAGTATACTGTCCATTAAACAAATATAGATTGGTTTAGATCCACCCTGCTTCAACAGAAACTGATGTGTCTATAAACTCTTTAATGGCCAATTAATTCCAGATGAGCATAAAAATGCTTCCTTGACCAAAAGCTTAAAAATCTAGTCACTGACCACATAAATAAAAAGGAGTATTGATAGTAAATGGTTAGCCTTTTGAAAATATTGAATTTTATGTTCTTAGTATTATTTTACTGAACTTAACATTTTTATTTAGCAAAATGCTTCCTTCAGGCCCATTAATATTTATAACATAAAAAAATTTCATTAAATTTAAATTAGATATTTAGTTATATGTGTTTATAATGGTGCTATTATTAAGTGTTTATGGTGACTCTATGTCATTAACTCTAATGCCAGCTCTGGATTATCAATCATGTTGAAAAATAGAGTTGGGTCAGGTGTCTTTTTTTTGGAAGACAGACAAGGAATGGTGTTTGAAAGTGTTAATGGTATGGACCTTCTACAAGAAGGTGTGGAATAAGTTCTGGCTCAGTAGAAGCAGCCTTTCATGATAAAGTTTTTTGATGAAATGTATTACAAAGTAACTCAATAATTCCTACTATCTGTTAGGACCTATGTTTCCTGATTAAACACAAACAAACAAAAAAAGGGAACACTATTATCATCTGTACCTGTCCAATCCCCTGTTGCAGTAATTGATAGGACATTCAAAATGATACAGAAAAACACTTTTCACCAGATGTGGTGTGGTGGCTCATGCCTGCAATCCCAGCATTTTGGGAGCCTGTGGCAGGCAGATCACTTGAGCTCGGAGGTTTGAGACCAACTTGGGCAATATGGTGAAACCTCCTCATGTCATATATATATATGTCCAGATGTGGCGGCATGTGCTGTAGTCCCAGCTACCTGGGAGGCTGAGGTGGGAAGATCATCTGAGCCTCAGAAGTAGAGATTGCCTGCAGTGAGCTGTGATCATGCCACTGCACCCCAGCCTGGGTGACAGACCCTTTCTCAAAAAACAAACAAACAAACAAACAAACAAAAAACAAAAAGAAAGAGAAAGAATGGAAAAAAGAAAGAGAAAAAGAAAAATACATATCATTCTCTTTCTTAAAATCTTTCTTTGGCTTTAGCTTCATAGTTCTTTAAGGACATCCAGTGTCTGCTCCCACTACTATTCTTTTCACACTATAAACTTCAATGATTTGAATCTACTATTTGCATTTTTAACCTATTTTGATCTATTGCATCCGAAATTTTTCACATGATCATTCCTCTGCTTGGAACATTCTTTCAATCCCTATTTTATCTGGCTGACTTTCTGACTTTAGTTCTTGCTTTTAGCGCCATTTATTCTAGAATATCTTCAACTATCCCAGGTGAAAAGATGAGTTGTTCATGCTATGTATTTTGACAATACCTCATACTACCATTATCACAGAATATTTCACACTTTATTATAATCATGTATTAGTATTTGTTTCCTATTAAATTTTAAATGCCACAAGATCTTGGAAAAGTGTTTCATTCATGCTTATATTGCTGAGATAGGCCTAGCTCAGTGTTTGACACAAAATATAGACTCACAAATAAATAATGGAGACTTCTGATCCAAATAATATGTCACAGACATGTTTTTCCAGGGCCATAGACAACCAAAGATGAACTCAGAAAGGTTTCAAAAGGAAGGTATATTGGTTAGGGATCCCAGGACAAGAAATAAACACACAAACAAGAAAACCAACAACAAAAAACACAGTACAAGTTTCTTACAAGTCTCTACCCAACAGAAGAACTGACCAGATTTGGCTTTCCTCACTCCCAAACTACCAAAAGAAGGTAGACCAAGTAGGCTCATTTCTTTCTCCCCATCCTACACTTCCACCCCACTCAAGGTCAAACAGGAAGGAATTCAGTTGCCAACACCAGGCAAGCAAGGCAGAATTGTCAAAAAATAATCAATTGGAATACATCCTAATAAAAGAACACTAGCGGTGGCTCACACCTGTAATCTCAACACTTTGGGAGGCTGAGACTGGTGGATAGCGTGAGTTCAGGGGTTTGAGACAAGCCTGGGAAATATGATAAGACCTTGTCTGTACAAAAAATACAAAATTTAGCCAGGTGTGGTGGCAAGTTCTTGTAGGCCCAACTACTGAGGAGGCTGAAGTAAGAGTATCACTTGAGCCTGGACAGCAGGGGTAGCAGTAAGACAACATCCCGCTATTGCACTCCAACCTGGGTGACAGAGCTAGACGCTGTCTAAAATAAAATAAAATAAAATAAAATAAACCCACTAGGAGAAATACTCTCTTTTCCTATTGGGTCTGATGCTTTCCTTTCCCACCCAAAGACCAAGCAAAGCTCAGAAGCATCCACAGGAGTGACTCTGCTACAACTATATATTGCCAAGGAAGTGCTCTTTGTCCCCATGGGTTAGAGATTGCCTTCTCTCACCTAGTAGCACCAGACAGCCCAGCCAAATGAAGATTCTTCTATCCCCTCAAGTAGCACCAACAGGAAACTAGGAGCTCCATTAGCATGAGATAAAGAAAGCAGATAAAATAGTACTTCAAAGACTGAAAATGACATTGGCATTGGAAAAAACAACTCATAAGATAAAGCCAAGACGTACATGCAAAACCTAAGCAGGGCGACTTCCTGCTAAAGCTTTAAGTAGAACCAAAAGTCTCCTATCATAATGGACTAAATATCTACCATACAAATAAAAATGTCACCCATATTAATAAGAATTAGGAAAAATCAAAATTGAATGAGCAAAAGCAATCAACTCATGCTAACACCAAGATCTTTTAAAATGCTTGAATTTTCGGACCAAGATTTTAAAGCAGCCATCATAAACACAATTCAGTAGGCAATTACAAATTCTCTTGAAATTATGAACCCTGAAAATCTGAGACAGGCCTCAGTTAATTTATTTATTTCATCAAAGTTGAGGATGTCTGCCTGTGACAGCATTGGAAGGTCCTGATGACATGTGCCCAAGGTGGTTAGAGCACAGCTTGGTTTTATACATTTTTAGGAGACACGAGACATCAATTAACATATGTAAGATGAACATTGACTCTGTCTGGAAAGGCGGGACAACTCAAAGCAAAAGCCAGACAACTCGAACTGGGGAGGGGGCTTCGAGGTCATAGATAGATAAGAGATAAATGGTTGTATTCTTTCGAGTTTCTAATTAGCTTCTCCAAGGGAGGCAATCAGATATGGATTTATCTCAGTGAACGGAGGGGTAACTTTGAGTAGGCTGGGAGGTAGGTTTGCCCTAAACAGTTCCCAGCTTGACATTTCCCTTTAGCTTAGTGATTTCCGGGGGCCCAAAATATATTCCTTTCACAAAATAAATAAAAAGTTAGAAAAATCTAGCAAAGTAATAGAAGTTATAACAAAGCAAGTGAAAGTATACAATTGAAAAGGACTACAGTGCCAAAACAGTTTTAATAAAGACATTTGATGGGTGGACTTAGGAGTAAAGTGGAGAAAATAAAAAGATAAAATCAGTAAACATAAAGAAAAACCAATAGAGTTTACCAAATCTGAACAAAGAGAAAATGAACTGGGAAAAAAAAGCAACAGAGCCTCAGAGACCTGCGGAACAGGAACAACAGCCAAAAATCAAACCTCGATATCAGAATTTAAGAAGGCAAGAAAAAAGACAATGGGACTGAAAGAATATTCAAGAAAATAATGGCTTAAGACTTGCCAAATTTGGCAAAAAAAAAAAAAAAAAAAAAAAAAAAAAAATCTACATATGAAAGAAGCTGAGCCAAACCCAATAGAATAAAGTTAAAGAAATATATATTTTAAGACACATAATAATTAACTTCTGAAGGCTACAGGCAAAGGAGACACGATGAAAGCCAACAAAGAGTAATGATACATTACTTATAGAGAAAAATCTATTTGAATGACAGTGAATTTCTTGTCTGAAACTATGGAGGCCAAAGGAATTGACATAATATTTTCCAAGTGTTGAATAAAAAAGATTTGCTATCAATTTTTATTTAGCAAAACTATTTTTCAGGAATGATGAGAAAATAAAGACATTATCCCATGAAGAAACAGAATATGTAACTATCCTTAAGAAATGTCTTAACAAAGTTCTTTGAAACAGAAAGGAAAAGAAAAATAAAACAATCTTAAAGTATTAGGAAAAATAAAAATAATACACATGTGAGTAAATAAAATAGACTATATTTTTCTTACTTTTTCTAGAGACAGAGATGTAACGCCATCTGATACAACAATATTTAAAAGTAAGGAAGATAAAGAAAGATGAATAGAAGTAAGGCTTTCTCATTTTATTTGAAGTCGTACATTTTGATTTTAGTACTTTGATAATCACATATATATGGAAACATTTAGAGTAACCACTATGAAAATTATCAAAAGTAATACATCTAAATACATTATAAAGAAATAAATAAATAAAAATAAAATCCTAAAAAATGGATACATAATGCACAGAAAGGCAAGATAAAACAGAGAAAATAGAGAAAATAATTAATACAATGCAGAATTAATCACTAATAGATAAATAACTACCTTATTATAAATGTCCTAAAATAACAATTATAAAGCATAGATTCAGAGTGGGTTGAAAAAATAGGTCCCTACTATATGCTGTGTAAAAGTATCCATCTTATTAACAACATAAAATCTCCTAAACAAAATCTTCAGATCCAGATGCTTCAAAATATTTAAACAAGAATTACATCAACTGTGCAAAATCTATTCCAGAAAATGAAAAAAAGAAGAAAATAATCTAAAACAGAAATGCACAACTAAAATTCTATACCAGTAAAAATATTATGTATAAAGAACAAAATAAAGACATTTTCTGCAAAATCAAAGCTGAAAGTAATCATTTCTAGCATAGCTACAATATAAAAACAGCTAACAATTCTTGAGTTAAAGAGTAACATTCTCGATCAAAACAGGGTCAAGCAAGAGGAAAAGAACACATTAAAAGTTTAAGTACATGAGTAAATATTAAAATATATTTTATCTTTATAATATCTGTGTATGCATAAACATATATATTTTTTAAAAGTTAAATTATTTAGAGCAATAATAATAAACCTTTGGTTTCAGAGCAGACATAAAAGTAAAATAATAGTAAGAATGTAAACTATGATAGAGATAAACAGAATTGTACTGTTGTTATTTGTTTTTACACTGTGGAGTAGATTATTATTTAAAGGTCCATTGTGATAATTTAAGTCTACATATAATATTTCAAGTAATCAGAAAACAAAGATGTAGAGAAAGGCAGGAAATAGATAAGATGAAATAGAATTTCAATAACTAAAAACTAAAAATTACCTTACCCAAAGCAAGACAGGAAGGTAAGGGAGAAAAAGATAGCAGATGAAGAGTGAGGAGAACAGATAGCAAGATCTGTATGTAACACAGCTAAACAATAACTGTTATTGGACATAAGTGGAATAAAAACTGCACTTAAAAGCTAGATATTGTTAAGCAGCATAAAAAAGCAGGACTTTTATTTATAATACAATATATTTTACTACATATTGTTTATGCCAAACATGCTTTTAATATTCAGCAAAAGAAGGGTTGAAAATAAAAGGATAGGGAAAATATCACATAATCATTAAACAGAAGAAAGGGAAATAAGATACAAATATGGGATTATGAGAAAGTAGAAACTGGAAGGTGAAATTACTGAATTTGTGTACTGTGATCATGTAAGGGGAATGTGAACATGACAAGGAAGCTTAAAAAGGAGGTGTTGCAAAGTAGCTATGAAAAACAATACAAGCAAGAAAAATACATGTTCTTAAATTTGTATTGCACAATAACATAAATATAAAAATTTGCATTACATTGTTTTTATTTTAAATTTAACTGAATGACGAAAGTTGCTCATTTTTTTTACATATTCTCACAGAGTATTTCTCACAGATTTTATTCAATTGAGATGAACAATTCTCAATTATTTCTTATCATTGTGGAATGAATAAAACTTTTTAGTTGCAAGAAAATCAGGTTCATCATCATATGAGTATGATATTTAATAGAAATAAAACTACTTTTATTTTGTGGTTAAGTGTGATTTAGAAAAAGAGACCTCACGTTTCTGTACAAGACAGTGCTTGGCACACAGTTAAGAATTCTATAAATATTTGAGATTTTCAATTTAATTTCAATTCTCTTATGAAATTCCCAAGATCTGATTTAATAACCCCTTGATACCATGATCACTACTTATTAAAATATATACTATGTTTTTCAAGTTTACAGTAGAAATTCAACTAAAATGTCATTAAAACAAATAGAGGGATTGATGTAATATAGTACAATTGTAATGGAAAGTGAAAAATCATGAATGAAGAATAATCAAAACCATTAAAAATAACTGATTTTTATGTGGAGATTAAGTTTCCACAAAACTTTCTTTACTCTCAAGATTAATGACCATGTGCAAGTAGTCTCCCCTTGTTCAATTTCACTTTCCATGGTTTCAGTTATCCAAGGTCAGTCATGGTTTACAAATAACTGAATGAAACATTCTAGAAGTAAACAATTCATACATTTTAATTCATGCACTGTTCTGAGTAACGTGATGAAATCTCGTGCAGTTCCTCTCTATCCTACCCAGGATGTGAATCCTCCCTTTCTCCGGTGTGTCCACACTGTCTACATTACCCACCTATTAGTAACTTAGTAGGCTGCTCGTTTTTATCAGGTCGACTGTCGTCGTATCACAGTGCAGTTTGAGATGTGACACAGCTGGTATCACAGTGCAAGAAAAGTACTTAGTTAAGATGGAAAAGACATTAAATTTGTGGGTAGAAGACTTGAACAGAAACGTGTATAGTTGATACTATACACGGTTTCAGACGTCAACTGGGAGTCTTGGAACATATCTTCTGTTGATAAGCGGGGACAAGTCACCAGTAATCTCTTTATGTTTGTAATACTTTTGTAATACTTACTATAAAATGGTAATTATGACTTGAAGAAACATAATAACCCATTTACGACTAACATACTACCTGTTTTACTATGATACTATTTAACATGGAGAATTCTGGAAGATAATATTGTTTGTATACCTTGTGTCATTAAATAATACTGATTATTTTAGAGAGAGAATGTCTTGAACAGTTATAATTTCATTCCATAATGCTGTCTTCATAGACAAATATAAATGGATTATATTTGAGTTTTGTAGAAGACTAAGTGACATTTTAAATCAGACCGCAATACACTAGAAAACTAAAAGCAGTAGTGAAAACTGTTAAACAATAAGTTTTTACTGACTTTTTAGAGTTTTAAACATATTAATTTTTTAATTTCTTCCATACTAACAGCATTTCAATTTCCTTATTATTTTCTATAAACTTTCTATTAAGATAATAAAATGATCTATTAAAATCTCAGAAATTCTATGTATTTAACCTCTACCAATATTCTCTGTAATACCACAAAACAGGAATATGTGTATAAAAGTACACTTTAGCCATAACCTAACACACGAGTGCATAGAAACATACAAACAAAAAGAGATCATCATGGAAGAAAGCAAGCTATTAATGAAGTGAATAGACTATGATCCTACCAAAGTAATTAATTTCTAGTAGAAAATTGAGGGGGAAAGAGTTACTGTAATGATTTTTACAGCTTCACTGAGGTGTAAGTTGCAAACCATAAAATGATCCCATTTTAATTATATACAGTTTAATGACTTTTAGTAAATTTATTGAGTTTTACTGCTATCCTCATACTCTAAATTTACATCACTTCCATACCCCCACAAAAAATATGGTGCCCATTGTCAGTCAGCCCCTATTCTCACCACTGCCCGGGCCATTGCCAGTCCACTTTCTGTGGTATGGATTTATCTTTCCTCAATTCCTTGTATGTATGGCAATATGTAATCTTTTGCAACTGTTTTCTTTATCTTTGCGTAACATTTTAACAAATTTATCCATTTTTATGTGTACCAGTATTTTCTCCCAGTTTATTTTCAAATATTAATCCATTGTATGGACAAATCATAAAATTAGTATCCATTTGTTTACACTTTGGGCCATTATAAATAACATTGTTATGAACATTCACATCTCAGTCTTTGTAGGAGATATGTTTTTTTTTTCTTTTAGGTAAATACCTAGAAATGGAATTCCTATGTCATAAAACTCTGTTTAACAAGTTAAAAAATTGCCAAACTGTTTTCCAAAGTGGCTGCACCATTTTACACTTCCAGCAACAATATATGATGGTTTCAGTTTCTTCTCATTCTCACCCAAATTTGTTATTGTCTGTCCGTTTTTAAATAGCCATTCTTGTGGATATAGTCATTCTAAAAATGTAGCCCTATAGAGAGAGTCAAGCACCATTGAACTATATAATGTCAAGCCATATTATGTGTTATTTTTCTCTATTTGATAGCTCATATTTGGCTTTTAACATTTAAAACAAAATAAAACAGTTTTTATCCAAGTTTACTACTTCCACTGTTAACCATATGCATCTATAGAGGCAAGTTTTCAGAGATAAATGTCAGACAGTATGCTTTGCTGGCAATACTTTGAATGCTTGGTATTCAAACTACACATAAGGCTACTAATCTCTTATGTTGCTATAAAAATACAGAGGCTGTGTTCTGATCAGTTTGCAAGATGGACAGTACATTAGGGCCAGATGGATAGCATCAAGGGGACATATGTTGTTCATCAAGGAATACAGGTAATTATGTTTCTGGTAAAGTCTTTTAAACAGTTGGAGTTGAGCTTCTGCCCTGTTTTTCCCAACCTGAAGCTCCAAATTTCACATATAAAAATCTTAACCTTTAAAACTCTTGTAGCAGCTATATAAAAGTTGGTTTTATAAGAGGAATGTCCATAGTCATTAATTGCTGGCAGTGACATCTTCTCATAAGTTATATATGCATCTTGTATACAAAGTTGCCTACTAGTAGCACCTAAGCACTTCACAGATATTTGACAAGAAAATCTGCATCATTTCCCTTTTATTTGTCTTTAGATTTTCACACTTTAAAGACTACTGCATGTTATCAAAATAGAGATAGAAGTTAGTTGGTGAACATAATTAGACCACTCTAACATTATCTATGATCTCTTATATTTTTAGAAGAGCCACAAGTTTTTCAGTTTTTGATATTTTAGGACTCTGAAACATTTTTGATAGGTAGAGATGCAGAATAATCTTTTATTATTATTTCATTCTGTCAACTACTTGAGTACCTACTGTATGCTGGGTACTGTCCAAGATACTTGGGCAAAAGTACTGTGTTCACGTTTTCTTACACAGTAATGTTGTTTTTGTAAAGCTCGTAACAGTGCTTCAGGCATGAGATATTGTGACTGGTATACAGATGGTAAAAATGAAGGTGTGAACAATGTTCAGATTAAAGGTATATTCATACTGATACTAATCAAATGTCCTATAGTTGTCATTTGAGAAGTTAACATTGGAAAAGCAAGCCAGATACGTAAAAAAGACACACGCACACCCCAATAATTTATATATTGGAGATATAAAATAGTAGTTATTATCTAATTAGAGAAACTAGGGAGCAGTGCTAAGTCCTACCAAGAAGGACAAGATTAAAAAAATCAATACTAAAGCCATTGAACAAATTAGAAATAGGTCTATAGCTTCGTATCTAAAAAATTTATAGATTATAGGCCAAATTTCTGAAATTAAGAGCACTACAATGAAAATCTAATCTCTTGCTTACCTTAGCAATCAGTTTATGATGCAGTTACTTCAGAAATTGAACATTCTGTTTCACATATAAAAACTAGGTAAGTAGTCTGTTTTTGTACAATCCTTGTCACCTGCTATCAGAAAGAGAAAAACAATCCTCTTACAACTGTTAAGCTGTAAACTCTTTTAAGTTGGGAAATAGAAAATATTTATCTTTTTCACCTCCAAATCTAGAATATGTTGACATATTTTAAGAATTTAATAAGCACTTATTGATTTATAGAAATGTGAAGTTTCAATTTCTTTTTAATTCTTCATAATTTGACCAGCCTCCTAGGACCTTTCATATACATAGCTGTAATACCAAGAAGAAGAACAAAATTATCAAATATATGAAGATTGCTTAGAGGTAGCTCTCTCTCTCTCATCATATATATATATATATATATATATATGTAAACACATGTATATATAGCCTTATATATGTGTATATATATATTTAAATTTTTATCGCCAATTTAAGCCAAATAATTTCACACTGCAAGAAAGCACAAGTATTTTATTACTCAGCAGTCTACTCTGTGATCTTCAATATGCTAAATAGTTAACAAAGAAAGAAACGTACTCTTGTTGAATGTTAGGTTCACAGACACAATATGTACCGATTTTTTTTTTTTCTGAGACAGAGTCTCACTGTGTCACCAGGCTGGAGTGCAATGGTGCGATCTCGGCTCACTGCAACCTCTACCTCCCAGGTTCAAGCAATTCTCTTTCCTCAGCCTCCTGAATAGCTGGGAATACAGGCTTCCACCACCACAACAAGCTAATTTTTGTATTTTCAGTACAGACAGGGTTTCACCATGTTGGCCAGGAAGGACTCTATCTCTTGACCTCGTGATCCATCCCCCTCGGCCTCCCAAAGTTGCTGGGATTACAGGCATGAGCCCCCACGCTTGGCCTGTACCCTAAATTTAAAAAAAAAATTGATGAAGACCACCATACAGAGCACTTTGTTTCTAACAAGAAAAACAATGTGGACATCTCCAAAAAGATGCAGATGTCAGACATTAATAACAACCAGTGTGCATTTCCATGGTCCAGTAGTTGTTGGTAGCTGATTTCAAGAAAATCACGTTCCTCATACAAACTTCTCAGTGTATCTGTGTAAACTTGACAGTAACTTTAAGCCTTCTTGACAACTACTTCCCTTTTCTTTCAGTGGTCAGTCAGCTGTAGTTCAAATAGTATCACAAAGAAAGGTAATTCCCAATTTCTCTCATTCTCTAAACTCAAATGCAGTCATTTAGAACAAAGCTAAATGTTGGATCAGAAATGCTAAATCTTCCCAAATGGATATACAATTAGCTGAATAAGTAATTAGAAATGCAGTAGAAAACAGTTAATCCATTTCATTTTCGATGTAAAAATCACCTTGACTTTTAAATTGTTCTAGACATTATTGTTTAATAGTGGAGGAGAAGGAATTTCTTCTGTGATAGGAGAGTAGATTGAGATTACACAATTAAAGATAAAATGAAGACAAATAGCTCAACTTAGGTTAGGACTTATTGCAAGAATGAATGTGACATATGATTATTAATATTCAGGGAATTTCACATTACCAATATTTTGCAAAAAAAAATCTAGCAGTAAAAATGGAAATTTCCAGTATATCCTCCTTAATGAGGTAATGGTGTAATGTGTGTATGAGATACTTCAAAAAGAATTACAAAATCCCCATATATACCTATCACTTTGGTAGATGTATAAGCTCATTTTAAAATCTGTATAAACAAATCACTGTTCAATTTGGTTAGCTATAAAAGTGGATGTGGTTTAATATATTTGTTGAAATACAACAGCTTTGCATTCTGTATCTCCAATTTGTTAGATGAAAAGTTTTGGTCAATTCTCTTAAATATTTGATCGTGAGGTGTAAAATAGGCAGAGATACTTCCTACACATTGTGTCAATCACGCATAAAGAACACAGTATAGTCCAAAAATAAAAACCTAATGTACTACACTGCTAACATTTCCTTGTACCCTTCTTTGCCATTCCAAACATTTATACATGGCTCATGCTATTTCCATCATCTGCATAGTATATCTTTCCATCTCATTATTTAAATTTTCCTTGGGAAGTAATGTCGTTTTGCAGTGCTGAATTCTCCTCTGGAAAATATTCACCACCTCCACGCTACTGTAACATCCCAGAGGAATCCATTTTTACTTCATTTACCAGATAACACTGAAATTTTCCACTAATGTGTCACCCCTCAACTGGATCTGGAACATCTTAAAGTCACACATACCGTGTCTTATTTACATTTTTTGTCTCTAGACTTCAGCAATAAAATCTAGTACACTGCAGGTGCTCCTTAATGTTAAGTAAACAATTATCCTAGGATTGGAAATAGAGCCAGAGTAAAAGACGTAAGCAATGGTTGAATCAACTTTAAGCTTGTATTTTCTCTTTTCCTTTTAGAAAAAATTTTGAAAAATAATTTTACCTTAATTTTACTGCTATTCTAAGGAAGAAAAGTATTCACATTAATATTATGACGAAGACCAGGTCTATATTAAGGAACACACTGAATATCGTTTAAACATTCCACTGTTTTTTTGCTCTGATTCTCTGTAGAGTTCAATACAACCATTCAATTTATGAAAAAAGATAAAATGAGTTGTCATGAACTATCATGACAAAATATTTTGAACTATATTATTTATTTTATTTGTATTTATTTTTAATCTTTAAGTCAGTGTCTTACATTCACTTATTTGTTATTCAGGATAAACAAGGCAAAATAAACAATCAATTATGTTTCTTAAAGAGTATTTACCTCACACATTTTCTTCCAAATAACAATTACAGAAATCATGCTCAGTGATGAAATAATGAGTCATTTCCATAAATAAAATATTTTTAAATTTGGTATCATAACATAATACAGATACAACAGTTGCTAATCCATAATATTATGGTATTTAATAATGAAGTGTTATGATGATTTGAGGTTTGCAGCTACATACAATTTGTCCATTAATTTTGATTTATATTTGACTTGTTAATAATCATAAATAAATTGTTGAAATAATAAAATACTAAGAGCCTCCTCTGTTGCTTTTAGACTATTACTTTACATTCTTTAAAATACATATAAATCACACACGAAAAGGTCAAATCTAAACCCAAATATTTTTGTTTCCTTTGATATCTCAAACCTGCTGAGTTGAACATAAAACCTATAAATCAGGCTTAGCCCATAGCAGAAAAAATGTCTATAAGTTTTTGTAGAAAGGACCCTTTTGTTTGAAAAATTGGTACATTCCTAATTGCCCTGCATGTCCTGGCAAAAGATCATACTTTATATAAGAATCTTTGGCATTACTTGCTGGAATGTCTTGAACTAAATCAAGAAATCAGCATTGGCAATTTGATTACTGGAACAGAGTGCTCTTCCTAAATATGACAGTGTGTAAACCAGAGACCACATAAAACAAATAGATGAAGCAGGTGTGAGACAGACTCAGAATTGGAAGACTGCCCTCTAATCAGCACCACCACGGTTTTATTATCTAACCAGAAACACATTTTGTTGATATTTAGACTTTCTCCCCCTAGCTTAACTTCTGCCAACTGGATACAGTTCAGTGAACATAATGGCCATGACTATTCCAGTCTCAGGTAACTGATTGGCGTTATAATCTATTCGGTACCTAAAACTTTTCTCTGCTTACATACAAAGATATTGATGTAGCCATGCTACCTTAGCCATTTCTTAGGCTCTTTATACAGAACAGTCTAGAAATACATGACTTTTTTTTTTAGAAAGAACTTGTTTTTAAAAAAGAATTGAGATAATAATCAGAGAAATAAAATGTAATCATTAATTTGCTTTTCCTGAATGTCTTAGTCCATTTGTGTTACTATAGAGGAATACCTGAGTCTGGCAGTTTATAATGAAAAGAGGCTAATTTCACTCACCATTTTGCAAGTTGTACAAGAAACATGGTGCCAGCATCTCCTTCTGGTTGAAGACCTCAAGAAGCTTCCAGTGGAAGGCAAAGGGGAGCCTGTGCGGACAGATCACATGGCCAGAGAGGGAGGAAGAGAGAAGGTGCCAAACTCTTTTTTCACAACCAGATCTTATGGAAACTACAAGTGAGAACTCACTCACTACTGGGAGGACAACACTAAGTCATTCATGAGGGATTTGCCTCTATGGCGCAACCACCTCTTGCCAGGGCCTAACTTCAGCATTGGGTGGGAATAACATTTCAACATGAGACTTGGAGAGAACAAATATCCAAATTATATCACTGAAGTAATGAGTTCAAACCAAGGAGTTTATAAATTAATGTCTATGAAACAGTCATGGATTATAAAAGCCTTAATAGATATTGAAGGGATAGGAATTATATCTACACAAGAAGCCACAAAAAATATGTTGGCTGTGATCATTTATATCTCTGAGTTGGATGTTGTAAAAAAAAATAGTAAAAAGAGGCTTCCATGGCTCTTCATCTCATCATATATTCAACAGATATATTCAATTCTCCATAAGCATGCTTCTTTTTTAGGCCATAGAAACACTTACGCTATCTCTCGTATACAAAGATGATTTACTCAGCGTGCTGTAGCATTTTGCAATTGTTTCTTTTATTTTCTCTTTCCGTAATAGAGATTGATTCATACAGAATTGTTTTTGAATGACAAAAAGAAGTAACAGTGATCGAGAAAAAAGCAAATTTGAATCAATACATAATAATCACCTTGGAAAATATTTTCTTTATATGTGGCAGGTGATGGATTATTTCTATGGTCATTTTCAATGAAGTCTCTGCACTGGGTAAAAATGACAAAATGCACTTAGTAAAAATATAAAGTTCATTGAGTTTTGACAAATGTATAAAATTGAGTAAGGCAAGTTTCATCTAAGCTATTCCCTGCAAAAATTTCTTCATAATACTTTGCAGGAAATCTCCTCAAACATCACCAGTCCAGGCAACCACTAGATTCGACAATTAGCACTATAGATTAGATTTCACTACTCTAGTACTTTATATAAACAGAATAATAGAGAATGTATTATTTTTATGTCTGTTTTGACTTATCTTAATGTCTTTATGTTGTGTATATTAGTAGGTTTTTCTCATTTCACTGAAAATTATTTCATTTCTCAACATTTCAAAATTTGTTTATCCATTCAACAGTTTGTAAATATTTAGTTTTTCATTATTGTATTATAAATAATATTCATAAGAAAATTTGTTTAAAAGATTTTTATGAATGTATTTTTGGTATTTTTCTTGGATCATTATTTAGGAGCTTAATTGCTAGGTCATTATGTTAAGTATATATTTAATTTGTAAGAGACCGTCAAATGTTTTTCAAAGTGGTTACAAAGTTTTACAGTCTCACTAGTAAAATGTGACAGGCTTTTTATCTTCACATCTTTGCTAACACTTCATATTCTAAGGCATTGTAGTTTTAGTAATTCTGCAGTGTATAAAATGGTGTCTCATGATTTGAGTTTGAATTTCCATGATGTTTAAAGATATTGAGCATCAATTTATTTATTTATTGGGTAGCTATAAATGTTTATAATTTGTGTATTCATATAGTTTGCCTATTTCTGTTGGGTTGTCTGCTGCATTATTAATTATTTGTAAGAGTTTTATATATTTTTTATAGCTACACATACACACACACACACACAAACACACACACACACATATAGTGCTCTACCAGCCTGTTGCTTGCCTTCTCAGTTTTAACAATATCATTGAAGAAAGATTTAATTTTAATTTTGGTTAACTCCTGCTTTCGAACTTTGTATTTTATAATTGCTGTTTTTTATTACCTGTTCCAAGATCATTAATATTTTCTTTTATTTTTCCTCCAGAAATTTTGTAATTTTGTCTTACTATTTATATCTCTAATCCACTTTTATTTCGTTTTGTGCATGGTTTGAGGTAGGCTTTAAATTAATCGATTTTTTTTTTTACTGAATTACCTTGACATCTTTGTTAAAAATTATTTGAACCAGGCCGGGCGTGGTGGCTCTCGCCTGTAATCCCAGAATTTTGGGAGGCCGAGGCGGGCGGATCACGAGGTCAGGAGTTCGAGACCAGCCTGACCAACATGGTGAAACCCCGTCTCTACTAAAAATACAAAAATTAGCCAGGCGTGATGGCGGGCGCTTGTGATCCCAGATACTCAGGAGGCTGAGGCAGGGGAATCGCTTGAACCTGGGAGGCGGAGTTGCTGTGAGCAGAGATCGCGCCACTGCACTCCAGTCTGGGCAACAGAGTGAGTCTTTGAAACTATGTATGTGGGTCATTTTATGTACTTTGTATTCTTTTCCACTGATTTATATGAAAATTCTTATGCCAATGTACACTCTCTTGGTTGCTGTACCTTTACAGTAAAAATTGAAATCAGATAGCTTTCTTCTTCATCTTGAAAATTGCTGTGACTATTCTGGCACTTTTGCATTTAGATAACATTTAGAACTAGTATAATAATTTTTACAAAATATGAGCTGGGATTTTCATTGCTATTTCACTGATGTATAGATCATCTTGGGAAAACTCTCGTCTTAACAATACTGAGACTCTCAACCCGTTGACATAATGTATCTGGTTGGACTTTTAATATTTCTTTCAGCAACATTTTGTAACTTCCAGCGTATGTCTCACAAATATTTTGTTAAATTTATAAGTTATCCTTAGGTATATTTTCCTGTTATTGTAAAACTAACGCATATTAGAATTTTGTTTTATAATAATTCACTGCTAATGCCTAGAAATTGTACCTTTTCTTATTTTAACCTTATTTTTTACAAAACTGCTGTTAGCTTATTAATTTCAGTTTTTCATAAAATACTTAAAATATGTTATTTACATGATCATATTGTCTAAAATAAAGGGAAGAAAATTATTCTAATTCTGCTCCAAACTTTCTTTTTCTTGCTTTCTTGCACTGGCTAGGACCTCCAGTAGAAAATAGAATGGAAGTGGTAAGAATATATATCCTCGCAGTTGTTCTGTTTTGGGAGGTTAATTTTTCAGTCTTTCACCATTAAGTTACAATATGAACTGAAGATTGTTCAGGGATACTACTTAGATTGTGGAGGAAATCTCTCATTACTTTCCTGAGAGCTTTTACTAAGCATGAATGTTGAATTTTGTTTTTAAAAATGCTTTTTATGCATCTATTTATATGAGCATATAATTTACCTCTTTTAGTTTGCTAATAAGGTAAGTTATATTATTTTAATGTTAAACCAACTGGACAAATAAATCCATTGTCATTGTAGCGATTATCTTTGCTATATATTGCTAGATTCAATTAGTTAAAATTTTTTGAGAGTGTTTTTAACTAATTCATGAAATACATTAGTGTGCAATTTTCTTGTAACAGCTTTGTTTAGTTTTGGTATCTGGATAATCCCGACCTTATGAAATGAATTAGGAAGTGTACCCTTTTCTTTCCTGAAAGAATTTGTATAACATCAGTCCTATTTCTTCTTTAAATATTTGATGGAATTATCCAGCGAAGCGATCTGTGCCTAGTGTTTTTCTTGTAGAAAAAATCTCATCCATAATTCAATTTATTAATTCTCATAAACCTATTCAGATTTTTAAATTTCTTCTTGTTTCAGTTTTGATAACTTGTAAGTTTCATATTATTTGTCCATTTCTTCTAAGTTGTAGAATATATTTGGTATAAAATTTTTACATTTCTTTTTATTCTTCTGAGATCTTTAGTAAACATGGTGATGTCTCCATTTGCATTCCTAATAGTGATATTTTGGTTTCCTTCTACTTTTACATGATTGGTAAAGCTAGACTTTTATTAATTTTATTGACCTTTCAGAAGAAGCAATTTTGGTTTCAACAATTTTATTTTAGTCTGTTCTGGAATCCAGGAAAATATATAAAGTGACAGATGAACATATATTTTTCCTCTCAGATGGAAACATAAATGGTTCTGAAGACTCAAAGGCCTATTTTGCTTCCAGGGACATAAATTTCTAACTGTAGTTCAGCCTTGCTCAGAAGGTGGAAAATAAATGCCATCACTACAGCTGTCTGCCTAAATGACTAAGAGTACATTTTGTCAGGTCATCCCTAGTTGGTCTGTGTGATTGCATGGACTGTGAAACTACCTCTATAGTGACCTCATCAGACTGTCTGGAGAAATTTCATGTGTTAATTTGTAAAACTCTGCTCTTCAGTACTCCTTTCATCTAATAGGCTTAATTGATCAGACACACCTGTATGCTTGCTTCTATGCAGGATGTAGTAGTCAGGGTTCTCCAGAGAAACAAAACCAGTAGGTAATATGGATATATATGAATAAATAGGTTTATTATTAGGAATTGGCCTATAGGATTATGAAAATTGCCAAGTTCAAAATCTCTAGACTCAATGCCCCAGTTCAAGTCCAAAGGCCAGAAACGGCTGCAGAGTGAGGAAGAATTGATATCTCAGAAGACTGTCCAGCAGGAAGAGTCCTCTCTTACCAGGGGGTGGGATTAGTCCTTTGTTTTATTCATACCTTCAACTGATTGGATGAGGATCACCCACATTAAGGAGAGAAATCTGCTTTATTCATTCTGCTAATTTAACTGTTGACTTCATCCAAAAATACCCTTACAGAAACACCCAGAATAATTTTTGATCCAAATATCTGAGAACTCCATGGCCTAGTAAAGTTGACACATGAAAAGTCACCATCACAGAGGCTGAAGACGGCAAAGAGAAAGAAAATCCCATTCTTAATTAGATATTGTCTGTAATTCACGAATTGCAGTTGCGTATCTGGGCAGTCTTCACACCTTGTAGTATACCCGCCAAATATATCTTGTGAATGTTTGGTAAATAAGTCACAGCATAAAGTAAAGGGGCTGCACTCTGGCAACACAGCAGAGCTGTACAAACCTGAAACCAGATTCAACCAGGATTTAATGTGCCACTAAGTATGACCTCTGTGACTTAGTGCACATGATATAACTTCCCTGACTCACATATGTACTAAATTATACCTATCTTGCAAGTATCCCAGAAGGGCTTTTGAAGTGCTTAGCACAATGTCTTACACAGTGTAGGCCACTTGAATACCGCAGAAAAAAATTCCTTACTGGTGTTTTGCATTTATCCAAGCCTCTCAACAAGCCATTTCCAAAGCAAAACCACAGCAGTCTTTTGAAGATCCACATCAGATCATAGCATTCCTCTGCTTCTCTGCTTCCTTAAATGGCTTTTATTAGAATCAAATCATACACCTTGGATTAGATGCAGTAGAATTTGATCTGTCCTAACTCTCTAACCTCATTCTGCTTTTTTTCTCCACTACCTTCTATCCACCTTGATCTGCCTATTTCTTCAAAAGTCAAAGCACGCCCCACCAAAGGTTCTTGAAATGTCTGTTGTCTCTGCTGGTCATGCTTTTCCCCCTTGTCTTTCTGGGTGACCCTTTCTTGTCATTCAGATTTCACCTCAAATATCATCTTCCCAAAAAGCCTTTTCATCATGATTCTACAGTAGCACGTATTTGAATAAAGAAATGAGGCCAGGCGTGGTGGCTCACGTCTGTAATCCCAGTACTTTGGGAGTCCAAGCGGGCAGATCACGAGGTCAGGAGATCGAGACCATCCTGGCTAACACGGTGAAACACTATCTCTACTAAAAAAAAAACCAAATAATTATCCGGGCATGGTGGTGAGCACCTGTAGTCCCGGCTACTCCGGAGGCTGAGGCAGGAGAATGGCATGAACCAGGGAGGCGCAGCTTGCAGTGAGCCGAGATCGTGCCACTGCACTCCAGCCTGGGCAATAGAGCAAGACTCTGTCTCAAAAATAAATAAATAAATAAATAAATAAATGAATTATTTCAGGTCACCTAATACTTTACCTCACTTTCTCTATTAATATCCATTCGTACACAATCCATAATATCCATTAGTACATAACTCCTCCTTCTCTATTAATATCCATTAGTACATAATCACAGGGTTCTGTTGATTCAAACTGCTAAATGAAAGTAAGCTTATTTTTAAAGAGTTTAAAATCCTCAGATTTTAAGAATACTTTGTAAAGCAATTGAGTTCCTTTAATCTTAAGTGAAAGCAGCTACATGTTCCAATATTGTACTTTCAAATTATTGGTTTAACTACCCGTGACCATTTTGTTGAATTATGTTTTCTTTTCTATAGATTTTTCTCATTGTTCAGATGAATGGCTCAACAAAAGTGTATCTCTTAATTTAGAAATCTTATCTTAGGCCTCTGTAATCAATCAACTGCCATGCACAGTTCCCTAAATGTTTCTTTTTCTTGCCTGAGTAGATATTTAAATTTCCTTTTAGAAATCACTAGGGTAAAAAGCTAGCAAGTATCTTAGCAATTTCAGGAGGTTACATGAATAACATTTTAATATTTTGAAAATGTAGAATAAAGACAGGATAGTTAACCAGAAAGTTACTTTTTGTGGTGTAAAACTTGGAACTTTGAAATTGGAAATGGAAAATAGCTTTAAAGCCAGCATTCCTATTTTTCTTGCCCCTAGGAGAAAAGAGCTCAGCCTTATTTTAAATTAATTCTGTGATACTATTTCCCATTAGAAATTTTAAGTTTGACTTATTCTAAAACTTTCTCTCAGCTCTAGTGGTCATATTTTCTTAATCATGATGGGAAAAATATATTTCCATAAGGTGCTTTAATGTTTGAGCTGAGGTCTTAAACTGACATCCTTTTCACATGAACCAAAAATACTGTGTGTAGTCATCAGATGGTAGAATGGTAATAAAGATTCTAGTAATAATTACTTCTAATCAAACCAAACAGTAAAGCAAATCTACATTTCAGGTAAACTAGAATGCAGTAATTGTTGGATTTATGTCTATGTTCTTAATCTCTAGGTAGATAATTTTGTATACTTTGATTCTAAATTTAGGAGGTAGTGATTATCAGAATGACTATGACATTTGAGTATCTACAGAGTGTAGAAATAACTCATTCTAAATCAGAATTACATGACAAAATTATTTATTCTGTCTCTGCATATAGCCATATAATCCTTCCAAACCCAAATCATATGCATACCTTCCTTGCTCTCTATAAAATATATTGTGTTCTTAAAGTTATAAGAGAAATTCAGTTTTATTGTGAAATGTTTAGAAAAGCATAAAGAAGAAAATTAAAATAGCAAATAATTTCACCAGAGAGAGAGAGAGCAGGGCAATTAATACCCTGATGTATTTTATGTCATTTATTCTCTGTGTTTAATTAAGAATTTTGCTGCTTCTGAGCAGTTATTCACAAGTCCACCAATGTGTATATGGGACTCCTCTTTGCAGGCCTCAGAAAGGCTCTACCAAATATACTATTCAGCAAAGAGGATTTTATTTAAAAATGGAGAGAGATTAGAGAGTTTACATCATTTAGTTCATGCAATTCAACCACATACTCCATTTAACTTTCTTTTTAATCTTTTTTTTTTTTTTTTTTTTTTTTGAGACGGAGTCTCGTTCTGTCGCCCAGGCGGGAGTGCTGTGGCGCGATCTCCGCTCACTGCAAGCTCCGCCTTCCGGATTCACGCCATTCTCCTGCCTCAGCCTCCCGAGTAGCTGGGACTACAGGCGCCCGCCACTGCGCCCGGCTAATTTTTTTTGTATTTTTAGTAGAGACGGGGTTTCACCGTGGTCTCGATCTCCTGACCTCGTGATCCGCCCGCCTCGGCCTCCCAAAGTGCTGGGATTACAGGCGTGAGCCACAGCGCCCGGCCTTTTTAATCTTTTTTTCTGGGGGAATGGATACAGAAGATTTCAAGGTCCAGAAATCTTAATGATGCAACAGCACATTGGTGCAAGCAGCAATCCATGTTCTCTCCCTTATACATTATAATTTTCTCACCAATATAGGATGTTCTGAGGTATATTCAGCTCAAAATTAGTTAGTTGAGCTATCAATTTACATTATATTTTAAATACTGGGAAACACCTGGTTAAATGCTTGTTTTTGATTTTGTAACACTGAGTAATTCAGAGCTTTTAATTATTACGTAGGCATTGTGGATCTATAAGAGGGAGATACAGTACAAAGAACTTGGCAAAATGTTTAATTAATTAATGAAATATATGTGATTTCCTATGAAATAATTTTATAAGACTAGCGTTTTGTGAAACTTGCTTTGAGAAACTCTGCCTTTCCAATCTCAGCCTGCAGGATGAAGAGACACATGATTTGCTGTCTAAAATACAGCAGGCAAAATTTCTGCTAAATATTGTGCCTATCATGGATCTAGGGTTATTCAGACTGTTATATATATATTCTCGTTACCCATTACCGAATCACTAAATGATTCTCATATATTTTGTATTCTTGTTACAATATATTCAATCTATTAATCAGTATATGCTAAAGTATGCTGCAGTAAGAAATGCTCCATTAACAATGATCAAAATCTCAGTGACATAACCAAGTAGAAGTTAATTTTTAACTTATATCAAAGTCTTAGTTGAATCAGGCTGCTCTCCTTGGCAGCTCTTATCCAATGGATGGCTCGGGGTATTCTTATCTGGAATGGTCTGCCATTTATTTTGTGCCTCGTAGTAAACATATGTCATTGTTCTTAGTTTCCAACATATAAAGCTCCCACTTGGTTGAGAATGTCTCTCTTTTTGAGTATTTGTGAGAGACAGTTATTTTCTACTATAAATTACAAAATGGTAAATACTCATTTTTGTAGACTTTCTTAAAAGTAATGCATAAGCATTTGACCTAGGATGCAACAATAGTAATCAGGCTTATTTGCACATGACTACTGAATCAGGGAATCAGGAATGCAAATAATTCTAGGGATGGTACTAATTGCAACAAGATAGAATCCAGTCCACAGGCAATAATGGCAGATGTACTAGTTGCAGCATTCAGGCTTCCCTAATAACAGTGTTGAGCATTTCCACAGCAGTAGCTAGTACTTGGAAGGGCCATGGCAGATTACTGTCTGGAGCAGTTCTCAATTTGAATCTGGACAGCTTTCCTTTTTGCCATGCCTGTTCTACAACCATTTGGGTGACTCAATAAGCTATCCATATCCTTTTAGTGAATTAATAATTTTCTTTTATAGTAAAATCACTCAGATATACTTTTTTTTTTTTTTTGCTTTTAACTAAACTCTGACTGATATCTGGCACTAACATGTATCTAATCACTTTAACCTGCTTATCTCAGATGAGAATAACTGGACATCAAACATAAAATCCTCATGTAATACTAGGTAGTTAAATTGTGTTGTGATGGAAATAATGGGTTATTATAGTGACATTTAATGAGAACTGACCTTTTTGTGAAGATACAGACTCCTTTATGAAAAGGTCCTTGATTTTAAGACCAAACAAGTAAGTTGAGGGTTTTGGTAAGACGAAAGACTATATCAAGTGTCTTCTTTGATTTCTCTTCTTCTGTAAATGGCCACCTATTTAAGAGCACAGATCTCACAAATCTATAATTTAATGACTCCCATGAAGTTTAAGAATGAAATTAGGGCTGGGTGTGGTGGCTCACGCCTGTAATCCCTGTAAGTTAACAAGCCTGTAAACTTTGGGAGGCCGAGGCGGGCAGATAAGGAGGTCAGGAAATCGAGTCCATCCTGACTAACATAGTGAAACCCCGTCTCTACTAAAAATACAAAAATACTAGCCAGGCGTGGTGGCGGGTGCCTGTAGTCCCAGCTATTCAGGAGGCTGAGGCAGGAGAATGACGTGAACCTGGGAGGCAGAGCTTGTGGTGAGCCGAGATCGTGCCACTGCACTCCAGCCTGGGCAACAGAGCGAGATTCCATCTCAAAAAAAAAAAAAAAAAAAAAAGAAAGAAATCAGATGTTTTGGTTTGCACTAGTGAATTAATCAAGCCTAAGACCATTCTGAAATATAATATTTTTTGTTTTGTGTTTCCATGTGAAAATGTTATTGATTATATAATTAATGCATTTAATTAGAAGAGTATTGATATTAAAGTTTCTAGGCTAGAGTGTATGAACTGGAGTTTGAATGCTAATAATAGAAAATATATATGTAATGCAAGAAAAATATCATGTAAAACAGGACTCAAGTTGCTGGGTCAATATGTAACACTTATCTAACTGAAAGTATGTTTAAAATAGAATCACTTTTACATATTGAAGTGAGTAAAAGTATGCCACTAACCAGATGTCATAAAAATCCGAGAACAGAATATAAGAAAAGAGTTTGATAGAAAATAGTACAAAAATCCCAAAAAGAATGGTTTAAAATTAGATTTAAAAAGTGAAGAAGGTTATATGTGTGTTACATGCCATCACTTCAAATAAAGTTGTACAAACTGAATGTTTTCCAGCCAATCATCTGTGGGAGAAGTAAGAAACAAGAATAACTGTACTATAACATGTTTTTGGATATTTTCAAAACATCTCAATAATTTCAAGTCAATGTGCCACTTTATACGTTTTAAATCTTTATATTATATGCATCATAAAACTTAGCATTGATCTAGAATATTATGTGTAAACCTATAATATTGTTTACAATTTTAGATTATTAAATGCTTATAAAATATTATCCTAGTTATACTAAACTATCAGAAAAATAGATTCTCTATTTTATAAAACAAAACAAAATAGAATTATTAAATAAATAATTAAAATAATTAAAGTAAATTGAAAACGTATTTCGGAAATTGTTTCATAGAAGTGCCCAAAGCCAAATGAGGTGAGACATTTCACAAGGTATTGTCTCTCATTCCTGGAAGAAACCTGTGGCTAGGGTGACACAAAAGTTAAAGGACAGGACCACATTCAATGCTTGTCACACACCATAACATATGGTATTTTTTTTCCTCTTAGGTACAATGCTGTAAATGGTAGGTAATTTGTCTAAATCATCCTTGAGATATAATGTGAAGAAAATGACAGACATTTTTAAGCTAAGTGAACCCAAAATTAATTTGAAATGTCCTCAAAATATAAGAAACTAAGTCAATTTATTGATTGTAGCTTCTTTAATTAGTAGATATTTCTCCACTTAATTACACAGAAAACAAATTTGACTGCAACTAGCATGGAAAATCTAAATCATATTATTTTTGTTCCTATTATGATATTCGTTTTTCATATGAAAAGTCTTAACATTTTTAATTCAAACTAATGTGTGCAAAGATAGGCACACCTCATTTTATTGAGCTTTACTTTATTGTGCTTTAGAGAGAGAGATTTTTTTTAAAAATTAAAGGTTTATGTCAACTTTGCATCTAACAAGTCTATGGCTCCATTTTACCATCAGCATATGCTCACTTCATGTTCCTGTTTCACATTTTGGTAATTCTAACAATTCAATTTATTATTATTATTATTTGATCTGTTATTGTAATATGTGATCAGTGATCTTTGATGTTACTATTGTAATGGGTCTGAAGTGCCACAAATTATGCTTCTATAACATAGCAAATGTAATCCATAAATGTTTTTGTCCTGACCACTCTACCCACCAACTGGCTCCTCCCTGTGTCTCACTCTTTTCCTCTCTCTCAGTCTCTCCTTGGGCCTCCCTATGCCCTGAGACACAGCAGCATTGAAATTAGGCCAATTTATAACCCTACAGTAACTTATAAGTGTGCAAGTGAAAAAAAGAGTTAAACGTCTCTCTCACTTTAAAGTAAAAGCTGGAAACAATTAGGCTTAGTGAAGAAGGCATGTCAAAAGTCAAGATAGGTCAAAAGCCAGGCCTCCTGCACCAGAGTTAGCCAAACTGAAAGAAATTAAAGTGCTGCAGGGAGCACATGGATGATAAAAAAGCAAAATAGAACTGTTGCTGACAGGGAGAAAGTTTGTATGGCATGAATAAAAAGTTAAATCCGCTGCAATATTCCCTTAAGCCAAAGCCTAATTCAAAGCAAGGGCCCAAGTCTCTTCAATTCTGTAAAGGCTGAGAGCAGTGAGAAAGCTGCAGAAGAAAAGTTTGAAGCTAGCAGAGGTTGGCTCACAAGGTTTAAGAAAAGAAGCCACTTTCATATCATGAAAGTGCAAGGTAAAGCAGCAAGTGCTGATGTAGAAGCTGCAGCAAGCTATCCAGAAGATTTAGGTAAGACTGCTGATGAAGGTGGCAATACTAAACAATAGATTTTCAACATAGATTAAATTTCTATTGGAAGGAGATGCCATCTGTGACTTTCATAGCTACAGATAAGAAGTCAGCGTTTGTTCAAAGCTTCAAACGACAGGCTTACTCTCATTAGGGACTAATGAAGCTAGTGATTTTAAGTTGAAGCCAGTGTTCATTTACACTTGTGAAAGTCTGAGGGTCCTTAAGAATTAAGTTGCATCTACTCTGCCTGTTCTTCAGAGATGAAACCAGGCCTGGGTGATAGCGCCTCCGTTCACAGCGTGGTTTACTGAATATTTTAAGCCCACGATTTATACCCACTGCTCAGAAAAAGTTTTCATTCAAAATATTCCTACTCAATGACAGCACACATAATCACCCAAGAAAGAGCTCTCATGGTGAGGTACATGAGAATTCATGTTGTTTTCATGCCTCCTAACACAACATCAATTCTGCAGCCCGTGGATCAAAAACTAATTTTTATTTCTAACTCTTATTATGTAAGAAATACACTTCATAAGGTCATAGCTGCCACTGATAGTCATTCCTCTGATTTATGTGTGCAAAATAAATTGAAAACATTCTGGAATGGATTCACTATTCTAGATACTATTAAGAGTATTTGTGATTCATCTAAGGAGGTCAAGATATTAACATTAACAGTTTAGGAGAGGTTAATTCCAACCCTCAGGATTGACTTTCAGTGCCTCAAAATGTCAGTGAATGAAGTAACTGCTGATGTGGTGGAAACAGTAAGAAAACTAGAATTAGAAGTGGAATCTGATGATGTGACTGAATTTCTGAAATCTTATGATCAGACTTTAATGGATAAGAAGTTGCCTGTTGGATGAGCACAGAAAGTGTTTCCTTGATGGTCTTCTGGTGATGGTGCTGTGAACATTTTAAAAATGAAAACAAAGAGTTTTGAATATTCCATAAACTTAATGGATAAAGCAGCAGCAGTTTTTGAGAAGATGACTCTAATTTTGAAGACATTCTACTGTGGATAAAATGCTATCAAACGGCATTGAATGCTCTGTGTGTGTGTGTGTGTGTGTGTGTGTGCGCGCGTGTGTGTAAAAGGAAGAGCCGTCTGGGCGCGGTGGCTCATGCCTGTTATCCCAGCACTTTGGGAGGCCAAGGTGGGTGGATCACGAGGTCAGGAGTTCAAGAACAGCCTGACCAATATGGTGAAACCCTATCGCTACTAAAAATACAAAAATTAGCCAGGCGCGGTGGCAGTTGCCTGTAATCCCAGCTACTCGGGAGGCTGAGGCAGGACAATCGCTTGAACCTGGGAGGCAGAGGCTGCAGTGAGCTGAGATTGTGCCACTGCACTCCAGCCTGAGTGACAAAGTGAGAATCTGTCTCAAAAAAAAAATAAAAAGGAAGACCCAATCAATGTAGCAAACTTCATTGTTGTCTTATTTTAATAAATTGCCATAACCACCCCACTCTTCAGCAACCACTAGCCTGATCAGTCTCCACCAGCAAAAGATGACAACTGGCTGAAGGCTTAGATGATTGTTAGCATTTTTGTGCAATCAAGTATTTTTATATTAAGGTATGTTCATTGTTTTATTAGATGTATGCTGCTGCTCACTTAATAGACTACAGTCTATTTATTCTATAATGTAAACATGAATTTTACATTGACAATGCACCAAATAATTTGTGTGACTCACTTTATTGCAATGTTCCCTTTATTGCAATGATCTGGAACTGAATCCACAATATATTTGAGATGTACCTGCAAGTAAATGCTGTGCAATTTTTTTAGTATTTTTAATAGAAAAAGACAAAGTGTTTAGACATTTTACTTCATGATGCTGAAAGCATATTTTAAACTATGAATTATTTATAGGATAGAAATTTTGGTGTATATTACATGTTTATTTTACTTAGAATTTTTTTAATGTTGCTTGATTGGATTTTTTGTTATTATTTACATGTTTCTGAGTCAGTTTATATTAAAAGTATTTGACCACATGGCTTTCTGGCTTTAGAGACAAAATTACTTGGATTTGGCTCTTAGTTCCATCATTTGAATTTTTAATCTGAGTGTGATCTAAAGGTTTTGATTTTTTTAATACCTGTAAAATAGATTTACTTATGTCATAATGTTATTTTGGAGAATAAATGAGGAAATGTACATAGCCATGAGATCAATTAATAATTACTACCAACTTCTAGAAGTGCTTAATGGTATATAGAACACTTTTCTATATAGTATATTAAAATTTGATCCTTACATGAATCTTCTGCGTAGATATTATGAGCTTTACAGGTAGGAAAATAGAGACGAAAAAGGTTGAGTGACTCAGATAATTAATAATAGACCTAAGGATATCATACCAATTTTTACTTCTTTGTTCAATTATGTTTCCAACATAATTGTTTAGACTAATAGAAAATAAAGTAACATATAAACAGAAAATCAAGAATGTGAAATGTGGAAGTTAAGACTTTTTTGAGATGCCATATTTAATTTTAATTGGAGAGGCGTAAGAACGTAATCATTGTAAATGCTTAGATGCTTTTAGTGTGTATGCCTTTGTATATATTGGACTTAAAAGATAGCTCCATTATTTTATACAGCATCTTAAGGTATGGATCACAAAATAATAATATTAATGCTTATTAATCTGATACAGTCTTAATCGGTTTAAAAATGTTACAGAACATTATAATTCCATTATTTTCATGTAAAACTAAAAATTCCAGTATATTTCCACTTCTATAATTTTACATAGGAATACATTCCAGAATTAAATATCCCTATAACAACTATTTTACTTTTTTAAGTACTTGCTCATATATTTGCCTGATGTAAGAATTTTGTATTTAGAAATTAAAAAATACTTTTGTCAACTAAAAATACAACTCCATAATAATCATCGTAAGTGTAAAATGCATTACGATAAATATTTACTTGTCTATTTCAACAAAAAAGTTTTTTGGTCATGATTACTAGAAATAAAAGCAACCAGTTTATAGAGATATAAGGAATACGAGTATTCACAATAAATAACACAGTATTTACATATTGACTCTAATACAAAAATATCATTTTCAAGTATGCACACCCACATTCACCTGAGAGAGACCAACTAATCAGGAGAATACTGCATTGTAAATGAAAATATAATACACATTTTAAAAAAAGAAAAAATGTATAACACAACAAACAAAAAATAAACACAGGACATTTTTGCAATTTAATTGTTTCATTCAATTTAAAATATTGTCTTGGAGTATTACAGTTAACATCTTAAAAATAAATTCCAGAAAATATCTAGACCGTAAGTATCTTACATTCAAACTTGAAAAAAACTAGCATTTGCAAGAAGAGAAAAACACATGAAAAAAATTGCAATTAAAATGTCACAATGAAAAGCAAACAAATTTAGAGTCATCTTGTTTAAACCACACATTTAAAATAACTAAATAAGACTCCATTGTGCTAAATATTGTCCTTTGTAATTATAAACCCAGCTAATTTGCCATCTGTGGAAATGAAGCTAGGCTATTGCAAAGAATTATAAAAATGGAATAGTTTGAATTGCATATGTGGGCCAGCAGATGTCACTCTTGTTAAAAGACTGAGTAATCGTTCCTGAAGGGTAATTGTCCCCTATGGTGGTGGGCAGAATTTCAACAAGTGAAGGATTAAGCCCTGACCCTCTTTTCACCTCCCCACCTACTTTACACTAATGACAACAGAATCAGTAAATTAGAAATGTCAGCTGCTTTGCCATCAGTTTCCAAAGCTGTTTGGTCTAACTATAATTTATGGTCAATGGTTATATAAGCAGCATTGCCAAATCTCTGTAATTATTACAGAGATGTAGCCAGGCACAGAAAATAAATGTTGCTGTAAGCTAAACCAAGCTCTGACATTACTATAATTAGGCTGATGATTCATGCCATTTGTTTCTCTTAGAAGATACATAGAGTATCTAGAAGACAGTGAGAAAATTAAGCCTGAATTTTCGAATGATTTTCTTTTCTTTTATGAAACTAGAGTTCGATCAACTAAGAATCGACAAGGCCTGTTAATTTACTACCTTTAATTACTCAAAGCATTCATAATATTTTAGGGTGTAACATTTTGGAAATGTTACTGATGTGAGATATTTATGAAGCAAACAAATAATTTAAAAAATAAATGTCCGGAATTAAGGTATTATTTCTGGAATGTATATATAGAGAGATAAGGTGCATGTGTGTGTACCACATGCTCATATATATGGTATACTCTGTAAGAAGAAAATATCAAATTCTTGTTAGTTGGATATAAAACACATATTAGTTGTCATATAGTGAATGAAACACATATTATAATAGTTTGTCATATAGTGAATACATAAGAATCTATCATTATTCTTCAGGTAAAATTCTTCTTTTGGTAAATAATTTATTATATTAATGGGATTGGTCACACCTCCTTTGGACAAAACTATGAATGAAACTAATAAAATTAGAGAAATCCTGGGTTCAAATACTAGTTCTACAAATCATTAAGTTTGTGGGCTTAAACTACATAACTTCTCTTATATACAGCTTTTTATAAATCTAGAAATAAGAAAACACCAATATCTTAGAACAATTAAATTGGTTAAATAAAGTAATATAAAAAAGAAATTGTACAGCACTTCGAACTTTCAGAATCTCAAAAGAGTTTTTAGTTCTCATCCTAAGTAACTTGAATTTCCCAATGAGGCCACTGATAATGATCACACGTGCCACAGCCTAGTCATTCCAATAAAATATTAACAATAATTTATGCAGCTGGAAGATGTCCTAAGGTTATTTATTCTATTGTCCTACCTAATGTAGAATTAATTGCTAGTTTACATACTTTAACATCTTATAAAAATGGAAGTGATATACTACCAGAGCATTTCTAGTTCACTACTTCACAAAACAGCTTTCTATTTTTGACCAGCTATACTTATCCTAGTAACGTTGACTTAAAACATGCTTTTCATTTGCTACTTCAATGTAGCCCCAGATATGGACTTAGTAGATATACAAAATACATTTTTCACATCAAAATACTTCAACATGTTATAACAGCAATCATGTTATTGTAATAGATTTCCAGTTATAGCAATATCACCTGGTACTGAGATGTTTATTATTACCTACCTTATAGTTTCATTTGAGAATTTATTAACATGTTACTCATGAAAAATCTTTATCTCAGTGCCTTGCATATATTAAATATGCCATGAATTTGTATTATGTTGCCCTACTTATCATTTTATATGCTAACTTCTATGAATACAACACATTTCATTACTCTATGTCTTACCGCATTGTGATTAAACCTGGCTATAGTGTCTCAGATATGGAATTATTATCCCTCACATTTTTGTAATTAATTTTACATTTTATTATTGTTCTAGGATATGCATCGTGACATTAACTGAGGCTGACCTGCTCTAAACAAAATTCTTACATAATTTAGGACTATTTTATTTCAATTAACAGGAAAACAAAATAGCTCAAAGAATATCAGTTGCATTGACTCATTTAACTAAATGTAAATAAAAGAAAAGAGTAGGTATTGATTCTGACTTCTAATTGATTCAGAGGTACAAATAATGTTACCAAGACAAATAATGTTACTGAGACCTAGTTATGACCTAGTTTCTGTGCCTGCCCCCCGCCTCCTTGCTCTCTCTTATTCTGGTTCATCTACATGATTCAAATATATGAGGGGCTTCTCTGCTTTCATTTTTATGGCAAAAGTTGATTTTACAATGGAACCAAATTGAATACTCAGAAAGTTGTGTGTGTGTGTGTGTGTGTGTGTGTGTGTGTGTGTGTATGCATCTGGGGGAGAGAGAGAGAAAAAAAATCTGTATTATAGTATAACTTAAGCTGCTAAGATTTCCAAAGCCATTCTGATTAATGGTCTTTCATGAGACCTAATGTTTCCCACTTTCTGGAACTTATAAATGGCTTATCTTTGCCTCTAGCCTTAATTTAATTTTTAATTTCATGATAATACATTGCTCTATCTTCATGAATTGTGATGTGACTCAGTAGGCAATTTCATATTGGAAACTCTTATCCTTCAGTTGTAAAAATGTGTGAAAGAAAAATGTGTTTCCTTGGTTATTGCCTTGCTTTGATATTTCCCTATTATTCAAATATTAGTCCTCCTAAAGTGGTCCTCTAATTGCCAGAATTTTTTTCTCCTACTTTTGCCACTTCAAGTATTGTTTGGTCTCTTCTCTGGGAGCTCTCAAGGGTTTCTCTTCTAACTCTTCTGGAGATAGGAAGCAAAAGCACTTTTAAACAAGTTGCTGGGTGGCAGCTGAATAAGTACGTCATAAATATTAGAGAGAGAAGGCAAAAACAGAACAGAACAAAACAAAACGCACCTATTGAGCTCTGGTTCAAAGAATGTCATGCATGCTGAAGGAGAACATCTCCACATCTGAGAAATTTACTTTGCTAGTTAGTAATGTAAATGAGTCTTAAGCTATTGCATCAATGTACCATGGAGGCTAGATTCTCATGAGAAGAAACACTAAGTTGCATTTACAATTCTGTGATCCGAGTTCTTCATCAAAATCAACATATTGTACAACATCAGGATGGTATCTGTAGATGATGCTGCAGGGAAGGCAAATCCATATTCAGATGAAGTGGCTTTTTCAGTGATAACCAATCATGGATACTTCCTTGACGGAACTGGTTTGTTGTAATTAACTTGCTATCAGGTGTACGCCTAATCTTCCAGGGAAATAAAGCCATTCTTCCACTAAAAACTGATAGGTGCTATTGACAGGCTGAGGTTTCACCAATAGTGGTAGCCAGGTCAATCTCGGAGAACTAAAGTTCCTGCAGTTGAGCTCAGGCACAGACTTATCACTCTATACACGTGGACATTAAGTAAACCATACTCTGTCCCCTTGTTTTGGGCAATATTTCCAGCAGGGGTTGAATCTCCTTTGGGGTTCCACTGCCTACAAGACAACCCTCTCCTGTATAGCTCCAGCTCCAACCAGGAAGCACTTTGTCATATCTACAGTTCCAAATGAGTGACCACAAGTCTTGGGGTCCAGTAACACCATCTTTTACTGTTACTCTCTAAACCAAGGTATAGTGGAAGCTTGCTTGTGTTTCTTATTTTTAAGTTGTCACACTGTCTTCTGTTGGCCTTTCTATTTTGCCTGCGTTCTGATTCCTCTGTGTAATTATCTGGAGTGATTATACCATAATAATAACCTATTGATAATATTATAATAAAAACCTATTGACATTAATTCATTGAGCCATTTAACAGGGCAACAAGACAATTTGTATTCACATTTCCATAGTGTTGTCCTAGTTTTTGAATTTCCTTTTAAGCAGCAGGTTTTTACTTATCCTTGATTGTGCTTCCTGTTTGGTTTTGGCTAATTTTACACATGTAAAATTTTCCAACTTTGTCTTGCTTTCTAATTTTGTTTAGTCTCTTTCCCAGGAAAAAAACTGGTGGGGCTAAAAAAAATTCTCCCAAATATGTTGTTCTTTTATTTTCCTGTGGCTAAAATTAAATCACTTGCTTCCGTCTATATAATAGATTACATTTCTGTGTTTCCAAATTACACGTATTTCTCTAAATACACCTTTGTATTTTCATGTACTACTTTCTAATTTGAACTTCCCATGAAAAGAAACATGTTAGTAAGATTCTTCTTGATTCTGCACTTATTTTGTCATTTCTTTGCCCCTTGCATTTTTCTCTATGATGTAGTATTTACCAAAAAGCATCCCCTTGTTAGAAGTTTGCATATAAAAAGAAGGACAAATTCACCTGCATCAATCTTTCCCTCAAATTGGTCACTTCCTCTGACTAAGCTCCAAAATACTGCATACAGAAACTGCATATATAAATACTGCATATTGAAAATAAATATAGAAATAGTGCATATAGGAATATTGCATATTGACCATAATCAATATAAATGACCTACTTTTAAAACCTCATTGCTCTAGATGTTGCCATATTTCTGTAGGAATTTTATAAACTATTTTTCTATTTTTTTTTACTGTCTTTACAGGGATACATTTTGCATAAAATAAAATGTTTTCATTTTTGGTGTGCAATTTGATGAATTTTTAAAACTATACATTCATATAACAACATGAGTGTATATAACAAACAAAATCACAATACTTATATTTATTCCAAAAAGATTCCATTGCCCTTCTGCAGTTAATCACGAAATATCTGGTCCCAGAAAAACCACTATCTTCTTTCTGCCATTATAAACTAGTTTTATTTTTCGTAGGGTTTCATTCAAATTGAATCATATATTAGGTTATTTTTCTGTAAATTTTCTGAATTTCTAGAATTTTCAAATGTTTAGCTTTTACTTTTAGGTGTATGTTACATTTCAAGTTTTTTTTAAAGCATGATTTGAATTAACTGTTGAAATATATATAAAATCTGCAGTTGTTACAACATAATTTGTTGTAAGGACTGTATCAATTGAATTACCTTAGTATTGCTGTTGAAAAATCAATTGGCTTTTACGTGTGGCATAATTCAGGTTTCTTTATTATGCTATTTTATTTGTAAACCTACCCTTATGACAATACCAGACTTAATTGTTTACTATGTCTTTATAGTAGTGGTAAGTCTTGAAAACAGACTTCCAGCTTATTCTTTTTATATTTCAAAATGGTTTTTGCTATTCTAGGTTATTCACATTTCTCTAAAATCATTAGAATTGTTTTGTCAATTTTGTCAAAATATCTGCTGGCATTTTGATTGAGATAGCAATGAACAAGAAAATTAATTGGTAAAGAATTGATATCTTAGGATTAACCCTTCTGATCCATGAACATCATATACCTCTTTTTTTACCTATTATTATAATGCTTTATACTTCTTCATATAAAGTTCTAAGAAATGTATGTTTAACTTTCTACCTAAGTATTTATTATATGATATTCTGCATTTTCTAAAGTTTAACCCTCTGATTGTTGAATGCTAACATATAAAATTAAAATTTTGTTTAATTGACAATTATATTCCAAGACATTGCTAAAGAAGCTTATTCATTCAAGTAACTTTTTGGAAGATTCAAATGTTCTACAAATATAATTGTGTTGTCTGTGAAGAAAAGGCAATTTAACTTCCTTATTTCCAATCTGTAAGACTCTTTTTTTTTTCTTTTTCTTACTATATTGTACTAGCTAGGATGTCTAGTATAGTGCTGAATAGAAATGGGCATAATTTTAGAGAGAAAGCATTGTGTCATTCAGCAGTATATAAGATGTTGGCTTCAGGTTTTCCTTGATGTACTTTATTTCATTAAGCAACTTTTCTTCTATTCCTCTTTTCTTTTTTTATATTTTAAATTTTAAAAAAAATTTGTGGGTACATAGTGGGTTTATATATTTATGGGGTATAAGAGATGTTTTGATCTTGTTACTTGTTTTTGTCTGTTTAGGTTTTGGATTTCTTCCTGGTTCAATCTTGGTAGGTTGTATGTACCTAGGAATTTGTCCATTTCTTCTATATTTTCCAACTTATTGGCAAATAGTTGCTTATAGTAGCCACTATTGATCCTTTGAATTTATGTAGTATCATTTCATTTCTGATTTTTTGTATTTAGATCTTCTTTCTTTCCTTAATTATTCTGACTAAAGATTGGTCAATTTTTAACTTTTCAAAAAATCAACTTTTTGTTTCATTGATATTATTCTCTTTATTTCAGTTTCATCTATTTCTGCCCTGTTATTTCTTTACTTCTACTAATTTTGGGTTTGGTTTGCTTTTCATTTTCTGGTTGAGTTTCATCATTAGATTATTTGAAATTTTTCCTCTTTTTTGATGTAGGCACACATAACTATAAACTTCTTTCTTAGTATTGCTTTTGCTATATCCCATATTTATGAATTTCTTTCTTAATTTCTTCATTAACTCACTGGACATTCAGGAGCATATTGTTTAATTTCCGTATCTGTGCAGTTTCCAAAATTCATCTTGTTATTAATTGCTAGTTTTATTCAATTGTGGTCAGAAAAAATGCTTGATACTATTTCAATTTTTTTAATGTTTTAAGACTTGTTTTGTGATGTGACATATGATCTACCCTTGAGAATAAAACATGCTCTGAGGAAAAGAATGTGTATTCTGCAGCTCTTGGATAAAATGTTTTCACTGGCATGGACTATCTTTTTTGTTTCTTTATTTTCAGCCTATGTGTGTCTTCATAGGTGAAGTGTGTTTCTTATAAGCTACTGACCAACGGGTCTTCTTTTTTCATCCATACAGCCAACCCATGTCTTTTGATTGAATAAAAAGTTTAGTCCATTTACTTTCAATGTTATTATTGATAAGTAAGAACATACTCCTGCCATTTTGTTATTTGTTTTCTGTGTTGTTTTTGATTGTTGTTGATTTGTGTTTTTATCTTCTCATCCTTCTTTCTTTCCTTCATGTCTTTTTCTAGTAAAGGTGATTTTCTCTGGTAATATGATTTAGTTCTTTGCTTTTTATTTTTTTGTGTATCCATTATTGTTTTTCAGTTTGAGGTTACCATGAGACTCGCAAATGCTATCTTGTAACTCATTACTTTAACCTGATGACAGCTTAACAGTATTTGAATGAACAGACAAAGAAGCAAAAAGGAAACTAAGAAAATCTCCAGACAAAGAAGCAAAAAGGAAACTAAGAAAATCTCTACTTCTTAACTTTGTCTCCCCCAATTTTTAACTTTTTATTATTTCATTTATATCTTCTTGTTGTATTGTCTATGTCTGGAAAATTGTAGTTATTATTTTTTGTTGGTTCATCATTTAGTCTTTCTACTCAGGATAAGAATAGTTTACATGCCATAGTTACAGTGTGATAATATTCTGTTTTTCTGCACACTTACTATTCCCAGTGAGTTTTGTACCTTCAGGTGATTACTTATTGCTCATTAATGTCCTTTTCTCTCTGATTTAAGTACTCCTATTAGCATATTTTGCAAGATGCGTCTGGTATTAATGAAATCCCTCAACTCTTGCTTGTCTGGGAAAGTCTTTGCTTCCCCTTCATGTATGAAGGATATTTTCACCAGATATATTATTCTAGAATAAAAGTTGTTTTTCTTTTTCTTTCTTCAGCACTTTGAATATGTCATGCCACTCTCTCCTGGCCTAATAACGTTTCCACTGAAAAGTCTGCTGCCAGATGTATTGGAGCTCTATTAGGACCTTCTGCTATTTATCCTTGACTTTTGTAAGTTTGATTATTAAATGCTCGAGGTAGTCTTCTCTGGGTTAAATCTGCTTGTTGTTCTATAGCCTTCTTGTACTTAGATATTAATATCTTTATTTAGGTTTGAGAAGTTCTTTGTTATTATTTCTTTCAATAACATTTCAACTACTATCTTTTTCTACCTTCTATTTAAAGCCAGTTAACTCTTAGATTTGAGGCAATTTTCTAGATCCTGTAGGTTTGCTTCATTGTTTATGATTCTTTTTTCTTTTATGTCCTCTGATTGTATTTCCAAATAGCTTCTTTTCAAGCTCAATAATGATTTCTTCTGCTTGATCAATTCTGTTATTAAAGAGTCCTGATGCATTCTTAGTATGCCTATTGCATTTTTCAACTCCAGAATTTCTGCTTGGTTCTTCTTAATTATTTCAATCTGTTTGTTAAATTTGTGTGATAGAATTATGAATTCCTTCTCTGTGTTATCTTGTATTTCTTTGAGTTTCCTCAACACAGCTACTTTGAATTCTTTGTTGGAAAAGTCCCCATTTCTCCAGGATTGGTCCTTAGTGCCTTATTTACTTCCTTTGGTGAGGTCATGTTTTCCTGGATGGTGTTGATGTCAGTAGATGTTCTTCAGTGTCTGGGTGTTGAATATTTAGGTGTTTATTGTAGTCTTCACTTTCTAGGCTTATTTGTAGCCATCCTTTTTGGGAACACTTCCCAGATATTTGAAAGAACTTGGATGTTGTGATCTAAGCTGTGTCTGCCTTAGGGACCACCCCAAGTCCATAATGTGATTCTTACAGACTCATAGAGGTACTACCTTGATAATCTTGGACGACAAGCCCTGGCTGGGTCCAGACATGCTGTCTAGAAGTCAGGGACTAGAGAGACAAATCTTAGAAGTCTACTTGGTATTCTATTGTATTGCAGCTTACCTGGCACTGGAACCACAAGATGCAGTTCTTCCCATTCTTCCCTCTTCTTTCCAAAGGCAGAAGAGCTTCACTCCATAGGCACTGCCACTCCTGGCTATCAGGAGTACTGTCAGACTACTGTTGATACTTCCTTAAGGCTCAAATCTCTCTCTCTCTCTTTTTTTCTTATAGTTTTAGTGTATTTTTTCTTTCTTTTTTATTATACTTTAAATTTTAGGGTACATGTGCACAACATGCAGTTAGCAGTTGATTATTTCTGGCAGAACTGAGTCCTTTCCTTCAAAGCAGTGAGTTCTCTTCTGGCCGAGAGTGTGTACAGAAATGTTATCTGGGAGTAAGGACCTGCCACAAAGATCTCATGACTCTGACTGGTGCCCTATCCTGCTATGGCTGAGGTGGTATGTATGATGCAAGACAAAGTCCTCCCTACTTTTTCTTCTCCTCTCCTCAAGCTGAAGAAAGGGGTCTCTTTTGGAGCCATGACCTGTGCACCTGGGTTAAGGAATGAGTGAGACCAGCACTCCTTTGGCTGCCCCAGCTGGTTTCTCAGTATGTCTCATGCCCTCCCCAGTGCAATGTCTCTGGGTGTACTTAAGCCCCAGGGCTCACCTAAGAGTTGTAGTCCTTATGGCCAAGGCTACCTTTCAAGTTTACTTACAGACTGACAGCACCTTGGCCCTCAGTGGCAAGGTATATGGGCACTCAAGTTCTGACCTCTGGGATTGAAGATTTCCCTCTGGCTAGAGCTTGTTAAAATGCTCCCTATGTGGGCTGGCATCAGTCAAGTTTGGTTCAGTTTTTATTTCTACTCTAACAGGACAGTACTTAGTTTAATGCCTCACAGTTGCTGTGTTCTCCCTCCCCCAGTGCCCACAGGCACTCCACAGTGCACCACTGTCACTGAGGGTAAAAGATTGGTGGCATAGGAGATTAAAAACTGTTTTTTTTAATCACTTCAGTGACTCTTTAAGTCATTTGAAGTTAAAACCAGTTACCATGAGGGCTCAACTAATTTTTGGTTCTTATGAAGGTAGTTTTTCTGGGTAGATAGTTGTTAATTTTGTGTCCTTGTAGATGCTCCGCAGGAGGAGCAATCAAAGCTTTTTATTCCGCTATCTTGCTCCTCTCCTAATCTCTTTTCTTATTTTTTAATCTTAAAACAAATTTGAATTGTGCCAAATTATTTAATAAAAATGTTTTGCTCTTATTCTTTTAATATAGGGAATTCCCTTAACTGTTTCTGAATTTCAGGTAAAACTTTCATTTCTGAGATGATGATGATTATATTTATTTAATTATGTGTATATATTCAATTTTCATCATATAGTATTTTCTTCCACCTGAGGAATTTCATTAAACATTTTTTTTGTACTGCAGGTTTGTTAGAAATAGATTCTCCCAGCCTTTGTATGTATGAAAGATAGACCTTTTTCCTCATACCGAAATATATTTTCACTTAGTATTGAATTGTAAGTTAACTTTTTCTCCCAGTATTCTACAGAAGTAAGTGAAATATATTTTCACTTAGTATGGAATTTTAGGTGAGCTTTTCCTCTCAGTAATATAAAGATGTTATTTGATTGTCTTTTAGCCTTATACATTTATGTTAGAAATTCTGCACTCACTTATATTTGTTCCTTTGCAGGAGATATGGCTTTTCCTCTATTTGTATTCAATTTTTAATTTTATTATTGGTTTTCATCAAGATAATTATAATCTGTCTTGATGCAGTTTTCTTTGAATTTCTTTCCTGCTTAGAGTTCATTGTATTTATAGGTTTTTAGGTTATAACAGTTGGAAAATATTTCTATTACTTTTTAAATATTTTGCCCCTCACTCTTTCTAAGACTATAATTTCACATATATTAGGCTAAATAGAAATTACTTGTTTTTTTAAACATTTATTATTTCACTCTTTTTTTTTAATTTTCTTTTTTTTTTTAATTATTTTACTTTAAGTTTTAGGGTACATGTGCACATTGTGCAGGTTAGTTACATATGCATACATGTGCCATGCTGGTGCGCTGCACCCACTAACTCGTCATCTAGCATTAGGTATATCTCCCAATGCTATCCCTCCCCCCTCCCCCCACCCCACAACAGTGCTCAGAGTGTGATGTTCCCCTTCCTGTGTCCATGTGATCTCATTGTTCAATTCCCACCTATGAGTGAGAATGTGCAGTGTTTGGTTTTTTGTTCTTGCAATAGTTTACTGAGAATGATGATTTCCATTTTCATCAATGTCCCTACAAAGGACATGAACTCATCATTTTTTATGGCTGCATAGTATTCCATGGTGGATATGTGCCACATTTTCTTAATCCAGTCTATCCTTGTTGGACATTTGGGTTGGTTCCAAGTCTTTGCTAGTGTGAATAATGTCGCAATAAACATACGTGTGCATGTGTCTTTATAGCAGCATGATTTATAGTCCTTTGGGTATATACCCAGTAATGGGATGGCTGGGTCAAATGGTATTTCTAGTTCTAGATCCCTGAGGAATCGCCACACTGACTTCCACAATGGTTGAACTAGTTTACAGTCCCACCAACAGTGTAAAAGTGTTCCTATTTCTCCACATCCTCTCCAGCACCTGTTATTTCCTGACTTTTTAATGATTGCCATCCTAACTGGTGGGAGATGGTATCTCATTGTGGTTTTGATTTGCATTTCTCTGATGGCCAGTGATGATGAGCATTTTTTCATGTGTTTTTTGGCTGCATAAATGTCTTCTTTTGAGAAGTGTCTGTTCATGTCCTTTGCCCACTTTTTGATGGGGTTGTTTGTTTTTTTCTTGTAAATTTGTTTGAGATCATTGTAGATTCTGGATATTAGCCCTTTGTCAGACAAGTAGGTTGTGAAAATTTTCTCCCATTTTGTAGGTTGCCTGTTCACTCTGATGGTAGTTTCTTTTGCTGTGCAGAAGCTCTTTAGTTTAATTAGATCCCATTTGTCAATTTTGTCTTTTGTTGCCATTGCTTTTGGTGTTTTAGACATGAAGTCCTTGCCCATGCCTATGTCCTGAATGGTAATGCCTAGGTTTTCTTCTAGGGTTTTTATGGTTTTAGGTCTAATGTTCAAGTCTTTAATCCACCTTGAACTGATTTTTGTATAAGGTGTAAGGAAGGGATCCAGTTTCAGCTTTCTACATATGGCTAGCCAGTTTTCCCAGCACCATTTATTAAATAGGGAATCCTTTCCCCATTGCTTGTTTTTGTCAGGTTTGTCAAAGATCAGATAGTTGTAGGTATGCGGTGTTATTTCTGAGGGCTCTGTTCTGTTCCATTGATCTATATCTCTGTTTTGGTACCAGTACCATGCTGTTTTGGTTACTGTAGCCTTGTAGTATAGTTTGAAGTCTGGTAGTGTGATGCCTCCAGCTTTGTTCTTTTGGCTTAGGATTGACTTGGCAATGCGGGCTCTTTTTTGGTTCCATATGAACTTTCAAGTACTTTTTTCCAATTCTGTGAAGAAAGGCATTGGTAGCTTGATGGGGATGGCATTGAATCTGTAAATTACCTTGGGCAGTATAGCCATTTTCATGATATTGATTCTTCCTACCCATGAGCGTGGAATGTTCTTCCATTTGTTTGTATCCTCTTTTATTTCCTTGGGTAGTGGTTTGTAGTTCTCCTTGAAGAGGCCCTTCACGTCCCTTGCAAGTTGGATTCCTAGGTATTTTATTCTCTTTGAAGCAATTGTGAATGGGAGTTCACTCATGATTTGGCTCTCTGTTTGTCTGTTGTTGGTGTATAAGAACGCTTGTGATTTTTGTATATTGATTTTGTATCCTGAGACTTTGCTGAAGTTGCTTATCAGCTTAAGGAGATTTTGGGCTGAGACAATGGGGTTTTCTAGATATACAATCATGTCGTCTGCAAACAGGGACAATTTGACTTCCTCTTTTCCTAATTGAATACCCTTTATTTCCTTCTCCTGCCTAATTGCCCTGGCCAGAACTTCCAACACTATGTTGAATAGGAGTGGTGAGAGAGGGCATCCCTGTCTTGTGCCAGTTTTCAAAGGGAATGCTTCCAGTTTTTGCCCATTCAGTATGATATTGGCTGTGTGTTTGTCATAGATAGCTCTTATTATTTTGAAATACGTCCCATCAATACCTAATTTATTGAGAGTTTCTAGCATGAAGGTTGTTGAATTTTGTCAAAGGCCTTTTCTGCATCTATTGAGATAATCATGTGGTTTTTGTCTTTGGCTCTGTTTATATGCTGGATTACATTTATTGATTTGCATATTTTGAACCAGCCTTGCATCCCAGGGATGAAGCCCACTTCATCATGGTGGATAAGCTTTTGGATGTGCTGCTGGATTCGTTTTGCCAGTATTTTATTGAGGATTTTTACATCAATGTTCATCAAGGATATTGGTCTAAATTTCTCTTTTTTGGTTGTGTCTCTGCCCGGCTTTGGTATCAGGATGATGCTGGCCTCATAAAATAAGTTAGGGAGGATTCCCTCTTTTTCTATTGATTGGAATAGTTTCAGAAGGAATGGTACCAGTTCCTCCTTGTACCTCTGGTAGAATTCGGCTGTGAATCCATCTGGTCCTGGACTCTTTTTGGTTGGTAAGCCATTGATTATTGCCACAATTTCAGCTCCTGTTATTGGTCTATTCAGAGATTCAACTTCTTCCTGGTTTAGTCTTGGGAGGGTGTATGTGTCGAGGAATTTATTCATTTCTTCTAGATTTTCTAGTTTATTTGCATAGAGGTGTTTGTAGTATTTTCTGATGGTAGTTTGTATTTCTGTGGGATCGGTGGTGATATCCCCTTTATCATTTTTTATTGCATCTATTTGATTTTTCTCTCTTTTTTTCTTTATTAGTCTTGCTAGCAGTCTATCTATTTGTTGATCCTTTCAAAAAACCAGCTCCTGGATTCATTAATGTTTTGAAGGGTTTTTTGTGTCTCTATTTCCTTCAGTTCTGCTCTGATTTTAGTTATTTCTTGCCTTCTGCTAGCTTTTGAATGTGTTTGCTCTTGCTTTTCTAGTTCTTTTAATTGTGATGTTAGGGTGTCAATTTTGGATCTTTCCTGCTATCTCTTGTGGGCATTTAGTGCTATAAATTTCCCTCTACACACTGCTTTGAATGCATCCCAGAGATTCTGGTATGTTGTGTCTTTGTTCTCGTTGGTTTCAAAGAACATCTTTATTTCTGCCTTCATTTCGTTATGTACCCTGTAGTCATTCAGGAGCAGGTTGTTCAGTTTCCATGTTAGTTGAGCGGTTTTGAGTGAGATTCTTAATCCTGAGTTCTAGTTTGATTGCACTGTGGTCTGAGAGATAGTTTGTTATAATTTCTGTTCTCTTACATTTGCTAAGGAGAGCTTTACTTCCAAGTATGTGGTCAATTTTGGAATAGGTGTGGTGTGGTGCTAAAAAAAATGTATATTCTGTTGATTTGGGGTGGAGAGTTCTGTAGATGTCTATTAGGTCTTCTTGGTGCAGAGCTGAGTTCAATTCCTGGGTATCCTTGTTGACTGTCTGTCTCGTTCATCTGTCTAATGTTGACAGTGGGGTGTTAAAGTCTCCCATTCTTAATGTATGGGAGTCTAAGTCTCTTTGTAGGTCAGTCGGGACTTGCTTTATTAATCTGGGTGCTCCTTTATTTGGTGCATATATATTTAGGATAGTTAGCTCTTCTTGTTGAATTGATCCCTTTACATTATGTAATGGCCTTCTTTGTCTCTTTTGATCTTTGTTGGTTTAAAGTCTGTTTTATCAGAGACTAGGATTGCAACCCCTGCCTTTTTTTGTTTTCCATTTGCTTGGTAGATCTTCCTCCATCCTTTTATTTTGAGCCTATGTGTGTCTCTGCACGTGAGATGGGTTTCCTGAATACAGCACACTGATGGGTCTTGACTCTTTATCCAATTTGCCAGTCTGTGTCTTTTAATTGGAGCATTTAGTCCATTTACATTTAAAGTTAATGTTGTTATGTGTGAATTTGATCCTGTCATTATGATGTTAGCTGGTTATTTTGCTCGTTAGTTGATGCGGTTTCTTCCTAGTCTCAATGGTCTTTACATTTTGGCATGATTTTGCAGCAGCTGGTACTAGTTGTTCCTTTCCATGTTTAGCGCTTCCTTCAGGAGCTCTTTTAGGGCAGGCCTGGTGGTGACAAAATCTCTCAGCATTTGCTTGTCTGTAAAGTATTTATTTCTCCTTCACTTATGAAGCTTAGTTTGGCTGGATATGAAATTCTGGGTTGAAAATTCTTTTATTTAAGAATGTTGAATATTGGCCCCCACTCTCTTCTGGCTTGTAGGGTTTCTGCCAAGTGATCCACTGTTAGTCTGATGAGCTTCCCTTTGTGGGTAACTTGACATTTATCTCTGGCTGCCCTTAACACTTTTTCCTTCATTTGGTGAATCTGACAATTATGTGCCTTGGAGTTGCTCTTCTTGAGGAGTATCTTTGTGGCGTTCTCTGTATTTCCTGAATCTGAATGTTGGCCTGCCTTGCTAGATTGGGGAAGTTCTCCTGGATAATATCCTGCAGAGTGTTTTCCAACTTGGTTCCATTCTCCCCATCACTTTCAGGTACACCAATCAGACGTAGATTTGGTCTTTTCACATAGTCCCATATTTCTTGGAGGCTTTGCTCGTTTCTTTTTATTCTTTTTTCTCTAAGCTTCCCTTCTCGCTTCATTTCATTCATTTCATCTTCCATCGCTGATACCCTTTCTTCCAGTTGATTGGATCAGCTCCTGAGGCTTCTGCATTCTTCACGTAGTTCTTGAGCCTTGGTTTTCAGCTCCATCAGCTCCTTTAAGCACTTCTCTGTATTGGTTATTCTAGTTATACATTCTTCTAAATTTTTTTCAAAGTTTTCAACTTCTTTGCCTTTGGTTTGAATGTCCTCCCGTAGCTCATAGTAATTTGATCGTCTGAAGCCTTCTTCTCTCAGCTCGTCAAAGTCATTCCCCGTCCAGCTTTGTTCCGTTGCTGGTGAGGAACTGCATTCCTTTGAAGGAGGAGAGGCACTCTGCTTTTTAGAGTTTCCAGTTTTTCTGTTCTGTTTTTTCCCCATCTTTGTGGTTTTATCTACTTTTGGTCTTTAATGATGGTGATGTACAGATGGGTTTTTGGTGTGGATGTCCTTTCTGTTAGTTTTCCTTCTAACAGACAGGACCCTCAGCTGCAGATCCATTGGAGTACCCTGCCGTGTGAGGTGTCTGTGTGCCCCTGCTGGGGGGTGCCTCCCAGTTAGGCTGCTCGGGGTTCAGGGGTCAGGGACGCATTTGAGGAGGCAGTCTGCCCGTTCTCAGATCTCCAGCTGCATGCTGGGAGAACCACTGCTCTCTTCAAAGCTGTCAGACAGGGACATTTAAGTCTGCAGAGGTTACTGCTGTCTTTTTGTTTGTCTGTGCCCTGCCCCCAGAGGTGGAGCCTACAGAGGCAGGCAGGCCTCCTTGAGCTGTGGTGGGCTCCACCCAGTTCCAGCTTCCCTGCTGCTTTGTTTACCTAAGCAAGCCTGGGCAATGGCGGGCGCCCCTCCCCCATCCTCGCTGCTGCCTTGCAGTTTCATCTCAGACTGCTGTGCTAGCAATCAGCGAGACTCCGTGGGCGTAGGAACCCCCGAGCCAGGTGCGGGATATAATCTCGTGGTGCACCGTTTTTTAAGCCCATCGGAAAAGCGCAGTATTCGGGTGTGAGTGACCCGATTTTCCAGGTGCCGTCCGTCACCACTTTCTTTGACTAGGAAAGGGAACTCCCTGACCCCTTGCGCTTCCCAAGTGAGGCAATGCCTCGTCCTGCTTCGGCTCGCGCACGGTGTGCGCACCCACTGACCTGCGCCCACTGTCTGGCACTCCCTAGTGAGATGAACCCAGTACCTCAGATGGAAATGCAGAAATCACCCGTCTTCTGCGTCGCTCACGCTGGGAGCTGTAGACCGGAGCTGTTCCTATTCGGCCATCTTGGCTCCTCCTCCTATTTCACTCTTTTTATCTTACTGTCTTGTGTTTTTCATAGTTTTGATTGCCCCTCTTCAGATTGACTAATGTTTTCTTCCAGAACATCCAATCTGCTGCCTGCAGTTGTTTACTTACAGAAAATTTTCACTATGGATAATCTTAGTTTCATCTTTATTATTTCTCTTAGGTATGTTTGTAAAACTTCCATTTGTTTTTTTTTTTTTTATTATTATGGTCAACCTTAAAGTATTAAGCATAATGAGTATACTTAACACCCTTGTCTTCTAATTTCATTATCTTTTTTAAAATATTCTGACTGTATTGTGACTTGTTTTTTTTTCCTGTATTACTGGTCACATTTTCCACTTCTTTTCATACCTAATATTATTGTATCTTTGGCACTGTGAATTCTATGTTTTTAAGTGAAAGGTCTTGTTTTATTCCTTTTTAAATTATTGATCTTTGTTCATCACACAGTTGCCTCACAAAACACTTTGATCATTTTGTGAGAAGATTTATCAGACTGAGTCTAGAGTACCCTTGATTCTAGTGCTTCTTTAGCCCAAACAAAATTTCATAAGGCTTTTAAGAAATCTACTTAATACTCTGTATATTCAGTGAGCTGTTTTCACTCTGACTCACAGCAACCCAAATGATTCCTAGTCCTGTGAGAACTGAAAAAAAATTGCAGCTTACAACTATCCAGTAATATCTCCTTCTCTAGTAGCTTTTCTATGTTTAGCCTTATGGAATTGTATGTTACCCATTGTCATATTGATATTCAAAGACTCCAGCATCCCTTTGACTAACTCTATAGCTCTTTCTCTATGGCATTTCCTTCTCTCTGTATGCTATCCCCAAATTTTAGACATGTTGACATCTCTAGAATCCAAGAACATTATCTCCAACATAGAAAGACCACTTGGTGCATGTGTATTTTTCCAACTTAAAATATGGTTTGGAAATTCTCTCCAGAAAGAAATTTGAGGGCATTTTTGGGCTCATTTTCTGATGTATATCAGTATTAAAATGTCTGTTTCACAGTGACTGAAAAGAGCTTTCATAAACTTTGCCATGTTTTCTAGTTGTTTTAGGCAGTAAAGTTCTGTAGCAATTAGTTCTTCATGTCTGGAAACAAAATTATCCTTTAAAAGTATGATTATCGTTCCATTCACTCTAGATCTTAACTTCTTTGCTGCTTGAATAACTGACCCTTAAAAAATCATTTTTGTCCTCCTGCATTTTAGTATTCATAATGTTGAACGTTAAGTTATGCAAAGCAAAACTTATAAAGACCTATACTGCATAATAGAAAAAGAAGTTGCCTGTGAATTGAGAAAAACAAAAGTATTCATTTGCTGGCTCCATTAAGTATAACTTCACATTTTATTGTACTTACACTGATATATAATACAATTTTACAATTCCAGTAACTCTTCTGGTGGGATCAACTCTAATTTATCCACAAGTACGATCTCAAATGCCTACTACCTAAAGGACTCTATCCTAAAAATCTTTTGGGAATCAGTTTCATATGATGCATTTTGCACTGTTGCCCATCATGCCTGTCCATAATGGCCCATGGTCATATGTTATGGGTTAATGCATCACTCTAAATGTGGACACAAGGTATACCTCTCTTTTCCCTAAACTAGTATGAAACACAAGCAACCATTTTTGTTAATTATAACCAGCAGTGAACTGTGTTATGCCCAAATCTACCTTGAGACTGTTTCTCTAGTCAACCGTGACTGACCTCAGAAAAGCAAACATATTACTAATGTGATTTTTATGATTTACTATGAAATTTAAAGACTGATAAAATCTGTCCCACAGGTGGGCTACAATTCTGCAGGCTGAGTAGCCAAAGAATATTATGTGAATAGCCATCCAATCATGAGCAAGAGCCAAAGTATTATTTTTACTATTGAGCACTATTTCAATATGAGTCCCATATGTAATAAAATAAATGTTCAGGAAAACTACTTCCTCTGAAAATTTGGTTTAAGAAGAGTGCTTTTTCAAAAAGCATAATAATTTCCCTCTTATTACCTTTTCAATTTCAATCTAAATATTTTTATAAGAAGCTGTAAGTGTTAGAGTTATGTTATAAATTTCCTGTTCATGTATAAAACACTGTATCATCTAATTGCCTCTTTATTTGTATTTTTCAAATATATACTATATATACTTTACATAGATAGCATACTATATATGAAAATGTATAAATATGTATATATACACTAATTTATTTCATCTGTTTGTAAAAAGTCTGACATTTTAGTATCTATTATAATCACAATGAGTCAGATTATTTATACTTACATATGCTTAACCTCAAATATTTTATTGAAAAAATATATATGAAAGTATGTATTTATGTATTTATGTATTTATTTATTAAGACAGAGTCTCACTCTGTCACCCAGGCTGGAGTGAAGTGGTGCTATCTCGGCTCACTGCAACCTCTGCCTCCTGGGTGCATGTGATTCTCCTGCCTCAGCCTCCCAAGTAGATAAATTTTGTATTTTTAGTAGAAATGGTTTCACCATGTTGGCTGGGCTGATCTCAAACTACTGACCTCAAGTGATCCATCCACCTTGGTATAATAATTATTATTAAACTTCTACTTGAATAATTAAAAAATTAAAATATGGGTCATATATTTACCTTGCCTGGTTATAGTTGCTATAAATTACATAAGATATATTGTTTTCTAACTTGGGAGCTAATAGTAAAAGGGATAGCAATTGTTATTTGTTGTATAAATGGTTTTGTCCTAAATAATATGGTTATGCCTCATTTCGTCAACTGCCTTGTATAAGGAAGGCACTAAAGTTCAAGGTTAAAGGACTAATTAAATTTTATTTAAAATAGTCAATATATCAGATATGTCTAATATCCACAATCTGCCCAAGGAATATTTCCAGCATTAAAATTCATGCTTCTTTAAGAAAGAAAAGTTCAAAGATAACTATGGATGAAATAACCTTCAGGTAGAAGGAAAAATAGAACATCATCCTTAACATAAAGAGCAGTATTATAGGGCTGACCTCAGTAATAGGGCTGAAATACTCTAGAACGTATTTTTCAAAACCACCTCAAATCTCAAATTCATTGTGAAGAACAAACGAAGCACATAAAATGAGAGGAAGAGAAATAGTCAAGTCATGGGAGAAAATGTATCTTATACATTGACAAGTATATATCTTTTGTAAATACTTATGCCATAATCATGAGTTAAAAAGAAGTAATAATTTATTTAAAGTAAATACTTTTTGTTTATCAAAATAATTATGCTGAATTTTGTGTATTTGTATGTGTAAAGACACCTATTTCTTATAGACTAAGTTTGATTAATTATTATACATGGAAATTCATTAGAAATTACTTATAAATTCCTAAAGTTAGGAGAAAAATCATTGCCCATTATTCTTTAATATATTTTTGAACCTAATTACAATAAAAATAGATGATATGATCTGTAATTAAATAAGTAATTAATTATAATAGTCATTATTTTAATATAGCAAAATGCATGTTATTAGTTATATATAAATCTCATTTAAATAAGAATATTTTATATAATTTTATATAGCTGTGTTTCAACACAACAGTGTCTTAAAATAAATGTTCAAACACAGAAAGAGAAGCAGAAGTAATTATAGTCATAAATATGTAGGTTCATATTTAATAGTACTTTGGGATTAGTGAACAAACTTGATGAATGAAAAGTTTCACGTGATGATTTAGTTTTTTTTGTTGCTTAATTAAAATTACAGAAAATACAGGCGGCACATAACAAACCTACTTATTGAGAGCTTTATTTATTATATGCATGTCATAGGACTGGTAGTATGCTATGCATTTTTTGTAACTTGTTGATTATATATAATTTTAAGTTTAAAGAAAGTTTGCAAAATATATACAATTATATCGTTGATCCAGATTCACCCACTTATATTTCACCCACTACTTATATTTTGCCTTATTCACTTTCTTCTTCTGTCCTGTCCCTTCTCTTTCTTCCCTTCCATCTTGTCTTTTGATCGCTTCTCTCTATTTATTTCTGTGTTTATCAATTTATAGATACTGAAATTTGGAGATATCATGCTCCTTAACTCTTTTATACTTAAATGCTTATCAATACAAAAATGGAATATTCTCTTACCTGATCACACACTAATTAAAAGAAGAAAATTTACTATTAATCTAATATTGTATTTTAATTCCTACTTCATAATTACAGTTTATCAACTGCTCAGTAATGTCCTTTACACTGTTTTCTTCCATATAATCGAATCCAAAGCCACACATTTAGTTATTACTTCCTTGTAGTCTCCTTTATTCTGAAATGATTACTTAGCCTTTGTCTTTCTTGATTTTGATCTTTAGAAGAGTACAAAACAGATATATTGTAGAATATTTTCCCATTCCTAAACTTAGCTAAAGACATATTTTGCAGAAAAAGTAAAAAGTCTGTCTAAAAGGATACATTAATCATGCCACTTTGCAATCTATTTCACAACATATGTATGTTTATTAAATATAATTTTCCTCCAAAACATCTTTGAGTATGTTTCATATGTATTATGTAGCTTTTTGTATAATTCCCCATACAATTGCTACATTGTATATTTAAAATTTGGCCTCCTTCAGTGCCTGAATCCACTGTTCATCACTATTATTATTTTTTAAAGACAGGGTAGTGCTCTGTCACCTAGGCTAGAATGCAGTGGCATGATCATAGCTCACTGTAACCTCAAATTCCTGGACTCAAGCAATCCTCCTGTCTCAGCCTTCAGAATACCTAGGCCTACAGGTTCACACCACCATGCCCAGCTAATTTTTAATTTTTTTTTGGTAGAGGTGGAGTGGGGGGGGTCTCACTGTATTGCTCAGGCTAGTCTCAAACTCCTGACTTCAAATGATCCTTTCACAATGACCTAACAAGGTGCAGAGATTACAGGCATGAGCCACTATGTCCAGTCCTCATCCTTTTTTTTTATTCGAAGATTTTAACAAATCTTGAAGAGAGTACTACAAAAGGATTGAACTCTAATCACAGATGTAGGCTCATATAATTGATGCTAAATTCATACTGGTTAGATTAATCTTCTAAAACTCATTACTACTCCTCTGGTATTTCTGAGAGAGAAAAAAAAGACATAAAGCCAGGTAAGTTGTTCTCATTGAAGAACCATTAATAGTTCATCTACTTTAAGGCATATCTGTTCCATATAAAGGAAAAACTTGTTCATAATATTCATACTCTGGGGCCGGACATGAAAGAAAAGTGGATTTAGAAAGTTGATGCTGTTTGCCTCTCTGTTCAAATAAAAAGACATTTTTTTGAGATGTCTATTTAGAATGCTTAGTTTAGTTGAAACATGTAAGGAGGTTGTTCATTCAATTTTTTTTCAGACAAAATTATTATATATACGAAGTACTGTACCAGAATCTAGGTATCTAATAAGGAACAAAAATAGATATGATTCTTGACCTTATTACACCTGAATTCGAGTGATAAAAGAGAGTTATCAACAACTATTCACACAAATTATCATCTAGTTTCCAACCCTAAAAAGTACTGTGAAGAAACAATTACAGAGATGTCATAATTTTATAGGTGCAAGATGATTATGAGGAAATAATGTTTGCACTGAAATCAGAATGAGGAAAAGAAATTTGTTGTCTAAAGAGAATGAGAGGTACAGAACAGCGTATGTGATGGGGTAGAGGCAGGCAGGGGCACTCCAAGTTTCCTCAAAAGGCTGGTAGGAATGGTGGGTAGAGAGTAATGTCAAATGTGGTGAGAGGTGAAGCTTCAAGAGGATATACAGTCAGATGAACAGCTTTTTTAGACTTCATCTTTATTTTTTTAATTATAAAGTTTCAAAGGCTTTTAATTAAGGAGGTGTTATAATCGCATTTATATTTTTAAATTATTATTATGGCTGTAGTAAAAATAACAGACTGTAGAAAAGCAAACATGGCTGCAGGTAGATAAATTTTAAAATATTTTAGAAGTTCACCTAGGATAAGGATGATTTTGTTAAAACTGGAGCAGTGCATGGATTTGAGATATATTTATGAGCCACATAAAATATTTTATGGTAGGCCAGGTGTGGTGGCTTATACTTGTAATCCCAGCACTTTGGGAGGCCGAGGATTGTGGATCACAAGGTCAGTTCAAGACCAGCCTGGCCAAGATGGTGAAACCCCATCTCTACCAAAAATACAAAAATTAGCTGGGTGCAGTGGCAGGTGCCTATAATCCCAGCAACTCGGGAGGCTGAGGCAGGAGAATCACTTGAACAGGGGGCAGAGGTTGCAGTGAGCTGAGATCGCGCCACTGTACTCCAGCCTGGGCAACAGAATGAGACTCCGTTTCAAAAAAATAAATGTTAATAGACTGAACAGACTGAACAGGACTCTATTATTCAAGCTTCTCCAGAATCCATTGAACAATATATTATTGAATATCTCCTATGTGCCAGAGCTGAATTGTAGTGGTGAGATGACTGCTTTGCTTTCAAAGACCTAACAGTCTAGAAACACTAGACACACAGAAGTGGCTAGCATATCTTTAAATGTGATTTAATCAGTTTTTTTCTTAGCTTCAGACAGTTCCAATTTAGCAATTAATTTTGTTACCATCTTGAAATATAGATACTTATAAAGACTTATTGAAACAAACATATAGGTATCAAAGGTAATAGTCTAGTTGTTTGGTGCCTATTTCGGCAACGGTCTACTCTAGAATAGCTATTAATATTTCTCATTTAGCTAAGGTGATAAAATATCCTGAAGCCCTTGTGAGGCCAAATGCATGTAACACCCAGAGACTCTTCCAATGTTTGTAAAAATATCTTATCAGTCTCACTATGTACTCTTCCCAATAAGTAGATAAATAAGAATTTAGCAAGTAATCTAGACCCATTATCTTTTCTCCCTCTGTTTCATCAAGCTTCCTTTAGTAACTTGGGCACCTAGCCAGAAGCCTGTAAGAAATCTATTACGGATTGTGTTTAGCCTCTTTACGACCCCGTAAATCAGGCCCTTTACGTGAGACACATCGCTATCATAACATTCCAAGTTGTTGCTGAGGGCAAGCAGAGTCTATCACTTTAGAAGTATTGATTACAAAAAACAGAAAGCAACACAGACTAACCTACAAAAGGAATTTATTGAAAGGATTTTGGATCTCACAGTGGCTAGACCTAATCATAGCAAGAACGATGTGCGTTCCACAGGATCACAGAGCAGGAAGCAGAAAATACGGCGTGTCTATTGAGAAGCACAGCCTCATGAACACGACACTGCCACAAAGAGAGCAATAGCTCGATCACCATGCCACCACTAGATCTGCTCTTTAGGCAGAACTGACTGAAGCTGATAAACATTCACCACGTGAGACTGACTGCTGCTTGACAGGGTGGTTTGGGTAAAGTAACTAGAATGACAATCCCTAGGCATATTTGCCTGAATTCTGGGGCTTGGCTTTTGTCTGTACATTAATTCTAGAAACTCATGGAAAGATGTCTGGATACAGAGGAACAACACTCATTAAGATAATAAAGAATGACTCTTTGTGCCCTGGGGTTACAATGGAAGCTGTGTCAAACATGTCACAATCTAGTAGTACCAGCTCTGACACCAAACAGCCTGAGGTTCAAATCCAGCTCCATCACTACCTAGCTTCCTGTCTGGAGCAAATCACTTAACTGCTAGGGTTGTGTCATGAAGAAAAGATAGACAGTAGGCATTAAGTTTTTACCTCAGGGATAAAAAGTTCTAAGTGTTCAATGATTCTTTATTTGTTTTACCAGCATGACTGAAGTCATTGTCTACTTTATTATTTTATACAACATGAGAATTATGACTTAGAAATTAACTTACAGGATAAAATTTTGAATTTAATTCCAGGAAAAAAAAAAAAGAACTATGTCAGTGGCAATAGATTTGAAAAGATAAAAGCTAAATGAGACCTTTTTAAAAAAAAAAAAACTTCTTTATGATTATGGAAATTGTCAATTTCTTCATAGAGAAATGCCCACTATAGGACATTTATGTCAAAATAGAAAATTCTAGTTATCTAGAAATCAGAACATTTTCTCCCAGAAGATATTCTAGAGAAACATATTCCAGGAGGCAACTTGGGAAATTTATTAGAAACTTAGGAAATTTTCATTTATGAATCACTTATTTCTTATGTATGTGAGGGCAATGGAAGTGAGGGGTGCTATTTATTATATTGATTAAGAATGTGCAATCTAGAATAAGACTGCCTGGTTCAAAGCTACATTCTAGCTTTCTAGCTGAGTCTAGCTGAGTTTTGGGCAAGGTCGTAACCTCTTCAAACTAATTTTCTATTCTATAAAATTGGAATAAAATAATATTAGTGTGTATCTGCTATGGTCTGAATGTTTGTGTAGCCCAGAATTTATGTGACAGACCTAATCGCGAATGGGATGATATTAGGCCGTGAGGTCTGTTGGGAAATGACTAGGTCATGAGGCTAGTGCCCTTATGAATGACATTTGTTTCTCTAAAAGCTTGCTTGTCCCTATCATGTGAGGACGTAGAAGGTACTATCTACAGGAAAGTGAACCTTCAGCAGGCACTAAATTAGCTTGTACCTTGATCTTGAACTTCTCAGCTAACAGAACTACTGGAAATAAATTTCTGTTGTTTAGAAGCTACCCAGTTTATAGTATTTTGTTATAGCAGCCCAAACAGACTAAGACGGTATCTCCAAGGGTCCTTTTCACAGTTAAATAATGAGATAATTCAAGGGTGTTAAATAAACAAAAATAAAGCAATAGAATGAACACACATAGTTCACCTCATGTGTGTACAATTGTCTTATGAACTTTCTCCTTTTCTTAAACAACAGAATCCAATGGTCCTCAATGTTTGCAACTGAGAATCATCTGTGGACCTTTAAAATAATTTAAATGTCAGTATCCCACCCCTGATTTTCTGAATTCTAATTATAAAGTTGGTCATAGTCATAAAACTGTGCATTTTTATAAGGAGTATTTAATATACAGAATTTAATCAATATTTAAAAGCACCCATTTTGTTAACTAAGTAGCATGTTAAAATAATTAGTAATTTTGTTTGGATTTTCTATATATGAACTTTTTTGTGTAGAAAACTATTTTAGAAAACATCTTGCTGCTACAAATCTTAATAGTTTCAATAAAATGTGAAATCTTGGTTAAGTACAGCTTATTGAAGAATATTATTTTTTTCTAGATTAATTAGGATTATCTTAGGTCATTATTTTGTACACCAAAATTGACTAAATGAAAGCTAATTATATTTGAAAGAGTATATGCATTAGGGATTCAGAAAGCTCTGGGCCATCTTTTCATTACTGGCTGTGTGATCTTAGACCAGTTCCTTGGCCTTTCTGAGTGTACTTTTCCTCATTTAAAAAAAGAATAATGAATGGAATAATTAGGAATATAATTGACTACCTGAGATAATAGAAGAAGAATTTTTGAAAAACTTATGTTTAATAAATAGTAGCTTAATGATGAATAAAACTACTCATTTTACTTGGGGACAACATCAACATAAAATCAGCTTCTGTTCAAGATATACATTCAAATTAACATTATTGGAGAAAACACTTTTAATGCTTTAGTTTATCAGATGTAATTTTCTCCCAAATTCAAGTCTGGAAATAAATTTCAATTATTTATGGATTCTTACTAGTACTTATTTATTGAGATAATTTTTTGTTAAAATATAAAGAAATATTTTTAAGCATTCTCAACTTAAAAACTAAAGTCCAAGAAAGATTTAAGTGTAGCTGGCTGCAACTGGGTCAGAATTTACCTTATATCTCTTTGGCTCAATGTGGTATCTTTTTTCTTTTTCCTTCTATGTACACTTTTACTCTGTATTGCTTATATATGGCCCACTATAGCTGTCCAAAAATAGTATATTTAACCCTAAATTGACAAATTCATTAGGTCTTAAAAATTTTATTGTCCAAGATAGTTACAGACTTTATCAACTTCTTTGTGACGTCAACTGAACAGGTGTTATTTTATGCTCACCTAATAAAAGACAAAGTAGGACAAAGGCAATGAGTGTAAGTGACTAATGTTGCACATCTATTAAATGCAAAGAAATCAGTCCAGTATCCCACCTCTCCATTATCCCACCTTGCTCCTAATGGTGGTGGTGGTTCATTAGTGGTGATGGTAATTCCAAATATAGGAATCACGGCTGGGCACGGTGGCTTACGCTCATAATCCCAGCATTTTGGGAGGCCAAGGCAGACGAATTACCTGAGGTCAGGAGTTCATGACCAGCCTGGCCAACATGGTAAAATCCGGTCTCTACTAAAAATATAAAAATTAGCTGGGCGTGGTGGTGTGTGCCTGTAATCCAGGCTACTCAGAAGGCTGAGGCAGGAGAATCCCTTGAACCCGGGAGGCAGAGGTTGCAGTGAGCCGAGATCATGACACTGCACTCCAGCCTGGGCAACAGAGCAAGACTCCATCTCAAATATATATATGAATCAGTCCAGTATCAGTTTCCTCTCCATTATCTCGCCTTGCTCATAATAGTGGTGGTGGTTCAGTGGTGGTAATAAGAAATAATAGACAAAAGTTTTTTGAGGCTGTGCGGTGGCTCACGCCTGTAATCCCAGCACTTTGGTAGGATTAGGGGGTGCGGATCATGAGGTCAGGAGATCGAGACCATTGTGGCTAACACGGTGAAACCCCGTCTCTACTAAAAGTACAAAAAAAAAATTAGCCGGACATGGTGGCGGGCGCCTGTAGTCCCAGCTACTTGGGCGGCTGAGGCAGGAGAATGGCGTGAACCCGGGAGGCGGAGCTTGCAGTGAGCCGAGATCGCGCCACTGCACTCCAGCATGGGCGACAGAGCCAGACTCCTTCTAAAAAACAAAACAAAACAAAACAAACAGCAACAGAAAAAGTTTTTTTATTCTACAAAAGCATTTTAGCACTCTATCATAATGAAATACATGAAATATGTTGGCTACATGACTAAATCTGAAAATTTTATTTTTAAATGACTTTTGCTACATATAACTTGCATGAGAGCTATAGATTTTGATTTTTATTTCCATTTTATTTGGAAACAAACTTTTTTTTTAGCTACTATATTCTTTTACACTATGGTAAGTTTTAAATGAGTGGAAATTGCTGTTCCACTTATTTAAACCACAAGAACACTTGACTTCTTATCACTCAAAAAAGGAAAAATAGAAAATGCCACTTGATTTTAATAGAAGGGTATTGAACTTTTATGTACTGTCTATATACATATGGCCTAGTATTTTAGGGAAAAAAATCATATGAAAATTAGCTATTAAACTAAAAATGGTTAGTAAGATACAGGCAAATTTATTCTGTAGATTTTTTTAGTTTTCAAGCTCTTTTATTAATATTTATTCAGTATTACTTTTCTTAATTTGTTTTAAAATATAGGGAAATATATAAAAAATTATTTTCTTTTAAAATAAATTAACTGTTGTCACTTGAATAAACAATTCTCAATCAATTCTAATCCCCCATTCTTTTACATTATTTAGAAAATAAAGTTGTTTTTACTTCAACCCATGTTTTTATATTCATAAAATGTTATCTTCAAAATAAGCTTGCAATGTAAGACATGTAAAGAATGACATCATATGTACAAATAAATGCTAATTATTTGCTAATATCATTAACAAAATTCACAAATTTTGACCATGCGCATTCACCAGCCAACTGCCTTAGAGGCAAGCTCTGCCCCTCTTCTGTGTTTCAACAAAAAGTCCCAGTGCAAAGCACCATATTATGAATCTTAGCTAGTTAGTTAGATATATACAGATAACTATTGGTAGTAACAAATATTCGTAATAAATAGTAATAGCAACAAATCTCCAAGGATTGTAATTGTCCATGCTTATAAAATGTGTTGTTAAGGTAACAATACTAATAATGAAAGTTATGCATGTTCTTTTTTAAAACTTTTACATTAAAAATAGCAGATCCCTTCTGAACCAGCTCACCATTTATCTATGACTGTCATCTGTGTGATCTGTTCTTTCAATGAGACAGAAGTTTTGGAGAATTGTGAAACCAATCATAATTAAATATTTTTATGGCAATTTATTCCAGTTTTAAAATAGAATCTATTCCTGATTCATTTTTAAAAGGCTAAAATTGTACTACGTTTACTTTTAGAACACCTGATTTCTCATGTGGACTTGTAGAGAAAAGTTCAGTTTTTATAATTGTCTCAGTAACATTCTTAGTCTGTCTTTACCTTCTCTTCCACTTTTCATCTGCAGAGTTTTACCTCGGTTGGTAGTGATTATTGAAACTATCTACCCCTTCTGGCTCCCTGTCTTATAACTAATTTTAAATCTGTCTCTATGTTTATTCCTATTGAACAAGCAATCTAAATATCAAAGGTGTCCTACAGATGTTCATTCATCCATTATACCATCAACGAATATAATAAATTCAGCTGATGTTAGACATACACAAAACAGATAACAAAGTCTTGTCCTCCAGTTGCTTTCTGTACAATATATGGGAGAGACATAGATACAGAATATGGCATAAGGCACACTGTAATAAGTACCACAATAGATTCATCTCTACATTTTCCCATGATCAAGAACATAATGCTTTGTTACAAATAGGTAGTACATAAAACTTCTTTATTAGGGGCATGAACTCTCAAATACAGATTCATGCATATCTGTGTTTGAATTCTTGTTTTTATATTTGCTAGCTGTTTTACTGTGAGTATATTATTAAATTTATGAGTTTGTTTTCTCAACTATAATGTCCACACCCCTAAATTTTCTGTGAAGATTAAATGAGACAATTTATATACTGATTTTTGCACAATGCTTTTGCCTCTTAATTTCTTAATACATGTGCATATTATCATTATCACTATTAATCTTATTATTACCAATTAGGGAGATTGCTGATAATTTTATATTGGTCTTAAATTTATTTAAGACGAGAACATTCTCTTTATTTAGGAAAATACAAGAATACCAAACCAGTATAAAAAATTGGATAGTTAGAAATGATATACATTTCTCTAAATATGTGGTTTTATGTTTGTTCTTAATTTGAGTACAGGATATCGAATATGAGATTGAAGAAAAGAATAATTGGGACTACAGTTGGAAGAAAATGCTATAGAAAGAGTAAAACAAGTCTACACAAGTTTTATAAGTATTGGAATGCTAAGACTAGATATATACTACAAGAATATTAATCTGGTAGTTGTATGACACTGTTTCACAAACAGGGGAGGAATATCGGCATCTCTCTGCCACAATGTTATTACCGATGTTGTCTAGAAATGTCAATGTATGGTAGTAATAATAAATAGACTAACTTTTGGTTGGTTGTTTTATTATTTTTTAACGCCACAGGTAGTAGTTTCCTGAAATGCCAAGAGAATGGCATATAGTTCCCTCTGTCCTTTGTAATACTCTAGTATGAAGAGTTGGTAGGAGATTGGCTGTTATTAAAATTTATTCCTATAAATACAGAAAACAGAAAATAAATAAGAAAATTACACAAGAGAATTTTCAAAGTTAGACTGATAAAAGCATGACTGATGAATTTCTTCTAGGATTCAAAAATCTCACAGGGAAAAGTAAATAATAATTAGAATACATTTCTCTAATGCACACTGCTGTTGAATATATACAAGAAAAAGCAAACAATTCTGAATTCAGTAAAGATATTTAAATGGGTCATGGTTTTAAATTGCCTTGCAAATGCATGCAACATAAGGGATTCATAATAATTTAGACCATCTTATATTATCTGATAATGTTAGCAAGGTAGAACCATATTTTCCCCTTTCTGTTTCTCTTACATAAATCCCTAAATATCAGTGTCAAAGTAACTGCTTAATATTTTACTGATTATAAATAAAAACTAAGAGTAAATAATGCCAGAATTTTGAAATCAATTTTATATTTTTTTCTTACCTCCTGTACCTTTATACAATTATTTCTATTTGTTTTTCTTTGAGATGCAAGGCACTTACAGTACCAAAACATTCTAAAAATAAATTACTCATTGCATTCGAAATTTATCAGAGGTAAATATTACTGAGAAAAGGAAAGAAAAGTAATTATTTTCTATTATCATCTTGTTTGTATCTCAATGCCTAAATACAGTTTTTAATTCACACACTCAATGCCAATTTCAGCTATATTACTCAAGTCTTTGTATCTGGAATGATAAATTAATTCTGTTAAAACCGTCATTTTTTAAAACAGTTATTCTCAATATAAATTATAAAAAAATATATATGTATTTAAATATGACATACCATGATAGGAGTAAAATATAATAGAAAGTGTTGTGAACTTTTTAAAATATAGTATAGGGAATATTCATGAAATCTTAGATTCCTTACTTTCTAAATTTAGTGTTATCTCAATTATATTTGTGTTTTTATAAACATTGCCCTAAGCTTTAAAAAAGGACTTATTGACAGAAACTATTATTACATGTCACAATGAGCTTTTTTTCAGAGCAATAATTTTATTTTTAAATTTTTATTATATGACTTCCTTAGTTGAAGAAACACTAAACATGGGGAAAATTTTTATTTAAATGCTGTGAATATAATAATGAGCAAGAGACCTAAATTCTTAAAGCCTCATTTGTCTCTCTACAAAATATTTATAAAATTCTTGGTAGAGAGCATTATTGAGAGTAAAATTTAAAATATACATAAACTCATTTTAAATGGTAAAAGGGATATATATATTAGTGACACTATCTTGATCAAATTGTAATTAGATAAATTATCTATGAACATTTTCTAAAATTTTGATGAAATCAGAAATAAAACCCTAAAGAATTAAGCAAGCATGAGCAAAATAAACAAAGGCAGAGGCATTATATTACTTGACCTAGAAATCTACCACAAAGTTATGGTAATCTAAACAGCATGATACTGGCATAAAAACACAACATTCACACATAAACCAATAGAACAGAATCAAGAGCCCATAAATAAATCTTCACATTTACTATCAATTGTTTTTCAACAAAGAAGCCAAAATTACACTGTGAGGAAAGCAGTTTCTTCAATAAATGGTGGTAGGAAAACTGGATATCCACATGCAAAAGAATACAATTATGCCCTCATCTCACATAATATATAAAAATCAACTAAAAATGGATCAAGTCTCAAATGGAAGACCCAAATTTGTAGAAAGACAAGATAAAAACATAGGGGGAAAGCTCTATGATATTGGTCTTGGCGAATAATTTTAAATATGGTCCCAAAAGCACATTCAGCAAAAGCAGTAGACAAGCGGGATTACATCAAACAAAAACCCTTCTGCACAGCAAAGAAAACAATCAACAGAGTGAAAATGCAATCTATAGAATTCGAGAAAATATCTGCAAATTATACATTTGATAAGAGGTTAATTTTCAAAATATATAAGAAAATTATACAACTCAATAGTAAGAAAATGAATTACCTGATTTTAAAAGGAAGAAAAGGACCAAGCAGACATTTCTAAAAAGGAGTAATACAAGTAAATAACAGGTATCTGAAAGTATGATCAAGATCACTAAGTATCAGGGAAATAAAAATTAAAGCCACAATGAGTTATCATCTTCCACATGTTAAAATGGCTGTTATCAAAAAAGATGAGACAGCATATGTTGGAGCTGATGTGGAGAAAAGGAAACCCTTATACACTATTGGTGGTAATGTAAATTAGTACTGCCAATATAGAAAACAGTATGGAGGTTCCTCAAAATATTGAATATGAAACTATCATATGATCCAGCAATTCCACTTCTGTGTATACACTGAAAGGACATAAGATGAGTATGTTGAAGAGCTATCTGCACTTCCATGTTCATTGAAGCATTATTCATAATATCCAAGACATGGAATTCAACCTGTATCATCATTGGGTCAATTAATAAAGAAAATGTGATACATATGCACAGTGGAATAATAGCCTTAAAATATAAGGAAATCCTGTCATTAACCACAAGAAGCCTAAACCTGGAGGGCAATGTGCTAAATGAAATAAATCAGTCATAGAAAATATTGCATAATCTCACTTATGAGTGAAATCTTAAAAAGTAGAAGCAATGGAAATAGGGTAGAATGGTGATTAATATATATATGAGGCAATACATATGTTAAATAGCTTGTTTTACCCATTCAACAATGTATACATATATGAAAACCCCATGTTGTACACCAAAAATGTATACAATTTTTACTTGTCAGTTAAAATAATTTTTTAAAAGTCATTGGAATGAAAATAATAGGATGTTATTATACAAATATTACAATAAAATAATATTTACTTTGGTTACTCATAACAGGCATTTGAACAGAGAGCAGTGGAATATTATATGATGAGAAAACAGTTGATCTTAATTTTTATGTGTGCAACATTAAGGAACCTCTTCTTTTTAAATTATGTTTTTACATTTAAAAATATGCTAGTAATAGGAAATAAAAATCTTGTCTTCAAGTTCAAATTCTGGTTTTATATTGTCAGCTAGTATATCCAGAGTAAATAACTTATCTGAACACTGGCTTCCTAATTAATGAATAAGAAAGTAGGCCTACATTTTGATGAAACAAGCATACATTCTTATATCAAGTTGTAATTATTCCTTTGTGTGATATTATTCGTGAGGCAAATCTACTGTATCGGGGGAGTATTTTATTGGTTTTTTTCAGTAGGAACCAAACAAGATAAGACCATGAATTCAGAAAAATATGTATAAGTCAGTCAGAGAGATAGAACAAGAATTTGGGGGTTGGTTACAGATATATAATAATAATCATAATCATAATTTGTATGAACAAATAGGTTGATTTTATTAAAACAAGAATGAAATAAAGTAAGAACAGATGCAGGACAAAAATCTCAAAAAAGACCAGAAGTCACATGTCATTCCCAGTTACCTTTGAAGAAGGATAACTTCCCACATCTATGAAAACTAGAGTAAACAGTAATAACTGGCAAGATTAACTGGTTCATTCTTTGAAAGGATGTTCATAGTACCAAGAAAAGAGACTTTGAGAGATTGATTTGGGGTTGTACATAAGATTAATTTTATTAGGTCTCCATGCTCTGAAACAACTTGTCTAATGCAAAATCCCCAGACCTCCCCCTAACATGTCCAAAGATGACATAAACTACATGTTTGTGCGTTCCAGTTGCCACCAAGCTCTATGAGTGACTTTTACCACGTGAATATAAATCGATGAAATACATTTCCTAGGATAGTGGCTGGAAATTAGATTTGAATTCTTTTTTAAAACGTAATTGAAAGTTCTGGGATACATGTACAGAACGTGCAGGTTTGTTACATAGGTAATCATGTGCCATGGTGGTTTCCTGCACCTATCAACCCATCACCTGGATTTGAATTCTTTGAAATAGCAGTGATCTGATAGCTAGATTATGAGAAAATTTAAACCCACTCAAACCTATAGGTCAAGGCAGTAGAAGTCAACAATTGAAAAATGCTTGTACGTCTCAGCTCATTACTTACACATTACAGTCAACACTGATTATAAGAAATATGGAGAGTATTCCTGGTTTCTTTATGTCCAATAGAAAATCCAGTATAGTATTTTCTTAGCAATGAAAAGAAAGTAATCCAAAAATAAATAATAAGGAGATAAAAGCCAACACACTTTTGGAAAAGACAACTGATAGTATATTACCTTTTCAATATAAATTAATAATTATGATGAGTATTAATCCATATTTTATGATACATTTTTACTATCTTCTGTTCTATATGAAGTATTTTATAATTAAAATAAAAAGAGTGTTACCATTGAAAGCATAGACAAGTAAATGGTACAGAACAGTTCAGATTCAGGTATACACAATAATAACCTAGTATTGGGAAAAGGTTGTGTAATAATCACTAATGAAAGAGAATATTATTCAATACTTGACACTAGCAAAATCAGACACTTAAGATATATATATACACACATATATAATTTTCTTTTTCTTGTGTCCATATGTACATATGTATATAATTATATATAAATATATGTAGTTTTATATGTATATATACACATATGTATACAATTATGTATAAATATATATAATTTTATATGCACATATGGACACAAGATAAAGTATATATAATTATATACAATTTATATATGTGTGTATATACATATATATGCAATTTGATTCTCACTTCACCTCCAGACAATTTCTAAAGAAAACTTAAACTTTCTATAATAGAGCTATTTTATTTTAAATACAAATGCATGCACACACAATAACACAACAAACTTTATCTTATAATACTGAAATACATATACAAACAATAAATAATTAGTTAAATATTCATTTCAGAAGTCACAGAAGAAATTAGAATCTTTATATCTAAGTATCTCACAAACATATCATAAAACTATAAACTCAATAAAACGGGCAATGCAATGCACACAAAATCATAGAGGAATGACAAGTGACTGAGAAATATATTAATACATTTAATCCAACTGTGAATAAAATAAAATAATAAAAACAGCAAGCATAATTTTCAAATGAACTTAAGTATTACTATACTCAACTTTGGCATTCTGTGTTGGATTGGTACCCTCATATTCCTCTGTGAAAATGTAATTTTTAACAGAAGAATATGGAGAATATTATTGTACTGATTTTTATTGAAAATAGTTTTGTTTTTCAATTCTAATTCTACCTTGGGAAACACAAACTAACAGATAATTCAACAAAGGTTTATGTACAAGGAGTGGCTAGAATTGAGGATATGTGACTGAATCCTTAATATTTTGGGGAATTGCAGCAATCTTCCACTTTCTAAAACTGATTTTAAAAGTTTTGATTTAATTATAAAACAATTTATTTTATGCAACAATGTTTCCATTGGAAATTTGATTACACCACAGTAAAAAGGAAACACTATTCTAGAATGCAGAGTGTTAAGATAGGGCAAATACATCTTTCATGCCTGATAATTTAAATTGTTTTGGCTAAAGAAACACCTCAAGGAAAATATGTTGACTGGGAAAAATGGTCTTCAGTATTTAATGAAAAGCGGAAAAAAAAAATAAAGAAAACAAAACCTCTCACTGAGCCTAAAACACTGGAGTAGGTATTGGGCTTTAGGAAGTTTAGATATAATCAAAAAGAACATATTAAAAACAAAACAAGCTAACAAAAAATAGCAAAGACAGGAAAAATATCAATGATATTTGGTGAGAAATACCATGTAAAAGATTACTGTATGCACTCTGGAAACAGTTACATCTAGATGTGGCTTATATTTTATTTATGCTTTGTCACGTTTTCTGTTATACTTAAATCTTAAATCATCATTAAAATTTTTTTATCCCTTAAAACTTTAATTATATTTGGAAGATTGAGAAGGGCCTAAGTGTCAAATGGGACAAAAGTGTATAGAAATGGGTGGCATTAGCTTAGGGTCTGATGGAAATACAACACACAAGGAGCAGTTTTTCTGAAGCGCAGAGGAGTATCCTGCAGGAATGTTTAATGTTGAGCAAAGAACTAAATAACAAATAAACCAAGACAAGATAAACTTCTCGAACCTGTAATCATTTCTTAATGAGAAAAAAGACCTCAGGAAAAGAAGTGATAGAATAGAAGCCTTCTCATCATAAGTTACTATGGAGTCAGTTATTACTGCATTTGGTTATTAAGGGAGTGGGTGCCCTTTCTTGATAAAATACAGTATATTATGGCAGCTTGAAACTTCTGATGTCACAACTAGAAAAAAAGAAAGACAGATTAGTTACAAAAAAATATATTATGAAAGGCATCAGGGAGCATTGCATAAACAATGGGAAACATGATCAAAACTTCTGGAGGGGGAAGAACTGTTTTGATGTAAACTGATAATGTATAGCTGGTTGGTTTTCTGTTTGTTTGTTTTTGTTTGTTTTCGTAATGGATATTTTCCAGTTCTTTCAAAAGAACATTTTCCGAGTTCAGGGCTTATTTGGAAGACAGAGGAGCTAGGCCAAAAGCTTTGAAAAGCTACACACAGTAATTTCATCTACAACCCAGTGTCAATTGGAAACAAAGATCTGTCAAGGCAGAGGCCTTCCCCAAAACATGGCATGCTCCATCGTAAGGCATTTGTCAAAATTTGCAGCTGCGTAGGATCACTGGTTGGGGTAGAATTAAATCTCCCATAATCTAAGCAATGAGCTCAGAGCACAAACCCCAGAACCAAGGAATAAATTAGAAAGAATGAAACTTCAAATCAGCCCTGATGCAGCTCTGTCCTTTTTAGGGTTGGGAATTTTGCCTCCATACCACCTTAATACAAAATAAAACATACATTTTATGCAGCTGGCATACAATTAAACAATTATTATACATACAAGAGGGCAGACTATGTGACCAGTAACCAAGGGAAAAAATGACAAAATAAGTTTTTTATTTGTTTGTTTGTTTGTTTTTCTTGAAACGGAGTTTCACTCTTGTTGCCCAGGCTGGAGTGCAGTGGCACAATCTCGGTTCACTGCAACCTCCACCTCCTAGGTTCAAGCAATTCTCCTGCCTCAGCCTCCCGAGTAGCTGGGATTACAGGTGTGCGCCACCATGCCCGGCTAATTTTGTATTTTTAGTAGAGACAGGGTTTCTCCATGTTGGTCAGTCTGGTCTCAAATTCCCGACCTCAGGTGATTCGCCCGCCTCGGCCTCCCAAAGTCCTGGGATTACAGGCACGAGTCACCATGCTCAGACCAAAATAAGTAATTTTAGTAATTTTAGAGACCTTGTCTGGAGTTACCACAGAAAGACTTTAAAATTACTATGACACATATGTTCCACAAAACTTTAAAAAGTGACAAAATAGAAGAAACTATTAGAATGTTCACTTTTGAAATAATCAATAATCATGCTAGAAATTGAAGACCTTAAAAAATAAACATTGTATTTGAAACTCTGCAGCCAATGGATTTGTTTCACAGCATGGTGGCCAAAGAAGAAGCTAACATTAGTTACATGAAAGGCAGAGTGAATAAAAAAAAAAAAAATCCTGGGAAACTACAGAAAAAAATAATTTTAAAAATAGACTTGTGTGAGATAAATGTGAGACAAACATAATATGTGTACTTTTCACTATTTATATTTAAATAAAAACATTTTTAAAATTAATTTTTTTCTGGATGGTTTTACATCTTCATTATTTCTCTATTCTTTGAGGTTATTTTATCTTTTTATAAGAAAATCCCACTGGCTTTTCACCTAATTGAATTAAGTCTATAAATTAATTCATAGAGGATGGTCATTTTTACAATTCCCATCCTGGCACTTGTTATATTATACAATTTATTCATTAAAATAATTCCTAGTTAACTTTTTATTATTCTGCTTCTGGAGAGAGTCCTTACTAAGTTTAATTTCAAATGTATTTTAATAAGTCCTGTGACTATCTGAATATAATATCATATATTGTTTTTCTCAAAGGTTTTTCTTGATAGAGAAGATAATTTATTGCAACTTACTTATTTTTTGTTTCTTATTACTCTACCCTGGGTACAATTTTCAGGTAATGTACATCTTAATAATCTACATATTTTATTTTTAAAATTTATTTTTTATTTATTTTGCTTTCCAAATTTAGGTTCAGGGGGTGCATGTGCAGGTTTGTAACATGGGTAAATTGCCTGTCACAGGGGTTTGGTATACATATGATTTTATCATCCCATTAATAAGCACAGTGCCTGACAGGTAATTTTTTTTATACTCACCCTCCTCCCACTCTCTGCCCTCAAGTAGGCCCTTGTGTCTATTGCTTTATTTTTTGTGCTTCATGTGTATTCAGTGTTTAGCTCCCACTTGTGAGAACATGAGGTATTTAGTTTTCTGTTCCTGCATTAATTTGCTTACTATAATGGTCTCCAGCTGCATCCATGTTGCTGTAACAGACACGATTATGTTCTTTTGTATTCTATAGTGTATATGTGCCATACTTATTTTTTTTTTTAGACGGAGTCTCACTTTTTCGCCCAGGCCGGAGTGCAGTGGCGCTATCTCGGCTCACTGCAAGCTCCGCCTCCTGGGTTCACGCCATTCTCCTGCCTCAGCCTCCGGAGTAGCTGGGACTACAGGCGCCCGCCACCTCGCCTGGCTAATTTTTTGTATTTTCAGTAGAGACGGGTTTTCACCGTGTTAGCCAGGATGGTCTCGATCTCCTGACCTCATGATACGCCCGCCTCGGCCTCCCAAAGTGCTGGGATTACAGGCGTGAGCCACCGCGCCCGGCCTGTACCATACCTTCTTTATCCAGTCCATCGTTAATGGGTATCTAGGTTGACTCCATGTCTTTGCTATTGTGAATAGTGCTGCAATGAATACAGTACCGCAATGAACATATGAAGGCGTGTGTCTTTATGGTAGAACAATTTATATTTTTAATATTTATATCTTATTTTTTTGAACTATTTAAAAATCATACGCGATTTAAAACATAGTTGTGTTACCTAGTATCTTTGAGTCACCCCCAGTTTACAAGGAGTATTACTATTGTAGTCTCTTCCCAAGAGCGTGTTCATAGTATATATTATGAGGCTCTCCACAAACACAGTGAATAACTGTCATCTAATACACATTTAGTAAGTAGTTTAAACAGATTAATAGACAAAATTGTTCCCTAATTGTATATTTTTTGCTTTTACTATTTTACATCTCCTTTTGCTAAGCTTAAATAACTTTATCTTCTTTTTTTTCAACATACTATTTTTGTCCCAGGTTCGACACTATATTATGTAAATATCGCACATCAGCACATATGGAATTTCACTGTCCAAGGCTTTGGAAACATTAACATTCTGAAGCTAATATGTGATTACTTCCTCCTGTTTTATTTGATGAATGTGAGGTCATAAAATTCATTAAGTCAATTTATATTTTGAAACAATGTGTCTACATCTCAAGTCTTCTATATATAAGTTCTCTACACTGTGAAAGTTTTAACAATATTAATATGTTGCGAAACTAGAAAAATCTCACTCAGCTATATGTGAATCTAAATACAGAGGTAGACCATATGAATCACAATGATAATTTCACTCTAAGTTAACGTATTTTTTAATTGGTTCTCACATATAATTTCCACATAGAGACATCTGATTTCTGTGTCAAATAACTGTATGACAATGATGTTTACACATGCTACAATAAGTAACATACTGTTAGGTATCCTTTATTCTACAACAATCCTTAGGTGTTTTCTTATTCAGTGTACTGTGAAATGAATTAACCCAGTTTTTATTTTCAAGCCAGAACAAATAATTGATAAAGACTCCAAAAATCAGCTCTGGCATGAGGTACTATGAGGTGAAACAAAAATAAAACCAAGGATAAGTATGTACAGGTATGCTTACATTAAGAGAAAACAAAAGTAATATTCATAGGAAACACTTACCTATTGCATTTGTCAGGCCCTCTTTAAAATGCATCCCCCCACACAAACACACTTAATTGATTTAATCTTGTGGTATAGGTGCAATTACCACCTGTATGTTGGAAATGATGAAACTGAAGCAAAAAAAAATTAAGGCACTTTATCAAGGTAACAGTATTTTGAATAATGTCACATGGTAGTAATAGAGGCAGGGCTATGATTTAAACCCAGTAACATCACTAGTAGTAGTAGAAGTATAGCTATGATTTAAACCCAGGAAGTCTGTTCCCATGATCCATAATTTTAAACAGCATGTTATATTTTTCTGTATTACCTCATAAGTAGAAACAGAGACTGCTTAGACATCATGAGCTATCTCTCTAGTTCATGATGTTTATAAAACACATAACACAGCATCTAGCATAAACACTCAACTAGTTCCTCTTTTACCTTTATCTTGTCCTACTGTATGCAAAAATAGTATCTGCTTTCTGTGCGGAGAGACTCAAGTTTATAGTACCAGGTACTCTGGATAGTCAAACAGAAATTTTAGTAGAAATATCAAACTGAAAAATATGATCTTTGTTTGTATTAACCAGTTCTTCCACTGCTAATACCCGAGACTGGGTAATTTATTAAAAAAAAAGATGTTTTACAGACTCACAGTTCCATGTGGCTGGGGAGGACTTACAATCATGGTGGAAGGTGAAGGAGGAGCAAAGGCATGTCTTACATGACGTCAGGCAAGAGAGCTTGTGCAGGGGAACTGCTTTTTTGTAAAACCATCAGTTCTTGTGAGACTTATTTACTATCATGAGAACAACACAGGAAAATCCACCCCCATGATTAAATGTCCTCCCACCAGGTCCCTCTCATGACTCCTGGGAATTATGGGAACTGCAATTCGAGATTAAAGTGGGAACACAGCCAAACCATATAACTGTTTTTAACTATAGTGTAATAACATATAAAAGGATAATCACAGCTATTTGCCTGGAAATATTCAGGTTTGCAACTCTTCCTATTATGATTATTAACAGCATGCATTTCTTGCTCAAAAAGTATTCTAACTTGGAGGATATATTTTATTGTAGTCTTACAGATAAACTGTATACACAGTGCTATAGACTGAATTGTTCCACTCACCCTAATTCATATGCTGAATCCCTAACTTCAAATATAATAATGTTTGGAAATGGGGTCTTTGGTAGGTAATCAGGTTTAGATGAGAATGGGGGATTTAGGATGAGATTAGTGGCCTTATAAGAAGAGGCATCAGAGGTATTGCTCTTGCCCTCTCTCTGCCTGTGAGCACACAAGAAGAAAATAGCCATCTTACAAGCCCTCATCCAAACCTGACCATGCTGGCATCGTGATCTTGAATAGCCTCTAGAACTGTGAGAAAATAAATGTCTGTTATTCAAGCCACTCTATGGTGTCTTGTTATGACAGCCTGACCTGACTAATGCACACAGCATCAAAATACTATTATATGAAAGTATATTAACTGTTAACAAATTACATGCTAATTAAATTATATGCATATAAGAGCTCACTTGCTTTATTTAACCAACTAGAAAAAAACATGTTTGGCCCTAAGTTATTCTTAGTAAACTTTGATTTAACTATAAATTCAAAATTGTAATTCTAATAGTGGCATAATATAAATGTATATTACAGTAATTTTTTAACATTGAATTTTGATCTATCAAAGCAAAATTCTTTACTACATTAAAATTGGTAATTAAAGTCTAATTTCAAAACATTTTAAAGATAATTCCTGAATAATTTATCAGTGATTATTTAATGAACAAAATAAAAAGATTGAACCACAGTTTTGTATTAGTATATATTTTAATTTTTATTACATATCATCCTCAACTTTTTCAATCTTGGAAAATATTTGTTCACAGTTGAAGAGGGCAGGAAATATCTGTTTATGGTGAAGTGAAAACTAATTGACATCACTAAATCAATAAATACACTGAATTCCACACTAAATATTATTCCATACTCAAAATTCTTTGCAATCTCGATTTAGCAGGGGTTTGATTGTCTGTATTGTGACCATTTGAGTCTATTGAATATTCAGTGGGTTCCATTTGTATTGCTATGGGTACAACTCTAGCTTCAGCTTGTTAAAGTTACTGTATTTTATTTAGTCACATATTCTTAACTTCATTCATCATTTACCTTAATGCACCCTAATATATTGAATGTACAACAATACAGACCTAGATATAGACTTTTTTCTTATACAACATAATGATTAAGAAAAAGTGTTATAAATGAAAAACAAACATAAGTTTACAGGTTATCAAATTCTGATAAAAATTTTATTTCCTCCAAAACAGAGGAAAGTTTTATAAATCATAATTTAGATTGTTTGAATGTGTCCGAATCTATTTATTTCAAATAAATGACTACTTTGCTTCCTGAATATTCCAAAAGTAGTTGTGAAGCAACCTTATACTTTGATTAATAATGTCAATCACCTTTAAAGTACAGGAGGGATTCATTTTCTTTTCCTTCATTAATAAATATGAGAGTAAAATTGTGTCATAAATCTTTTAGATGATATAGTTAGTGATAATATGCCTGGATATAATTTCACCTTGGTAGTTCTGCCACTTATGCTATTACTTAATTAAAATATTTGAGAACATATAACATATATTTTTATATGTTACATATATCTTTATATGCATATATTATATAAATTTATATATTTTTCTCTAATGTCTTAATTAAATTATGGCATAAGTGGCAGAACTTAAAAAAACTATGTATTAGATATTAGCTATTATATATACACACATATGTGTGTGTGTGTTTGTAAACAAACAATTGACCCTTGAACTACATGGGCCTACTAACACATAATTTTTTTTTAAATAAATAATTGGAATATTTTTCAAGGTTTGCAATAATTTGAAAACCACTTTCAGAGAAATGATGTAGCCTATAAATATTGAAAATAATGATTAAAAAGTTTGGTATGTTGTGTATGCATAAAAAATTTTAGTATATGTAGACACTAGTCAATGTTATTCACTAATCAAAATGTATACAAACCTATTTAAAATTTATCAAAATGTATTCACACAAATATTTACAGGTCTTATATGGCCCATTCACAATCAAAACAAATATAAAGAAATTTAATGAGGATGGATTAAATCATAACAGCATAAAATTAATTGTAATACATACTATACTACAATATTAATTTCATAGCCACCTCCTGTTGCTATTGCAATGAGCTCGTGTTGAGACTATCCACTTAAAATGCCAAGTCGTGCTAATTATCACATAAGCAATTCTTCTCTCCAGTAAATTGCATATTGCAGTAAAAAAGGATTTTTCACCATTCTCATGTTTCATAACATTTCATGCAATACTGTGAGTCTTGAATAATACCATCAGACCCATAGGAACTGTCACTGGTGATGCTAGAAGTGGGTCCAGGAAGCAAGAAAAGTCACAACATCACAATAAAAGTTGAACTGCTTGATAGGTACTGTAGATTGAGGTCTGTATCTGCAGTTGGGCAATATTTCATGATAAATGAATCCAGCACAAGGACCATTGTAAAAAAAATGAAAGAAAATTTGTGAAGCCATTGCTGCAGCTACAGCTGCATGCATCAATACCTTGCACTTTTTGCTAAGTACCTTTTTAACTTATATTAAATATGAACCTTTACATGGGTGCATGATTCCTATAAGAAAGGCATACTTATAGATGATAATAAGACAAAAAAAGCAAAATTATTGGCTGGGAGCGGTGGCTCATGCCTGTAATCCCAGCACTTTGGGAGGCCGAGGCAGGCAGATCAAGTGGTCAGGAGATCGAGACCATCCTGGCTAACACGGTGAAACCCCGCCTCTACTAAAAATACAAAAAAATTAGCCGGGCGTGGTGGCCTGTGCCTGTAGTCCCAGCTACTCGGGAGGCTGAGGCAGGAGAATGGCGTGAACCTGGGAGGCGGAGCTTGCAGTGAGCCGAGATCGCGCCACTGCACTCCAGCCTGGGCGACAGAGACACTGTCTCAAAAAAAAAAAAAAAAAAAAAAAAAAAGCAAAATTATTACATGACAACTTAAAGCAAGAGGAAGGTGAAGGATCTGATTGGTAAATTTAATGCCAGCAAAGAATGGTTTGATAATTTTGGAAAGAAGTTTGACCTAAAAAAAGGTCAAGATAAAAAGAGAAGCAGCTGGAGAGAGAAAAAAAAGAAAAGCAGATGAGTTCCTAGACGCCACATAAAAAAGCATTGAGAAGAAAGTATAACTAATAACTGCCTACCTAAGTTTTAATGCAGACAGAAGAACATTTTTCTGTAAAATAATGCCACCGAAGACACTTATTAGTAAGGAAGAAAAGCAAGCACTAAAATTTAAGGCAGGAAAGCACATGCTAACTCTCCTGTTTTCTGCAAATACAAACAGGTTTATGATCAGAACTGACTTTATCTATAAAGTGGTTAACCCTGGAGCCTTGAAGGAAAATGAAAAACACCAGCCACCAATCTTTTGGTTGTACCCCAAGAAGTCCTGAACAATGAGAACTGTTTTTCTAGGTTGTTTCAATTGATGCTTAGTCCTTGAAGTCAGAAATTACCTTGTCAGTAAGGAATTGACTTTTAAATTCTTTTGATATTAGACAATGCCCCTGGCATCCCAGGATCCCATGATTTTAACACCAAAACATCAAAGTGGTTTCCTTGCACCCAAACACAAGTTCTCAAAATCAGCCTGTAGATAAGGGGCTCATAAGAATGTTTACGGCATATTATTCACAGTATTCTATGGAAAGGATTGTCAATATTATGAAAGAAAACTCCAGTAGAGAACATCATGAAAGTCTGGAGAGGTTACACTATTGACGATGCCATCATTGTTATAGAAAAGGCTGTGAAAGCCATCAAACCCATAACAATAAATTCCTACCGTGGAAAACTGAGACTAGATATTGTTGATAACTTCTCAGGATTTATGACAGAGCCAAAAATGGAAACTATGGAAAACATTGCTGATATGTCAAAAAAGGTAAGGGATGAAAGGTTTCAAGATATGAAACTTGAGATCTGTTTCAAGATGGCCGAATAGGAAGAGCTCTGGTTGCAGCTCCCAGCATGATCGACGGAGAAGACAGGTGATTTCTGCATTTTCAACTGAACTCTGAAGAGAGCAGTGGTTCTCCCAACACAGTGTTTGAGCTCTGAGAATGAAGAGACTGCCTCCTCAAGTGGGTCCCTGACTCCCAAGTAGCATAACTGGGAAAAACCTCCCAGTAGGGGCCGAAAGACACCTCATATACGTGGGTGCCCCTCTGGGACGAAGCTTCCAGAGGAAGGATCAGGCAGCAATATTTGCTCTTCTGCAATATTTGCTGTTCTGCAGCCTCCACTGGTGATACCCAGGTAAACAGGGTCTGGAGTGGACCTCCAGCAAACTCCAACAGACCTGCAGCTGAGGGACCTGACTGTTAGAAGGAAAACTAACAAGCAGGAAGGAATAGCATCAACATCAACAAAAAGGGGCATCCACACCAAAACCCCATCTGTAGGTCACCAACATCGAAGACCAAAGGTAGATAAAACCACAAAGATGGGGAGAAACCAGAGCAGAAAAGCTGAAAATTCTAAAAACCAGAGCTCCTCTTCTCCTCCAAGGGATCGCCATGGAACAAAGCTGGATGGAGAATGACTTTGATGAGCTGACAGAAGGAGGCTTCAGAAGGTCGGTAATAACCAACTTCTCTGAGCTAAAGGAGCATATTCGAACCCATCGCAAGGAAGCTAAAAACTTTGGAAAAAGATTAGACAAATGGCAAACTGGAATAAACAATGTAGAGAAGACCTTAAATGAATTGATGGAGCTGAAAACCATGGCATGAGAACTTCGTGATGAATGCACAAGCTTCAGTAGCCAATTTGATCAAGTGGAAGAAAGGGTATCAGTGATTGAAGATCAAATTAATGAAATAAAATGAGACAGAAGTTTAGAGAAAAAAAGAGTAAAAAGAAACCAACAAAGCCTCCAAGCAATATGGGACTATGTGAAAAGAGCAAATCTGTGTTTGACTGGTGTACCTGAAAGTGACGAGGAGAATGGAACCAAGTTAGAAAACACTCTTCAGGATTTTATCCAGGAGAACTTCCCCAACCTAGCAAGGCAGGCCAACATTCAAATTCAGGAAATACAGAGAACACCACAAAGATACTCCTCAAGAAGAGCAACCCCAAGACACATAATTGTCAGATTCAACAAGGATCAAATGAAGGAAAAAATGTTAAGGGCAGCCAGAGAGAAAGGTCAGGTTATCCACAAAGAGAAGCCCATTGGTCTAACAGCAGATCTCTCGGCAGAAGCCCTAAAAGCCAGAAGAGAGCGGGGGCCAATATTCAACATTCTTAAAGAAAATAATTTTCATTCCAGATTTTCATATCTAGCCAAACTAAGCTTCATAAAAGTGAAGGAGAAATAAAATCCTTTACAGCCAAGCAAATGCTGAGATATTTTGTCACCACCAGGCCTGCCTTACAAGAGCCCCTGAAGGAAGCACTAAACATGCAAAGGAGCAACTGGTACCAGCCACTGCAAAAACATTCCAAATTGTAAACAACATCGATGCTATGAAGAAACTGCATCAATTAACAGGCAAACTAACCAGCAAACATAATGACAGGATCAAATTCACACATAACAATACTAACCTTAAATGTAAATGTTCTAAATGCTGCATTTAAAAGACACAGACTGGCAAATTGGATACAGTCAAGACCCATCAGTGTGCTTATCCAGGAGACCCATCTCATGTGCAGAGGCACACAAAGTCTCAAAATAAAGGAATGGAGAAAGATCTACCAAGCAAAAGAAAAGAAAAAAAAAAAAAGCAGGGGTTGCAAGCTCAGCCTCTGATAAAACAGACCTTAAACCAACGAAGATCAAAAGAGACAAAGAAGGCCATTACATAACAGTAAATGGATCAATTCAACAAGAAGAGCTAACTATCCTAAATATATATGCACCCAATACAGGAGCACCCAGATTCATAAAGCAAGTCCTTAGAGACCTACAAAGAGACTTAGACTCCAACATAATAATAATGGGAGACTTTAACAACCCACTGTCAATATTAGACAGATCAATGAGACAAAATGTTAACAAGGATATCCAGGACTTGAACTCAGCTCTGCGCCAAACAGACCTAACAGACATCTACAGAACTCTCCACCCCAAAAAACAGAATATACATTCTCAGCACCACAACACACTTATTCTAAAATTTACCACATAATTGGAAGTAAAGCACTCCTCAGCAAAAGTAAAGGAACAGAAATCAAAACAAACTGTCTCTCAGACCACACTGCAATCAAATTACAATTTAGGATTAAGAAACTCACTCAAAACTGCACAAATACATGGAAACTGAACAACTTGCTCCTGAATGACTACTGGGTAAATAACGAGATGAAGGCAGAAATAAAGATGTTCTTTGAAACCAATGAGAACAAAGCACAATGTAGTAGAACCTCTGGGACACATTTAAAGGAGTGTGTAGAGGGAAATTCACGCACTATATGCCCACAAGAGAAAGCAGGAAAGATCTAAAATCGACACCCTAACATCACAATTAAAAGAACTAGAGACTGGGTGCGGTGGCTCACGCCTGTAATCCCAGCACTTTGGGAGGTCGAGGCGGGTGTATCACGAGGTCAGGAGATCGAGACCATACTGGCTAACATGGTGAAACCCCGTCTCTACTAAAAATACAAAAAATTAGCCAGGCCTGGTGGCGGGCACCTGTAGTCCCAGCTACTTGGGAGGCTGAGGCAGGAGAATGGTGTGAACCCGGGAGGCAGAGCTTGCAGTGAGCTGAGATCGCGCCACTGCACTCCAGCCTGGGTGACAGAGCAAGATTTCATCTCAAAAAAAAAAAAAAAAAAAAAAAGATCACAGCAGAAATGAAGGAGATAGAGACACAAAAAACCCTTCAAAAATCAATGAATCCAGGAGCTGGTTTTTCGAAAAGATCAACAAAATTGATAGACCATTAGCGAGACTAATAAAGAAAAAAAGAGAGAAGAATCAAATAGACACAACAAAAAATGATAAAGGGGATATCGCCACTGATCCCACAGAAATACAAACTACCATCAGAGAACACTATAAACACCTCTATGCAAATAAACTAGAAAATCTAGAAGAAATGGATAAATTCCTGGACACATATACCCTCCCAAGACTAAACCCAGAAGAGTTTGAATGTCTGAATAGAACAGTAACAGCCCTGAAATTGAGGCAAAAATTAATAGCCTACCAATCAATAAAAGTCCAGGACCAGATGGATTCACAGTCAAATTCTACCAGAGGTATGAAGAGGAGCTGGTACCATTCCTTCTGAAACTATCCTAATCAATAGAAAAAGAGGAAATCCTCCCTAACTCATTTTACGAGGCCAAAATCATTCTGAAAACAAAGCCTGGCAGAGACACAACAAAAAAGAGAATTTTACACCAATATCCCTGATGAACATCGATGCCAAATCCTCAATAAAATACTGACAAACCAAATCCTGCAGCACATCAAAAAGCTTATCCACCATAATCAGGTCAGCTTCATCCCTGGGATGCAAGGCTGGTTCAACGTATGCAAATCAACAAACATAATACATCACATAAACAGAACCAATGACAAAAACCACATGATTATCACAATAGATGCAGAAAAGGCCTTCGACAAAATTCAACAGAACTTCATGCTAAAAACTCTCAATAAGCTAGGTATTCATGGAACACATCTCAAAATAATAAGAGCTATTTATGACAAACCCACAGCCAATATCATACTGAATAAGCAAAAACTGGAAGCATTCCCTTTGAAAACTAGCTCAAGAAAAGGATGCCCTCTTTCACCACTCTTATTCAACATAGTGTTGGAAATTTTAGCCAGGGCAATCAGGCAAGATAAAGAAATAAATGGTATTCCATTAGGAAAAGAGGAAGTCAAATTGTCCCTGTTTGCAGATGACATGATTGTATATTTAGAAAACTGCATCATCTCAGCCCAAAATTTCCTTAAGCTGATAAGCAACTTCAGCAAAGTCTCAGGATACAAAATCAATGTGCAAAAATCGCAAGCATTCCTCTACACCAATAACAGAGAGACAAATCATGAGTGAACTGCCATTCACAATTGCTACAAACAGAATAAAATACGTAGGAATCCAACTTACAAGGGATTTGAAGGACCTCTTTAAGGCGTACTACAAACCACTGATTAACAAAATAAAAGAGGACACAAACAAATGGAAAAAGATTCCATGCTCATGGATGGGAAGAATCAATATCGTGAAAATAGCCACACTGCCCAAGGTAATTTATAGATTCAATGCCATCCCCATCAAGCTACCAATGACTTTCTTCACAGAATTGAAAAAAAAAACAAAACACTTTAAAGTTCACATGGAACAACAACAACAACAAAAAGCCCACATTGCCAAGATAATCCTAAGCCAAAAGAACAAATCTGCAGTCATCATGCTACCTGACTTCAAACTATACTACAAGGCTACAGTAACCAAAACAACACCGTCCTTGTACCAAAACAGATATATAGACCAATGGAACAGAACAGAGACCTCAGAAATAACACCACACATCTACAATCATCTGATCTTTGACAAACCTGACAAAAACAAAAATGGGAAAAGGATTCCCTATTTAATAAATGGTGCTGGGAAAACTGGCTCACCATATGTAGAAAGCTGAAACTGGATCCCTTCCTTACACCTTCTACAAAAATTAATTCAAGTTGGATTAAAGACTTAAATCATAGACCTAAAACCATAAAAACCCTAGAAGAAAACCAAGGCAATACCATTCAGGACCTAGGCATGGGCAAGGACGCCATGACTAAAACACCAAAAGCAATGGCAACAAAAGCCAAAATAGACAAATGAGATCTAATTAAACTAAAGAGCTTCTGCATGGCAAAATAAACTACCATCAGAGTAAACAGGCAACCTACAGAATGGGAGAAAATTTTTGCAATCTACCCATCTGACAAAGGGCTAATATCCAGAATGTACAAATAACTTAAACAAATTTACAAGAAAAAAACAAACTACCCCATCAAAAAGTGGGCAAAGGATATGAACAGACACTCCTCAAAAGAAGACATCTATGCAGCCAAAAGACACATGAAAAAATGGTCATAATCACTGGTCATCAGATAAATGAAAATCAAAACCACAATGATATACCATCTTATACCAGTTAGAATGGCAATTATTAAAAAGTCAGGAAACAACAGATGCTGGAGAGGATGTGGAGAAATAGGAATGCTTTTACACTGTTGGCCAGAGTGTAAATTAGTTCAACCATTGTGGAAGACAGTGTGGTGATTCTTCAAGGATCTAGAACTAGAAATACCATTTGACCCAGCAATTCCATTACTGGGTATACACCCAAAAGATTATAAATCATGCTACTATAAAGACACATACACACATATATTTATTGCAGCACTATTCACAGTAGCAAAGACTTGGAACCAACCCAAATGTCCATCAATGATAGATTTGTTTAAGAAAATGTGGCACATATACACCATGGAATACCATACAGCCATAAAAATGGATGAGTTCATGTCCTTTGCAGGGACATGATGAAGCTGGAAACCATCATTCTCAGCAAACTATCACAATAACAGAAAAATCAAACATCGCATATTCTCACTCATAGATGGGAACTGAACAATGAGATCACTTGGACACCGGGCCAGGAACATCACACACCAGGACCTGTCAGGGGGTGGGGGGCTGGAGGAGGGATAGCAATGGGAGAAATATCTAATGTAAATGACGAGTTGATGGGTGCAGCAAACCGACATGGCACATGTATACCTATGTATCAAACTTGCATGTTGTGAACTTGTACCCTAGAACTTAAAGTATAATAATAACAATAATAATTCACAAAAAAGAAAAAAAAGATATGAAGCTTGAAGAAATTCAACAGCTCATAGACACTACACCAGAGGAAGTAACATAAATTACTTCATGGAAATAAGTGCTTCTGAACCAGTGCCAGAGGATGAGGAAAAAACTTAGAAGTAGTGTCAGAAAACAAATTGACATTAGACAATCTGTCAGAAGCAGTCTGATTATTCAAAACTGATTTTGATTTCTTTTAAGACATAGATCCTTATATGATATGGGCACTGAAACCAAAGCAAACAGTGGAAGGGGGATGGGCACCATCTAGAAACATTTTTAGAGAAAGAGAAAGCAAAAGAGTCAGTTGGAAATGACAGTGTATTTCCATACAGTTAAACCAAGTGTGCCTGCCTCTCTGGCCTCCCCTTCCACCTCCTCCACCTTTTGATAGTCTCTGCCAGCCCTGAGACAGCAAGGCGACTGCCTTCCTCTTCCTCCTTCTCCTCAGCCTACTTATTCTGAACACCATGAAGGTGAATACTGTTATGATAGTCTATATCCATTTATGAATATAATTTATATTCATAAATCCATTTATATCCATTTACTACATTTAATGAATAGTAAATGTATTTCTTCTTCCTTATGATTATCTTAATAACATTTTCTTTTATCTAGCTTTCTTCATTGTAACAATACAATATACTATATGTAACATACAAAATATGTGTGAATTGACTATTTATGTTACAGATAAGGCTACCTAGTCAAAAATAAGCTATTAATAGTTAAGTTTGGGGGAAGTCAAAGGGTATAGGTAGATTTTCAGCAGAGTGGAGGTGGGCACTCATAACACCTGAATTGTTCAAGGGTCAACGCTGTGTGTGCGTGTGTGTGTTTGTGTATTTATAAAGTACATCACCATTATTATATTCAAAATTAAATTAGCTTCACTAACAATCCCAGAAATGAAGCACCATTTTATGATAAGAAGCAGCAGGATCCAAATTCCTAAAATGTTTTAATAATACTACTGTTAATATTTGTGCTAGAAGAATAATTTTGTAACACTAATCCTGATGTTTCATTCATTTCATTGGCACACGTGTCTTTTGCTGGGCAACAAATGAGCTTAACATAAAAATTTTAAAAAATTATATATATAGTGGCAATCAGGTTCACATTAAAAATTCTGATGCTAAAACCAAGTAGAGCCAATAAAAATTTCATCATAGAAATATATGATGTCAGACATAGCTAATAACATTCATTGGACAGTTCATTTTTATTTAATTGACACTTTTTTATTTATTATTATTATTGACACTTTTTTATTTAATTGCCATTCTAAAATAAAAACAATATTTTATAAGAATTTTTATTTGAGTTACTTGTATTTTTGTTGTAAATTCAGGCAGCAGTAGATAATTAAAATGAAAATAATTATGATTAATTTTTAATAAATATTTTCTATGAACCAGTCATAATCCTAAGTGTTTTACTCATGGTCTTATATTTACAAATGATTGTCTTACAAATATTTAATTTTAATGCACATTAAAAAAATGACCCTAAGTTTTGGCAATGCTATTTTATTTTAGAGAAAAAACAAAAACAACAAACTTAGAAGCTACAAAACAAATTAGCAGTTCAAATTATGAAATTAATATTTGTTCTGTAGCTATTTGCATTGCAATACACTGTTTTAATTGGTGTTTCATAGCATTTTAGTGGATTTTATACAAATAATAATATTTACTATAGCTATATATGTAATTCAAAAGATTTAACCAAAACATGTTACATTTCATTTAAGCAATGTATATATATATATATATATATATATATATATAGCATTAGTTAAATGTTGTTGAGAATTATTAATGTGAAAATTCTCTTGAGCCATATACTACAGAGCACTATTATTAGTCTCAGAGATGATTAATTTTTATATAGATTTTAAGTGAACTCAAATTGGCAAAAGTTTTTAATCAATCCCCCTCCCACTTCTTTGCAAAAAATCAAAGATTATGGATAAAATTAGTTAGATTTTGATGATGGAAATGTTCAAAAATATTGTAAATATTTTTTTCTTCTGCTTTCAAATATAATGGCTTAAAATAACAGTGTTATTCCCCACTTCCCTATCCCTCTAAGAGAAACACAGATTCTCTGATATTTAATATTTAGGTAGTTTGAAGTTATCAAAAGTAGCTCTTGAACTGGTAATGGGAAGTGAGGGAGAGTTTTATATAATAGAAAGTCATAGACTAACCAAATTGTGGATATAATCCAGTATTATGATCATCCTCCACCTCTTTGTTATGTATTGTTTTATATCTGGTATGAGACTATAATGTCTCTTTTTATGCTCATGTGTCTCAATTCAGAAAATAAATTGTATGGTCATTCTTTTTTATGTGGAATGTAATTAAAATGGGAATAGACACCACTCAGAGAAGCCTGGAGAAGGTATTTAATATTAGACCACTGGAAATCTTTCAAAATATACAGAGCTAGGTTTAAAGAGGGCATACTTTGATCTCCTGTGCACAGCAAAGGATTCAAGTCAATATTAACTGTCAAGATCATATGAGTAAAAAGGGACTACAGTTCTTTATTATCCTCATGACTCTAGAGAGTAATTCTAGTAACCTGGCTCCTGAAATAGCTAAAGTGGAGCTTGAAAGTCTACCTTTGTATGATCTAGTCATATGTATATTTATATATTTCAATTTAATTGAATATTGTTACTCTACAACACTTTAAGATATCCAATGTAGAGCAATATTTCAGTAACTAGAAACAGGTAAATTGGCATAACCACGTACACATCAGAATCAGTGGGTATGGGCTCCTACAAAAGTGAGGAAAGGGAGAGAGAGGTAGAGCAAGATGGTGAAGTAAAAGTCTCCATTGATGGTCCTACCTGAAATAAATAATAAAGATTACAGCAGAAATAAATGAAATTGAAATAAAAAAAAAGCAAAGTATCGATAACACAAAAAGTATTAAGCTAAACAAAATCAACAAACCTTTGGCCAGACCAACTTACCAAAAAAAAAGAGAAGATACAAATAAATAAAATCAGAGATGTAAAAGGAGACATTACAACTGATAATGCAGAAATTCAGAAGATCGTTAGTGGGTACTATAAACAAGTAATAAATTTGAAAATAAATTGGAAAATCTAGAATAAATAGACAAGTTCTTAGACACATACAACCTACCAAGATTGTACCATGAAGAAACCAAAAAACAAAACCTGAACAGAAGAACAACAAGTAATATTATTGAACACATAATAATAAAAGGCTTCAAGCAAAGAAAAGCCTGGGACCTAATGGCTTCACTGCTGAATTCCACCAAACATTTAGAGAACAAATATCAATCCTCCTCAAACCAGTGTGAAATATAGAGGAGGAGAGAATACTTCCAATGACATTCTACAAGTCCAGTGTTATCCTGATACCAAAACCAAAGACGCATCAAAAAAACAAAAACAAAAACAAAAAACAAAAAACTACAGGGCAATATCACTGATAAATATTGATGCAAAAATCTTCAACTAAATACTAGCAAACTATATTCAACAACATGTTTAAAAAATCATTAATCATGACTAAGTGGGATTTATCCCAGTGATGCAAGGGTGATTCAACACACACAACTCCCATCAGTGTGATACATCATATCAGCAGAATGAGTAACAAGTATCATATTATTGTTTCAGTTGGTGCTGAAAAAGCATTTGATAATATGCAACATACCTTCATAATAAAATCCATCGGAAAACAGTATAGAAAGAAGATATCTCAACATGTTAAGAGCCCTATACCACAGACTTGCAGCTAGTATCACACTGAAATGGAAAAACTGCAGCCTTTTTTCTGAGATATGGAACATGACAAGGATGACCACTGTCACCACTGTTCTTCAGTGTAGTCCTGGAATTCCTAGCTAGAGCAATCACACAAGAGAGAGAAATAAAGTGTATCCAAATTGGAAAGAAATAAGTAAAATTATTCTTGCTTGCAGACAATAGGATCTTATATTTGGAAAAACCTAAAGATTCTACCAAAAACCTATTAGAACTGATAAGCAAATTCGGAAAGGCTGAGGATAAAAACTCAACATAAAAAATAAGGGGAAGTTGTATATGCCAGCAGCAAACAATCTGGAAAATAAATCAAGAAAATTATCACGTTTACAATAGCTACAAATAAAATACCTAGGAACTAATTTAACCAAAGAAGAGAAGAATGTCTACAATGAAAACTATAAAAGTTTGATGCAAGGAATTGAAAAGGACACAAAAACTTTTAGCTAGACACAAACCTTTAGCCAGACAAACTTTAAAAAAAAGGGAAAGATATTTCATGTTCATGAATTGGAAAAATCAATATTGTTAAAATGTCCATAGAACTCAAAGCAATCTACAGATTTAATGCAATCACTATCAAAATACCAATGATATTCTTCACAGAAACAGAATAAACAGGACTAAAATTTACATGGAACCACAAAAGACCCAGAATAGCCAAAGCTATCTTAAGCATATAAAACAAAACTGGAGGAATCACATTACTTGATTTAAATTATACTGCAGAGCTATCATAATCAAAATAGCATAATGCTGGCATGAAAACAGACACCAGTGGAATTGAATAAAGAACTCATATATAAATCCATACATCTACAGTAAAATCATTTTTGATGAGGTTCCAAGAACATTCACTGAAGGAAAAGACAGTCTCTTCAACAAATGGTGCTGGGAAAACTAGATATTTATATGCAAAAGAATAAAGCTAGAACCCTATCTTTCACCCTATACAAAAATCAAATCAAAATGGATTAAAGACAAGTATAAGACTGCAAACCATAAAACTACTAATAAAAATAATTGGGGAAACTCTTCAGGACATTGGAGTGGGCAAAGACTTTTTGAGCAATACTCCACAGGCACAGGCAACCGAAGCAAAAGTGGACCAGTGAGATTACATCAGGTTAAAAACCTTCTGCAAAGCAAAGGGAACAATGAACAAAGTGAAGAGACAACCCACAGATTGGGAGAAATTGCCTGTCTGACAAGGGATTAATAATCAGAATATATGGTGCTCATACAACTCCATAAGAAATATCTAATAATCCAATTTTTTAAATGAACAAAAGATCAGAATAGACATTTCTCAAAAGAAAACATACAGATGGAAAACAAGTATATTAAAAGATGCTTAACATCATCGATTGTATTAGTCTGGTCTCACACTGCTAATAAAGATATAACTGAGACTGGGTAATTCATAAAGGAAAGAGGTTTAATTGATTCGCGGTTCCACATGGCTGGGAGGCCTCACAATAATGGTGAAAGACAAAAGAGAAACAAAGTCACCTCTTACATGGCGGCAGGCAAGACAGTTTGTTCAGGGAAACTCCCATTTATAAAACCATCAGATTTCCTGAGACTTATTCACTGCCACAAGAACGGTATGGGGGAAACCACCCACATAATTCAATTATCTCCACTTGGCCCTGCCCTTGACATGTGGGGATTATTACAATTCAGGGTTAGATTTGGGTAGGGACACAGCCAAACCGTATCATTGATAATCACAGAAATGCAAATCAAAACTAAAATGAGGTATAATCTCACCCCAGTTGTAAGGGGAAAATATAGTAAATTTTCAGGAATAGATTGGAAATACATTCTTCTAACAATATATTGTAACCCATTCTTATTTCACCTAGAATGAAGGTTAAGAACACTTTTACTTGTCAGTTGTTTGTATTTCATTTTCAGCAAAACAATAATTGTTCATTTTCCTTTTATTTTATGTAATTTATTTCTTATTAGTTTGAAGAACACATTAAAATATTATAGAATTTAACCAATTGGAAAGTGTCTTTTATCTTTTGCTTATTTCTTATTAGTTTGAAGAATGTATTAAAACATTATACAATTTAACCAATTGGAAAGTAGCTTCTGTCTTTTGCATTAAAATTTATTACTTTACTTTAAAATTTTCTTTTCATTTTTTTCTAGATACTTTTCTTAATTTTTTTTTCATCTGGGTCATAATTTGGATAAGCCTGCATTTTGTTTCAGTATTTCCGTATTTTCTGGTTTTACCCTTAAATCTTTATTTATACATACCTTGTAAGAGTCTAAAGGTGATCTTTTCTACCTTGTAAAAAACAAGTGAATGATTAATTTTCTCTCATTGGCATTAAGTTTTGAAAAACATTATAGGTAATAATTGATTATAGCACAGAATTTACATAATTCTGTCTGATTTCATTTATAATACTGTGAAAGCAAACTATCTTTGGCCTCCAAAATCACTTAGGAAAACTCAATCTGTAAACTGCTTAAGGCAAACCTGCCTCCCATTGTATTCAAAGTTATCCCTCTCTCCCCACTCACTTACACAGATGTATATCTCATTGCCTCCTTTGGAAAGGGTAATCAGAAACTCAAAAAGAATGCAACCCTTTTGTCACACTTATCCCCCCCTCCTCCTTTGAGTCTTCCTGCCTTTAATTCAAGTTGTCTCACCTTTCCGGATCGAACCAATATATTTCTTACCTATATTAACTGATGTCTCACATCTCCCTAAAATGTATGAAACCAAGCAATGCCTCGGCCATCTTGGGCACATGTCCTCAGGACTTCCTGAGGGTGTGTCATGGGTGCGTCCTCCACCTTGGAAAAATAAACTTTCTAAGTTAACTGAGACCTATCTCAGATTTTCTGAGTTCACAATACATATTTTAAGCTCTTTGAAAATAGAGGGGTATGTTTACATTCCTTGAGGTTTATCCATAATTCATAGAAGAATACTAAGGATATGTTAATGTTTGGATGGAAAGCATTTATCCTGAAACTTGTCACATGTTTATTTTTTCAGATGAAATTTGGAATATTTTATTTAGACTCAAGTAGCACCAACACAGACAAAAATAGAATTATGATTTTATTAGGTTGTATTAAATGTATAATTACAGCTTATTAGAAATGTGTGTCCTCATACAAAAGATGATATGTCACACAGTTTACTCTGTTTTGTTTTATTTTTTTGTTTGTTATATATGTTTAATTCAGTTCACAATAGGTTATAATAATATAAATTCTATATCCTTCTTAAGTTAATACTAGTTAATTCATACTCTTGATATTGTGAATGGAGTTTTCTATAGGATTACACAATGCTTCTTGCTAATAATGAGACGAGAAGTCTTCTTCTGATTGAAGGTTTTTCTTGATCAAAGGGTTCGTGGTCTCAAGGGCTTCAAGGAATGAAGCCGTGGACCTCAGTGGCGAGTGTTACAGCTAGATTAGAGAAACACGTGGACGAAATGAGATGCCGAGTCTGCTTCCTGATCAAAGGGTTTTCTCGATCAAAGGGTTGGTAAGTCTTATGGGCTTTAAGGAATGAAGCCATGGACCGCAGAGGCTAGTGTTACAGCTCGATTAGAGAAACACGTGGACCCAAAGAGTGTGCAGCGGCAAGATTTATTAAAGCCAAAGCAAAAGTAAAGCAAAAGCAAAAGTAAAGCGAAAGCGAAAGTAAAACTTTGCTGGAAGGGGACCCAAGGGTTGCCATTTCTGGCTTGGGTGTCTTTTGCTTATATCATCTTATGACCCCTCCCCTTTTCCTTTTTCTGTCCTATAGAATTAGCTTATTGTCTATCTGCTTGTGAGTTGGTGGGCCTGATTGGTTAAAAACATGGGGCTGCAGCTAGAGTTTAAACTCCCTATATGATTGGTTGAAGTTTCAATCCCTTAGCTTGTAGCCGTGACGCATTTTAGCTCAGGGGAAAGTCCCCTTTGATTGGTTGAAGTTTCAATCCTTTAGCTTGCACTCATTTTGGCTTAGGGGAAAGTCCCCTTAGGGAAGTCCCTATTGACCCAGGAAGTCCAGCCAACTTAGCCACTTAGACCCTCAATAATATTAAGAGATTTTTAATTTTTAAGCAGAAATATTTGCAATAATTATGCCATTTACACAAACCTAATAGAATTGGCCAGCACTACAATAATTTAAAAACTTACTAGTAATGATATTCTTCTTTCTGCTTTCAATAGAGGCGTTCTCAATATTTGTCCTGAAATATGACACTGACAATTAGTAAAAAGATTTTGCTTTCAATTTGGTTATTAAAATAATTAAATTATGTTACTAAACAATTTTAAAACTTGGAAATGCATGATTCATATTCTGAAGATCTCTAGAACTTATTCATTTTATGAAACTAAAACTTTATACTTGTTGAATAGCAATTCCCAATTTCCCCCTTCCCCAGGCACCGGCAACCAACATTCTACTCTCTTCTTCTATGAGTTTGACTATTTAGATACTTCATAAAACTGGGATTATGCTGTATTTGTCTTTCTGTGACTGGCTGTTTTTGTTTAGCATAACTTCCTCCCGGTTTATTCTTCTTGTTGATAAAGCCAGACAGTTGGTTTTTTTTATTTGTTTGTTTGTTTTGAGGCAGGGTCTTACTCTATGAAGTGCAATGGCATAATCATGGCTCACAGCAGTCTCCACCTCTCAGGTTCAAGCCACTCGGGAGGCTGACAGGAGGATCTGTGTGAGCCACCATGCCCAGCTAATTTTTTTTTTTTAATTTTTTATAGAGACACAGTCTCCCTTTGTTGCCCAGGATGGTCTCACTCTCTTGGGCTCAAACAATCCTCCTGCCTTGGCCTCCCAAGGGGAGGGATTATAGGCAGGAACCACCACAACTGGCCAGGCTGAATAATATTTTTTTTGTATGTTTACACGATATTATCTTTATCTGCTACTGAACATTGAAGTTGCCTCTAAATCTTGGCTAGTATGAATAATGGTGCAATGAACATGGGATTATAAATATCTTTCACAATACTGATTTTAATTCCTTTGGACAAATACTCAGAGTGGGATTGTTGGTAGTTTTATTTTTAATTTTTTGAGGAACCTGCACACTGTTTTTCATAACAGCTGCTCCAGATCACATTCCAGCAATATTGTGCAAAGATTCTAGTTTTTGCACACCATCAAAACTTATATTTTCTCCTGTTTTTCTTTGCTTTATAATAGTCATTCTAACAGATGTGAGATGATATTACAATTTTGATTTGTATTAACCTGAGGATTAGCGATGTTGAGTATCTCTTCATATGTGTTGATTATTTGCCTGTCTTCTTAGAAGAAATATTTACTAAAGACTTTTGCTGATTTTTTAATTGGATTATTTCTTTCAGTTGTGTGAGTTTCTTATATATTTTTACTATTAGCCTCTTATCAGATGTGTGGTTTGCAAATATTTCCTCCCATTACCTAGATTGCCTTTTCACCATTTTGATTTTTTTGTCTTTGCTGTGAAGAGCTTTTCCTTTTATATAGCTTCACTTTATTTTTGTTTTCATTACTTGCGCTGTTGGTGTATATCCAAGGAATGATTGCCAATAACAATGTCAGGAAGCTTCCTCCCTGTTTCTTGTAGGAGGTTTACAGTTTCAGATCTTGTGTTTAAGTCTTTAGTCTATTTTGAGTTGATTTTTGTGTATAGTATAGGATAAAGGTTCAATTTCATTCTTTGCATGTTATACGTGGTTTATCAAATACCATTTGTTGAAGATATATCCTTTTCCCATTATGTATGTTTGGCATCCGTGTAAAAGATAAATTGACTGAATATGTATGAGTTTACTTCTTGGCTCTCTATTCTGTTGAATTGCTAGAAATGTCTATTTTTATGCCAGCACCTTACTGTTTTAATTTTGTAGTGCTGTAATATGTTCTGAAATCAGGAAGCTCTATTCTTCCTTTTCAAGGTTGTTTAGATTATTCAGTCTTTTGTGGTTCCATACAAATTTTAGAATTGTTTCTTAATATATAAATGAAATGTGGCATATTCAGTGGAATTTTAATCAGCTATAAAAAAGATTTGTTATAATATACTAAAAACAGTATGCTCTGTGAAAGAAAGCAGTTCCAAGAGAACACATATTGTATGATTATAATTATAGAAATATGAGAAAAAGACTATCTTGAGAGACAAAAAGCAGGATTAATGGTTCCTTCCAAGATTTTTCTTTGGTAGGTTTTTGATCTCTTTGTTAAAAGTTTCGTTTTGCTCACACATTGCTCTCTTGATCTTATTGAGCATCTTTATGAGTGTTATTTCAAATTCTTTTTTCATAACTTTGTTTGATTAGGATTGATTTGGAGTTTTATCTTGTTACTTTGTTTGGGATGTCACTCCCTATTTCTTCATTTTCTTTGATTCTTTCTGTTGGTATCTGTGCACTAGTAAAAAACAGCCATCTTTCCCAGTTTTCATTCATGTAGGACCTTCACCAATCAGCCTAGCCAGAGATTCTTGGGGTCTGGCAGACCTTTGTGTTAGTCTAAACCACTGTTTTTATTCTTAGGCATGCTGATCAGTCAGTGCTTCAAAACAGGTGAGACAATAGCCAATCCCTCGGGTAGTCACTAGAAAAGTTGGAGAGTTCTATGCTCAGTCCAACTCTTTCCTTTTCCAGAGAAAAGAAGGAATCTGAGGTTGAGCTGAGGGGCAGGGATTATGGCTACTGCTTGCATTCTACTTTCAACCATCTTCTTTCTTCTTACTAGCCCCATGTCAGGATCCATCAGTGTTCTGAGACCAGAGACAGAAATCAGTACCTTGGGCACATCCTTGAAAGATCTGAGCATTGGTCATGTCGTCAAATGTCCTTCTTCTCTAGGGAGAATCTGAAAGCTTTCCTTCTGATCTTATGGCATTGTGATGGGGTTAGGGATTATGGCTAAAGGAATTCTGAAGTTTTTCTACCAACTATGATGAATCTGATTTCACACTCACCCAAAGCGCAGAAATCTCTCAACTAGTATTTGAATTTACCATGGGAATTTGTCCATGTATTACTGTTCAATCTGTGTGTTCTTAATCAGAAGGAAGTTCCAGGGCTTTCTATTCTGCCACTTGGATAACATTTATCAATATCATTTTTACCATGTGTTTCAAGTTTTAATTTTTTAAATTCCTATTTTAAATTTTTGCATATTTTTCAGTAATATTAGTATGCAAAGTTTTAAAAATTGTTCTTATAGCTGAGTTTTGACGTAAAATTTATATTAACATTCCAAAACTAAGTGAAGGAATTTCTCTCTTTCCTTGCATTGAAACAGCTAGAATACAGATCTAGTAATTTTTGAGTGTTCAAATAACTTACTTGTGTAGATGATGACTTGGTTATGCTTAATGAGGTTAAATTTAAAATATTTTTATGTTACCATATTATTATTCATTTAATTGGGTTTCTTATTACTTCTTGCAATGTAGGCTTCCCTTCAAAAGTTTATACTGATTTGCACATTTGTTACCACATATTTATAAAAAATAATCTTCTAAATATTTCAATTTTTCATCTGTGGTTATATATGCTTTTCATGCATAAATCGCAATGTGACCGCTTTTTCTTTATTACTTTTTAGGAGTTTCATTTTTCCCAAAAAATCAGTTTTTTAATATGTTATATATTTTAAAAACATTAATAACATCACTTTTTAGTATAATTATTCCCCATTTCTTTTTATAGCTGATTTGAGTGGATTCTGTTTCTTGTAAATACATTATTTCTAAGATAAACTGTTTTCTTTTTTATTATTTGTTTCATAGATATTGGACCATCCTTTAAATTTAGTGATTTTACTTTTTGAAAACTTCTTAGTATATTTCAGCTGTAGAACAATTGAGTTTTAACTCATTATGCCATTTTAAAAATAGGCAAATGTCTCAATTGCATTCTTGATTGATTTATATCTTTACATTTATAGTTTAATAACATTTTCTACTTTCTTTTCTTTCTCTTGCTTTTGTGAGTTTCAATTTAAAAAGAAATTCTGTCATCACTTCAATTGAAATATAAATTACTTTCAAGCATTTATAAAAGATACACAAACATTAATTAAAACATCAATTTGATGTATAAAAATAATTCGGGAGTTGATAGCCCAACTACAAAGATCTTTACTTCATTATGAACTACCACAGTATAAATGGTTTTCTAGGCCATGGTAGAATTACATGACCTTTCCAGTTGGCTCTATGACAGAGCCATGATTCTCTTAGAAATTTTAAATGTCACTAATGATGGTCCATGTTAGTATCTGTGACTCTCCATGTGTAAGATATGTTTTTCCTTTGTTTTTGTTACTATACATCATTCCTAATCCTATTTTAGGCTCTGTTCTCCACTTGTTCAATGGATCCATGAATTTGAATTCACAGAAGAATTTCATTGCTGGATCAATCCCTGCTCTGTCCTACATCACCATTTTTAACACTCATGGTTGGCTTACCTTCATCAGCTAAAAGCATGCTTCAATGTCGCTCATACTGAGCAATTAAAAACAGGCAACAAAACATCTTGTAACTAGAGTCCCCTCCACGCACTGGATTTTCTGGTTTTTTTTGTTTGTTTGTTTTGAGACAGAGTTTTGCTCTTGTTGCCCAGGCGGGAGTGCAATGGCCCAATCTTGGCTCACTGCAACCTCCACCTCCTAGGTTCAAGTGATTCTCCTGCCCTAGCCTTCAGAATAGCTGGGATTACAGGCATGTGCCCCCATGTCTGGCTAATTTTTTGTATTTTTAGTTGGGATAGGGTTTCACCATGTTGGCCAAGCTGGTCTCGAACTCCTGGCCTCAGGCATGAGCCACCACAACCGGCCTGATTTTCTGTTCATCTTACAGGAAAATTTAATCTTTATAATTAGATGCTGTATCCACTATCTTTACCTCTTTTCTCTTTCTCTCTTGAACTTACTTCAATAAGTCTTTTATGTCCTTTCTTATCCTCCACATTCAGATGAAATATACATCCCTAGCTTCCTCGGCGTTCTCTCTCCCCTTCTTCCTCTGTCTTCCCCTCTCTCTCACCCATACCCCCAGACTCCTTAACTTCATATGCTTCTCCTTTCAATCACTTTGAGCTGAATTTGTTTTGATTTTTTTTTGTACCTTAAATGTCAGAACCAAGGGCATGACATTTAGGTTTGAACCTCAGCTCTCATCTCATATACTCACCCATTCTCCAGCTGATCCCTAGAAATCTTGTATCCTTAAACACAATAATGATCTTTGCATATATACATATATACATATACATATGCATATATACATATATATACATATACATATGCATATATACATATATATACATATACTACTCTTGAAGAATGTAAAATATACATTTTATGCATATATAAAAATACATATATATAAAACATACATGTTATGCATATGTATACATATACATATATATGTGTAACATGTATATTTTATATATATACATATATACACACACACATTTTGTTTATCATTGTTTATCCAGAACATAAAAGAGTTCTGGCACATAGTAAGGGCTTAAACTATTTTTCTTTATTAGATAAATAAATAAAAATATGTGGCTCTTGTCAAATGCTAAGAATACTTAGATATGTATTGTTTTAATTATCTTTTACTTTTCCTAGTTAGAATCAATTCTGCATCTCAGCTCTGTCAATAAAGAAAGTCTCCAACTTATCACCTTTTTCCACCTTTCACATTTCTAGTTTCTAATTTGGGTCGGCAGTTTGTTATTTTTAGTAATTTTGAATACTCTATAATGTTCTGTATGTTTCCACCCGTAACTTATAAACTTATAACCACCTGTGACTAGTTTCTTAGATTTAAATTTACATAAAAACTACTGTCATGCTTATCCATAACACATACTTGTAGAAGTATACTTGCAATTTCTGCTTTTAATTTTTTTATGTCTCGGTTTTCATAAACAGATCTGTACAGAAATGTTATTTTTGTAATATAATTTAAAATCTTTATCTATTATTTATTTTATTTTCGGTCTTCAGATATATTATCCATATAATATTTCCATTGTGTGGACTCTATAACTATCATCTTTGTCTTTATTTCTAAATTTTTTGATATAATTTTTTTCACAGCTTCTAAGGTTTTCTTGAGATTACACTTCACAACACTTGATTTAATATTTGGCAGGACTGATTCTCTGCTTAATTTAATTTTACTTATGATACAATTTCTGTTATGCTTTTTTCTTTAAGAAATATTTTTATCTACTTTTGTAATGATTTATGCAAGAAATTTCTTGATATTTTCATTTTTTACTCTGTTCACTATACCCCAGGTAACCCACTTAACATTTTCCAAAACCTATAGTATAACTGTTCATTTTTGTAAAGATATATTTTATGCAAATTACTTTAAAAAACTATGACTTTCTTTGACTATCTTTTTTTCTAACTCTTAGTAGATATATAAGTTAGAAAAATATTTATCATGTATGAAAAACATAATAGAGAAAGAGCTGTAGTAAGTGGGCAATGATAATTACTCTTCGTGTCAGATAGACAATAGTTTATAAACCACAGAATGAATATTCAATAAAAGAGACACAAACCTAATCTTCTTCCTCAAGAGAAGGAATAAATTTACATATTTCTGTTAGTTTTCTAATTCTTTTTCTCTTGGCTTAATTTCTTAAAAAAATCACCTTAATATTTGTCCATTGGGCCATCAATTTGTGAGCTTTTCATTAAGAAATAAGTAAAAAAAAATCCATAAATTAAGAGTTTCTGTAAAAGAGGAGCAAGAGGATCAAGAGACACTGTATTTAAGAGATTATAACTCAAGATCTTCATTTTTCTCACATTTTATAAAAGTGAATATATCTATTTTTAAAATATGTACACCTTTTAATTTTTTAATTCTTCCAAGTATAGTTGAACTTTCTCATATTGAGAACCATATGTTATCAATTATGTCCAAAATACTAGCTTTAAAACTCCATTAAAAATAACTCATTTGGATATAATTTAGTCACAATCCTTGCTTCATAGACTAGAATGCTGCATTGCCCAGTCACATGAAAACTCCTGAGGACCGGAGTACTATACAATAGTTCTATATATACTATTCCATAGTTTGTGCTTCTGTTGCATGATCATAGCATTCCCTTGCCACCCCACACACCAGTTTAGTGACTAAATTTTAAATATAAGTTGACAATTTCCACCATATTTGATGAAATATAGGCAAGGTGTTTTACTAATTTACACCTCAATAATTTTGTCATTGCAAACTTACAGGTAGATCTGCTTACATCTCAATCACCACGATGACTAATAGGTTTGCAATTTTAAAAATTAGGATACTTCCTATAAAACACACTCTATAAATAAATGAAATGTATTCTAATAGGAAATCAGTCGCCATGGTAGTTTTTTTGAGACACAATATTTGTCTTCAAAGCATGTAACTCACTAGGGTGTTCTTCAAAGGTAGGTCATGTGAAATTGGTGATGTCAAATCTCATCATATTCACTTGCTTTTGTATGAGATTTCTTTGAGGTATAGAATTTACCCTGTTGTGGTAACTACTTTTGCGCATTGAATCTATTAAAGATTCCATATGTGTTTTTTGTATGAGTTAGATAAGCTATGCTTTTTTCAACATTTTGATCTAATTTGAAAATGTATGAGTGCCCACTAAAAATATATTAAAGACCTTGAGGTTTTCAAGTGGTAGTTATTTTACAATTATAATGTAGTATTCTTACTTTGCATTTATTGTCTGTAATTAACGGTAGGAAACAAGTGACATATGCTTATGTAAAAATTTTAAAGCCACAGAAATGTTGCCTCTTAGATCATATTTACTCATTCAAAGAAACCAGAAAGTTATTCAGTGCCTATGTGACAGGCACCATGGGATCTAATGTAATCACAGGATGCATTAGGAGCACACATTGATCGAATACAAAGACATTTTCAAGAGGGAACAAAAGTGTAATGTTAGTATAAATACAGAGTACTTTACAAGTAGCACAGGAAAATCACATAGTTAAATATTGAATAAAAATGTTTTCGAGGAATGCTGGATACAACCTGTAACTGGCATAACAGGTGTTAGAGGTATTAAGCTAAACTGGGAATGGGGAAAGCAGAGAGATAGTCAAGTTGTAGGATGGAGAAAGGAGAAGACCCAAGAAGAATTGTGCAAATGCTAAGTGGTAAAGAAAGTGGGAAAAAATAGCCTATATAATGGAATGTTTATGGCTCCGTTTAGCTGGGCCAAGAATGTTCCTTTGGGAAAGGAGGTCAGAGGCTAAACCATTGTTTTTGAACTTTCACCAAAGTCTTGATTCGAAACACGTTTATCAGTTCCATGAATCTTTTATTTTGTAGTTGCTGAATTATACATTTTGATCATACCTGCGATTCATTTGTTTCTGTTTATTCAACTGAATTCCAACCATTTTCTCACATATGGCAATTATGTTCTTAGATCTGAAACATAATAGTGTCTTTATTATTCTATCTATTTTTGTGCCTATAAATAGGTATTATAATTTTTTTTCAAAAATCTAAACAAGGCCTTTGTCCTACTTTGGTGTACTGAGGATGACATTCCATATTTCATTTCTTATTTTGTGTGTGCATCTGCATATTTGTGTGTGTGTGAGTGCGTATGCACACATATTTTCATCCCCTATTCAGGAGAAATGCCTATTAGGATCACTGCATAAAATAATAGGTTTGAAAACAGTGTTGTCAGAAAGCAATGTCAAAGCCATTAGGGGTATTCTATTCCACTCTACAAACTGAGTTAATGGAGGCATATATAGGGAGTTGAAAGATATTAGCCGTAATCTATAAGAATGTAGAAATTTAATACATCCACAATAAAATGCCAGAACTAAAAGAGCTAACTGCAACTTGCATCTACTCTAGATTCTTGCATTTAATAGCTGTTTAATAATTAGACACTGTAATATAGGTACTTATATAAGCTTTATATTTATGATATTCTGAAGAGGGAAGAGCATTGCAAGGCAAAGATGTTTACAGAATGTGAGAAGGTTAAATGTTAATTTTAAAGATGTAAAAAAATATATAATCTAAGTGTTCATCAACACATAAATGGATGAGAAAAATGTGGTATATATACACAATGGAATACTATTCCGCATTAAGAAATGAAATTTTGTCATTTGCAGACATGAAATTTGTTAAGTGAAATAAGCCAGGCATAGAAAGATACCACATGTACTCACTCATATGTGGGCACTAAAAAATTTGGTGGCATGTAGGTAGAGAGTAGAAAGATAATAGAGTTAATAGAGACTTGGAAGAGTAAGTGGAGATAAGGGAAGAGAATGAAGAGAACTGGTTTAAAGGTTACAAACATACAGTAAGATAGAAGGAAAAAATTCAATGCTATATAGCAGATTAGAGAGACTAGATGTAACAAAAATGTATTGTATTTGGGTGATGGACACTAAGCCCTGACTTAATCACTATGCATTACACAAAATTTCTCATGTATCCCATAACACTGTAAAAATAAAATATGTATATATACTCTATTCCATTCTTTCCCTTCGGACATTGTGATGACTAATATACATTTTAAATGTTATCTTTTAATTCTATTATTAACTTTTTTGAAAGTGAAATGTGATCAGAATAAGCCTGTATTTTGCCACTAAACGTGCCGTTATTAATACGAGTAATTTTTTTTGTCCAAGTTTAGTAATTTAGCATTCTTAAAATTTGGCTGCTTTTTCATGTCATTCCATGAATACCATTGAAAGGCAATTATTTCTAAATAAAGGTAGTTTATAGATATGATAAATAATATTTAAAATGAGTCTTTTCTGTGAGATTTTTAAACACCAAAAAAGTGCACATGCTCACAAAACATACATGAAAGTTAATATTAGACAATATTTACTATATTTATGAAATAAATAATATTTTAACCACAAAATCAACATTTTTCTAACTGTAAAATATTGCCAGATAATCAACAAGGATTAAGCACCATGTTGGAACAAAAGTAGTCTAGAATTATACTTTCAAAGCTGAGCACCTGCTGTAAAATAACCATCTGTGATTAACTGTAATTTAATTATAAATTCATTTCTTTTGTGTATACTGGAAAGATCTCACAGGTCTTCCCAAGTTGGTTGACAATCAACTTCTGGTATTTTGTCAAGCACACTTGCATATTTTCTTAATAGCACCTGCTAACTCTATTTCACTGCAAATTTTGTAAAGAGCTTCTGGGACTTTATGGTGGCACTAACAGGCAAATGAATTATTAAATCTGTAATCAAAGCTGCATTAATTTATCATCTGCAGTAGAAAGCTGATGCTGAAAGCTTTAGGATAAGTTTATGTTTACCTATAAAAAGTCATATGAAAAGTTTAGATATTTAATAGAATAATTGAGGTAGCCAAACATTTGTGACCATCTTATTTTTTAGAAGTGGTTTTCATTATTTTAGCAACAATTATTTATCTAATTGTTGTCTTCCTTTGCAATAATTAAATGATGATAAAATTAAAGTTATTATACTTTTCTATTTGCATTGATAATTATCAATTAACTTTTTTATTAGATATTTCAAAAATGTTACACTCCTTTTTTACAGAAATTTTTCAATAACTTATTACTGACTCAAAATTCAAAACAGCCATAAAGCAGAACCAAATTCTGCTGGCCCAGATTGACTTACAGAATAGCGAGTGAAAATGTCAGTAAACTCCCTGTAAAATGATAAAAATATGGTAAATCAACTAAAATCACTATTTCAAAAATCTAGCAATTAGCTAAAGCCACAGAACAAGATAAAAATAATCTCTCCAAGAGGAACTACTGCACCTTGTCAAAACAGCAGAATCTGTGACTCTTTAACTTAGGGCTATTCAAATTCCTTCTCTATTCCCTGCTCAGTTGTACAGTAGCCAAAAGCCAGCAACACTGCAGTCAATGGAAATATCTAACTGTTTAAGGAGCTTGTTTAAAAGCATCATCCCCAGAGCATAGTCAATATTTTATCCAATTTGTAGTTTCCTCCCTGGGAAATTTGTATGTTCAGAGGGTTATGACTTTGATTTGACAAAGAACTAAGCTCAGCCAAGAGGGGCGGTAGTGTAGAGGTGGGTACCATACACTCAGGAAGCAAATACAAAAATTAAGAATGAAAGCAACGATATCACTACTGGCCTTACGGAATAAAAAAAAGGATAGTAAGAAAACAATATAGAAAGGAATAATATGGAGAAATGCCATCAAATTAGGTAATTTAGGTGAAACGGACAATTTTCTAGAAAAAACACAAACTACCAAAACTGACTTCAAAAAGAACTAACTAATCTGAGTAGATAAGCAAAGTGATTAAATTATTACTTAAAGAGAAAAGAGAGACAGAGAAAAGTCCAGGCCCAGATGACTTTACTGATGAATTCTTAGTAACATTTAAAGATGATTTAATATGTATCCTTCACAAACTCTTCCAAAGGATAGAAAACACTTCCCAACTGACTCCTTGAGGCCAATACTAGAAGACACCACAATAAAAGAAAACTATAGATCAATAGCCTTAAGTATATATGTAAAATATCTTCAGTGAAATACTAGAAAACTGAATCCAGCAACATGTAAAAAGGATTATACACTATGATCAAGTGGGATGTACACCCAAAATGAAAGGTTGATTTAACATACAAAAGCCCAACAACATAATACAGCATATCAAATAAAATACATGATAAAAACTACATGGTTATCTCAACAGACACAGCAAAATCATTTAAAAAATATCATATAATAAGATGACTCAGCAACTAGAAATATAAGGTACCTCCTTTACCCTAACAAAGTGTCGAAGAAGTGTATCCAAAACAAACAAACAAAATAAAACTACAACTGACATGATATATAATAGAGAAAAACTGAAAAACTGAATACAATCTCCTAAAATCAGAAACCAGAAAAGAATACCCACTCTTGCCACTTCCATTTAACACTGAACTGAAGGTTCTAACCATGGTAATTGGCTAAGAAAAATAAAATAAAATGCTTCCAGATTATAAAGAAATAAGTAAAACTGTTTATATTTGCAGATGACATAATCTTGGATACAGAAAATCCAAAGGAAAACACACACATGCATATACACATAAACACCATATACACACATTATTAAAATAATAAAGAGGTTCAGTAATGTGGCAAGATATAAGATCAATTTACAAAAATTGTCTTTCTATATACTAGAAATCAAAAATGTAAAAATAAAATTAAAGGCACAGATTCATTTATAATAGCAACAAAAATAAAATATCTAGGAATAAATTTAAGAAAAAATGTGAGTTTTGTGCACCAACAATTTTTATAACATATTGAGAGATATTAAAGAATATAAACAAATGCAAAGACATCCCACAAACGACAAATTGGAAGACTTAATATTGCAAAGATAGAAATACTCCCCAAATTGATGTATAGATTCAAAGCAATCCCTGTATAACTCCAGTTGGTATTTTGCAGAAATTGGTAAACAGATTCAAAAATTTGTATGGAAGTTTAAGGGACCTAGAAGAACTAAAATAATTTTGAACAAAAAAGAACACAATTAGTGGACTCACTCTTTCTGATTGATACTACAAAGCTGTTGTGACCAAGACAGTCTTGGATAGACATAAAGATAGACATGTAGATCATGGAGTAGAGTTAGGAGTTAAGAAATACATTCTTACACTTATGATGAATTCATTTTTAACATGAATGCCCAGAAAACTTAGTGGATAATGTTTTTTTTCAATAAATGGTGCTGGATGACTAGTCACATGCAAAATAATGACTTTCTACTGATATTATGTCTAAAATGAACTCAAAATGAATCATAAATGTAAGAGTTAAACTCACAAAATTCAACAATAGGAGTAAATATCTGTGATTTCGAGTTTGATAATAGTTTCTTATATATGTCACCAACTGAAAAAATGACAAATGAAGAAAATAAATCGGACTTAATCAAAAATTAAAATTTGCAGCTTCGAAAGACACTGTTTAAAAAAGGAGAAAAACACAAATGGTAGGAAATATTTCCAAGTTATATACCTGAAAAGGGACTTATAATTCTAGACTATAAAAACAATACTTATCAGCCGGGCACAGTGGCTCACGCCTATAATTCCAGTACTTTGGGATGCCGAGGCGGGAGGATCACGAAGTCAGGTGATCGAGACCATCCTGGCTAACACGGTGGAACCCCATCTCTACCAAAAATACAAAAAATTACCTGGGCGTGGTGGCAGGCGCCTGTAGTCCCAGCTACTCAGGAGGCTGAGGCAGGAGAATGGCGTGAACCCAGGAGGTGGAGCTTGCAGTGAGCCGAGATTGCACCATTGCACTCCAGCCTGGGCGACAGAGCGAGACTCCATCTCAAAAAATATATATATAATAATAATAATACTTACCACTCAATAATAAAAAGACAAATTATCCAATTAAAAATGGATTTGAATAAACATTTCTCCAAGCAAGATATATAAATGACCAATAAACACATGAAAATATCCTCACTCTAATTTGTCATTAGGAAAATGTAAATTAAACTGGAACAGTAAAAAACTGCTTCCCACTTACAAGAACAAGGATTGGCAAAAATGTGGAAAAATTAAAATCCTCCATTTGTCGCTATTGGAAATGTAAAATGATGCCGTCACTTAAGAGAACCGTTTGGCAGTTTCCATGATTACTAAATGTAGAGTTAACGTATGACTCAGCGATTCCAATTGTAAGTATATATCCAAGAGAAATGAAAACAGATATTCATACAGTGTTCATAGCTGCATTATTCATAACAGCACAGAAGTGGAAGCAAACCAAATGTCCATTAACTGATGAATAAATTAAACAGTATGTTCACACAATGGATTATTATATGGTAATAAAATGAATAAAGTTTTGATACATAATACAACATGGGTGAAACTTGCAAACATTATGCTAAATACAAGGAGGCAGTTACAGAAGACCACATGTTATTGAATTCCATATGTGAAATTTGTAAGTCTGTAAAAGCGAGGAAGTGGATTTGGATTAGTGGTTGCTGAGGTTTGGGGTAGGGGTAGGAAGTGGCAATTGGGAATGTCTGCTAATGTAGTTTATAGGCTATCCTTTGAGGGTGTTGAAAATGTTTTAAAATTAGATTGTAGTAATAGTTGTACAGATCTGTAAATATGCAAGAAACCACTAAACTGTAAACTTTCAATTGATAAATTTTATGGTTTGTGAATTATTTCTTAATAAAAGTATAACATTAAAATATTACCTTCAAAGTTTTGAGGTAGATTTAGTAATAATAGAATATTTAATTACAGCAAGTGTTTATTGAACAGTTTTACAGTCAGTTTGAAAAGTATTTTAGATGCTTTACTTAATTAAATTATGTTATTACCTTTATAAGAGAGATATAGTGAGAATTCCCATTTTATAGCTGAGAAGACCAAGCAAGGTAAGGTAAATACACTTGCACAATATCACACTGGTAACTGATTCAAATCTAGGCAACCTGGCCTCAGAGAATATACTTTTAGAAATTAAACTTTATTTCAGAAATGTTTTACACTTGACATTTCGGCATTTCTGGCTTTATTTTCTACATTCTGTTTATTTCTATTGTTTTTCTTTTTCATCAGTAAATCTTAACTGAGGTTTTGTCATGTGTGTATTCCTTGAACGAATCTTCTACAAATGAAAGTATCATGGAAAATTGTGTCACTGAGCTTATGTATTATAATCTCATTTATGTAGTGATAAAAATTTACATTTTTCCCAAACACTTAAGATAGAATTAAACTGGTGAAATGCTTACTCACATTATATATTCCCATAAATTCAATGAAATAAAAATCTCATTTCTTTCTTTCTTTTATTTTTCCAATTATAGTGTCCTCCTTAAAGCAGCAGCAACACAGTCATTCTCCATTCTTCAATAATGTGCACTTTCTCATTGTCTTGCTAATACTGTGTCCGGAGTTTGTCCCTTCCAGTGGGTTTGTGGTCTCACTGACTTCAAGAATGAAGCTGCGGAACTTTCCAGTGAGTGCTACAGCTCTTAAAGGTGGCCCGGACCCAAAGAGTGAGCAGCAGCCAGATTTGTTGTGAAGAGCGAAAGAACAAAGCTTCCACAGCGTGAAAGGGGACCCGAGTGAGTTGCCACTGCTGGTTGGGGGTGGCCAGCTTTTATTCCCTTCTTTGTTCCCCCCCTCCATGTCCTGCTGATTGGTCCATTTTACAGAATGCAAGTTGGTCCCTTTTACAGAGTGCTGATTGGTCCATTTTACAAACCTGTAGCTAGCCACAGAGCACTGATTGGTGCATTTTACAAACCTCTTGTAAGACAGAGAAGTTATTCAAGTCTCCACCTGACCCATAAGTCCAGCTGGCTTCATCTCTCAATACTAGTTGAAGACATCATCAGATCCTGTGCAAAATAAATAAATAAATAAACAAACAAACAAACAGTTATTCACTAATAAAAAGAGCCCAGAAAGGGACTTCACCAGATAATCGGGAGCAACACATAGAGAAAAAAAAAAAAAAAGAATATTACATAGAAAAGTTCACTGGTAAGATCCACACACCTAAGACTGTTGAAGATGGCCAGGAGCAAAGAAGAAAGATGGAGGATGTCAGTATTAGCAATGTGGCAGAAACCACTGCAGCCCCAGTGGCCTGTTCAGCAAGAAGACCCTGGTATATCCTGACAGTGAGGTAATCAGAGAGGAGAACTTCGGAGAGGAGATTTCCAAAACGAAAGATGAAGAAAAATCTTATATAATGATTGAAGGATAAAGTCATCAAAAAGATATAACAACTGTAAATATATATGCACCTAATATCAGTACACATAAATATGTAAAACAAATACTAAAGGATCTGAAGAAAAAAATAGACTGCAACACAATAGGGGAATTCAGTACCCCACTTTTAATAATGGAGAGATCATCCAAAAAGCAAATCAATCAGGAAATATTGGACTTGAGCTGCACTTAGACAAAATGGACCTAACTGATATATACAGAACATTCCATCCAACAGCAGCAGAATGTACATTCTTCTCAAGCATACACAGAACCTTCTCAAGGATGAATCATGTGTTAGTTCACAGAACAAGTCTTAATAAATTTAGAAAAATTAAAAGTAATGTCAACTATATTTTCTAAATACAAATAGTATAATAAAAATAAATAATAGAAAAGTTGAAAAATTATGTATGTAGAAATTAAAAGACATTCTTCAACTAATGGGTCATACATTAAACAGGAAAATTCTAAAAATACCTTGAAACAGACAAAAAAGGGAATACAACATATGAGAATTTATGAGATACAACAAAAGCCATTCTAAGAGACGTTCACAACAATAAATGCCTAGGTCAAAAAGGAAAAAAAAAAGATGTAAAACAACCAACCTAACATTACACCTCAAGGAACTAGAATAAAATAAAAATGAACTAAGCCCAAATTAGTAGAAGAAGGAAATCATAGAGATCAGAGCTGAAACAAATAAAATAAAGACTAGAAAAACAGTAGAAAACATAAATGAAAGTGAGTTTTTTTTAAGAGATATACAAAACTAACAACTCTTGTGCAGGAGTAAGAGAAAAGAGAGGAAATTCACATAAAAATCAGAAAAGAAAGAGGAGATACTAACGAAACACAAAGGTGCATAAGAGATTACTGTGAAAAAATTACGCACCAACAATTTGGATAATCTAGAAGTAATGAACAAATTCTGAGACAAATACAACCTCCCAAAACTGAAAAACTAAAACCAAAGAATAACTGAAAAATTAAAACAAAAAAATAGAAAGTCTGAACAGAAAAATAATGAGAACGTGAGCAAATCAGTAATTTAAAAAATTTCTCCCCTCAAAGGAAAACCCAGGACCTAATTGCTTCACAGATGAATTTTATCAAACATTGAAAGAAACACTAATACTAATCATTGTTAAACTCTTCCAAAAAGTTGAGGAAAAAACACCCAAACCCATTTTACTATGCCTGCTTATGCTAATGTCAAAGCCAGGAAAGGACACTACAGGATGAGAAAAGTATGGGCCATTATTCCTGATGAACTTACATGAAAAAATTCTCAACAAAATATTATTAAACTGAATTCATCCGCACATTAAAAACATCATTTACCACATCCAAGTAAGATTGATCCCATGCATGCAAGATTGGTTCAACATATACAAACCAATAAATGTGACATATCACATTCATAGTATGAAGGACAAAAACTAACCTATACTTTTATGATAAAAATTCTCAACAAATTAGATATAGTAGGAATGTACCTCAACAAAATATAGTCCATATATTACAAGCCCATGGCTAACTGCTAGAAGTTCAAAGCTTTCTAATTCAAGATCAGAAACAAGTATATTCAGTATAGTACTAGAAGTCCTAGCCAGAGCAAGTAGGCAAGAGAAAGAAATAAAAGGCATCACATTAAAAAGGAAGAAGTAAAATTGTCTTTGTTTGCAGATTACATGATATTATATATAAAAAACCCTAAAATCCCTACCATAAACTGGTTAGAAATAAAAATTCAGTAAAGTTGCGAGGTAATGAATGAGCTTTAAAAATCACCAGAATTTCTGTCAAGTAACAATAAACTATCTGAAAAAGGAATTAAGAAAATTATCTGATTTACAATAGCATTAAAAAGAATGTGCACTAAATGTAACCAAGGAGGTGAAAGGGCTGTACGCTGAAAACTGTCAATTATTGATGAAAGAGGTTGAAGAAGACGCAATTAGGTGAAATGACAATCCATGTTAATGTATTAGAATAATTAATACTATTAAAATGTCCATATGACTCAAAGCAGTATAAAAAATGCAATGTTGGCTGGATGCAGGAGCTAACACCTATAATCCCAACACTTTGGGAGGCCCGAGGCAGGTCGATCACTTGAGGTAAGGAGTCCGAAACCAGCCTGACCAACATGGTGAAACCCTGTCTCTACTGAAAATACAAAAATGAGTCGGGTGTGGTGGTTCACTCCTATAATCCCAGCTACTTAGGAGGCTGAGGCAGGGAATCGCTTGAATCTGGGTGGTGGAGGTTGCAGTGAGCCAAAATCACATCACTGCACTCCAGGCTGAGCAACAGAGAGAGACTTTGCCTTAAAAATACACACACACACACACACACACACACACACACACACACACGTAGTAACCTCTATCAAAATTCCAATGACTTTTTACATAAATAAAAAATTCGTTCTAAAATTTGTATGGAACCACAAAAGACAGGCAACTAGCAAAAGCAATCTTGAGAAAAAAGAACAAAGCCAGAGGTATCACACTACCTCAAAGCTATAGTCATCAAAACAGCATGGCACTAGTATAAAAACACACACAGACCAATGGAACAGAATAAAGAGCCCAGAAAGATAGTTTCACATTTACTGTCAACTGATTTTTAACAAAAATGGCAGGAACACACAAGGAAAGGAGAGGGCCTTCAATAAATGGTGCTGGACAAACTGGATATCCATATGCAGAAGAAGGAAATTAAACTCTCATTTGATATCATATTAAAAAATAACTGAAAATGGGCCAGGCACACTGGCTCATGCCTTTAATACCAGAACTTTCACAGGCCTAGGCAGGAGGATTGCTTGTGCCCAGGAGCTAGAGACCAGCCTGGGCAACATAGGAAAACCCGATCTCGACTTAAAAATATAGAAATAAATCTAAAAATTAACTGGAAATGGATTAAAGTCTTAAATATAAGATACAAAACTGTAAAACTACTGGAAGAAATCTTAAAGGAGAAGCTTCATGTCATTGGTCTTGGCAGAGGTATTTCGGATATGATCCAAAAAGCACATTCAACAAAAGCAAAAATAGACAAATAGGATTACATCAAACTTTAAAGCTTATTCATAGCAAAGAAAACAATCAATAGAGTGGAAAGGCAACCTACAGAATAGGAGAAAATATCTGCAAACCATACATCTGATAAGGGATTAATATCCAAGCTATGTAAGGAACTCATACAACTCAATAGTGAGAAACTGACACAATTATAAAATGGACAAAGGTCCTAAATAGACATATCAAAAGTAGACATACAAATAGCCAATTGATATATGGAAAAAATGTTTATACATTCTTCAGGGAAATTCCTATGAGATTCAGGGAAATTCATATGAGATTCAATGAGATACCACCTCATAGATTAGGATGGCTTTTTTTTTTTTTTTTTTTTTTTTGAGACGGAGTTTCACTCTTGTCGTCCAGGCGGGAGTGCAATGGCATGATCTTGGCTCACTGCAACTTCCACCTCCTGGGTTCAAGTGATTCTCCTGCCTCAATCTCCCGAGTAGCTGGGATTACAAGTGCCTGCCATCACCCCCGGCTAATTTTTTGTATTTTCAGTAGAGACCAGGTTTCACAATGTTGGCCAGGCTGGTCTCAAACACCTGACCTCAGGTAATCCACCCTCCTCGGCCTTCCAAAGTGCTGGGACTGCAGGAGTGAGCCACCACACCCTGCCCAGGATGGCTTTTATCACAGAAACATAAAAGATTGAAAATATTGGCAAGGATGTAGAGGAAAAGGGGACACTTATAGATGGTTGGTGGGGATGTGAATTAGTATAGCCATTATGGAAAATAGTATGGAGGTTCCTCAAAAAATTAAAAACAGAACTACCATGTGATCCAGCAATCCTGCTCTTCAGTATATATATAAAGGATATAAAATCAGTAGTTGAAGAGATATCTTCATTCCCATGTTCACTGCAGCATTACTCACAATAACCAAGATATGGGTTCACCCTGTCTTCATCAAAGGATGAATGGATAAAGAAAATGAATGTGGTATGTATACACATCGTAATACTATTCATTATTTAAAAAGAAAGAAATCCTGTGATTTGCAGCACTGTGGATGAATCTGGAGAACATTATGTTGAGGGAAACAAGCCAGGCACAGAAACAAATAAATACTGCATGATATCATTTATATTTGGAGTGTAAAAATATTCAAACTCATAGAACAGAAAGTAAAATGGTAATTACCACAGGCTGGGAGTTGAGCACATTGTGGAGATGTTAGTCAAAGGACACAAAATGTCAATGAGACAGAAAGAATAATTTCCAGAGATCTGTTGTTCATCACAGTAGTGACTACAGTTAATAACAATATATTCTATATGTAAAAATTTCTGAGAGTAAGAGTAGATTTTTGTGTTCTCACCTCCAAAAATGATAAATGTATGAGGTAATGCATATGTTAAATAGCTTGATTTAGCCCTTCTACAAAGTATGCATATACAAAAACATCATAGTGAGTACCATAAATATGAGAAAAAAAATCCCGTCATTTGTCAATCAAAAAATTGCAACCCTACCACCACCACCAACAAAGAACAAAAACAAAAACAAAAACAGAAAACAATGGCAACAAAAAACAGAAGGAAAGTGGGAAAGCAATTAAGAGGGCACTCGTAACTCTGCAATTAGTAGGAATATGCAGGCTTCAGAATAACCAGAAGTTAATCAGAGACAACAAAGAAAAGAGCCAAGAATAATACTCCTGGTATCACAGTCAACCCTGTGGTTAGGAAGGCTGCACATAAATGCCAGGTTACACCTGTTTCGGAGCAGAGTAAGCCAGATGTGGAGCAGACTTGACAATATTCTCAAAGCTATGCTCAGAATCATCAATAAAGAACAGAACCTCACTGGGACTATGAACATAAGAAAAACCTTTTACCCAAAGAAAAAGATGAAAAATAAACTACAAAACACCTCACTCAACAACAATAGAATGCACCTTTTTCTCATGTACACATAACATTCTCCAGACTAGATCATATGCTAAGACATAAAACAAGCCCCCCAAAATTAAAAATATTGAAATTATGCAAGGTATGTTTTCTGATTAAAATACAATTAAATTAGACATCAGTAATGAAAGAAAGTGAAAATGCATATTATTAACTATGTAAAAATTAAACAATGTAATCCTAATAACCAAGGAAACGGGGGAAAACTCACAAGGAAAATAGAAAATATTTAGAGATAAATAAAAATAGAAACATAGCATGCAAAAAATAATGGGATGCAGTTAAACAAGTCTTCAGAGGAAAATACACGGCTGTAAACGTGTACGTTAAAAAAGATTTCAATCAATAATCTAATCTTCTCCCTGTGGAAATGAGAAAAAAAAAGAGCAAGATAAATAAAACAGAAAACCAATATAAAAACTCAATGAAAGCATAAGTTTATTGTTTGAAAAGATTAATAACATTAACAAACTCATTTTATGAGGCTGAAATTACCCTAATAGCCAAACCAAAGGTTTCACAAGAAAATTATTGGCCAATATCCCTTAAAAATATAGATTCAAAAATCCTTAATAAAATACTAGCAATCTGAATCCAGCAACATATAAAATGGTCATACACTATGAAAAAGTAGGATTTATGGAAGGATTAAAAATTTGACTTAATATATAAAAATCAATCAGTGTAATACATTACATAAATTTAAGATAAAGAAATATTTGAAAGTCTTAATAGATGCAGAAAAAGCATTTGGAAAAATCATGCACCCATTCATGTTAAAAGTGTTCAGCAAAGTTTAATAGTAGTTCAAAATATTATAAAGTAATGGAAATTTAAAAATTAGTATAACGGTCACATTACATTAAGTTTTATAAGTAATCTAGAGATGGCTTAAACTATGTGAGAAAATGTGCATAGGTTATATGCAAATGATATGGAATTTTTATTTGTAGAAATGTATGGGTTACATATAAAATGTTTTCTATGTATATAATTCATGCTGGTCAAATCAGGATATTTAGGGTGTCTATCACCAAAGTACAGTAAATTTTTAAGTACAATTACCCTATTCTACTATCAAACATAGAATTTAGTCATATTTTGCTGTGTGCTTGTACCTTTTAACCCACTTCTCTTCATCCTTCCCCCCACACTCTTGCCCTTTCCTTTGTTTGTTATAGATGTTTCCACTCTCTACCTCCATGTGATCAAATTGTTTAACTTCTACTTATGAGTTAGAACATGTGTTATCTTTCTATGTCTGGCTTATTTCACTTTATCCATATTGCTGCAAATGACATAATTTCACTCTTTTTATGGCTGAATAGTGTTCCATTATGTATATAAACCACATTTTCTTTATCCATTCATCCATTGATGGACACCTAGGTTGACTCTATATCTTGGCTATTGTCAATAGTGCTGCAATAAACATGTGATTGCAGGCATTCCATATATATGTATATTCCCGCCAGTTTGGATACATTCCCAGTAATAGGATTGCTGGATAGAATGGTAATTCTATTTTAAGGTTTTTGAGAAATTTTCATACTCTTTTCCACAGTGGCTGTTCTAGGTACATTCTCACCGACAGTGTATGAGTTTCCTTTCTTTTGCATCCTCACCAACATCTGTTAATTTCTGTCTTTTTTGATAATCACCATTATGACTGGTGTAAGGTGATACCTCAGTGTGGTTTTGATTTGCATTTATCTGATGATTGGTGATGTTGGGTATTTTATATATATATGTTGTTCATGTGTATGTCTCCTTTTTAGAAATGTTTATTTATGCCCTTGGTCCACTTTGTAATGAGATTATTTGCTTTCTCCCTGTTGAGTTCTTTGAGTTACTTGTAGAGTCTGTATATTAATCCCCTGTTCAGCTGAATAGTTTGCAAATATTTTCTGCCATTCTGAAGACTGTCTTTTCATTCCGTTGATTATTTCATTTGCTGTAATTAAGCTTTCTAGTTTAATTATGTCTCATTTGTCTATTATTTTTGTTGCCTGTGTTTTTTGTAGTTTTAGTCATAAGTTGTTTGCCCAGACCAAAATCCAGAAGAGATTCCCCTGTTTGTTTGTTGTTGTTGTTGTTTAGGTTTAGCTTTTTACAATTTCAGGTCTCCAATTTAAGTCCTTAGTCCATTTTGAGTTGATTTTTATATATGATAAGAGATACAAATCCAGTTTCATTCTTTTGTGTGTGAGTATCTCATTTTCCTGGAATCATATATCGAACAGAATATTCTATTCCCAATGTGAGTTCTTACCAGCTTTGTCAAAGATCAGTTGGCCACAAGTCTGTGGCCATTGGTTTATATGTGTATTTCCATTGGTTTATATGTGTATTTTTATACCAATACTCAACTGTTTTGGTTACTATAGGCTAGTTATATATTTTTATTTCAGGTAACATGATGCTTCAAGCTTTGTTCTTTCTGCTTAGAATTGGGTTGGTTATTTGGGCTTCTTTTTGGTTTCATATAAATGTCAGCGTTTGTTTTCCCAAGTTCTACATAAAATGGCATTGGTGTTTTGATAGAGATTTCATGAAATCTGTAAATTGCTTTTGGCAATATGGTCATTAAAAAAAAACTAGATACAGGATCTCATTCTTTCACCCAGGTAGAAGTACAGTTGGGACAATCATAGTTTACTGCAGCCTCAAACTCTTAGGCCCAAGCAATTCTCCCACCTAAGCCTCTCAAATAACTAGGAATACAGGTTTGTGCCACAACACCAGATACTTTTTTAAAAAACATTTTTTTTGTAGAGATGATGTCTCGTTGTGTTTCCCAGGCTGTTCTCAAATCCTGGCCAAAACCAATCCCCTTGCCTTGGCCTCCCAAAGTTCAATAGTTTATTTTAGTGGTATTAATTTTTTAAATCAATGAATATGGGATGTTTTTCCATTTGGTAGCATCATCTTCAATTTCTCTCATCAGTGTTTTGAAATTTTCTTTATAGACATCTGTCACCTCCTTGGTTAAATATATTTTTAGATAATTCTTTTTGTAGTTATTGTAAATGTTATTACTTTCCTAGCTAGATCGTTATTGGTGTACAGAAACACTACTGATTTTGCACATTTGATTTTGTATCCCATAACATTACTGAATTTATTTATTAAATTTAGGATTTACTTTGGTTGGAGACCAGATTTTTTCAGATATAAAACCATATCATCAGCCAAGAAGGGATAATTTGACTTCCTCTCTTTCAACTTGGATGTCTTTTCTTTCTTTCTCTTGAATAATTTATACGGGAAGGACTTCTAGTACTATGTTGAATTAGAATGGTGATAGTGGACATCTTTTTCTTGTTCCAGTTCTTATTAGAAAGGCTTTCATTATTTACCTATTCAGTACAATGTTAGTTGAGGTTTTGTCATATATGGCTTTTATTATTTTGAAATCTGTTTCTTCTACATCTAGTTTTTTGAGAATTTTTATCATGTATGGGTGTTAAGTTTTATCAAATGATTTTTCTATGTCTATTGAGATAATCATATTTTTGTCTTCCATTCCGTTTATATTAGGTATCACTTTTTTGATTTGCATATGTTGATCTATACTTGCATTCCTGATGTAAATCCTACTTAATTGTGGCTTATCATAGTTTTGATATGGTGCTGGATTCAGCTTGAGAGTACTTTGCTTAGGATTTTTGTGACTGTTAATCTAGGATATTGTCCTGCAGTTTTTTCTTTTTTGTGTGTTCTTATCTAGTTTGGATATCAGAGTGATGTTGGTCTTGTAGAATCAGTTAGGTAGAATTTCTTTCTGTGACTATTTGAAATAAATTCAGTGGGATTAGTATTTTCGTATGTTTGGTAGATTTTGGCTGTGAATCCATCAGGTCTCGGAATTTTCATTGTTGACTTTTTATTAGTGATTCAATGTCACTACTGATTGTTGGTCTATTAACGTTTTTTATTTCTTCCTCACTGAATCTTGGTAGGTTGTGTATTTTCAGGAATTTATCCAGATCCTCTAGGTTTTCCAGTTTGTTCCCATATGGTTTTTCATAATGGTTTCAGATGATCTTTTGTGTATCTGTGGTATCAGTTGTAATATCTCCTTTTTCATTTCTGATTTTATTTGGTTCCTTTCTCTTCTTGGTCTAGCTAGCGGTTTATGAGTTTTGCTTATCTTTTCAAATAATCAGTATTTGTTGTGTTGATCCTTTGTATTGCTTCTTAGGTCTCTATTTCATTTAATTCTGCTCTGATCTTTTTTACTGATTTTCTTTTGCTAATTTGGGGTTTTGTTTGTTCTTGTTTCTTTAGCTCTTTAAGGCACATTGTAAGATTGTTAGTTTGCAATTTTTTTTCACTTTTCTGATGTAGGCATTTATTGCTATATGCTTAACTCTTAGCGCTGCTTTTGCTGTCTGCCACAGGTTTTTTCTTTAATGTTGTGTTTCCATTTTCATTTGTTTCAAAATATTTTTATTGCCATCTTAATTTCCCCCATTGACTCCGCTATCATTGTATTGCAGTGTGTCTCTTTCTTTAGCACTAGTGTTGGAGGCTTCACAAGTGTTTCTTATGATTAGCCATAATTGAAGCCTGTTCACACCTGTGATCAATTAAGCAACTGACCAATCGTTACCTCCTCCTCCTTGCTCTTGTTACCTAACAAATAGGAAGAGCTGTAGAAGGCCGGGTGGCTGCCTTTGCTCACTAGGAGCAGAGAGCTCTCTTCTTCAGCATCCTAGCCTTTCCTTAAAATGATTACGTTCGTTTTTTGTTATTTCTATATTCGTCCCTTCATTCAGTCTTGTAATGATGGTCTCAAGTAGTAAGAGTAGTAACTGCCGTAACGACAGTCTGAATTACTAACAGTGGCAGTCAGCCACAAGTGGCACCTGAACAGGGACTAACAGGGACAGAGACCTGGAGGGACCTGATATGGACTTGGACGAAGAAGGTCTGCTTGAACAGAAAAGACTAAAACCAACTAGAAGAATGAGAAATGCCGCTACAAGTCTGCCGGCAGCAACAAGAGGTGAGTGCTTTAAAAAGGTACTGATCAGTGCCCTAGAGGTACAAAGAATGGGAACTTTTTGAATCAGAATAACATGGGAAAGAATTTGGCTATTTCTTTTCTGTTTTGTTTGGAGTTTGTTACCTACCATATTTTTATCATTAGTTCAGGGTTTGAGAGAATTTTTTGCCTCACCTACAGCACCTATTGAATGCGGTGAACAGGAGAGAGAGAATGGAAATTGGATGTACTGTCTTTTGTGGCTACAGAAAGGCTAACTTTAGCTTTGGCTTTCGTGGATTGTAAATGTGCACTGGCACCTGTGAGATGTGCAGAGCACTTGGGAGGTTTTCTCAGAGCTTGTCAAAATGTGGGAACTGAGCTTCATTGCTCTGCAGTATTGACTCAGGCAATTGCTAATTTGGTAACTGACAGATCTAAAAGAAGCCAAGGTTTGAGCCCTAAAGTGGGAAAGTGTTATAAGTGTAGAAAAATTGGACGTTTCAAAAAAATACCTCTATAACTCTAGGCCAAAGGGATCTTATAACACAGTTTCCCTATTTCTCAATAGAAACACCAGGACTTTGCCGTCGTTGCATATTGATTCTCTCTCCCTAGGAACACCTGGAAACGCAGGATTAGATCTCCAAGTTAGAGAACAAATTACGTTAATTGAAAGAAACAAACTGACCAAGATTTATACTGGTATTTGGAGACTTTTGCCAACAAGATACATGGGATTGATTTTGGTAAAAGCTGTCTTAACTTACAGGCCCAGGAGTTGTTGATTTTGATTGTGAAGGAGAAATTCAGGTAGTGGTAATGTCGCAAGATCTTTGGGTTTTTGAACCAGGAGAATATGTTGCTCAACTGATGATTATTCCCTGTAAATGGTACCCTTCTCTATGTAACAAGAGCAAGGAGGAGAAGGTAATGAGTGGCCAGCTGCTTAATTGATCACAGGTTCATATTGTTAACAGGCTTCAATTACGCCTAATCATAAGAAACACTTGTGTAACCTCCAACACTCTAGTAATATTTGCTTTATGAATCTGGGTGCTCCAGTATTTGGAGTGTGTGTTTTATAATTTCTACATACTTTTTCTGGATTGATCCTTTTACATAACAAGCTTCCTTGTCCTGTTTTACTGTTCTTGACTTAAAGTCTGTTCTAAGTATAGTTATTCATGCTCACTTTAGGTTTCCATTAGCATGGATTTTTTTTTTTCATCTCTTTACTTTTAGTCAATATGTGTCTTTACTAGTTGAGTTTCTTTTTAGCAGTATATAGTGGGATGATGTGTTTTGCATTCTATCATTCTTTATCTTATAAATAGATAATTTGTTTATGTTCCAGGTTCTTATTGATGTGAGACTTTTTTCCTGTCATATTTGTTTTCTGATTGTTTTATGTATTGTTTGTTCCTTTCTTTGTCTTATACTGATTGTCATTTTTGTTTGGTGGATTTCTGTAGTGGCACCAGTTGACTCTTTCCTTCATTTGTGTGATTTATTTTCCCATGAGTTTTACAATTTCATGTGTTTCTGTAATAATAAATGTCATTCTTTTGCTTCCAAGTTTAGGACTCCCTTGAACATTTCATGTAAGTCTGGTCTAATGATAATAAATTCCCTCAAAATTTGCTTGTGTGGGAAAGACTTTAATATATTCTTGACTAGCAGTGTTTTATTTTTTTTTTCTTTCAGCCTTTTAAATATACAGTGACATTCTCTTCTAGCCCTTAAAGTTTCTGTTGAGAAGCTTTAAATCTGATAATCCTTTATAGGTGACTAGGGACTTTTCTCTTGTCGTTTTTAGGATCTGCTGGTTATATTTGACTATACCATCTGACTATAAGTCATTATACCATCTGACTATAATGTGCTATAAAGAGATATTTTTTCAATGTATCTTACGAGGGATCACTGATCCTCCTGTATCTAAACATCTAAATCATTTGCTAGATTTGGAAAAATTTTATCTATTATATCATTAAATAGTTTTACCACTCCTTTTTGTCTCTACACACTTTGGGATGCTGATAATTTGAATGTTTAACTGTTCTATGTTGTCTCAAATGTCATGAAATCTTTCATCACTCCTTTTTACTTTTTTTTGCCTTTGTTTTTGTCTGAATGGATTATTTCAAATAACCTGTCTATAAGTTCTGAGATTCTTTCTTCTGCCAGATCTAATCTACTTTAGAGGCTTTGCAATGTGTTTTACCAGTTAACTATTTAGTGCCAGAATGTCTATGTTTCCTTTTCATTAATATCTTCTCTTTGGTAAATGTAACATTCATGTACTGAATTGTTTTTGATTAATTCGTTTTTTTTTTTTTAGAATTATCTTGTATCTGAGTGTCTTTTAAAATCAATATTTTAAATGTTTTATCTGTGATTTAGAAAATTGATTTTTTAATTAAGATCTATTCTTGGTTAATTATTGGTTTCCTTTGGAAGTGTCATATCTTTCTGTGTTTTTATGTTTTCTGTGTCTTACATTGACATCTGCACCTCTGGTGTAACAGCCACTTCTTCCTATGGTTCAATTTACTTTTGTAGAGTAGGATTTTCCTTATAAATGTATTTTGGTTTTGGGCTGGGTAGGGCCCTTTGGCTTTGATCCTGAGTATGTGCATTAGTGTAGTCTCTATATTTCTTTGGCTGTAAACATTGTTAATATTTTCTGTGATTTCCTGAGTATTACGATGTAGTTATCAGTAGAAGCTATAAGGAACTTGTGCTGGGAACTGGGAGGAAAGGTGAGCCAATCTGTATGCCCTATAGTGGCAGTGGTGGGTTGAGCATTGCCTATTTTATGCCCCTATTTTATTCACCAACTGCACCTGTATTGGTGGTTACCAGAATGCTGATTCTCGGGCCTCCTAGTGGCTTACCCAGATATCAGTAGTGGCAGAAGTGGCCTAGACGGGTGAGTGGGTTCTCAAGTCCCTGCGAAGCTGGTGTATTGTTGGTGATGGCAGTAGCAGTTGTGGGACAACCCTCTGTGCCTTGAGAATTGCAGGCCAGTGTTGGTGGTAGCTGTGATGGCAGTGTCTCCACCCACAGCCTAGACATAGTACCCTCAGATTCTCCTGCTCTCTGTAGCAACAGTGCGGTAGCACCACACATGGTGTTGAGGGATCCCACTCTTCAAGCCTGAGCTTCAACACAGAGGCCACACCAACAGTAGGGTAACAGTTGTCACTCACAGACTCAGAGAGGGAGCCCTCAGGTTCATCCACCCCAGACTTCAGTGGCAGTAGGAGCAAGTATGCAGTAGGAGAGGAGGTATCCTGTTCTCTATGTGCGTGTTTTAGTACAGAGGCTGTTTTGCTGGTGGGAGGGAATTTCACCGTTTGCTTACAAAGATGAACACAGAGTTTTTATGGCTGCTAGGGATGGGATGGAAAATAATTTTACATAGCTACAGACAAATAGCTTGCAGGCCTGATGAAAGTGCCCTTTGGTTTATTTTATCCTGAGGTCTGCTTTTTTGTTGCACTTCATAATCCTTTCCCTGGAGAATAACACTCCCTATGGGCTAGATTACTGAGGAGCCTGCAGCACCTCTGGGTCCAGCCAGTGCTGTGTTGCTGCAGCTCTCTAAGTGGACACAGGGCAATATCAGCAGGAGTTCCTGGGATGTAGAGACGTGGGGTCTATCCTTCTCAGTGCTGATTGTAATCTTATGACAGATATGCTTCCAAAATGGTGCTCTGCCACAGCTGCTCAAGTCTGGAGGGATGGTGAATGACCCAGTGCAAGTTCCCAGTCTGATTAATGCTTTCACTGGTTTTGAAATCAGTAGCCTTGCTAGCTTCAGGGTTTGTAAGAGTAAAGAAGTTTTCTCATGGTTCGGATTGCAGCAGCCCATGGCATGTATGTGGACCACCGAAGCACTCTCATTTACTCTTTCCCCATAGTATCATGAACTCCTCGTGGCTCCAGCCTGATCTAGGCCAAGCTGGCTGCTTGCTTCCTTCTCCTGTGCCTTAGGTGTTTCCCATGAGTTCTTGGTTAAACTCTGGTGTTCTCTCTTAGACCTTCTATTCAAGGAATCATTACCGATTTATAATTTTCGTTCTCATTTCTACAGAGGATGGGTTTTTGATATCTCTAGTCAGCCTTCTTGAAGTGGAATCTGGCATTCAATGCTATGACATTTTTTAAAAGGAAATTGAGTATTTTTATATTTTGATATCTGCAGGGGAGAGGATTGTCCTGGAACCAATCCACCATGGATACCTAGGGATGACCATATACACAAATGCTAGGTAATTAACTAAAACAAAATTGGAACTTAGAAGAAATTCAATGAGTTTTAGGATAAAGGATATGTAGAATAGAATTATATAATTATATGCTTAAAATAGACATTGTAAAAATGATATTTAGAAAATATTTCCAGCTGGGCCTGGGCATGGTGGTGCATGGCTATACTCCCAGCAATGTGGAAGTCTGTGGCAGGAAGATTGCTTGAGCTCAAGAGTTGAAGTCTTGCCTGGGCAACATGGTGAAAACTTGTCTTTAGGAAAAAATACAGAAATTGGCCAGGTGTGGTGGCATATGACTATAGTACCAGCTACTCCAGAGGCTGAGGTGGGAGGATCACTTAAGCCTGGGAGTTTGAGACTGCAGTGAGCCAGGATCACAACACTGCACTCCAGCCTGGGCAACAGAGAAGGGAGACCCTGTCTCAAAAAAAAAAAAAAAAAAAAAGGAACAATGGAAACAATTCACAAGGGCCCTATATTTAGAATTCCAATTATATTAAATTTCCAGAATAGGAAAATAGAGCTTGGGGAGAGGGCGATGAATGGGAAGTGACAGTGAATTCATATGGGATTTCTTTGGGAGCAAAGAAAATGTTTTAAAACTAGATTGTGATGGCAATGGTTGTGCAACTCTAAATATACAGGAAAAAAGTTGAGACATACATTGAGTAATTTTATGTTCATGAATTGCATCTCAATAGAGTTTTTAAAGACAACATTCTCAGGCAGATTTTATATTAAGAAAGAAGTTCAACGTTACTGGGATACTACCACGTATCAGAGTCAAGGAGATGAGGAAAATTGAGCAGAAAATGAGAATGAGCAACTACAAGGTAGGAGGAAAATCAGGAAGTCTTATGCTCAGAAAGATGAAAGTGAGTCTGAGAGAAGAGAGAAATCAAATATGTTTGTTGTTGATATTGCAAATAATAGGAGAGATGAATTTTCACTGATAATAGAGATTATTAATCATGTTAAGAAAAACAGTTCTGGTGGGACAACCGAACCAGACTCTAGTGGATTTGAGAGAAAATGCAAGAAAAATATCTGATACAGTATAGACAATGATTTCAAAGATAATACTATAAGGCAAAGAGCAAAACTAGGCAACGACTGAACAGTGAAGTGTAGGCTAATGAGAAAAATTTAGTGGAGAGAAACAAAGCATAATGCAGACAAAACTGAGAATATTTGTGTGATCTGGTACATAGATGGACATAGATGGAGGTTCTGTGATTCGCTGGAAGCACATTCAGGTCACCCATTTTAAAAGAGTATAGGATGTTTTAGGACATATACAGCTAGGAAAGTAGATGAAGAGGTTTTAATATTTATAAGTTATTGACAAAGATACCCTGTTCTAATTCTGGGATCCCACACTTTCCCTAGAAAGACCTTCAATTTGGCCACAGTTGAATATGACCACTTCAATCATTATGTGAACTTGAAAGCAATATGTTCAGTTAAGAGTGGAGATGGTATAAGAGGTGTTTGATATTTGAATAAAGAAGTGAAAATATGATATAGTCATCTAGGAATTTGAGAAATAGAGAGCAAACATACATAAAGGTAACCTAATATATTAGATTCAAATCTTTATTTGTATGGGCTTTACAATATTAGATATTCAAACAAACCATGTAACATTTATAACCCCTGTTTCCTTTATGAAGATAGCAAAGAGGATAATATCCTTGAAATACATTATTACTATTTTCCATTTTCTCTTATATATACATTTTTCCTGTAGAAAATACACTCAAAATTATTTTCTCCTAAGGGCTTATGTGATAGTATCACACTTCTTGGATTACTTCATCTGATATTTCAGGTAGTCTTTCTCATAATCTATGTCCTACAAAATTATAATTGTGGTTCTTCCGCCAACTGTTCCCCCTTTCCAAAGAAGATGAATAGGTTCTCCTGTCTTCCTTCTCTCTTCTCCTCCTGTGGCTCTCAATACTAATTCTGCCTAAAGTAAATTTTTTCTAATTCTTTGACAGTTTAGCTTAGGATATCAGTGGATATGCCTGTGAACCACCCATTTCTTTAATTTTTAATGGCAGTTGCAGGCTCTCTCTTTTCAAATAACACTAATAATGTATCACTCTTTCACTCACAGATGGAGAATGTTTAAAACTCACAGTTTACATACTTTTTTTGAGGTGACGATATAAATCAATAATGTTATAAATGAATTAGAATCAGAGAAAGTATAATATTTGTGTTAGAAAACATTTAAAATTATCTTTCAAATTGCCTCATTTTGTAGATAGTTATTTACAACACATAAAATAATGTCTTCCCCTAAGTTAGAGAGCTTATAGTGACTATGTTGTATATCCAAGCATTCTTTTGTGATGAAGTTCAGTACAAAACAATAACAAAATCTCAGTGGCTTACTGCAACAGTAATTTATCTTATACCCAAGTGTCTGCATGACTGCAGTTTGATAATCTTGGTTACCCTTCCCCAGCCTTGTATGGGCTAGGCAGGACTCCAAGTTTTGGTTGGGTCCATGTCTGTTCCACAGATCCAAGGCTGACAGAGCAATGGCTTTTTGAAATATGCTTATAACATTTCACAAGTTAGAAACTCTGAGTGCTGATAAAAAATTGCCAGATATTTTAAGGCCTCAGATGGAAACTGGTATATTGCAAAGTTTTCCCACACACTCTTAAAAAACAAAGCATTTCACAGATCCAGGACCAAAGACATAGGTGCCAAGAGGTATAAATTGCCCACAGGGAAGTCATAACCAATATAGAGAGAAAAGAAAGAAAAAGAATAAAGGACAATTTTATCTACCACAAGTGGCACGCTAGTGATATTTTAAAATTTGGCATACTTAGTTATTAATGCTGACATTGACTCTTTCAATGTAACCTCTCCCCACTATATATCATCCCACTCCATTCTGGTGTTTTAACAATCACAGGTATCTCCAGATATTGCTGAATGTCCTATAACGGGAAAAAATCATCCTTCTTTGACAATCATTGATCTCTGTCAATTATTTAAAAGCAGGATGTATTTAACACTCTCCTTTATTTTTTTTTTTTTTACTGATATCAATGATAACAGATTCATGCCTGCTATGTGATCTAGTACAGTATCTCTTCTAAAGAGTTTTTCATTCAATACTGAGACAGTAGACCTGAGTTTCAACTTATATTGAAAGAGTCAGTGTCAGCATTAATCAAATTGCCTTAATTAAATTTCCACTATTTTAGGTACTTAGATTGGTTTTTGTATTCCTGATTACATTGAAACACTTCTGGTATTTGTTTGACATTTCTGCTATCAAACAAGGTATTTGAATTGTAGATAGATGTTGCTACAACTGAACTGAGTGTTTAGTGTCTGTAGCTTAATTTATAGCAAGAATCAGTTGAACTAGCTAAGCTCAGAATTCCAGAGTATAGTCATTATTTTGTTGATGCTGAGCTACAGATCTAGCAGCAGCTTTTTGGTCTCAGTTTTCAGATATATACAAGGCATCTAAGGGAATATGTTATCAAACTTCGTATTTCCAGTGGTGACTTCTGATTTTGTAAGCACTTTCTCTTTGTGGAAAAAACAAAGGAAATAAATAAAAAACCTAAAGTAGAGTCTCTTCCCACATTGAATCCTACTGGATACAATCTGAGTGTTTAAAAATAAAGAAATTAACCTTAGGTTAACATATTATATTTTACATTACATTCTAAAACATTTTACATTTTTAACCTGATCCATTTTGACCTGTAACTTAGAACCATTGTTTAAATTTAACAGAATTTATGAAAAACAGTTTTCTTAGGATATTTAATATTCTTTTCTTAAAGTTTCTAGCTATTTATATACCTTCAAGTGTTTCATAAAGCTTGGATTGATTAAACAAATAAAAATTAAATCCTTACTTGAAAGGTAATTTCAAGTGGTTATGTTGTCATGAATTTAAAATTATATATTTTTTTAAAAATAACTTTCCTCAAGGGTATCCAAGAACCTCTAATATCTAACATAAAAGGTTTAAAGAAAAAAAATCCAATTTCCCTTAGAAAGTAGTTTTCTCTATTATGTGGGATCCCAGAATTAAAATGTTATTACATATTATTTTTCATTTGTGTTTTAATCCAGCAAGCATTTCTTTTAATCACAGTGGTGTTACTAGCAGTACTGTGTGATCTGGAAAGCTAAACTGTCATGTTGATTTGAAAGAATACATTTTCTTAATGCTAATTATTACTCTATTCCACCAGATCGCAATCATCACACAGTATGTATTACTAATCAGAAAATGTTCAGAGACAATGTTATCATGTGAAGAAAATAGAAATGATACATGACAGCTTTGTAAGAGATTCAGTTTCTAAGGTTTCTTTATATGATAATATATGCATACATGTATAGGTTCAGACTACATTTTCTTAAGATGTATATTTCATGTAAATTTAATAGTACAAAACATATTCATTCCATATATTCAAGTCAGTTGGCATATTCACAAATATTGGTACATTTTAATTACTATGGCAATTAAGAAGATCTTAGAAAATACTTATAATGAGCTGAAGTCATATGTTTTTGTTGTCACTCTAGAGCTTTGAGACACCTGCCATATGTTGTCTTTAGTAATTGCTACAGCTCCCTTCTCTATACAATGTAAGTACTTATTAAGTAATAGTGGTTTATACAATACATTTAATTGTAGCTAATATATTTTTGAAAAATAATGCCTCGGTTTTTCTTTCTCATTTCACATGAAGATACACACCACAAACACACACACAAAAAGATCAAAAGAATTGTCAAAGAAAATCATATAGGAAATAATGTGAGCAAATAAAAACAATCATCCTGAAGTGGGGGAGTCTGAAAACTTAGATGTTAAGGAGCTTTTACCTCTGAGATTTGTGGTTTGGGAAATAGCATTTAACCTGTTTTATACTGTTTCATCCTTTAGTTCAAGTAGATTAATAAAAATGAATTATTCTTACGTACATCATAAGCATACTTTGTAGTAAAAAGATGAAATGGAACTATACATATAAAAATCTTGTAAAGTACAAATTGAAATACAAGTTTAAAGCATTTTGTTGCTCTTCTTCCAAGATGGTTTTAAAAGCAAAGAGGCATTAATATATTGCCTCTGATGGTCAGAAGAAATCCTATGAACTTTTTTTTTGAAGTAGTGTTCCAGAAGCTTTTGAGAGAAAAGACAAATTCTATTTTTTTGTCCTCAAATTCTTCTGCCAAGGACATACAGAGAGTACATATCTCCTCTCTCCTTCTTTCTCCCTCACTTATCCCAGACCCCATCTCTTTCTCCTTCTTGCTCCCTCATTTATCACAGGTCCTACATACTATCAGACAATAGGAAAATATAGACGGTGAATTTCATTGGTACCAGCCTTGATAGAAATGAGCCAAAGGGTAACTTTTAATTTTTCTTTATTAGTGATCCTTGTATATGTGAACTGATCTTGCTCAAGATTCTATTTTCTAATATTCCCTGAATTATACAGAAGCAGAAGCCCCCTTCTGGTACCGTATTGAATGGGACTACAGTTTAGAAAGAATAATATGGGATTACATTTAAATAATTTCAGTCTTGTCCTCTATCCAACTCTTTCTCTATAATACCACCAACAAGCATGAGTAAACCAGATTTTTTTTCCTGAAAATTTTATGCAACTTTGTAGAGTCTTTCTGTTTTTGAAATTTCTGAGTATGAATTCCTCTTGATATATTTCATTTTTCTTTTCCTTAAATATCTTATATGTTAAAAATCTCTCTACTATTTAGGTTAGATTTTGATTACTTAAACTTTTACATTTCTGGTACATTACAGATTAACCAAAAGAGAAAACACATACGCTAAAGTTGAATTACACATTTAATTGTTGTATCAATCAATTATTTTTTTATTTTTTTTTTTTACACAAAAGCAGATGCTGAAACACCTGTAGATACTTTTATACACCATATTCTGTTATGGGAGTCATGCATCTATCAGTGATATTGTACACATGAGATAAGGATGCAGCATACATGAGAGATGCTTATCTAGCTATGCCACTGCCCTTCTTAGAGTTTACAACATGTATTTCCGGATGTTAAACTTTCCAGGTTCTGAATTGGGATTGACATTAGTAAGATCTGATTCTCATCTGAGGTGGTGCGAGGGAATAGAATCTGTACGTAGAAAGTTGTTCATCAGTCTCTAGGATTTTAATATATAAGAAAGTCTCTTTTTTCAGTCTGTGAGGCAAAACTCTTCCATTTAGTTGTTTCGAATGTCATTTGGTTTGACAATAAAAATCACAAAATTATTTCCCTAGAATTCAATCTCTGACCAGTGGGTAGTCTTTTATCTCAGAAATATTAGCTAAATAATATTTTACAACTAGGCATCAGTCATTGTACTTGGAATTAACAACTTTGGCAAGTTGTACAGTATTGGACCTTTTTGAAAATTATGGAATTACACTTTCAAAAACAACTTTTTAGTAGTATAAAATCATATTTTATTAGATTATGTAATTACTAAATTACCACAGGTTGATTAGTGGAGCCATTTATAAATATATATGCATTTGGGTTTGTGTAAATATACACATAATTGTACGAGTGTGTGAACATTTGTGTGTATCTATCTAATCTAGCTAAATTTTTTTTGTTCTTACAACCTATCAGGTGGTGTAAGGTCCTCCAGACCTACCACAAAGCTAGAACTAGTTACTATCAAAACAGAATTGATGCATTTGGGTGACTAAACTAATATCTAGATATCAGAAGCATGCCTTGTGTATGTGAGTACTAACAGCAGTGCAGCAGACTACAAGGCTACTAGACACTTATATAAACCAGGGAGCAATGCTTAATTTTGCAGTAATTTATCTTAATAATTCAAATTACCTCATTTCATGCCATTCTCAAATGAGAATCTGTCTTTATTTTTTGCTTTGTCTACAACTCATTGTATAATGCTGTATGCTTTGTTATTCCAAATGTGATCAAATCAATTTATCCTCAAAGGTGAAAGGCTTCCTTTGCCTTTTACCCATGTTAAGAATTTCTAAAGTCTTCTAAAATTGGGTCTATGAGGTTCAGGTTTTAAGATCATTTTTATAATTTTGACCAGAGTCATGTATCAAAAATAAAAAATAAGACCAAGACTTATGCACAAATGCGCTCAAGAAAGGAAAATCCAAGCAATGGTCAAAAATGAAAGATAGACATTTTAGGGCTTGCTTAGCATTTGTCTAAATTAGGTCTAAAATTTTCCCTTACTACTAATTATTTATAATTATTATAGGCGGTTTTAGAGCTTGAATTGTGAGAGGGTATTATAAATATACAGATATTACCTCAGTAATTATACTTTCAAACACCAATAAAGAATGTCAGAAAATACATGACATTATGTCAAGATTTTATCATATTCTTTAATCTTCACATCAAGTTTAAAGGAAAAGTCAAAATAATTCACATGGTTTTTCTGGAGTTCACAAATTTAATAAAATACACCAAAACATTTGGTTAATAATCTACTGCACATTAAACTTTATGGTCATATTCTATAACACTCTCTTCACTTCACCGTCCTCACCTTCATGTCAATGGACAAAGTGGTTTTAGAAGCCCTGTCCTTTATTTTTTGTTTCTTTTTCAGAAAAGACAGCACAGCACAGATATATGGCTTTGTAGCCATTTCAAATTTACTGTAAAAATCCAAATTTTCCATAAATTAAAGGCCTCTTGTCTATCCTTCCAATTTTGCTTTCTACGGTAGCTGTATTTATCCCAGAGAAGAAATTGCAGAATCACTCTGTGTTTTGGTAGCTTAGTTTTTAGGATTCAAAAAAAAAAAAAAAGACCCCCACATTTGATACATAGTTTCAGGAATATCTAAACTACCCTAGTGGTTTTTGACTTCCTGCTTGTACACGATTTGGTTCACAGGTAGTAATTTATTCTTCATTGACAGAAAAAAATTCCCAGTGATTCCATAGCCACTCATACTTTGTTCAATTATTCAACTGCTTCAGATTATCTGCTTAGGGGGCTGATAATTTTAAAGCGTTCTTTAAAAAAATAAAGCAAAACAAAAACTTCTAAATTACCACTCTATTAAGGTAGAAGAACTGACTCCACCTGATCCTTATAGAAAAATTCCTGCTTTCTTGTGCCCTGGCCATTCAGCAGATATGAGTTTGAAATATGCAGGATCTATCATTGGTAAAGAGGATAATGTCAACAATTTTTTCCTGATGCAAGAAAATTGGTAAACTCCTGACTTTCAGCCATCAGATGCAGATGTAATCAATGATTTATCACTTGGGGGCATGGTGTTCTTTCCAATCCTTATGTAAGCCTCGCTTTCCATCTCCATTCTATAGATTTTCACTTGTCTGGAAGGTGAAGAGGGCAGATTCTTCTTTTTCTGGGTATTTTACTTCATTCCTACTCTTCCTGATAGTTCCCTTTAGGTCTGCTGGGTCCCATTTTCTTTGTGAACTTACAGAGATACATTTTTTCTCACAATACCATATATTACTTTTCTGTCCATTTCGAAGTTCTCCATTGTCTTCGTTCTGGATTTTTAAAAAATCTTCTGCAGATTCCTCTCCTCCCCCCAACCTGATTATATTAAAGATGGAAGAATCTAAGAACTCTGTGGTAACGTAACATAATCTTACAATGAGATTTAAAGCTCAAAAATTGATGTGGGGGAAAGGAAAAAGGAGTCAGGCCTTGTAAACTTTGAGAAGGCCAGTAGCTCGACAGCCTTTTGTTCAGTTTCAAGTTCATTAGCTCTTCTAAAATTATCTTTTTGAAACTCAGAAATTAGTCACTTAACTTTTTAGTAGAATCACCACATACTACTTAAAAATCAAATATCTGAGGACTATGCCTTATCTAGGAAATGATAAAATGTAAACCACTCTACTTCAGCTGAATCATTTAGCTGTTTCAAGCAGAAATTTCATAAAGAAGTACATTGCCACTTGCTATTACCTGAATATGTCCCTCAAAAATTCATGTTTTAGACCTAGTCCTCATTTGGATGCTATTAAGAGGCGAAGTATTTGATAACTGATTAAGTCATGAGGGTACATGAATGGGATTAGTGTCCTTATAAAAGTGGTTGAAGTGTGCTGCCTTGCACTTTGTGTGCCATGTAAGGTGCTGCAACAAGTCACCATTTTGAAGCAGACAGTGTGCTTTTCCCAAACCATGAATCTACTGGTGCCTTGGACTCCCCAGCCTCCAGAGCTGTGAACAATAGATTTCTATTTATAAATTACCTGGTCTAAGGTAACTTATTAGCAGCCCAAATGGACTAAGATCATTGTAAAAGCAGAACTACCAGGTTTCCATTTAAGTAATATTTGTGAGCGCTTTTTATTTATTTTATTGCTATTTGTTCACAACGTGTTTGCCCTAGTTGCTAAAGTGCAAGACCAAAGATGTTTGCAAGGGAAAAGCAATGAACACATATGTTAAAAGATAATTATTCTGTTAAAATCTTTAAATTACAATAGTTCTTTTTTGGGGGTAGGTTTTTCAAGAAAAGGAGATTAACTGAAAAACTGCTTATTTTATAAAATGACACCTTCTTGCATTTGGAAAGGGAAAATAATGACATTTAAAAATATTTTCATATTCTGCTTAGCAAGTAAATGTGATTATAAAGAATTAAACTGTTTCTTAATTCTGTTTCTCACTTCCACATTTAAAATCTTGGTTGTTGACTAGTTTTATGCCAGAGCATTGCTTCTAACATCTAGCAAAGCCACCTAAACATCTGCAATCCTCTGGACTTTTCTGCCTTTGGAAACCTGAGAAACCAAAGGATTGAGCCTTGGGCACCTCTAACCTTGAGTCTTCCTTTATGAGTAGAAGAATGTACGTGAATCTCTCATATAATCCCCTAAAGAAACTACCCTAAATTGCTAAGGAATCAGTTTTCAGTTCTTCTTTTAACTGTCAGAACGTTTAATATTTAATTATGTTGACAGGGCTATAAAGCTAAATTCTAATGACACTGGTAGTGTTTCTCATCTCATTTCTGATGCCAGCTATAGTATTTCTGGTACTTTAGATATTTACATAAGAGGAAAACCTGTAGGCACAGTTGTAAATTTAGAGTAAGTATAACTAATTAGCCAAGGATACAAAATCATCTTGGAAATAATATAGACCTAAAAAAACTACAGGACTTTTTAGTTTAACTTTCTTGGTTTCAAAGGTTTGTAATAGCAGAATGAGGGGATAGCAGTGGGAGGGGACTCTAATTTGCGAGTGACACTGTACAAATGAAGTTGTGTCTTTTTGGATTTCTGAAGCTCCATTTGTAAATGACACTACCCTTTTATACTTAAAGTTTACATCATTCTACAAGAATGAAATGAATTATATATAATATCAATTTCTATTTTTCTGTATATATTATATGATTAAGGCATTGTTTACAAATATAAGATTTTCCTTTTTTTTTGCACATAACGTGGAGTTAACAATTTCAGATCTTCAGCTGGTGGGATAAAGCAGGATCAAAATGCATGTGTCTGCTTCCTAATTTTCAAAATTCTGGAAAGCTGTTTCCATTAATTTCTTATTCTCTTTATAATTTTCCAGTAAGAGAGAGAGATCGAGAGAGAGATCCCCACACATTATAAATTTTCAATTAGTATTATAATTTTCTGGAAAAATATATTTCAAATTTAGCACATTTTTTTCTTTGTTTTTTGATAACATCAAACAGTCTAATTTTTTCCTATGCACATTCTTATACCAGCACTACATCTTCACATGGCTAGTGAGGTATTCTGATTAAATGGTATATATACTTCTCTAAACTGTTTTATATACAGTACTACTCTTTCCCACCACCTAAATTTTTTTTTAAATTACACTGACATGCATCAGAATGTATCTTTAGAAATACAATTTTATAAAATTAAATATAAAGAAATCTTCACACTCTTTCTAGATGATATAATTTTATTTGAAAATGTTTATTGTAAAAAGAGATGAGCCTGGCAGAAAGAATTTAACAGTGAATATTTCAAGGTCAGTGACACATTTGTAAGGAAGAAGTATTATTGATTTTCACTTTCAGCACTCTTCAAATGTGGTAAAAGCCAGTTGCCAATTATACCCATAAGAGGCATTAAATCTAAAACTAATTTAGGAAATTACTGATTAAAAAAAATCTAAAAACAATTATAAAAGTGTGAAACTGGCGTACAATATACATTCAGATAAAAATCACACTTATTTCTGAAATATTAAAGATGGATTGTTCAATTGGTAAGGAAACTAGCTGACATTCTAGACAAAAAATAAATGTGTATGCCTGATGAAAATCACACATCAATATTCATTCTATGTTCATTAAAAGTTTTAATATAAACACTAAATTTTATGGGAATATTTACACAAATTAATTACTATTAGAGTAACTTTGTAAGAATAAACAAAATTCTAAACAGATTAGTACATTTTATTACATACAAATTAAAAAAAATAAATTCCAAAATCATCTTTTCCACAACTGAAAATAAGTTAATCAAACTATAAAAACACATTCATCATGTATTAGAGACAAAATCTTGTACTTTAATATATAATAATGCTATTATAAGATAACTTTTTTATTCAATATAACAATATATTTTTAGGCAAGTTACAAAATAAAAAGCATGGAATGTACATTAGGGAAATACTCAACTTTACCAGTAATAAAACAACTGAAAAATAAACAAGTGCAAACCGGTTTTCACTTTGCAGATTTTTATAATAAAGAGTAATACTAATGACCAATGCTGGTGAATGTACGTGGAAATGAACACCTTTGTACACTCAGGTAGGAAACAATCTTTATAAAGAAAAAATATATTGATATTCTCAAAATCTTTTATGTATAAAAAGTTCTCTTGTGGGAAAATATGCTACAACAATATTAAATAATTAAAGTGTATGAAGTCACCAGCATTATCCAAACAACTGAAAGAACTAAAAAGTTTTTCTCCCCAACTGACAGCCTTATTGCAAAGTATCTATTAGGTATGTTTGCTAGGTCCTATTTTAAATTCTATACATATAAAGGCAAGTAATATTTTGCTTGTGATTCAAGGAGCCTTTAAATTTAGTATATGTGAGGAAAGGGGTGAATAATACTATATTCAATTAAGTTTATTAAATGTCTGCAATGAAGATGAGTTTGTCTACTAAAAGCCTTAAGAGAGTATTAATATTATAAAAATAAAAATAACCTTCAATCTAACCCATTTGAATCATATTGCTTATTTTTTGGTCTTTTTAATTTTTCTAAACCGTCTCCTAAATTCTCAGTTGCTGTGTATAGGATTTATTCTCCAAGATGATTCCCCAATGAACTAGACTTCCTTCTTATATTGAGTAGGGTTAACCTTTGTAAACAGTAGAATATTGTGGAAGTGATGGTGTGGCTTCTCAGAGCAGATGATAGGACAATGTAACTACTACCTTATACTATCTTCTCTTTCTGGGATCTTTTATTCTTGTAGTAGCCCACTGACACATCATGAGGATATCCTCACAGTCCATGGAAGGAACTGAGTTTTCCTGCCAACCAGCTCCAAATTTCCAGAAGTCCTAGCAAATAAATTATATTAGTCTGTTCACATGCTGCTAATAAAGACATACCCAAGACTGGACAATTTTTAAAGGAAAGAGGTTTAATTGACTCAGATTTCAGCATGGCCAGGGAGGCCTCAGGAAACTTACAATCCTGGCAGAAAGGGAAGCAAACACCTCCTTTTCACATGGTGGCAGGGAGGAGAAGTGCCAAGCAAAAGGGGGAAAAGCCCCTTATAAAACCATCAGAACTGATGACAACTCAGTCACTATCATGAGAATAGCAGTGTGGGGGGAACTGCCTCCATGATTCAATCACTTCCCACCGGGTCCCTCCCAGGACATCTAGGGATTATGGGAACTACAATTCAAGATGAGATTTGGGTGGGGACACAGCCAAACCATATCAAAAATAATCTAAGCTTATGTAAACTTTCACTTGATCACAGTCCAAGTCAACATCTTGACTCCAACCTCATAATAACCCCTGGACCAGCTTTGTAAGCCATTTACAGATTTTGACACCATAGAAATGTGAGACAAATATAGTCAGTCTGCATTTTGCATGGTTCCAATACGTACAAATATCAGTAACTGCAATTTAGTTAAATAACAACAGGCTTACAATACCGTTTAAGTTTCAGTTACCATAGGATATTAGCTATGAGTTATTACGTAAAATACATACTTTGCTGCTAGCTCTTCAGCACAGAAATCTATGTGTAATTAAGAAGTATGTATCAGGTTCAGTGACTAATCTTGTCACTTTTTTGTGTGTCTGTCACTGATTGGCCAGTGCACGTCTGTTATTCACTTCACTCACACACAGCAAAGCATGTAGTTGTGTTGCTTCTTGTCTTCTAGTGATCAAATCATGTGACGTCTTACAAAAATGAATAAACTTAGGAGATAATTGGCAACAAAGATGAAAGTGCAGCAAAGAAAAAACTGAATATTTTATTTCACTGTGCAAATAACTGCAGAATAAAAATAAAATGTAATAGAGTTATAGAAGAAACAGTTTACCATGGAGATGTTGACACTGCTGTCATTTATAAGAATATATATGCAGCCAGGGAAACTTAGTTAAGGTGAACTTCTCAACTTAAATTTAAAAAGTTATTTTGATGAAAAGAATGGAGATGCCCTAGAGGAAGTGATGGGAGCAAAATATTTCACATTAAGGTAACTCTCAGATATTTTACAATGTTAAAACAACAAAGAATAAAATACAAGTGTATCCATATTTAGAAAGGAATGTAACAATTTGCCAATGTATAGAAAATATGTTATAAGCTCAAAAGGCAAATGCTATTCAACCTACCATTGTCAAGTTTTTTTTTTGTTTTTTTTTTTTGCAAATAAGCATTATCACAGATTCTATGTTAACATATTAAACGTTACCTTTACCTTGTTTTTTCATTTCCCTTTACGTTTATAGTCAAAATAAGAGCCTTTAATGTTTTGATTAAAATGTTAAAACATCAGTGAAAAATTGTAACTTCTCCTGTTGATTCTTAAAATTATGTTTCATGGTTTCAGTTTGCACAGTCATTTTTATAGCCCTGCATTGCCATTTAATGTGAAAACTGACTATATGTATTGTTTTAAGGTGCAGAGTACAGAGATAACTTGTTAAATTATTCTATGACTGATAAATTATGGTCCATACTGCTTACTAGATGAATTGGAGCTCAATATTTAGTCAATTTACCTGAATTTGCCAATACTTTTTTTTAAAATCATAAATTTCTGTCCTTCATTCTGAGCCTGTACAAATAAGTATATGGAAAAGTTCCTTTTGACCCTAGTATAAAAGCTGCTAACCAGGATCCAACAACATTCTTTACTTCATCTGTTTTTGCTGCTGAGTAAAATGAACACTGCTATACCAGAGCTAAAATAATAACTATTAGAAAATTTGGTGTTTTTGAATCATGGAGAACATCTGTCAAAATGAAAAGTTGAATGTAATAAGAAAAAACAGTAATTGTTGAAAAGTAGCTATAAGTTAATGTCATACTTGATTTTTGATACTGTTTTATAAAAGCCTATATAAGTATTTTCTAGTGTTCTTCTTTATCAGTCTCCTTGAATGCCTTATTCAAATTACACAATTGAAATAGACCTTGATTTCTCTGAGGACTAACAAATCTATCCCTCCAACTCAAGTCTTTCTCCTGAGTTCCAGCTGTGCATAGATGAAGGACATTTAGGCTTTTTTGGATGTTCTATAGCCACTTCAAAAGAATTATGTCACAAACTCACTTTACCTACCCGGCTACTTCCCCAAATCCCTCTCCTAAAGTAAGGACTATATCTAGACAACGTTTTTCCTTGTAGTAACTTATGCACAGAACAGACTACAAGAAAAGAGAACAGAAGCTTGTGTGTTTTGAGAAATAAATTATATAAATTTTCTGAAAAAGCTTGTGATTTTTTAACCATTAATGTGGGTTCTCAAAAGTCCATCCTCAGGTAAGAGACTGAAAAACTGTGCAGCCCAGAAAGAGAATAAACACTTCAAGATTCATTTCCTATGCAGACAAAAGGAAGTTCCCTTCAGAGGTCAGGTTTTAATAAGAAACAGAAAAAATGAGTTCCTGCCAGAGGTCAGGATCAGACACCACATAGTCTTTAAAATCGTTGCCTGTGATGATTTCAAATCTGCTATGGATCAATGTCTGCCATATGATTCCTTTTTGTTATGTATGAATATGTTTATAGAAATGTTTGTTTCAATATTTTATATTTTAGATTGGTTGTATAGGTAAGTGGGGATATTACTTATGTCTTACTTTGTAATTCACCACATTCCAGGAGCCATATCTGGACTGGAATGGCTATTTTTCAGTCACTGAGCTGCATGTAGTAACTGTCGGTGACTCTGGAATTGTCTCTTTTAGGTCAATAAATGGTGATTGCAGCATCCTTGTTTAATTTTCAATTTTATATGGAAAGTTTTCAATAATTCATTAACTATGATTAATCTTATAGTTTTTTAATAAATAATCTCATCGAAAGTTAAAAACTAAACTTCTATTTCCTGTTTGTTGAAATTTCTTAAAGAACAGAAGTTAAATTTTTTTGTTTATCTTGCATCTATTTCAATGATTGGATAATTTTCCCTACTTTATTCTGTTAAAGTGATTAAATGCCTTCATTGATACTTGGATACTAAAATAATCTTATAATTTTGGAATAGTTCCAACTTGGAATGGTATAGTGATTTTTATGTATTGCTAGATTTAATTTGCTGATTTTATGTTTAGGATTATTTTTTGTTTTTGAAGGAAACCAGCCTATTTCTTTCTTCTTATAATATGCCTGTCAATTTTTGTGCCAAGGTTATTCTTTTTTTATAAAATAAGTATCATAGTGCCCACTTTTTTTCTTCTCCCTGGGAGGATTTTTGTTGGATTGGTGTTTTATCTTATTTTGATGTTTGAACTTTCATTGTTTCTGTTAAAGCTGCCTGATTCTGGAATTTTCTTTGTGTTAAGGATTTTAATTAGAAATTTGCTTTTTGGTAAACATGGTCTTCATATTTTGTGTGCATATTAGTTATGGTAGACAAAGTTTTAAGAGTTTGTTCTACCCACATTTCAAATGTATTATCATATTTTTTTCATAATGTATACTTCATTATTTATTTATATATTTAGAGACAGAGTCTCACTCTCATCACCCAAGCTGGAGTTCACTGGCACAATCATGGCTCACTGCAGCCTTGACTTCCCAGACTCAAGTGATTCTCCCACCCCAGACTTCTGAGTCGCTGGGACTACGGGCACATGCCACAATGTCTGGCTAATTTTTTGTGTTTTTAGTGGAGATAGGGTCTCAACATGTTGCTCAGGCTGGTCTCGAACTTCTAGGCTCAAGCAATCCACCCACTGCAGGCTTTCAAAATGCTGGGATTACAGGCGTGAGCCACCGCACCCAGACTAATTTGTTTTTAAAAAGTAGAATCTTTATTGACAGTCTTTGTGTAACACTGATAATTATTATTTGTACCATCCCTCATGTGTCTTGATCTAGGTTATTGGGAGCTGATACAATTCTTTCTTAGTTTTTACAAAGAACCAACTATTTTGGCTTTAATTGCTCTCTCTGTAGTTGTTTGATTTTATTTTACTAATTTCTGTTTTTAGTTTTATTATGTCACATCTTCAACAAAGTTGGGCTTAATTTGTTATTACTTTATTTTAATAGATGATTTTATCATCAATTTTTCAGCCTCCCTTTCTCCTATAGCCATTTAATGAAAAAAGAAATCGCCCCCAAATATTTTTACATATAGTTCACAGGATTTATCATATATTAATTATATATTTCATTTTAAAATATGTTCAAAATTTTTGATTACTTCTAAGGCTTATAGGTTACTTAGATTTTTATTGTTATCTACACACATAAAGATTACTAAATTTGCTTTAAAAATTGATTTCTATCCATTTTGTTTTTATAGCATATAGTAATCCCTGCAATTTACTGTCCTTTTTTAAATGCTCTAATTGCATTTGAAAAAACTAGATATTCTCCAGGTGTTGGGTGCAATGTTGTAAATATGTCCATCTAGTCAGGTAATCCTGTTATTCAAATCTTCTGTCATTGCTGATTTGTTTTTGTATGTTCTATCAGTTACTGTAAGGTAAATTAAAATATCCCACTGTGATAACTGACTTGTTCCCTCTTACATCATCTTTTGCTCTGACATTTGTAGAACTGGTATATATGTGTGGCAGGTTCGTCTATTATAATACAATATTCATATTTTATTTCTACCAATGCTGTTTTCTTTAAATTGTTCTTCATTTAGTAATAGCATAGCTACACCACCATTTCTTGGCTAATTTTTTCACATATTTCTGTTTTCATTCATAGAATTTCAACTTGACATTTGAAGGGTGTCACTTCTTAGCTACAAGTTTCATTTTCTTATCCACTTAGCAGTAATATTAGTTGAAACATTAAGCCACTTTTTATTTAATATAATTATTTCTCAATTTGGATTTAAATCTACTATCTTACTATGCACCATTCAGCCACTTTTTACTTAATATAACTATTTCTCAATTTGGATTTAAATCTACTATCTCACTAGTTGTTTTTACTTTCTCAAACTATTTTATATACTTTTTTCTCTCTTTCACCCTCTTCCTTTGCATTTTGAAACAGTTGTTTATGGAATTATCCTGTTTCCAGTGAAGTAAATATTCTTCAAATATTCTGTAGTTTTATTCTACAGAATACAACATGCAACCCTAATCTGTTAACATCTAAAACAAAGAAATATTTTTTGTTTTTCATATAAAGCAAGGGCACTAGAAAACTTGAAATTTCATTCACACTCTGCTGCCACATTATGAGTTATTGTTTTTATGTTGTTTAATTCTATTTATGTTGTATACCACATAAAACATTACTACTATAGTTGTGTTATATAGTCACTATTTACTTACGTTTACCAACATATTTTTCTTTTGATGTCCAGTCAGGTATTTTTCATTATGTACTAGGTCATTTTTCACTGTGTACTAAGCACTGTGTGAAAAAATATATAGAAATAATTTTGGTTATCTCTAGCAAGTACTGAAGCCCACCTTTAATTAATATAAATTGAAGATCAAAATATATTGTCTTTTTGCCAAGGCTAGCTTTCTGCCACCAAAATGAATGAATTAAATAGTGCATAAATTCTCTAAGGATAAATATAACATCACAACCTATGACAATAGAAGGACACTCAAGGAAATCCCAGATATTACATTTTTGGCATTATCAGGCACAAAGTTTAAAATATGAGTAATAATATCAGGTAATAAATGGTAAAATGGAGATTTCTGCCAAAAACTAGAATTTAAAAAATAAACTGAAATTCCGTAATTAAAAAAAAATAATTTGAAACATGCAGTCAAAGGTAGGTTTAACAGCAAACTATGAAAAGGGACACATACTTAGTATGCTTCTTCATATCTTGCTGGCAATGCATATCATATTTTATGGTCTCTCATTAACCAACTTATCTAATATTGAGATAATATAAAATAAATTTTCCACATTCCAGTTGAGCCTCAAGAACGACAGAGCTCTACATTAGTTCCTGGCTGCAATGAATGTTCTACCTTTGGGCTCTATAATTTCAGCATGCTGAATACTACTGTGAGTTTCTCTAGTAGACAGAAATACTGTATGGGCTTTTGGAAATTCCCAATGAGAAAATAATAGTACAAACATGAAAAATCAAAGTTACGGCATCTGCTGTTCTCCATTTAAAAAGCAGATCCTGGTTTGTGATTGGTTTTGGTTGAAACTTTATGCCTGTCACAATACTCTAGGTGATAAAGTAACCTGAATTGCCAGTTATGATCAGTCTGTTCTCCGATCTACAGTCAATTCAGGTAGAGAATTTTTTTAATATAGAAGTATTATATATGAACCTTCGCTCAATGATTTGGAACACCTGAAGAAACTGCACAGACAGGTGACTCACTCTCAAGAAAACCCCTTCCATTGTTTTCCCATTTCTTTTTCAACTCACATCTCTGCCTTCATGTAGCATTCCCAATGATCAGTTCATGGAAGGAGAAATAGTTCAGTTTACTTAATGGATGGATCTAGACAGAGTGTTTGTTACCTTGGCCCAGAAAACATAATGAAGATAAATTATATTTTCAGATTGGAACTTTGGGTGATATATCTGATTGTTCATTTGTTGGAGAAAGACAGATGTCTGTAGTAAGAATCTACATTGATTCTTGTGAAGTTTTCTCATGTGTTGTCCAGCTGGTCAGAACTTGGATAAAATAAAATCAGAAAATTAGTTACGCTGTCTACAAGGGAGAGTTATGTAGATGGACTCCTCTGAATGTTCTCAGAGTGAAATATATTATTGTACTGTATAAAAACTACCAGAAGATTTGTATTGCAAAGCAAGCTATCAAAAATTTGAGAGACAGGGCGTGGTGTCTGACCCCCGTAATCCCAGCACTTTGGGAGGCCGAGGTGTGGGGATTGCTTAAACCTGGCAAAAACCCCCGTACCGGCTAAAAAAAAAAAAATTAGCCAAGCGTGGTGATATGTGCCTGTTGTCACAGCTACTCAGAAGCCTGAGGTGGAAATATAGCTTGATCAAGCCTGAGAGGTCCAGACTGCAGTGAGCCATAATTGCGTGGCCACTGCACTTCAGCCTGGGCGACAGCCTGTCTGAAAATTAATAATTGTAAAAATCAAAAAATATATATATTAGTTGGGAATGCAATCTGTAGCTGCACTACACTCTTTCTCCACAGTTTCCCAGTGCTTAACAGTGTTGTTCACAAAATACTAATGATCACAAGCATAAAAGGTATCTATTTAATCATTAGTATGGTTTTTTCCTCTGCACAGCTGTTATAGCATCTAGCACTGCTGAAGACTCAATCTTCACACAACTGACTCTAATGCTGAATTCCTGATTATGACACCACTGCCTGGGGAAAGTGTCTCACCACAACAAAGTAGGGGAAAGGATGGAGATTAGGAGATTTACCAACACCTCTTTTCTCATTTGCTCAACATTCCTGGTCAATGCAAAACTTCAGCAACCCAATGCATAATCGACCATCATACTTGTATTAATTTCCTACACGAATGTGTATTTGGGTCACTCATCATGTTTGGAGTTAGGTTCAGCTGAATGCCTGGCAGAGGATAGGGAATCTTGTAAAACTATCAAGCAATGATTACCTGCTTAGGCTATAGAAACTGCTATGGACACAGGAACAATGATAGTTCTGTTACTTGTTTTGTCCCCTGCCCCTAATACTTTTTCTCTAGTGAAAAATCAGTTGTGATGGCTAACATTTCAAGTTCACATGAAGAATGATGACACATTGACAACATCTTATGATAGCAGAAGAGCTTTTGGGACATGTGGTTCCTCGTTTGGACAAATTATCTTTAGTTAGATAATAGATGAGACCAGTGCTGTGGACCAAAAGGAACAGAACATGTGGGAAATCTTTACTCTTTTTTCTCCATATCCACACTCCACCCTTTACCATTCCTCTACTTATTATGGTTGATGAATATGGCTCCTTGCGATTCTGCTGCTTCTGTTTTCTTGTGGGGGGGGAGGGGGGAGATGGGGGATGGGGGATGGGGAAGAGGGGGATGGGGGAGGTGGGGTATGGGGAAGGAGGGGGATGGGGAGGGGGGATGGGGGAGGGGGTGGGGAGGCAGGGGGTGGGGGGATGGGGGTGGGGGGATGAGACGGGGAGGCAGGCGGGATGGGGGATGGAGGTGGGGGGATAGGGGGACAGGGAGATGGGGTATGGGGGACAGCGTGGGGGTATGGGGAAGAGGGGGGGTGGGGGGGAATGGGGGGAGGAGGGGAGGGGGGTGTGTGTGCAGGGGGAGGTCTGCAGTCTGGAATCTGGGTAGGAAATTGAATAAAGGGAGTAAAATGTGGCCAATGGCTTTTCCCTGACTCCTTCTCAGCAGGGGCACCTTAGGCTTGCTGGATTCCTCAACTAAAGAAAAGAGATTCATGTTAAACATTGTCTCCATCTACTACTCTACTTCTCCTTGGCCTTCAGAACTGGTGTGCTAATAATCCCAGGGCTAGTAGCCCTGGGGGATTATATTACCTCCTAAGATTTTCCTTTTGTAAATCATTATGTCCGTTCCATAAAAATTTCCCAATATGAGCAGTCCATGTAGTAGAAAGATCTGTTCTTTTTTTATTAAAATTTCTAAGTTATTGTCATTTTCTTTTGTAGATAGTGTTGTGCGTATTTAAGGTGTTCAACATGATTTTTTACAAATTATATGCAGATAGTAAAAGGGTTACTACAGTAAAGCAAATTAATGTATGCATTATCTCAAATAGTTACCCATTTTATGTTTTTTTGTGTGTGTGGAAACAACAGATTTCCACAAAATCTACTCATATAGCAGGAATCTCATATACATTACAATTTTATTACTTAGACTCCTTGTATTGTACCTTAGGTCTCTAATCTTGTTCATCCTACATATCTGCTACTTTTTATCCTCTGACCGACACTTCCCCATTTGCTACAGTCCCACCCCAATCCTGCCCAGGTAGCCACTGTTCTTTTCTCTATGTTTGTATATTTGATTTATGTTTCAGATTCCACATATAAGTGAGAGATCATGAAATATTTTTCTTTTTACACCTGGCTTATTTCACTTAGCATAGTGCCCTCCAGTTTCATTCATTTTATGGCAAATGGCAATATGTCACTTTTTTAGGGTGGCCAGCTCTGTTCATTATGGTTATTCAAGTACTTAGGCTTATTATTTTTATTTATTTACTTATTTTACAGAGTCTCACTCTGTCACCCAGGCTGGAGTGCAATGGCAACATCTCAGCTCACTGCAACCTCCACCTCCCGGGTTCAAGCAATTCTCTTGCCTCAGCTTCGAGAGTAGCTGGGACTACAGATACGTGCCACCACACACGGCTAGTTTTTGTATTTTTTTTTTTTTTTTTTTTAGTAGAGACAGAGTTTCATCATGTTGGCCAGGCTGCTCTCGAACTCCTGACCTCAAGTGATCCACCCACCTCGGCCTCCCAAAGTGCTGGGGTTACAGACATGAGCCACCATACCCGGCCAAAGTGCTTAGGTTTATATTTTTATTTCCTGCTTGTTATTCCTTAAGACTTATATTCATCTGCATGTACAATGCCATGTCTGTCTAGTCTACTTTCCTGCCACCTCAGTGAAAGGAGCAAAATTTCATGGAAGCTTGCCTAATGTCTTAAGACTTAGGCTAAAATGCGTGTATCACTTCCACTCACATTATTTTAATAAAAACAAGAGCAGCTTTATGGGCATGTGACCTATGCAGTGCCAAAGGAACCTACACTTAGAAGGGCCCCATGCTGGAATTAATGCTCTTCTGTCACTTTTTTGAAATTCTTAAATTTTTGGACTCTTTTTGCATGCTCTTGGGAAAATTGAGCATGCATGTGAGCAGAGGAGATAAACATAATATGTGTGTCTACTGTTTCTTGCTGCACCATTTACAGATAAATTGTGCAACATTCCATGAGCACACAATTACAATGGACCCTGGGCGGATGGGAATTCAGCAAGACTCAGGGCAAGAGCAAGGTTAACATGTAGTTCTGAGACTGATTTAAGTGGGAGCACTCAGCCCTGAGAAACTTTTCTATTGAACCAGGACTTTCTTGATATGCAGAATGAAGGCTATGGTGTTTCAAGAAACAGGAACAACAAGCAAGTCTACCTTATCCTTTCTTACCAGTTTTACTTCCTTGTATTCACTTACACTGAAGATGAAAGGAAGGGGAAGTAAAAAAGCAACCTATAGTTTCTTTTCATTTCAGTCCTTTTTTACTCATCAGTAAGCCAAAAATAGAGAGCATTGAGAGTATGCATGTTTATCAAGAAGTGAAAAAAAAAGCAGTTGAGTTGATTTTGTGAAGTGTTTCCACTGTTCTGATAATAATGAAATACATATGTATAGACTATGAAACATGAATTTTGTAATTTCTGTTATTCTTCATAAGCATTAAATGCCCTAATACTTACATTGAAAGCTGGAGTTGAACAAAATGAATGTAAACAGAAAAATTAATATTAATAATTAAAATTGTTATAGCTGAGTATAGTGGCTCATGCCTGTAAACCCAGCAACTTGGGAGGCCAAGGTGAGAGGATTGCTTGAGACCAGGAATTGGAGACCAGCCTGGGCAACAAGGTAAGACCCTGTTTCTACAAATATAATAATAAAATAGCCAGGCATGGTGTCATATGCCTGTAGTCCTAGCTATTTGGGAGGTTGAGGCAGGAGAATTGCTTGAGCCCAGGATGTCCAGGATGCAGTGAGCTGTGTTTGTGCCACTGCACTCCAGCTTTGGTGACAGAGTGAGGCCCTGTCACAAGACATAATAATAATCTTGTTTATTTTTTTTCTTAAAAGACACTAATTAGCAAATACAAATATGTGATAAGTTGAGAGGAAGAAACAGATAAATGAAAGCCTTATAAATTATTAACAGTACCTTTAATGGAGCTTTTTTTTCCTGCTTCTTCAACACATCCTCTTCTCCATTCCCAACTCTACATATTTTCATATTACACGGAGCCTCACAAATGTGGAGATATCCCCAAAGGAGAACATAGTCATATTATTAAAAATTGCAATGAACCCTAGGAAGATAGAGTATTTGGACATGCTTGTGCTCCAGAAAAAAACAGTACATGAGATTTTAGTTAAGAAATAGTGGTTACTTCTTGAGCAGGTCATAAAATGAGTTTGGTAAATTCATTCTAGAAAGCTACAAGTTATGAATCTCTGTAAGAGTCCTTTTTACTTTTTCCTGAAAATTTAGAATATTAAAATTTAATATGTGGAAAGATTTGGTAACAAGCAGTTTTTAGAATGTTTATCACAGTACTGTCAAACTAATGTATCCTACTTCCTCTTCCATGAAATGTGGAAAGGAAACAGCCTGTTGCAAACCGCAGGCAAGTGGTGTGCGTGGGGCATAACTGGATTTCCATACTTTTTATGCCATTAGCATAGTCTTGTGTATAGGATGTAAAACGAAGAATCTCAGTAGCTGCAACTTTCCACCTAAGTACTAAACACTGTTTCCTAATCCACATTCACATACTCCATTTAGGCAAGTACAAAAGTCATCCTAAATCAAGTGCCATGTTTTCCTTCTTTTATCTATGTTTTCTTAAAAAAAGAGTTTTCACATACACAAAAACATCCAAAAAATTCACTGGGTATTCACTATCAGGGTACTATTTTCTTGCTATGTCAGTTTTTAAACAGTCAGTCTCAACTGAAAAAAAAGTGAAATGTAAAAAACCAAAAAAACTAAAGAAATGGGTGTTTCATATAAGTATTCACATATACACATGTGTATTAGGTACAAACATTTCATATATTTTAAAATAATGCAGAAGTTTTATCTTTATATTATAGTATGATTTAAATTATTATTTTAGTCTGATATTATGATAGATTCCAATTCCCATAGCTTTGACATTTGTGCTCTTTGCAAACCTTTGCTCAATGTTTTTATTAACTCAATTTAATGGAGCCTTTTTTATGGTGACCTTAAGAATTTAATAACTCTTCAATGCAAGGACAATACCACCTGCAGGCTCCACTGGGATTAAACTGTGACCGTTCCATATGTCTGATGGAACACATTAAAGGAAAGAAGGGGCAGAGGGAGAAGCAGCTACACAAATCTGTCACTTCCCTCTAAGCAGCAAGTACTGCTACTGTTTAGGACGGTCAATCACAGGCACGTGTAGAAAATGTCTGTGATTGCTAAGGTAATTGGCAGCTCACTTGCAGCTCCTTAATAATATTAATCTGACTTTGATCGTGTCAGATATCCTAGCCATCTTCAATTCCAAAGTGCATCTGCTCCTGACAGACATTCTGCATATGTTACAGATACGATCAATATGTTATTAGTCAACATCCTGACGCTAGCCCATGAATTAATCCCTTTCTGTCAACCTAGCAGTTTCTAGTCTTTTGTAACCTCATTCCCTCAGTATGGATGGGACCTGGCTTAATCCAATTAAGATAAAATTAACTTTTTTTTCCCCGTGGTACTCTCCATCTATGTTAATTCAAATCTCTGAGGACAGCTGCTCCAAGAAAATAATTTTATGCTTGACCTTTTATGTGCAAGATTAAAGTGGTATAGATATATGCTTGGGAAGTCAGTGAACTGTCTCTCTATTTTCACCATCCTTTAACTTTCTAGTAGTGCTGGAAAAAGTTCAACTGAACACAGATGATTGCTAAATGGCAGTGATATATTTATCTGGGTTGCAAAAAAAAAAAAAACTCAGTTTAGCTTTGTGTTTAGTAAATATGGTACCTTTGTCTTGTTGAAAGGTAAATTAATAATATGTGGTGACAGTACTATGACACTATTTAGATTTGACAAGCAAAGAATGCTTTAACAGTCTATAATATGCAAAGAGAATCACTGATACTCCTGGTACTTATGTGATACAATGACATTACCTGCTATGAAAAAACACTGATTGGAAAGATTATTTCTCTTTGAGTCAAGGCATTAAAAGTAGGGTTTCTCTGTTATTTGACCGAGACAAAGATTATATTAGGATAATATACAAGCTTCATTCCTGAGAACCTAGCATGCACGGCTTTGAGGTTCAGTGGCTATCAGGTTTTTAAGATTGTAGATCAAGTAATCTCCAGGCCAACATTTGAAAAGAGTTTGCCTCCTAGGCAAAATTGTTTTCATTTTCTATCCCTTCCTCCCTCTTCTAACCCGCCCCACCTCCTACTACTTAACTGCCTTTGGTCTCTAACTTCCTTTAAGACATTTAGAAAAATCATGCTTTTCTTCTCTAAATCAAACCCATTCTGTGGAGAAGATAAATGACAAGTCATTTCCACATCGGCGTGAATTAAAAAAATATATATTGTCTCCTCGCGGCGTTATGAGAATAAAAGTCTTTGACCCTACAACAGAAGTGAAATATTGGTAAGAAAGCCATGGAAATATTTTTACTTGAGCAGACTCCCCTATACCTGCTTTTTAATTTTTTTTTTCAATTGATTGTTAGGAACAAAAATAAGAAGCAAAGGTTCTAAGAATAGGAAGCAGGAAAAAGGATCAGCTAAGACTAACAAAATACATTATTTTAAATTTGTTAGCTACACAACCTCAACATGTGTATAACCTATATGTTTATTAGGAAATGTTTTGTTAAGAGAGCTAACATTAAATACGCACCATCTAGACTTCGGTAATAGAACAATGATGTATCTGTGAAATTCTCTGAACTCCTTCTAGTTGCAAATTTCCCCAACTTAGATATACTGTGTATTTCAATATATCACATGTTTTAGTTGTCTTAGCTTTTTAACTAAATTTGATAGATCTGATAAATTAATATTTTGATTGACCAATACAGTTATTGATATCTTTACTAACTTATATTTTGCATTTCAACAATTCCGTTCGGATCTTTTTTCTGGGGGGTGGTAGAGGCACTAAAATTCATTCTTTACAAGCTTTTGTATCTAGTGGTAGCAATCTTTTTTCAATTTTTGCTTATCTGAACTGTTAAAAATTTAACCTCATTTCTGAAAGACAGTTTTGCTGGCATACAAGTCTATATCAGAGTCATTTTGTCACAGCCTATCAAATATATTTTTATGATTTTATTTTGGCCTCCATTATCACACTAAAAAGTTAGGCTATCAGTGTCCTTTCTTCCCTTCTTAGATAATCAACGTTTTGTCTTTTTAGAAAATATCTTGTTGGCCACCTACATTTCCATAATATACATTTGCTTTTATTTAATCTGTTTGGAATTCATTAGGATGTCCAAATATGAGAAAATTCCTCATCTATCCTGGAATATTATTTTTCCCTTGAAATCTTCTCCCCCATATGAAGGTGTATTTTCACTCTCCCAATTCCCTTGATTATTTTTTTCTATCTCCTTTTTTTAGACACTTTTATATTTTTTAATCCATAATATGGTGTGCCATTTTATTTTTCATTGTTTTATTTTTAAAATAGTAGCTATGTTTTGTTTCTTTAAACAAAATTTGACAGACATATTTACTTTGCATCTGTGTCTGACATATTTTATGTTTGCTGCTGCTTTTCTGCTGGCCAAACGTTTGTTGTTCTTTGTATCTTTATGTGCTTTGTGATTTTAGAGCTCATGAACTGTAGAATTTATATTTTGATTGTTGTATTCAATAATGATTCTTGTATTTAATCTAATTCATTTCACCTAATTTAGACCATGAATTCACATGAGAGTCCTGAAATTAGGAGTCCTCAACAAAGACCTTTCCTTTTCGGTCAAACACCCAGGTTGAGATAAAAACTTTTTTCTTTTTGGCTGTGTTTTTTTTTTTTTTTTTTGTATGTCAAGTTCTATTTCATCTTTACAATGGGAATATAGCATTTGGAATTTCATGTAAAAACACATTTTTTTTTCCCATTAGATTCCTTGCCAACTTTGTGGAGCCCAAGACTTTACTACCTTCCACCTCTTCAATTCCATAGGTCCCTCAAAAAGTTGTGATTTGTGTAAGTGTAGGATTAATCTCAGCTAATATATTGCAACCCTGTGCTTACATCCAGATTGCCTGGAGCTTTCTGGGAAACTTAGCCAAGCCTGAATACATTGTACTAACTAATGATTAGTGTAGTCCTGTGCTAGGATGTGAGACAGACTGGGAGGCAACTTGACATCAGTTTATCAGCATTGTTTATAAAATATGAACAGGCTGATAGTTTGCACTGGATTGCTGTTTTGTTCTCTTGGCGTCTGCTATTGAGCACATTAATGCACACTGGTTGGGGTTTTCCTCTGATGAGACACAGTTTCCCCTGAGACTTAGGTTCCTCCCACTTTGTGGTGATTAATGATCTGAAGACCAAGTGTGTTTGAGTTGTGCAACTAAGGACAGTCCCTAGGAGCTGTGTCTATAAGTCTTGGACCTCTGTGATGTTTGCCTTTGACTTTTCTTCTCTGCTGAACCATATATTTTACCTTTATTAAAGCCTTATGTGTGTATACCCTATGGAGTATCGCAAGCCCTTTCAATTATGTGACCCTAAGTAATTGCTGCACAAGCATTTGGCAGAAACCCTCAGGGCAAAAGCCAACTTCAAAACATACTTGCCTCCCGTTCACCTTCCAAGTTTCCTACTTTCTTTGTTTTTAACCATTTAGAATTTCTTATTTCCTTGCCATATCGGCTTTTCTTCTAAAAAACTTTAAAAATATTTTATTGAGCAGTTCTAGATGCTTTCAGTGGGTAGGTCATTTATGAGGTGTAATATGTCACACTGTCTGGGATGAAAGTCAATGAACAGTAATGTAGAGAGACAAGGAAACTAACTGACACCGCTTGTTTATCTTATCAGAGTATTAGGACTATTTTTACCAAAAGAAATTGACAAATGCTGCTCTTCTTGCATAACACCACTACCATCACTACCACACACACATATACATAACACACACCCCTACTTTGCACTATTGTGTATATGATTTATGTATAGAATAAATAAATCTTAAATGTTGAGGACATTCAGGATTCACTAACTTTCCAAATACTATTCTTCTCTTTGTTGCTGTTGCCACATAGTTTATCATTTCAATATGTTTTACTTTGGCCTTAGATTCTGTAGCATACAAAATGGCAAATAGTCATAAAAGAGATTAAGCCTTATCCATAATTTTCATCCTAAAGTAAATGAATAAATGCCACTTTTTTTTTTTTAACAAATAACAGGTTATAATAGGAAAGAAAAAATGACGAGTGCATTGATAAGCTGGAAGAAGTCTTATGGGAAAAGAGGGCCATGCCAATTCAGATAGGAGTGAAATAAGAATCCAGGGTACCACAGACAAAATAGGTCACATGTGTTAGTTCTGGCTCAATATGCCCTGATAACCTGTGAAAACAAGTCTCATAGTTCCATCTGACATGTTTCATTGGCCAGACTGTGTCTATTTGGCAAAGATGAAGCATTAGGTATCTCGTTGCCTATGTACATCCTACCTGCTTGGCTTCTTTTTAATTGGAACCTGCCCCTTGTTCAAGTGGTAGGTGGCAGAGCCTCAGTGTATGCTCTGCAGCTGAGCAGCTCTGATGAGCCAGCCTCCTTCAAAGACTCTGAGCTTCATTTCTGAGCTTAGGAGATTTTAGTTGGTTTCATTTGTGGAAAACCTATAAGTAAACTTTTCACCTGAAAAAAGATGAAAGACAATTTCACATAGAGAAATCATCCAGGGACTCAAACAAGGAGACAGCTGGAGAGAGACTATTTAAAAATTTGTTCTGTTAGCTCTGATAACTTAAAGCAAGGGTAAAAACTTCTGTGCAGAGCTCAGAGAAGGTGAAAGAAATCACACAGTCTGGCAACTTCTTTTCTTTGGTCTTGCTCCCTTCTAGTTAGATAAAGCGCCCATTTTCTTTCTTAAGAAACATATTGCTATGAACTAAAAGAATAATAATAATCTTTCAAGAACAGAATTAAAACCGAAAACGTTCTGGTAATAAAGAGATACGTGAGAACCAAATTCATTCAGGGACCGAGTTATTCTTCGGAAAGTGGTTTATATGGTGGGAATCACATTCCCTCCCAAGAGGCGGAGGTTGCCAAGATCACGCCACTGAGCTCCAGCCAGAGCGAGACCCACAAAACAAAAAAGAACATTAAAAATCTGTTCTTAAAAACCTATTTCTTCAGTGGAAAAGGATATTTAATTTAATCTGTGAGAAATTCAGAAGAGCTTCTGAAAATCTAAGGAAAGCAAAGACATATTCTGATTCCATGTGTATTAAAAGTATTTGCTACTTAGATTAAGGAACACAGGAGAAATAATCTTCAAAGTGCAACTTGGAAAAGAACATGATGACTACTAGACTGTATAGGTTAAATTATACAATAATAAAGACTTAAAAGGTTGGCAGTACCTGTTTCTTTTTATAGGGTTTTGAATTTATATTGATCAAGAAAATATTTGTAATTTAAAAGTCATTATCGATTATATAATTAAGTGATAATACACAAATATTTTAGTGTATTACCTATTACATATAAACATCTATTAAAATATTGTTATTTTTAACATTACTGTTTTCAGTACAAGTATTATTGCTATTTTTAGCACAAGAAATTACTATTTTAAGTGTAAGTATTAGAAAATTTAGTTCCATTTTACTTTTTGAAACAAAACATATAGGAAATCAAAGTCATAAGAAATAAAATATATAGCACTGGCAACTGATATAATGCTGACTTTTTTTTACAGCCTTCTATAGGTCCATGTGAAATAAACATAAAGCTCTCATTCATAAAATAAGGATTGGACACTTTTTATAATTTTATTGTTTGTTAAACTATGAGGAAATTTCCAAGATATTCTGTTTTCAGTGTCATTCTCAATGTTAAAAATAAATCTGTCAATAAAGAGTGTTCCCTCCTTTGTATGTGTATGTTGCATTACCATTCTTACTGTGAGTTACTGAGAAAGCCATAGGCATATTTCTGGGAAATGTTATAATGCATATTACACATTATTTTGCCTGCACAAAATACAAAACTGATTCAAATTAGAAGTAAAGAGGGCCGGGCGCGGTGGCTCAGGCTTGTAATCCCAGCACTTTGGGAGGCCGAGGTGGCGGATCATGAGGTTAGAAGATCGAGACCATCCTAGCTAACATGGTGAAACCCCGTCTCCACTAAAAATACAAAAAATTAGCCAGGCGTAGTGGCAGGCGCCTGTAGTTCCAGCTACTCGGGAGGCTGAGGCAGGAGAATGGCATGAACCCGGGAGGTGGAGATTGCAGTGAGCCGAGGCACCACTGCACTCCAGCCTGGGCGACAGAGCAAGACTCTGTCTTAAAAAAAAAAAACAAAAAACAAAACAAAAAAACCACTAAGAATGTGAAACATATGTTTATGTTATATATATAAATACCATAATCCTCCAAAAATAATCAACTTGAAAATTTTATATTTAGCATTGAGAAAGAATCAGCTATTGAGCAAGATATAGAATTAATCATTTCATTTAGGTTGTAACACTTATTCAAATTATATTAAAATGTTGACTTCAAAATTTTAAAGGCTTACTTCCTAAACATTCACCCTGCTAAACTAAAATACTATTTCGGTTCTGCTATGGCTTACTAATGATTAAACTATAACTTTTGTTGTAGACACTCTTGTAAATGATTAGCATGTCGTGATTCAACCTGAAAATTTTGCTTTGAGCTTGTCACATTTTTCAATAATTCAATTTCCTTCAGTGTATGTGCACTTGTTTCTATTCCTGTCATACCAACAGGAGCATATATACTAGAAGTTAGATAGCAGCTCAGCACTTTGCCAAAGAGGGCATGGGAATCTTTTGCAAGTGCCACGTCTCATCTCATTCTAAGGATCTAGAGAAGCATGTTGTACAATCATCCAGGTCATAAGGTGATCTACATCTCTCATTCCATATGTAATGTGTAAAATTCCTTTTGTAGCATTGGAGTGTGGTAAATTTAACAGGGCAATGAGCTTGAACCTAAAGCCTTGGATAAAAGTTCCCAGGATTATGCTTGATGTTTGTGCAGCTTGGGAAAGTCCCCATAGATTTTAATCTATTGTGACATAAGAATACATACCAAGGCTTTTGTGAGAATTACATGAAATGACTACCTGTAAACACTGACGGATAATAATTGTATACATATGCAATAGAAAAATACCATTAATAGGAAACTTCTCCAGGCACAGTGGTACAAACCTGTAAGCCCAGAACTTTGAGGGGCTAAGGCAGGAAGATGGCTTGATACCAGGAGTTCAACACCAGCCTGGGAAACATAGTGAGACCACCACCTCTACAATTTTTTTTTAATTAGCCAGGCTAGTGGCACATGACCATAGTCTTAGCTACTTGGGAGGCTGAGGTTGGGCGGTTCACTTGAGTCCAGGAGTTTGAGGCTGCAGTGAGCTGTAATGGTTTTGTTTATACATGGCATACATTTTTTGTTGTTGTTTATACACTGTGTAAATTTTTTTTTTGTTTATAGATGGCATAAATTTTTATGTATGGCGTACATGAAGACATTCTCAGATAAAATTAAATACTAATAAATTAAAAATAAATCTCAAAGTATCATCTTCAATGTCATCAAACTTGACTCCTTTTACTCATAGAAATTTATTATCCATTCTACTTGAACTTGTAATACATTCACAGAACCATCACAAAAACACAAGCATATATATACTTGATATTTATTGTCTTTATTTTACATAAGCTGTGTATGTGCATATATGTGTGTATATCTATACATACTATATATATACACACATATATAGATATATTTATCTCTAGATATTTTAGAGAAATTTACATGAGCTGTGTATGTGCATATATGTGTATATCTATACATACTATATATACACACATATATAGATATATTTATCTCTCCAAATACATATACTTGTTTTTGAATGCCAAATGCTAAACCTATGGTTGATGTTAAAAATTGTAGAATATGAGAAAAAAATAAGTCTACAGATAAGATATTATCAGGAACATCCTCTCACCCTTTGGTTGTATGCAATTCCCAGGGAGGTAGTTATTAGGATAATTTTAAAAAGTCAATATATGTCAATTATGCAATAAATTTTTCCATCTCTTTGTCTTAAGTCAGGCTTGTTCCAGGATGTTACTTAATGTTAATAGTTTGATTGATGCTATATTACTTGCCAAGTTCTTTTATTTTTTTTTATTTTTTTTTATTTATTTTTATTTTTATTTTTATTTTTTTTTAATTTTTTTTTTTTATTATACTCTAAGTTTTAGAGTACATGTGCACATTGTGCAGGTTAGTTACATATGTATACATGTGACATGCTGGTGTGCTGCACCCACTAACTCGTCATCTAGCCTTAGGTATATCTCCCAATGCTATCCCTCCCCCCTCCCCCGACCCCACCACAGTCCCCAGAGTGTGATATTCCCCTTCCTGTGTCCATGTGATCTCATTGTTCAATTCCCACCTATGAGTGAGAATATGCAGTGTTTGGTTTTTTGTTCTTGCGATAGTTTACTGAGAATGATGGTTTCCAATTTCATCCATGTCCCTACAAAGGACATGAACTCATCATTTTTTATGGCTGCATAGTATTCCATGGTGTATATGTGCCACATTTTCTTAATCCAGTCTATCATTGTTGGACATTTGGGTTGGTTCCAAGTCTTTGCTATTGTGAATAGTGCCACAATAAACATACGTGTGCATGTGTCTTTATAGCAGCATGATTTATAGTCCTTTGGGTATATACCCAGTAATGGGATGTCTGGGTCAAATGGTATTTCTAGTTCTAGATCCCTGAGGAATCGCCACACTGACTTCCACAATGGTTGAACTAGTTTACAGTCCCACCAACAGTGTAAAAGTGTTCCTATTTCTCCACATCCTCTCCAGCACCTGTTGTTTCCTGACTTTTTAATGATTGCCATTCTAACTGGTGTGAGATGATATCTCATAGTGGTTTTGATTTGCATTTCTCTGATGGCCAGTGATGATGAGCATTTCTTCATGTGTTTTTTGGCTGCATAAATGTCTTCTTTTGAGAAGTGTCTGTTCATGTCCTTTGCCCACTTTTTGATGGGGTTGTTTGTTTTTTTCTTGTAAATTTGTTTGAGTTCATTGTAGATTCTGGATATTAGCCCTTTGTCAGATGAGTAGGTTGCAAAAATTTTCTCCCATGTTGTAGGTTGCCTGTTCACTCTGATGGTAGTTTCTTTTGCTGTGCAGAAGCTCTTGAGTTTAATTAGATCCCATTTGTCAATTTTGTCTTTTGCTGCCATTGCTTTTGGTGTTTTGGACATGAAGTCCTTGCCCACGCCTATGTCCTGAATGGTAATGCCTAGGTTTTCTTCTAGGGTTTTTATGGTTTGAGGTCTAACGTTTAAATCTTTAATCCATCTTGAATTGATTTTTGTGTAAGGTGTAAGGAAGGGATCCAGTTTCAGCTTTCTACATATGGCTAGCCAGTTTTCCCAGCACCATTTATTAAATAGGGAATCCTTTCCCCATTGCTTGTTTTTCTCAGGTTTGTCAAAGATCAGATAGTTGTAGATATGCGGCATTATTTCTGAGGGCTCTGTTCTGTTCCATTGATCTATATCTCTGTTTTGGTACCAGTACCATGCTGTTTTGGTTACTGTAGCCTTGTAGTATAGTTTGAAGTCAGGTAGTGTGATGCCTCCAGCTTTGTTCTTTTGGCTTAGGATTGACTTGGCGATGCGGGCTCTTTTTTGGTTCCATATGAACTTTAAAGTAGTTTTTTCCAATTCTGTGAAGAAAGTCATTGGTAGCTTGATGGGGATGGCATTGAATCTGTAAATTACCTTGGGCAGTATGGCCATTTTCACGATATTGATTCTTCCTACCCATGAGCATGGAATGTTCTTCCATTTGTTTGTGTCCTCTTTTATTTCCTTGAGCAGTGGTTTGTAGTTCTCCTTGAAGAGGTCCTGCACATCCCTTGTAAGTTGGATTCCTAGGTATTTTATTCTCTTTGAAGCAATTGTGAATGGGAGTTCACTCATGATTTGGCTCTCTGTTTGTCTGTTGTTGGTGTATAAGAATGCTTGTGATTTTTGTACATTGATTTTGTATCCTGAGACTTTGCTGAAGTTGCTTATCAGCTTAAGGAGATTTTGGGCTGAGACGATGGGGTTTTCTAGATAAACAATCATGTCGTCTGCAAACAGGGACAATTTGACTTCCTCTTTTCCTAATTGAATACCCTGTATTTCCTTCTGCTGCCTGATTGCCCTGGCCAGAACTTCCAACACTATGTTGAATAGGAGTGGTGAGAGAGGGCATCCCTGTCTTGTGCCAGTTTTCAAAGGGAATGCTTCCAGTTTTTGCCCATTCAGTATGATATTGGCTGTGGGTTTGTCATAGATAGCTCTTATTATTTTGAAATACGTCCCATCAATACCTAATTTATTGAGAGTTTTTAGCATGAAGGGTTGTTGAATTTTGTCAAAGGCTTTTTCTGCATCTATTGAGATAATCATGTGGTTTTTGTCTTTGGCTCTGTTTATATGCTGGATTACATTTATTGATTTGCGTATATTGAACCAGCCTTGCATCCCAGGGATGAAGCCCACTTGATCATGGTGGATAAGCTTTTTGATGTGCTGCTGGATTCGGTTTGCCAGTATTTTATTGAGGATTTTTGCATCAATGTTCATCAAGGATATTGGTCTAAAATTCTCTTTTTTGGTTGTGTCTCTGCCCGGCTTTGGTATCAGAATGATGCTGGCCTCATAAAATGAGTTAGGGAGGATTCCCTCTTTTTCTATTGATTGGAATAGTTTCAGAAGGAATGGTACCAGTTCCTCCTTGTACCTCTGGTAGAATTCGGCTGTGAATCCATCTGGTCCTGGACTCTTTTTGGTTGGTAAACTATTGATTATTGCCACAATTTCAGAGCCTGTTATTGGTCTATTCAGAGATTCAACTTCTTCCTGGTTTAGTCTTGGGAGAGTGTATGTGTCAAGGAATGTATCCATTTCTTCTAGATTTTCTAGTTTATTTGCGTAGAGGTGTTTGTAGTATTCTCTGATGGTAGTTTGTATTTCTGTGGGATCGGTGGTGATATCCCCTTTATCATTTTTTATTGTGTCTATTTGATTCTTCTCTCTTTTTTTCTTTATTAGTCTTGCTAGCGGTCTATCAATTTTGTTGATCCTTTCAAAAAACCAGCTCCTGGATTCATTGATTTTTTGAAGGGTTTTTTGTGTCTCTATTTCCTTCAGTTCTGCTCTGATTTTAGTTATTTCTTGCCTTCTGCTAGCTTCTGAATGTGTTTGCTCTTGCTTTTCTAGTTCTTTTAATTGTGATGTTAGGGTGTCAATTTTGGATCTTTCCTGCTTTCTCTTGTAGGCATTTAGTGCTATAAATTTCCCTCTACACACTGCTTTGAATGCGTCCCAGAGATTCTGGTATGTGGTGTCTTTGTTCTCGTTGGTTTCAAAGAACATCTTTATTTCTGCCTTCATTTCGTTATGTACCCAGTAGTCATTCAGGAGCAGGTTGTTCAGTTTCCATGTAGTTGAGCGGCTTTGAGTGAGATTCTTAATCCTGAGTTCTAGTTTGATTGCACTGTGGTCTGAGAGATAGTTTGTTATAATTTCTGTTCTTTTACATTTGCTGAGGAGAGCTTTACTTCCAACTATGTGATCAATTTTGGAATAGGTGTGGTGTGGTGCTGAAAAAAATGTATATTCTGTTGATTTGGGGTGGAGAGTTCTGTAGATGTCTATTAGGTCTGCTTGGTGCAGGGCTGAGTTCAATTCCTGGGTATCCTTGTTGACTTTCTGTCTCGTTGATCTGTCTAATGTTGACAGTGGGGTGTTAAAGTCTCCCATTATTAATGTGTGGGAGTCTAAGTCTCTTTGTAGGTCACTCAGGACTTGCTTTATGAATCTGGGTGCTCCTGTATTGGGTGCATAAATATTTAGGATAGTTAGCTCCTCTTGTTGAATTGATCCCTTTACCATTATGTAATGGCCTTCTTTGTCTCTTTTGATCTTTGTTGGTTTAAAGTCTGTTTTATCAGAGACTAGGATTGCAACCCCTGCCTTTTTTTGTTTTCCATTGGCTTGGTAGATCTTCCTCCATCCTTTTATTTTGAGCCTATGTGTGTCTCTGCACGTGAGATGGGTTTCCTGAATACAGCACACTGATGGGTCTTGACTCTTTATCCAACTTGCCAGTCTGTGTCTTTTAATTGCAGAATTTAGTCCATTTATATTTAAAGTTAATATTGTTATGTGTGAATTTGATCCTGTCGTTATGATGTTAGCTGGTGATTTTGCTCGTTAGTTGATGCAGTTTCTTCCTAGTCTCGATGGTCTTTACATTTTGGCATGATTTTGCAGTGGCTGGTACCGGTTGTTCCTTTCCATGTTTAGCGCTTCCTTCAGGAGCTCTTTTAGGGCAGGCCTGGTGGTGACAAAATCTCTCAGCATTTGCTTGTCTATAAAGTATTTTATTTCTCCTTCACTTATGAAGCTTAGTTTGGCTGGATATGAAATTCTGGGTTGAAAATTCTTTTCTTTAAGAATGTTGAATATTGGCCCCCACTCTCTTCTGGCTTGTAGGGTTTCTGCCGAGAGATCCGCTGTTAGTCTGATGGGCTTTCCTTTGAGGGTAACCCGACCTTTCTCTCTGGCTGCCCTTAACATTTTTTCCTTCATTTCAACTTTGGTGAATCTGACAATTATGTGTCTTGGAGTTGCTCTTCTCGAGGAGTATCTTTGTGGCGTTCTCTGTATTTCCTGAATCTGAACGTTGGCCTGCCTTGCTAGATTGGGGAAGTTCTCCTGGATAATATCCTGCAGAGTGTTTTCCAACTTGGTTCCATTCTCCACATCACTTTCAGGTACACCAATCAGACGTAGATTTGGTCTTTTCACATAGTCCCATATTTCTTGGAGGCTTTGCTCATTTCTTTTTATTCTTTTTTCTCTAAACTTCCCTTCTCGCTTCATTTCATTCATTTCATCTTCCATTGCTGATACCCTTTCTTCCAGTTGATCGCATCGGCTCCTGAGGCTTCTGCATTCTTCACGTAGTTCTCGAGCCTTGGTTTTCAGCTCCATCAGCTCCTTTAAGCACTTCTCTGTATTGGTTATTCTAGTTATACATTCTTCTAAATTTTTTTCAAAGTTTTCAACTTCTTTGCCTTTGGTTTGAATGTCCTCCCGTAGCTCAGAGTAATTTGATCGTCTGAAGCCTTCTTCTCTCAGCTGGTCAAAATCATTCTCCATCCAGCTTTGTTCTGTTGCTGGTGAGGAACTGCGTTCCTTTGGAGGAGGAGAGGCGCTCTGCGTTTTAGAGTTTCCAGTTTTTCTGTTCTGTTTTTTCCCCATCTTTGTGGTTTTATCTACTTTTTGTCTTTGATGATGGTGATGTACAGATGGGTTTTCGGTGTAGATGTCCTTTCTGGTTGTTAGTTTTCCTTCTAACAGACAGGACCCTCAGCTGCAGGTCTGTTGGAATACCCTGCTGTGTGAGGTGTCAGTGTGCCCCTGCTGGGGGGTGCCTCCCAGTTAGGCTGCTCGGGGGTCAGGGGTCAGGGACCCACTTGAGGAGGCAGTCTGCCCGTTCTCAGATCTCCAGCTGCGTGCTGGGAGAACCACTGCTCTCTTCAAAGCTGTCAGACAGGGACACTTAAGTCTGCAGAGGTTACTGCTGTCTTTTTGTTTGTCTGTGCCCTGCCCCCAGAGGTGGAGCCTACAGAGGCAGGCAGGCCTCCTTGAGCTGTGGTGGGCTCCACCCAGTTCGAGCTTCCCAGCTGCTTTGTTTACCTAAGCAAGCCTGGGCAATGGCGGGCGCCCCTCCCCCAGCCTCGCTGCCGCCTTGCAGTTTGATCTCAGACTGCTGTGCTAGCAATCAGCGAGACTCCGTGGGCGTAGGACCCTCTGAGCCAGGTGCGGGATATAGTCTCGTGGTGCGCCATTTCTTAAGCCGGTCTGAAAAGCGCAATATTCGGGTGGGAGTGACCCGATTTTCCAGGTGCGTCCGTCACCCCTTTCTTTGACTCGGAAAGGGAACTCCCTGACCCCTTGCGCTTCCCAGGTGAGGCAATGCCTCGCCCTGCTTCGGCTCGCGCAGGGTGCGCGCACACACTGACCTGCACCCACTGTCTGGCACTCCCTAGTGAGATGAACCCGGTACCTCAGATGGAAATGCAGAAATCACCCGTCTTCTGCGTCGCTCACGCTGGGAGCTGTAGACCGGAGCTGTTCCTATTCGGCCATCTTGGCTCCTCCGCCAAGTTCTTTTAAAACACACCACAAGTCCAAGAGAGCTTTAAAATGAGTGGCCATGGACGGGCGTGGTGGCTCATGCCTGTAATGCCAGCACTTTGGGAGGCTGAGGTGGATAGATCACTAGGTCAGGATATCTAGACCATCCTGGCCAACATGGTGAAACCATGTCTCTACTAAAAATACAAAAATTAGCTGGGCCTGGTGGCGGGTACCTGTAATCCCAGCTACTCAGGAGGCTGAGGTAGGAGAATCTCTTGAACCCGGGAGGCAGAGGTTGCAGTGAGCCGAGATTGTGCCACTACACTCCAGCCTGGTGACAGAGAGAGACTCTGTCTCAAAAAAAAAAAAAATAGTGCCCACAGCAAAAATATCTTCTAAAATTTATGAACAACAAATTGCTCCAGAAATGTTACATTTTGATTATTGGCCAACCCACTTTTAGCCGAGAATATCTGGTGATGACAAATATTCTACCACTCAGACAATCATTTTTCCATGGCATTCTGAGAGTCTTAAATAGCTTAAATATTTAGGATGCTCAACTTGACTCAAAGTCTGAGTCTATGTTCTACTGGCTAGATACCACGGTTACTAATTTCTTTCTTTTACCCATTCCATTCTACTTGAAACCATTACTCTAATTAGATTATCATCTTAAAAATAACCCTTGTAAATGATAGAGATTTGGGCAATCAAATATCAGCTTCTTCCTAGAATAAATAGTAATGCCCAATGCATTACTTAGGATTCTCTGTGTGTAAATTAACACACAGCACAATTGATATCAACTTAAATAATAAGGGACATTTATTGGTTTGCATTATTAGATAGTCCAGACACAAAATAGGTTTCAGGGTTGTGTTTATTCACTGACTCACTGATGAGCTGGTACTTTCTTTCCTGTGAGCTCTGCCTTCCATGATTTCAAGTCCCTCAAGGGAAAATGGCCAGAGAAATTCACTCTGCACAGCACACTATTCAGAGGGATGGAGAAGGCTGGCATCCATCAATTACTGGAAAAGAAAAACCATGCTTTCTAGAAATTCCTAATGCACTTTTCTCTTTTTCTAATTATGTCTGTTTGGAGTAACATGCCCTTTCTTGAACAATTTCAATTGGACAAAGGGATACATAATAGTTAATTTAGATTTGATATCCTAGATCATTCAGGTTGCAAAGAAAATGGAATTTGGATTTCCAATCTAGACATTTTCATTCTGATGTCAAAGTTAAAAGAATATGAGAATTAGGGCATTTTCATGCATGTATATTCTCAGATATTTTTCTATCAAACTCCTCCCTCCAGGAAGCCTCAAGGGAGTATGAACTTCTCAGATGAGAGTGTAACCCAAGAAAGAGAAGACATGAGATCTAGAAAACAGATGAGCCAGAGCCTCAGAAAGATGCTGTAAATCTCAGAATGATCATGAGGAAGATTTTTGGATAACAGTGTTCAAGATACACAAAACACTGTATTAGTCTGTTTTCATGCTTCTGATAAAGGTATACCCGAGACTGGGTAATTTATAAAGAAAAAGAGGTTTAAAGGACTCACAGTTCCACCTGGCTGGGGAGGCCTCACAATCATGGCAGAAGGTGAGGGAAGAACAAAGGCACATTTTACATGGCAGCAGGCAAAGAGAATGAAAGCCAAGCAAAAGGGGAAACTTGTATAAAACCATCAGATCTCATGAGACTTATTCACTACCACAAGAACAGTATGGGAAAGACCTGCCCCCATGATTCAGTTACCTCCTACCAGGTCTCTCCCACAACACATGGGAATTATGGTAACTACAATTCAAGATGAAATTTGGGTGGGGACACAGCCAAACCATATCAAACACCTATTTAAAAAAATCAAGAACTATGTAATAGAAAAAAATTGGCAAAACATATAAACTGGCACATTACAGATGAAGAAATACTAATATTCAGTTAACATGAAATGACATTCAAGTTCACTTGTTACTAGAAAATGATTTTAATGGTATGTACTCTAATTTTAACTATTGCACTTGCTGTAATTGTGCAGTTTTGTTGAGCTAAATAAGTTCTAAATTTATATCTTCATTTAACAGTTAATTCTTATATTTTCATTGGGTAATTTAGTATAAGATCTCTATATCATGAATGATTATCTTGATATAGTAATCTGCATTATTTTAATCAGATTTTCCCCAGCACATGATAAAAAAAAATCTCACGTAACTATGTGTGATATTTGCTTAATATATCGTTTTTACAAAAGTGAATTTCAGGCCATCACAACTGTGAATATGCACTTAAAATACCGTCTCATATTTTACAATGTTTCCTGTGGTGTAAGCTGAAATTTGGGGTTAGCAAACCTATCATTAAAAGAGCACACTTATGTTTTCTTTATAAATTCACATGATGTCAATTAAAACTGCCAAGTAGAGCATATCTTGTTGCTTAGAGGAATATTAATTTTTCCTTTTTAAATAGTCTTATTACAAACTGAATACAGAGTATCTACAAATAATACAGAAACTATTTGTAGTGTATGCCTAGAATGTGAAGACTAAAAATATGAGAGCTCACTTACCCACCAGCCACGCTACAAAGTAAAACATAATCCTTGAAGCCCCATGCATGCTCCTTTCCTGACCCTATCTATCTCTGTCAAACCTCAGAAAACTGCTCTATAGAACTTTAAATATTATTCACTTATGGATGAAAATCCCAGCTCACCACTTCCCAGGTCATTGATTTTCAGCAAGATTCTTGCTCTTTCTCTATTTCATATCAGAATAGAATTTTTATGAGAAAGACATTAAATAATATATAAATTGTGTTTCTATATAGACAGTCCATTGCATACTACAAGCTCCACACATGCTAGCTAGTAATACTGGCAGTATTAGTAATGGTATTAGAATTATACTACAAAGAGAAAAAATAGAATTAGTCATGTATTTTCCTTCCCTGGGATATTTCAGAAATACATCTTGATTTATTGATTCGATGTTTCAAGTCTATTTATTTTTTGCTTTGTCTTTGTTGGAGTCCACATTATCTACAAGAGTTCCACTGACTTCACAAAATCTTGAGACTTAGAGCAGCTTGTTTCTTCACAATCTGTAGAAGATTAAGAAAGGAATTAAGATTTTTAATTCATATGTAAAATTCAGAATGCACACACCCAGAAAATAAGCATTCAGAGAATGTAAACATTTGACACTTCACGTTTACTAGGAGGTAGGGATGGACAGAACCATAATAGAAGGTCCAGAAAGAGCAAAGTTAGCAATAGGAAGAGACAAAAATAGTTAAAAAAAAATACACATCCTGATAAATGTGTATACTATTTTGTTACATTGCAAGGAGAACAAACTTGATAAGAAAAATTTTCATGTGTTCAGCTGCTAGGAATGCCAGGACCATACCACTGTGATCAATGGTAGAAGGAGAGGATTTGGAAATTGACTGGATATGGAGAAGCTACTGACCCAGCTGAGTGCTGGCTCTTTGGAGATATGCTGAAGTCCAAACTTTGTGTAAAAGGGCATTAAAAATTCGATGTATTTAGCTTAGATTTCAGTTTAGAGAGAGGACATTCTGATATTGGATGACACTTGAAGTCTGTGTGAAACACCATAATGTATACAATTATTTCAGAACAGATCTAATATCAACAGTGAAAACACATCAGACATAGGGTCTAGGTTTTACTGTATGTATTTAACCAAATTCATTTACCCATTAGTTCACTTAAATACCATTAAAGCCTAGTATTTTCTAAAATTTTCTAGTGCATCAAGAATACAGCTGTGGACAAGAATGGCTAGAATTGAGATCATGTATAACAAAGGCTATCATTAAAGACTGATGATTAAAAAAGTAATTGCAATGTAGTTTTGATTTGCCCAACCATTTAGAAGTGCACAACAGAGTGCCTAACATCAGATCATTCAGGTTTTAAATTGCTGAATAGGAACCCAAGGCAGAATCTCATTCTTATAAAAACAAGGAGTTAGTTTTAGAGTAGATTCAGGTAAGTGGACACTAAGATATTCAGAGCTCTTTTCAAGTGCACAGACATCAGATCTATAGAATTAGACCACAAATTTCACTGGAAATCTAATAACCTCATTGCTTTGCTTATGTCAGTCAAGACTTCATTGAGGTTAGCCTCAATGGGGATATCCTCATTGAGGATAACTACTAGTAATTAAAATGGGTAGAACTAGTAAAAGATGGGCTTAGCATAACCATAGGTGCCAGGGGTGCATCAACTAAATTTCGTATTTTAGAAGGGTCGCGTATAGAAATCAGGCCCTCTAGTAGTAACGTGCTGTCAGGCTCTCAATTTATAACGTTGATGATCTAAATTCACAGTTAATTCTAATTTGCAGGAGTTGTAGCAAGAAAAAATCAGAAGGGGGCAGCAAAGAGCTATCTGGGCCAGAGAAGATCCAATTTGAAAAGTAGCCAAAGAAGATTACCTTGTGTTAAATTACACAGAAAATGCTCTTCCAAAAGGGTGTCAAACCCATCAGAGTCATGGACCCAGATTACCTTTGACCTACTAGATGTTATTTTGCCCTGGTTTTCTTCCTGTCTCTCTGAGTATGTCTTAGTTTTCTTGCCTGTTTCTCTTTTCTCTATGTAACAATTATATATTTGTTTTCCAGGATTCTGGTCTTCATCTACTTTATTCTTGCTTTCCATACTTGCCGTCTCTTTATTTTAATGTATATTCTCTCATCCACTTCCACAGTAATAATTACCATGAACATTCTGAGAGAGAGCCTCTGCTAGCACATGAGACAGCCTTGGTGAGAGTTAGGAAATCATGCCACCTTTTATTGTATGATTTCAAGTAACTACCCCTGTTTTTACTTAAATCTGCTTCTTTTTCTCCAGCCCCTAATAGACTTTAATAACCTCTTGGGTAAACCAATGGCCGTCTTCAGTCTCATTTCTTTTCCCCTAGGCAAAGGCACAGACTTCAAACCAATAAAATAAACATGGTTTTATGTTAGAAATTCACAAATACCCATCACTAAACAGTCTTCCAATACTAAGACTCTGTAATTACCTTCCAACCAGTCATGTACACTAGAATATGTGGCAGACATGTCAAAAACCAAACTCATTACCTTTCACCAAAAATATATGACTTCTATATTTGCTCTTTTGGTTAATCGTGATTCCTTGTACACCATCTGCCAAGTTTGGATGCTGTTACTAACCCCATTAATTTTAGTTCATAAATGACACCTCAACCTGGAAATGTGATAGCCTTATTGCTTTGTTCATGCCTCAAGACTTCAATGATACTAACCTTGGAGAGTGTAACCATTAGTAATTAAAAATAGATACAACCAAGAGTTTTTGCTAATGTTTTCCATAGACTAGGTTACACCTTCTCTCACAATTTGCTTGCCCATGATTTAGTCCTCGAGTCACTGGCACCTGGTTTTCAGGCCCACTCTTCCAAGGAAACTAACATTCTCTATGACATAGCCTTTCTTTACTAAGTCCAGTGAATCTTTCCGATATACTTTGTTTTTGCGGTGTTTGAAACTACTCACCTCATCTTCCTCAGAATGTTCTCTTCTACCGCATTTAAAGTTCTCCATCCTCTTTTTTCTCTCATGTCCTCTCTCTCTCTCGTGTGTGTGTGTGTGTGTGTGTATGTGTGTGTGTGTTGTCAGCTTCCTCTGACTATAAGAAAATTCTGAAACAATGGTATTTAGGAGATTTCATTTCTCAATCTTCCTACTTCTGTCTCTGTGTCCTCTCTGACTACAAGTAAATAATGAAATATTGATATTTAGGAGAGTTCTGATGTCAGTCTTCCTACTTCTCTCTCTTCCTCCTCTCTCTAGGTGCTGGGATCATTCTCACGATTTCACCTTCTATCTACAAGCTTAAGACTCCCCAAATTTATATCTATCTCTACATGTTTAATGGATGTCTTCACTTAAAAGTCATCAGGTACCTCAAATATGCTCAAGATGTAATGTAGCATCTTCTTCCCTAACCATGATATATTTCTCAAATTGGACACTCTGTTTACAGAATTATTCCCCTACTTTTACAAGCATGAATGATGAAGTCATTTAAAATTCCTTGCTTTACTTTCCTTCTTTCATTCCTCACAAAAAGTCCCATTCCCTTCATTTATCTCCAAAAGTAATGATACTCTTCTTCCCATCATCTCTATTGCTGTTAGGACTTACTGTATCTCCCTTAGATTACTACAATGAAACTTCAATAATCTGTTTTACCCTATTTTTATCTATTCTTCTCCAATCATCCACAATGTGCATCTAATCAATTAACTACCCATATATTTCTCTTTAATTATTCCACAGAATGTATGCAAAAATGTATAAAGTTCTTAAATTTTATTATTTGCACTCTTCAAAAAACTCTCAGAGCTCTCACCTCTCTGACTCTTATATGCTTCTCTCCAGCTGTATTAACAATAATTTTAATATAATACAAACATTTAGTATTTACTATATGCCAAATATCTCAGTTTTCTTAATTATCAGATTTTTCTCTTGTGTCTTTGTGAAGGCTACTCCTGCTTTCTGAAATACATTTGCATACTGTTTGCCAACTCCTGTCCTTGAAGTCAGATGCCAACACTCCCCAAAGGTTTGATGCTCTTTGTACTGATGTCCTTTGTACATGCCCTTTGTATGTGGCATATTTCTATCTGAAAACCACTCAAATGTATTTATCAAGTGTTTACATATAATTGCAAAATGGAAGAAAACTCCAAGTTTAAATAGTCAATCTACCAATTTATTCTACCAAGGTATTATTGAAAACATGATAATATATCATTGACATTTGACGCACACATGTAGATAATTTAAGGACCACTAAATATAATTGAGATCTAAGAGAAATTGATATTTGGTAAATTAGAGACCTAATTATTTTTATGGTTCTTTTAGCAATGCAGCGATACATTCAACATTTGATGTTATGATAAAATTAGATTTGTACTCATTCTGTATATTTGAGAAATTTATTGGTATCTTGTAATCAGGTATTATTGGAATCAGGATATCAGTCAGTTTTGTAGGTCTATAGTTGTCTTGATTACATATTTTCACTAAGCGTTTTTAAAATAAAGTAAATCCTAGCTTTAATCTCCACTTGGTTCTATTTTAAATATCAAGCTATATTTAGAATAATAAAGTCAACTCTCAGTCATATGTCTCAGATACTCATGCTAGCATGAAATTACACAGGCAGATTTCCCCAGCTTTGGAGAAAAGATAAATGGGACCCTGTTATCTTGAATTTGTTGCAGCATTATACCAGACAATAGCCAAAGCTAAGGCCAGGTTTTGTTAATTATATAGATTTTGAGGCAAAGCTTTGCATACGGAAGGGTCTGTATTATTTTTCTATAGTTTAAAGCTTTAATACTATGCAGTTCATTTTCTAGCATGCATAAGCTGCTCTGTAATAGAGTTTCAACAGTTTCATTTCTTTTTATGGAAAAGCAAGTTTCTGACTGTATCAGGACAAAGTACATCAACAGTCATCAAAAAGAGGAAAAGAAAACTTCTATTCCACCAATAATATTTAGTCTCTTGCTTAAATCCTGATTTTAGGTTCACACCTATTTACTGAATTCTGTCTGGCTATTTGTTTTTTACTGGATATTTCTCTGAGGGTTACTTGTCAGGTCTTTCTTCCTTGTTTTGGTTCAAATCCCCACCTTAACCTCTATATTTGCACCATTTTGTATCCAATTTAGAAAGAGATATTTTACTTACAAATCAGAAACTAGAAAGAACTCACTCAGATCACACTTTCCTAAACTGTGAATAAATAAACTTTGTTCATAAAATTATTTAGGAATGTATCTGTAGTCACCTTGTAAGAGATAATATTGAAAATAAAAATTCACATTAATGGTAGGAGCTGATTGAATCCGTTCATTCCGACAGCAATGTGGGTCTTAAGAAGATATTTTTAAATTTCCTCCTCTTTAAAAAAGGAGATTTAAATCTTTCTGCAAAGGAGAAAGACTACATAATCTGTGAGAGTCCAAGAATTCAGGGTACATATACAGGGAAGCCAAGTAGAGCAAGTCAGAGACATCAGTGATCATGTTCAACAGAAGAGGTGCCCTTTATATGAGCTTGTGCAGGTCAACACACTGAGATATTTAAAAATTTCAAGGAGCCAGTCAGTGTTGGGGAAACTTAGAAGCAGGGTTACTTTGCTTCAGAACAGAATTTGATGGGCCCTTATTTTTAAGCTCCAAAACATGCCTTTCATTTTCCTAAAATAGTATATAATTTATGGATTGGCATGTGACAGGTTAAAGACTAAGAATGAATGGTAGAGGAGAGGCATGGAAATCATTTAATGAGCTCAATTAAGGACAGTTACCTGTATTCGACAGAATATATGTTAGCCCGATAACTGGGTCAGCAAAGATTTTGAGCATGAGGTTATGTAACATTTAATAATCAGGGTTCTGGTTTCATCTAGAACTAACCTACATAAACAGCAGCAAAGACAGATGGCTCATATTACTTTTTATGTGCCTTAAAACATTTTTACATGGTTTGTACTAAATTAAAAAAAATACTGCAGCATCCTCCTGAACATATAAATAAAACTTAGGAAATCAATACAAAAATCACTTTTACAGGTTGAACATCTCTAATATGAAATAAAAAATCCGAAATGCTCCAGTTGTTGAGTGCTGACACGAAACCACCAGTGGAAAATCTCACACCTGACCTTATGTGGCAGGTCACAGTCAAAACACAGTCAAAACTTTGTTCCATACACAAAATTATTTAAAATATTGTATAAAATTACCCTTAGGCTATGTGTATTACTTGTATATGAAACACGAGTGAGTTTTGTGTTTAGATTTGGGTTCCATCCACAAGATACGCCATATATGCAAATATTCCCAAATCTGAAAAAACCTGGAATCTGAAACATTTCTGGTCCTAAGCATTTTAGATAATGGATACTCAACCTGTACATAATCTTTCTTGTAGATGAGAGATTGTTGAAACAAGCAGAAAGATTTTTAATCACCCAAATGCTAATAATAACAAATTTCCCCATGAAATCACTGAATCAAGCTCATTTGTGCACTTCTTTTATTTAAGTTGACACTTCTTTTATTTACTCATTAGTTCATTGATTCACTTATGTAATAAAAACATTCTAAGGATCACTTCTATAGCATTTTAGCAATTATTATATGTGTATTTTGGATTATTGAAAGGACTCATATGACTACACAATGTATACTCAAGTGAAATGTTAATAATGACAATGTGTATGATAAAACAGGAGAAGGAAAACACAGGCAAACATCATGGAGTTCCCAGACATTCAGGCAAAAATTTTCAAGATATCTCATTCTCTTGAAAAATGCTACATCTCATGATCAGAAACCTTGAAGGTGTATCTTGGTGTCAGGGGAACTGAGGCAAAGCTTACTGAGAGTGCTTGTTTCTTTTTAATACCTTATTAGTCATACAGCCAAAACCACCCTTGGTAACCAGTTAAATCAAGTTCAACTCATCTGTCTGTACATTTTCTATAAAGAATGGTGCCAGGCCACCAGGGGAGCTTCAGGACTTTAAATACCACAGAATAGATCATTAATACATATTATTTTATTCTTATCTTGGCCCAGAGTTTGTCAGATGGAGCTTATATTAGGTTGGTGCAAAAGTAATTGCGGTTTTAGACCATGAAATTTAAATCATTATAACTAGGCTCAAACACATCTTTATTAATCAAAGTAGAAACCATTACAATCAACCCGTTTTTGCCAATGAGAAATGTTTATTCCTGTAGCATAAAAAATTGTGCTTCAGAATTTGACAAATTCATGGAAAGCATTTTCTGCATCCTGCTGAAAGTGGAAGCATTTTACCTGAAAAAAGTTGTTGAGACGCTTGAAGAAGTGGTAGTAGGTTTGCAAGAGGTTAGGTGAGTATGACAGATAAGGCAAAACTTCATAGCTAATTCTTTCAACTGTTGAAGCATTCGTTGTGCAATGTGTGTTCGGGCATTGTTGTGAAGAATTGGCCCCTTCTGATGACCAATGCTGGCTGCAGGCATTGAGTATTCATTACATCTCATCAATTTGCTGAGCATACTTGTCAGATGTAATGGTTTCATCAGGATTCAGAAAGCTGTAGAGAATCAGACTGGCAGCAGACCACCAAATAGTCACATCACCTTTTTTTTTGGTGCAAGTTTGGCTTTGGGAAGTGCTTTGAAGCTTCTTCTCAGTCCAACCACTGAGCTTTTCATCAGCAGTTGCCATATAAAATCCACTTTTCATCGTACATCACAATGTGATTGAGAAATGGTTGATTGTTGTTGAATAGAATAAGGAAAGATGACACTTCAAAATGACAATTCTTTTGATTTTCACTCGGCTCATGAGGCACCCACTTATCAAACTTTTTCACCTATCCAATTTGCTTCAAATATTGAATGACCATAGAATGGTCAACACTGAGTTCTTCAGCAACTCCTCCTATAGTTGTAATAGAATCAGCTTTGATAATTGCTCTCAATTGGTCATTGTCAGCTTCCAATATCCAGCCACCATGCTCCTCATCTTCAAGGCTCTGGTCTCCTTTGAAAAACTTTTTTTTTTTTTTTTTTTTTTTTTTTTTTTTTTTTTTTTTGAGGCAGAGTCTCACTCTGCCACCCAGGCTGGAGTGCAGTGGCACGATCACGCTCACTGCATGCTCCGCCTCCCTGGTTCATGCCATTCTCCTGCCTCAGCCTCCCGAGTAGCTGGGACTACAGGCGCCCGCCACCACACCTGGCTAATTTTTTGTATTTTTCGTAGAGACGGGGTTTCACCATGTTAGCCGGGATGGTCTCGATCTCCTGACCTCGTGATCCACCTACCTCGGCCTCCCAAAGTGCTAGGATTACAGGCGTGAGCCACCACGCCCGGCGTGAAAAACTTCTTGAACCATCACTACATTGTATGTTTGACAGCAGTTCTTGGGCCAAATGCATTGTTGATCTTGCCAGTGGTCTCTGCTGCTTTACGACCCATTTTGAACTTGAATAAGAAAATCATTCGAATTTGCGTTTTGTCTAACATCATTTCCATTATCTAAAATAAACTTAAACAGCAAGTAATAAGTGATTAACAAAAAAAAATTTAAGCGAGAAGGGCCCATTAATGTCTGTCATATATGAGTCTCTATTGAGTCAAGAATGGCAAATAATAATAAAGCCTCTTTTACATTTCTACATAAAAAGCTAACTAATAATCACTTTTAAAAAATGGGATTAAAATACTTGGATTTTACTCTCCCTCTAACTGGCTTTTATTCTTAGTTTGGATTTTTTTTTAACTTATCCTAAAATTGAATACCATTTATCTAGTCTCAAAGCATTAGTGGGTAAACAAAATAAATATCCATATACTGGTGTAATTTCAGGAATGGCTAATCTCTTTACTATCAACATATTTTTAAAAGCGTACTACTGTTAAGGTTAATGCATATGTCACAGTATCCTTTGGGTGTGGCTTCACCATCTGGAAACCACTGTGGGTGGTGGTGCCTCTGCTTGAATTTCACTCTCACCTACTGGGCTTTTTCTACCCACTCGGCCTGGCAGGCTGCACTCGGCTCACACTACCAGGTGAGCCAGGTGAGTAGCAAGGATTGTGTGAATGAGTGAGCGCAGTGTCTGGTCACTGCACACAGCCAGGTGCAGCAGCTGCTGAGCCACAGCGGGCATCTCCAGGCTCTGGCACAGGCACTGGCTCCATCTGAGGCTGTGACTGGGCCAGGTGTGCCACAAGTGTCTTCCACTGCGGACACTGGCACCCGGATGAGGGGAATGCAGTGGAGCCTGAAAATTCAGAGATGCTAGCAACCGCAGAGATCCAAGGGATTGAGGGAGGCATGTTACAGCTCTCTCCTTCCTGCCACCTGCAGCTCGGCAGACAGGGGCATGTTAACAGCTCTTTCAGCCCTTTCCCTTGCTCTGGCCCGCGGTTCCTGGGCTGGTCCGGCCATGCAGCTGCTTCCCATAATGTGGGACAGCTGCCTGATGCTGGTGGAGGGAAGGAGGGCTAAAGTGTTACAGCTCTAGCTCAGGGGATCCCAAGGTGTGGGCTGCCTGAAGGGTCACCAGTCTTTACTCCTGCGGTCCGACAAACAGGAGCTGTCACCACCTGCAGCTCGGCAAGCCAGCCAGGAATATGTTACATCTCTTTTCACTGCCGCCAGCTTGGCATGCCAGCCAGGAAAGTGTTATAGCCCTTTTCTCACCTGCCATTTGGTGTGTCCCAAGTTCTTGTCCCACATCCAGGAAGAATGAAGTTACATGAACAACGGGCAGGTGAGCAAGGCAGAGAACAGTTTTATTGAGCAGCAGAACAGCTGTAAGTGGAGAGGAAATCCAAAGTAGGTAGTTCCTACCCTCAGTTAGTTAGTCTCCATGTGTGTCTGAGTTCAGTTGAGTCTAGGATTTTTTATGGGCTCAGTACGGAGAAACTGCATGCTGATTGGCACATGGGTGGGAAGAAGTATGTGCTGATTGGTTCACGGTTGGGCCTGTAAAAAGCACCATCCCACTGGCTGAAAGGCATCAAGAAAGTTATTATTTTGGGTCATGGGCTACACCTGGAATTGGCAACCTAGATTTCAGGCTTCAGCCTATCCCTGGCTTGAAGGTCAGGCATCACTGGGGATCTGCCCCTTCCCGCCTAGGAACTTGCCTGTTTCCTGCTGCCATCACATAGAGGAACTTAGATCCCAGAAAAAGAGTAGACAACACTACTTAAAACTTAGTAAGATGGTTATTATGTCTTCCGAGAGAGTGCTATTAAGTTAAAATATTATAAAGGTAAAAATGATGCAGTGAATTGTGAAATGGTTGTTCAGTGGAAGTGTCAAATGATACAAAAATTTGATTCTATTGACAGATAAAAGACATTGTAAAAGTTTAATAAAATAATTTAAGAACAGGCACCCAAACCTGTCCAGGGAAAATAAATATTCTCTACCAGTGATATAGGTGTCCTGCTCACTTATTTTCTCATATAATAGAAATAATATAATAAGATCTACAATACATAGGTGGAAAGGTTCATAGGATGAGCCAATTTTTTTCCTTCAATCTCATATTCACTGAATCCATTGAATTACTAACTTGTTCCTAAAGTCACTAAATAATAAAGTAGATGTCCTTCATGTTGAATCTATGGAAAGCAATACAGCTAAATAAATTAATCTTAATAGTCCCAAATACCCTTCTGGATAACAGATCAACCTGGTTATTACTAGGTGAACTACTAAACTTGAGTCCATGACTTCCCTTCTGCTGTCTCCCAAAGAACCTGCTTGAGCAATCAACATCTTGCTTTTTCATGTCAACCTTTTAATAACAATCAAATTAACAAAAATAATGTCTTACCATGCAATATGTTTTAATGTGTAAGGTGATAGTCTAGTTCATATTTTAATTCTTCATCATTTAAAAGTAAGAACATGACATTCAACTGAAATAATCTGTATTTTCAGGTTTCAAATAAAAATAAAATAAGGCCCAAAGGAAATATAAATTTAGAAGATATAATGCACAAGTCCCACAAACAAAGTAGAAACATAAAAAAATTGTAGATTCATCAAGCCATTTACATATTTTAGAATATAATTATATCTACCAAAATTATTTTCTATTATCTTTTATTCAAATTTTAAAATGCTACTTACAGTTTTAGTTTTGAAGTTTTGTAGATTGTAGCTAAGTAACTGGAATACTCTCTCTATGAAATAATATATGTTTTTATGTTTGCATTTAAATAAAGAATTGTATGCAGTTATAAGCTGAAATAAAGCATAATATAAATTGTAGTAATTTTAGAAAGTAAATATATTGTACATGTTTACTTAAAATCATTTTTGGGGCTAAGATCTTAGAAAATATTAAGCAAAATGCAATATTACAATAAAAATAAAGTTTCCAGCATGAACTAAATTGTATAAAACATTTCATAAAGCTTTTTCTGCGTTTTTGAATGTTAATTTAAAACTTTAATAAAATAATGTCTCCATTTATCTGAGTATCATTTTTGCCACATTCCCCATCATTTTAAAGTCAGAGTTCTCACCAGACCTTTTCCTATCTGTCAGGAACATAGCCCATAATTTTCTATGAGCCACTAAAAATGGAATTTATATCAGCAGATTACAATTGCTCCATAAATAAATCACTTTATGAGGTAAGAAGCTCAGTATCTCAGTGTGGAGCCTATAATGCATAATGTAGCCAGTAAAGGGAAGAATCCTTTATTTATTAAAAAAAAAAAAAAAAAGCCTCACTTTGTCAGATTTTCTATAAGGCAAAACACTGAGACAGTCGGATAAAATGTTATCTGTTTGAAGAGAAATGTAAATTCTTCCTGTTCTTTCAAATCTATGTTTAAGTTATATAATTGTACCTTTAATGCACATGCTGTAAAGTGTGTGATTTGGGCTCATATTTGTGTATGCGTGTGTGTGTGTTTGATTTTCAGGGCAATTTGTACCCTAAATTCTTTCACCATTATAGTATCTACTAGCATTCATTTTTCTTGCAATTTTGTTCATAAAAGTTTGATGATGGTGATAAGAGATTTATTTTTTAAAGTCTCTTAGACGTATGAGGATGCAAAGGAAAAGAGGAAATATTTTATTGTATTTGACATGGGACACTAAGCAGAAAGATTCAAATTGTATTGATATTCAAGATCAAAACAGCTAACACTTTTTTCTGAAATATTGACTATAAGAATGTTTATTTTACATCTCAAAGAGATTATTAGCTAAGTGATTAATTCACAAAGAATGCATTCAAGCTATAGGACAATGGCCAGGTGAAAGCTGTCATTTGAGTGAAGATGAGACTTCTTATTGGCATTTTTACATAGACAATATTGCTGACAAAGCCCAACTGCTTAGGTTAGATGTGACTTTCGGACAACTTCTCTTGAAGGCAGTTGCAAAGGTAGAGAGCAGTAAATGGGCTTCCGTTTATCTTTCGCAGTCAATCTAGTATGTATTTTTAAAATACTAGAAGCTTTTGGTAATAAAATGCACATATACCTTGCCAAATAACTTTTGTTTGCGTTAGTCTTATTAGTCCCATCCTCCAATTTTCCAGTAGCACGCTGTTATCTGCAGAACCCCACATATCCACGATCTCCAGGTCATGTGCAAACTGGCTCTACTTCATCTGTCAAACCAAATTCTTTGTAAAACACATCTCCTGACTTGATTCCCATCATTTTGGACTCTTTAGCCTCATTTGTACATGACAGGCTTATTTTCCCCACCTAAGTAGAACACAATCCATTTCTTTTGCTTCTTGAAGTCTTCTCTGAGCAGCCATCTGAATTTTAATTCTCTTTTTCTGTGCTTCTGAATATACTCTTTGGCATATTAATCCTTGATTTACTTATATTTTTCTAGTCACAGATTATAAATTACTTGAAAGCAAAATTACTCATGAAGAGATTCGATTTTCTCAGGAATTAACATATTTCTTCCTATGTGATACATGTTCAAAAAATTAACTGATTAATAAAATATATTTACCTCCCATATTCTTACCCTAGTCTTATGTGTGCTACAAGAATCATATAACCACTTTTATGAATACATTGCCAAGAGATACCTTCAGATATTTGTCTCTTTCAATTCAGATAACAGATAAACCAATAGTCAAAATAATACTGATGTAAATACTAACACTAACAAAAATATCCTAAAAGAGACAATAGCAGTAACAAGATCTGACACATATGGAATGCTTAATATGTACTAAATCATGTGCAAGTACTAAATAGTGTATAACATTAAAAGTGCCTTATGGACTTCATCAAATTTAACCTCACAAATAATCTATGGTATAGATACTAATATTAAACCTCTTCAATATATGAAAAAATAATTGAACTGCCCAAGGCAATACAGCTTCAGCTGCATACCTCAGAGAGTTAATCTAAGTTCTGTTTGACTTAAAAGCCCATTATAATTTTAGAATACTATATTATAAAGCCTCTATAAAGCACTTTATATGGGAACAATTCAAATATTCAATAAATATTATTTTATTGTCATTTATGTTGTATTGTTCTCCAATGGCTTTTTATTGAAAGCTTTGGTCTCAGTTCCATGAGGCAAAGCACACACTCTCTAAACATATCTAGGTTAGAAGTGATCACTTAATGTTCATAAAATATGTGTAGAATAGAACTGGCTGTAAAATACAGCAATGTCATAAACACTGTCCCAGGTAACAGATATGGTGGTCATATAGGAATGAAAACTATTTACTATATTATTCTAAGATCATTATGAGCCTTGATTAATGAATTAGTAAAACCATTAAAATATATGTTTAGACTGAATCTCTAGGCAGATGCAAAATAATGTATTTTCCATTACATGTAGTTGTTTGTGATAATATAAATCAAACTTTGCATCTAAAAGATATAATCTTTATCAGTGTTTTTGGTCTGAATGTTATTACATTTTTGCTGACAATTTTGAGGCCATATGTTCAAAAGATTGCTTATGGGTCCTTCTCATGTATAAAAATAAAGATGGTAAATATATTACTTTATTAAAGGTGAGGATATGACAATTAACATGCATTTATTCTAGTTTAGATCTATATTGATATTCTCTCAGTGCCACACTTTGTTGAAAATGAAGTTTCCCTCTCCCATGACATTACTTTAAATGCCACAAGGGCCAATTCTATAACCTCAGATTTAAACAAAATGTTAAAAAAAAACAGGAAATATTTCCAGTTTGTGTAAACTAAAATTCAAGGGTCAAAAAGTTAAACCTATAAACATGAACATCAGTGCAAAAGTTTATGAAATTTCTGGGTCTCTTTCACTGTCACTTTAAAATCAATATCGAAGGTATTAATATCAATACATCAGACCATCCATCAATCTGTATGCCTTTCAGCTGATAGTATATTTTGCATATATCACTGGAGCATATGACAAGGATAATATGGTCTTATGTGGGTCATTCATATAGTAAATCTATTTAATCTTATACTTTAATGGTTCAGAATAAAGAATGACTGAAAAAATAATGCTTGTTTTGAAAACTGCTTTAAAATTAATTTTCCATTTCTTTGGCCATTGTTTACATGCTATTTTAAAATGTAACATTTGTAACACTTAAAAAAAATAAAATCATGCTGGGCAAGGTGGCTCATGCCTATAATCCCAGCACTTTGGGAGGCTAAAGCAGACGGATCACCTGAGGTCAGGAGTTTGAGACCAGCCTGGCCAATATCGTGAAACTCCCTCTCTACTTTAAAAAAAATAAAATAAAATTAGTAGGGTGTGGTGGCATGTGCCTTCAATCCCAGCTACTCAGGAAGCTGAAGCATGAGAATCACTTGAACCTGGGAAGTGGAGGTTGCAGTGAGCTGAGATCACGCCACTACACTACAGCAGCCTGGGTGGCAGAGCAAGACTCTGTCTCAAAAAATATATATAAACTAAAAATAAAATAAAAAGTTACTAAGAAGTAGATAATTGTAGTAAAAGGTTAATCTTACAAAATAAACAACTTATCCCCAAATATGCTTTTACCTAATTCTGTTTAACTCTGATATTTATACAATATTTCTGCTTCATAATTTACTCTGTAATCCAGCAAAATACAAAGTTTATTGGAAGTATACAGAGGAAAAGAGACTCAAAGGCTCTAAACATTAAGGGAAAATTAATCCCTTGTTACTTATGAAAAATATGTAAAATATAATTATTGTTAAAGTTTAGATATAAAATAAATTTTAGCACAAACACAATGTAAAAATTGTGTTTTGAGTAAATATTTTATAAGCCATTTTCAGAAACTATAATAATATAAACATTTCAAAATTCAAACAGTAATAAATGGCACATGTTTAAAGAATTTTGTGGCATTAAACCACATGCTAAGATTCATTATTACTTTATCTGTAAGGAAATTGTGTTCATGTTGCAGAGATCATCCCCTTTCTTAGGGATATCCTATATTTGGGATATCACAAAAATGTCATTAACCTTCAATGGTTCCATGGGTTATACATTGAAAATATCACAGAGGGTAGACTGTGATACATTGAATAATGGTCCATCAAAGCTGTCTATATTCTAGTCCCCAGATCCTATAAATGTGTTATCATGTGTGATTAAATAAATTTTGTGGATATTGATATGGGGACATTGTTCAGGATTATGTAGTAGGCCCAATTGAATCATGAGTCTTTATAAGAGGGAGGCAGGATGGTCATAGATACAGAAGGCATTGTGATAACAGAAGCAGGACAGATATTTGAAGATGCTATGCTTCTGATTTTGAAGACAGAGAATGAGGACAGGAACCAAGGAATCCAAATTTCTTCTATAAGCTAAATGAGTCAAGAAAGCTGGTTGTCTGCGAGAACCTACGGAAGGCTCTCCTGACTTCCAGAAATATAATAGAATAAATTCGTACTGTTTTAGGCCACTAAATTTGTTATAATTTATTATAACAGTAATAGGAAACTAGTATATCTTTCTTCTGCTAGTGATTACTTACTATAATCTTCTAATTATCGATGCGTAAAAGCATTCCAGTTATGCTCCTGATTCAAATGTCCTTTTCAAAATTAGTTTCCTAGGAAACTTGACCTAAATTAAAAGTAGTCGGAAGAACCCAAATTTAATGTGAGATTTGGAGCTGAATCATCCACCAGCCAGCTGACAATGAAGACTCCATCACTAATGGTAGAGCTTACCATGAAGTGATGGTGCAATTGTCAAAAATTTTGCTAGGCTTGAACTTGAATAGAACACATTGAAAAAGATTTACTGTAATAAAAAATATTTATTGTGAAGTTTGAGGGAGGTAAGTTGATACTGATTAGAAGGCCAGTGGAATTGGATGGCTTTTACTGAGTTTCATTGGTATATTAAACACACACACACACAGAAAACCAAGGTGGTTTATCAACAATTGGAGACAAATATAAAAGTTGAAAGGGCCTTCTTGGTAGATGAGAATCATTTATTTAGAGGCCAGAAAATCTGAGTACTTGGCCCTGCTTTAATTATAATTATAAAAGTTTGAGAAAGATTAGCATTAATTCTTCTTCAACCATTTGGTAGAATTCCCTAGTGAAGCCATTTGTCCCTGGGGTTTTCTTTGTTGAGAGGTGCTAAATTTTGAACGTTTGTGTGCCCTCAAATTTATATGTTGAAATTCTAAACTCCAAGATGATGGTATTAGGAAGTGGGGTTTTGGGGGAGGTGATTAGGTCATGAGGGAGAAGACCTTATGAATGGGATTACTGCCCCTATTAAACAGGCCCAAAGAAGCTCATTTACCTTATACCATGTGAGGACACAGCAAGAAGGCATCAGTACTGTGAAACTGTAAGTAGGCCCTCACTAGAAACCTAGTTTGCTGATGCCTTGAACTTGGACTTCCCAGCCTCCAGAACTATGAGAAACAAATCAGACCTATGAGAAATAAATTTGTGTTGTGTATAAGCCACTCAGTTTATGGCTTTTTTTTTTTTTTTTTTTTTTTTGAGACGAAGTTTTGCTCTTGTCACCCAGGCTGGAGTGCAATGGCACGATCTTGGCTCACTGCAACCTCTTCTACCCAGATTCAGGTGATTCTCTTGCCTCAGCCTCCCTAGTAGCTGGGATTACGGGCACCCGCCACCACTCCCAACTATTTTTTTTTTTTTTTGTATTTTTACAGAGATGGGGTTTCACCACGTTGGCCAAGCTGGTCTCGAACTCCTGACCTCAGATGATTCACCCGCCTCGTCCTGCCAAAGTGCTGGGATTACCAGCATGAGACACTGTGCCCAGCCCTATGGCATTTTCATAGCAGCTGGAATAGAATGACATAGAACATTTTTGATTACTGATTCAGCCTCTTGACTTGTTAGTGACTTTCAGATTTTCTACTGCCTTATTATTCAGTCTTGATAGGTTATATGTATCTGGACATTTATTATCCATTTCTTCTAGGTTATCCAGTTTATTGGAGTATAATTATTCACAGTATTCTTGTATGATCCTTTATATTTCTCTGGCATCAGCATCATGTGCCTCCTCTCTCATTTCTGATTTTCTTAATTCTGCCCTCCACTTTTTTTTCTTTTGTCTAGATAAAGTTTTGCTAGTTTTATCTTAACAAAAAACACTTCTTGGTTTTGTTGAATTTTCTATTGTTTTGTTAGTCTCCATTTCACTTATTTCTACTCTAATCTTTATTATTTCCTTCCTTTTGCTAATGTTGTTTATTTTCTACATATTTTTAGATCTTTGAGACTTAAAGTTAGGTTGTTTGAGTTGTTTTATAATTTAGGTATTTATCACTATAAACTTTTTTCTTCGTACTGCTTTTACAGCATCTCATAAGTTTTGGTATATTGTGTGTTTTTATCTTTATTTTCCTCAAAATAGTTGCTGAATTCCCTTTTGATTTATTTTTTCTCTCTGTCTGTTTGGGGATGTGTTTTGATGTTTATGAATTTCCAACTTACCTTCTGTTAGTGATTTCTAGTTTTATATAATTGTGTTCAGATACTTGATATGATTTCAGTTTTCTTAAATTTGTTAACATTTCTTTTATGGCGTAATAGGTGATCAATCACAGAGAATGTTTCATGTGCACTTGTAGGTAGCAAGGTTCTGAAGCAGGTTGGCTACTCACCCCTGCACATATGCTATGCAAAGATCAGGCCTCTAATTGGGAATGAGTGAGACTAGGAAATCTGGGACAATTGACTGAAAAGTTTAAAACCCCATATAACTCTGAATGTTCAGGCCTTGCAGAGGTGGTTCATTGTTTGAGGCAAGCATTATCTCCTTGTTGCAGATGATGAAAGTTCTCTGTTTTGAAAGCCAAACCTACTTTTCTCAAGATCTACACCCACAGGCTATTAAGTAGAAAAAAAATTACAGTATAACCCAGTTGAAGAATTTCTGAGTATATTAAAAGAGGAAATAAGTAATTGTTCAAAGAAGCTGCAAAATCTAACCAAGCTGTACAGGAGTAAAGAAAGTACTATTGGATCAAGAAGTAACATGATATATGGAAGCACTTATGGATGTGTGAGTATTCTTCCTCTGCATGGGATTTCATCTGAAAAAACTTTAGAGCTGGTGTTAACACAGTGTCAGCTTAGTTTTTGGACGTTTAGAGAAAGTAATGAACTCTTAAGTGAAGCAGGAATGTCATAATTTCCATGTCAGATTCTGAGAAAGGAAATAAATGTCTCAAATATATTGGCATGCTAGAATGGCTGCTATACTAGATAAAACCAGAAAACTAACCTGCAGTTTGTGTTCTGTATTAGAGCTGTGAGGACATGCTATTTACCAAAGCAGTAAGGAATGCACTGGTAAGAAGGACACCAGCATCACTGAGAAACTTACTATTGGGTGTCATCTACAAGCCAAAGTTGATGGTGGTAGATGCTGCTGCTATAGGGCTGGGTTTTCCAATAGTAAAGTAGTATATGATATCTCAAGTGGTAGAATCTAGGTGGGAGTACTTAACTATCAGAAGCAAAAATAACATTATTATCATAATAAATGGTAAAAATCAAAGTGACACTCAGCAGCACATGACCCAAAGAGAGCTAAGGGGATGGTTAAAGCAATGTAATATCTCTATGGTCAAGGTCGATGGGAAGCTGACAAGGGCATTGCTCAATGTAATCAATCAAAAGAAATGAAAAGATGATGAAGAGGCTGAGGATAATCACTTTAAAAAGTCCTGTTTTCAAGCTGAAAAATTTAAAGAGCTGGGAATCTCTGACTGCTGTAGACACTGCAAGAAGAGGAATCCTGTCACACCACAATTTTCATGGTGACGTGTTCTCCATTACTTCCTCAAAACTACAGCCCTATATTTAGTTAATCATTCACCTGTGAATGGAACACACCCAGATATTTCAAGGATTGTTAGACACAAGATCCAATTTAACATTGATACCCATAGACTCAAAGTGATTTCCTGTCCTATATTATAAATGAGAAAACATGGGGACAAGGTACATAATGAGGACTTGGCCCAGTTACAACTCACAGTGAGTTTATGTGGCACAGTAACTCAAAATGTATAACTAGAATGGACATATTGGTAATTATTATAAACGCCACATTGTTTCTTTGCCCTGGGAGGAAAGAGTTATTACTTGGGGGATTGCCAAGAAAAATCTTTTGCCACAGAAACCCTAGCCAAAATTAACCGTCAAATCCAACTTGTATCTTGTAGAAAATAATTCTCCATGAAATTCTCTTTCTTTATGCTCATGCATTAGTAACCCATTTATTCAGCTTCATTTACCTTGTAAAAGATAGAAAATGTCTCCCTCCCCTCCTAGAGAAGTTTTGCTTACATTGCTGGGTAGTAAGGATAAGGTAGATGGAGCTCTGGGAGGCAGGATATAAATTTTGTTGAAGTCTTAACATCTAGTATCTCAGAATGTGACTGTATTTGGAGACAGAGATTTTAAAGAGATGACCAAACTAAAATGCAGCCATTACGGTGGGCCCTAATTTAGTACGACTGGCGTTCTTATTAAAAGCGGAAATTAAGAGACACAGGCAGACACCACAGACATGTGTGCACAGAGGGTCAACCATGTGAAGAGGTAGTAGGATGGCATCCATCTGCAAGGCAAGGCAAGGAGAGAAAATTCAGAAGAAACCAAACCTGAAGACACCTTAATATTGGACTTCTAGCCTCTAGAACTGTGAGACAGTAAATTTCTATTTTTTAAGCCAAGCAGCCTGATATTTTATTGTGGCAGTGCTAGCAAACTAATGCAGAGGGTTTACATGGGCTCCCATTGACCAAGGTTGATTTCACTCTTACTGTCTGTAATTTAACATCTTCTCTAGTGAGATCCATTAGCTACTTGATTGTATGCAGATTACATTGGATCTCTTCCACCCTTAACAGCACAAGGATTCATCTTGACTAGAACTTACATATATTCCAATAACACAACCTTTTTGGCCCACAAGACCTTGTCCAGCACTGTTAACCACTGGCTTACGAAGAATTTGATTCACTGACATAGAATCTCTCATAACACTCCCCAATACACAAAATCCCTTAAAATGTAAAAGACTAGATGGTCTATTTTATAGCCAAGAAGGTGCAGCAATCAACACATGATTACATATACTGGTTCAAGCACATACAGCACCATTCAAAATATCAACCTCATAAAATGATGTGTTGAAGCTACAACTGAGTTGCCCTCTTTTGTCATGCAAGGATAGAATGCCATCCTCCAGGACACAGACTATACCTTTAATTAATGATCCTGATATGACGCTGTTTCTCTAGGAAACAAGAACCAAGGGATGGAGTAAGAGTGTCTCTTATTCTCAGTGATCCATCTCAGAAAATTTGTAGTTTATGACACTAAAACACTGATCTCTGCAGATTTAGATATTCCAGTCCCAGATAAGGAATACTTCTACCAGGCAAATCAAGTACCCCACTAAACATTGAGCTGCCATTTGATCACTTCAAGCAAGGAAAAATGTTATCACCTGTATTAATGTATTAGTCAGGGTTCTCCAGAGAAACAAAACCAATAGGATAAACAGATGATATATAGAGATAGATAGATAGATAGATAGATAGACAGAGATAAATACATAGATGATAAATAGATGATAGATATAGAATAGATAGATAGATAGATAGATAGATAGATAGATAGATAGATAGATAAAAGGCGATTTATAATGGGAATTGGCTCATGCAATAAGGCCAAGAAGTCCCACGATATGCTCTTTGGAAAGCTGGAGACCCAGGAAAGCCAGTGGTATAATTCAGTCTCAGTCAAACGGCTTGAGAATCAGAATATTAAATGGTGTAACTCTCAGTCCAAGGCTGAATGCCTGAGAAAGGAATCGTGAGTGGGGTGCTAGTATAAGTCCCAGAGTCTGAAGTCCTGAGAACCTGAAGCTCTGTTGTCTAAAGAAAGGAGAAGATGAATGCCCCAGTTCCAGGAAAGAGAAGAAATTTGTGCTTTCTCTGCCTTTTAGTTCTTTTTGAGCTGCTGACTGATTAGATGATGCCTGGCATGAGAGTGCGTTTTCTTACAGAGTCTACTGATTGAAATGCTAATCTCTCACAGATACACTCAGAAATTACATATCACCAGCTATCTGGATATCCCTTAACCCAATCAGATTAACACATGAATTTAACCATCACACCATTCCAGCAGGTAGGCTGTTGTTTTACAATAGGGAAAAATTTGGCATACAGGTGATGCCTTGTATTCCTCTTATAATTCCTTTTCCTTACCACTCGGGAGTCCCTGTCCAGACATTGCCTTCAGGAGATGTAAACTACTTTACTCAAACTCACACTCCAATTTCAAAGGCTGCCTCCATCTAAAGACTAGTGCATATAGAATATGAAGGCCTGGAAGAACTATTTCTTCAGGGAAGGATAACTATGAAAGGCCATACCAGATCTAGTAACTTCATATGCTATTAGCTGAGGTCTTTGTTGCAATACTTCTCAGTTCCACTTCTTTCTCTCCTTAATCTCCCTGTTTGGTTTCTCCAATGTTGTTAAGGAGAGTGCTTCCTCATAAACTTTCTGCATGTTAAGCTCAGTCTTTGGATGTTCTCTGAGGAAACTGACCTAAGACAGGTAATTGAATGTGAAAGCCATGGAATATCTGATCAGAATAATAAACAGTGTTTGTTTGTTTGTTTATTTATTTTTGAGACGGAGTCTCACTCTGTTGCCCAGGCTGGAGTGCAGTGGTGCGATCTTGGCTCACTGCAACCTCTGCCTCCCGGGTTCAAGCGATTCTCCTGCCTCAGCTTCCTGAGTAGCTGGGATTACAGGCACACGCCACCATGGCTGACTCATTTTCTTGTTTTTAGTAGAGGTGGGGTTTCAACATGTTAGTCAGGCTGGTCTCGAACTACTGACTTCGTGATCTGCCCACCTCGGTTTGCCAATGTGGTGGGATTACAGGCGTGAGCCACCGCGCCCAGCATAAACAGTGTTTATTAACGAACTCTGATGTATGTTCTCTATTTTGCTTACTACTAATGATGACCTGTATCAGAGACTTCTGTTTTGAAGTATGTAAGGTTTTCTGAATTAGCCATTAGTATAAGTACTGACACAGAATCCACTGCTTCTCTGAGCAAATTACCTATCCTTTCATAGCATCAGCCCACAGAAGTGTAAAACTGACAAAACATCTTTTCAAATGAATTTGCCGAGGCTTCAGACAAAAGACAGAGGTAGACGGAATATGGTTCACACAAGAGAGAAATAGATTTTCTGCTTTGACTGCTTGTAGAGAACTTGAGATGATAAATGAGCTATGACAACAGAATCTGTTACTTTCAGAGAAAATATCTCTGTCTTATTTATCTTTTCATCAAAATATTGAAAATATTTGAAGAGGATTCAAGAATCTGCTTATAACAATACTTATGTTTTCTCCATCTTACCTATAGTTCAAAATTAAATGATATATGATATGATACAGATTATCATAGCTATATTTTTAGTGTTTTATAATAGACATTACTTTATCCTTCATTCTTCATACATTTATATACATTCCTTATATGATTACTGATTTTTCATTTTTATTTTTCCATTTTTATTTATCTTCATGTTAATTACTTCACAAGTATATTTTGTTGTTTGTTATTATAAAGTTCACAATCTTCATGGTCTAGTTCACAGAATCAATCTAAACCTCTTAGCAAAAAAGAAAAGAAAATTTATAATTGAGCCCTGGCATTTCATTTAACACTTATGAATTGGTGGTCTGAACATTTCCTCATAACTTCATACATCTACACAGTAATAAGGTTCTAGGATTTTGCTCACTCAAACCATACCCTCGAGATTTTTCTTCACTGGCCCTAAATTCATACCTTCTTTTTAGGTACAACTTCTCTCCAAGACCTTACTTATATATCTAAATTTCATACTTCATAACATATAAAATAAATCCTCTTCTCAGCTTCTTTGTACCAACATGTTTACATTGTACATTTTTACTCTCTTTAGAATTTTATTTTTTTTAAATACAAAAGAAAAAATAGGGCAGATATTGAAAAGCATATGTATAAATTCTTTATATTTTCCTTTATAATTTTGATCACTTCTAGTTTTTAATACCTTCTCATCCAAACATTTGAGAACCATAGCATTTAATTTGCTTATTTGTTTTAAAATGTAATTTTTAATTAAATCAAAACTAATTTTTGTTAATTTTTTTTGCTGAAATCTCAAGCCAATATTTCTGCTATTTAATAAATATCACCTTTCATCCCTATTAATTTTTTATTTCTCCTTTATCATGTTATTATATTTTCTAAATCTGTTTTGCCCTGATCTGATGACTATACATATGTATGAAGACATCACTATGTACCCCATGAATATGTACTTATTATATGTCAATTAAAAACTAAATTAAAAAATAAAATATGTTTTGGTGAGTTTATTTGTTCAACACCTCTGTTTTGTCTATATTATCAAGGATTTCAATAAAATCATTAGTTTGAAACCCAGATCACCATGGGGCTGACACTTGAGTAAACTTGCATAGCTAGTTTATATAACTAAATTTTCTATTTTGAAAAGTGTTATCATAGTTATATTTAAATCCTACTGGGAGAATGAACCGTACATCTATATTATGTCCACTATCAGAATCAAGGAGTGATAATCTCTTACCATTCATCCATTCATGAATCTGCTTAATAGAATATAAATTTGTTTGGTGCCTGTTCAGTTTCAGACACTCTGCCAGGCATTGAGAATATGTTAGCAAAAGCATTTTTTAAAGAAATTGCCCTGCTTCCTAAGATGTCAGATTGTTTTTGCAGGGAAGAACAAAAAAACACAATACTGCTTGATAACTGCTAAGATAGGCATATATGTATTTGTTAAAGAAAACGTGTACAAAAAATATAATTTATGGGTCTCCAAAAGGGTGTGTTCTAAAACAGCTGAGGATCGCCTTAAGACATGAACAGTCTAACTAGATTACACTACTATTTTAGGGGGCCTCATTCTAAGGTACACTGCCAACACTCTGACAGTAAATTCTAGGTAAAGTAGTGTGAAAAAAAGTTGATATTATTTTCACAAAAATCCTTATTTTGTGTGTTTTTCAATTTTAAACCTATACTTCACAATTTTACTTTAGTCTGGCTACTGACAGTGTCTTTCCTTAATAACTCCTTAGACTGTATATTTTTTTGGACATTGTATTAAAAATGTAAGCTAGATACAGCCAGAATGGCCAATGTCCTGCCAAGTTTTGACAGTTTGGTAGGAAATAGTAAAAAATTATTTTTTAAAGATGTCTTTGCTGTCTTTCTCTATTGTGTTTTCTATTTGCATTCACTGATAGTTGTTTCAGGTTAAAATTAATATCCAGCATGGAGTTTTATTAGAATTGCATTAATCTCTAAATAATTTACCATGAGATGACGTCTTTATAATATTCAATCTTCTCATTCTAAAAATCTCTTTATCTCACTTTTTATTCAAGACTTTTACGTTTGTCAGGAAATATTCATAGGTTGATTATTTGAGTATTATATATTTTATATTAAAATCTTTTCCAAATATTTACGGTTTTTATTGTTGTTATCATGGATAGGATCTGTTTCATCAAAATCCACATGCTGGTGGCTGCTGCTTGTATATTGCAGTATCACAGAAGGCTGAATTATCAGAGCAGACTCAACATGAATCATAGATCTTACCCAAAACAAACTTTACTAATGAATAATGAAGAATGCCAGTAAAAAGAAAGCACAGATATATCACAATCTGTTTCTGGAAGACTCTGAATTGTCAGATGCAGCCTCCAGAATACTCTTTCTCTGTATTGGTATACATTTTGATTTTGGAGTTTCTAAATTAAATAAGCAGGAGGCCATAAGCCTGAAGCTATCTCAGTACTTTAAGTTCCTCTCTATCAAACTGAAACCTAAGTTAATATATAAACAAACAAAAACCTAATGTAGGAGTATATTTTTGTAACAGCTGACTTTCAGCCAATTGAAAACAGTTGAGCATCCAACTTATCAGACCATGCCCAAAGAAGGCAAATGCCTCATCGCATCATGTTCGAACAAGGCAAGTGTCTATCTGTAGCCAATTAAATGATACCTCTGTTTGCTTCCCTATGAGGCCTATTAAAGCTCCAGGCTCAATGGCTGTGTAGATCCCTCTGAACGACTTCTGTTTCTGAGTGCTGCCTGTTTCATAAACCATTCTTTGCTCAAATAAACTCTATTACATTTAATTTGTCAAAGTTGTTCTTTATAACAGAATCAATGACATAACTGTCTGACATAAGATAGATTAGAGGATATATTAATATTGGGGTTTCTTAGTTGACACACTGAATTTCCAAACAGCTGCATCACATGAATCTACATTCCAGGTTTATTTACAATAAATAACCAAAATCAATTAAATATGTTCTATTAAAAATATTTTATACAGACACTCCATCAAGTATCTCATTGCTGTTATATCACATCCACATGTTTACAAAGTGGTCTAGTGTAGCTATTTTCTTAATAAAATAGAATCATTAATAACTACATACTTTCACCATTCAGGAAATAATGTAACAGGTATCCATATAAACAGGAGAAGTAAGGTAGCCTTAGCTCTGATTTCAACATTTTATTTTTTAAAAACAAATATGACAATATTTTAATATCTGTTAAATTTGAGTGTTGACTATATAATTACCTGTTATATTATTTTTGAAGGGTTATTTAATAACTAAAAATATTTTATCAGTATTAATAGTATTAACAACTAAAACCATTTTATTTCGTATCTTTTATGTTTCATCTTCTTTTAACACATCCTATAGCCTACACAATCAATACCAAGTGAGTTTAACAAAAATGTAACAAATCTGAATGGCAATCATTCTATATAAAAATGAGTAACATCATTCTAATGAGGTATCCTCAACTTCTGTACATAGTGGGAAAAAATGCATACCATATTGGGCCAATTAGCTCAGTAAAAAGAAGAGCCCCCCAGTTACAACTGTTAATAGAAACAATATTTCCAAAACATATATTTGTTTCAACTGTATTTTTTATCAGATATGGAAAATAAAAGTCTAGAAACTTAAAAAGGTAGAACCAGGATTACTATGTTCTTTTTAGTTCAACATAGTTAATACTGCAGAGTTGAAGTATGAGGCAAGCGCTAGTTTGTTCTTTTGCTGCTGTCTTAGTTTCTCATTCAATGTTTATTATTTCTTTATTACATAATTTATATTTTAAAATAATACATCCATATGAGATTGCTTGTCTGTTTTGTTTTGTATTTTTTGTTTTTTTATAAATCAAGCCAAGCCTGTTATATTTACTGTTTTTGAGAAGCCTTTGTATTTGTATGTTCTGAAAGTAATATTTCCATTTTCTATGTGTTCTCTAAGTAATATTTCACTTTTCTATGTGCTTCTTTTTAATTAGTCTCTTTTTTCTGTGTCGTATTTTTCTGTAGTTTCAACACAATATGTCTAGGTTTTTATTTAGCTTTATTCATCCTTTGGAGATTCCCCCATCATTATAAATTTATATTGTTTAAATAAAAACTTCTCACCATTTAACCTTTATTTTTAGCTCTCTATATTTTACTCTATTATATCTTTCTGGAAGGCTTTCATATATATGCTTAATGTTTTCATTACCTTCTGATTATTTTCTTAACATCACCTTCATGCTTTCCATCAATTAGATTTTTATCTCATTAATGCAAGCCAATCTTCCAGTTAAATTCCTTCTTAAGCTAATTTCCATTGACATTTTATTAATATTACTTATTTTATGATAGACTTTATTTTTAGGTGGTTTTAGATTTACATAAAAGTTAGGTAGAAAGTATTGAGAGTCCCTTAAATACCTTCCTTTGACCCACAGTTTCTTTTATTATTAACATCTTACTAGTGCTTTTAATTTCAATAAAAATTTGTTTTCATTACTAGGATTCTATTTTAATCGTACTTAAATATCTTTGTTTTTTTGTTTTCACTATTTTGTTCTCCTGTTTTTGCTGCATAATTTAAATCACTTTTTCTAATTTTCATTTTGTTTTTCCTTTTGTATGGTCATTTTATAAGGGCTTAATTTTTGTGTATTTATCATTCCATGATGGTGTATTGTTTCCACTTGTCTTCGATAATGTTTAACAAGAGTTCTGTTTTAGGTCTGTTCCTATTTTTGGACACTCTTTAAAATCCATTTAGTGAAAGGAACTTATAAAAGCCCATAACAATACATATCATCAGCCTGGTACGAATTTTTTAATTAATTGCTTGCTTCTGGATCCCAGAACCAAGAAACTGGTACATCTTGGAGCAGCAACATTTATATAAAGTTAGGGCCACTGTTATTGACATCTCAGTACTATTTTTCCCCAAAGCAATACTTATGTTCCTACATGGCGTTGTAGAATCTTGCTGCTCCCTCACTAAAATGTGGGTTTTACATCTCCTCTCCTTTAATCTGGGTGGAGTTTTGTGACTTTTTTTTTCTTTTTTTTCAGACAGCGTCTCACTCTGTCACTCAGACTGGAGTGCAGTGGCATGAACGTGGCTCACTGCAGCCTCTACCTCTCCAGGCAAAAGCGATTCCTCAGACCTCAGCCTCCCAAGTAGCTGGGACTGCAGGGGGATGCCACCACGCGTGGCTAATTTTTATATTATTTGTAAAGACGGTGTCTCACTATCTTGCCCAGGCTGGTCTCAAACTCTAGGCACAAGCTATCCACCCACCTCAGTCTCCAAAAGTGCGGGGATTAGAGGCGTGAGCCACCACACCCGGGGTGGCTATCTTAATAAATAGAATATGGTAGATGTGGCACTTTATAATATTCGAGTATAGATTATAATGAAAAAAACAATAAACTCTGTTACATTTAATTTGTAAAAGCTTCCACCTGGCTTCTCTTAATGTACCTCATGCCCTGAAAGCTCAAAGCCAACATCTGAGAAGTCCAGTTATCCTGAATATGCCCAGCAGGAAAGATTAGGTGGAAAGACAATAGAGAGGCAATGAAAGACGCCAAAGGACACACAGCTATTCCAGCCCCCAAGCTGGTCTTGTCTCTCCTATCCAGGCATCAGATATGTGATATCAAATAATCAGGGAAGAGCCAACATTGCAATTTATTTAATTTTCAATATTTAGTAGGGACTGTAAGATGCTGGCCAAAAATTTCACAGGAAGATCTAAGAAGTTTGAAAACTATAGTGGACCTTAACAAACCTCCATATATCTCTGTTAGTCTGGGAAACTGTGCAAATGTAGAAGGACACATAGTAAGTTCATGAGTCACCAAAGAAAACACTCTGTCTATAGTTTTTGGCTGAACACGAAAGCTTATACACAGAGACAGTGAAAGACAAGAGAAAATTTTAAGTTACCAAATTGTGAATAAATCACCGTCCTTCAAAAAGTATAGTAGCACAGGGAAGAACCCTTACTGGCTCAAGGTAAACACAACTTCTGGGCAATCCTGGCTGATGACTAAGCTATGCTGACCTAGAAATGGTAGCTAGAAAGACAGTCTTAGTTAAAAAACAAACAAATAATAATAAAAAATGTTTAAAACTAAGTGTATACCTATAAAATTACTAGTAGATAACATAGGAGAAATTATAGATGACCATGGGTTTGGTGATGACTTTTTAAGATACATCAAAGGTATAATCTATGAAAGAAATAATACAGAAGCTGGATTTTATTAAAATTATAATTTTCTTCTCTATAAAAGGCACTGTCAAAAGAATTAAAAAAAAAAAACAAGAAACAGACTGCGATAATATTTGCACAAAACATACCTAATAAAAGACTTTCATTCAAAATACACAAAGAACCCTTAAAACTCAACAATAAGAAAACAAAAAATGCAATTTATTTATACTTTTTTATTTTTTAAAAATTTATTTCAATAGCTTTTGGGATACAAGTAGTTTTTGTGACATGGATGAATTGTATAGTGGTGAATTCTGAGATTTTTTGTGCACCCATCACCCAAGTAGTGTTTGCTGTGCCTAATGTATAGTTTCTTGTCCCTCACCCCTCTCTCAACCTTCCCCTTGGGAGTCTGTAAAGCTTATTATATCACTTTGGATACCTTTGTGTACTCATAGCTTAGCTCCCAGTTACATGTGAGAAGATAAGGTTTTTGATATTCCATTCCTATGTTATTTCACTTAGAACAATGGCCTCCAGCTTTATTCAAGTTGCTGCAAAATACATTATTTCATTCCTTTTAATGGCTGAATAGTATTCCATGGTGTGTATGTGTGTGTGTATGTATATGTATATATAGAGAGATATATATAGAGATATAAATAGAGATATATATATAGAGGGAGCTATATAGAGATATATATAGATATATAGAGGGAGCTATATAGAGATATATATAGATATATAGAGGGAGCTATATATAGATATATATATAGAGAGATATACAGGTATTTATATAGAGATATACACATACCATATTTTCTTTATCCTTTCGTTAGTCAATGGGTGCTAAGCTTGGTTCCACACCTTTGCAATTGTCAATTGTGCTGCTATAAAAATATATGCAAGTTTATATATATATATATATATATATATATATTGACTTTTTTATCTTTTGCATAGATACCCAGGAGTGGGATTGCTGGACTGAATGGCAATCTACTTTTAGCCCTTTAAGGAATCTCCATACTATTTTCCATAGAAGCTGTACTGATTTACATTCACCCCCAGCAGTGTATAAGCGTTCTCTTTTCCCCACATCTGCACCAACATCTATTGTTTCTTGACTTGTTAATAATGGTCATTCTTGCAGGAATATCGTGTTATTTCATTGTGGTTTTAATTAGCATTTCCTTGATGATTAATGATGCTGAGCATTTTTTTCCTGTATTTGTTGGCCATTTGTATATCTTCTCTTAAGAAATGTCTATTTGTGTTCTTTGACAAATTTTTAATGGGATTATTTGGGCTTTTTCTTGCTGGTTTGTTTGAGTTCCTTGTAGATTCTGGATACTAGTCTTTTGTCAGATGTATAGGTGGCAAATACTTTCCCCATTCTGAAAATTATCTGTTTATTCTGCTGATTATTTCTTTTCCCATGCACAAGCTTTTATGTTTAATTAGGTCCCATCTATTAAATTCTTTGCCTAAGCCAATGTCTAAAAGAGGTTCTCCAACACTGTCTTCTAGAATTTTTAAAGTTTTAGGACTTATATAAAAGTCTTTGATCCATCTTGAGTTGACTTTGTATAAGATGAGAAATAAGGATCCAGTTTCATTCTTCTACATGTGGCTTGCCAGTTTTCCCAGCACCATTTATTAAATAGGGTGTCCATTCCCCAATTTATGTTTTTGTATGCTTTGTCAAAGATTAGTTGGCTATACATATTTGGCTTTATTTCTGGGCTCTCTATTCTGTTCCACTTGTGCACGTGCCTATTTTTATACCAGTACAAGGCTATTTTGGTAACTATAACCTTATAGTATCATTTGAAGTCCAGTAATGTGATGCTTCCAGATTTGTTCTTTTTGCTTAGAATTGCTTTGGCTATGCAAGCTCTTTTTTGGTTCCAGATAATTTTAGGATTTTTTTTCTAATTTTGTGAAAAATTATGTTATTTGATGGGAGCTGCATTGAATCTGTAGATTTCTTTGGGTGTAATGGTCATTTACACAACACTGATTTTACCCATCCATGAGCATGAGATGCATTTCCATTTGTTTGTGTCATCTCTGATTTATTTCAGCAGTGCTTTACAGTTCTCTCTGTAGAGATCTTCACCTCCTTGGTTAAGTATATTCCTAAGTATTTTATTCTTTTTGTGGCTATTGTGAATGAGAATGAGTTACTGATTTGATTCTCAACTTGGTCATTGTTGGGGAATAGAAGTACTGATTTGTATACATTAATTTTCTAGCCTGAGACTTTACTCAATTCATTTATCAAAGCTAGGAGTTTTCTGGAGGAATCATTAGGATTTTCAGGGTATACAGTCGTATCATCTGCAAACAACAATAGTCTGACTTCCTCTTTTCCAACTTGGATGCCCTTTATTTCTTTCACGTGCCTAATTGCTCTGGCTAGGACTTCTAGAACTATGTTGAATAGGAGTGGTGAAAGTGGGCACCTTTGTTTTGTTCCTGTTATCTGGGAGAATACTTTCTACTTTTCCCCATTCAGTGTGATATTGGCTGTGGGTTTATCATATATGGCTTTTATTATTTTGAGGTAGGTCCTTTCTATGCCTAGTTTGTTGAGAATTTTTATCATGAAGGGATGCTTGATTTTGTCAAATGCTTCTTTTTGCCTCTATTGAGATGATCATATGGTTTTTGTTTTTAATTCTGTTTATGTGATGTATTACATTTGTTGACTTGCATACATTAAACCATCCCTGCATCCCTGGAATAAAACCCATTTAATCACGGTGAATTATCTTTTTGATGTGCTGTTGGATTTGGTTAGCTAGTATGTTGTTGACAAGTTTCGCATCTATGTTCATCAGGGGAATTGGTTTGTAGTTTTGTTTTTGTTTTTGTATCCTCTCCTGGTTTTGGTTTCAGGGTGATACTGTCTTCATAGAATGATTTAGTGAGGACTCCCTCTCTCAGTCTTTTGGAATAGTTTCAGTAGGATTGGTTCCAGTTCTTCTTTGAATGACTGGTAGAATTCAGCTCTGAATCCACATGGTCCTGGGCTTTTTTTCATTGGATATTTTAAAATTACTGATTCAATCTCACTGCTTGTTATTGGTCTGTTCAAAATTTCTATTTTTTTCTGATTTAATCTAGGAGGGTTGTATGTTTCCAAGAATTTATCTATTTCCTCTATGTTTTCTAGTTTTTGCCCATAAAGGTGTTCATGGAAGTTTAAAATAATCTATTATATTTCCATGGTGTTGGTTGAAATGTCCCTAGTTCAGTGATAATATTGAGAAGTAAGGTACTATTCTCTTCACTATGTTAATTGTTAACTAGATAGGTTTTTTCCATTGTGTTATTGTTTTATAGGCCTTAAGAGTTTTAAGATTTCAATGGTTATACTTTGGTGCATATTAAGCTTTTGTTCAAGGTTTAGAATTCCTTTTAGCATTTCTTGTAGTGCTGGTTTCATAGGGACAAGTTCCCTCAGCATTTATTTGTCTGAAAGAAAATGACTTTATTTCTCTCTCAATTATGTAGCTCTTGGCTTGTGAAGTTTCTGCCGAGAAGTCTGCCGTTATTCTGATAGGTTTTCCTTTTTAGGTTACCTGATGCCTTTGTCTTACTGCTCTTAGAATGTTTTCCTCAACCATCTCTCAGATAAGTTTTCCAGACTTATTATTTTCTCTCCTTGCTCAGGAACACCCTTCTTAGGTTTAGCCATTTTACATAATCCCACATTTCTTGAAGACTTTGTTTATTTCTTTTGATTCTTTTTTCTTTATTTTTGTGTGATTGGGTTAATTAAAAAAAAAACACCTTGTCTTCAAGCTCTGAAATTATTTCTTCTATTTTTCTAGACTATTATTAAAACTTTCCACTGCATTTTGTAATTCCTTCTGTCTTTTATTTCAATAAGTTCTGATTGTTTTTTCCTGATGATATCGATCTCTCTAGAAATTTTGTCATTCGTATCCTGAACTACTCTTTTGATTTATAATGGTTTTCACCTTTCACTGATGTCTGCTGGAGTAGCTTTATAATCAACCTCTGAATTCCTTATCTGGTATTTCAAATATTTTATCTTCGTTTAGATTAATTGCTGGAAACCTAGTGTGATCTTTTGGAGGTGTTATAGAACCCTATTTTGTCATATTACTAGAGTTAATTTTCCTGCAGTGGTAGCTCCTGCACTCACAGCTGCAGCCCACGTTTTACTTACCCCCACTCCAGCACAGGCCAGGGGAATTTGTCTCCACTTGTGGTTATAATGTGAGACCCAGTTGGGGACTTTTTTCAATCTGTGACCACTGCCTGAATTTTTTTGCTGTCTTCCAAAATGTACCCTGTGAGGAACAGCAAGGAATGGCTGATCTCAGTCTGCCCAGGGATCTAGGAGTGCATGCAAGTATCTTCTTGCTGCTGCTTCTACTATTATATTCCACGAAACTCCCTAAGTCAGTTCCTGCAGTGCGTAGGGTTGAGGCTTTTCCCTGTGGCCTGGACTTTTAGGGTCCCCCGTGGGCATGCATATGTTGGTGGCAGTCTTTCCCCTCCTCACATTCTGGGACTCTCAGCCTGACCTACTATGTAGCATGCAGCTTCCTGCTTCCTTCAAAGTGTCTGTATATTCTTTTGGTTTTCCTGTTCAGTTCCTGCATAGCTTCTTGGAAAAAAAAAGGTTCACGGTGTTAATCTCTACACAACTATTTTGTTCTTCCAAGTTGGAGAGGTGTGCCAGCAATGCTTCTAATCTACCATTTTGGAAAAGAAAAAATTTAAAAGTGGGCCAAGGTCCTTAACAGAGAGCTCACCAGAGAAAATACACAGATGATAAATAATCATTGGAACAGATGTTCATAGGTCATCAAGAAAATGGAAATTAGAACAATGAGATACCATTACATATAAGTTAGAATGACCAAAATCCAGAATACTGACAACACCAAATGGTGGTGAGGATTTAAAGCAGCAGAAACTTTCTCATTCATTGCTGAAGAGAATGCAAAATGATATAGTCATGTTGGAAGACAGTTTTATGCTTCCTTACAAAGCTAAACATATTCTTATATCATTCAGCAAACCTGCTTTTTGGTGTTTACTCAAAGGATTTAAAACATATGTCTACACAAAAACTTGCATGAAGATATTTATAGCAGCCTTACATAGTTGTAAAAATTGTTTACAATTTACTCATAATTGCAAAAACTTGTTTTTTAAAAAAATTATATAAATTTAAGAGGTGCAAGTGCACTTTTGTTACATTAATATACTGAGTTTTGGTGAAGTCTGGACTGTTAGTGTAATTATCACCTAAATAATGTACACTGTACCACTCCCTCTCGTTCTCCCACAATTTTGATTTTCCAGTATTTATTATTCCACATTCTATGTCCATAGTTCTCACCTTATATTAGTTCCCACCAATAAGTGAGAACATGCAGTATTTGACTTTCTGAATCAGAGTTGTTTCACTTACAATAATGGCCTCAGGTTTCATCTATGTTACTGCAGAAGACATGATTTAATTATTTTCTGTGACTGAATAGTATCCCATTGCATATATATATACCATATTCTTTTATCTAATTATCCATCGATGACCACATAGGTTAATTATACCTTTACTATTGTGAATAGTGCTACAGTAAACATATGAGTACAGGAATCTTTTTTATATAATGATTTATCTTTCTTTGGGTAGATATCCAGTAGTGGTATGGCTGGATCAAGTAATGGTTCTATTTTTAGAACCATATCTTTGAGAAATCCCATGCTATTTTCCATAGAGGTTGTACTAATTTACATTCCCACCAACAGTGAGTGTTTAAGAGTTCCCATTTTTCTGAATCCTGACCAATATCTTTTTGGTTTTGTTTGTTTGTTTGTTAACATTTCAATAATGGCTATTCTGACTGGTATGAGATGATATCTTACTGTTGTTTTAATTTGTATTTCTCTTATGGTTACTGATGTTGAGCATTTTTCATATGCCTGTTGGCTATTTGCATATCTTCTTTTGAAAGTTCTTTATTCATGTCATTTGCCCACTATTTAATGGTTTTTTTAAATTTGTTTGTGTTTGTGCTTGTTGTTGAATTGTTTAAGACTCTTGTAAATTCTGGATATTTTTCCCCTGTCATACACATATTTTGCAATTATTTTCTCTCATTCTGAAGATTGTTCACTCTGTTGATTATTTCTTTTGCTGTGAAGAAGCATTAGACAACCAAGATGTCATTTACTAGGTTAAAGGATGAATGAACCATTAAATAATGAATAACTTATTGTCCTGTAGTATGATAAAAGATGAATAACTAGGTTAAAAGAACAATAGTATTTCAGACAATGGACTAGTACTCAACATTAAAGGAAATAAGCTAACAAACCACGAAAAGACATAGAAGAAACCTAAATGCATATTACTAAGTGAAAGAAGCCAACCTGAAAAGGTTGCATACTGTATGATTCTAACAATACAACAGCCTGGAAAATGCAAAACTATGGAGACAGTAAAAAGATTAGTGTTTGCCAGGTAATGGGGAAGAGATAAATTAATAGGCAGAGCATAGAGGATTTTCAGTGCAGTAATAATTATTCTGTATAGTCTTGTAATGGTGGATACATATCATTATACACTTGTTTAAATAAGTATATATAACATACAATATACAACACCAAAATGAACTCTAATGTAAACTATGGTCTTTGTGTGATGACATGTCAATGTAGGTTCATGAATTGTACAAATGTATACTCTGGTGGGGGATGTTGTTAATGGGAGAGGCAATGTATGTACGGAGGCAGAGAATATATGGGAATTATCTGTACTTTCTGCTCAGTTTTGTTGGGAACTTAAAACTGCTCTAAAAATCAAGCAAATGTTTAAAATACGATAAACCCAAAAATATGTGAGAAAAAAATCCGACAGAATGAATAAGAGAAATAATTAGTTCAATTAAAATATTAAGGTAATAGAAACCTCCATTTACATCAGCACATATAACTAGATAGGAAGTCAGGAATGACACAGAAGACTTAAACAAATCTATCAAGAAAGGTGACCTACTGACACTTATAGAACATTTCAACCAACTGCAAAATGGACATGCTTTTCACTTATACTTGAAACATTTTCCAGGTATATCATGCTGTAGGCCAAAATTTTAAAAGAATTTAATTTATATAAACAATTAGGAATCAATTTAATATCTAAAGAACTAAATTAGGAACCAATAAGAAATGAAAGCAGAAGTAAATCTATAAATATTTAGAAAATTAAATGTCTAAATAATCCAAAAAAGAAATCACAAGTGAGATTAGAAAATATTATGGACTGAATGAAAATAAAAATAAAATATTAACATTCACAAGAGAAGCTAACATAGTACATATAAAATATTTAAAAGTAAAAGCACATTTAGTGAAAAATTTAAAAGGCCTTGAATCCAAAACCTAAGCTTTCACTTTAAAAAGTGAGAAAAAATGAACTAAATCTCAAAATTAGAACCAATAGTGCAATAAAGTCCATAAAACCAAACTTGATTTTTGGAAAGATCAACGAAATTGTTAAATTAGCTAGACTGACCAAGAAAAAAATAAAAAGACACAATTTATTAAAATCAGCAAAAAAAGTAATGTCACTACTGACCTCACAGAAATTTAAGATGATAAGGAAATACTATAAACAACTTTATATAAAAAATTGCAAAATCTAAATCAAAGAAAAATAATTGAAAAGACAAAAATTGAAACTGACTCAAGAAAAAACAGAAAATTGAATTGGCTGATGACAAGTAAGGAAATTAAGTTGGTAGTTTAATGTGTTCCAACAAAGAAAATTCAGGACCAAGTTGCTTTATGGTTTTATTGTATTAGACATTCTAAGAAGAAATATTATTATTCTTTCACAAACTATTCTGGAAAACCAAAGAAAAGGGAATACATACCCACTCATCTTATGAGACCAGTAATAGCACTATGCCGAAGCTAGGGAAAGACATCACAAGAAAAGAGATAATAGACAATATTCATCATAAATATAAATATAAAACTATCAACAAAATAGTAGCAACCTAAGTTTACCAATATATAAAAATTATTATACGTGTAAAGCAAGTGAGATTTATCCCAAGAATACATCACTTTCTTGCTATCTAAAATATATTAATGCGATAACCCATATTAATAGAACAAAGACAAAATTAGCACAATTGTGTCAACTGATGCAACAAGAAAGCATCTGAAAAAACCCAACATCCATTTGTAGTTCAGATTCTCAGAAACTGTTAACAGAAAGAAGCTTCTTCAACTTGAATAAGCCTAATGTTAAATTTTAATTAATGATGAAAGACAAAAAATCTTTCAAAACTAGCAAGTGTAATAAACAAGAAAAATAATCATATCCACAGCTTTAGAATTGGAAAGAAAGAAGAAAAATTGCATTTACCAATATCACTATTCCACACGTTAAAAATTGCAACAAATACACAAGAAAACAACTATAATTAATAATTGTACAGGATGAGAGATCAGTATACAAAAATATATTTTATTTTTATGTGCCAGTAAGCAGAGAAAATTAGCTTAAAAAGCAATCATACAATAGCATAAGACAAATATTTAAGTATACGTTCAACAAACAAAGTGCAAAGTTTGTACATTGCAAACTATAACACATTGCTGAGAGATAGTAAAGATCTAATTAAATGCAGACATATTCAATGTTTAAAGATGAGAAGACCCAATGTTCATATAAACATTACTCTGAAATTATTTACAGATTGATGGGTGCAGCAAACCACTATGGCACGTGTATACCTATGTAACAAACCTGCACGTTCTGCACATGTATCCCAGAACTTAAAGTATAATAAAAAAAATGAATCACAGACCCAAACCTAAGTAATAAAGCTATAAATTTATTTAGAAGAAATCTTAAATAATATTTTTTCTGATCTTAAGTTAGGCAAAGATTTCTTGGGACACAAACATCACAGACCATTAAAGAAATATCATAAAATTGGTCTTCATTAAAATTACAAAAACTTATACTTTAAAAGGAATCAATACAATGGGAAAACGCAAACTACACAGTAAGAGAAAATATTTACAAATCACGTATCTTATAAAGTAATTGCATCAAGAACATAAAAAGAATTCTTACAACTCAATGATAACAAGATGAGTAACCCAATTAAAACTAGGCTAAAGATTTGAATGTATATTCCCCCAAAGGACATATCCAAATGTTAAATAAGCACGTGTAATCAAGTGCAATTCATTAGTCATGAGAAATACAATATTGTTAGTTAACAGGGAGATTACAGTAAGATACTACTTTGCAAATGCTAGAATAATAATAAAAAAGACAGTATCAAGTGTTGCAGAATACATGGAGGAGCTAAAACCATCTGTTATGATCTAAATCTTGGTGTCACCCATAAAATTCATATTTTATAACCCAATACCCAATGTAACAGTATTAACAGGTGGGGCCTTTAGAAAGTGATTAAGTCATGAGGTCTCCACCTTCATGATTATAATAAGTAACCTGATAAAAGAGATTCAAGTGAGCCTCCTTGCCTCTTCCACCATGTGAGGATGTAGCAACAACATAATATGTATGAAGTAGAGGGCGAGCTCTTAACAGGAATTAGATCTGCTTATGCCTTGATCTCAGACTTCTCAGTCTCCAAAGCTGTAGGCAATCAACTTCTGTTGTTAAATTACTCAGTCTAAGGTATTTTGTTATTGGAGCCCAAATGGACTAAGGCACTATCTTACATTGCTGATGACAAAGTAAAAACAGTAAGTATCATAAAAAGATAAACATATATTTACCATGTTTCTTAGTAATTTAATCCTAGATATCTGCCCAACAGTGATGGTAAAATATGTCCACACAAAGAATTATACATTCATAATTATAACATCATTATTCATAGTGTTGTTCCCAAACCAGAAAGAACTAAAAAGTTCATCAGCTGGTAAACAGATAAATAAAATGTGATATAGTCAATGAATATACTACAGTTCAATTATTTTTATTTTGGTAAGAACATGAGATCTACTTTCTTTTTCTATTTTATTTTATTATTATTATACTTTAAGTTTTAGGGAACATATGCACAATGTACAGGTTAGTTAACATATGTATCCATGTGACATGCTGGTGTGCTGCACCCATTAACTCGTCATTTAGCATTAGGTATATCTCCTAAAGCTATCCCTCCCCCCTCCCCCAACCCCACAACAGTACCCAGAGGGTGATGTTCCCCTTCCTGTGTCCATGTGTTCTCATTGTTCAATTCCCACCTATGAGTGAGAATATGCGGTGTTTGGTTTTTTGTTCTTGTGATAGTTTACTGAGAATGATGATTTCCAATTTCATCCATGTCCCTACAAAGGACATGAACTCATCATTTTTTATGGCTGCATGGTATTCCATGGTGTATATGTGCCACATTTTCTTAATCCAGTCTATCATTGTTGGACATTTGGGTTGGTTCCAAGTCTTTGCTATTGTGAATAGTGCCACAATAAACATACGTGTGCTTGTGTCTTTATAGCAGCATGATTCATAATCCTCTGGGTATATACCCAGTAATGGGATGGCTGGGTCAAGTGCTATTTCTAGTTCTAGATCCCTGAGGAATCGCCACACTGACTTCCACAATGGTTGAACTAGTTTACAGTCCCACCAACAGTGTAAAAGTGTTCCTATTTCTCCACATCCTCTCCAGAACCTGGTGTTTCCAGACTTTTTAATGATTGCCATTCTAACTGGTGTGAGATGGTATCTCATTGTGGTTTTGATTTGCATTTCTCTGATGGCCAGTGATGATGAGCATTTTTTCATATGTTTTTTGGCTGCATAAATGTCTTCTTTCGAGAAGTGTCTGTTCATATCCTTCGCCCACTTTTTGATGGGGTTGTTTGTTTTTTTCTTGTAAATTTGTTTGAGTTCATTGTAGATTCTGGATATTAGCCCTTTGTCAGATGAGTAGGTGGTGAAAATTTTCTCCCATTTTGTAGGTTGCCTGTTCACTCTGATGATAGTTTCTTTTGCTGTGCAGAAGCTCTTTAGTTAAATAGATCCCATTTGTCAATTTTGGCTTTTGTTGCCATTGCTTTTGGTGTTTTAGACATGAAGTCCTTGCCCATGCCTATGTCCTGAACGGTAATGCCTAGGTTTTCTTCTAGGGTTTTTATGGTTTTAGGTCGAACGTTTAAGTCTTTAATCCATCTTGAATTAATTTTTGTATAAGGTGTAAGGAAGGGATCCAGTTTCAGCTTTCTACATATGGCTAGCCAGTTTTCCCAGCACCATTTATTAAATATGGAATCCTTTCCCCATTGCTTGTTTTTCTCAGGTTTGTCAAAGATCAGATAGTTGTAGATATGCGGCATTATTTCTGAGGGCTCTGTTCTGTTCCATTGATCTATATCTCTGTTTTGGTACCAGTACCATGCTGTTTTGGTTACTGTAGCCTTGTAGTATAGTTTGAAGTCAGGTAGCATGATGCCTCCAGCTTTGCTCTTTTGGCTTAGGATTGACTTGGCAATGCGGGCTCTTTTTTGGTTTCATATGAACTTTAAAGTAGTTTTTTCCAATTCTGTGAAGAAAGTCATTGGTAGCTTGATGGGGATGGCATTGAATCTATAAATTACCTTGGGCAGTGTGGCCATTTTCACGATATTGATTCTTCCTACCCATGAACATGGAATGTTCTTCCATTTGTCTGTATCCTCTTTTATTTCATTGAGCAGTGGTTTGTAGTTCTCCTTGAAGAGGTTCTTCACGTCCCTTGTAAGTTGGATTCCTAGGTATTTTATTCTCTTTGAAGCAATTTTGAATGGGAGTTCACTCATGATTTGGATCTCTGTTTGTCTGTTGTTGGTGTATAAGAATGCTTGTGCTTTTTGTACATAGATTTTGTATCCTGAGACTTTGCTGAAGTTGCTTATCAGCTTAAGGAGATTTTGGCCTGAGACAATGGGGTTTTCTAGATATGCAATCATGTCATCTACAAACAGGGACAATTTGACTTCCTCTTTTCCTAATTGAATACCCTGTATTTCCTTCTCCTGCCTAATTGCCCTGGCCAGAACTTCCAACACTATGTTGAATAGGAGTGGTGAGAGAGGGCAGCCCTGTCTTGTGGCAATACAGGAGCACCCAGATTCATAAAGCAAGTCCTGAGTGACCTACAAAGAGACTTAGACTCCCACACAATAATAATGGGAGACTTTAACACCCCACTGTCAACATTAGACAGATCAACGAGACAGAAAGTTAACAAGGATACCCAGGAATTGAACTCAGCTCTGCACCAAGTGGACCTAATAGACATCTACAGAACTCTCCACCCCAAATCAACAGAATATACATTTTTTTTCAGCACCACACCACACCTATTCCAAAATTGATCACATAGTTGGAAGTAAAGCTCTCCTCAGCAAATGTAAAAGAACAGAAATTATAACAAACTGTCTCTCAGACCACAGTGCAATCAAACTAGAACTCAGGATTAAGAAACTCACTCAAAACCACTCAAGTAAATGGAAACTCAACAATCTGCTCCTGAATGACTACTGGGTACATAACGAAATGAAGGCAGAAATAAAGATGTTCTTTGAAACCAATGAGAACAAAGACACACCATACCAGAATCTCTGGGACACATTCAAAGCAGTGTGTAGAGGGAAATTTATAGCACTAAATGCCCACAAGAGAAAGCAGGAAAGATCCAAAATTGACACCTTAACATCACAATTAAAAGAACCAGAAAAGCAAGAGCAAACACACTCAAAAGCTAGCAGAAAGCAAGAAATAACTAAAATCACAGCAGAACTGAAGGAAATAGAAACACAAAAAACCCTTCAAAAAATTAATGAATCCAGGAGCTGGTTTTTTGAAAGGATCAACAAAATCGATAGACCACTAGCAAGACTAATAAAGAAGAAAAGAGAGAAGAATCAAATAGACGCAATAAAAAATGATAAAGGGGATATCACCACCGATCCCAAAGAAATATAAACTACCATCAGAGAATACTACAAACACCTCTATGCAAATAAGCTAGAAAATCTAGAAGAAATGGATAAATTCCTCGACACATACACCCTCCCAGGACTAAACCAGGAAGAAGATGAATCTCTGAATAGACCAATAACAGGATCTGAAATTGTGGCAATAATCAACAGCTTACCAACCAAAAAGAGTCCAGGACCAGATGGATTCACAGCTGAATTCTACCAGAGGTACAAGGAGGAACTGGTACCATTCCTTCTGAAATTATTCCAATCAATAGAAAAAGAGGGAATCCTCCCTAACTCATTTTATGAGGCCAGCATCATTCTGATACCAAAGCCGGGCAGAGACACAACCAAAAAAGAGAATTTTAGACCAATATCCATGATGAACATTGATGCAAAAATCCTCAATAAAATACTGGCAAACCGAATCCAGCAGCACATCAAAAAGCTTATCCCCCATGATCAAGTAGGCTTCATCCCTGGGATGCAAGGCTGGTTCAATATATGCAAATCAATAAATGTAATCCAATATATAAACAGAACCAAAGACAAAAACCACATGATTATCTCAATAGATGCAGAAAAGGCCTTTGACAAAATTCAACAACCCTTCATGCTAAAAACTCTCAATAAATTAGGTATTGATGGGCCGTATCTCAAAATAATAAGAGCTATCTATGACAAACCCACAGCCAATATCATACTGAATGGGCAAAAACTGGAAGCATTCCCATGAGATCTACTTTATACAGCAAAATGTTAAGTGTACAATATGGTATTGACATCTATTGGCACAATGCTGTAGAGCAAATCCCTAGAACTTATTCATCTTGCATAATTAAAAATTTCTACCTATGAAACAGGAACTTCCCATATTTCTCGCTGCCTAGTCCCCAGAAACAACCATTCTATTTCCTACTTATATGACTTTGACTATTTCAGTATCTCCTATAAGTGTAATCATGCAATATTTATCTTGCTGTGATTGGTGTATTTAACTTAGCCTAATGTCTTTCAGGTTTCTTCTTGTTGCCAAATATGATAGAATTTTCCTCTTTTGTAGGGCTAAATAATATTTCATTGTATGCATGTATATGCCACATTTTTTTCTATCCGTTCATATGTTTGTGAACACTAGAGTTGCTTCCACATCCTAGTTATTGTGAGTAATGTTGCAATGAACATGAGAGTGCAGATATTTCTTTCACACATTGATATAAATGTCTTAAGATATATACCCAGTACTCAGAAGTGGTGGTGTTGGATCATATGGTAGTTCAATTCTAATGTTTTGAGGAAATTTCTATACTATTTTCTATAATATCTCTACTGATATACATTCTCACTAACAATGTACTAGGGGTCCCTTTCTCCACATCCTCACCAACACTTATCTTTTGACTTTTTGGTAATAGTCATCCTGACAAGTATAAGTTGACATCTCATTGTGGTTTAGGTTTGCATTTCACTGATAATTAGTGAACTGAGCATCTTTTCATATACATTTTGGCAAGTTGTATCTTCTTCTTTAAAGAAATATGTATTTAAATCCTTTGTTCATTTAAAAAAATCAGGTTTTAGTATTCAGTTGTAGGACTTCTATATTTTGGATGTTAATTCTTATTAGATATATAATTTGCAAGTATATTCTCCCATTGCATACAGTTTTAATTTTGATAAGTTTTTTGCTATGCAGAGGTTTTTAATTTAATGTAGTCCTACTTGTCTATTTTTGCTTTTGACGCCTATGCTTTTGGTATTATATCCAAAAAATTATTGCCAGATCAATCCCATTAAGGTTTTTGTTTGTTTGTTTGTTTGTTTGTTTTCTTTCAGGATTTTTATAGTTTCAGGTCTTACATTTCAGTCTTCAATGTTTTCTTGTTGATAATTTTTGTATATGATATATGAGTCAAATTCCATTATTTTACATGTGGCTACCCAATTTTCCTAATACCATTTGTTGCAGAGACTATCATTTCCCCATTGTATATTCTTGGCCTCCTTGTCAAAGATTATTTAATCGTACATGTATGGGTTTATTTCTGTGTTCTCTATTCTGTTCTAATAATCTTATTGTCTATTAATATGCTAATTCTAGAGAGTTATAATTATTGTAGCTTTGGAATATGTTTTGAAATCAGAAAGATTTGATCATCTTTGTCAATTTTGTTTTGACTATTAGTTTCCTAGGAATTTTAGGATAGGTTTTAAGTAGTAGTAGTACTTTTTTAGTAGTAAAATGTGGTATATTCAATAAAATTTTAATCAGCAGATTCTAGGTTTGCTTTTTATGAGCAATTTTAGACAAACAAGATAGCTGTTAAAAAAGTAGTCCATAAGAAGACTCCCCAGCTAGTGAATAAATGTGTATTTCTGGACTTCTGTCTTTAGTATATTTAGTAATAAATTAATCTAGGTCACCTTTCTTTGTTTAAAATGTTATATACCAGTAAAGAGAGAATAAAATATAAGGTTGGTATTAAATTTTTATATCCCATCATAAAAATTTATAGTGTAAATTCAGAAAAAATTTTACTTTGTTTCTCCGTAGCTTAATAAAGGTTTTATTCCATCTGGAAGTCCATATTGTCTAACACAATATCAACCCAGGTAGCTGAATGATAACTACAAGTCACCTTTATCAGTCTGCATTTGCAGCTCTCAGAATCATGAATGGTCCTGTATATTGGCCCATGCATACAATCACTTCATTGCCTGTTAATGTAGTTAAGCCTTGAGGATGTAACTACTAAGATGCGTATTATTTTATTATAAATTACTTTCTTTAATTTTGCTATTTTTCCCCTCTTAGGACAGTATATCATTTCTGTTTTGTAATTTGGGGGGAAGTTTATATTATCTATTAATTTAATACAGAAAAACAAAGGAAGTCTTTGAAATTACTTATTATTTAAAAAGAGGTGCATTGTGCCTGATATGGATGAGAAATATTCATAATCTTTGTAAATCTTCTCTTTTACTACGTGCAGTTCCATTCCCATCTCCAACCCCACCTTTAAATCAAAGGTACTCATCCTTCAAGTATCCACTTTGTGAAACATTTAGTAATTTAGTCCATCAGAAGTAGGTAATTTTTTTATGTTTTCCTCAATTTATTAAATGCTTCTACTGCTGAATTTTTTTTTAATATTTTTGTACTAGTTGGTTGCCCATCTCCTATTGGAAACCCAAGAGTCTAGAGAACATGAATGAGACATTTAAATCTTACTTTTTCTTGAATGTATAATTGTTTTGGTCAAAGCATTTAGTGATAAGTTAATGTTTGTTAAATAAATGATATTTAATAAAGAAAAATCTGTTAATTTAATATAAATTTTCGGTTGTGTTTTTTCTACATTATAAAATACAAATATCTTTATTGGTGTATTAAAAAACCTTCACATATATTGAAAATATATTTTGTTAAATTTAATCTAGGAAGTTAGGATACGGCAACTTTATGCATAAAACCTGATCTTGGCTGGGCGCGGTGGCTCACGCCTGTAATCCCAACACTCTAGGAGGCCAAGGCAGGCAGATCACCAGGTCAGGAGTTCGAGACCAGCCTGGCAAATATGGTGAAACCCCATCTCTACTAAAAATACAAAAATTAGCCGGACAGGGTGGCGCACACCTGTAGTCCCAGCTACTCGGGAAGCTGAGGCAGAAGAATTGCTTGAACCCAGGAGGCGGAGGTTGCAATGAGCAGAGATCGCGTCACTGCACTCCAGCCTGGGAGAGAGTGAGATTCCATCCAAAAAAAAAAAAAAAAACCCTGATCTTAATCATTTAATCCTACCTTTAAAGACCTTAATTCCATATTAGATATCCTATATCTTAGTTCCATCTTACATATTCCATATCTTTGGTACCATAATAAAACTCTGGGTGCATAATTACATTCTATGTAAAACAATTATCAAATTAAATAGTAAGGATAATTTTTCTCATGTTCATTTGCTTTTACAAATGTAAGTGACATGCAATCACTTTAAGTGTATATGTATCATCTTTCACAAATGTCTATCATTTTCTAATCTGACATTCTCATATTGATATTTTTATATTCCATAGTTTCATAAGTTTCAAAAATGAAGTGCTTATCTCATAAATTATAAATACATTAAATATTTCTTTTTAAACTATGCTTTATTCCTAAAACTGAGTCCTTGTATTTTAACATAAATAAGCCCTTAGTCTTCATAAGTATGTAATAAATAATGTACAGTGACAGCGTACACTGATAAAAATCTCACCTTTAACAACCCACATTTCCACTTAGAGAACTACTAAATTGTTAAGTGAGAAGTGATATAATTGATTTTAACATTGTTTCTGTCTTGTAATGTCAGCAACCTAACTTGCTTCAAACCCAAGTGCATCTTAATCATTATATTCAAAGACAATTGCTCGACTCCCCCACCCTCAAAGCATTCTTGGCTTCCCTCCACTTTGTTTCTTTAACACTGTTAGTTATTTTCTAGACCCTCTTGGGTAAAAATCTGTAGTTAATATGCAGATCATCTCTCTTTGTAATCAGTACTTCTGAAAGGTTATTACCATTGTTCTCCAAGGACCCTACAAATCCTGAATCAGGAGGCAATACCATGCCAACCTAATTATTCTTTGCCCTCAGCCTCACTTCAATGACAAAATAATATACCATTCACTATCAGTGCAATCAGTGATAGTTCACTAATTTATTGTTTCACGTTTTTACAATAGCACATACACATAATATATACAGCTGTATATACTTTTGAAGACACACATTGATATGCAATATTTAAAATATTTATACTATATTAAGTTCTGCTAAATTGGTTAGCTATGCATGTTTCACAAAGAGATAGTCTATTTCATTAGGCAGTCCTTCTGGGAAAGCCTGTTCATATATTTTTTCTCTAAAGAATTGCAAGCCTGATAGCTCTATAACAAGTGCAAGATGCTCCATATTATTTAAAATACTGTCACAGGGAAGTACAACCTGTTCAAAATCCTCTGTGTCCTGCTCAAGTCATTAATTAGCTTATTTTTAAAGGAACATTAAAATCAGAAGGGAAGAGTAGAATGCACTGATAGGAAATTTCTAAACTCTTTTTAGGAATTTAGAGTTCCTTCTCTTTACAAAAGCATAGCAACCTTACAAAAAGTGTTTCATAGACTATTAAAGGGTTAAAGACTATAAAATAATAAGCAGAAGTTTGTCACATAAATTTGAGCCCAATATGTGGTGATACGTAGGCTAAATCTAGCCAAAGAAAAATAAAAGAAAAAGTGTTTCTATATATAGATAAATTTGTAACATTCTCTGGCTCAGAAAATTCTTGATTCTATATTGTGGGTTATTTAATATGCTATTTACTCCAATTTGCATAATAATGCTACATGGTGTTTTGTACTAGTATTTAATAGTTACAGGAAAAATGTTTAATATATCTTCTTAAACAAGTTGGTGGTATCCTTATGCTATATTTCACATTTTGCAAAAAACAAAGCACTTTAATAAATCCTAAATGCTTTATACAGAGGAAAAAACACACTTGAGAGGCAAAAAGGAAAATTACTAGTTAGAAAAGGTCAAGAAGCTAACTCTGTTCATAACAGAAATAGTGCAAGTAACCTGTTTTCTCACCATAGTTAAAGAAAACGAATCATATCATCAAGCTAGTGGGAAAAAGGGCACTGAAAACCCATCATACTTGACATTAATGTTTTCTTGTATTATTTAAAATCATTTTTAATAAGATAATGATATTTTAAATGATAAATCAGAATTTATTTTGGCTATAACAGTCTAATTAAGTTAGATATTTATGAATTATTTGTTTTCAAATTGTTGTCTTTGCAAAAATGAATTCACTTAAAATTGAGCACTCACTTATTTCAACTTAGACCTCAAAAATAACCATCCTATACAGTGGATATATTAGCTTAGAGTTTATGTTTCTTTCATGCTTTTCAACAATGTGTAAAACAACTTTAATATAGGAGACAAGAGAATCTTAGTTGTTTTCATTCCTGTTAAAATTGGTGAAAGGCAGAGAGTTTCACTGTAGATTAATTCCCTTGCCTCCCTCCTTCCTCCCTTCTTTTCCATTTTTCTTTTAATTTCCTTTTTTCCACCCCTCTCTCTTCTTTACATGCTCCATAGTATCTGCCTAAAATAACTAATTTACTCTCATGGCTTCACTGATCACATCACGAAATCTATGTCTCAAATTCTGATACTTCTCCATTGACTCTTGTTTTCTCTACTGGTTTTCAACATTGAGACTGTTTATTTTAAGTGCTATAGAAACTTTGTTTACAGCTGCTAATTTTGAAATAAAAAATTTTAAAGTTTAAAACTAGTATGGAATTAAAACCCATATTAGGACTCAGACATCACATTCAGGCTGAGTTACATTAAATTTCAAGATGCTTGTTTTATAAAATGTACAAGTTTGAAAGGGTGTGCATGTCCAGCTGAAATATGTGAAAGAAAAACATGTTACTCATGTAAGAATATGTCAAATTTAGATATATAAATATACTTTAATATTTAGAATATTTAATTACATAATTCAGTATTCCTATTTTCTCAAATCTTTAAACTTTTGATAAAATATTATTCCCATGAAATATTCCTATTCAAATGCACAATCCCAATAAATAAATGAAATTGCTTTCCATAATGTCAAAGTAATAAAAAATAATTATTTAATATTACAATCCAGGTACTTACCATATTGTTCTAAAATCAAAGGTGTTCTCTGAGTAAAACTTGTTAATTTAATTCATCATTAGGGATATTATTTTGAGTAATTTAATATTACAAAGTGAATAGTATGCATAAAACAGTAAAGTTCTCAAAACTTGCAACTAATTTGCTTCTTTGATACATTATAATGAAAGGAAGTCTGGTTTATTCATTGAAAAAGTTGAAAGTGTACTAGGAAAGAACTAATGCTAGTTCTTTTGAATACACCCTTAGGGACATAACTGTGACTTCATCATATGTCTACCTATTAAAAAATACATTATGGATATTTTTGAGTGTTTCATGGAAGTCGTTATATCAAAAAAAGTAAAAGTAAGGCTCAGAGATGGTAATGTATCAATTCTATACTACAAAGTGAAGATATGTCTGCCATTAAGTAGTATGGAGTTACTGAGGCTAACACTAGTCTTAGTCACAAGGTAAAAAGGATAGAAGCTTAGCACATAAAGTACAGCATGCCATTAACTCTCTTAAAATAAATAAATAAATAAATAAAAGCCTGGACAAAAAAAGGAACCACAGAAAGGCATTCATGGGTAAATTGGAATATATTGTAAACATGTGGCTCTGAATCTGGTTAATTTTACATTTCAGTGCCCATCTATTAAATATCTTGACTGATGGCTTAACTGATTTACTTAGCTATCATAATATTCTTATCAGACCTTCCATATCTAAAGATTGTCTGTATTACAGAGTTATTGATGATGATTTCATGGCGCTTCCACTATTACCCTATTTATCTTTTTGTTCTAAATTTAATATTGACACACATTATAATTTTTGTCCCTTTTGTCCCATGTTCCCTTTTCCACCTCTGCAATTAATCTTTCAGAGAAAATTTCTTTTTCATTATTGTAACACCCCAAGGCCTATCAAATTCATTACATGATGAAAATAAAATATATAAATTAATGAAGGTATGATTAGCCCCCACTGGTTGGCCCCCATCAATATTATTAATTTTCATGGACATAAATTATTTCTACTTTCTTCCTTGTTTATAATTGCTAATTTTAAACAAATGAGGTTATTTTTTCCACATTTACTCTCCAAACTACAGTAAGCAGAGTCAGGATGTGTCAACAAAGAACTATTCCAAGAGTATTTGTTAGCGGAAATTATACAAATTTCAGATAGTTTATTCCTTAAATAGCTTATTGAGAGAAGTTGCAATGTTTGTGGAATAGTTACATAATGTATTTTTTTTTGTTAAGTTACCAAGCACGATAGCCTATGTTGAATCCATTGCAGACAATTAGATGTTTCTTTAGATGTTGCTGTGACCTCAATTTAGCAGATGGTATAGAACCTGATAATCATCTCAATAAATGCAGAAAAAGCATTTGATAAAATTCAACTCCTCTTCATGACAAACACCCTCAACAAACTAGGACTGGAAGGAACATACTTCAAAATAATAAAACTCATATACAATAATCCCACAGCCAACATCATATTGAACAAGGAAAAGTTGAAACCATTCCTCCTTAAGAACTGGAACAAGACAAAGTTGTCTACTTTCACCACTTCTATTTACCATAATACTGGAAGTCCTAGCTACAGAAATAAGGTAAAAGAAAGAATTAAAAGGCATTCAAATTGGAAAAGAGGAAGTCAAATTAGCTCTGTTCCCTGATGATATGATCTTAAACCTAGGAAACTCTAAGGACTCCTCCAAAAGACCCATAGACTTGATAAATAACTTCAGTAAAGTTTTGGGATACAAAATCAATGTTCAAAAATCAGTAATATTTTTATATAACAATAATATTCAAGCTAAGAATGAAATCAATAATCCTGTTTGCAATAGCCACACAAAAAATAAAATGAAATAAAATACCCAGGAATATACCTAACGAAGGAAACAAAACAGATCTACAAGGAGGACTACAAAATACTGATAGAAGAAATCATAGATGACAAAAAGAAGTGGCAAAACATCCCATGCTCACAGATTTTAAGAATTAATACCATTGAAATTACCACACTGCGCAAAGCAATGTACAGATTCAATGCAATTCCTATAAAATTACCAATGTCATTTGTCACAGAATTAGAAAAAATTCTAAAAATTCGTATAGAATAAAAATAGCCAAAGTAATCCTAAGCAAAAATAACAAAGCCAGAGGCATATCACCTGACTTCAAATGATGCTACAAGGCTATAGTAACCAAAACAGCATGGGTTACTGGTACAAAAATAAAAACATGGACCAATGGAACATAACAGAGAACCCAGAAATAAAGCCACATACCTAAAACCAAATAATCTTGAAAAAAGCTGACCAAATTATACAATGGGGAAAAGACATCCTGTTCAATAAATGGTGCTGGGAAAACCATCTAGCCACATGCAGAAGAATGAAACTGAACCCCTCCCTATATCTCACTATATGCAAAAGTTAACTTAAAATTAATAAAAGACTTGAATGTAAGTCCTGAAAATATAAAAATTCTAGAAGATTATCTAGGAAAATTCTTCTAGACATTGGCCTAGGCAAGAAATTTAGGACTAAGACCTCAAAAACAAATGCAACAAAACCAAAAATAGACAAATTGGACCACAATCAAACTAAATAGCTCCTGCACAGCAATAGAAATAATCAACAGAGTAAACGGACAACCTACAAAAATTAGAGAAAATATTTGCAAACTATGCATCCAAGAAAGGACCAGTATCTAAAATCTACAATGAACTCTACTCAACAAGATAAAAATCATATAACTACATTCAAAATTGGACAAAGGATATGAACAGACTTTTCTCAAAAGAAGACATGCAAACAACCAAAAAAAAATACAAAAAATTCTCAACATCATTAATCATCAAAGAAATGCAAAGTAAAACCACAATGAGAAAACCATCTCACATTAGTCAGAATGGCTATTACTAAAATCAACAGATGTTCGTGAAGATGTGGATAAAAGGCAATGCTTATACACTGTTGGTTGGAATGTAAATTAGCACAACCTGTATGGATGGAGATTTCTCGAAGAACTAAAATAGAACTAACTAAATCCAGCCATCCCACTACTGGGTATCTACTGAAAGGAAAATTAATTGTTATATAAAAAAGACACCTACATTCATATGTTAATTGCAGCATTATTTCTAACAACAAAATCATAAAAGGAATCTAAGTATCCATCAATGGATGTTTGAATAAAGAAAATATGGTATACATACTTCACGGAATACTATGCATCCATAAAAAAGAATGAAAACAAGTTTATTGCAGCAACATAGATACAGCCTGAGAGCATTATCTTCAATAAAGTAACTCAGAAACTGAGAATCAAATAGCACATGTTTTCACTTATAAGTGAGAGCTAAAGAAAGGGTACACATGGACATAAAGATGGAAATAATAGACACTGAGGACTCCAAAAAAGGGAAGATTAGAGGAGTTTTAAAAATTACCTGTTGGGTACAATGTTCACTATTTGGGTTACAGGCACACTAGAAGCCCAAACTTCACCCCTGGGCAATATATTTTTGTTAAGTTAGCTGAACATGTATCCCCTGAATCAATTTTTTAAAATATTAATTTACTTTTAAAATCTATAGTTAGTATGATTGTTATGATATTCACTGCTAGAGTTTTATCCCACTACCAAAATATAAACAATGCCCATAAGAGGGAACTAATGACATTGAAAAAGGACTAGCCTTGAAGTCAATTGATCTGAATCTACCTCCTAGATCTGCAGGTACTAGTTTAATGTAACTTTTAAGTTTACTTCTATGGATCTCAATATATTCATCTGTAGAATAGCAATTTCAATTAAACGTCTCTCCACTCCCCCTGCATTACACCTGTAAATTTTAAGTTAGATAATTGTGTAAAAACACCTAAAATAATACATAGTAAATCATTTAAAAGTACTGCATCTTTGGCCAGGGATGGTGGCTCATGCCTGTAATCCCGGCACCTTGGGGGGGCCGAGATGGGCGTATCACCTGAGGTCAGGAGTTCAAGACCAGCCTGGCCAAAATGGCGAAACCCGTCTCTACTAAAATACAAAAATTAGCTGGGTGTGGTGGCACACGCTTGTCATGCTAGCTACCCAGGAGGCTGAGGCAAGAGAATCACTGGAACCTGGGAGACAGAGGCTGCACAGAGCCAAGATGGCACCACTGTACTCCAGCCTGGGTGAAAGAGCAAGACTCTGTCTCAAAAAAAAAAAAAAGAAAAAAAAAGTACTATTTTTTAATTATAAATATTTATTTTTATTTAATTTTAGCATATAAAAATAATACTGGAAGTGGGCATCCTTATTGTTATGCCACAAGTAAGGACTGCCAATTCCTAAATCTCTCATCAATATTTCTGAGTTCTAGATATTCAGCTACATATATCTTTAGCTTACTGTCCCTATATTAGTCTGTTCTCACAGCGCTATAAAGCAATATCTGAGTTTGGATAATTTATAAGGAAAAGAGGTTTATTTGCCTCACCATTCTGTAGGCTGTACAGGAAGCATAATTCTGGCATCCACTTGTCTTCTCCGGTTGTCTCAGGACACCTAAAATCATGGCAGAAGGCAAAGGAGAAGCTGGAATGTCTTACACGGCTGGCTCAGGAAGAGGAGAGATGGTGGAGGTGCTACACACTTTTAAACAACAGGATCTCATGAAAATTATATGATGAACACAGACTAGGAGGATGGTGCTAAACATTTAAAAACCACCCCCATGATCTAATCACCTCCAACCAGGCCCCATCTCTAGGACTGGGGATTAAATTACATCATGAGATTTCGGTGAGGACACAGATACAAACCATCTGAGTTCCTCAGGCATGTCAAACCTAAGTATGTCTGCACTGAATTCACATTGTAGTTTTGATATTGAGAAGCATTTCTGATCCAGACATCAAGAGAGAACTTTTGGATCTCATGCAAGAATCTGGGGTGAGTCCATAGAGTAAAGTGAAATCAAGCTTCAATAGCCAATTTGATCAAGTGGAAGAAAGGGTATCAGTGATTGAAGATCAAATTAATGAAATAAAGTGAGAAGACAAGGTTAGAGAAAAAAAAAGAATAAAAAGAAATGAACAAAGCCTCCAAGAAATATGGGACTATGTGAAAAGACCAAATCTGTGTTTGATTGGTGTACGTGAGAGTCATGGGGAGAATGGAACCAAGTTGGAAAACACTCTTCAGGATATTATCCAGGAGAGCTTCCCCAATCTAGCAAGGCAGGCCAACATTCAAATTCAGGAAATACAGAGAACACCACAAAGATACTCCTCAAGAAGAGCAACCCCAAGACACATAATTGTCAGATTCACCAAATGAAGGAAAAAGTGTTAAGGGCAGCCAGAGATAAATGTCAAGTTACCCACAAAGGGAAGCTCATCAGACTAACAGTGGATCACTTGGCAGAAACCCTACAAGCCAGAAGAGAGTGGGAGCCAGTATTCAAAATTCTTAAAGAAAAGAATTTTCAACCCAGAATTTCATATCCAGCCAAACTAAGCTTTACAAGTGAAGGAGAAATAAAATCCTTTACAGACAAGCAAGTGCTGAGAGATTTTTTCATCACCAAGCTTGCCTTACAAGAGCTCCTGAAGGAAGCACCAAACATGGAAAGAAACAACAGGTACCAGCCACTGCAAAAACATGCCAAATTGTAAAGACCATAGATGCTATGAAGAAACTGCATCAATTAATGGGCAAAATAACCAGCGAACATCATAATGACAGGATCAAATTCACACATAACAATATTATCCTTAAATGTAAATGGGCTAAATGCCCCCAATTAAAAGACACAGAGTGGCAAGTTGGATAAAGAGTCAAGACCCATCAGTGGGCTGTATTCAGGAAACCCATCTCACATGCAAAGACACACATAGGCTCAAAATAAAGGGATGGAGGAAGATCTACCAAGCAAATGGAAAGCAAAAAAAGCAGGGGTTGCAATCCTAGTCTCTGATAAAACAGACTTTAAACCAACAAAGATCAAAAGAGACAAAGAGGGCCATTACATAATGGTAAAGAGATCAATTCAACAAGAAGAGCTAACTATCCTAAATACATATGCACCCAATACAGGAGCACCCAGATTCATAAAGCAAGTCTTTAGAGACCTAGAAAGAGACTTATACTCCCACACAATAATAATGGGAAACTTTAACACCCCACCGTCAGTATTAGACAGATCAATGAGACAGAAGGTTAACAAGGATTTCCAGGACCTGAACTCAGCTCTGCAACAAGCAGACCTAATAGACAGCTACAGAACTCTCCACCCCAAATCAACAGAATATACATTCTTCTCAGCACCACATCACACTTATTGTAAAATTGACCACATAATTGGAAGTAAAGCACTCCTCGGCAAATGTAAAAGAACAGAAATCACAACAAACTGTCTCTTAGACCACAGTGCAATAAGATTAGAACTCAGGACTAAGAAACTCATTCAAAACCACAAAACTACATGGAAACTGAACAACGTGCTCCTGAATGACTACTGGGTAAATAACAAAATGAAGGCAGAAATAAAGAATTCTTTGAAACCAGTGAGAACAAAGGCACAATGTACCAGAACCTCTGGGACACATTTAAAGCAGTGTGTAGATGGAAATTTATAGCACTAAATGTCCACAGGATAAAGCAGGAAAGATCAAAAATTGACATACTAACATCACAATTAAAATAACTAGAGAAGCAAGAGAAAATAAATACAAAAGCTAGCAGAAGGTAAGAAATAACTAAGATCAGAGCAGAACTGAAAGAGATAGAGACACAAAAAAACCCTTCAAAAAATCAATGAATCCAGAGCTGGTTTTTTGAAAAGATCAACAAAATTGATAGACTGCTAGCAAGACTAATAAAAAAGAAAGGAGAGAAGAATCAAATAGACACAATAAAAGGATAAAGGGGATATCACCATCGATCCCACAGAAATACAAACTACCATCAGAGAATACGATAAACACCTCTACACAAATAAACTAGAAAATCTAGAAGAAATGGATAAATTCCTGGACACATACACCCTCCCAAGACCAAACCAGGAAGAAGTTGAATCTCTGAATAGACCAATAACAGTCTCTGAAATTGAGGCAATAATTAATAGCCTACCAATGAAAAAACCAAAACCAGACAAATTCAGAGCCGAATTCAACCAGAGGTACAAAAAGGAGCTGGTACCATTCCTTCTGAAACTATTCCAATCAATAGAATAAAGGGAATCCTCCCTAACTCATTTTATAAGGCCAACTTCATCCTGATACCAAAGCCTGGCAGAGACCCAACAAAAAAAGAGAATTTTAGACCAAAATCCCTGAAGAATACCGATGTGAAAAACTTCAATAAAATACTAGCAAACCGAATCCAGCAGCACATCAAAGTGCTTATTCACCACAATCAAGTCGGCTTCATCCCTGGGATGCAAGCCTGATTCAACATACGCAAATCAATAAACGTAGTCTATCACATAAACAGAACCAGTGACAAAAAACACATGATTATCTCAATAGATGCAGAAAAGGCCTTTGACAAAATTTAACAGGCCTTCATGCAAAAAACTCTCAATAAACTAGGTATTGATGGAATGTATCTCAAAATAATAAGAGCTATGTATGACAAAACCACAGCCAATATGATACTGAATGGGCAAAAACTGGAAGCATTCCCTTTGAAAACCGGCACAAGACAAGGATGCCCTCTCTCACCACTCTTGTCCTGGCCAGAGTGTTGGAAGTTCTGTCCAGGACAATCAGGCAAGAGAAAGAAATAAAGGATATTCAATTAGGAAATGAGGAAGTCAAATTGTCCCTCTTTTCAGATGACATGATTGTATGTTTAGAAAACCCATCGTCTCAGCCCCAAATCTCCTTAAGCTGATAAGCAACTCCAGCAAAGTCTCAGGATACAAAATCCATGAGCAAAAATCAAAAGCACTCCTATACACCATTAACAGACAAACACAGAGCCAAATCATGAGTGAACTCCCATTCATGATTGCTACAAAGAAAATCAAATACCTAGGAATTCAACGTAAAAGGAATGTAAAGGACCTCTTCAAAGAGAACTACAAACCACTGCTCAACAAAATAAAAGAGGATGCAAACAAATGGAAGAATATTCCATGCTCATGCATAGAAAGAATCGATATCATGAAAATGGCCATACTGCCTAAAGTAATTTATAGATTCAATGCCATCCCCATCAAGTTACCAATGACTTTTTTCACAAAATTGGGGGAAAAAAAAACTACTTTAACGTTCATAGGGAACCAAAAAAGAGCCCACATTGCCAAGACACTCTTAAGCAAAAATAATGAAGCTGGAGGCATCACGCTACCTGACTTCAAACTATACTACAAGGCTACTGTAACCAAAACAGCATGGTACTGGTACTAAAACAGATATGTGGACCAATGGAACAGAACAGAGGCCTCAGGAATAATGCCACACATCTACAACCATCTGATCTTTGACAAACCTGACAAAAACAAGAAATGGAGAAAGGATTCCCTGTTTAATAAATGGTGCTGGGAAAACTGGCTAGCCATATGTAGAAAGCTGAAACTGGATCCCTTCCTTACATCTTATACATAAATTAATTCAAGATGGGTTAAAGACTTAAATGTTAGACCTAAAACCATAAAAATTCCAGAAGAAAACCTAGGCAACACCATTCAGGACATAAGCATGGGCAAGGCCTTCATGACTAAAACACCAAAAACAATGGCAACAAAAGCCAAAATAGACAAATGGGATCTAATTAAACTAAACAGCTTCTGCACGGCAAAAGAAACTACCATCAGAGTGAACAGGAAACCTACAGAATGGGAGAAAATTTTTGCAATCTATCCATCTGACAAAAGGCTAATATCTAGAATCTATAAAGAACTCAAACAAATTTATAAGAAAAAAACAAAAAACCCCATCAAAAAGTGGGCAAAGGATATGAACAGACACTTCTCAAAAGAAGACATCTATGCAGTGAACACACACATGAAAAAATGCTCATCATCACTGGTCGTCAGAGAAATGCAAATCAAAACCACAATGAGATACCATCTCACACCAGTTAGAATGGCAATCATTAAAAAGTCTGGAAACACCAGGTGCTGGAGAGGATGTGGAGAAATAGGAACATTTTTACACTGTTGGTGGAAGTGTAAATTGGTTCAACCATTGTTGAAGACAGTGTGGTGATTCCTCAGGGATCTAGAAGTAGAATTACCCTTTGACCCAGCCATCCCATTACTGGGTATATACCCAAATGATTATAAATCATGCTACTATAAAGACACATGCACATGTATGTTTATTGTGGCACTATTCACAATAGCAAAGACTTGGAACCAACCCAAATGTCCATCAATGATAGACTGGATTAAGAAAATGTGGCACATATAGACCATGAAATACTATGCAGCCATGAAACAGGATGAGTTCATGTCCTTTGCAGGGACATGGATGAAGCTGGAAACCATCATTCTCAGCAAACTATCAGAAAGACCGAAAACGAAACAACGCATGTTCTCACTCATAGGTGGGAAGTGAACAATGAGAACACTTGGACACAGGAAGGGGAATATCATACCCCGGGGCCTGTCAGGGAGTCGGGGCTGAGGAGGAATATCATTAGGAGAAATACATAATGTGAATGATGAGTTGATGGGTGCAGCAAACCAACATGGCACATGTATACCTATGTATCAAACCTGCATGTTGTGCACATGTATCCTAGAACTTATTCTAAAAAAAAAAAAAGTAAAGGAATAAAAGAATGGCTACTCCATAGGCAGAGCAGTGGCATGAGGTGTTCAACTGAGTATACTTATAGTTGACTATATCCTAAACAAGAGGTGGATTATTCAAAAGTTTTTCAGGAAAGGGGTGAGCAATTCCCAGAACTGAGGGTTTCTCCCCATTTTAGACGATATAGGGTAATTTCCTGATGTTTCCATGACATTTGTAAATTGTCATGGTGCTGGTGGGAGTGTTATTTAGCATTCTAATGTATTAGGATTAGAGTATACTGAGCAGTGAGGATGACCAGACGTCACTTTCGTTGCCATCTTAATTTTGCCAGGTTTTGGTTGGACTCTTGACCAGATCCTGTTTTATCAGCAAAGTCTTTGTGACCTGTGTCTTGTGTTGACCTCCTGTCTCATCCTGTGGCTAAGAATGCATAACCTTCTAAAAATGCAGCCCAGTAGGTCTCTTCATTATTTGACCCAGCTCCTATTCAAGATGGAGTTGCTCTGGTTCAAACACTCTTGACAATACCCTCCTCCCACTGTATCTATACTACCTCCCTAAATCTAACCTTCCATTTGCAATCTCTCCTGCTACTAATGATTCCATTATCTATTCATTTACTTGCGCCAGATAATCTTCCTTGATTCATCCTTTTCCAATATTTCTCACATCTCTATCATCACTGTTCTTTCCTGAAGCCAATTTGTGCTAATTATGACAATAGTCTCTTTCTTAACTTCCTGGTATCTAACATTTCCCCTGTTATACATTCTATACTTTGCAAATAGGCTAATGTTTATCAACTTTACACCTGATCATATATCTCCCCTGATTAACTCCTTTATAATTCCCCATTGCCTTAAAGAGAAAATATAAATGAAATAGCACAATATAAAGAAACTTCATAATTAAACTTTTCATCTTTGTAGCGTTGGTGTCTTCTAGCCACATAAATATTTCCAGTGCCAAAAATTAAATTTCTAGATCCTTGTACATGATTTCCTCTAAATACAATTTCCTTTACCTAGCTTATTTTTCTCACCCTTAATATTTTATTAGCGATCAGCTCAAGTATCATCTTTTTTGCAAAGGAACTGCTTATTCTCTCTACCTCCTTTTCTCCCCCAACAAACACATTTTTGATTACATATCCTTCCTACATGGTTCTGAAAGACTTCTTTGATTTATTTTTACTCTTATCCCTCTACACTGCAGTAATTGATCTCCAACATTAATCTGTGAGGTCTTTGAATACATGGAGCCATATCATATTCATATTTATATGTATTGTTGAATGAATAGAATAAATAATGAATGGATATATCAAAATGCAATGCGGTAAAATTCAAAATGTCAGGCAGACCATTAAATTAATACAAAATATAAGCAATCAGAGTATAATGCTGATTTTAACACAACACATTATAAACACATTTTATGAAATAGAATGACTTGTATTTACATATGCAACTAAAGGAGTTTTCCTGTCTGAAGAGAAAAAGGCAGTTTTTGATTTTTTGTTTTGCACACAGTTAACAAATGGGTTCATAAGTAGAAAAACTCTTCCTAACAATAATCTAACCTCGATCACCCTAGACCTCTATCTCCACTTATCTGTTAATAGCTAACTTACACATAGCATGAATATAGCAGAATTCCATGTCCTTTCAATGCAAATCTGTCAATTTCTTAATGTTTTCAACTCATTAAATTGCACAATGATTTATTTAATTGCTCAAGTAAAAATTCTAACAGTTTTATGTGTACCTAGTTTTCCCTTAACCCTGGCATGCATATTTAATAAATAACTATGGATTATTAATTGTCTTACTTATGTTATGGCTGGAGATAGACACAAAGGTAATATAACAGTTATAATATCAAGTTACTGGGTCCAGATTAGTATAATAAGGACTATACCAGAGGATTGTACAAAGTGTTTTGGAAGCGTAGAGGAAGTTGTATTCTACTTTGTCATGATGTCTAAATTTTTAAGCCTTTACTGTGCTAAAAAGAAAAAACATATATGTATTTGTTGGGTGCTTACTATATGCCAAACAAGCACTGTAGTTTAACATATTATCTCATTTAAGCTTTATAAACTTGTAAAGTAACATTATAATTCCTATTAAAGGTAAAAGAAATTGCTCAGAAATATTAAGTGATTTCTAAAAGTCACAGGACTGATTAAGGCTGAGAGCAAGAATTCAACTGAGGAATGATTAAATTGAGGAATAACACTAAAATGTTGTACTAAAAGTAGTAATCTGTATACAGAAAGAGAAAGGATAATTTGGGTGGAGAAAAAAAGCAAATCATGTTTGAAGATGTCACATTTAGGAAGGATAGTAGTTTAGTATAGCTATACTCAAGTGTCCTTAAAAATCTAGGTCAGAAAGATAAAAATCCTGAGCTGTACAACTCAAGTATTCTAAGAATTGGAGCAACCTAGAATAGTCAGAATGCTGTAATTCAGAATCTTTTTAGGGCCCAAGGATCGCCATTGTAGTCTCAGCTGTTTATGTCTCACAGCAGTTTAAAAGGCTTATACAAGGTGGTTTTTATTTTAGAAAAAGAACCATTACCTAAAAATGTAATGATTTGACTCAATGAAAGATTTAAAACGCAAAGAACAAAAGTTGTAAATATATATCTTGTTTATATTTATTTGACCGTATACAGGGAATATCTGAATTTGCAGTGTATACACTGTAAAGATTTAAGTCAGCAGGTATTTAAGCAGGTATTAACATTAACTATGTAATGGACTATGGTATTTGAGATTTCTAGTTGACAGAATGTCAGTTGATATACAGTTCCTTGAATATGTATTTAATAAAATAAGGCCAGCAATTTCAACAAAATAGAGTTATTTAGGTCTATGGACTTTTACATTGGCAGTTTACAGAAATTATATCAATGATAATGGAATACATTGTGCCCATACCATCTGTTACTATTCAGAGACTTTAATTTCACAAATGAAAAACTAGTTGATAAAAGCATCAATGATAAGGCTGCTGAAAGATATTTCTCCTCCAGATATTATAATTTAGTTGTTTTCTTACTGCTTGCTTATCTTAGCTATAAGATAAGACACAATGCATTTTATGGCCATTTCTTTACTGAGCCTAATTTAGCATTTTCCATCACTTAACAAAGGGTATAACCAGCAAATCAAACCAATTGCTCACTAAGGAAATTTGCATCATGGCAACAGAAAGAAATGTCTTTCATTCCAGTGATACAATAAGAAAGACAATTGTCATAAAACATACATAATGCCAGGCAAATGTACTCAAAATATGATTGGAAAATACCCAGATTATATCTCTGAGTTGCTGTCAAATTTGTTTTTTGCTATTTAATATTATTTCTATGTCATAATAACCTCTTTTTCATGATCAATGTGATCACCTCTGCAACTGATTTAATGCAGTCACTAAGTCATGAAAAGTGACAGTGATGTTTTGTTTTGCAGCCAGTGTATTCTACCTTTCAACATGTCTCTGAATGTCCAAACTTCTGTTCACGATATCAGGCAGAATTAACACTCAAATATAGAATGGTAACTTCTTAGTGAGTGCTTCAAATACTGTAAGATATTTTATCTATTTATTTCATACTGTGAGATGCAAAACATCGAAGTAAAAATAACGTCTATTCTGAAATCAGATCTCTCTGCATATAAAATTTGGTTCTATGGCTATTCAGAAGCCTTTTAAATCTTGGTGTCTTGATCTGTAAAATGGAGATAATAACTCCCATTTTTGAGTTGCTCCCAATTTTAGGGTTACTACAGCAACCTGCTGATCCAGAACCTGCTTGCCATTGTCAAATAGAACCCACTCTGTCCCAAGACGGTTGTGTGTCTTTGCCAAATTAGTTGATATTTTAATCATTGTTTTCTTATATGTAAAATGGACATTTTTGGCAGGGCACGGTGGCTCACGCCTGTAATCCTAGCACTTTGTGAGGCTGAGGTGGGCAGATCACGAGGTCAGGAGATCGAGACCATCCTGGCTAACACGGTGAAACCTCGTCTCTACTAAAAATACAAAGAATTAGTCGGGCGTGGTGGCGGGTGCCTGTAGTCCCAACTACTCGGGAGGCTGAGGCAGGAGAATGGCGTGAACCTGGGAGGTGGAGCTTGCAGTGAGCCGAGATCAGGCCACTGAACTCCAGCCTGGGCGACAGAGAGAGACTCCGTCTCAAAAATAATAATAATAAAATTTTTAAAAAGGACATTTTTCTTTCATTATTTATTGAGTACTTCCAATGACTTTGTGGAGTTTATAATCTAACAGGGAAATAATAACATCAAATATATAAGATTATTTTGCATACTAAAAATAATGCATATAAAACAGTCACTATTTTGTACAGTTCCTGGCTATTGTTATTATATGACAGAATTGTGGGTTTTTTTGTTTTGTTTTGTTTTGTTTTGTTTTTGAGTCGGAGTCTCACTCAGTCACCAGGCTGTAGTGCAGTGGTGCGATCTCGGCTCATAGCAACCTCCGTCTCCTGGGTTCAAGCGATTCTCCTTCCTCAGCCTCCATAGTAGCTGGGACTATAGGCGTGCACCGCCACACCCAGCTAGTTTTTGTGTTTTTAATCCAGACGGGGTTTCACCATGTTGACCAGGATGGTCTCAATCTCTTGACCTCATGATCTGAAATTAGAGATAAAAGTAGTGGAGTGGGTCTTAGTGAAAGAAGATAACTTTGGTAAAGGAGGAAAATAAAAGACAAGAAAAAAAAGGATAGGTATGGCAACACGATGTGTGATGTTTCTAATCGCCTGTCCTAGAACAGAACGTCTGTATAAGAAAGTAATGGTAGAAAAATAGCTTGAAAGAATGTTTGATTGCACTTCATGGAGGTCATGGAGTCTGTGCTTTATTACCTGGGCAACAGAGACTCATTCCTTCTGAAGTAATATTATCATGTGTAGAAATACGGTGAATGGCCAATTACATTTCACTTCATTCTACTTACAGGAGATGGAATTTTTTAGACCCTTCTCAGGTCAAATAATTGCAGGGGATGCACACCTTTAAAATATAACTAATTAGTCCTATCACTGTTTTATATATTATAGATTTATTGTCTTCTGGTAAATCTCTCTCAGAAGAAAACAGCCTTGAGCAAAGTTAGACCCCTTCTGCATAGTAAACTGTTGTTTACTTCTACCTGTCTCTATTTTATCGTATCTGAAAATATAAAGCTGCAACTTCAAAGTCATTAGGAATAGAAAGTCTGTTCTATACTTGAATATCCTTCATATAAAGTGCACTCCAGGGGAAGAATTTAATGATTATAGTACCAGACTGATGCTCTCAACACCCCTGAAATTTTGGCATGAAGGTCATTCTACAAGGAGTTGCTAGAAACAGAGGCACACAGCTCCATTCAAAACTCAGAGTAAGCCCCTCAGTAGGTTGCTTCCACAGGTGAATCTGATTCTTAGTCTTGTTTCTTTGTCAGGCAAACATCTCTCTTGTTTTAAGTCTTATATTGTTGCAGGCATCAAAAGGGAGAAGTTTAGATATAAACAAGCTCTGCCTCCAAGAAGAAATCTACTGTGTTTGCAGTACAGAGCAAGAAACTGGATTTCTATTTTCAACCTCGCAATTAATTAGAAAAGTTGAATGCTGTTAGCTCAGTAAGTCACTTCCTTCCTTTACAGAGTAAATGGAAAAGAAGTATTTCAATGACTGATGAAAAGACATAAGGATTAGTGCCTATGCTATAAACAAAATGTGCTCTGTCCAGCTTCACTGAAGTTGTAGTTATTATATTTGTATTTTATGCTTTCTCCTCACTGTGTGAAGCATTAAGTTGCCCAGTTTTAAAAAATCTTTCTAATAATAATACTTAAACTATCACCTAACTTAAAGAGGAGCTATATCCCCTTAGCAAAAAAAAAAAGAGATTTAAAAACATATGAGCATGCTGAGAAAAAAAAATAGCAGACAAAATTAATCAGGAGAGATGAAATATAACTGGAAAGATTTAGAACACTATCCCAAGGTAGACCATAGATGGCTTGAGGACACAAAAGCAGATACATCAAGGTAAATAAATCTTCCTGAACCTTGCCAATGTCAGTAATACTAAATTCATAATTACAAGTTAATTGTGCTGTTTTACCATCTAATTCTGACTTGATTAAATTTTTAAAGACTATTATACTCAAGCTCACAATAAAGCAACTCTTATCAGATACATAGTATTCTTTTTTTTTTTTTTTTTATTATACTCTAAGTTTTAGGGTACATGTGCACATTGTGCAGGTTAGTTACATATGTATACATGTGCCATGCTGGTGCGCTGCACCCACTAATGTGTCATCTAGCATTAGGTATATCTCCCAATGCTATCCCTCCCCCCTCCCCCGACCCCACCACAGTCCCCAGAGTGTGATATTCCCCTTCCTGTGTCCATGTGATCTCATTGTTCAATTCCCACCTATGAGTGAGAATATGCGGTGTTTGGTTTTTTGTTCTTGCGATAGTTTACTGAGAATGATGGTTTCCAATTTCATCCATGTCCCTACAAAGGATATGAACTCATCATTTTTTATGGCTGCATAGTATTCCATGGTGTATATGTGCCACATTTTCTTAATCCAGTCTATCATTGTTGGACATTTGGGTTGGTTCCAAGTCTCTGCTATTGTGAATAGTGCCGCAATAAACATACGTGTGCATGTGTCTTTATAGCAGCATGATTTATACTCATTTGGGTATATACCCAGTAATGGGATGGCTGGGTCAAATGGTATTTCTAGTTCTAGATCCCTGAGGAATCGCCACACTGACTTCCACAATGGTTGAACTAGTTTACAGTCCCACCAACAGTGTAAAAGTGTTCCTATTTCTCCGCATCCTCTCCAGCACCTGTTGTTTCCTGACTTTTTAATGATTGCCATTCTAACTGGTGTGAGATGATATCTCATAGTGGTTTTGATTTGCATTTCTCTGATGGCCAGTGATGATGAGCATTTCTTCATGTGTTTTTTGGCTGCATAAATGTCTTCTTTTGAGAAGTGTCTGTTCATGTCCTTCGCCCACTTTTTGATGGGGTTGTTTGTTTTTTTCTTGTAAATTTGTTTGAGTTCATTGTAGATTCTGGATATTAGCCCTTTGTCAGATGAGTAGGTTGCGAAAATTTTCTCCCATGTTGTAGGTTGCCTGTTCACTCTGATGGTAGTTTCTTTTGCTGTGCAGAAGCTCTTTAGTTTAATTAGATCCCATTTGTCAATTTTGTCTTTTGTTGCCATTGCTTTTGGTGTTTTGGACATGAAGTCCTTGCCCACGCCTATGTCCTGAATGGTAATGCCTAGGTTTTCTTCTAGGGTTTTTATGGTTTTAGGTTTAACGTTTAAATCTTTAATCCATCTTGAATTGATTTTTGTATAAGGTGTAAGGAAGGGATCCAGTTTCAGCTTTCTACATATGGCTAGCCAGTTTTCCCAGCACCATTTATTAAATAGGGAATCCTTTCCCCATTGCTTGTTTTTCTCAGGTTTGTCAAAGATCAGATAGTTGTAGATATGTGGCATTATTTCTGAGGGCTCTGTTCTGTTCCATTGATCTATATCTCTGTTTTGGTACCAGTACCATGCTGTTTTGGTTACTGTAGCCTTGTAGTATAGTTTGAAGTCAGGTAGTGTGATGCCTCCAGCTTTGTTCTTTTGGCTTAGGATTGACTTGGCAATGCGGGCTCTTTTTTGGTTCCATATGAACTTTAAAGTAGTTTTTTCCAATTCTGTGAAGAAAGTCATTGGTAGCTTGATGGGGATGGCATTGAATCTGTAAATTACCTTGGGCAGTATGGCCATTTTCACGATATTGATTCTTCCTACCCATGAGCATGGAATGTTCTTCCATTTGTTTGTGTCCTCTTTTATTTCCTTGAGCAGTGGTTTGTAGTTCTCCTTGAAGAGGTCCTGCACATCCCTTGTAAGTTGGATTCCTAGGTATTTTATTCTCTTTGAAGCAATTGTGAATGGGAGTTCACCCATGATTTGGCTCTCTGTTTGTCTGTTGTTGCTGTATAAGAATGCTTGTGATTTTTGTACATTGATTTTGTATCCTGAGACTTTGCTGAAGTTGCTTATCAGCTTAAGGAGATTTTGGGCTGAGACGATGGGGTTTTCTAGATAAACAATCATGTCGTCTGCAAACAGGGACAATTTGACTTCCTCTTTTCCTAATTGAATACCCTTTATTTCCTTCTCCTGCCTGATTGCCCTGGCCAGAACTTCCAACACTATGTTGAATAGGAGCGGTGAGAGAGGGCATCCCTGTCTTGTGCCAGTTTTCAAAGGGAATGCTTCCAGTTTTTGCCCATTCAGTATGATATTGGCTGTGGGTTTGTCATAGATAGCTCTTATTATTTTGAAATACGTCCCATCAATACCTAATTTATTGAGAGTTTTTAGCATGAAGGGTTGTTGAATTTTGTCAAAGGCTTTTTCTGCATCTATTGAGATAATCATGTGGTTTTTGTCTTTGGCTCTGTTTATATGCTGGATTACATTTATTGATTTGCATATATTGAACCAGCCTTGCATCCCAGGGATGAAGCCCACTTGATCATGGTGGATAAGCTTTTTGATGTGCTGCTGGATTCGGTTTGCCAGTATTTTATTGAGGATTTTTGCATCAATGTTCATCAAGGATATTGGTCTAAAATTCTCTTTTTTGGTTGTGTCTCTGCCCGGCTTTGGTATCAGAATGATGCTGGCCTCATAAAATGAGTTAGGGAGGATTCCCTCTTTTTCTATTGATTGGAATAGTTTCAGAAGGAATGGTACCAGTTCCTCCTTGTACCTCTGGTAGAATTCGGCTGTGAATCCATCTGGTCCTGGACTCTTTTTGGTTGGTAAACTATTGATTATTGCCACAATTTCAGAGCCTGTTATTGGTCTATTCAGAGATTCAACTTCTTCCTGGTTTAGTCTTGGGAGAGTGTATGTGTCGAGGAATGTATCCATTTCTTCTAGATTTTCTAGTTTATTTGCGTAGAGGTGTTTGTAGTATTCTCTGATGGTAGTTTGTATTTCTGTGGGATCGGTGCTGATATCCCCTTTATCATTTTTTATTGTGTCTATTTGATTCTTCTCTCTTTTTTTCTTTATTAGTCTTGCTAGCGGTCTATCAATTTTGTTGATCCTTTCAAAAAACCAGCTCCTGGATTCATTGATTTTTTGAAGGGTTTTTTGTGTCTCTATTTCCTTCAGTTCTGCTCTGATTTTAGTTATTTCTTGCCTTCTGCTAGCTTTTGAATGTGTTTGCTCTTGCTTTTCTATTTCTTCTAATTGTGATGTTAGGGTGTCAATTTTGGATCTTTCCTGCTTTCTCTTTTAGGCATTTAGTGCTATAAATTTCCCTCTACACACTGCTTTGAATGCGTCCCAGAGATTCTGGTATGTGGTGTCTTTGTTCTCGTTGGTTTCAAAGAACATCTTTATTTCTGCCTTCATTTCGTTATGTACCCAGTAGTCATTCAGGAGCAGGTTGTTCAGTTTCCATGTAGTTGAGCGGCTTTGAGTGAGATTCTTAATCCTGAGTTCTAGTTTGATTGCACTGTGGTCTGAGAGATAGTTTGTTATAATTTCTGTTCTTTTACATTTGCTGAGGAGAGCTTTACTTCCAACTATGTGGTCAATTTTGGAATAGGTGTGGTGTGGTGCTGAAAAAAATGTATATTCTGTTGATTTGGGGTGGAGAGTTCTGTAGATGTCTATTAGGTCTGCTTGGTGCAGAGCTGAGTTCAATTCCTGGGTATCCTTGTTGACTTTCTGTCTCGTTGATCTGTCTAATGTTGACAGTGGGGTGTTAAAGTCTCCCATTATTAATGTGTGGGAGTCTAAGTCTCTTTGTAGGTCACTCAGGACTTGCTTTATGAATCTGGGTGCTCCTGTATTGGGTGCATAAATATTTAGGATAGTTAGCTCCTCTTGTTGAATTGATCCCTTTACCATTATGTAATGGCCCTCTTTGTCTCTTTTGATCTTTGTTGGTTTAAAGTCTGTTTTATCAGAGACTAGGATTGCAACCCCTGCCTTTTTTTGTTTTCCATTGGCTTGGTAGATCTTCCTCCATCCTTTTATTTTGAGCCTATGTGTGTCTCTGCACGTGAGATGGGTTTCCTGAATACAGCACACTGATGGGTCTTGACTCTTTATCCAACTTGCCAGTCTGTGTCTTTTAATTGCAGAATTTAGTCCATTTATATTTAAAGTTAATATTGTTATGTGTGAATTTGATCCTGTCATTATGATGTTAGCTGGTGATTTTGCTCGTTAGTTGATGCAGTTTCTTCCTAGTCTCGATGGTCTTTACATTTTGGCATGATTTTGCAGTGGCTGGTACCAGTTGTTCCTTTCCATGTTTAGCGCTTCCTTCAGGAGCTCTTTTAGGGTAGGCCTGGTGGTGACAAAATCTCTCAGCATTTGCTTGTCTATAAAGTATTTTCTTTCTCCTTCACTTATGAAGCTTAGTTTGGCTGGAAATGAAATTCTGGGTTGAAAATTCTTTTCTTTAAGAATGTTGAATATTGGCCCCCACTCTCTTCTGGCTTGTAGGGTTTCTGCCGAGAGGTCCGCTGTTAGTCTGATGGGCTTCCCTTTGAGGGTAACCCGACCTTTCTCTCTGGCTGCCCTTAACATTTTTTCCTTCATTTCAACTTTGGTGAATCTGACAATTATGTGTCTTGGAGTTGCTCTTCTCGAGGAGTATCTTTGTGGCGTTCTCTGTATTTCCTGAATCTGAACGTTGGCCTGCCTTGCTAGATTGGGGAAGTTCTCCTGGATAATATCCTGCAGAGTGTTTTCCAACTTGGTTCCATTCTCCACATCACTTTCAGGTACACCAATCAGACGTAGATTTGGTCTTTTCACATAGTCCCATATTTCTTGGAGGCTTTGCTCATTTCTTTTTATTCTTTTTTCTCTAAACTTCCCTTCTCGCTTCATTTCATTCATTTCATCTTCCATTGCTGATACCCTTTCTTCCAGTTGATCGCATCAGCTCCTGAGGCTTCTGCATTCTTCACGTAGTTCTTGAGCCTTGGTTTTCAGCTCCATCAGCTCCTTTAAGCACTTCTCTGTATTGGTTATTCTAGTTATACATTCTTCTAAATTTTTTTCAAAGTTTTCAACTTCTTTGCCTTTGGTTTGAATGTCCTCCCGTAGCTCAGAGTAATTTGATCGTCTGAAGCCTTCTTCTCTCAGCTCGTCAAAATCATTCTCCATCCAGCTTTGTTCTGTTGCTGGTGAGGAACTGCGTTCCTTTGGAGGAGGAGAGGCGCTCTGCGTTTTAGAGTTTCCAGTTTTTCTGTTCTGTTTTTTCCCCATCTTTGTGGTTTTATCTACTTTTGGTCTTTGATGATGGTGATGTACAGATGGGTTTTCGGTGTAGATGTCCTTTCTGGTTGTTAGTTTTCCTTCTAACAGACAGGACCCTCAGCTGCGAGTCTGTTGGAATACCCTGCCGTGTGAGGTGTCAGTGTGCCCCTGCTGGGGGGTGCCTCCCAGTTAGGCTGCTCGGGGGTCAGGGGTCAGGGACCCACTTGAGGAGGCAGTCTGCCCATTCTCAGATCTCCAGCTGCGTGCTGGGAGAACCACTGCTCTCTTCAAAGCTGTCAGACAGGGACACTTAAGTCTGCAGAGGTTACTGCTGCCTTTTTGTTTGTCTGTGCCCTGCCCCCAGAGGTGGAGCCTACAGAGGCAGGCAGGCCTCCTTGAGCTGTGGTGGGCTCCACCCAGCTCGAGCTTCCCGGCTGCTTTGTTTACCTAAGCAAGCCTGGGCAATGGCGGGCGCCCCTCCCCCAGCCTCGTTGCTGCCTTGCAGTTTGATCTCAGACTGCTGTGCTAGCAATCAGCGAGACTCCGTGGGCGTAGGACCCTCTGAGCCAGGTGCGGGATATAGTCTCGTGGTGCGCCTTTTCTTAAGCCGGTCTGAAAAGCGCAATATTCGGGTGGGAGTGACCCGATTTTCCAGGTGCGTCCGTCACCCCTTTCTTTGACTCGGAAAGGGAACTCCCTGACCCCTTGCGCTTCCCAGGTGAGGCAATGCCTCGCCCTGCTTCGGCTCGCGCACGGTGCGCGCACACACTGACCTGCGCCCACTGTCTGGCACTCCCTAGTGAGATGAACCCGGTACCTCAGATGGAAATGCAGAAATCACCCGTCTTCTGCATCGCTCACGCTGGGAGCTGTAGACCGGAGCTGTTCCTATTCGGCCATCTTGGCTCCTCCCCAGATACATAGTATTCTAACAAACAGAATCTTACTCTATTTGTTCCTTAATGAATGATTATCCCCAAACCCTACTACTTATATTTGCATTTTAGCCTGTCATTGCATTTAGGCTCACACAAGTAGCTGGCCATGATTGGAAAATATTTTTTTTAAATATTTTCCAGGTGATTTAGAAGTATATAAGATCTCGTGTGTTAAAGCAGGAAATTTCTAAAACTCTAAATTCTTCTAATAATTGCATAATAAAATAAAATTTAAAAAATTAAAAATAAACCTTGACTGAGTCAATACAATAAAAGTAATACGAATTCTCTCAAAAATGTATGCATATATTTATTTGTCTGTTTCTCTACATATATGTAGTATTAAAAGATATTTATATTTGAGTATCTGAAAGAAACTGTGTAATAGCAGAAGCTTCCCTGCAGTGAGGTTACAAAGCTGATTGTGTCTTTTAATTGACATCCTAAAGTGTTGATCCGAGGAACACAAGAAACATTTGTGGTTGTTTTATTACTTCTATCTATTATTCTACCAGTAAATAGTCCCAAACCAGTTACTACTGAACATTACTGAATATAATTTTTGGATAATTTAGTATTTTACCATATTCACATTTCTGCTACAATCCTATTGTTTGTAGTCAATCTGTCATTAAAATAAAAGAATGTAATTCCAGAATTTCCTGTCCAGACATGAAAAAACAGGAATACATTATTTATAAAGTAAAAATGAGCTTACACATTTTTTGTCAGAGCTATTACCTATTGGCCTTTAAGACCGTAATTATTTATATCAGCCTCTGAGCAATGCTTGTTAACATTTAGTATGTTTGCTAACACAAATCAACATGTAATTTTCTCAAGTTTGGAAGCTTTTTATTAAGGGGTTAATCAACTGAATTTAAATTAACATAGGATAACCTCTGTAATCTTTACTAAATTATATTAACCCCAGTTAATCCAGTTTCCTTATCAATAAGATGGAGAAATTGATACTGATCTTATAGGAAAGATCTGAGTATTTAATTGTTTTTAGAAACTTATATTGACAGACAAATATTAATAATACATGTTTAATGAACATGCATTATTTTTAGGAAATGAGTTTTGTATCTCTATATCATTATAGAGATAATTAACTTCTATTATCAGTGGTATATAGAATGACATTTCTAGTCCTGGAAGACAATGTTCATCAAAATTTACCTTTTCATCCGGTTTTATCTTCTGTCTTATGCTATAAAGCATTCTATCACCAGAGGCTTGTGTAAAAGCACATTATATTTTACCTAGGAAACATAAGTTTATATATATCTTAAAAAGGCTTCGTTGGTTTCTTTGGATAATGTTGTGTTCTCAGCTCCTACTGCAGGCTTGACACAAGCAAAAACTTGTAAGAACATTCCTTGTTTATTTTGTCTAATAATTTCTTTCAGGAGGCAGTTATTATGGAGATTAAGAATATTACTTCTTGATCCAGCATTCCTTGTTTGAATGCTGGCATAGTAACCTAAGTTCCACCTTCCTTAATTTTGTTTATCTAAAATGAGAATATTGAAAGTATCGATGCCATGAAATTATTTAAAAACAAAACAAGTTGAAATATATCCTGGAAGTAAATAAAGTAGAAGTGTTAACTTAGTTATTATCATTACATTGCTCAGTGTTCAAAAGTGTAATATAAGCCTTTTTTAAAGAGGTCCCAACCCTTCTCATGTAAATATAATCTGGCCACTCCTAACTAGGAGGAATTGTATATCTTAAACTGTTTCTTAAAAAAAAAAAATGTAATAGGAAGAGCAATAGCTCTTCCCCAAAATGCTATCCAAGGATATATCCGGAAGTTCTTTTCAAATATAAATAAAATGATCTTTATTAAATAAGCAAAAGTTAATTTTTTTAATATGTTGTTAGTTAAAGCTCCCCTGTGACCACCAAATGATACAAGGCTTCTGGCTTCCATGTTGTACAAAAAAGTTGGAAAAAGTGTCACATCTACTCTAACAACAGCCAAATAATATACAAAGTCATTAAGAGCTGAAGTCACAATGCAACTGACTACTCTATACTCTAAAGAATGAAAAAAATATCAAAAGAGATATGGGATATGAGAATTAACTAGTCTGTGGCAATAGGAGGAAGACAAGGTCTCCATAAAAGTAGATTGTAAGAATTCAGCATTTTTAAAATGAATTACTAAAGGCTGAGGGGAGAAGGGCATGAGAATATATTATCTCTAAGTGATTCAGATGCAAGGGGAGTTTGTAGAACCTCACAGGCTCTTCTCCACGGAACTCAGAGTTCTCTCAAGGAAGACTGGGGCAACACAAGATACAAGTCAATTCTTTCCTTGGTGATACAGGGCTGGATGAGGAGAGGAATCTCTACTACCTACCTGGTACCTCTTCCACTAAAGAACAGAAGTGTTAAGGAGTTTTGGGGAAGGAGCAGAAAACTCTTCTGGGCCCAGATTACTGGGGATCTCTCCTTGCTGCTGTCCAAGGTGTTAACCTGGGACCAATCTATAAGGTGCTAATTATATTGTATCCATTGCTTGCATCAAAGGGACGCAGAAATATTCAATCTCTAACCAATGTCCTTTTCTAAGATTACATTATTGAGGACATGTAAAGGAGGGTTGTCCCCCTTTTTTCTTATTCTTCTGATCACATTGTTCCAATAAATAATGTTTTGGTTTCAGAATCTAGATGTCAGCATATGTGCTATAATCTCTCCATTTGAGGTTAGTGAGAAAACTAGAAATAGGATTAATTATAAGCCTAAAAATTGGAAAGATACCTGAGAGCTCTAAGCAAATATTTAGACATATTTATGTTTCTCCTTTACATTTGCGATACTACTTTTTCTTAAAATATATCTTTGTTTTGGAATAAGCAAATTTCAAGGAGTGAGATTTCAAAATAACTTGCTACTTATTACCATTATGGCCACTAGCAATGTGTGAACGTACTAATTTCATTCCAAATTCTCTAGGATTTGATGTCAAAACAAGGGAAGTATTTGACAAGTCTTTGACTATAATTCAGAAGAATTTCACAGAAAATAATCTAGGGTAATTATTTAAAATTAAGTTTTCTGAAGTTTTAGGGGAAAAATAGTGCCAAAATAAATTCACAGCAAGCCATTAAACTAATGCTAAATTACTTCTCTTTCATTATTCATCATTACCTTCATATTTCCTCTTCCTAGATTCTATGATGTAACATTTTCTTACAAATACTATTAATACTTTTGACCCTTGTTAGTTAATAATATTGAGTTGACAAAGCCATAAGTTAGGTATGCTCCCAATAAACTAGATATTAGCTAAGAACATATTAAAACAGTATTAGTTAGTCTCTTTAATTTCATGGCCATCAGTCTCGTATTGGCATTCAGCACTAAAACATTATAAAACTAAACTTCCTTAATATATTTACTTTCACATTTTCCACTTCTCAATACAGTCTCACTTTTGTTTTCTGATAATAATATCATCTCTGGTCATTGACAAACTTAGATTATCTGGAAGTTCATTTTTTCCCCTTTTCGCAGTTCAACAGGAAGCTCTCTTAGCTGGGCAGCAAGGAAGGCCTTTGGCTGATGTCAGCATTTCTGGCAGGCCAGGCTTCACCCAGAGCCCTTGGTATATACAACTTAGACCTCAGTTTGTGCACCTCCCAGTCTTCCTCAAGTTGCCTTGAAAACTTTCTTGTTATTTAGAGAAAATAGATGTTCTGTAGTCCACTTCAGGCTACACCTCTAAAAATGTAGCACTGTGTGTTGGGGGGGCCGCAGTGGTAGGGGGCGGGCATAGTCACTGTCTTGGAGCCCCCTCTGTCATGGGTCCACCTGCAGCCCTCACAGCCTTCTCTATTGGAACCATAGCCATGCTGTGTATTGAACTTTACTCAGCCTGTCCTGTGGAAGAATGACAGGTTTGGGGACTTACTGCAGTCTAACATGTTTCTGCTTATAAGATTTTCCCCGATAAATGATACATTAGATCTGCTCTATTCAGCCAAGTGTTCATAATGCCCTTGGATGACAACAATTTTTACTGTTAAAAGTAAGAAATAATAACAACCCTTTGGAAACTTGCATATTATTTTTCTACCAAATCTAGTCTCTTTAATTTCGTATGCTGCTCATACCCCTAGTAGTTTCGTTAAACTGCTCATTAGCAGTTTAACCTTGTGCTTGAAAGTGTGTTTTCTGGAGCTCATCTACTGGGGGTTGAGTCCCTGCTCTGCTAATCATCAGAGCTGTGTAATCTTCAGCAATTTATTTTTTTTCTGTATCTCAGTTTTTCTGTTTGTAAAATAGAAATAATACATAGTTCATAGAGTGATAGTAAACATTAAGTTAATACATGTGTAACACTTTAAAAAATGGTGTGACATATAATAAGTATTAGTGTTTGTTAAATGAAGATTATTTGTAACTGTAACAACATTCTCTCTGTTTTTTTATTATTACTGTGGAAGATGGAAGAAGTGGCCCTTTCACAGGCCAACTCCTGCTCTTGGCTTTGGATTAGATCTGGTTGGGGTATAAAAGCTTCATTTTTACATTCATTCCCTTTCTTCACTATCATGTTTCTTCCACTCTTCTTGATAATTTTTGCTAGTATACAAATATTCTCTGTTGCTTCTCAAATTAATAAAAAATTGTGTTGTCACTCTGTTCCTTCCACCTACCAACTCATTTATATTTTCTCCTTGACAACAAATTCCTAAAAAGAGATTAGTTGTTAAAGATTAGTTGTGGCATTTTCTAAAAATTTCCACAGCAATATTTCTGCTTCCACTTGCAACTACATAAGGTTACTAATTCCATCCAAAGATAGATTTATTTCACCTCTACTTGAACTCAGTGGTATTTTGTTAATGCGTCTGTGAGGAGAATGTAAGAAGTGATGTTATGTGACTTCTCTGTGTAGGTAATAAAAAGTGATATGTTTTCACCTGACTCTCTCTCTCTCTCTCTCTTTCTCTCTCTCTCTCTGTCACACACACACACACCCACACACACACACACACACACACACACACGCTCTCTCTCTCTATATATATATCTATAGATAGATATAGCTATCTATAGATATATAGATAGATATAGATATCTATATATATACTATATCTATCTATCTATTTAGACAGTTGTAGTATCTATCTATATAGTATATACAGATTATATGTAACTGTAACAACATTCTCTCTGTTTTTTATTATTACTGTGGAAGATGGGAGATATAGATAGATATAGTATATATTTATATATAGATATAGTATATATTTATATATAGATATAGTATATATCTATATATAGTATATATCTATATAGATATAGATAGATATCTATCTATATACTATATTATATAGATAGATATAGTATATATAGATATCTATATATAGATATAGTATATATATACTATATCAACCTATATATAGATATATCTATATATAGAGAGCGTGTGTGTGTGTGTACGTGTGTGTGACAGAGAGAGATATACTCTATCTATCTATATATATCTATATATACACTATATCTATCCATATCTATCTATATATATGCTCTATCTATCATCTATCTATTTATCTATCTATCAATCTATCTATCTATCTATCTATCTATCTATCTATCTATCTATCTATCTACCTACCTACCTACCTACTTACCCCTGTGGTTCAGCCACCCTGCAGTAAGGAAGCCTAGGGTATGTGGAAACAGCAAGAGATCAACTTGCCCCAACTAATGTCAGCCCCCAGCCAGTTTCATCCTAGAGACATGCTGTAATGGGAAAAGTTCCCTTATCCCCCTTGAAGGGCATGCAATGGGGGTGTGGCTTGCTTCTACAGTGCCTGACTGCTCATGCCCCTAGGGGAGCATGCAGATGGGCAGGTTGCTGGGGTCTGGCCCCACGGCAGCGTCTAGGGTTAAGTGTTTACAGCTCCCAAAGCCCCAGTGGGCGTGTGTTACAGTGTGTTTTTTCAATTTTGCTGTCTTCAGGCTGTTTGTGTTAATCAGCTCAATTAGACCCTCTGCCTTATTGCAAGGACAGAGGGTTTTCTGTATCCTGATTTCTTGCCTAGTGTACCAGAAAAATCAGATCAGATGTGGGCTTGGAGAATGAGTGCAAGGTTTCATTGAATGGTGCAGGTAGCTCTCAGCAGATGGATGGGAGCCAAAAGGGGGATGGGAGCCAGGTGGTCTTTTCCTGGAATCGGGCCGCTCAGTGGCCCGGCCCTCCTCTGATCCAATTCACCTCGGCATCCACATCCTTCCACGCATCTGCCGGTGTGTTTTTCCATCGGTGTGTTTCTCTCAAATGTCCAGCCACTTGTGTGTTTTTTCGCTGGTGCGATCCTCTCGACGTCCAGCCACTTGTGTGTGTGCCGGCTAGGGTCTTGGGGTTTTTATATATGCATAGAATGGGCCGTGGCGGGCCAGAGTGGTCCTGGAAAATGCAACATTTGTCCTCACTTAGGTCTGTGGGCACAGGCCCGAGGGTGGAGCCCTCTCCAGGGACCCTGCCTTTCTGTACCCAGAACTTCCCTGCCTGCCTCCCGTATCAGTGTGAGTAAGCATGCTTTCAGATAATTCCAGCTCCAAGCATTTGAACCTCCCAGTTTGTGGTCATACATATTATAGAGCAGAGACAAGCTTTCCCAGTCATGATCTGTTCAAATTCCTGATCCACAAAATCCATGAGCATGGTAAATAACTGGTTTTTGCCAGTGAGTTTTGGGGAAATTTTCTGTTTCGTCATAATAACTAGAACTTTTGTTTATAATAACTAGAGTCACTGTAGGGGAACTCTACATTAAGTCTTTATTTATTTATTTATTTATTTATTTATTTATTTATTTATTTATTTAATTTTTTGAGAAGTAGTCTCACTCTGTTGCCCAGGCTGAAGTGCAGTAGTGCAGTCTCAGCTCACTTCAACCTCTGCCTCCCAGGTTCAAACAATTCTGCCTCAGTCTCCCAAGTAGGTGAGATTACAGGTTCCCACCAACATGCATGGCTAATATTTGTATTTTTTTTTATTAGAGACAGGGTTTCACCGGGTTGGCCAAATGGGTGTTAAACTTCTGACCTCAAGTGATCTACCCCAAAATGCTGGGAATACAGGCATGAGCCACCATGCCCGTCCAAAACTCCTGTTTCTATTAGGAGTAAATTGATAGAAATATGGAAATTACCAGACAGAAGTTAAATAAACGAAGATATCATTCAGAAGTGCTGAAATCTACCTAATAGAATTTCTCAAAAAAGATAATAAAAGTACAATGAATAAATAAAAAAATAAATTATCTAGAAGTAAAGAAAGACTCTTCATTTAATCGGGATGCTTATTTATTATTATTTCTACAAATTATCCAGTTTACATAGAAAATGTATCAATGGTAACATTCTTCTTTGTACTTTTCTGTTTGAAAAATTTATTTTAACCTCCTCCGTAATCAGTATGTGCATTAATCTGTTCTCATACTGCTATGTAGAAATACTCTAGACTGGGTAATTTATAAAGAAAAAGAGGTTTAATGGACTCGCAGTTCCACATGGCTGGGCTGAGGAAACCTCACAATCATGGCAGAAGGCAAAGGAGGAGCAAAGGCACATCTTACATTGCAGCAGGCCAGACAGTGTGTGTTCATAAACTGCACTCTATAAAACCATCAGATCTCATGAGACTTTTTCATGAGTCTGTCACAAGAACAGCATGATTCAATTACCTCCACCAGGTCTCTCCCATGACATGTGGGAATTATGAAAGCTACAATTCAAGATGAGATTTGGGTGGGAACACAGTCAAACCATATCATTCTGCCCCTGGCCCCTCCCAGATCTCATGTCCTCACATTTCAAAACCAACCATGCCTTCCCATCGGTCCCCCAAAGTCTTAATTCATCTTACCATTAATTCAAACGTCCACAGTCCAAAGTCTTACCTGAGATAAGGCAAGTCTCTTTCACTTACGAGCCTGTGAAATCAAAAGCAAGTTAGTTACATCCTAGATACAATGGGGGTACAGGCATTAGGTAAATACACCTGTTCCAAATAGGGGAAATTGGCCAAAACAAAGCAGCCACAGGCCCCATGTTAGTCCAAAATCCAACAGGGCAGTCAAATCTTAAAGCTCCAAAGTTATCTTCTTTAACTCTATGTCTCACATCCAGGTCATGCTGATGCAAGTGGTCAGCTCCCGTGGCTTTGGGCATCTCTGCCCCTGTGGCTTTGCAGGGTACAGCCCCAATTCCAGTACCAATTTACTGTATTAGTCCATTCTCACACTGTTATAAGGAAATACCCAAGACTGGGTAATTTATAAAGAAAAAAAGGTTCAATGGACTCACAGTTCCACATGACTGGGGAGGCCTCACAATCATGGTGGAAGGTGAAGGAGGAGCAAAGGCACATCTTACATGGCAGCAGATCAGAGTGTGTGTGCAGGGAAAATTCCGTTTATAAAACCATGAGATCTCATGAGACTTATTCACTATCACAAGAACAGCATGGGAAAAACCCACCCCCATTGTTCAGTTGCATCCCACCGGGTCCCTCCTATGACACTTGAGGTTATGAGAGCTACAATTCAAGATGAGATTTGGGTGGGAACCCAGCCAAACTGTATTGTATGTATTAAACATATATAGTTAAATGGAAATAAAAATTAAAAATAAATGTGATGGTTGTTAAAACGTTTATAACAGAATGTTATATAAAATGTAATTTTGTTGAAACATTGTCAATTACATTATCTTATTTTTTGAATCAAAACTAAAATGAAAAATGTTAAACATCTTTCCCTTAGAATTCGTAACATCTGCTATATTTATTATTGACATTAATAAGAAAATTCATTTTATCCTTTAAAAAATAGAATATTGTCTATTCATAAATTGTAAGACCTGTTTAAACTGTATGTATTTTGGAATCTCTGAGTTTCTTGTATATAGATGTTTAAATCTCCTGTTAGACTTGGAAGTTTTTATTAATAGCTATTATTTTGTTGAATAGGTTTTCTATCCCTTTCATTTTTTTCTCTTTCTGCGACAACAAATGGTAAATATTTGCTCACTTTATGATGTCCCATATCTCACATGAGCTTTGTTCATTCTCTTTTATTCTTTATTTTAAATTTTGTCTGGCTGGGTTATTTTAAAAGACCTATCTTTAACTTCTGAAATTCTTTCTTCTACTTGATTTAGTGCATTGTTGAAGATATTGAAAGCCTTTTATAGCTAATTCAATGAATTCTTCAGTCCCAGAATGTCTTGTTCTTTTTGATGATGTCTAACTCTTTGGGAAGTTTTAATTTATATTCTGATTGTTTTTCTAATTTCTTTGTATTTTTTTTTGGAATTCTCATTGTGTCTCACTGAGATTCTTTACAATCAATATTTAAATTTTTTCTGAGACCTCATAATTTCTTTTACATTTGAATCTGTTGCAGAATTACTATGTTCCTTTGAAAGTGTCATATTTTATTGTTTTTAATGTTACTTATAGCCTTACATTGATATCTGCATATCTGACATAAAGATTGCATCTTCCAATATTTGAGTTTGCTTCTACAGGGGAGTATGTAGGGAAGTTGTATCTATGGTATTGGTTTGGTAAGGCACTTTAGCTTTGATTCTGAGTGAGTGGATTCAGTAGTGTATTCTTCATATGATTTCTTTGACTATTAACAGCATTAGTGGAGCCTTTAATTTCCTCGGGGTACAGTTGTTAGCGGAGGCTGTGGTAAAATTTTACTGTAGATGGAGATGTCAGGTGGGACAGTCCTTGGGCCCTGGTGGTGGCAGCGGTAGGCTGAGCATACCTATTCTTGGGTCCTGGGGGACTGTACACTAGCGCTAATGTTACCAGGTTTAGGAGGGCCAATTCTTGGCCCTCGAGGTAGCTTGCTAGAGTGCCAGCAGTTGCAGCAGTGGGTTGAGTGAATGGGCAGATCCTAGGGCCCTTGGGCAGCAGGTTTGGTGTGGGTGATGGGGTGATGGCAGTAGCAGTAGCAAAGTAATGCTCTGGCTTTCAGTGTGGTCTGTGCTGGTACTGGGAGTGACTGCAACAGGCTCCATATTCCAATCTCCTGGCCCGCATGTGGGACATGTGTTTGTGCCAGTTATGGTGGTAGCATCAGGTTGAGTGAGCCTGGCCTCAGGCCCTTGGATGAATGCTCAGGTGGTATTCATCCTGGTAAACAGGATGGTAAGTAGACCTGGAAAATCCCCAGTTCTCTAGGTGACATTCTTGGGTATTCGGGTGTGGAACTGACCTGGACAGGCTTGGCCTCAGCCAGCCATTTGTGTCAGGGTGCCTGTGATAGACAGTGGTAAGGTGATGATCCCCACATCCTGATAGAATGCTTGGGTAGGGGTATAGTGGTTGTGCTGCATCCCTGCTACTAGAGAGCGTGGCATTGCTCTCCTAGGTAGCAGCTGTAAACAGATCTATGAGAAGCACGCACTTTGACCCCAGGTGCTTGCTGCAAGTAGGGTAGCCTGTTCTCAGGGTGCTTGTAAATATGTAGCAAACCTTCTCCTGGTTATGGCAGAATTGCTTCCAATAGCTCACACTTAGGATCTAGAGGCAGCCAGCAGCAGTGCCCGGCTGCAGATGACAGATGTCATTGGGGCTCGAGGCATGGGAAGATGCTGGGGCTATTTGACTCCAGGTAAGGATGCAATATGATGAGGGTGTGGCTTTCAAGATGGTGTCTTGCTGCAGCTGCTTAGAACTCATTGGGGGGTGTTGAGCTCCCTGTCTGGAGCAATTCTTTTATGTGGTATTCAGGAAACTTTCTATATAGTCTTAGGGACCAAGAGGGTCCTGGGACTCTCTCCTGGCTAGAATTGGAGGAGTCCACGTAGAAACGTGGACGCTGTGGGCCACTAACATACTGAGGCTTCCCCACGGTATGGAGCCTCTCCAAGCTCCCAGCCAATTCTGTCTGAAGAGGCTGACTAACTTCCCTCTCCTCCCTTGACTTAGGTGTTTCCTGTCATTTCTTTTGAATTTTAGCTTTCTTTTATGAGATTTACTTGAAGCGCGGTTATTTACTCACTATATTGTTTCTTCTTTGTGGAAGGGGTGGTTATCAGATGCCTCTAGTCATCCATCTTGAAGCCCTTCAATAAGTTATTATTTACAAAGAGTATGCCTTTGCTTTCATGAGCTATTTTTTAAATAAGAAAAGTCTAAAAATAAATAATCATTCGATTTTAGAAAAGACATGACAAATAGAAATGGAGATAAAGAATTTATAATAAATTTATAATAAAAACAATAAACAGAATAAAAAATTCGTAAATACATAAATAGCACATTTAAAATTTGTTTTTAAATAATACTAAAAAATACAAAGATCAGTAAATTCGTTTTTAATAATACTGGAACATATAAAAGTCAGTAAAATATGTATAAAAAAGAAAACACATGACATTTTATATTAAAATACGCTAGGCACAGCGGCTCGTGCCTGTAACCCCAGAACTTTGGGAGGCTGAGGCAGGCGGCTCATTTGAGGTCAGGAGTTCGAGACTAGCCTGACAAACATAGTGAAATCCTGTCTCTACTAAAAATACAAAAAAATTAGCCAAGTGTGGTGGTGCATGCCTGTAGTCCCAGCTACTCAGCAGGCTGAGGCAGGAGAATCGCTTGAGAGGAGGAGGTTACAGTGAGCCGAGAACTTGCCACTGCACTCCAGCCTGGGCGACAGAGAGAAACTCTGTATCAATAAATAAATAATAAATAAACAAATAATTATAAAATAAAAACTTCAATCCTAAAGATAATTTAAAATATTGAGGATATCATTGATATTCCAGTATGAACATTCGAAAATCTAGACAAATTAGGTAATTTTTCAACAAAATACAAAATGTCAAAATTGACCCAGTTAGAAATACTAAGTTTGAATAACCTAAAGAGATAGTGAAATGAAGAAAGTTCTAGATACAGTTAACATTGAAGATATTTTTCCTAATCTAAAACATAAGTTTTGGCTGATAATCATGCAAAGCTTCCTCTAATGTTTTTATTAGGGTTACTTTAGCACTGAAACTTGATAAGACAATGAAAAATGAAAGTCAAAACTGTAGACTAATTTATAAATATAGAAGTAAAAAAATCTAAATAAAGTAAGAGTTTATTGATTATAGTACTGTATCAACAGGACAATATATAGATTGCCAAGGAGATTATTTTCAAATATTTAAATATTTTTTCACATTTAAAATTAACAAATATAATTTACTTAGAAATGTATGTGGAACCAATAGTCCTATAAGAAGCATTAATTTAAACTATGTATCTAATAAAATAGTTTCATGAAACTATACAATTTCAGTCAAGCTTATAAAACAAAACCTAGACATTGGTTTAAAAAACCAACACTAAAAAATCAATCACAAAGAAATATGATTTCAATGCAATTTTTGGATAAAACTATCTTAAATTTCACACAGAAAAAAATGATGTCTGTAATACCTAAGAGTTCATGATTGAAATTTGAGAATTATAAAGCGTGAACTTCATCAAATGAGTTTCCGTGAGCAGGGAATGCTGTTCGCAGTTACACTTAGTCTTGGTTTCCCTAATAAATCTCATACCCATATACTTCTGTTGCAACACAACATGAGGATGATGACTGCAAAGAAAAATATGCATGTTATTTAGAATGAGAAAAAATGGCCCGGGCACAGTGACTCACGCCTATAATCCCAGCACTTTGGGAGGCCGAGGTGGGCAGATCATGATGTCAAGAGATCGAGACCATCCTGGCCAACATGGTGAAACCCTGTCTCTACTAAAAATACAAAAATTAGCTGGGCAAAGTGGCACATACCTGTAGTCCTAGCTACTTGGGAGGCTGAGGCAGGAGAATAGGACTGAACCTGGGGGGTGGAGGTTGCAGTGAGCCGAAAGCGGCCACTACCTTCCAGCCTGGCGACAGAGCAAGACTCCATCTCAAAACAAACAAACAAACAAAAAAAAGAATGAGAAAAAATGAAAAATGATGGCTGATAAGCAATCACAAATGTCCAATTCACCACAGAAAATAATGGCATGCAAATTGTGAAATAATAATTAATATTAGGTTTACATGTCAGATAAGTTTTTAATAAACTTGTAATGCTAGAGGCCTTCCTAGTATTTATTTTTCAGATCTATTTTTATAGTATACACTGAAAATATATAACTGATAGTTTTTCCAGCTATTGATTATTAGTTTCAGATTTAAATGTTTAGATTATACTATCTTTATCCATTTGAAGAAAACTGTGAATTTTTGTTGACTTTTCAACCTGATACAGACTAATTACGTTAATTTTTTTTATCCTGGGCGTTTGGATATCTGGCTAGACATTTTGATTACTAACAAATAATATTTAATTCCCTCTGAATGTAAAACAGTTTAAAAAGCAAAAGGATAGCCCTTACAGATGTATATAAGTTTGCTGTATTTTATCAATTTTAAGAAACATTTGTCTTTAAAATTTTTACATTTTTGAAATCAGAAGGAATTTTCTATCAATGAGATACTCTATTTGAATTGAGAAATTTTTTTGTTTCTTTTTTTTGAGACGGAGTCTTGCTCTGTTGCCCAGGCTGAAGTGCAGTGGTGCGATCTCGGCTCACTGCAACCTTTGCCCGCTGGATTCAGGGGATTGTCCTGCCTCAGCCTCCTGAGTAGCTGGGATTACAGGCCACCACGCCAGGCTAATTTTCGTATTTTTAGTAGAGATGGGGTTTCGCCATGTTGTCCTGGCTGGTCACGAACTCCTGACCTCAGGTGACCTGCTCACCTCGGCCTCCCAAAGTGATAGGATTACAGGCATGAGCCACCATGCCCTGCCTGTTTTTTATTATATTAACTTCAATGGTGCTTCTTTTGATAACAGTATATATTTTAATTTTCCACGTAGGAACAAACTTCCGTGATATGTAAAACTTGATTATTTTATAACACATCAAGAATATCATCAGAAATTAAATAGAATGTCACCTTGATTTATAAAGATTAACATTTATTCAGTAATAAATTAAGATAGATATGAAATAAGTGTTTATGGCTTTATATTTCTTTTTAAACTATTCCTTTAGTCTGCAGATTTTATATGTGTTTTATTTCATTGCCATGCAATTGTGTTTTTCCTTATCTCCATTAATGCTTCTTTAACCATGACTTGTTTTAAGTATATATTAAGAATTACAAATATATAAAATTTCTTATAACTTTTTGTTTTTAATTAAAAAACATACAATTTTTGAAACCAGTAATTTTTATTTTATTTTATTTCAATACCTTTAGGGGTACAAGTGTTTTGACTACATGGATGAATTTTATAGTGATGAAGTTTGAAATTTTAGTGTACCCATCACCCAAGTTGTGTCTTTGTACCCAATATGTAGTTTTAAATCCTTTATCTGTCTCCCATCCTTCCCCCTTCAGAGTCTCCAATATCCATTTTACCACTTTGTTTGCCTCTGTTCACCCATAGATTAGCTCCCACATATAAGTTAGAACATATGGTATTTGGTTTTCCAATCCTGAGTTACTTCACTTAGAATAATGGCCTCCAGTCTCTGGCCTCAAATTGCTACAAAAGACATTATTTCATTCTTTTTTATGGCTCAGGAGCAGTCCCTGGTGTGTATATTCCACATTTCCTTTATCTATTCATCAGTTGATGGGCACTTAAATAGGTTCCATATCTTTGAAACTGTGAATTGTGCTGTAATAAACAAAAGTGTGCAAGTGTCTTTTTGATATAATGGTTTCTTTTTTATTATTATTCTTTTACTTTAAGTTATGGGATACATATGCAGAATGTTCAGGTTTGTTACATAGGTATACGTGTGCCATGGTGGTTTGCTGTACCCATCAGCCCATCATCTAGGTTTTAAGCACTTGCATGCATTAGGTATTTGTCCTAATGCTCTCCCTCCCCTTGCCCCCCACCCCACAACAGGCCCCAGTGTGTGATGTTCCCCTCCATGTGTCAGTGTGTTCTGATTGTTCAACTCCCATATATGAGTGAGAACATGTGGTGTTTGGTTTTCTCTTCCTGTGTTAGTTTGCTGAGAATGATGGTTTCCAGCTTCATCCGTGTCTCTGCAAAGGACATGAACTCATTCTTTTTTATGGATGCATAGTATTCCATGATATATATGGGCTACATTTTCTTTATCCAGTCTATCACTGATGAGCATTTGGGTTGGTTCCAAGTCTTTGCTATTGTAAATAGTACTGCAATAAACATATGTGTGCATTTGTCTTTATAGTAGAATGATTTATAATCCTTTGGGTACATGTCCAGTAATGGAATTGCTGGGTCAAATGGTATTTCTGTTTCTAGATCCACACTGTCTTCCACAGTGTTTGAACTAATTTACACTCCCGCCAACAGTATAAAAGCGTTACTATCTCTCCAAAGCCTCACCAGCTTCTGTTGTTTCCTGATTTTTTAATAATCGCCATTCTGGCTGGTATGAGATGGTATCTCATTGTGGTTTTGATTTGCATTTCTCTAATGACCAGTGATGATGAGCTTTTTTTCATATGTTTGTTAGCCACATAAATGTCTTCTTTTGAGAGGTGTCTGTTTATATCCACCGCCTACCTTTTGATGGATGGGTTGTTTGTTTTTTCTTGTAAATTAGTTTAAGTTACTTGTAGATTCTGGATATTAGCCCTTTGTTAGATGGATAGATTGCAGAAATTTTCTCCCATTCTATAGGTTGCCTTTTCACTCTGATGATAGTTTCTTTTGCTGTGCAGAAGCTCTTTAGTTTAATTATATCCCATTTGTCAATTTTGGTTTTTGTTGCAATTGCTTTTCATGTATTAGTCACGAATCTTTGCCCGTGCCTATGTCCTGAATGGTATTGCCTAGGTTTACTTCTCGAGTTTTTGTGGCTTTAAGTTTTACATTTAAGTCATTAATCCATATTAGTCAATTTTTGTTACCAAAACCTGGCAAAGACACAACAAGAAAAGAAAATTTCAGGCCAATATCCCTGATGAACATCAATGGGGAAATCCTCCATAAAATATTGGCAAACCCAATCCAGCAGCACATCACAAAGCTTATCCACCATGATCAAGTTGGCTGCATCCCTGGAATGCAAGTCTGGTCCAACATATGCAAATCAATAAATGTAATCCATCACATAAACAGAACCAATGACAAAAACCACATGATTATCTCAATAGATGCAGAAAAGGCCTTTGATAAAATTCAACACTCCTTCATGCTAAAAACTCTCCATAAACTAGGTATTGACGGAACAAAGCTCAAAATAATACATTTTTTTTAGTGATGAATTCTTGCTATGTTTTCCAGGCTAGTCTCTTTTTATTAACTTTTAAGTTCCTTTTGTTGCATAAGATAATAGATTTACATGATACCAATTCTCTAAAATAATTGAGATTTACTTTATTGCTGATCACATAATTATGTTTATGTATGTTTTTAGACTTCTATATGCATGCATTAAGAAAAGCTCGTTCATTTTGTTATTTTATATTTTCTGATTGTGTTCTGCTTAACCAATCAATATCTGAGAAAATATATTAAAATTTTATACCATAATGTTATATTCCTCAGTATTTTCTGTTGCATTTTACATCTTTAATTATTTTGATATGATTTTCAGATATCTATACTTACAATTTTTAGAATGGTGACACAAATTTAACTGTTTGTCACAATATTTTCTACTGTATTCCCAGTGATGCTTTAAGTCTAAAGTTATTCATCTAAAAATAATAAAACTTTATCTTTATTTCCTCACCATAAATTACATTGCTGAGCTAATCATAAGAACTCATGCTGTTTTTGTTAAAGGAAGAGTAGACTTGTTAAGTTTTTATGTATAAAAGATTGATAAGTAATTCTAAACTCAATATAAAATAAACATCTTTCAAGATGGCATGAAAATAATGCAAAGTATTGAAACACTTAGCAATTGATGATTAATTCGAATACCTTATTTCGGTCTGATTGCTTTCAATTTTAGGCACTATTATAAAAAGGATTTGGATTTTGACTACTTGCTTTATGAACAGCTTCTTCTCCCCTAGTCTCTGTTAACTGATCTTTTGGCTGTTGGTCTATTTTAAGATGTTTTGCTTAAGGACTCTGGATTGACATTTTCTAGATTTCTTACCATGATCTAATTTGGTCCTAGGTTCAACTCAATCTCTTTGAACTATTTCCTGTTTATTCAAGATAGGCCTGTTTTGCTGGCAAATCCCCAGAGAGAATTTTTGATCTATTTAGTTATCTCCTGCCACCTCTTGGATCCTAGACATTATAATTAGTATAAGTTTAAGTGACTTATTATGCTAACTGCAGACATTTCATTCATTTGAAATCAAATGTTTAATACGTGATACTATAAAATGAAAATGCTGTTGGCAGCAGTGGGCATCACTGGTGCTAATACTTGTGTATTACTAAATTACCTTTTGAGGCTGGAAATATTCTTTGTAAAAATTTAAAATTTTTCCACAATATTTAAAAAATATAAATATTAAATAACTATTAATCACAAGTAAAATATAAGAGAAAAAGCATAAGCCACAAACTTTCCAGCTTTTTTTAAAATAGAAAATTTCTTATTTTACAGATTATATACACATGTATTACTCGCATTTAACAAAATCCAAATATGTTTTGGTGAGATATATTTTATCAAACTGTCAATAACTATTAAGTTAATATTTACTTTACTCAAATGGTTGGTAGCCTGTGAAATGACAGAAAAATACTAGAAATGTTCAGGTTCACAAAATATTCCGAGGTCATTTAGTTAAATTAATTTTATCTATGCATAATTTGTGTCACAAATTGCACATACTTAAGTACGTTGTCTGAATATTTGTATTAAATGCATATACCTGTGAGTGTAATTTTGGGGTAACCTGGGTTTTATCAAGAAAATAGCACATTTCTTAAATATTAAAATAAAAAGAATTTATGTTGAGCTTAGCATATGCTACTGCACAATTATTTTCAAAAATCTCACAGCTGCTTGTAAAATGCTTTGTTGTTTGCTTCTTGACAATAACTATGAATTAAAGAAAATATGGGGAAGTTATAAAAAATCTATTTTTCATATTCAACAGACCCAGGACATTCCACAATGAAAAAAGGAATTGAAATAATTTTTTTCCTTTTTAAATTAGGACTTATTACTGTAATAGGTAATATTATATCAGTTACCTTTAAGATACAATGAACTACATTAACAAGTGAAGTAACATTTGCACTACCTAACTTAGGTTTAAAACCACACACTCTCAATCAGAATTTTTAGGAGAATGGTTACCAATCTCTTTTACATAAGTCGCAAACTAGTGAAAATGCAGACTCTAAGGGCACTAAAACCTGTTTCTGATTCCGTGGGAATCAGATATTTTTGTTAGAGGCACAGATATTTTTGTTAGAATTCTCTAAGGTAATACAGATTCAAGTAGTTCTAGAAATATTCTTGAGAAATAATGGTAGGAAAATATTTTTCTAAAGATTTTTATATGAGTGATCACATCTCATACATATGAAAATTAGGTATTACCTTACAGTTTTTAAAATATGAAGAATAAAAGATATACACTAAATGACTTGACATAAATGGTACTGGATATTTTGAGCTTGGTTAATGTTCCCAGATCATGATTGTGATCTGCATGTTTATTTTAATTTGCAGGGCAATGAGCTTTGGACAAATCCTTGCTTCTCCTAAACTGATACGACTACTTTACTGGAAACATCTTTCAAAATAAGTTTCACATAAACAATGATAACTATTCAGTATCTATAAGGGTCTGTGATTGATTTCAAATACTCTACTAATATAAGCATCACTTTAGTCTACCATCATTCCTCTTAACTACACAGGCCTTTGAGAAAATATTTTGCTATTTCCAGTACATGGTTAGTAAGAAAAGAACAGCTATGGAAATGTGTACTTAACAGGAAGAAGAGGAGAGCTAGTAAGGGACAGCAAGTGTAATCGAAATGTAACTAACTGAAGCATAACAAAAATCACTGGTAACGGCTTTTTATCACTTCAGTGGAGATTTCAGTCTAACTTTCAATTGCCTATAATTTCTGTACTTAAGGCTTCACTCACTCTCTCATAGGAAACATTTGTGATGTAGAATTACTACCCGAGGTTACAGCACTGTGACATTTTGGAGCTCTTCAAGGTTTGTGAAGCACAGTAATTATATTTACTAGAAGTCTCTCACCTTTGATACTTACGCACATTAATCATATACACAGAAGACATCTATAAAGTATGCAGTCCCAGAATGAAAATAGTATATTTAAATTGTAGCATTTAGAAACAAACATGTCTGAAATTTTGAAAATAGGGTAATTCTAACAGATGTTTTTATGTTGTTTTTTAAGTTAGCATAAACACTGATAATAAGGTTTTCTACATAGCATGCTACAACTCAGAAAAATAAGTTTTTGAGAGGCTGAGGCAGGCGGATCACGAGGTCAGGAGATCGAGATCATCCTGGCTAACACGGTGAAATCCTGTCTGTACTAAAAATACAAAAAATTAGCCATGTGTGGTGGTGGGCTCCTGTAGTCCCAGCTACTTGGTAGGCTGAGGCAGGAGAATGGCCTGAACCTGGGAAGCAGAGCTTGCAGTGAGCCGAGATCAAGCCACTGCACTCCAACCTGGGTGACAGAGCAACACTTCGTCTCAAAAAAAGTTATATATATATATATTATATAATCCAATATGTTTTGGTGAGATATATTTTATCAAACTATATCAAAATATATATAATATATTATATATATTATATATTATATATATAATACATATATTATATATATAATATATAATACATATATTATATATATTATATATTATATATAATATATAATACATATATTATATATAATATATAATATATAATATATTATATAATATAATTATATAATTATATAATATAATATAATATATAATATTATATAATTATATAATATATATAATTATATTATATATTATAAATATTATATAATATATATATTACAAATATATATTATATATATTATAAATATTATATAACATATATATTATATAATATATATAATATATAATATATATAAAAATATAATATATAAGATATATATAATATATGATATATATGATATATAATATATGATATATATGATATATATAATATATGATATATATGATATATATGATATATATAATATATGATATATATGATATATATGATATATGATATATATGATATATGATATATATGATATATATGATATATGATATATATGATATATATGATATATGATATATATGATATATATGATATATGATATGATATATATAATATATGATATGATATATATAATATATGATATATATGATATATGATATGTAATATATATGATATATTATATATAATATATAATATATACATAATATATAATATATAATATATAATATATATAATATGTGATATATATAATATATGATATATGATATATGATATATATTATATAATATATATAATATATATTATATATAATATATATTATATAATATATATAATATATATTATATATAATATATAAGATATAAGATATAATATATATAATATATAATATATATAATATATAAATAGAATATATAAATATATATATATTTGAAGGTTCTAGCTAGGCATATTCTAGTTGAGTGATAAAACCCTATATATCAATTTAAAATTTTATATATTTTCTGTAATTGAGCATATCAGAGTTTTTTATAGTGTGGTTAATAATAGAAAATTATAAGTACATGAAAGTGAAATTTGTGAGCTCTCAATGCAAAAGATGCTGCTTAGAAATACTTTGAAACCACTATTTCTAAAATTGTGTTGAACCAAAGAGGAAAATCAATACCAAAGAAACTTCTTATTTAGTTATTATATTAATAATCATAGAGTTTTTTTATGATATGTGTACTAGAAATATAAAAATTTGCATGCAAACTCCATATTTATATTTCACACAATGACTGAAGTTGCTTAGATGCTGTTTGCTTCATGAATTTTCTTATATTTCTTGCCGTGCATGAAAGCTCCACAACTTGCATTATGTACCACCATGAAATTAAAAATATATAATGGGAAATATACACAAAAATTTACACAAAGATAATTTAGCATTGAAGTATTTAGCAAAGTATTTTAAAATATTTCTTTTATTGCATGCTTTATATTTAGTCAAAATAACACATGACAGATAAAAATTGGATAGTGTAGAATTTTAATTTTTAAATATTAATAATCTAAATTAAAAATTTATCTATAAAAACACTGTTAAGAGAATGAAAAGGCAAGCCATAGATAGGAAGAAAATATTTGCAAAACATATATGCAATACACATTTCTATCCAAGATATATTTAAAAATGATTAAAACTCAAAAATAAAGCAAAAAAATTAAATTAAATAACGAGTGAAATAGCCCAACAAACATTTTGCCAATGAATATATTGTATACTAATAAAAAATAAAAGTACTCAAAATTTTTGGTATTAGGAAAATGTAAAATGAAACAACAAAGACCTATAACTACACATCTAAAAGAATGGCTGAAGTAATTTAAAAAAACTGACAATACCAACTTCTGGTGAAAATGAAAAGCAATAGGAATTTTCATTTCTTGATGGTTGGAATGCAAAATTATACAGCTGCTTTGGAAGACAGTTTGGCACTTTCTTACAATATTTAAACATATTCTTATCATACCACTCAAAAACCGTGTTCCTAGGTATTGACCAAACTGATTTGAAAACATGTCCACAAAAAACTTTCATGTGAAAGTTTATAGAAGCTTTACTCATTATTAGCAAAAGCTAGGAGCAACTAAGATGTTACTCAAAAATGTATGGGTAAGCAAACTGGAAACTGTGTACACCCTTACAATGGAATATTACTCAGCAATTAAAAAATGAGTTTTCAAGATACAAAATTACATGCATGGGTAAATCTTGAATGCATATTGCTATATGAAAGAAGCCAGTATTGAAAACATTGCAAGCTACATGATTTAATTTCTATGAGATTGTGTAAAAGGTAAAACAATGGAGGCAGTAAATATATCAGCGGTTGCGTGGGGCTTGGGGCGAACATGGGGGGTTGAAAAGTTACAATGCAGGAGAATTTTATAGGGTAGTGAAACTATTCTATATGACACTGAAATGGTAGATTAATAATACTATGAATGCCAAGTCCATCGAATTTTAAAATATGAAAAGTAAACCTTAATGTATGAAAATTTTAGTAAAGCATTTAGGAGTTCAGAGATTCCCAGGTTAAAATGCAGATTATAATACATTTAGATACAAATAATCTAAGTGTATAAAGTAAACAAACACAATGGAGTAGTGGAAAAAGGTGTTGACTGAAGTAACTTTGGAAATGAGGAAAAACTATAAGACAAAAGATGAACAGAATAGTACAAAAGCACAATATTATATTTTGTAAAGTTATTTCCTGCACGGGTATGGGTGAAGAATTCTGAAGCCAATATGCATATGTATTAGAATTAGACAATGAAATAAATGGACGGCAGATAATGAGGGAATGTTTCTCACTCTTTGAGTGGAAAGTTTCAGACAAACATGGTGAGAAAGCTAGAATGATCCAAGTGTTTAGGGTTGGCGTAATATGAACTCATGCTTAGCTTAATGCAGCTAGGTATGGATGCATTAGAAATATTTATAGATATGTTTTATATACTGGTTAGTATTTTCTTTCTCCATCAGCTAAGAGAGTCTAGAAGAAAAGACAACACAGTAGCAACTAACACACCTAAATAAATAAATCATATAAAAACCATGATAATGTGGATGTCAATGGGACAAAAGGAGGCAACTGAAAGAGCTTCAAATGGCCAACATGGGAAAATTTGAGCACCAAAGTAAATAAAGTAGTGTTGAATTATGACCCAACATATATAATCAATATCAATGTGTCCATGATTGAATACATAAATAAATAGAGGAGAATCAAAAATATCTGTTCAGGAGAATTCTAAATCATTTATGTAGATACTCTACCCTCAAGGAAATGGGGAATAACTTCCCACTGTGTAAGTGGGTCTGGCCACTTCGTTTCAAACAGTACAGTATGAAAAGGCAGAAAGAGAGTAACTTTACAGAGGAGAACCCTGACAAACACTACGTCACCCAAAGTTAACACTAACTGTGATAAATCATGTTGATGTTTGTAATCTTGATAAGATGTAGTAAGACCAGCACTTCGCCTCTGTTGTCTTCCTCCCCAAAACATATAACCTCAGTCAAATCTTGATGAAAACGTTAAAAAATTTCCAAGTGAGGAATATTCTACAAAATACCTGATCAGTACTCTCAAAATTGTCAAGATGGATGGAAGGAAGGAAGGAAGGAAGGAAGGAAGGAAGGAAGGAAGGAAGGAAGGAAAAGAAAAGAAAAGTCTGAGAAACAATTCTGTCACAGCCAAGAAAAGCCTAAGAAAATATGACAACTAAATGTAATGTGGTAACTTGGATGGAATCCTGGAATAGAAAACAGACATTAAGTGAAAACTAAGGAAATCTGAATACAGTATGAAGTTAACTAATAATAGTATATGATCATTAATTATGACAAACTACAACATTAATATGTTAAATAGGGGAAACCGGTATAAGGTTTAAAAAAATCTTTGTACTATATTTACAACTTTCCTGTAAAAATAAAACTAAAATAAATTAATAAATACAATTCTTTAATTTATAAAAAATTTAAATATTCACAATTGTCACTTTATTTTTGCAAAAACATACTCAACATTTAATATCTTCTCCCACACTTTTTAAAAATTTTATTTAAATTTAAATTAATTTAAATATTAATTTTTAGGAGTAATTTTGAGACTACAAATATGTCAAAGATGAATGCTGAATTTTCTGATTCTAGACAATCTAATATTGCTTTCTTCATGATGGTTGGGCATAGAGCTTCAATGGATATACTCCCACCAATCTAAATTTCATTAAATGTTAAATCAACGTTCAAAATGTTTAATAATTTGACTTAAAAGGTATCCTTTTGCACTATTTGCATTGAGTGCTACTTTTTATTTTATTTTAAGTTCCAGGATACATGTGCAGGATGTGCAGGTTTGTTACATAGGTAAACGTGTGCCAACGTGGTTTGCTGCACGGATCAAGCCATCACGTAGGTATTAATCCCAGCATGATGCACTTCTTATATTGACAGTTGGGAACTTACCATTTTCAAGATATGAAACAGATAACTTCCTCATTTCAAGATATGAAACAGATAACTTCCTCACAACTACTTCATGCTTAGTCATAGTAGAGTGCTCCTGAATAACAGTCGATTCTTTATATGAGATGCAATTACTGAGAACACAACTCCACTCTGACTGAGGAATCATAGGTCTCCCTGTAATATTTGATGCCATCATTATACTTAAAATCAGTTTATATTTGGTGGTAAAATAACGTTACAGGAGATGATATTCTATACCATTATCATTTGAGGAGAAAAACAAGAGTTGTTGTTTACTCAATTAAGTGTAACCCTTTATGTGACAACGTACAGGAAAAGAGAAATTCAAGGAAATTATACAAATTTTTATGAGAAACTAGATCCAAAGATGTGAATAACACCTGTTTCAAGATTGATAAGAAATAATGAAATTTAGGGATATTTATAATATTTGAATTTTCTAGAGGTTAGAGAGAAGGAATCAATACTTAATTTCTTAGAAGAAAAAACAAAAATGAAGCAAAATCAAAGTATAAGTAGCCTAAATATCTCAAATAAAAAAGAGAAAGACAATTCTGAGGTTATTTAATCTCCAATTAACTATAACATGCATAAATAAATACTTCATCTACTTTTCCCCCATTAAAAACTCTTCACCATTCTCATGCTTTCCCACTAAGAAAAATCTCTAAATTTCTTAACTTTTTAAAACATGTGATTAACATTTTACTCTTACAATCTTTTAACCTGAATCCAATCTTTTCTAGACATAAAGAGAAAAGTATACTCAAATAAAAGAGACTGTACAAATCTTACAGGTACCACTTTTACATGAATTTGTAGTCTGTGAAGACAGAGAATTCATTCTAAAATATTCAGAAAACTCAAAAGAGATGGATGTCTTACTTAAGGTTATGTAGAAATCAATGTCACTTCTTAGCAATATTCACATTGTTTTACTTATTTGTTGCTGTCATTGCAATAGATACAAGCTCTTAATGTATATGATTTATAGAAGGAATTTCATGTTTTAAATCAAGTCCTGTGTTTACTATTTTTTTTTCTAGTCATGGATCGTCTGGGGCTGCGTTGATGTTTGGATTAACTAAAAGGATCTAAAAGGACTTTCTGGGATATTGAAATGTTCTCTATCTTGAGTGTCTCCATTGTTAGCTCAGTATATACAGCTGTGAAAACTAATTGGTACATATTTTTATGTTAATTCACCCATGGAATTGATTTTAGAAAACTTTACAAAAATAAAAAAATTGTGTTTTAAAATAACAATTATTACCTATTTTTTAATCAATCTGATGACTCTTTTGAGTCATTTGATATGAATTAATCACTGATATAACTCATATCAATTATATGAAATATAATTTATATATTAATATAATTATATTTAGTTACAAATAATATATTATTTATATCAGTTATATATAACTATATAGTTATATTTCATATAATTGATCAAAAAAAATTTCCTGAACCTAGACGATGCTGAAATTCTCACGATTCTGTTAATGGAAAATTTAGTAATTTACCATGAGCCTGAGCCTGTGAAATAAGAGATTGTCTACATATAAGTTGTATATGCTTATCATTAATTAATCTATTTTTAATTTCTAGAATTTGTCATTAATACGTTTAACGAAATTCTATTATTTTTATTTTTTCTATGTACTGTTATTATATAAACAAAATATAATGATGATGTGATGATGGCAACAGATTTTTGCAATAAAACAAGAAAATATTTTTGCTAACTTGTAAAGCCAAACATAAGGACGACATATTCCACAGTCAAATAAGTTTAGAAAATATTTAGTTCAAAAATTTAAAACAGAATTCTGTACTGCAGAACTTCCTAGGACTTTAATATAGTCACGTTTCATCATTCATTATAAGTAAAAATATACTATGCACTATTTCTCTTTATTTGAAAACCAAATATTTTTGTTTGTAGTATTTTTCTCTTCCTCTGGTTTGTGCAATAAGTTTTGGGAAAAACTGATATAAATATTTCCATTTCCCAAAGGCACAACCATGTTTTTATATATTTTTTATTTCTGTGGAGGGGTGCATTGAACGTTTCTTTTAGCAACTGTGATCTTGTACTTTAAACACTAATCTTGAGTAAAAGGGAAACGGAATGTCCTAAGTGGTTTATCATTTTAGAAGACTACACACAGTAGTGACATAAACTACAGAAAGCTTATATTGATTATACTAATTTGCATTCAAATCCCAAGCCCTGCTAACTATTCACAACAAAATAATTGAAATATATATTACAAACTTTCCATATATGTGAATTTCAGTCTTTCCCAATACATGCAAGCAATAGCCCTATTGTTTACCAGCTTTCTACAAGCATGGCTATCTCTTTGTTACCTCTGAAATAAGACACAGCAACAGTTTGTTGTTTTAATTTAGCATGATCAATAATTTATACTCTTCTAAATACATGCATTTCTATCCAACTTTTCTATTTAATTATAAATTCCTTTAAGAGCATTACCATGAGTAATACTTAATCCATTACTATTTAATCCATTAAGTATTAAGTAATACTTAATCCAGAACATCTAACTAAATATCAAATACGTATTAGTGTACCAAAAATTTGTATATGGTTAGAAGGTGTATTTTCTTATTTTTCAATTTTTTAATCAGAGAGTTTGATATGATTGATGTGGCTTTTTTTCCTTGAATTTATGTTTTCAGAGGACATTTTGGTTTCAATTATGATAAAAATATATATTTGGTTTTGGCAAATTTTTCTTGAAATTTACCTATGCAGATTAACACCCTTCATGATTTAGCTGTGAATATATATATACATATATATACACACACATATAAATATATATATTTACATATTATATATATACACTATTATTTATATAATACATGTATATATGTGAATATATATAGTTGTATACGTCTATATACATATTGTATATATATCTATAGTTATATATATAAATATTATACTATATGTACCTTATATAGAGTATATATAATATACTAGTATATATGTATATATTGTATACATATGTCTCCAATATGTATTTTTGAATGCATATTGGATATAATGTATACATATCTTATATACATATTTAGTACATAATGTATCGATAGTATATACACTGTATATATAAAATGGTTTGGCTCTGTGTCCCCACCCAAATCTCATCTTGGAGTTCCTATAAATCCTATGTGTTGTAGGAGGGACTTGGTGGGAGATAATTGAATCACGGGGACATTTTCCCCCATATTGTTCTCATGGTAGTGAATAAGTCTCATGAGATCTGATGGTTTGATAAAGTGAAACCTGTTTTTCTTGGCTTTCATTCTCTCTCTTGCTGCTGCCATGTGAGACATACCTTTCATCATCTGCCATGATTGTGAGGCTTCATCATCCACGTGGAACTGTTAAGTCCAATAAACCTCTTTCTTTTGTAAATTGCCCAGTCTCAGGTATGTCTTTAGCAGCAGTGTGAAAATAAACTAATACAGTAAATAGGTATCAAGAGTGGGGCATTACTGAAAAGATACTTGAAAATGTGGAAGTGATTTGGAACTGGGTAACAGGCAGAGGCTGGAACAGTTTGGAGGGCCCAGTTAAAAAAAGAAAAATGTGGGAAAGTTTGGAACTCCCTAGAGAATTGTTGAATGGCTTTGCCTAAAATGCCGACAGTGACATGGACAATAAAGTCCAGGCTGAGGTGGTCTCATATGGAAATGAGGAACTTGTTGGGAACTAGAGCAAGGGTGACCCCTGTTATGTTTTAGCAGAGAGACTGGTGGCATTTTGCCCCTGCCCTAGAGATTTGTGGAACTTTGAACTTGAGAGAGATGATGTAGGGTATCTGGTGGAAGAAATTTCTAAGCAGCAAAGCATTCAAGAGCTGGCTTGTGTGCTGTTAAAGACATTCAGATTTATAAAGAAAACAGAGAATGAAAGTTTGGAAAATTTACAGACTGAAAATGTGATGGAAAATAAAAATCCCATTTTCTGAAGAGAAAGTTAAGCCAGCTGCAGAAATGTGCATTAGCAACAAGGAGCCAAATGTTAATCAGTGAGCCAATAAGGAAAATGTTTTCAGAGCATGTCAGAGGTCTTCACCTCAGGCCCTCTCATCACAGACCTGGTATCGTGAGCCAGGCTCAGGGTCCCTCTGCTGTATGCAGTCTAGGGACTTGGTGCCCTGTGTCCCAGCCACTCCAGTCATGATTAAAAGTGGTCAAGGTAAAGCTCAAACTGTTGCTTCAAAAGGTGCTAGCCCCAAGCCTTGACAGCTTCCATGTGGTGTTGAGCCTGCAGGTGCACAGAAGTCAAGAATTGAGGTTTGGGAACCTCCACGTAGATTTCAGAAGATGTATGGAAATGCCTGGATACGCAAGCAGAAGTTTGCCGTAGGGGTGGGGCCCTTATGGAGAACCTCTGCTAGGGCAGTGCAGAAAGGAAATGCAGAGCCAGAGCCCCCACACAGAGTCACTACTGTGGCACCACCTAGTGGAGCTGTGAGAAGAGGCCCACTCTCCTCCAGACCCCAGAATGGTAGAAACACTGACAGCTTGCACCATGCACCTGGAAAAGCCGCAGACAATGCCAGCCTGTGAAAGCAGCTGAAAGGAAGGCTGTACCCTGCAAAGCCACAAGGGCAGAGCTGCCCAAGACCATAGAAGCCCACTTCTTGCATCAGCATGACCAGGATGTGAGATGTGGAGTCAAATAAGATCATTTTGGAGTTTTAAGATTGGACTGCCCCACTAGATTTTTGACTTGTGTGGGGCCTGTAGCCTCTTTGTTTTGACCAATTTCTCTCATTTGGAATGGCTGTATCTACCCAACGCCTGTACCCCAATTGTATCTTGGAAGTAACTAACTTGGTCTTGATTTTGCAGGCTCATAGGTGGAAGGGACTTGTCTTGTCTCAGAAGAGACTTTAGACTGTGAACTTTTGAGAAAATGCTGAAATGAGATAGGACTTTGATGGAGTGTTGGGAAGGCATCATTGGTTTTGAAATGTGAAGACATGAGATTTGGGAGGGGCCAGGGATAGAATGATATGGTTTGGCTCGGTGTCCCCGCTCAAATCACATCTTGTAACTCCCATAATTCCCACATATGTGGAGGGACTTGGTGGGAGATAGTTTAATCATGGGGGTGGTTTCTCCCATACTGTTCTGATGGTAGTGCATAAGTCTCACAAAATCTGGTGATTTAATAAGGGGAAACCCGTTTTGCTTGGCTCTCATTCTCTCTCTTGTTGCTGCCATGTGAGACATGCCTTTCACTTTCCACCGTGATTGTGAGGCCTCTCCAGCCACATAGAACTGTAAGTCCAATAAACCTCTTTTTTTTTTTTTTTTTTTTTTTTTGTAAATTGCCTAGTCTCGGGTATGTATTTATCAGCAGTGTGAAAACAAACTAAATTATATATATGCATATATATATATATATATATATAGAGAGAGAGAGAGAGAGAGAGAGAGCAGGTTTTTTATATTATTTCATGATCTGCTATAATAAAAATTTTAAAAGATTGAATCATAACTACAGAGTAACTTCTTGTGCAAGGAAATTGTTGAATACATGAGGAAGGATTTAAGAGGAAAAAGACATATCAAAACAGTAAAAACTACTAGTTTCAAATTTTATCAACATCTCAACATGAGAAGAGAAAAAGAACAAGTAGTTTTGTTGTAGTAGTAGTGTAGAAGAAGTAATTCAATTGACAATTATTTGATGGTGAGATTCAAATAGTTCTATTTCCCTATATTAAAAAAACTAAAAAGTTGGGGGGGCGGTGAGAAGGCAGAAAATAATTCATCTCCCTACATGGTTAGTTATTAATTTCCACATCTTTAAAACATGAATAAACATTTTAAAAAGCCTAACTAATAACCAAAATATTGTTCCCTAAATTTACCATCTTTTTATTAATAAGACAATTGATACAACTTTATTCACTGAATGTTTGAGATTAATATATATGTGTACTTTGATGTTACTGCTGAACACCTGTTAACAATATGCCTTAGACAATTAGAATCTTTAAAGGTAAAAAATATCCCACTGGTATTTTGGGCATATTCAGACAGTATTAAAAAAGTATTACTGTTTTAAATTAGTATTTCCATTTCTATATGAAGAACTATGTAAAAAATAGATAATACATGTTTTTATCTAGCTTTTAAATGTAATGTAAATTGGTCCTGTATCAGAATATACACTTGAGAATAAATCCAATTATACCATATTAATCTATTTTTTCTACAAGAATCTCTTTAAATTATGTGGATTGTGTAGAAATATTATCAAAGTAATTTGTCAAGTTAAGTTTGGTCCCATGAGCCTAAGAAATATTGTCTAGTTCTTATTCATGAGAAGAAGTGTATCCTCTTAACAGGGTTGACAGATTATAATGTGACTTCAATTCTGAAATGCATATTTCTCCATTTTTACATATATGCATGTGGACTTTTTTCTTAAAATATTTTATTCATGAATAAGCCTAATTCAGAAATAATACAAGCATCTAACAATAAAATTATACTGTTTATGGTTTGACTACATATTTAAGATAAAGACTTCCAAAGAAGGATACAGCAAGCTATAAAATCTGCCTGCAGTAATTTAAACAAATGAAATTTGTCTAATAATAATATATTATAATATTATGACATATGCCTGTATATTTTTGTAATATTATATGATATCACTATAAATATATTTGCTTTTATTTTTATAACTATTCATCAAGAAAAGTATTAATATTATTTTTCTGATGGTGAAACTAAATTTTACAAAGGTTAAGTACTTGTCTAAGTTCACAAATGTAGTGTTAATATGGAAGCAAAAAAGGGAGGTATGATCCACTCCTGAGGGCATATTAGTTCTTCTATATCATATACTTCTTTATACTTTTTAATCTGCGGACTTCAGAGAGTTTATGTCATGATATAATATTAATAATTGTTAATGTCGATTGAGCACTTAATATGTGTCAGACACTGTTCTAAATTATATCCCATGCATTTAACTAGTATAGGTTCAGTAGCAACCCTATAAAGTAGATGCTATTAATACTTCCATTTTAGAGATAAGAAAACTTATGTTTGGAGGAGACTAAACTTAGTAATTTGTTGAAGTTCTCACACCACCTAACTAGTAGGAAGAAGATTTAACCTAGCCATCCTACATTTGGAGGTAAGTCTAGATAATATCACAATTCTGCCTCAGAATGCTTTCTAGGCTGATATGAGGATCCAGGATACCCTTGTTCAACTACCTCATACCACCAAGCTGAGACTTTACACTTCGTGATTAGTTTCGTGTGTCAACTTGGACATGTAAAGTTGCAAAGATAGCACAGATTGTCCCCCAGTGTTCTTTACCCAGTTTCCATTATTGTTAATATTTTACATTGGCATGGAAAATTTATCAAAACTAAGAAACAAGTATTGGTACATGTATCAGCCAGGTGGTAATTAAAAGGCTAAGGCAATTACCACTGGATACCTATGTTCTAAATATGTATCCTATATATGGTACTCTTTTTGTCATAGCCAAGATTTTGTGGTTTAGTAATCAATAAGTGGGAATGAGAGAAGGATCACTTACTATTTCTCCTAGTGACCCACTAGCAATCTTTTTGTTTTCTGTCTCTGTGCCTGCAACATTTTACTTTATTGCTCCAGTTAGTTCCAAAGAGAGGAATGTTTCTGCTAGGAGACACAAGAATTACCGTCTTGAAATGAAAATTATTAACTAATTAATCTTATTAATTTTATTGATTGATTAATTTAGTTAAATTACTGGCCACTTTGAATCCCTTGTGCCTCTGAATCTGATAAAGAAGGGAGTTACTGTAGTGTGTTGGGTGATTGATACTGACTGCCAAAAGAAAATTGAACTGCTATTACACAACAAAGGTAACGGGGAGTAAATCTGGGATATAGGAGGTGTCTTAAGGTATCTCTAAGGTTGTCATGTCTTATAGTTAAAGGTAATGGAAAACTATGACAATGTAAGTCAAAGAGGGCTACTAATGGCCCTGACCCTTCGGTAATGAATATCACAAGAAGCAAAGAAGCAATGACCATCTAAGGTGCTTGGTGGGATCAAAGTGAAAATGAAATTAGTAGTAGAATAAGGTAGTTATAAATATCAGCGACAACCAGATGGCCAGTTGAAAAACTGAGGACTGTAATTCTGCAATTGTTATCCATAGTTCTTTTTTATTTTGTTATAAATATGTGTTTGTATATATTATTTATATTTATCCATGTTTTATTACATTCCTTCTCTTATTTTGTTCTCATCTTAAATAAGAAATATTAATATTATTTGAATTTGTATCACATTATTTAAGTTACAGAATTATTAAGGAGAATAATAAACCTGGCCCATGAACTTCACATCCTTTTCTGGGAAAAGGTTAGCAAGTTTTCAGTATATTATTTTAGCTACAAGTTTGACTTTGTTATTGTGTTTATTTGGAGATCAAATATGTTTTAAGACCATATGTACAGGTGCCAAGGTGACAAGGGGTGAACTGTGATACTGGTCAGTTTGGCAATAGTATACCCAATTTGTCAATTAAACAATTATCTAGATGCTGTTGTAAATGTACTTTTTAGGTATGGACTTACAATGAATTGATGTTAAGTAAAATATCTTTTATGATTCTAGCTTCATCCAATCAGTTGAAAACCCTTGATTGTAAAACTGAGGTTTCCCTGAGGAAGAATAAATTGTGCCTCAAGATTGCAACATCAGCTCTGGGCCATGAGTTTCCAAACTAATGTCCAGCTCTATAGGTTTCAGACTTTCCAGTCTCCAAAATACAGAAGCTAATTCATATATGTTTGAACATATATGAATTGGCTTATACATATATATTTATTATGTATGTGTACTGACTTATTATTCCTTCTCTTATCACCTTCTTTGCATATAAATATGTAAGGAAATTATTTTAAATACATATAGGCTCCCTCCTATTGGCTTTGTTTCTCTGAAGAACCCTGACTGACATATGATTGAAGAAAAAAAAAGAGTAAGAAGATTATCAATTTATTAATTGAATCTTGTGGCAAAAATAAAGAAATGTGATATAAATTGCTAATTTGCTTCTCTTCCCAACCCTGTCCCCTGGTAGGATGTAATTATGATTCAGATGTTATTGCTTAGCAAGCATTTCCCTGTTGTGGACCATGGCATGGCTATTATCTCTTTTTAGCTTTTTTAATATGTAATTTCTAGAAAAGACTTTTGCATACTCTTTGTTATCTAAAAGTATTATCTAAATAAGCAAAATTTATCTGCTGGTATTCCACCCCAGATTAGGTCTTAGATCTGTGTGTGTGTGTGTGTGTGTGTGTGTGTGTGTGTGTGTGTGCATGTGTGTGTATGTGTGTGTGTACATGTATATGTGTGTCCTTCTTCCTTGCTTCAGAATTAGAATGCTTCTGATTGAAGCATCTTCAGTATGACTCTTACAGCAGACCTGACAGCTTACTTTTCATGGTTCATCTACTCCAAAGTTAGAAACCAACTTAATTAATTATGTCCTTAGTGGAATTCTATGTTTCTTAAGAAAGGGTCTCACTGATCAACAGAGTAGTATGCCAACTGTTGTAACATTTTATACTGAAACTGACGGAATATTCTCTATTTTTCTTACGGAAAAAAAATCCTATCAGTTATCTATAGGAACATTTGAACCACAGACTAACACTTCAGTAACTATCATAAAGAAGAATTACATGAACAAGCTAAGCAATAAAGTACTACATGAAATAATAGTTAATTAAATGATGATGAAGTGTAACATAATTGAATAATAGTAAACTTTAAAAGCAAATAGTCTAATGACAACAAAAAGGTGAATCTTAAGAATTTTATAAATATAGCTTCATGTTAGTGGCAAAGTAATTATTTAAAACTATGAAAGTTGATTAATTAGGGAGGAGAGTATTAGGACATCTTAAGTTGATGTCGAAGAGAATGACTAGAGATGTGCATTGAGTTGCCAAAGACAACTGGCTAAAACTCAAAGGACTAATTAAAATTTCAGTCCCAGATAAAAATGGGGCTGTAGCAGAATATCCATCAACCATAAAGAGCACTTCCACAAACACAGAAATAAACAACAAAAAAATAATACAGTGTTCTTGGCTTCATTGTTCTGGACTTAACTAAGAACAAAGTGTCCCTGAGAGAAATGTGTTGAAAAAACATACCCCAACTTTTTCAGAAATCAATCCTCTTTGGATCTTAATTTACCAGAACAAGACAAAATAAACATGTACTTGTGAACTAATATTAATGGAGACGAATATAGTGAAAATTACAATTCCCTATTTGTACTTTGTCTAACCTTCCTTTCAAAGGAATGATGCTTGTGGAAATAGTATGCACTAATCTGATTTGAAAGTGAAACATGGCAGATAGTTTACACATGGTTGACTTGTTACCTAGCTGAAGAACAGACTATATTTCCAAATATTCTAAGTCAAATTAAATATTTTTTAGAAAATAATTTGAGAACGAAGTTCATATTTGCAAAACATAGAGTCATATAAAAATGGTAATAAATAATGCCCAAGCTGGAATACAGTGGCGTGATCCTGGCTCACTGCAACTTCTGCCTTCTGGGTTCAAGCTCTTCTCCTGCCTCAGCCTCCTGAGTAGCTGGGATTACAGGTGTGTGCCACCATGCCTGGCTAATTTTTGTATTTTTTAGTAGAGACAGGGTTTCACCATGTTGGCCAGGCTGCTCTCGAATTCCTGACCTCAAGTGATCCATCTGTCTCAGCCCCGCAAATTGCTGAGATTACAGGCATGAGCCACCATGTCCAGCCATGATTAAAGAGTTTTGTGGTATTTGGCTTTTTCTTTCTGTGTTATTTAGCTTTTTCTTTCTGTGTTAATTCACTTAGGATAATACCAGCCAGATGATTCATGTTGCTGCAAAAGACATGATCTCATTCTATGTGATGGCTTTAAAGTATTCCATGGTGTATATGTACCACATTTTCTTTATCCAGTCCACCACTGATGGACACTTACATTGATTCCATCACTTTGTTATTGTGAATAGTGCTACAATGAACATGCAAGTGCATGTGTGTTTTTGGTAGAATGCTTTGTTTGCTTTTGGGTATTTACTCAGTAATGGCAAAGCTGGATCGAATGGTAGTTTTACTTTAAATTCTTTGAGAAATCTCCAAACTGCTTTCCACAGTGGCTGAACTAATTTACATTTCCTCCAGTAATGCATAAGCATTTCCTTTTCTCCATAACCTTACCAGCTTCTGTTATTTTTTTGGCATTTTAATAATAGCCATTTTGACTGGTGTTTGATGGTACCTCATTGTGGCTTTGATTTGCATTTATCTGATGATTACTGATGTTGAGCATTTTTTCCTATGCTTGTTGGCTCCATGTATGTCTTTTTTTGATAAGTGTTTGTTAATGTACTTTGCCCATTTTTTTTTTTTTTTTTTTTTTTTTTTTTTTTTTTTTTGAGACGGAGTCTCGCTCTGTCGCCCAGGCTGGAGTGCAGTGGCGGGATCTCGGCTCACTGCAAGCTCCGCCTCCCGGGTTCACGCCATTCTCCTGCCTCAGCCTCCCAAGTAGCTGGGACCACAGGCGCCCGCCACTACGCCCGGCTAATTTTTTGTATTTTTTAGTAGAGACGGGGTTTCACCGTTTTTTTTAGCCGGGATGGTCTCGATCTCCTGACCTCGTGATCCGCCCGCCTCGGCCTCCCAAAGTGCTGGGATTACAGGCGTGAGCCACCGCGCCCGGCCTGCCCATTTTTAATGGTTTGTTTTTTTTGGCTTGTTGATTTGTTAAAGTTCCTTATAGATTCCGGATATTAGATCTTTGTTGGATGCAGAGTTTGTGAATATTTTCTCCCATTCTGTAGGTGGTCTGTTTACTCTGTTGATATTTTCCTTTGCTTTTTCATATGCACTATAATTTAAGATATTTTAAAATGTAAAAATTATGCATCTTAGAATTGATGAAATATAGTTTTTGGTCACAGATAAATTAGTTATGAATATTTGTAAAGAATAATGAGTCATTAGAGACAAAAACATGAGCTCCGATTATCTAACATGGACATCTATAATCCTTTTCCTTGATATTTTCTCATAGTTAATACAAATTCACTTATGTTAGTCATGCCAAGATTCTTAAGGACTGAAGGTTGAATCAAGTTTCTCAAAAGATATGGATGTCCTAAACCTGCGTACCTGTGAATGTGACCGTTTTTACAATAAGGTCTTTGCTGATGATCAAAATAAGAAGAGGTCATTAGGGTGGGCTCTAATCCAATATAACTGTGTCCTTATAAAAAGGGGAAATTTTGAAACTGAAGCAGATGCTTATCAGAAGAGTGCCATATAAAGATGAAGAAAGAGATCTAAGTGAGATGAAGGCAAAGATCTAAGGTATTCATCTACCAGCTAGTAAATGTCAAAGATTGCCAACAAACTACTAGAAACTAGGATAAATACATGGAATAAATTCTCCTTTATAGCCCTTGGAAGTAACCAACCCTGCAGTGACCTTGCTTTTAGACTGTTAAACTCCAGAAATTTGAGACAATAAATTACTGTTTAAGGCATCCACTTTGTGAAAATTTGCTATGGGATCCTTAGGAAATGAATACACTGAAAAAAATAATAACTAAGATGACTTAATAATACTATAGCAAAAGTTTGTTGATGCTATTGCTTAATAACTGAAACAACAATTTGAATTTGTTTTTCATTAGTCTTCTAATAGGCTAATAACTAAATCAGACCCCCAATATTTCCAGCTTTGTTATATGTTGTCTGTATTTACTGCCACACTGTTCCTTCAGTAAGAATATGTATATAAAAATTTATAAAGGACCTGAGAAAGAAATAAAATATTTACCCCCACTAAATGTTCAAATAAAAAAATAAAATCTAACATTATGTGGTTTCTTAAATTGGCTAATATTCAGCACAGTAACAAATTCTAGAGATAACCAATGCTACAGACTGGAACACTTTTACTGCTTTAAGTGTGTATTCTCAGTTGAGGACGGGGTGGGTTGGGCTAAATTTTCATATTTTCTTCTTTCATTGAGTCTTTTCTGTTTTTGATTTTGTTTTCTTCAAAGGGCCTACTTTTCAGATCTTTCTTACAGTTAGTTTTTTTTATTTTTTCAAAAATTACATTCTGATTACATTGGTCAGTGTTAGATTCTCTGTGCATCTTAGAAGAACCGCTGTGGCTTAGCCCTCATTTTTATCTGTTTATGTATAGAGGAGATGTAGTTTTAGAGAAAATATCTGGGATAAGCTAAGCCAAAATAAAACTATAAAAAGTAACAAGAATAATACAAAAATCATTTCTATAATATATGACTACTGAAATAATGATGCCACTTTTTATATGTACACATCAATATTTTTAGAAATTACACTACAAATAGCAAAATTTTGGTGCAGTTAATTAATTTGATAAATTTGAAGCAAAAAGAAGCCTGTCCAAAGACAACAAGAAACCTTTAACTAGCCTAAGAAAAAAAGGCCTGAATAAGTAATATCAGAGATGAAAAACAAGTACAGCTGTCAGGACATAGATATAAAATATCATTAGAGACTATTATGAACAACTATACAACAACAAATTTACAAACTTAGAAGAAATAAATTGCTGGACACATTCAATCCACCGAGACTGATACATGTAGAAATAGAGAACCTGAACAGACAAATAGTGAATAAAAAAATTGAAGCAGTAATTTTGCCATTAAAAGTAATGGAAAGAACCGCAATTACTTTTGCTCCAACCTAATGAAAAGTCTCCCATCAAAGAAAGGCCCAAGACCAAGACTTGATGCATTCATTACTAAATTCTATTAAACAATTACAGAAGTAACACTAATTCTCTCAAACTATTTCAAAAAATTGAAGAGGAGAAAATATTTCCAGACTCACCAGATACCAAAACTAGGTAAAGGCACCACAAAAAATAAAACTACAGGCCAATATTTTTCATAAACATAGATGCAAAAGTCCTCAAAAAATAACATACTGGCAAACATAATTTGACAACACAATAAAAAGATCATGTGCCATGATCAAATGAGATTCATTCTAGAAATGCAAGGTTAGGTCAAAATATGCAAATCAATAAATGTGATACATCACATCAATAGACTGAAGGATGAATAGCATATGACCATCTAAATAGATGCAAACAAAAAGCACTTGATAAAATTCAACATCCCTTCCTAATAAAAGCTCTTGATTAATTAGGCATAGAAGTTACATTTCTCAACACAATAAAGCTCACATCTAACATCATACTGAATAGGGAATAACTGAAAACCCTTCTACTAAGATCTCAAACAAGACAAGAATGTCTACTTTCACCACTTTTATTCAGCATAGTCTTGGAAGTCCTTGTCAGAGTAATTAGGCAAGATAAAGAAAAATAAAAGGCTTCCAAGTTGAAAAGAAAAAATTATTATTGTTGGCAGATAAGCTAATCTTATATTTAGAAAAAACTAAAAAAAAAACTGGTAAATAACTTCATAAATATGCAGTATATAAAGTCAAGAGACAAAAATAAGTAGCATTTCTATATGTTAACAGCAATAAATCTGAAAAATAAAATCACGAAAGCAATCCCATTGATATTAGCTTAAATAATAAATTATGTAGAAATTCATTTTCCAAGTAAGTGAAAGATTTCTACAATGGCAATTATAAAACAGTTATGAAAGAAATTGAAGAGGACACACACAAAATAGGAAAATATCCCATACTTACAGATTGAAATAATTAATATTGTTAAAATGAACATATTGTCCAAAGCAATGTACAGAGTCAATATAATCCCTACCAAAACAGCAATGACATTCTACATAGAATAAGAAAAAAATCCTAAAATTCATTTGGAATCACAAAAGATCCCGATAGACAAAGCAATCTTGACAAAAAAAAAAAAAAAGAATGATACTGGAGGCATCGCACTACCTGTCTTCAAATTATACTGAAAGCTGTAGTAACTTAACTGTGTGGTACTGACATAAAAATAGACACAAAGAAACAGAAAAGATAGCTCAAACATGAATCCATGAATTTACAGCCAACTCATTTTTGACAAAGTTACTAAAAAATACATTGGGGAAAAAAGGACAGTCTCTTCAACAACAGGTGCTGAGAAAACAGGATACCAATATCCAAAAGGAGGAACCTAGATCCTGTTTCTCACTATACATAAACATCAACTCATAATGGATGAAATACTTAAATATGAGACCTGAACCTATGAAATTACTAGAAGAAAATTTTGGGGAAACACTGTAGAGTGTTGTTTGAGCAAAGAATTTTTAGAGTAAGATTTCAAAAGCACAAAAATCAAAATTAAAAGTAGGAAGATAGGATTACATCAATCTAAAAACCTTCTGCACAGCAAAGGCAATGATCAACAAAGTGAAGAGACAAACTACAAATGGATGAAAATGTCTGTAAACTATTCATTCAACAAGGCATTACAAACCAGAACGCATAAGCAACTGAAACAATTCAAATGAATATGCAGAAAGGGGAATTTTCATATATTGTTAGTAGAAATGTAAAGTAGTAAAGCCATCATGAAAAACACTATAGAGGTTCCTCAAAAAAACTAAAAATAGAACTACCACATGGTCTAACAATCCCACTACTGAATATGTATCCAAAAGAAAGGAAATCAGTATATCAAAGAGATATCTGCACCCCCAGATGTGCTGTGTTTATTGCAGCACTATTCACAATAGCCAAAATATGAAATCAGCCTAAGAGTCCATCAACAGATGCATGGATTTTACAAATGTGGTATATACACATAATAGAATACTATTCAGCCATAAAAAGGAATAAAATTCTGTCATTTGCAGCACAGTGAATGAAACTGGAGGTCATTATGTTAAGTGAAATAAGCCAGGTACAGAAAGACAAATATTGTATACTCTCATTTTTATGTGGGAGCAATAAAAGTGGATCTCATGGAGGTAGAGAGAAGAGAGTTGATTGCCAGATCCTAGGAAGGGTAGGGACAGAAAGGAGGATGAAGAGAAGTTAGTTGATGGGTACAAAAATACAATTATATAGAAGGAATAAGTTTTAGCATTTGATAGTACAGTAGGGAGGTTATAATGATCAATAATTGATTGTATTTTTCAAAATAGCTGGATGAGAAAAATTGAAATGTTACCCACACAAACTAAAGATAAATGTTTGATGTCATGGATGTCCCAATTAACCTGATTTGAATATTATATATTGTATACATTTATCAAAACATCGCATGTACCCCTAAAACTTGTGCAATGCTTATATATCGGTGAAAAATATGGTTGCATTCCTCAGTCCTCTTTTCTGCAATAGATAATGAAATTCCAGGGAGGGGATAAAAGGCAATTGCGTTTCTTTGGTAAGAAGTTTTCGGGCCGGGGACGGTGGCTCACACCTGTAATCCCAGGACTTTGAGAGGCCAAGGCGTCCGGATCACCTGAGGTCAGGAGTTAAGACCAGCCTAGCTAACATGATTAAACCCCGTCTCTACTAAAAATACAATAATTAGCTAGGCATGATGGCGGGTGCCTGTAATCCCAGCTATACTGGAGGCAGAGGCGGAGGAATCGCTTGAACCCGGGAGGCGGAGGTTTCAGTAAGCTGAAATCAGCTATTGCACTTCAGCCCGGGCGAAAGAGCCAGGCACAGTCCCCACCCCACCTCAAAAAAAAAAAAAGTTTTTGGTCAGTTAAAGAAATCCCAGAGAGTTCCTCCCTGCACTTGGCAGGGAGAAACAAGAAAACAAGAACAAGACAAGGTTAGAGTGAGACACCTTAATCCTGAGGCTTATTTCTGAAACCTTTCAATTTTCAAAAGCACTCAGCATGTCCATATTCCCTATTTTGGGGAATCATTTTCCGCACCCCAACAGCCCCAAGAAAGGCAGCTGGAGAAGAGCAGAGTCAACCACCTGTGTTCGACATTGCTTAAAAGACAGCAGTCATTCTGAACACAAATGGGCCTCTGTCCCCATCGCCAGATCCAGAGAAGAAAGATTTTTGCTTAGGGGAAAAAATAAATCATAAGAATAAAGAACATCAAAGCTCTTCTCAGAGAAACTGTCTGTAGTTGAAACATAGTGTAATAAAGTTCAAGCTTAGGATACTATTAAAAAACATGGGAGATTTTGATGATAAATCAAAATAAAGCCGGCGGTTCTATGGGAGCAACAAAATAAATCACAAATCAGCAGTTTGCCGAGGAAATCTAAGGATAGAAACAGCTAAGAACTCTCCTGTGGTCAGAGTAAATATTGACCTTAAAAATATTTACATAAAGGGTCCTAAATTTAGTTTATGCTCTACAATTGTGTCTAAAATAATAAGGCAAGCAACTGGCAATTAGTGGTGTCCAATAGTTGGCTGTGATACCAAAAGAATCAGACAGCCTAACAGAGAGATTAGGAAAAGAGACAAAGAGAGTTCTGCTAAAATCACTGTTTTTCCATAGTTAGCATGTGCACAGGCAAGGTTGTATCCTCTAAGGATTGACATCATAGGCCCTATCCTGTGGGGAAAATATACATCACTAAAGTAATCAATCCAAGTCATTAAACTAATAAACAAGCAAATACAAATTAAGAGCAAAACCCAAGGGTGAGGGGGATCAGTATCCAGAGTTACTATATTATCCAAACTGTCTAGTTTTTACTGAAAAATAGATATGTAAGATATATAAAGAAACATAAAACGGTGGCTCATGCATAGGAAAAAGAGTAGAAAATGAAAACTGTGAGAGGACCAGATGTTTGAGTTAGCAAACAAAGATGTCAAAGCAACCATTATGGATATGTTCAGAAAACTAAAGGACGCCATGATTAAAGAAGTAATGGAAGGTATCACGATAATATATCAGCAAATATAGAATAATAAATACAAATTAGAAAATAGAATCACATAAAAATTCTATAATTGAAAAGTAAAATATCTGAAATAAAACATTTATCAGAAGACTCAGTGGTGGATTTAAACCAGCAGAAAAATCAGGGCACTCAAATATACATTGACAGTTATTTTACTACCTGAAAAGTAGAGAGAAAATAAAATAAGGGGAAACAAGAAGAGCATCAGAATGTGGAGCACGACTAAGCACAGTAACGTATGAGTAAGAAGAGTATCAAGAAAGAGATAAAAAAGGAGCAGAAAAAATATTTGAAAAAATAACGGCTGAAAACTTCCCAAATTTGATAAACATAAACTTATACATCCAAGAAGCTCAATAGATATGTAGGATGAACACAAAAAGAGCCATAAATAGACACATAATAGCAAAACTAAGACCAAAGATAAACAGAAAACATTGAAAATGAAGTGAAAAATAATTTTATGTACAAAGGAACCCCTATAAAAATTACATATGGCTTTCCACCGGAAACAACAGAAGTCAGAGACAGATGAAATATTCAAAGTACTGAAAAAAATAAAAGGTCAATCAAATATGTTATATTTAGCAAAACTTTCAATAATGTAAATGGTTCAAAGTGGTTTAAATTTATTAACATTCAACAGTAGGAAAACAAACTAATTAAATAACTGAATCCGACATGCAAAGAGTTTGAAATTTCTCATTACTATTTTTGCTGCAAGAAAATATCTGAAAAGCTGAAAATCCACAACTCTCTTTAGATCTGTCAGAGCCCTGAGGTTACAGGACAAACCACTGAGACAGGCAGAAACAGAAGATACACTTTAACAAATGTAAGAGTAGAAATTCTTGCCAAAATGGAATTAAACTAGAAAATAAATAACAGAAAGATAGCTAGAAAATTCCCCAATACCTTGAGATAAAATAACACAGTTATAAATAAAAAAAAAGGCCTAAGAGAAATTAAAAAATATTTTGATTCAGCAAAGGTGGTACTTAAAGAGATATTTTTTATTGAATGCATATATCACAAAAGGGGAAGGATCTTACATTAACAATCTAAGCTTCTATTTCAGGAAACTCAAAAAACAAGAGCAATTTAAATTCAAAATAAAGAAAATAGGAGAGAGAATACCAGAGCAAAAATCAGTAAAATTAAAAATAAGAAAACCAAAATCGGATTATTAAAAAAAATTTAATTAGAAGCCCCTACTTGGTCCCCAGAGTAATCAAGAAAAAAGAAGAAGAAAAGATTTATTAATATCAGAAATGAAAGAGAGAAATCACTATTGATATGATGAATAACAAAGGCATTTCATGAGCAGTTCTATGCCCATAAATTTGATGGTCTACATAAGTTGAATCAATTCCATGAAAAACAAAATCTATCAAAACCCACATAAGGATAAATAATCTGAATAAATCTATAAATATATTAAATAAACTAAATCAACAGCTAATATCCTTCTAAAATAGAAAACACCAGGCCCAGGTATTTTCACTGGTGAATTCTACCAAACATCTAAAATATAAATTATACCAATTCTGTACAGTGGCTTCCAGAAAATATAAGCAAATGGAACTTTTCCTGACTCATGCTGTGAAACCTCTAATAACAAAACTAAATATTGTTATGAAGGAAAAATACACACCAACATCTTTCATGAACACAGATGCAAAAACCATCAAAGTGTTGGCAAAAGAATGGACAGATGAATGGAACAGAATAGAGAGCCCAGAAATAATAGATCCACTGATCTTTGACAAGCAATTAAGTGGAGAAAGGGTAGTCTTTTAATAAATGTTGCTAGAATAACTGGACATTCACATGCACAAAACAAAAATCATTCTAGACACAGTCCTTACCTCTTTCACAAGAATTAACCTCAAATGGATCCTAGTCCAACATGTAAAATGCAAAATTTTGTTATTTCTGGAAGATAACAGAGAAAATCAAAGTAATCTTGGGATTAGCAATACTTTTTTTTTTTTTTTTTTTCGAGACAGGGTCTCATTCTATCACCCAGGCTGGACTGAAGTGGTGCAATCATGACTCACTGAGGCCTCGCTCTCCTGGGCCCAAGTGATCCTCCCACTTCAGCCTCCTAAGTATCTGGGACCACAGTGTATATCATCACATCTGGCTAATTTTTAATTTTTTTTTTGTAGATATGGGGTCTCCCTATATTGCTCAGTCTGGTCTCTAACTCCTGGGTTCAAGCAGCCCTTCCGCTGCATCTTTCCAAAATGCTGGGATTACAGGAGTGAGTCACTACACCCGGCCAGGCATACATTTTTAAATAAGCCACCAAAAACAAACAGACAAAAAAATACATTAGATTTTATTAAAATTAAAAATTTTACTCTGCCAAGGACACTGCATAGAGAGTAGAGAACCATTAATGTTAATATTAAGGTTAATACTTAAAAGAAGATTATTTTAGCAAACTATAAATATATTCTTGCTCTACTTTCTTCTCTCAGCTTCTTTAAACATGTATACATATAAACATATATAATATTGTGGGGTTCTTTTCACAAAAAGGGTGAAGAGTTAATAATGATATATAGGTGTAACTTTTCTATGTAAAAATCACTAATTTAATCCGTTAATCACTGAATTAAGGTGTGATAAATCTGAAGTCAATTCTGTTGTCTATGAGAAGAAACCTTAGAACAACATGAAGAAAATAACTAAACATATTTAATGACAAAAATCATTTAAAAAATTACATTAGAAAATGTTCACTAATGCAAGAAAAGCCAGCAAAGATGAATAGAGGAACCAAAAATACATAAGACATACAGAAAACAAAAAGGATGGCAGACTTCAGATTTACCTGAAATACAATTTGCCTGATAAACATTTTCACACTATTTCCTTTATTAGATGTAATTTACATTGAAAAATGTATTTGTATGTTAACATTTTGAAATCTGTTTCTATATTTTTATTCTTATAAGCGATAAAACTTAGGAAATTAGGGAAAGTTAAAAAAAAGGAAAAGAAAAAAATTCCCTAGTGTCATCCATCAGGTTCCTGACAGAGCTCAAATCTGAGTTCAGAGCCCTGCTCTCCAGCAGAGCTACATTTCTGAACTTCACAGAGCTACTGGCATTCAGTTGTGCAGTGAACAGATTCTTAGGGTGGCCCCCGTCATCTTTGCCTCCTGACATTCATGCTCTTGTGTGATCCCCTCCTTCAGTGGGTGTAAGACTTGTGGCTTGCTTCTAACAAATAGAATATGTCAGAGATGATCTAGAGATGATCTAGTATATGATTTCATGTAGGTGATTATGTGCTTACATTAAATAAGATTGTAGTGTCCATCTTCCTGGAGCTCCTCTGTCTTTTGCCGATTTTGAGAAAACAAGTGACCTTTTTGGGAGACCCTAAGACACAAAGAACCATAAGAACTTTCTAAGAACTGAGATTGGATTCCAGTTGATGTTATGCAAGGGTCTCCAACAAATAGTAAGAAAACCTTTATCACCTGACAAAAAATCATAAAATAAAGTCATTTACTTCTATTGTATGTATACACACCACAGTTTGTTTACCCACTCGTACACTGATGGAAATGTGAACTGTTTCCACATTTTGACTATTATTAATAGTGATGATATGAATATGTGTGTGCATGTATTTGTTTGACTACCAGTTTTTAATTCTCTAGAGTATATTCCTCAGAGTGGAACTGCAGAGTTACATGTAATTCTTTGTTTAACTGAGGAATCCCCAAACTGTTTTTCCATACTAATTGAACTATTTTACATGATTACCTGCTACAATATAGATGAACCCAGAAAATATCAAGCTAAGTGAAAGAAGGCAGACACACAAGTTCACATATTGTACAATTCCATTTATATGAAATAACCAGAATAGGTATAAGCATAAAGAATTAATGTAGACTGGTGGTTGCCAGCCAGTGGGAAAAGGGGGAATGGGGAGCAACTGCTTCATGGATATATTTCCTTTTGGGTGATAAAAATATTTTGTAATTAGATACAGGTCATGATGATAAAACATTTTGAATTGATTAATTTACACTGAAGTATTCACTTTAAAATTGTTAATTTTATGTTATGTGGATTTTACATTGACTGCCAAAACAAAACTAAACAAAGATTTTGTAAATCTTTTATTTGCTCGGTGTGCTGGCTGTCTCCACTCCTACTTTTAACAACATACACAAGTCTCTTCCCACTCTCTTTCCAGTATCACAGTAAAGATAAAGAAGCTTTCTGCTAACTCTCATACCTGTAGTTGATTAATTCAAAGAAGAATACAGTAGTGCAAACTTAAACACTGCAGACTTCCAAAAAAATTTATGTTCATATGGTACTCTATTAAAAATAACTTGAAATATACACCCAGATTTATCAATATTCTCTTTTTCTTTGACTCTCATTTGCCAACTTAAGGAATTATTTTCATAATCTTTGTAATCTTTGCACTGATATGTATTTTTTACATAATGAAATCAGTATTATGAATGGAAGAATATAAAGCTTTGATTATCCGATGGAATGCTTCTTTTTTGGCATTGTCTTTGGCAGTCAATAAGAAAATTAATAATTTTGGATAAAAGGATCTTATTTCAGAGATAGTTCTCAGAATAAGTGAAAACTTAGAGAAGCTCAGAGAATAAAGAGAAACCAAGAAAATTTTTTAAGTCGCTGAAAACAAAGAAACATTATACCACAAGCCAGTATAGACAACACCACTGCTGTTGGTCGTATGAAACCTTGGACTCCCCTGTGTCACTGGACTCACTGCTAATGTGAGACCCTCAGTGAGTGACACTATTAATTATCACTGCTTTTATAATAAATAATTCCTGTACCTAGTTTTTACCTACCTGAATCCTGAAGGTGTTTGAGTTAATGAAAATGATTTAACATATTTTTATTTTTTTAGATTGACATATAATAATTCTACATACATATGGGGTATATAGTGATGTTTTTATACATATAAGGCATAGTGACTAGGTCAGAGTAATTAGCCTATCCATCATCTCAAACATTTACTATTTCTTTATGTTGGGAACATTCAATATTCTCCTTATAGCTATTTAAAACTATATATTATTATAAACTATGGTTAGTTCTATACCCTCAGTGGTATAGAAAACTAGAATTTATTCCTCCTATCTGTAATTTTATGTCCTCTAACAGATCTCTCGCTATTCTTTCCTTCCCCCATCATCCCCAGCCTGCAGTATCCTCTGTTCTGCTTTTTACTTCTATGAGATCAACATTTTTTAACTTCCATATATGTGAGAATATGCAGTGTTTAACTTTCTGTTCCTGGCTTATTTCACTTAAAATAATGTCCCCTAGTTCCATCCATATTGCTGCAAATGACAGGATTTCATTTTTTTAATGACTGAAGAGTATTCCATTTTACATATACACCATATTTTCTTTATCCATTCATCTTTCATTGGACAGCTGAATTGATTCCATATCTTGGCTATTATGAATAGTGCTGCAACAAACATGGGGGTGAGGGCAGATGTCTCTTTGATATACTGATTTCTTTTCCTGTGGATAAATGTTCAATAGTGGGAGTGCTAGATCATATGGTAGTTCCATTGGTAGTTTTCTGAAGAACCTCCCTATTGTTCTCCATAGTAGCTTTACTAGTTTACCTTCCCACCAACAGTGTATAAGAGTTTACTTTTCACCTCACGCTCATCAGCATTTGTTATTTTTGGTTATTTGATCATAGCCATTCTAACTGGGGAGAGATGGTACCTCATTGTTGTTTTGATTTGCATTTACCTGATGATTAGTGATGTTGAACATTTTTTTCATATATTTGATGATCATTTGTATCTCTTTTGAGAAATGTCTATTCAGATTATTTGCCATTTTTTAATCAGATTATTCCTTTTTTGGCTATTGCAATGTTTTGGTCCCTTGTATATTCTGGACATTAATCCCCTGTCAAATGAATAGCTGGCAAATATTTTCTCCTATTCTGTAGGGTTTTTTTTTTTCACTCCATTGTTTTCTTTGCCGTGAAGAGCTTTTTAGTTTGATAAAATCACGTTCGTTTGTTTTTGTTTTTATTGCCTATAATTGTGAGGTCTTACCCCCAAAATATTTGCCAAGACCAATGTTCTGAAATGTTTTCCCTGTGTTTTCTAATAAGAATTATATTGTTTTAGGTCTTATATGTAGGTCTTTGATCCATTTTAAGTTGATTTTTGCATAAGATGAGAGATGCAGGTCTAGTTTAATTCTTCTGCATATAGATATCTAGTTTTCCCAACACCCTTTGTTAGAGAGACAATCCTTTCCCCAGTGGATGTTCTTGGCGACTTTGTCAGGAATCAGTTAGCTATAGATACATAGATTAATTTCTGGGCTCTCTATCCAGTTCCTTTAGTTGATCTATTTCTATGTGAGTACCATGCTGTATTGGTTAGCATGGCTTAGTAGTATAGTTTGAAATCTGATAGTGTGATGCTTCCAGCTTTATTCCTTTTGGTCAAGATTTATTTGGCTGTTTAGAGTCTTTGGTGGTTCTATAAAAATTTTAAGTATTTTTTTCTACTTCTGTGAATAATGTCACTGATATTTTGATAGGGATTGCATTGAATCTATATATTACTTTGTGTAATATTATCTTTTTAATGATATTAACTCTTCTGATCCATGAGCATGGGATGCCATTCCATTGGTTTGTATCCTTTTGAATTTCTTTCATGAGCATTAGCATTTTGTACCTTTGCTTATAGAAGTCTTTTTTCCCCTTGGTTATATTTGTTCTTAGGTGATTTTTTCTTTTATAGATACTGTGAATGGGATTGCCTTCTTGATTTCTTTTCTTTTTTTTTTTTAGCTATTTTGCTGTTCTTGTATAGAAATTCTAGAATGTTTGCATGTGATTGTGTATTCTGCAACATTACTGAATTTGTTTTGGTAGAGTCTTCAGATTTTTCTATATGTAAGATTGTGTCTGCCAACAGGGACAACTTGACATCTTCCTTTCCAATGTGGATGTTCTTTATTTCTTTCTTGCCTAATTGCTTGGGCTAGATTAAATGTATTTAAATGATTATTTGTATATGCTTAAGATTGTTATTTTGCTAGTGATCAATTGCTTTAATTAAATTTATCAGTTTGAGGATGAAGACACAGTAAAACATTACAATATATTAATCATTATTCTCTCACTTTAACATAGCAAGTTGTTTATAAGCACCACTGAACTACCAAACACATCTCTTTCACTAAATAAATATAATTTCAACATTTAATTTAAAAACTCTAAAATGTAGGTAGCTACTACATACACAAACTAAGCCATAGTCCATACAAATTAATTGAGAAAAAGTTAAGACACAACTGGAAACTTTCCATTTGCATTCAATATCCCAGTGCTTGAGAATAATTATGAGACTAGAAGAAAATGGCTGCATCTTGGAACTAGATTTGTAGACTTAAAAGAACTGGATCTATTTAAAAATATTAAATATTTGGAAGAATCTTTTATTTTTTATGAGGTTTTGAAGCTTTTTCTCCAGGCACTAATACCAAAGGATTAAAAAGTTTTTTTTTCATATGACAGCTACTTCACAAGATTTTGTAAAACTCATGAAAAAAAAATTCAAAAGGAAGAAAAACTCAGGTCATCCCATAAGTATATAGCAGTTGGTTCTGTTACTGTTGTTGTTTCCTCAGGTGAGAAAGTCAAGGATACAGCCTGAATTGAAATGGAGTAATAGTTTTGATTATAATTCAAGGGGCTGTATAACCAAAAGTAAACAGGATTAGAATGTTGAAATATAACCCATAACACTCTATAACAAATGTCTGCCTTACTAAAATAGAAATAAAAAATGATTAGTAGAAAATATTTCTTACATTCAAAATTAAAACACTTTTCTCCATTTTATCAATCTTCCTAACCTAGAATAAAGTTTTTTGATATGTATACATATAGAAAATTATATAAAATAAAATATAGATGTATATATATCTTACACAATTTTGTTTATTCATCTATTATTTTTATTAAATGTCACTATATATATCACCTGGAAATACACAGTTCAGTTAATTGAATTTTCTTTTAGAAATTAATGAATTCATTTAGAATCTTATTCCCAGGATTGTAATAAAACAGAAAAATTAGTTTTACCACATTAAAATGAGCATCAACTTGATCAGTTCATTTTATAAAACTGAAAATATTAACCCAACATTATATTTTCTGAATTAAAGTTTTATGTCAATAACATAGTTCCCTTAGCTTCCTGGACTTTTTGGTTTTCTAAGCAGTGTAATTGAATATTACAACTGTCTTTATTAATTAATTATAGTGTGGAAGTCTCAATGAGTAAAAGAGAAGATAATTATCATATTTTCAACTGTAACCTTTTATATATTTACAGCAAATACCTGGTGACTTTTTATTTAAACTAATGCTAACTATTGATCAAAGATGTGTTCAATTTCTTGTAATATTGGTCTTTAGTTCAGGGTCGAAAGCATTAGGACAGCAGATTCTCAGCCGTAACATACCAGAAACAAAGAAACAGCCTTTGAAAGAGTTCTCAGAAGTCAGTAAGGACACCCACATAATCTTGCACTATGTACTTGGCTTGTATACCAAATACTGACTAAAATATTTTATCTCTGTGGTTTCAATTCAGTTGTGCTATAATAAGAGTCCTTGCCACTATTAACGTGTTAAAAAAAAAGACTTCCGAAGTGAATATCTTTAAGCTACATTTTCTCAAAACAGAAATAACTTTTTAAAAAGTACAGTACATGCTCTATTTCATGGGTTCTTTTAATAGAAAAAGACTACATACCTCTTCTGTTTAAATTAGCAAGTTTCAAACTACTTTTTTTTATTTCTAGAAGTGACATTATATAACATTTACCCACCATGTACAGGAAGGTGATCAAAATGACTTAAGATATTTGCATACTAGAAAAATCATGGTAATGTTTCATTTTTTTTCTTTCAATAGAAATGGGATTAAATAAATATTAATAGAGAAAATAACAGAGAGACAGTAGCAAATGGTGCAGACCACAGTGAATTAAAGAATACAGGTGCCATTTAAACTGTAAACATTCAGCTCCAATATATTACTAACCTGTGGCAATGTGGGTGCAGTGCTTATAGACTTTTCCTCTTTATCTCTTTTTTCCCCCTCAGAGAAACAATCTCTGGATTGGTATGAATAATCAATAAATTCTTAAATTCTCATACAAGACCTCACTTTATAACAGTTTTCTAGTGGTATATAAGACATGCAGAACAATGTGACAGTTAAATAAATATCATAGATTACCAATTTATATTATCTGGTTTAGACAATTCAGAAAGAACCCACTTTTTCACCAGTGTTTGAAACAACTAGCAAAGATTGCATAATTAATTAGAATACAGAATACAGTGGTTTAAAAAATCAAGGAATATAAAACATCAAAAGTGAAGCTTAATGTAAAATATGTACTTTAAATGATAATGATTTGTCAATGCAGGTTTATCAATTGTAGGAAATGTGCCACTCTGGTGAAAGATATTGATAATGGAGGAAGGGGATACATGGGGGTAGGGGATACATGGGGGTAGGGGGCACATGGGAGCTCCATGTATATCCCATCCAATTATTCTGTGAACCTAAAATTGTTTTAACATACATATGTATTTTAGATATGTATTTATTATTTACATAAATAAATAAATAGACTGTACTGCCTATATGCATGTATTTTTCTTACCACATGAGAAAATAAGTACAATATAACAGGAAAGCCTGTATAAAGAACCATGTGTGTGAATTACTTTTCCTTTTTCACTTTCTCAGTAATTTCCATGATTTCCAAATAAACAACATGCTACAAATATTTTCACGTTTTATACTGGTATATAACTCATATATAATCCTGACTGTATTAGTCCATTCCTGCTGCTATAACAAAATATCTTAGACTGAGTAATATGTAAACAACATAAATTGATATCTTGTAGGCCTGGAGACTGAGAAGTCTAAGATCAAGGTGTGTGATGCTTAATATTGAATGTCAACTTGATTGGAATGAAGGATGCAAATTATTGTTCCTGGCATGTCTTTGAGGTTGCCAAAGGAGATTAACATTTGATTCAGTGGACTGGGAAAGGCAGACTCACCATCAATCTGGGTAGGCACAATCTAATCAGCTACCAGTGTGGCAGGAATAAAAGCAAGCAGAAGAACTGGAAAGATTAGACTGGCTTAGTCTCCAAGCCTACATCTTTCTCCCATGCTGGATGCTTCCTGCCCTTTAACATCAGACTCCAAGTTTTTCAGCTTTGGGACTTGGACAGGCTTCCTTGCTCCTCGGCTTGCAGATGGCCTATTGTGGGACCTCACCTTGCGATTGTGTGAATTAATACTCCTTAATAAATTCACCTTTATATATACATCTATCATATTCTGTCCCTTTAGAGAACCCTGACTAATACAAGGTGCTAGCAGATTCAGTGTCTGGCAAGAGCTCATTCCCTGTTTCCTCACATAGCAGAATGGTGAATGTTGTGTCCCCATATAATGGAAGGGGCGAGATAGCTTTCTTCGACCTCTTTCACAAGGACATTAATCCCATTTGTAAAGGTGGTGCTCTCATGATTTACTAAATTCTTAAAGATCCCACCTCTTATTATCACCACAATGGAGATTGGATTTGAACATGAATTTAGGGGGACACAATAGACTGTATATTATATATGTAGAGAAATAGGTATATATTTGTGTTAGTCCATTTTCATACTGCTATGAAGAAATACCCAAGACTGGGTAATTTATAAAGAAGAAGTTTGATGAATTCACAGATCCACATGGCTGGGGAGGCCTCACAATCATGGTGGAAGGTGAAGGAGGGGCAAAGACACATCTTACATGGCAGCAGGCAAAAGCATGTGCAGGGGAACTGCCTTTTACAAAACCATCAGCTCTCATAAGACTTATTCACTATTTTTAGAACAACAGAGGAAAACTCAGCCCCATGATTCAATTACCTCCCACTGAGTACCTCCCATGACATATGGGGATTGGGGGAGCTACAATTCAAAATGAGATTTGGGTGGGGACACAGCCAAACCATATTACTCTATCCCTTCTTCCTCCCAAATCTCATGTCCTCACATTTCAAAACCAATCATGCCTCCCCTACAGTCATCCAAAGTTTTCACACATTTCAGAATTAACTGAAAAGTTCACAGTCCAAAGTCTCATCTGAGACAAGGCAAGTCCCTTCTGCCTATGAGCCTGTAAAATCAAAAGCAAGTTAGTTACTTCCTAGATACAATGGGTGTACAGGCATTGGGTAAATACACCCATTCCAATTGGGAGAAATTGGCCAAATCAAAGGGACTACAGGCCCCATGAAAGTCAAAAATCCAGTGTGGCAGTCAAATCTAAAAACTCCCAAATGATCTCCATTTACTCCATGTCTCATATCCAGGTCATGCTGCTGCAAGAGGTGGGCTCCCATGAGCTTGGGCAGCTCCACCCATGTGGCCTTAAAGGGTACAGCCCCCCTACTGGCTGCTTTCATGGCCTGGCATTGGGTGCCTATGGCTTTTCCAGGTGCACAGTGCAAGCTGCCAGTGGATCTTCCATTCTGGGGTCTATAGGACGGTGGCCATCTTCTCACAGCTCCACTAGGCAGTGGCCCAGTGGAGACTCTGACTGGGGACTCCAACCCCACATTTCCCTTCTGCACTGTCCTAGCAGAGGCTCTCCATGAGGGCTCTGCCTGTGCAGCACACCTCTGCCTGGACATCCAGGCATTTCCAGACATCCTTTGAGATCTAAACAGAGGTTCCCAAACCTCAATTCTTGACCTCTTTGCACCTGCAGGCACAACACCACATGTAAGCCACCAAGGCTTAGGGCTTGCACCTTCTGAAGCAGTGGCCTGAGCTATATGTTGGTCCCTTTTAGTCCTGGCTGGGGCACAGGGTACCAAGTCCTGAGACTGCACAAAGCAGTAGGGCTCTGGGCCTGGCCTGTGAAACTATATTTCTCCTTCTTGGCCGCTAGGCCTGTGATGAAAGGGTCTGGTGTGAAGACCTTTGACATACCCTGGAGACATTTTCCTCATTGTCTTGTCCATCATTTTCCTCCTTTTTACTTATGCAAATTTCTGCAGCTGGTTTGAATTTCTTCTCAGAAAATGGGTTTTTCTTTTCTATCACATCATCAGGCTGTAAATTTTCCAAATGATTTTGCTCTGCTTCCCTTTTAAACGTAAGTTGCAATTCCAAACCATATCTTTGTGAATTAATAAAACTGAATTCCTTTAACAGCATCCAAGTCAACTCTTGAATGCTTTGCTGCTTAGAAATTTATTCCACCAGATACCCTAAATCATCTCCCTCAAGCTCAAAATTTCACAAATCTCTAGGACAGGGACAAAATACTTCCAGTCTCTTTGCTAAAGCATAGTAAGAATCACCTTTGCTTCAGTTCCCAGTAAGTTCTGTATCTCCATCTGAGACCACCACCTCAGCCTGGACTTCACTGTCCATACCACTATCAGTATTTTAGTAAAACCCATTCAGTAAGTGTCTACAAAGCTCCAAATTTTCCTGTCTTCTCCTGAGCCCTTTAAACTGTTCCAGTCTCTCCCTGTTACCAAGTTCCAAAGTCTCTTCCAAATTTTGGGGTATCTTAATAGCAGTACCTTACTCTACCAGTACAAATTTACTATATTAGTCTGTTCTCACACTGCTTATGAAAACATACCTGAGACTGGGTAATTTAAAAAGGAAAAGAAGTTTAATGGACTTACAGTTCCACATGGCTAGGGAGGCATCACAATCATGGTGGAAGGTGAAGGAGGAGCACAGTCACATCTCACATGGTAGCAGACAAAAGAGTATATGAGGGGAACTGCCCTTTATAAAACCATCAGATCTTTTGGGACATATTCACCATCATGAGAATAGCATGGGAAAAACCTACCCCTGTGATTCAATTACTTCCCACTGTGTACTTCCCAGGACTGGTGGGATTATGGAAGTTACAATTCAAGATGAGATTTGGGTAGGGACACAGCAAAACCATATCAATATCTGATATATGTAGATATAAATATAATCAGCCCATATTTCTTTAAGAATACAGAAGCCACTTTGTATATTCCTAGTATAAACATTTTAATAGAAATTTGTGTAATCAATCGAATGACTTCAGGAATAAAGGTCAGAGGAGCCACCAACAAAAATTTCACCCTGCAGCATGAAGGCAGATGGTTGTCAATCATTCTCTAGAAAGTCGCTGCAGTTTACAAGAATCTCTGACCAGTCTTCACCAATTTTTTAGTTTGGACCACAAAAGTGTGCTTTTGTTTTGGTAGCCAACTGTGAGTTTCACATCCGTTATTGCCTCAATAGCCACTACTTATTTTCTCTCTCATCTTCCAAATTTTGTGACTACTTCTCTTTGACAAAATTTAGAGGGGACCAAAGTGATGGTGAATTGCCAACAGACCATTCAAGAGAAACAAATGCACAGAACATAATGCATAATGTAAATGTTCACTTAGGTAAGCAGCAAATCATAAATGAATCACAAATGTAAGCACCACTCAGAATATATATATAGATACATATACATCTATATATGTATCTATCTATATCTATATCTATATCTATCTATATCTATATATATATATAAATATCTATGTATGTATATGTGAATGACACATTGACAGCATAGGGGAAGAAAACTTTATCCTCTTAGAGATCCCAGCTAAGCCTGAGAATTTAATTGAAATAAGGCAAATTAACAGAAGAAAAGCATATTGTTGTGCAACAGATAGTTGTTCATTATTCATTACTCAATAACATTCTATTATATGAACATACCACTATTATATATATTTTCAGATTTTGATTATTATGAATGATCTTTTGATCCTCTTCAGTTTTTTATTTTATAAACAATACTGCTCTGATTATTGCTGTATGTATTCCTTAGTTTTTGCAATTGTTTTGATGTTTACACAGTATTTTATTTTCTGATTTATATCTATGATAGACGTTATTACACTTTCTCTAAAGTATAAGATAGTAAGTGCTTTAAGCTTTACATGATACATGCTCTGTAGCAACTACACAAACTTCCTGTTGTAGTGTCATAGTAACCATAGGCAATACATAAACAAATGAGTAAAGTTGTGTGCCAAAAAATCATTTATTTTCAAAAAAAGGCTGTGGGTTACAGTTTGCTAACCCCTGTTCTATGATATAGACTCTATGGTTGAGTTCAACTATAATAGTTAATGCCAAAACATTTTTCAAAATTGTGATACCGATGTACATGATGACCAGCAATGATTCAGGATTTGGTAGCTCAACAACTGTTATGGTTAGAATGTTTGTTCTTTCCAACTCATATTTAACATTTATTGCCATTTTATCAGTATTAGGAGGTGGGGCCTTTGAAAGAATGATGGTTCTGCCCTGCTTGGTAGGATTAAAGCCGTTATAAAAGAACGAGTTCAGCCTCCTTTTACTTCTTTTTTGTTCTGCCACAAGGTGAAGCAAGAAGGCCCTCAACAGATGCAAGCACCTTGATATTGGACTTTCCAGCCTCCAGAACTGCCAACCAATAGATTTCTGTTTATTATAAATTACCCACTCTTTAGTATTCTGTATAACAGCACAAATGGACTACAACAACAACTTTGTGAACAATTTCTATTTTCACTGTTTAAATTTTAGCCTTTCTGCTGGATAATAAAGGTGTGTTATAGTAAAAGTCCATAATTTGAATGATAATAGCATTTACCAAATTTTCATACGTTTATTGCCCATATGAATATAGTCTTTTGTGTAGTACATTTTCAAGTATCTCATTCTTCTTTTACAGGCTCTATTTTTTCTTCTTGACCTACATTATTATTATTATTACGGATAAAAGCTCTTGTGATTATTTCTGTTATACAAATCCTTCTTTGACTTGGTGGCTTGGAGTTTTCCTCTCAGTAGTGTTTTTTTTTTTCTTATGAAGAGAAACTTAATTTTAGTGCACTCTGCTTTATTCATTTTGTACTATACTTAGTAGTTTTTAAATCCTGTTTTTCAAATTTTTCTTTACTATTAGGTTGGAAACTGAGAAGCAATTTCTTATATAATCAACTAGGAGCTAACTGCATTTGTATGGTTCACTTCATATATATGTTTCTATAAGTTGTGAATTGTTATTTTTTGTTTCAACAAAAACAAATGTTTAACTGTTTCTCACTAATCTATTAGGTTTGTGCAAAGTAATTGTGGTTTTTGCCATAAAAGTAAACCTCAATTACTTTTGCAACAAACTAATATATTACCTTCTTTGTTGTTCATACACATGTAGCTCTCTTTTTGTTCTCTCTATTCCACTGTATCATTTACTTATGCTGTGGCAATAGTACAGTATTATCATGATCTTTTTGTTCATTTTCTAATATATATATTGACTATTCATAGCTCCTCAGGTTTTTTACAAATTTTCAAAAGTTTGAAAATTTGAAAATTTGAAAAGTTTGTTAGGCACCCACAAGGGCATTAGTGAGATTAAGGTTGAGATTGCCTTGTATTTAAATTTATTTATGAAGAATTGACATGATTATAGGATAGAGGCTTCCAAATCCATAAACATGGTATGTTCCTCCATTTATGTTCAGATTTTTAAATTTATTTCTAAAATATTTTGTACTTAATTAGTGATAAAATAAATAGAACATATGATTTATTATTTTGACTATTTGAAGAGTATGGTTTAGTAATTGTTAACAGTGTTCACATAGTTGTATAGCCACTGCAGAACTTTTTTTATCTTGCAGATCTGAAACTCTATACCCATAAAACAATTCTCCATTCTCACTCCCATCAGCATCTGACAACCACCATTCTATTTTTTGTTTCTATCAATTTAACTTCTCTAGATACCTCATATAAGTGGAATAATGTAGTATTTATATTTTTGTGACTGCTTATTTTACTTATAATAATGTCCTCAATGTTCATGCATGTTGTAGCATGTGTCAGAATTTCCTTTCTTTTTTTTTTTTTGAGATGGAGTCTTGCTCTGTCGCCCAGGCTGGAGTGCAGTGGTGCAATAGCAAAACCCATGCAAAAGACTTGTGGTCAAGACTAATTTCATCTAAGGGGTTACCAGTTTACAGACCATATTAGATCAGTGACTCCACAGCAAAGAACAGGCAACATGAGGACTGTGTGTGAGTTTGAGATTCTCTTTTTTTTTCTTTTTTCTGCTGCTAGCAGAACATAAAGTCAACATTCCATACACGAAGACATCACTGTGGAGAGGAATAAAGATTGAGTCATAATTCTGAGAGAATAAACATTGTTTAGATCAACCTTTAAACTCAATATGCTTAATAGATTAGACTGAAATTATGTATTTCTAATGCTCCCTTTTACTCTATCCAGCATGTGTAGGCTGATCTTGAGATCAAATCTTCATTATATTTAAAATAATAATACCTTTTATTTGCAGATACATTTTATTTGTATCATGAGAACATTTCAACCCAGTCGTGAGTTTATTAACCTATATTTTCTTTCACTACTCCACAGCCAATATGTTCCAATCTTTCTCCTGACTTCCTCATGTGTTCAATGGTACTTTTTACATTTATATGTACAGAGGTTTGATATCTTCACTGATCTTTACTTTCGCACATCACCAGGCATTCTTCTAAAATTGGGTGCCTCCCCCTTCCACCAGGACTTCCCTACTGGCTCCAACCCAAATTATCCATTTCTTCAAAACACTGTTGTTTTTATCACTCAATTTAACACATAATTTCAAAAAACTTCAAATATTTCATAGTTTTTTCTCCTATGTATATTATACAAAATGTACATAAGAGTGCCTAGCACCTGGTAAGAAAATGATGTATTTTAGAAAGTGGTGTCTTCAGAATTACCCGTACACTTATGAAAGGCGTTGTCCAGTGTCATGTCTTAGAGATTTTCTGGGTTCATCATAATGTATATTAATTTGACTGTATCTAATAAACATCTTTGCGTCTCATATTTTTGAAAATTAATTTTAAGCTAATTTTGCAAGGTTTTGAGAAACTATGAAATGTATAAAATGCATAAAAATGTTTAAAACTTGAAATTGCTACACACACTCAACATGCTCTTAGGGTTTATTTAGTTATCATTGTGAATACTCAAAAGATTCATGTTATTTGATTATACAACTATATTATAAAATTATAATTTTGTAATAAAGGAAAAACCAATTAACAAATAAGTGAAAAACTCAACTAATTAACAATTTTATTTGGTCAACTTGATACCAAAGCAGTCGATACATACTTTTGTTTTATTGTTTGATCTGGTGCATTGTCGGAGTGTTGCTTAAGCAATGTTTAATTTCTTGTCTGTGCAACTGACAAACCTAAGAATGTAGCTAATTAATTGTCAATCTAGTGTGTCTGCACAATTAATCATAATGGCAGGGGAATAGATGGAATTGAGAAGTGGTAAAAAAATGAGAATCTTATGAATGAGCAATTTATGATTCTTAATGTACATTTCTAAAATCATTCTTTCTCTTATTTCATATTCACCCTTATATCACCAGAAAACAAATTATATAAAACATATATATTATAGCTACTTTATATATATATCCCCTTTCAATACATATATATACGCAATAATATTAGTTGAAGTCATTTTATAATCTTTATGCAAATGTTCTTATTCTCTACCCCATCTTCTAGATTAGATAATATTTTGCAAGAAAATATGGATTATGTCTTTTATAATTCTAGCCCTAATCACCTCACATAGTAAATCTACAATCAACAAATGAATGAGTCATATTTATTTGGTTTTATATCTAAATAATCACACCTATTTTCTCATTTTTCCACAATCAGATTTATAAAGGCGAATAATGTGTGTTTTCTAGGCAATATATTAAGTTTGAGTATGCTCAGCTCAATATGGTAAAGAACACATTATTTAGTATCAATTTAATTAAAACTTAAAATATTCAGGTCATAAAGTAGAGGTATTAAATTAGATTCTGTAATTTGCCTTCAGTCAATGTTTTCAATATTTTTACTACTTTCTTCAGTTCAATAAATGGCAGAGGAAGTTATATTTCAATGAGGTTAAAACAAATCTATGCAAATAAAATATATAATTACATTATATACAAGTGCTTAGTAATATAGATATTTATTATATAGTAATAATATACTAATCTATAAATGTATAATGTAAATTATTACTAAATATTAAATTATAAATAAATATTTCTATGTAGTTAGAAATTGCTTCCCAAAAGTGACATCTCACTACCACCCAAGGGAAAAAAAAAAAACTCAAAAATATCTTTAGTTACTAAAAAAGCATGAACTCTTTTACAGTATTTGTTAGCCTCACTGTGTCTCTGCCATTTTAACAGAAACACAGAATGATAAATAAATAATCTCACTTGATGGTTGTTTTCCTTTGACAATGGAACCAAAATGTATTTTAAAATTTGCTTTTTATAAAGAAGTATAAATAAAATTTTAAGCAAAATGTAAATATTTTAAACACATCCGAGACTGCTCTACTTAAAAGATTAGTTTGTCACAGTTGTGTATGTTTACTTTTCTACACAATAATTTTTAAAATAGAACTAAAATTTACCTAGAATAATTATTTTACCTGATCTCAATTACTTGCTTATTTTGGTGGCTGACATATCTCAATAAATTGATAGTTATGTACCTCTACAATTTCTAATTTTCTGAAAGCTTGTATGTGACAGTATATTCTGATTTGTCTAGAATATTTATGTTAAATATAAAATACATTAAGTATGTTTTATTAAACTAACACTAGAAATATTAATAAGAATGCTTAAGTAAATGCAATTGACAGGCATGCTCACTGACATTTAAGATGGATGTTTTCTAATCTAAACACAAATAGCAGAGAATTTTTATTTTTCTTAGCAAGGCAATTTTACTTCTATGGAAGGGTGTGTCTCATGGATGGAGCAATGGCAAGAGCACACCTGAACAAGGGAGGGGAAGAGGTTCCATATCTGACTCAGGTAGCTTCTTCTGCTGTGTCATTCCCCTATTGGCTAGGGTTGGACCACACAGTCTAAACTAATTCTGATTGGCTATTTTAAAGAGAAAAGGGGTACGAGCAGGAGTAGCAGGGGGAGTAGTTTGGTGGGAAGGATGGTTACAGAACAGGTGACTCAGGATGGCTAAGAACAGAGCAGGTGACCAAGGATAAGTAAGGTCAGAGCTGGTGACCAAGAGTGACCAAGGTCAGAGCAAGTGATAGAGGCTAGGATGGGGTTGTTTACTGAAACTAGGGGCAAGGAAATGTGAGGAATGAGGAAGTTAAACTTTAAAAGGAACAACAAAGAAGAGGGGAGCTGAACATACTGATACACTGGTTCTTTGGAGAGGATCTCAGAACTCATTGTACTTAACAGTTTACAGAATTGTACAGAATTCTGTAAATTGTACAGAACAATTTATAGGCTAAAACCTTTGAAGAGGAATTTATTATATCCTACAATTTCCCCCCTTTCAATTTTCATAGTACTTCCTCTTCAAACTTTTCTAACATACCTTGGCTTTGCTGCTTGACTTAATTCTCTAAAAGAAAAAAAATTGATCTGAGTAAGGCGGAGGAGAGCTAAGGGAGGTTTTAGTAAGTGCTGCTTGTAAGTCTTTATACTAGCCCACGGATGCATGGTATGACACAACACTCAACAAGAATGTTGAGTAATAAACACCTATTATGGCTGCAAGAGAAGTAAGAATTGAGGCTATTATTTCTTTCCATTTACTGAACCACCTTTCTAGCCACCCTGAGAAAGGGTTATCGACTTCAGAATTTTTAGCTAACTCATTGGATAAGGTGGTAAGTCTTTGTAAGGCCCTTGTTGTGCTCCCAGTGGGGCCAGTGTTGTTTGGGATAAAGGTACAACACTGAGTTTTAATCATAACACAAGCACCAGCTTTTTCAGCTAATATCCTATCTAGGGCTATTCTGTTTTCCCAGGCCATCTGGCCAGTGGGCCCCAATTGTTCTGCTATCCCTTTGACAGCATCCCTGGTGTAATTAATAAACCACTGCTGATTATAGTAGATGTAATTACATCATTTACAACAGCAGAGAATTTTACATGCCTTTTGGAAAAGAAATATTAGTAATTTGAGCTTTCATTTCTTACTTTTCTCCTGTTTGACTTAAATGCATTTCTTTGAGAATATGGAGTTCTTTTGAGAAAGCAGAGTTAATTGTAGTGTAAAGTATTAATAAGTAGATCTGTTCTACTGTTTTATTTTTGTATTATATAAAACCCAAACATCTTGGAAAACCAGGAGAGGAAAATAGTTCTCACATAATCTTCCACTAGGAGTATAAAATACTACCTGACCAAAATTCAAATAATATATAATAATTTATTTTAACAGCCAATCAACTATTTTTCCTAGAACTACTGCTAAAAATAATCAGAGATACAAGGTAAGGGTTGTGTTCAAGGCTGTTTATCTGAGTGTAATTTGTGAATGCAAATTCTGGAGGAAAGAAACTATAGTGAACACTAAGGAAATGTTTGACTAAAATACACATATTCAAATGATTATATAGGTATTAAGTAGAAATCAGGTTATGGATAATAATTTATGATAAGCAAATTGTTGAAAGTACAAATCATATGAAAATGCAGAGAAATAAAACTGTATATGTCAGTTTATTCTCAATTCCATAAATTTAAATCTATAGTTGTATATAAGTATAAACATATACACGTATGTATATGCATATATGTATAAAAATACATGACATGGCAATATGTACACAAATGTTCATTATAGTGTCAAGGTAGTTTTTTAAATTAATTTTTAAAATACAAATATGTTAAGTACTCAATTTAGCTAGTGAATAAATCCACAGTGTTCAAAAATTCACCCACTCCCTATACTCCTGTAATGTAAAATACTCTTAAATTCTTTAGATACTGCAAATATCTAAAGGATGGAAAAATAAAGGACGCATCAAAAATGTTCACAGTATTACATTTAAAAAGTGTAAAATCATACTGTCAACCTCGAGAGTGAGGGAAAAAAAAAGGTCAAACAGGATAACACAATAGTAAGACTTAGATGGTGTAAAATTGGAATTTGAAGATAGATCCACTCCTTGGATACAATTCTTTAGAAAAAGCAACTCTAGGGCTTACTTGTCAGAAATGAATTTATGATAAAATCCATACAAGAGTACTTATAATAATGTACTTATCATAGATGAACTAAGGCACAAACAGAAACTTTGGCCCTACTAGGGAAAATAATTCTGAAAATAGACTCTAACTTTTATACTTGAAGGTGTGTCTAGGACTAGAGGGTGGAATGTAGTGCTATCCAGTAGTTCATAATGAAGCAAAATTGAATACTGTTGGTTCCCTGAACTGCAGCCAAGAGTGTTGCATGGCTTATGCTTAATTATCTGAAATACACAAAGCATTCCTATATGTAGACATTATACATCTTGGACTTTGAAAACTTGTTTCTTATTTTCAGTTGTATATTTGCTTGATCCAAAGTAAAATGTCTGGAAACTATTGACATATAAAAATCAGTGTAATATTTGGTCATAGAATCATTTGCAAAATAAGATTGCAAAAGAGTAGAGGGAGTCATTGAGAAAAGTTTTGAGAAGGAGATTGGAGATTACAGAAGATAATTTCTATTTCTTTTTTTAATTTTATTAGTAGGAGAAAAGAGGGACTCTATACATAAAATATGCTGAGAAAGAATCCCTAAAATTGTTTTTAAAAGATTGTCCCACAAATATACTACTCCTATTATCTCTAATTTTAGCATAGATGACTTTATGTTCATTTAGGTATCTCTAAAATGACTTTTTGAGATAGTTTTTTTGTACTTGAGAAGCTGCCCAGAGTAAGCGCTGATGTTTAACTTAGCAAAAAAGATTCAAAGCAGTGGTTGGGCAAAGTGGCTCATGCCTGTAATCCCAGTACTTTGGGAGTCCTAGATGGGCAGATAACTTGAGACAAGGACTTTGAGACCAGTTTGGCCCATGTTGCAAAACCCTCTATCTACTAAAAATACCAAAATTAATCAGGCATGGTGGTGCATGCCTGTAATCCTAGCTACTCTTGAGGCTGAGGTAGGAAAATCACTTGAACCTGGAGGTAGAGGTTGCAGTGAGCCAAGATTGCCCCACCAACTTGGGCAAAAAAGCCAGACCCTGTCTCAAAAACAAATAAACGAACAAACAAAAAGATTCAAGCAGCTATTATTTTAAAAGTTCAAAGTACGAAGAAAACCACGTTTAAAATTTAAAAGTTATTTTGATAACAGAACTCTTGGAAACAGAGAATATCAATAAGACGTAAAAATTACATTAAAAAGATTCAAATGAAAATTCTGAATATAAAAGTACGATAACGACAATAATGATTCTTCTCTTTATTTTTGGTTTTCAACTGTTTGACTGTGATCTCTAGTTGTGGATCTCATGTTTATTCTATGTGGTGTTTCTTGGCCTTCTTAGATATGTGAATTAATGTTTTCTTCACATTTAGTTTTTAGTCATTATATTCTCAAATATTCTTTTGCTCCTCTCTTTGTCTTTTCTCCTTCAGATATATTCATTATGTTGCCATGCTTAATGGTGTACAACATGTCTCTGAGACACTGTTTATTTTTTTCCTGTTCTTCAGATTGAAAATCTCTTTTGATGTGTCTTTAAATGTGCTGATTTTTTTCTTCTGCTAGCTTAAGTTTGCTATTTAGCCACTGGAGTGAATTATTTTTATTTTCATTATGATACTTTTAACTATCAGTGTGTGTGTGTGTGTATATATATATATATATTTATTTATATAAAGATATATTTATATATGCATATGTAAATATATTCATAATATATATTATATTTTATATTTTAATATATAATATATAATTTTATATATAAATATAAAAATAAATATTTTAATTTTTTTTTTTAACTTTTAAGTTCAGGGGTACAAATCCAGTTTTGTGACATTGGTAAACTTGTCATGGAGGTTTGTTGTGCAGATTATTTCATCACCCGGGTATTAAGCCTGGTACCCATTAGTTATTTTTCCTGATCCTCTCCCTCCTCACATGCTCCAACCTCTGAAGGGTCACAGATTTTTTTGTTTTACTGAAGTGTAATGTATAGAAAAACAGATTCATTTTAACAGTCAGAGTTAGAGTGGTAACAATGCGCTCACCCTGTACTAATTAGAAATAAGGGACAGTTTATCTAAAAGATGGGAGAAGCAGCATAATGTGATAAAGAGGAGAAAGTAAAAAAATAAATATTATTTTCAAAAGAATTGGATGTACTATAATGTTATGATATATCAGAGAAAAGCTAAAAAGTGTGAGAAATTTGTCTTCAAGTAGATATGACAGGGTAACTATCAGGAAGTCAAAGTACTATGAATAAAATTCAAAGTTTAAAGGAAGAATCTGGAAAGAGGCCAGTAATAAATGTAGACCGAGAGTAAATAGATTCCTGTCTCAAAGAATATGGGAAGATACAAGCCAATTGTGAAAGAACTACTGAAGGAGTTTTGTGTTTTTATATAAGTATTACTGTAAGTTATAAAGATGTGAGTGTGAAATACTATTAAGAAAGAAAATAATGAAAATTGTGGTTGTTTAAAATGAGAACCCAGGTGCAGGAATAACTAAAGCAAAGGTGAGAGACAATTTTAGTTTTTATAAAAAAATAAAGGAAAAGCAGTGCAAGCTACTGTGCTTCGTTAAAATTGTTTAGAAAAGTAATTAAGAAATAAGGACAATTTTGACTGCTTATTAAACGAAATGTTATGCAATGATCTTCAATATAAAAATGACTACGTCTGCATCAACCTAAATATTTTTATGTATATGAAAACGTATTTCTTGAAAATAAAAACCTGAGGCATTCAAAATAATTTGGCCTGCAGTATTACGGTTTGTAATACTTTCCAAAGTGTACAATAATTGCTGAAAATTTTCTTCTATGTGTTACTGTTATGTAAAGGTGCATTGGCATTCTTTCTTCCACTTGATCAATTCGGCTATTGATACTTGTGTATGCTCCATGAAGTTCTCGTGCAGTTTGTTTTTTTGTTTGTTTGTTTGTTTTCAGCTCCATCAGGTCATTTATGTTCTTCTCTAAACTGGATATTCTAGTTAACAATTCCTCTAACCTTTTTTCAAGGTTCTTAGCTTCTTTGCACTGGGTTAGAATATGCGCCTTTAGCTCTGAGGAGTTTGTTATTACCCACCTCTGAAGCCTACTTCTGTCAGTTCGTCAAATTCATTCTCCGTCCAGTTTTGTTCCCTTGCTGGCAAGGAATTGTGATACTTTGGAGAAGAGGTGTTCTGGTTTTTGTAATTTTCAGCCTTTTGTGATGTTTTTTTCTCATCTTTGTGGATTTATCTACCTTTGGTCTTTGATGTTGGTGACCTTCGGATGAGGTTATTGTGTGGACGTCCTTTTTGTTGATGTTGATGCTATCCCTTTCTGTTTGTTAGTTTTCCTTCTAACAGTGGGGTTCCTCTGCTGCAGATCTGCTGGAGTTTGCTGGTGGTCCACTCCAGACACTTTTTGCCTGGGTATCACCAGTGAGGCTGCAGAACAGCAAGGATTGCTGCCTGTTCTATCCTCTGGAAGCTTCGTCCCAGAGGGGGACTTGCCAGATGCCAGCTGGAGCTCTCCTCTTTGAGGTGTCTCTCTACCCTTGTAGGGAGGTATCTCCCAGTCAGGAGGCACAGGGGTCAGGGACCCCTTTGAGGAGGCAGATCAACTTACATAACTGAAATAAACCATGAAAACAAGATTAGAGAAAAAAGAATAAAAAGGAACAAACAAAGCCTTCAAAAAATATGGGACTATGTGAAAAGACCAAACTTACTTTTGGTTGGTGTACCTAAAAGTGGTGGGGAGAATGGAACCAAGTTGGAAAACACTCTTCAGGATATTATCCAGGAGAACTTCCCCAAGCTAGAAAGACAGACCAACATTCAAATTCAGGAAATACAGAAAACACCACAAAGATACTCCTCAACTAGAGTGACCACAAGGCACATAATCGTCAGAATCACCAAGGTTGAAATGAAGTAAAAAATGTTAAGTGGAACCAGAGAGAAAGGTCGGGTTACCTACAAAGGGAAGCCCATCAGACTAACAGCAAATCTCTCTGCAGAAACCATACAAGCCAGAAGAGAGTGGGGACCAATATTGAACATTCTTAAAGAAAAGAATTTTCAACCCAGAATTTCATATCCAGTCAAACTAAGCTTCATAAGCGAAGGAGAAATAAAATCCTTTACAGAGAAGCAAATACTGAGAAATTTTGTCACCACCAAGACTGCCTTACAAAAACTCCTGAAGGAAGCACTACATATGGAAAGGAATAACCGGTACCAGCCACTGCAAAACCATGCCAAATTATAAAGACCATCGACACTATGAAGAAACTGCATCAACTAACAAGCAAAATAACTAGCTAGCAGCAAAATGATAGGATCAAATTCACACATAAAAATATTAACCTTAAATGTAAATGGGCTAAATGCCCCAATTAAAAGACACAGACTGGCAAATTGGATAGAGTCAAGACCCATCAGTGTGCTGTATTCAGAAGACCCATCTGACATGCAAAGACACACATAGGCTCAAAATAAAGGGATGGAGAAATATTTACCAAGCAAATGGAAGGAAAACAAAGCAGGAATTGCAATCCTGGTCTCTGATAAAACAGACTTCAAACCAACAAAGATCAAAAGAAACAAAGAAGGCCATTACATAATGGTAAAGGGATGAATGCAACAAGAAGAGCTAACTATCCTAAACATATTTGCAGCTAATGCAGGAGCATCCAGGTTCATAAAGCAAGTTCTTAGAGATCTACAAAGAGGCCTAGACTCCCACACAATAATAGTGGGAGACTTTAACACCACACTCTCAATATCAGACAGATCAACAAGACAGAAAATTAACAAAGATATTCAGGACTTGAACTCAGCTCTGGACCAAGTGGACCTAATAGACATCTACAGAACTCTCCACCCCAAATCAACAGAATATACATTCTTCTCAGCACCACATCACACTTATCCTAAAATTGACCACATTATTGGAAATAAAACACTCCTCAGCAAATGCAAAAGAATGGAAATCATAACAAACAGGCTCTCAGACCACAGTGCAATCAAATTAGAACTCAGGATTAAGAAACTCACTCAAAACCGCACAACTGCATGGAAACTGAACAACCTGCTGCTGAATGACTATGGGGTAAATAACGAAATGAAGGCAGAAATAAAGATGTTATTTGAAACCAATGAGAACAAAGACACAATGTGCCAGAATCTCTGGGACAAAGCTAAAGCAGTGTTTAGAAGGAAATTTATAGTACTAAATGCCCACAGGAGAAAGCGGGAAAAATCTAAAATCGACACCCTAACATCACAATTAAAGAACTAGAGAAGCAAGAGCAAACAAATTCAAAAGCTAGCAGAAGACAAGAAATAATTAAGATCAGAGCAGAAACGAAGAAGATAGAGACACAAAAAATCCTTCAAAAAAATCAATGAATCCAGGAGGTGTTTTTTTGAAAAGATTAACAAAATTGATAGATCACTAGCCAGACTAATAAAGAAGAAAAGAGGGAAGAATCAAATAGACACAATAAAATATGATAAAGGTGAGATCACCACTTATCTCACAGAAATACAAACTACCATCAGAGAATACTATAAACACCTCTACACAAATAAATTAGAAAATCTAGAAGAAATGGATAAATTCCTGGACACATACACCCTCTCAGTACTAAACCAGGAAGAAGTTGAATCCCTGAATAGACCAATGACAAGTTCTAAAATTGAGGCAATAATTAATAGCCTACGAACCAAAAAAAGCCCAGGATCAGCTGAATTCTACCAGAGTTACAAAATAAGAAGAGCTATTTATGACAAACTCACAGCCAATATCATACTGAATGGGCAAAATCTGGAAGCGTTCCCTTTGAAAACCAGCACAAGAGAAGTATGCCCTCTCTCACCAATCCTATGCAACATAGTATTGGAAGTTCTTGCCAGGGCAATCAGGAGAGAGAATGAAATAAAGGGCATTCAAATAGGAAGAGAGGAAGTGAAATTGTCTGTTTGCAGATGACATGATGGTATATTCAGAAAACCCCATTCTCTCAGCCCCAAATCTCCTTAAGCTGATAAGCAACTTCAGCAAAGTCTCAGGATAAAAAAACAATGTGCAAAAATCACAAGCATTCCTATACACAAGTAATAGACAAACAGAGAGCCAAATCATGAGTGAACTCCCATTTAAAATTGCTACAATGAGAATAAAATCCCTGGGAATACAACTTACAAGGGATGTGAAGGACCTCTTCAAGGAGAACTACAAATCACTGCTCAAGGAAATGAGAGAGGACACAAACAAATGGAAAAACATTCCATGCTCATGGATAGAAAGAATCATTATCGTGAAAATGACCATACTGCCCAAAGTAATTTATAGTTTCAATGCTATCCCCATCAAGCTACCATTGACTTTCTTCATAGAATTAGAAAAAACTACTTTAAATTTCATATGGAAACAAAAAGCCCGTATAGCCAAACAATCCTAAACAAAAAGAACAAAGCTGGAGGCATCATGCTACCTGACTTCAAACTATGCTACAAGGCTACAGTAACCAAAACATCAGGTACTGGTACCAAAACAGATATATAGACCAATGCAACAGAACAGAGACCTCAGATGTAATGCCACACATCTACAACCAACTGATCTTTGACAAACCTGACAAAAACAAGCAACGGGAAAAGGATTCCCTATTTAATAAATGGTGTTTGGAAAACTGGATAGCCATATGCAGAAAACTGAAACTGGATCCCTTCCTTACGCCTTATACAAAAATTAACACAAGATGGCGTACATACTTAAATGTAAGACCTAAAACCATAAAAACCCTAGAAGAAAACCTAGGCAATACCATTCAGGACATAGGCATGGGCAAAGACTTCATGTCTAAAACACCAAAAGTAATGGCAACAAAAGCCAAATTGACAAATGGGATCTAATTAAACTAAATTTTAGAGTTAATTGTTGTGCTTTCTGCACAGCAAAAGAAATTACCATTGGAGTGAACAGGCAACCTACAGAATGGGAGAAAATTTTTGCCATCTATCCATCTGACAAAGGGCTAATATCCAGAATCTACAAGGAAATTAAACAAACTTACAAGAAAAAAACAACCCCATCAAAAAGTGGGTGAAGTATATGAACAGACACTTCCCAAAAGAAGACATTTATGCAGCCAATAAACATTAGTCATCACTGGTCATTACAGAAATGCAAATCAAAACCACAATGAGATACCATCTAACACCAGTTAGAATGGTGCTCATTAAAACTCAGGAAACAACAGATGCTGGAGAGGATGTGGAGAAATAGGAACACTTTTACACTGTTGGTGGGAGGGTAAATTAGTTCGACCATTGTGGAAGACAGTGTGGAAATTCCTTAAGTATCTAGAACTAGAAATACCATTTGACCCAGCAATCCCATTACTGGGTATATACCCAAGGGATTATACATCATTCTACTATAAAGACACATGCACATCTATGTTTATTGTAGCACTATTCACAATAGCAAAAACTTGGAACCAACCCAAATGCCTATCAATGCTTGACTGGATAAAGAAAATGTGGCGTAAAAAAGGATGAGTTCATGTCCTTTTCAGGGACATGGATGAAGCTGGAAACCATCATTCTCAGCAAACTAACACAGGAACAGAAAACCAAACACTGCATGTTCTCACTCCTAAGTGGGAGTTGAACAATGAGAACACATGGACATAGGGAGGGGAACATCACACACCAGGGCTGGTCCAGGAATGGGGGGCTAGGGGAGTGATAGCATTAGGAGAAATACCTATTGTAGGTGACGGGTTGATGGGTGCAGCAAACCACCATGGCACGTGTATACCTATGTAACAAACCTTCACGTTCTGCACATGTATCCCGGAACTTAATGTATAATAAAAAAAGTAAATAAAAATTAAATTTTTAAAAAGGTGCATTGGCAATTAAATAAAATTGTAGATATTTATTTAGAGTCCACGAATATGCTCAAATTGTGTTCTATGACCTAGAAGTTTTAAATATCGTAGAGTGGACTTGTATTTTTTAAATTGTGATAGATAAGCAGGTAGGAGATTTCTGCCAAATCAAAATCATCCCATAGACCTATCTTCCCTTTGACATGTGCAAAGCTGAATTGCCAGATTTGGGTCTTGAACATTGAGATGTATTCACATTTTCACCATCTCATTATTTTGACAGTGTGTCTGGGAGAGCTGAAATACAGCAGATGTTACAGGAGTTATAAATATTGGCAACATAAGCCTTCAAACACATAACTCCAGAAAATTTCCTTGGATCACAATAGTCTGAGAATTTCAGTCAGTTATGACTCATCAATTAGAGATTTGCTTTATAGGAAAACAAGCACCAGTATGATACTGCTATTTTGAGTGGATCTCATTGTAAGCCTATGACTACTCATAATTAAATACTTATGTATATGTATATACATACATCAAATGTACATAAATATTTATGTATATGCACATATTAAATATGTATATGTATATACACATATAGATACATAATACACGTTTGTATGTAGCATATAAGCAAACTTAACACTGAATATTTAACTGCTATGAGAATAGTGCAGCTTTTCAGATTTCAGCTCTGTAATAACTGACATTTTTCATGCATTTTCTTTGCTGCAAACAATGCAAGACCTACTAAAATGGTAGGGCATTGAATTTCCTTTGGTTTCTGTCTCTTCCCCATGGATGCCTGCCTCCCATGTTTTTCCTGTTGCATCCTGACTGTTCTTAAAATACTGGGGTCTAGTGCCAGCTCCCTTGCCCATTTTTTTCCAAGACTTCTCTATCTAAGCAAGCCTTCTACAATCAGTTCACTCTTTGCCCAGATACTCTTCTCTCCATGTCAGAACATGGAGATAGTGTGATGTGACTTTTTTAGCCTGGTAAGCCATCACCTATTTTGTGTACAAGTAACACATTCTCTGGGCTAAGTATCCCAATTCTGATTGTGGGATAACACTGCATTCCCCTTCATTACATTTCTGACTTTACTTCTCCATTATAATTTATTTTAAATTTCTATGGGGTTAGTAAGCATCTCCTCCTTTGTGAAGTCTTTTCTCCACTTTCTACACTTCCTCAAGGGTAACAATGTTGGTTTCTCCTGTTTTGCAGCACACAACTTAGCACCTTAGCATACTGCAGGGCGGTGGGTTTGCTCCTTAAATATCTGCTAAGTGAAGAGACAGAATCTAAATGAGTGACTAACACACTAAGAATTATTTTTTGAAAACTCTGAAGAAAACTTATGTAACTGTGTCAGGAGCTCCGCTGAGCTGAGGAGAGCTGAAATCTCAGATGCTCAAGTAGCCAATCAAAGCAACAAACCCAAAATAAAAGTAACAAACAGACCTTTAATTTCTGATTGAGATAGTATAAGCAGAAGGCTAATACCAGAGATTATGCTGAACCCCCAGCCCCACCCCTATTCCATTTTCTCCCCAAGGACACCAGTTGAAGGTCAGGGGGCTCAGCACAGACACGGGGGTCATCTCAACGCCCAGGGAGCTCCCCCACAAAAAAAATCCTGCAGTTTTATGGACCTGGGACGGGATGAGAGAAAAGCAAAGGGCAAAGAGTAGAAAAGTACTGAGTTAGAGTGAGGAAAAGTATCTTCAACTTTTCCCCTTCCTTACTCGAATTTTATAAAAAGGTCTCTGGAGACCCCAAATAAAGATACCTAGGGCTGGAAGTGTCTGGGCTGAAAGTGCGAATATGTGTAAGGCAGACACACAGAGGGGCTTGAGTGTTTGACTGCAGCTCCCCTTTGACACTGGAAGGTATCATCTGTTCACCGTGTCTGGTATGGGGATGTGAAGACGGGTTTTCCCCATCAGGCCTGTCAGTTAAATAAAGCCTTTGTAATTGTTTATGGCCAGACGTAAGAAATCATCTGTAGATTTTTTAACCAGGAGCCAGATTTCTCAAACTTAACGTGAACTATGTAAAGTCTGCAAATGTTAATTGTGGTCTCCATGCAGTGTAATAGATCATTAAAATTGGTCGGGTGCTGTGACTCACACCTATAATCACAGAACTTTGAAAGAGGGAGTTGGGTAGACCTCTTGAGCCCAGGAGTTTGAGACCATCCTAGGCAACATGGCAAAACCTCGTCTGCCAAAAATACAAAAATTAGCACGCATGGTGGTGGTGCATGCCTGTAGTCCCAGCTATTCCAGAGGGTGAGGTGGGAGGATCACTTGAGCCCAGGAGTTTGAGGCTGCAGTGAGCTATGATTGCTCCAGTGCACTCCAATCTGGGCAACAGTAAGTCAGCGAGACCCTGTTCCCCCTACAAACAAAACAAAACAAAACAAAAAAATTAATTCTTCTCATATCACTGAAATCTGCACCATTTGATCAACATCTACTCTTCCCCTATTTCCACACTCACCTCTCAACCTCTGGTAATCACCTTTCTAGTCTGTTTCTATGAAATTGACATTTTTAGATCCCAGACATAAGTGAGATTGTATTTCACGATTGCTAACATAATGAATGTTAAATGTTCTTGCTACAAAAAAAGTTGGTCAGGTGATGGATATGTTAATTAGCTTGATGTAATCATTCTACAGCATATACATATAATAAAACACATTGTACCTCATAAATATATACAATTATTATTTGTCAATAAAAATAAATAAAACCTACAAAGAATTATTTAGGAGCTGTTTGAGGATTTTCTTTGTTTTGTACTTGTTGAGTTTCACTAGACTTTATCCTCTCCTCTATGTAGAGAAAATTATAAAACACTGTGTTAACTATGAACATTTTTCTCTACAAATGTAGGATGAAGATATATATCTTTTAAAGAAACAATGCACATGATTCTTTCTTATGAGATAGCATACAAATCTTTTAAGATTGGAAGCATCCAAATTATTTTATGACACTTTAAGGAAACAGGGAAAACCTTGTTTAATAGAATTGCAACACTCAGTGTTCTGCAGCAAATTATTTTCTCTTTTAATGACATTTATTTTTACCAAAACACTAGCATGCTGTGTTTATCTAGACGTGACACCTCTTGTAACACTCTCTTCTCTTCAGTTTTTTAAAAAAACTTATATATATTTTTTTCTTTAAAAGTTGATTATATAGAAAAATTGCCTGAACATTAGAAGAAAGCAATTGATAGACATGTACTGCTTTAAATATTTTGAGAAGCATCTGGAATAAGTTCAGTCTTAGTCACTTTCTACACTTTTCTGACCTTCAAGATGAGGCTCAGTATATATCTAAGGAGTAGTCAAGAAGGAATAAATGAATAAATGAGTTCCCCCATTGTGCTGGTTTTGGTGCCCACCATAAATCTCTGCAGAGGATTATTTTTCTTTGGCATCCATTGCTGTTATATGATTCCTCATGCTCTTCTCCCATTCTCTGCCCAGTTTATAGTTGTGGGTGAAATGTCCTGTGGGAAAAAAAAAGAAGGGAATCAGCAATTATGCAAAAAGCTACAATGTAGTACAAAGACTATTGCCACATAAGAGGAAACTATTATGTTTGTTAAAAATACAAAGAGAGGAAAATGGCTCTTAATTTGAGTCCCACATGTACCATTTCAGTTTTGTTACACTGAGAAAAAGAGATTTAAAAGTAAACTACATATATTTTTCTCGAACATTTGTGAGCTGACTGAATAATAAAAACAAAACTCCTGATGAAGTCAGAATTATAATTACTAGCATATGGCATAAACACACTCTAAACCTCCGTTTTTCCAGATTTATAATGGGAACAAAAAAAGTAACTGCATCATAAGGCACATTGTAACCACAGTAAATGTTTGCTATTATTAGCATTCAAAAATTCACATTTTTAACAAACCATCCTTGTAACATCCTCAGAGAAATAAATGTTCGAAGTGCATAAAATACATAAACAAACATACAAATATTCAATAGATGACTGAATCTACATAAAATAAAAAATAGGTTTATTTTTGTTCTAAATGATTGCACATTTCTATGTATATAAAGAAAATACAACTTTTCTGAAGAAACCCTAAACTTAAAGAAAAATTGCCTTGTATGCAAAATAATTTGACTTTATTCTTTTATTTCAAATATGCATACTTTCTCATATATTACAAAAATGAAAATTTTTTGATTTCAGTGCTATTTTGGGAAAGTCTCAAAACTGTATCCTACTCTCTGCCCCAGATTTTTTTTTTTTTTTTAAGATGGTAGTCTCCCTCGGTCACCCAGGCTGGAGTGCAGTGGTGCTATCTCTGCTCACTGCAAGTTCCCGCTCCCAGGTTCACACCATTCTCCTGCCTCAGCCTCCCGAGTAGCTGGGACTACAGGTGCCCGCCACCACGCCTGGCTAATTTTTTTTTTTTTTTGTATTTTTAGTAGAGATGGGGTTTCACCATGTTAGCCAGGATGGTCTCGATCTCCTGACATCGTAATCCGCCCGCCTCGGCCTCCCAAAGTGCTGGGAATACAGGCATGAGCCACTGCGCCAGGCCTCTGCCCCAGCTTTTAATAAAAATTCCACTTTTATAATTTCTATATGCAATGCATTAATAGTATATGTGAGTCTCACTTTTTCCCAATTGATGATCAATAATCCTATTTGTCTATAATTGATTGTCAATCCCATTTCCTGAAGTAATCCTCTTAACGTTGTTGTTAAATCTCCTTAGCCTTGCATCTCCAACATGCTTCCTTTATTTTTGCAAATAGTATTTATTATTTCAAAAAATATGAGGCCACTGGATACATCTTTCACTCAGTTTTCTCTTTCTCCCTCTTGCTTCATCTCTTCCATCTTAGACAGAAAAGTATCATTTCTCTCCTTTAGACTCTCTTCTCTAATGAGCTTGTTCTATTTTATTTACTTTCTCTGCAAATTCATTCCATGTCCTATACTCTCTGATTATGACTTATTCCACATATTTATCTCTTCCATAAACCCACAACACATTAGTAACCTTATAATAATAAATAGCTTACCTCCTATCTTCCTATTATTCCTGCCACCATATCATTTTTTTACTTATATATTCACAGTCTTCTTGATTTTGAGATTTAAAATACATGTGCTGCCTCCACATTTTGATGTTCCCTTTTCATTATATAACTACCGAATTTATATATAATGAGACAGCATTATGAGTCCTTTAAAAACTTAATCCAATGGATTATTTTATTATCCTACCTTGCAAGAGCACACCTTGCATGCTCCTATTACCTACAAGAGTAACTATTTTATTCCACAGGTAAAAGCTAGCATTATTAAGATTTTCCCATCCTCCTTATATAATTGAGCAATCTGGCTTCTGGTTAAAAATCTTGGTGTGTATATGTGCCATATTTTCTTCATCCAGTCTACCATTGATGGACATTTAGGTTTATTCCATGTCTTTGCTATTGTGAATAGTGCTGCAGTGAACATACACGTGCATTTGTCTTTAAGACAGAACAATTTATATTCCTCTGGGTATATACCCAGTAATGGGATTGCTGGGTTGAATGGTAGTGCTGTTTTTAGGTTTTTGAGGAATCACCACACTCTTTCCACAAAGGTTGAACTAAGTTACATTCCCACCAACAGTGTATAAGTGTCCTTTTTCTTCCCTTTTCTCCACAACCTCGCCAGTATCTGTTATTTTTTTGACTTTTTAATCATAGCCATTCTGACTGGTATGAGATGGTATCTCACCTAAAATAAAATAAAAGTTAAAAAAAACAACAACGCCAACAACAAAAACCTAGGCGTGATTTTTCAGGCCTGACATTAGGCAATGATGAAGGCTTTACTGCAGGGTCTCTCCTCAGGAAACCCTGCCCTCCCTAACCAGCTGGGATAAACAGCCAGTGCACTATAATCTCTGAAAGGAGTTGCAGTCAAGGACTCTGAACCCCCTGGTAGGTCATGCTCTTTCACATGTTTACATGCCTCCTTCATTTCTAGGTCTCTTTATCTGAGGCCTTGCACAAAAATATTTTCAGGTATCTCCCAAAGTCTGTTAATAGGAGGAGGAGGGAGGAAACCTTGAGGACACTTTCCCCAGTACTTAGTACTTTTCTACTCCTATATCTCCCTCTTACTCTACCCTCAACTCAGATTCCATAGAACTGCTGGAGTCTTTTGTTGAGACTTCCTCAAAAGTGAGGCAGCCTCCGTGTCTGTGCTGACCCACCTGACCCTGGACCAGCCTCACATTCCAGGAAGGAAATGGGACAGCGGAGTTGGCATTTTTTCAGTTTTAAATTCTTGCCTGTCACATTGCAGTAAGTCATTAATTGGCTTGTTGCTTTGATTGGCTATTCTAATATTTGGCAGCTCAGCTCTCTCCCAGCTCAGGTGACTCCTGATACCAATCACACAGATACTGAGTACCTCCTTGGTGCTAAGTCCCAAACTATTTTGTCTTATTTTACATTCACACACTGCTACAGAATAAGCAAGGCATTTCCATCCTATCAAGTTCTTCGACAGTTTGATCTACTCATCACTGCAACATGTTCAGTGTCTTGCGGAGAGATCCAGAACGCCTGAAAACTATTAGGAATATTTGAGTTCCTGTTTTGACATTCAATCTGGTTTATTTCACTCTCTCTAACGGCAGTATTATATACCCCATAATCTGGGGCAATGGTCACAGCTTTATTCAGCCTCCTTTCATTGGTAAGAAGTCTTGTTACAATTTCTTTCAGTAAGCCTCCATAATATGTTAACCATTTCTTGTTGTTTTTATCATAAAGGTGTTAAGAAAAGACAATGGAGACAAAAGGAAAATTTTATTTTTCAAAAGCAATCTACAGATTGGAAATAAGTCATAGCCTTCAGTGCAAAAACTGTGTGCTCTGAGGAGGGGTTGGAAAGTAGATTATTATAAAGGCAAAAACTACAGGATGGATGGGTATGTGGAGGGGAATCAGGTACTAGGACTGGGTTGGATGGTTTTTGTGAGAGACATTATAAGTCTCTTTTTATTGGCTGACCTCAGGTGATTTGTTGGTGTTCATTTGAAAAATTTCCAGCTACAGTCTATCTCAGCGTGGACAACAGGAACTGGTTCACTGGTTTTATTTGACTGTAGCAAAGGTATTTTTCATGCCTCAACTTAGCATGAATAGCTCTGAAAACTAAGCACGACTACTTTACCTGAGGGCCTTTTACAAACACTTTCTTTGGCTTTTTTCTTTTAAACCAAAAATACCTTTTCAAGTGATTCATGAAAATTAATAAGCCTCAACTAAGGTTATGGCAAACTAGTCATCTCTAAAGATGTGCAAAACAGTCCTCACAAGATCCAGAACCACCCTAAAGGCAGTTCAAAGAAATAAAATTCTTCTTCCACAGATGGATTCTAACCCACGTTTCTGTCCAACCATATTTTCTGGCATCTCAGCTTCTCAGCTGAGTGTCCAATCATAAAGGCCCCAAGTCCCCACATGCCTTACAGAAAGTAAAAGATAAGAAATCAAAAGCTGTCCACAGAAGGGAAAAGAAAAACAAATGGATACCCCAAAAGTTTAAGGGTCATGCAAATAATTTAAAATAAATAGGATCGGTACCCTGATGGAGACTCAAACTAAGACCACAGCAATAAGAGTAGAGAATCTTAGTGACTAGACTATAGGATGGAGTGCTTTCTAATAAATCCTGTAGAGAATACAAGGCAAGGAGTTTAAGCATACAAAAGATTTTAACTTTGTTTTAGGTCAAACTTTTGCTCTTTAATTTTGCCAAGACAATTTCTAGGGCAAGCTGTAACATTTATGTGCCTTTTATTCAACTTAGACTTTATATAAATACAAATAAATGAACTGTTTACTATGAGAGAGCTCTAAAATCTTTTTATTAAGAGTCTAATTTAAAGAATCTTCTAGCCATTGACAATGGAATTTTCAATGGTATATTTATTTCAATGAAGACTCCAATACTTTCTTCATGAAAAGCCCAGGATGTAATTTTCCAGTTTTAGAATAAGTTCTTGCCAGTTGAGATAAGGTATTTCCTGTTGGCACACATGGTTAAGAATGGCATTTATGCATACATTACCTCTTGTACTAGTCCATTCTTGCATTGCTATAAAGAAATGTCTAAGGCTGAGTAATTTGTAAGAAAAGAGGTTGAATTGGCTCATGGTTCTGCAGGCTGTACAGGAAGCATTGGCATCTCCTTCTGGTGAGGCCTCAGGAGGCTTATAATCATGTTGGAAGACAAAAAAGGACCAGGCACATCACTTTGTGAAAGCGGAAACAAGAGAGTGTTGGGTGGGTGGATGGGGGGACAAATATTCAAACTATATTACCTCTTGCAACCCGAAAGGGGGGTTGGGGCTGCCAGTCACAGATCCACTAATCTGTGACACCATGTAGGTCCTTTTGGGATTGGACTTTCCCAGGACTAACTGGGCAAAAAACGTTGAGATGACAAAAGCCCTCAGGGATGGGGTTTCTTAGGACAGGCTGCCCCCAAAGCATGACACGTTCAGAACAAAAGCATGTTGCTTAAAATCTTACATGCCCTGGCTTCCCAGCCATTTTCAGACTGGCCACCTGACATAACCTGAAAATAATTCCCTCCCCCGATGGCAGACATTGAAAGAAAGTGCTCCTACTTGGCCACAAGTCAAGCCCTCAAGGACATAAGAAAAGAGAAGAACCTCATCTAATTTTTTTTTGAGGACCCAAGGCAAAGTTTGTACACCAGTCTGATCAAGTCTGCAAACTGATCATTCTTCAGGGCTGGCTTGAAAAATGGTCTTATAATAGTTGTCCTCTCATGTTCTATGCTGTGGTATACCTCATTATGATAGGACAAAACAGGAAGACAAAGACAATGGGATAGACTATGTCTGAGATTCAAATGGATTAAACAATATGAATATTCATAACAAAACTTACTAAAAAACACAAGTGCTGCTATACCCATGATTATTCACACCAATCCTTTTCTCCCACTAATTAAGATACTGTAGAGAAGACATACTGACTTTTACCTTCTGCTTGACTAGATCCCAGAGTATTAAGAGTCTGGGAGCCTGACTAGTAAGAGAATCTTAATCTTCTGCTGGCTTGTCAGGTCCTGAGTTCCCTTCACTGTGGCTTTAAGAAAAATGGAGTGGCTTTGTTCATCCTGATTACAGTGCCAAAACTGTAAAGGCCAAGGGAAAGCTTCCCCCTTGCTCTCTGAATATTCAATGAAAAATCCAACTCACAAAGAAGATTTATGGGGGAAATAGCATATAAATGTATTAATGTGCTTATGGGGGAGAACCACAGAGCAATTATACCCTTCTTAGAAAACAAAACATCACAAGGAAAACTTACCCTTTTGCCAAGGAGAGCAAGTAGTTGAATAAAACTCAGGACCATCAAAGAAGTGGGAGGTCTGAAATCGAGGAAAGACTCACCCAGTTGTTTGCAACCATGGAGGAGTCAGAAGGGCTCAAAGGGCCTATGCTGTAACTGGGGCATTGAGTTCCCACAGTGTTCCAGATGATGAAGATGGTGGTGAGAAGAAAAAAGTGGAAGTGGAATGCAGGGTGTGGGTGGGGCAGGGAGGTATAGGGCTCTCCATCTTAGTGTCTGGGAGCCTTTCAAGTATTTGGAGATATTATTTGTCTTTAGATTAGTCTCCTTTAAAAACTTGGACAGAGGCCAGGCTTGGTGGCTCACACCTGTAATCCTGGCACTTTGGGAGGCCGAGGCAGGCAGATCACGAGGTCGGGAGATCGAGACCATCCTGGCTAACGCGGTGAAACCTCATCTCTACTAAAAATACAAAAAATTAGCCGGGCGTGGTGGTGGCCACCTGTAGTCCCAGCTACTCAGGAGGCTGAGGCAGGAGAATGGTGTGAACCCAGGAGGCAGAGCTTGCAGTGAGGTGAGATCACACGGCTGTACCCCAGCCTGGGTGACAGAGCAAGACTCCGTCTCAAAAAGAACAAAAACAAAAACAAAAACAAACCAACAAAAAAAAACTTGGACAGATTCCCAGTTGTAACTGGAGCTTTCAGAAGTGCTGAAATCCCCTTATTATCTTTGAGAGGTGCAGACTCCTCTTTGTTTTAATTTGATTTTAAAGTTTTACATTTTAAAAACTGCCAGAGTACCTGATGGTGGTTGGTCAGAGACTGAGCCACCGAAATGGCAGCTGGTTAGAGACCTTTCCCTTAGAACCCAGGTTACCCATAGCACTCAACTTATGTAGATGTCCCTTCAAGTCCAAACAAAGTGTGAGCATCCTCACAAAACTGAAGTTTTGACTAGCTTACCCCACAAAGCCTGAGTGTACCCCCAAAAGGGTGAGCAAACCCTGCAAAGTGCAAGTGTAGTCCATAAATGGGTACCCTGTGGAGCCAGATGGGAAGGCTGTCTGAAGAAAATAAAGTCGCTGAGACCTCAGCTTAAAACAGATCTTGGATCTGAGAGGGTCTACCTGATTCCTCCCCAACACAGCAGGGAAACAACTGAACATAAAGAGCTCACATAGGGGTCAATGTATTGGTCTGGTTGGCATTGGGAATGAGCTTGGTGCTGCTTCAGATCCAATCCTTGTCACCATGAAATGTTAATAAAATACCTGAGATGTGCAGAGACAAAAGGGAAATTTTGTTTTCTAAAAGCAATCTACAGATTGGGAGGATGCAGTCTTTTAAGTGTGCCCTGAGCAGGAGTAGGAAAGTAGAAGATTATAAATGCAAAAACCATAGAATGAGGGAATCAGTTGCTAGGTTGGATTGGATGGCCTTTAAACAAGACTCACAATTATATTTACTGGCTGGCTTCAGGTGGTCTGTTGGTGGTCAGTTGGGGAATTTCCAGCTGCCGTCTATCTTGGCACAGAAAACAGGAACTAGTTTGGCTTGTCCCAAGGGAGGTCCTGTAACATCTCTACATTTTTCTGAGAATACAGAATATATGCTCATTCTCTTATTCAGCTGTGGCTGCCTAGTTCTGTCTGTTTTAATGTCTAGATGGCGGTGACAGCCCATCTGGGGCGGCTGCCAGCTTCAGTAGGGGAGATGTGGCGGGGCTTCAAGCCCCATGGAGCAAGCGGGGTCCAGGAATAGTTGATCCAAGCAGGAACACCGTGCCTACCAATCTGGCAGTGCGGGAACCCGTGCTCCTGGGCACAGCTGCAACCACCCAGCTGTGTCTCCGGACCCAGGCATCCCTGTACTCTTGGGGGCCCAAGAAGCCCCCTGCCCCCACATGCTCACAAGTGCCTGCTGCTTCCTGGTCTCTTCTCACTCTGTGCACCTGCTCCAGTGCAGAGCAAGGTTGTGGTCGAGCCCGGGTGCTGTTGCAACCTGGACCGGTGTGCGCATACTTGGGGTGGTGCTGACATGCCAGCCCCATCCATGCTGCCTTGGTCCCCTCCAGACTTTGGGCATCATTGAGCACAGGAGGGAGGCCAGGGGGCTGAAGGCAGCTCAGTGTGGGCCTGCAGATGCCCCTTGGTGCTGACAACCTGGGCATTGTGGACAGCATGATAATGGCTGTGGGAGGCAGCCTAGGAGGGAAGGAGCAGGAGGGAAGGAGCAGGTCCCTGGTGAAACCCAGCCTTCAAGCCAGGGAGACCTGAAGCATGGAGACTGGGCAGAAAATTCAGGGTGAAGTCTGTGACCCAGAGTGACAACTTTCTGGATATCTTTCAGCCAATTGAGTAGTGCTTTTATCAGGACCACCCAGGGCCACCCATGGACCAATCAGCATGCACTTCCTCCTTTCTGAGCCCTTAAAAACCCCAGACTTAACCACACTCATACTCTCCTTGGAGCGACCTGCCTGTGGATACAAACTACCAATTGCAGGTCTAGTCTCTGCTGGGAGCTGTTCTGTCAGTCAGTAAAGCTCCTTTCTGCCTTGCTCACCCTCCAGTTGTCTATGTAACCTCATTTTTCCTGGACTCCGGACAAGAACTCGGGACCTGCCAAACGGCAGGAACTAAAGGAACCGTTACACGTTCCTGGCCAGCTCAGCAAATTTTGGGTGGTGACACGCTCCTGGACTGCAAGGGTGAAGAGCAGCAACGCTTCTGGGGGCCCAGACTTCGAGATTTCCCCAAGCCACAGCTGCTGGAACACTATAGCCCTCCCGCCCTCTGCCAGCACGGGGCAGCTGCCCCACGCAATAGAAAGCAGCAGCAAGGCAGGGCCAGCCTAGGAGCCATGAGCCAGAGCAGGGCAGTGGAACTAAAAGAGCTGTAACACAAATGGGCTGAAACATGCCCCACCGAAACACACCTTAGTCCCCGCTCACCATGCTGCAGGTGACGAGAAGGGGAGAAGAGCTGTGGCCACCTTCTGGGAGCTCAGACCTCGGAGCTCCCCAAGCCAGGGCTATGACACACTCTAACCCCCTCTTTGGGACTCTGCAGTTCCTGGCATCTCTAAGCTTTCTGGAACCACCACATTCCCCTCATCCACACACCAGTGCCCATAGTGGAAGCTGCTTGCAGCAGATCTGGTCCAGCTGCAGCCTCGCATGGAGCCAATGCCTGTGCCAGTGGCTAGAGCTGCCTCCCCACTACAGCAGCCATTGTGCCTGGCTGTGTGCATTGGCCGGACTCCATGCTTGCTCGCTCATACACCTCTCGCTATTCAGTGCCTGGCTCGCCATCGGCAGGTGTAGGATCCAAGCTGGTAGCATGAGCTGAGCACAGCCTGCTGGGCCGAGTGGGTAGAACAAGCCCAAAGGGCAGGAGCAAAACCCAGGCAGAGGCACTGCGGACCTAAGAGGTTTCCAGCTGGTGAACTGACACCCTACGGATCCTGTTACATTAATAAGCACATCAGTAAGCCATGGGCAGTCCATTTTCTTCTGTTAGGTGAGGGCATATTTTAAAAAAGGAATCTAGCATTTGGCTACCTCTGTTTGCTTTAGAACCTTTCTATGGTTTGACTGCTTGTACTGGCCAAAATTCATGCTGAAGTTTAATTGCCATTTTAATGGTATTGAGGGACAGGACCTTCAAAATGTGTTTAGGTATGAGAACTTTGCCTGCATGAATGGACTAATAGCACTATGAAGAGAGTGGCTTCCTTTTTGTGAGTGCAGGTTCACCTCCTCTTGCTATCTCTGTGGCACTCTTTTTGCCCTTTGCCATGTGATGCTTCCCACCATATTAAAACATGGTAAGAAGGCACTTGCTAGATGCTGGCACCTTGATATTACACTTCCCAGCCTCCAGAACTGTGAACCAATACGTTTCTGTTCATTATAATTGACCCAGTGTGTGGTACTCTGTTATAGCAGCCTGGACTAAGACAGACCTGAAATATAAAACTTCTAGGCATTTCTGTTTATTATTTTGTGTTTCTTTATGCATTTAGCAGATTTTTTTATTTTAAAAATAAATTTGTTTTAAATCTCTCTTATATTTTGTTTTCCATTGATTTTTTTTCTTGTCAGTAATTTTTTATCTTTTTATATTTAATAATGATTATTTTTGTCAGTAATTATCAGAAATACAACCTCCATATAATTGAAGTGTTACAAATGGAGAATTAGAAGGAACTGAGATTTATACACATTTTTTTATGAAAAACAACTAACCAATATTTTTGCCTAAAAACAAATGTGTCCTTTTTTCAGATTCCATGACTATAAAGGTCAATTTTCAATACCATTCCCTACATATTTTCAATCCCATGCAACTACATTTCAAATAAATTCATGAAATTTTGATTATAAGCTGTCATTATTCAAGTATATCCTTCTAAATTTTTTTTTATTATACTTTAAGTTTTAGGATACATGTGCACAATGTGCAGGTTAGTTACATATGTATACATGTGCCATGCTGGTGCGCTCACCCACTAACTCGTCATCTAGCATTAGGTATCTCTCCCAATGCTATCCCTCCCCCCTCCCCCAACCCCACAACAGTACCCAGAGTGTGATGTTCCCCTTCCTGTGTCCATGTGTTCTCATTGTTCAATTCCCACCTATTAGTGAGAATATGCGGTGTTTGGTTTTTTGTTCTTGTGATAGTTTACTGAGAATGATGATTTCCAGTTTCATCCATGTCCCTACAAAGGACATGAACTCATCATTTTTTATGGCTGCATAGTATTCCATGGTGGATATGTGCCACATTTTCTTAATCCAGTCTATCGTTGTTGGATATTTGGGTTGGTTTCAAGTCTTTGCTATTGTGAATAATGTGCAATAAACATACGTGTGCATGTGTCTTTATAGCAGCATGATTTATAGTCCTTTGGGTATATACCCAGTAATGGGATGGCTGGGTCAAATGGTATTTCTAGTTCTAGATCCCTGAGGAATCGCCACACTGACTTCCACAATGGTTGAACTAGTTTACAGTCCCACCAACAGTGTAAAAGTGTTCCTATTTCTCCACATCCTCTCCAGCACCTGTTGTTTCCTCACTTTTTAATGATTGCCATTCTAACTGGTGTGAGATGGTATCTCATTGTGGTTTTGATTTGCATTTCTCTGATGGCCAGTGATGGTGAGCATTTTTTCGTGTTTTTTGGCTGCATAAATGTCTTCTTTTGAGAAGTGTCTGTTCATGTCCTTCACCCACTTGTTGATGGGGTTGTTTGTTTTTTTCTGGTAAATTTGTTTGAGTTCATTGTAGATTCTGGATATTAGCGCTTTGTCAGATGAGTAGGTTGTGAAAATTTTCTCCCATTTTGTAGGTTGCCTGTTCACTCTGATGATAGTTTCTTTTGCTGTGCAGAAGCTCTTTAGTTTAATTAGATCCCATTTGTCAATTTTGTCTTTTGTTGCCATTGCTTTTGGTGTTTTAGACATGAAGTCCTTGCCCAGGCCTATGTCCTGAATGGTAATGCCTAGGTTTTCTTCTAGGGTTTTTATGGTTTTAGGTCTAAAGTTTAAGTCTTTAATCCATCTTGAATTGATTTTTGTATAAGGTGTAAGGAAAGGATCCAGTTTCAGCTTTCTACATATGGCTAGCCAGTTTTCCCAGCACCATTTATTAAATATGGAATCCTTTCCCCATTGCTTGTTTTTCTCAGGTTTTTCAAAGATCAGATAGTTGTAGATATGCGGCGTTGTTTCTGAGGGCTCTGTTCTGTTCCACTGATCTATATCTCTGTTTTGGTACCAGTACCATACTGTTTTGGTTACTGTAGCCTTGTAGTATAGTTTGAAGTCAGGTAGCATGATGCCTCCAGCTTTGTTCTTTTGGCTCAGGATTGACTTGGTGATGCGGGCTCTTTTTTGGCTCCATATGAACTTTAAAAGTAGTTTTTTCCAATTCTGTGAAGAAAGTCATTGGTAGCTTGATGGGGATGGCATTGAACCTATGAATTACCTTGGGCAGTATGGCCATTTTCACAATATTGATTCTTCCTACCCATGAGCATGGAATGTTCTTCCATTTGTTTGTATCCTCTTTTATTTCCTTGAGCAGTGGTTTGTAGTTCTCCTTGAAGAGGTCCTTCACATCCCTTGTAAGTTGGATTCCTAGGTATTTTATTCTCTTTGAAGCAATTGTGAATGGGATTTCACTCATGATTTGGCTCTCTGTTTGTGTGTTATTGGTGTATAAGAATGCTTGTGATTTTTGTACATTGATTTTGTATCCTGAGACTTTGCTGAAGTTGCTTATCAGCTTAAGGAGATTTTGGGATGAGACAATGGGGTTTTCTAGATATACAATCATGTCGTCTGCAAACAGGGACAATTTGACTTCCTCTTTTCCTAATTGAAAACCCTTTATTTCCTTCTCCTGCCTAATTGCCCTGGCCAGAACTTCCAACACTATGTTGAATAGGAGTGGTGAGAGAGGGCATCCCTGTCTTGTGCCAGTTTTCAAAGGGAATGCTTCCAGTTTTTGCCCATTCAGTATGATGTTAACTGTGGGTTTGTCATAGATAGCTCTTATTATTTTGAGATACGTCCCATCAATACCTAATTTATTGAGAGTTTTTAGAATGAAGGGTTGTTGAATTTTGTCAAAGGCCTTTTCTGCATCTGTTGAGATAATCATGTGGTTTTTGTCTTTGGTTCTGTTTATATGCTGGATTACATTTACTGATTTGCGGATATTGAACCAGCCTTGCATCCCAGGGATGAAGCCCACTTGATCGTGGTGGATAAGCTTTTTGATGTGCTGCTGGATTCGGTTTGCCAGTATTTTATTGAGGATTTTTGCATCCATGTTCATCAAGGATATTGGTCTAAAATTCTCTTTTTTGGTTGTGTCTCTGTCCGGCTTTGGTATCAGGATGATGCTGGCCTCATAAAATGAGACAGGGAGGATTCCTTCTTTTTCTATTGATTGGAATAGTTTCAGAAGGAAGGGTACCAGTTCCTCCTTGTACCTCTGGTAGAATTCGGCTGTGAATCCATCTGGTCCTGGACTCTTTTTGTTTGGTAAGCTATTGATTATTGCCACAATTTCAGCTCCTGTTATTGGTCTATTCAGAGATTCAACTTCTTCCTGGTTTAGTCTTGGGAGGGTGTATGTGTCGAGGAATTTATCCATTTCTTCTAGATTTTCTAGTTTATTTGCGTAGAGGTGTTTGTAGTATTCTCTGATGGTAGTTTGTATTTCTGTGGGATCGATGGTGATATCCCCTTTATCATTTTTTATTGCATCTATTTGATTCTTCTCTCTTTTTTTCTTTATTAGTCTTGCTAGCGGTCTATCAATTTTGTTGATCCTTTCAACAAATCAGCTCCCGGATTCGTTAATGTTTTGAAGGGTTTTTTGTGTCTCTATTTCCTTTAGTTCTGCTCTGATTTTAGTTATTTCTTGCCTTCTGCTAGCTTTTGAATGTGTTTGCTCTTGCTTTTCTAGTTCTTTTAATTGTGATGTTAGGGTGTCAATTTTGGATCTCTCCTGCTTTCTCTTGTGGGCATTTAGTGCTATAAATTTCCCTCTACACACTGCTTTGCATGTGTCCCAGAGATTCTGGTATGCTGTGTCTTTGTTCTCATTGGTTTCAAAGAACATCTTTATTTTTGCCTTCATTTCGTTATGTACCCAGTAATCATTCAGGAGCAGGTTGTTCAGTTTCCATGTAGTTGAGCGGTTTTGAGTGAGTTTCTTAATCCTGAGTTCTAGTTTGATTGCACTGTGGTCTGAGAGATAGTTTGTTATAATTTCTGTTCTTTTACATTTGCTGAGGAGAGCTTTACTTCCAAGTATGTGATCAATTTTGGAATAGGTGTGGTGTGGTGCTGAAAAAATGTGTATTCTGTTGATTTGGGGTGGAGAGTTCTGTAGATATCTATTAGGTACACTTGGTGCAGAGCTGAGTTCAATTCCTGGATATCCTTGTTGACTTTCTGTCTCATTGATCTGTCTAATGTTGACAGTGGGGTGTTAAAGTCTCCCATTATTATTGTGTGGGAGTCTAAGTCTCTTTGTAGGTCACTCAGGACTTGCTTTATGAATCTGGGTGCTCCTGTATTGGGTGCATATATATTTAGGATAGTTAGCTCTTTTTGTTGAATTGATCCCTTTACCGTTAAGTAATGGCCTTCTTTGTCTCTTTTGATCTTTGTTGGTTTAAAGTCTGTTTTATCAGAGACTAGGATTGCAACCCCTGCCTTTTTTTGTTTTCCATTTGCTTGGTAGATCTTCCTCCATCCCTTAATTTTGAGCCTATGTGTGTCTCTGCCCATGAGATGGGTTTCCTGAATACAGCCCACTGATGGGTCTTGACTCTTTATCCAATTTGCCAGTCTGTGTCTTTTAATTGGAGCATTTAGTCCATTGACATTTAAAGTTAATATTGTTCTGTGTGAATTTGATCCTGTCATTATGATGTTAGCTGGTTATTTTGCTCATTAGTTGATGCAGTTTCTTCCTAGTCTCGATGGGCTTTACATTTTGGCATGATTTTGCAGCGGCTGGTACCGGTTGTTCCTTGCCATGTTTAGCGCTTCCTTCAGGAGCTCTTTTAGGGCAGGCCTGGTGATGACAAAATCTCTCAGCATTTGCTTGTCTGTAAAGTATTTTATTTCTCCTTCACTTATGAAGCTTAGTTTGGCTGGATATGAAATTCTGGGTTGAAAATTCTTTTATTTAAGAATGTTGAATATTGGCCCCCACTCTCTTCTGGCTTGTAGAGTTTCTGCCGAGAGATCTGCTGTTAGTCTGATGGGCTTCTCTTTGAGGATAACCCGACCTTTCTCTCTGGCTGCCCTTAGCATTTTTTCCTTCATTTCAACTTTGGTGAATCTGATAATTATGTGTCTTGGAGTTGCTCTTCTCGAGGAGTATCTTTGTGGCGTTCTCTGTATTTCCTGAATCTGAACGTTGGCCTGCCTTGCTAGATTGGAGAAGTTCTCCTGGATAATATCCTGCAGAGTGTTTTTCAACTTGGTTCCATTCTCCCCGTCACTTTCAGGTACACCAATCAGACGTAGATTTGGTCTTTTCACATAGTCCCATACTTCTTGGAGGCTTTGCTCGTTTCTTTTCATTCTTTTTTCTCTAAACTTCCCTTCTCGCTTCATTTCATTCATTTCATCTTCCATCGCTGATACCCTTTCTTCCAGTTGATCGCATCAGCTCCTTAGGCTTCTGCATTCTTCACGTAGTTCTCGAGCCTTGTTTTTCAGCTCCATCAGCTCGTTTAAGCACTTCTCTGTATTGGTGATTCTAGTTATACATTCTTCTAAATTTTTTTTCAAAGTTTTCAACTTCTTTGCCTTTGGTTTGAACGTCCTCCCGTAGCTAGGAGTAATTTGATCATCTGAAGCCTTCTTCTCTCAGCTCGTCAAAGTCATTCCCCGTCCAGCTTTGTTCCATTGCTGGTGAGGAACTGCATTCCATTGGAGGAGGAGAGGTTCTCTGCTTTTTAGAGTTTCCAGTTTTTCTGCTCTGTTTTTTCCCCATCTTTGTGGTTTTATCTACTTTTGGTCTTTGATGATGGTGATGTACAGATGGGTTTTTGGTGTGGATGTCCTTTCTGTTTGTTAGTTTTCCTTCTAACAGACAGGACCCTCAGCTGCAGGTCTGTTGGAGTACCCGGCCGTGTGAGGTTTCATTCTGCCCCTGCTGGGGGGTGCCTCCCAGTTAGGCTGCTCAGGGGTCAGGGGTCAGGGGTCGGGGACCCACTTGAGGAGGCAGTCTGCCCATTCTCAGATCTCCAGCTGTGTGCTGGGAGAACCACTGCTCTCTTCAAAGCTGTCAGACAGGGACATTTAAGACTGCAGAGGTTACTGCTGTCTTTTTGTTTGTCTGTGCCCGCCCCCAGAGGTGGAGCCTACAGAGGCAGGCAGGCGTCTTTGAGCTGTGTTGAGCTCCACCCAGTTCGAGCTTCCTGGCTGCTTTGTTTTCCTAAGTGAGCCTGGGCAATGGCGGGGGCCCCTCCCGCAGCCTTGCTGCTGCCTTGCAGTTTCATCTCAGACTGCTGTGCTAGCAATCAGTGAGACTCCATGGGCATAGGACCCTCTGAGACAGGTGCGGGATATAATCTCCTGGTGCGCCGTTTTTTAAGCCCGTCGGAAAAGCGCAATATTCAGGTGGGAGTGACTCGATTTTCCATGTGCTGTCTGTCACCACTTTCTTTGACTAGGAAAGGGAACTCCCTGTCCCCTTGCGCTTCCCGAGTGAGGCAATTCCTCGCCCTGCTTCAGCTCATGCATGGTGCACGCACCCACTGACCTGCGTCCACTCTCTGGCACTCCCTAGTGAGATGAACCCAGTACCTCAGATGGAAATGCGGAAATCACCTGTCTTCTGCGTTGCTCACGTTGGGAGCTGTAGACCAGAGCTGTTCCTATTCGGCCATCTTGGCTCCTCCCCCCTCTAAATTTTCTAAGTTGGGAAATTGATAATAAAAGAAAGGCCTTTTGGAAAAATGTAGAATTTTAGAAATTGAAAGGACCTTCACATGAGTTATAGTAATGGGAATATTCAAAGTATTGTCTTATGTAATTTCTGCTCATTCTAACCCGTATTAACCTGTAAAAATTAGAATTATCTAATTTTTTTAGGGATTCATTGGTGTTTAATACACTTCACTCAAGTCTATTACCAACTAAATATGAGTATAGGCTTGTAATATGAGAAGAAATAAGTAAACCCTATCTTTAAATTGTAATGGTACACATTATTTTATATTCCCACATAGACTAAATTGTATATGTATATATATGAAGGACTGTGGCTGTAATGTTCTTTGAACTCAATATTGAGTATGGCTCTTTGAGATATTTGAACAGTAATAATATTAATAATAAATTAGCCTTCAATTATTCTTAGATCACTATGCTCGATAAAAGAAGCCAGACACAAAAGAATACATACATAATTTTGCTTGTATGAACTGACAAGAAAAAGCAAATCTGAAGAGGCAGAAAGTAGATTAGTGGTCACCTCGGAAGAGGGTTGAGAATACAGAGTGACTGTAAATGGGCACAAGGTTTCTATAATAATTTTCTCACTGTATGCGAAAAAATGTCAGCATTGTTTTCTTATTTAAAAAATAAATTAAAACAGCTGTTCTGCCTTGTGAGGCTCAAGATTACCAACCAGATTGAATATTAACACAAGGAGGGTTGGGTTTTGATGTTCTTGCTGTTATTATTTAAGTTAGACTTACAGAAAGGATACAGCAATATATCATATTAAAACTTGACTGTCATTTGAATTGTTTATTGCTTTCTACTAGCTGTTTGTGAATATGTTTGATGTAAGGACTCCATGAGAAATCAGAAGTGCTGAGGCTCTCATTTCAAATTTTTGTTTCTCTTGGGCAAACAGGCACTACAGTTAATTTCAATCATTGGCAGTAAACAACTTCACCGTGACGACTATTAGGCAACAATCATTTTAAGAAAGCTTCCCAGGTGACAGAGCCTGTGGTGCCAGAAACTCATTGAAAAAACTAAAGCCACAAATACAAAGAAAGTGCAACTGAGCCCTATGGATTAATGAGATACAAAAATGCAATTCAGAAGAACAAAACTTCACAGTTTGTTTTATTATGTGTGAGTCTATTAACTATGTCATTAAATTTGAAAGCAAGCCATTAGCTAGTCTTTCTCCCTATGTCTATGTGTCTCTAAATGACAATGAAAAAACATATTCAGTTGTAAAGTCTCAGAATATTCTCATGTGGGAAAAGTGGTACTATTTTCCCTTGATGTTTCCACCACTGTTTTTCTTATAAAAACCCAAAGAGATTTTGTAATACAGACATTAAATAGGTTCAGATATGGTAATGTTGCATTTCAATACTTTTTATCTTTTGTGTACTCAGAAATATTAAAAATCAAATACTTCTAAGCACTTTTTTTTTCTATTCCCACAACGATACTTTAAACTGTTTTGTGGTTTCTAGGCAAGGTAATATTGTGGCTGCTCCGTGCCATAGCCTTAGGCTCAGAATACTCTGAGTCCTTCAGTTTTATCCTTCAAAATTGTTCAAACTGCCTCAATGCTTTGTTGAGCAGCAGCATTGGCTCTCCTTTTCAGGCTCAACCATCTGAGCGTCTCCAATAATTAGCAATTTCTAAACTTTTAAATAGCATGTTGCCTATGACACATAACATATGCAGATCTTGTTTTGGGTCACATATAAACACTTCTGCTGAGGCTTTTCAAAAGACTGTAATGAGCCAGAATCCAAAATCCAAGAAATAAGAAAATAAAAATAAAGCAAGACTGAACTCCTGTATGTAATTTTGCAGGGAGTATGGATATTATTTATTACGTATTATCCTAGCTCTAATTATCCTTTCTCTAATGTATCCTAACATACATTTGAGAAACTGAAATGATCTATATATTATCATTATTGAAATTTTTCTCCTCTGAACATATTTTCATGTTTGCTTTTTGGAGTATTGTATTGGACTAATATCTTTTGTATTTTCCTATAACAGATCATTTAGAATACTGAGATTGCACATATACCTTAGAATAAACATGTGAATTAGAGTTAGAGTGGTTGTCCTTTACCATAAGTGTACACACCATGGTGGCAATAAAGATAATAACAAAGATGCATTATTTTTCAACAAACCTTGAACTAGGAATTTTCAATGAACTATCTTATTTAGCAAATTCCTTAGTTTATACTTGTTTGGCTAGGGGAAGTTACATCATCTGAACAAGTTCAATCAGAGTTTTTTTGGGGGGAGGAGGGGGAGGGGATCTGGAATTGGGTTGGGACGCATTGCAGGAGCAGAGGATAAAACCTAGTGGGGTAGTTACCAGACACTACATCTGGCCCATTTGTGATTTTCCTTTGTGAAAGAAAAAGAAAACAAAAAAACCCCCACAAAATTATGGATAATGGGAGAAATGAAGCAGACAGAGAAAATAAAATACATAAGAAAAAATAGTCTGGGTTCTAGGTTTCTGATGATTTTCTAGTTTCTGTCATTTGTGAGAATCTGCTGTATTTCAATTAGATGAGATATTTAAGCATATGTTTTCCTCCCTTACATTAGCTTTGGTTCTCTTGTTTTTATTCTACAAAACTTCCACTGAAGCTAATATTTTGATTAGCTGTACATACATGCACACATACATACACATACACACACAGTCATGCATCACTAATGGAAGAGAATACATTCTGAGAAATGTAGCTTTACAAAATTTTGTCATTGTGTGAACATCCCAGAGTGTACTTCCACACACCTAGATGGTATAGCCTACTACAAAACTAAGCTATAAGGTATAGACTGTTCCTCTCAGTCTACTAATATGTACAGTATGTTACTGCACTGGATACTGTAGTTAATTGTAACACAATGGTATTTGTCTATGTAACCATTAAAATATATAGTAATATATGGTATTATAATTATGGGACTACCATTGTTTATATTGTCCATCATTAAAGCATCATTATTTAGCATGTCTGTTCATATGGATATTGTTCCCATCATTTCAGCTAACTTAGCATTGTGCCCCAAAGTAGATTTTAGTTAATCAGTCTGAAGTAAAAGTATAATAAAGACAACAGCAAACAAAACCAGGATAGCCAACATTCAGAGAATAAGTCCCTTACCACTTTTTGTGTGTTCGTTTTCTAGTTTTCTAAACTGTTCCTGTAGATATTAAGCCATATAAGTTATGTGAATTTTGTTTAGCCTTGTCAGAAAGGCACATAGCGGTTTCTTAAATATTGCCTAAAGAGGCTAATTTGGGGTAACAGGGAGTAAATTGGTGGGGCTCTTTTGCAATCAGATATCCTTGCATTTACACATACACACACACACACACACACACACACACACACTATTCAAATATGTATATATATAGATAAATTTTCTGGAATAGAAAAGTTTTCACTGCTTTAAAATAATGTAAAAACTGTTGACTTCTTAAGATCTAAAATGTTCTCTGTTTTCAGTTTATATGATATGAAGAGCATAGATGTAGACATACACAATATTTATATGACCCAAATGATTGAAAATAAAAGATAAAAAGAACAAAACATAGGCCAATGCCCATCAGTAGAAATTTTACATATGTAAATCTCTCCATGTTGGTTAGGAGAAGTTTTTGAAATTAGCAACAGAAATACAGGAATAGCTACAGGGCTTGTTTGAATCATCAAGAAGTGTAATCCATCTAAGACCTCTGACCAGGAGTAGTTTTAAAAATAAAATTTGTTCTTTTTTATTTTTTTCTTTACAACTAAGACCTAGAGGTTTTTCTGGCCATGATAATGTATAATTAACTTTTTTTTCATAGGTTTTTGAGAAGCAATCAAAACAGTGGTAAATAAAAGTAAAAGAGAGCATTTTGCAATTAAGATAGCAATTGCTTCTATAAAATTATTGAATATTCAACAAATAGCAAAATGTCTTTTTTCTTTCAAACTTCATACTATTAAAAACAGCTAATAAAACAACTAGATATATGAGAATGGCATTGAACATTTAAAATAAGGTTTTCGTTATCAAAGGAAAAAGAAAGATAACGTGAGATGACATCATGAAAGATAGTAGAATAGGAAGCTCCAGGAATCAGTCCCTCTACAAAACAACTATTGAGCTGCCAAGAACTGTTTGATCAACTATGTAAGAAATCTTGAGCCTAGGCAAACATTGTACCATTTGGGGGTCTACTTGATGAAGAAAGAGGCTGGTAAATTTGAGTGAATTTTGGCTTTTTTGTGTACTTGCTGCCATCCCCGTGGGGCAGTCAGCCATGAAGATGGTGTCCCATGTTCATCACATGGCTGCTTGATGCCAGGGTGCACAATAGGCATTTTGTCCTCCAAAAATAAGGCTTGCTTATTTTATTCTCTATTTTTGATCACTGAGAAGCCAGCACCGTTGTTTACACCTCTATGAACTGAATCAGCTTCCTCAGAGGCATCAGTCCAAGGAATTTAAAGACACAGAGCAAATTTTTTCATTTTTTTTTAATGGATACAGGCATTAAAGTTAAATCTCTGTCAGATCACTGGCTGACCATGGAGATAATGGCACAGTGACCTCAGTGACAACGTATGACAAGAAATGTAGTTCTTGAAATAAAATAGTGTAGAGAAGTCTGTAAATTAATGGACCACTGGAGCCTGCAACAAATAACAATAGCAATTATTTTCAGAATTACATTACTTATTTAGAAGGTCACTTAATAAACAAAACAATTACAAAGCATACAAAGAAACAATAAAGTAAAGCCTATTCATAGGTGAAAGAAAAGAAATTTACAAATACCAAGAGAAAGCCTAGACATGGGTCTTCATAGACAAAGATTTCAGCTGCTTTTAAAGTGCTCAAAAAACTAAAAGAAACTGTGGACAAAACTAAAGAAAATCAGGAGAATGATGTAAGAATAAGTAGAGAATATCAACAAAGAGATAGAAAGTAGAAAATGTATTTTAATATAAATTCTGATGCTAAAAAGCACAATACCTAAAATAAAAAAATTCAAATGGATTTAACAGCAGGTTTGAACAGGCAGAAGAAAGAATCAGTGAACTTGATGACAGAATAATTAAAATTACCTAGTATGAGAAGCAGAAAGGAGAAAGAAAAAAGAAAAATGGGCTGGGCGTGGTGGCTCATGCCTGTAATCCCAGCACTTTGGGAGGCCTGGGGAGGGGGGCGGATCACAAGGTCAGGAGTTCAAGATCAGCCTGACCAACATGGAGTAACCCTGTCTCTACTAAAACTACAAAAATTAGCCAGGCATGGTGGTGCATGCCTGTAATCCCAGCTACTTGGGAGGCTGAGACAGGAGAATTGCTTGAACCCAGGAAGCAGAGGTTGCAATAAGCCGAGATTGTGCCTCTGCATCCCAGCCTGGGTTACAGAGCAAGACTCCCCTCAAAAAAAAAAAAAAAAAGATAAAATGAATAAATAAAGAGAGCCTAAGGAAACTACCAGACACATTAAGCATACCGATACATGCAGTGTGGGAATCCCCCCACCCACACACAAAAAAGTCAGAAATAAAAGAAGGACAAAGAAAGAGAAAATGGTTAAAATCTTCCAATTTTGATAACATGTATCTACATACCCAATAAGCTCAATAAACTACAGGAAGGATAAACTCAAAGATCCACCCCAAGATACACAATATTCACAATGTCAGAAGCCAAAGACAAAGAGAGAATCTTGAAAGCAATGAGAAAGAAGTGATTCATCATACACAAAAGATCCTTAAGCAGAGCCAGTTTCTCATGAGAAATTGTGGAGGCCACAGTCAGAAATTTGCGTAAGTAACAAGAAACTAGCCAAGACAATGGGGAAAATGTCTCCTGGGCATGTCAGAGACCTTCACAACAGCATTTCCCATCACAGTCCCTGAGGCCTACAAGGGAATTATGGTTTCATGGGCCGGGCCCAAAGCCTCCTTGCTTTATGCAGCCTAGGGACATGGTTTTCTGTGTCCCAGCTGCATCACTCCACCTGTGGCTAAAAGGGCCCAAGGTATAGCTCAGACTATTGCTTCAGAGGGTGCAAGCCCCAAGCCCTGATGGCTTCCATGGTGTGGTGTTGAGCCTGTGGGTGCACAGAAGTCAAGAACCAAGGTTTGGAAACCTCCACCTAGATTTTAGAGGATGTAAGGTAATGCCTGGATGTCCAGGAATTTTGAAGCAGGAGTGGAGTCCTCCTGGACAACCTCTGCCACGACAGTGTGAAAGGGAAATGTGGGTTCAGAGCCCACACACAGAGCTTACACTAAGGCATTGCCTAGTGAGAGGACGGCCACTGACCTCCAGACCCAGGAATGGTAGCTCCACCAACAGCTTGCACTGTGTGCCTGGAAAAGCCACAGACACTCAAGAAAAGCAGCCAGAAGGGGGCTTGTTGCGGGAAGTCAGGCACCCCAAATGGTGGGACCAGCTGAAGCCATGGCAGAAGAACGTAGATTGTGAAGATTTCATGGACATTTATTAGTTCCCCAAATTAAGACTTTTGTAATTTCTTATGCCTGTCTTTACTGCAATCTCTAAACATAAATTGTAAAGATTTCATGGACACTTATCACTTCCCCAATCAATACCCTTGTGATTTCCTATGCCTGTCTTTACTTTAATCTCTTAATCCTGTCAGCTGCGGAGGATGTATGTCACCTCAGGACCCTGTAATAATTGCATTAACTGCACAAATTGTACAGCATGTGTGTTTGAGCAATATGAAATCTGGGCACCTTGAAAAAAGGACAGGATAAAAGCAATTGTTTGGGGAATAAGAGAGATAACCTTAAACTCTGACTGCTGGTGAGCCGGGCAGAACAGAGCCATATTTCTCTTCTTTCAAAAGTAAATGGGAGAAATACCGCTGAATTCTTTTTCTCAGCAAGTAACACCCCTGGGAAAGAGAATACAAGCCTGGAGGTATAGGCCTATAATCAGCCCCCCGGGCGTGCCCGTCTCTTATGGTAGAGACTGCAGGGGTGAAATAGACCCCAGTCTCCCATATCACTCCCAGGCTTATTAGGAAGAGGAAATTCCTGCCTAATAAATTTTGGTCAGACCAGTTGATCTCAAAACGCTGTCTCCTGATAAGATGTTATCAATGACAATGGTGCCCGAAACTTCATTAGCAATTTTAATTTTGCCTCCATCCTGTGGTCCTGTGATCTCACCCTGCCTCCATTTGCCTTGTGATATTCTATTACCTTGTAAAGTACTTGATGTCTGTGACCCACACCTATTCGCACACTCCCTCCCCTTTGAAAATCCCTAATAAAAACTTGCTGGTTTTTGCTGCTTGTGGGGCATCACAGAATCTACCGACATGTGATGTCTCCCCCGGACACCCAGCTTTAAAATTTCTCTCTTTTGTACTCTGTCCTTTTATTTTTCAAGCTGGCCAACGCCTCAGGAAAATAGAAAAGAACCTATGTGAATATCGGCAGTTTCCCTGATAGGGGTTGTACCCTGCAAAGCCACAAGGGCAGAGTTTCCCAAGGCTGGTGGAGCTCCCTTTGCCTTCATAGAGAGTATTATGATTAGAAGTTATTTTTCTTCATTGATAACTAAATAACAAAACTTCTAGTGTTGCAAGTAAATTATATTAGAGGAGAGAGAGGTGGAATTGAGGGGAACAATATTATATTGTTCTCATAAAGACATAATTTTATAAGTACTTTTTGAATAAAAATATCTTCTGAAACATAACTAATGTGAAAAATCTTATGACTCTGCTCCACCTATAAAAAGTCTATATTTAAAAAATCATGTCAAAATAATCAAAAGGTAATTGCCACTTAAGTGGAAAATAATTAATGGGGCTGCATAGGAGTACTACAAAATAATACAGCCAATAAAAAAAGTATAACTGTTACAAACTTCCATTCACTTAAACAATGACTTGGAATATATAAGCCACATCCCACAAACTAAAAGAACTACAAATAGGTGGTAACAGATTTTTAAAGTTCTCAATTAGAAACTGAAAGATAAAACTGACAAAGTATTTTTAAGGATTCATAGGACTTAAGCGTATTCAATGAATAAAATTTATCTAAAATATGTTTTAGAAACTTTCACCTGCAACATGCTACAAATTGAATATTGATAAAATCAAGCCATAAAATAGGCCATAAAATAACGTACATTATAGTTAAGATATATGAGCCTGACTAAAAATGCAATAAAATTGAAAAATAACTATTAAACAAAGCCTAAATAACTCATGGATTAATAGAAAGCCATACTAACTTGTTTGAAGTACTCAGCAATGATTGACAAAGGAAGCACTACATATAAACATGTATTACAATATAAGTGAAACTTAAAATAAATTTTAAATTAAAATTTTAAATCCGTTTATGGAAAATAATCAATAATATTTGAAATAAGCTCAGTGTTTAAATCAGAGGCTATAAAATAATAGCAATATTAACCTTATAAAAGTAATAAAAACTATTAAAATGGAATAAAATAGGAATCAAAATATCAAAAAATTATTTTAGGATACAACAAATAATATAAAAATACAGCAACATTGATCAAAAATAAGTACAGAAAACAAAAATATTTAATATTTTAAGTAATATTTTCACATATCAGCCAAAGGATTAGCATCCACAATTACAAAAATAGCCAATAAAATATCTAAGGAAAAATCAATAGCACAATAAAAAAACAGGCAAAGGAAAATGTAGAAAATCTATGGTTATTTTTTGAAAACCTTCCAAAAATAAAAATTTTTGAACTTTGCTTGAGAGAGTAAGTTGTTGGTGAATTCACATTGGAGTTCTATTTTACACTGTGAAAACCCATACACACTAATGCCAATTACAAATAGATGTTGGAGATATTGGTGGGTTAAATTAAATAAATTTACAGGGATATTTGTCATAGCTTTTTGTGGTAATTTTATAAATTTGTTAATAATTTAAGTATCCATTATTATGGGAATAAATACATTTTGGATATTTATTTAGAGGACTATTCTTTAGTGGTTAAAATATAAGAACTGAATCTAAATTCTTTCTGGATAGTTCTCAAAATTAATAGTATTTCATAACAAACAAGCTTCCATAATATACCATTTTTGAAAATTTAATTAAATAATTAAAACATTGCACACTATATAGACATATATGTATTAAGCTATTTTAAAGGGCCATATACATCCAAATTCATAAAAGTGGTTAGCTTTAAGAATGAATACAAGGAAACAAGATTGTGAAGAGAAAGTGTGGAAAGATAATTTTTTTCCATAAAATATACCCTTAAAAAAGTAAAAGAAATAGCGAGGATGATGTAAAATTTGTTTTATAACTGAATAATCATGATTGCTTCAAGTAGAAAGGTAAATCAGCTGAATACTTTTGCTATTGACCACTACACACATTAAGCCTTATAAAAAGGAAAATTCAGCCAGGCACAGTGGCTGACACCTGTAATCCCAGCACTTTGGGAGGCCGAGGTGGGCGGATCACAAGGTAAGGAGTTCTATATCAGTCTGTCCAACACAGGTAAACCCCGTCTCTACTAAATATACAAAAAATTAGCCTATAATCCCAGCTACTCCGGAGGCTGAGGCAGGAGAATCGCATGAAACCGGGAGGCGAGGTTGCAGTTAGCCAAAATCGCCCCATTGCACAACAGTGCAAGACTCCGTCTCAAAAAAAAAACAAAAAGAAGAAAAATTATTGATATTGTTAATAGCAATTGTATACCCTTTAGCCTTGAAAATTATTGATATTGTTAATAGCAATTGTATACCCTTTACTAGGTTTGATGTTTAAGATATTTTCTCCCCCGCCAAACTTAGGGGGATCTACAACCACCATTTACCTTCCTTTAGTATCCAGCAACTGACTTCTGTTGATTCCAGTGCTTGCCCTCTGTCTAGGGTCTCCTTTCCTAGGAACTGCATTTATTCTATGGCTTGGTGACAGAATATGTAGGCATGTGTTTATTGCCATGAATCAAGAGAAAAATTACCTGAGAAAAGTAGACAAGTCTGAGACTTAAATAATAGTCCTTGGCCAGGATAGAAGTTAAAGCTCACACCACAAATGTCATAAAGATTATAAAGTGTAGGTAATTGGGTACCACTTCTGATAATGACTATGTTTGGTGGTAACGTGTGTTTAGCAGCTTTGTTTATATGTAAATTATAGACTGTGTCCAAGAAAAGTAGCGACTGTATGTTTGTTTGCCAATGCCTATTTTCTTTCTATCACTCTGTTGAAACAGCGTCAACTTCACATTTCTATTCCCTTCTATTCGATGTTGATTAATTCTGGTACATCATACCCAAACCAGAAAGAAAATGGAGGTAGAGAAGGAAGAGGAGAAAGAGAATGAGGAGGTGGAGTATAAGTGCAGAAAAGGCATTAAAGTAAATTAAGTTACATGGTACAAAATGAAGACATTAAACATTAAAGTAAATTAAATTACACAGTACAAGATAAAGACCTTTGATTTGCTATTTGGGAACTCTATGGTTTTCCGGCAGTTTGTTAATAATTTTCTAATCAAGTAGGCTATGAGCCTGAGCCAAGATTGCAAGTAATCTCAGTAAATCTGAATGGATGCAACAGAAAAAAAATTAGAGAGTAATAAAGATAATGACAGGATGTGGAACCAGAGGAAGATGCTATGGTTTACTTTCTTTTCTTAACAGTTACCTTACTGCACTAAGAATGTACCGTATACATAAATTGATTGTTTTAATTTTTTAAAATTTGCAGTATTTACCATATGTAATACTGTGCTTTTTCTGGCTGCATACATACCTAATTTCTACATTATCATGAATTTTCATTTAAAGAACTCAACTACCTTCTTTTTGCTTCACAGCGCATAATTCATTTGTCCTTTTAATTATTCTAACAGTCCTATAGAGTAATGTAATTATATAAAAAAATGAATAATATAGTTTAAAATCTGAAGTTTGTCATTGGAAAGCTAGCAAGAGACACATAACAAGACAATTCTCAGTAGGTGTAGGTGATCAACTGAATGGCGTGAGGCTTCTGCTTAGCTGACAATATTTAGATTGTTAGCTGTTTTATAATTGAAATTCCTTGCTGCAGTTCTCTAAAGGATAGAAATTTAGATGTATCATTTAAAGTTCTACTGCCACACTGTCTTTCCACAATTATTCAAGCTGAAGTAAAAAATTACTCCCTAGTTATTTTTAATCTGATATTTTATCAAGTAAACATATATATGAATTGTTCCAGGGAGCATTTAAATAATAAATAGGAAGAATTCTAGATGAATGCATTGTCCTTTAAAGTTAGAAGGGTCTCCGTCCTCAGAGGAGCAACTGAGACCCCAGGGCCTTTCCATATTAACTTATTAGTGTCACCAAGTCAACTAAATAGTTGGACAAACACAAATAAAATAGACATATATTCCACCTGTGAATTATTCTTGCTGAGTAGGTATATCACACAGTTTCTGTTGAAATGTTAAGAACTGTATATATATATAGAAACACACACACGTACTACTATACTCAACACTTTAACAAATATTCTCTACCTATTAAATAGTTCATTATAGTACAATTAAGAATAACTGAACATTTAGAAATTAGGAGTCTCACGAAAGATCAGTCTAGCCCTTACTGGTAACTATAGGAACTTGAATTTACAGTAATCAATGTACTCAACTAATCTACCAATAATTTGGCTCTAATTGATAGTTTCTGTAAGGTATTCTCTCCTGTATATTTTTTCTTTCTTCTCCTTTAAAATAGAATACTTAGCAAATTAATTATATGAACCAAAATAAACATCTTCAATTAATTTTTGAAAAAATATTTAATATTAATTATCTCTTTTCTTATTCCTTCAGTTAGAAAACATTTATTTTTAAGAGAAGGATTTGAAAAAAAAAACAGCAATTTCTTATCAAGCTAACACAGTTCATAAGACCTGAAAATAAATTCTTCTTAGTCTATTTTCAAATACAAAAACTAGATTGTATGTTATGTTATATTCAATATCTATTTCTTCATGGAGGTATCAAGTATCCTTATAAACAGTTCAGGCTTTTAATTCAAGTCTAACTGGATTAGAATCAGTTTTCTAATTTCCATCTATATAATCACTGGCAATAGTAAGTGAGCTTGAATTTCTTCAATACTGGATTAGAATCTGTTTTCTAAATTTCCATCTGTATAATCACTGGCAATAGTATGTGAGCTTGAATTTCTTCAATCAGAATTTGAAGTAAAGAATAACTTGTTTAAAGATTAAGTAATAGTTACCAATAATAAATTAATCACCGAATAGAAGTTAACATTCAAAAATAATACATAATTTTGCTGTCTTTCTTTTTATCACTTTCATTTCAGCAATATTTTTACTTCAAAGAATAATGAGTCATTTCTTGGCTTTAGTCAAATATTTAATTAAGAAGCTTCCTTACCGTGGATTGTTTACAAATCTCTTTATGGCTTGGCATCCATATAACATGACAATTTCACTACCGCCTCTCTCACATTAAAATGAATATACCCACTTTGCTTGAAATATACCTATCTATGTTGTGTGACTAGTTTGTTGGAAATATGTTAATAAATGATATGAAGTGATGTCACCTCTTTCCTAGATGCTGGGATGTTTGCTTCAAAATAGATGCTTTCTGGATCAATCAAATAGTAGGAATTCAAGTGTTGTGCCTTCCAGGCATATCTATAAATTTCACTGTGTGTAATGAAAGCCCTAACCAGTTTTTTTTTTATATTGACATTGCTGAAAAATATATATAAGCAGTTGGTTAGTGAGGTTTGTATCACCCACAAAGATCTCTTCTGTCTCTAGTGTTGACTATTCAAATGGGACATAAAGATGTTGGTATTTTTACGGTCCCACTAGAAATTTAATTTGTGCCTCAAAATCTATCACATGGGCTTTATTTATAACTTGACATTTTCCTAAAATTCTAAATCATTATTGAAAAGTTGAGTTTAATCAATAGCAGGATTATAGCCGACTAAAACACTACTATGTTTGCCTTTAAAAGCAGATGATAAAGCAATAAATTATTTTAATTAAGAATATCTTGAGAAGGATATTACATAATAAATATTCAGTCTTAAATTCAGATTTATCTTAACTAAGCTCATTATTTTCTTTCTAAATTATAGATACAGTATATGATAGCTTGATACTGGTTAATGTTAAAACATTGTTGTTTCTCTAAATATATTTGTAAAACATATATTTACTTCTCAACCCTGTGAAATGCAAGAAGAACTTTCTAGATGGCACATCCTCATCAGCAAATAAAGTTGGGCCTCAAGAGTACTATTGCAGGCCGGGTGCAGTGGCTCATGCCTGTAATCTCAGAACTTTGGGAGGCTGAGGCAGGTGGATCACTTGAAGTCAGGAATTCAAGACCAGCTTGGCCAACATGGTGAAACCTCATCTCTACTAAAAATATAAAAATTAGCTGAGCATGGTGGCAGGCGCCTGTAATCCCAGCTACTTGGGAGGCTGAGGCAGGAGAATTGCTTGAACCTAGGAGGCGTAGGCTGCATTGAGCTGAGATCACGGCACTGCACTCTAAGCCTGGGCGACAGAGCAAGACCGTATCAAAAAAAAAAAAAAAAAAGAGTACTGTTGCACACTATGTTTCTAAATCTATTAATGTGTTCTATATGCATATGATAGCCTTTAAATTATATTATACCAATCTTTATAAATTAAATATTTTTTTGACTGCTTGAAGATCAGTTTTTAAGAAAAGTGTGTTATAATTTCTTATTGCAGTTGTGAATTTCTTATAAATATGTGGGGTTGATCTGTATTTTTTCCATATAATTTATATCTCAATAATATAACTTGTTAAAATATTACTTATATATTTACTTTTATTAATAAGAATTTTCTCACATAATAACTAGGCCTTAGGCTCATTTTTAATATAAATACTGAGGCACAATCTATTTAGAGAAGGGGGGTTACTCTTTTTGAGGTGTATAGCCCCCCAACAATTTATTTCCACTTATTCTGTAAACTTGTCCGTAGTTTAATTATTTGAAATAGTTCATAGTTTCACACAAAGTTCTCTCACTTTTGACAGATGAGTTTAACATTAGTGATTATGAACATACTTTGCATTTATTATCATCTTAAATTGTGCTTTTTATTCACCATGCTTGTTCTTTGACTTTTCTACAACCTCTTGATTTTCGTAGGATTGATAAAGTCCTTTTCATATAGGCTTTTTAAATTTAATGGTTTATAAAATACAAATTTTATTTTTTCACTAGCACACAACATTTTAGCATAAATATTTTTTTCTAAATCCGAAACTTATTAGAAACTATGACCTCTTGTAGAATGAGAAAGAATATTAGTCATTAAATTTTCCTTTGAATTCCGTTTTTTCTGTATTTTTATCTGCACTTTTAATTCCAGTTTGCTTTGAATGTCAAATTTTTAGTATTTTTTTATTATTTATTTATTATCATCTATTGTTTACAATAAATTCTTATTTATTGTAAAGGTATTGCATACCTTTAGATTTATTCTATAAATTTCTTTGATCGCTATAGCTTTTTCCACTTTTTTGTTTCATTTTGGATTATTTTTCTACGGAATTAATTTTTCTTTTTATTGAAGGATAGAATTTAGTAGTTCTTTCTCATAGGGTCTATAAGTAGTAAATTTCTGCATCATTTTCCCAAAATGTTGATAGTACAGTTGTTTTGCTTTATCTCTGGATGTACATTCCAATAACTCAGTGGACGCCTGAAACTGCATATAGTGCCAAACCCTGTATTTCCTATGTTGTTTTCCTTTATATACATGTATACATACATACATACCCATGATAAAATTTAGTTTATAAATTTAAGCACAGAAGAAATTAACAGTGACTTATGAAATAGAATAACTATAACAATATGCTGGTATCACTACTGCTGTACTTTGGAGCCATTATTAAATAAAATAAAGGCTACCTGAACATATTGCAATACCATGCAGTTGATTTAACTGAGACAGCAACTCTGGGACTAATGGGAAGGCCAGTGTATACAGTGGATACACTTGACAAAGGGATAATTCACATTCCTGGCAAGACAAAATAAGACAGCAAAAGATTTCATTATGCTACCCACAATGGCATGCAACTTAAGCAATGTAGATTTCAGGAACTTTCCATTTAATATTTTAGGATGCAGTTTATTGTGGGTAACTGAAACTGTGAATACTGGGGGACTACTGTATACCCTTTCTTTTGAAGAGTAGAGAATAACTTAATTCCAATTTATTGCTATTTTCTACTTCGCTTTACAGCAATTACTTCAAAGTTTATGTATTCCTTTCTGTTCATAAAACATCTCTATTAATTTGACTCCTGTACTTTTGAAAGAGATCTGTCATTTCTTTTTGATTGATTTTCAGATTTTGTCTCTATATATGATGTTCTGCAATTTCAATATGCAATGGTAAAATCGTGATTATTTTCTAAAATTTCTTAGCTCTGCTCTTAACTTGATAATACTTCTGGCCCAAACACTCAAAATATTAATTGGTATGAGAGGATATTCAGCCACAATATTCATTCATCCCCAAATAGTCTTCAAATGTTACTTTTTTTCTTGTTAAATTTTATTCATTTCCTAAAAAAAAAAAAATTAAATATAGGATGGAACTACTCATTCTAGTCATGCTATTTCTGAACTTTAAAAAATATGTTTTTCACTTACATCTCTAGATACTTTATTTGGGGATATTTATTTATATTTATTCCCCCAATTTATTCTACTTTTTGCTGAAATGTGTCTAATATTTAATCTACGTACGATAGAGTGTGAGTGAACGTTTATTTAAGTATCTGAATATTTTTATTTCCCAAATCAGTTTTATTTCATACCTTTTATTTCTTATTTGTATTAGTTTTCTACTGCTGTGTAATAAATTATCATCAGAGCTTACCGGCTTAAAACAATCCATATTTATTTTCTCACAGTTGCTGTGCACCAGAAGCCCTGGCATGGCATACTTAGACTCTGCTTGACATATTACAATACTACAGTCAAAGTGTGGGTCAGGCTGCATTAAAAATGTATATATTTTAGGCCGGGTGCAGTGACTCACACCTGTAATCCCAGCACTTTGCCGAGGCGGCAGATCACCTGAGGTCGGGAGTTCGAGACCAGCCTGACCAACATGGAGAAACCCTGTCTCTACTAAAATGACAAAATTAGCCAGGCGGGGTGGTGCATACCAGCTACTTGGGAGGCTGAGGCAGGAGAATTGCTTAAACCTGGGAGGCGGAAATTGCAGTGAGCCGTTATCGTGCCATTGCACTCCAGCCTGGGCAACAGGAGAGAAACCGTCTCAAATAATAATAATTATTATTATTATTATATATTTCATTATTATTTTAATTTCTAATTTTAGGGGGTACATAGTAGATGTATATATTTATAGGGTACATGAGAAACCTTGATACAGGCATGCAATGAATGCATAATAATTGAGCGTAGAAGCATAATTACCGGGCTGCATTTTAATCTGGTGAATTGACTGGGAGAGGATACGCTTCCAAGGTAATTTAGCTGGTTGTCAAAATTCATCCCCTTGTGACTGCATAACTGAGGTCCTCTGATTCTTATTGATGGTTAGCTTGAGGCTGCCCTGAGGTTCTAGATGCTGCCCACATTTCCCTGTCATGTGGTCTTCCCACAGACCCTTTAACAGCATGTAAATTACTTCTCCAGTGCCAGCAGAAGAACCTGTTCTTCCCGTGATTACGGTCTTATATAACAAACATGTATGGTAGTGACATTCCATATTTTTTTCATATTTTAGTGACTAGAAACAAGTCACAGATTCCACCTGTGCTCAAAAGAAGGAGGTGCACGAAAGTGTGATGGACTGGGGATTGTGTATAATGTGTTTACCATATTATTTAATAAATTCCTTTATTCATGTCATGGTTGCTATTCTTTATATTTTTAGACATTTGTAACTACTATTTTCATGGTCCTCTTGGAATTTCTCATTATATCTCTATGTGTTAATAAGTATTCTCCTTAATTCACATTTTCTGTTGAAAAAAAGTAATTTTTGTTTGATAAGTTATAAGTGCTCCAATTTTTGTTTGAGAGCTTATGTTATATAAAATTTTGTTTCTCTTTGAATTCCATTTTGTTGTGTAGTTTTTTGTTTGCTATTTTGAGGCATCTATGCTGCATATCACTAAACTGGCCTTATATTAGAAACCTCAGGATTTTGTACTACATGGGAAATTTAGTCTGCCCACTAAGGTTAACTTATTCATCACACACAATTGCCACAGTGCCTATAGCCCACAATATCTTAGGATCCCTTGGAAATGTTTAATTTTAATATTTTCTTCAGTTATGTTTTTACACATTTGATTATTTTACCTGCGTTTAACACATTGAAGACTCTGAACACATTAATCAATGACTTCTCACCCATAAACTTTTATAGTTGGACTAAGCATTTCTATGTTCACCATTCTCCCTCTCCACTGCTTAACTGTAGCGTGCTGGATCTTCTCAATTAGCCACCATAGATTTATTCACTACTCATGTTTCTCTGTTACAGAAGTCTGTCTTATGGTCTATACCAAAGTAACCCTCTTATCCTCTTGCCCTCCATCATCTGATTTGATTCAGCCAATGGTAGGTACCTGTATGATATTGTATAAAGGAAAGGACGAGAACATTTATTTCCCCACATCCTTCCCTATAGTTATACAGATTGTTAGCGGCTCTGTTGCAAGGCATCAGCTCCTTTCTAGTGGTCCTTTTCTCTATATAACTTTAGCTATTGCTCTCTATATGTTCTGGCAACTCCACCCTTCATTTGTATACTGAAAATTACAAAATTTTAATGGAAGAAACTAAAGAAGACACAAATATATAAAAATATATTTTACACTCATGAGCTAGAAAATTTAATATTGTTCAAATATTTATGCTACTTAATCTACAGATTCAGTGAAATCCCTATCAAAAATGTGGTGGCATTTTTTACGAAATTAGAAAGAATAATTTTGAAATTCATATGAAAGTACAAAAGACCACAAATATTCAAGCATACCACTTTCTCATTTCAAAATACATTACAAAGCTACAGTAATTAAAACAATATGACACTAGCATGAAAACAGACATACTGACCAATGATATAGAATATAGAGCTGATAAATAAACTCATGCATATACAGTTAACTAATTTTTGATCGTATGGCAAGAACACATAATAAAGAAAAGATAGTGTCCTCAACAAATGGTGTTGGGTAAACTGTATATCAATGTGCAAATGAATAAATTTGTATTCTTATCTCACATAATACACAAAAATTATCCCAAAAATAGATTAAAGGCTTAAACATAAAAGCTGAAACTGTTAAGTTTCCAGAAGAAAAGAAGAGAATAATCTTCATGACATTGGTCTTTGCAATGATGTCTTAGATATGACACCAAAAACATAGAAAACAATAGCAAAACAGACAAATGGGACTACATCAAACTAAAATGTCTTTCACAGCAAAGGTAATAATCAACAGAGTAATAAGACAACCTACAGAGTCAGAAAGAAAAACATTTAGAAGCCATATATCTGATAAAGGGTTAATATCCAAGATATATAAGACATTTCTACAACTCAATAGCAAAAAAAAAGGGGTAGGGAAGCAAAGGGCTTCAATAGACATTTTTCCAAAGAAGACATACGAATTGATAATGGGTATATAAACAGGATGCTTAACATCATTAATTAGCAGAGAAATGCAAATAAACACCACAATATCACCTTACACCTGTTAGAATGGGTATTGAAAAAAAAAGCAGTAGTGAGCCTGTGAAAACTAAGAAATCTTTTTACACTGTTGGTAGGAATGTAAAATGATGCAGCTGTTATGGAAACGGTATGGTGATTTCTCAAAAGATTAAAAATAAAGCTACCATGTGATCCAGAAATTCCACTTTGGGGTATTTATTCAGAAATGTTGAAATCAGGATCTCAGAGATATCTGCATTCTCATAGTCACTGCAGTATTATTTGCAATAGTAAAGATATGGGAGCAACAAAAGTGTACATCAGTGGATGAAAAGAAAAAGCAAATGTAGAATATATGTACAAATAAATATTATTTAGCCTTAAAAATGAAGAACCACTACATGCCTATTAGAATGGCCAAAATCCACAACACTGACAACACCAAATCCTGCAAGGACGTGGATTAACACAAACTTATTTATTGCTGATGGGAATGGAAAATAGTACAACCACTTTGGAAGACAATTTGGCAGTTTCTTAAGAAGCTAAGCATATTCTTACCTTACATACAATGTGGCAGTTAAGCTTCTTGGTGGTTACTCAAAGGAATTGAAAGCTTATGTCCACACAAAACCTGCACATAAATGTTTAGAGCAGCGTTCTTTGTAATTGCCAAAGTTTGAAAGCAACGAGCTGTTATTTAGTAGGTGAGTGGATAAACTGTAGTACAATCCAACAATGGAATATTATTCTTCACTCAAAAGAAATGGGCTAGCAAGCTATGAAAAGTCATGGAAGAACCTTAAATGTGTACTCTTAAGTGATACAAGCCAATCTGAAAAGGCTACATACTCTATGATTCCAACTGTATTACATTCTGAAAAAGGTAAAACTATGGAGACAATGAAAAGATCAGTGGTTGATAATGGTTACGAAGGTGAGAGGAATGAAAAGGTTGATTACAGAGTATATTTAGGGCAGTGACACTATTCTGTATGATACTATAATGATGACTACATGGCATTACACATTTTTCCAAACCCATAGAATGTGTAATATCAAGAGTAAGCCCTAATGTAAACTGTGGACTCTGATTGATTGTGAGGTGTCTGTGTAGGCTTATCAATTGTAACAGTTGTACCACTCTGGTGGAGGATGTTGATAATGGGGAAGGCTATCCATGTGTGGGAGCAAGGAATATATGAAAAATCTCTGTGCCTTTCACTGAAATTTACTGTGATCCTAAAACTGCTCTATTAAAATAAATGAAGGAAATTTTGTTATATACAGCAATACGGATGCACCTTGTACACACTATGTCAAGTGAAAAACAACCATTTACAAAAAGACGAATACTACATAATCTCACTTATATGAGGTCATTAAAATAGTCAAATTCATGGGAAGAAATGGTAGAGTAGCAGTTAAAAGGGATGGAAGAGTTAGAAATGGAGGGTTTGCTATCCAATAGCTATAAAGTTTTAGTTGTCCAAGATGAATAATTTCTAGAGATTTTCTGTGTAGTATTGTGCCCATAGTGCACACAAAAGTGTATTGTGCAAATAAAAATTTAAGAGAGTAGATTTTAAATTTTCTTACCACAATAAACAAAAAGGACTACAGATAAAGTTGACATGTGTTGCTTTTACTCTTGTGAGGTCTAATTTCTTCCCTGCTCAGAGACAACTATGACATTCCGTATGGGTGATAATAGCCCACATTTTAAATTTTCTTAAATATCTATATTTAGCTGTATTTTGTTAGCTGAATCTTATACTTGCTGATTAATAGTCTTAATTATTCTAATGTTGTTGCTTTATAATAGCTTTTCTCTTAGCTTTTAAAATTTGTCTTATCTTGGTGTTGTGTAATTTCACTATGATATAACTGTGTGATTTGGTGTGCTCTCCATCTGAGGAAGACAAAAAAATCATTTATTTCTTATCAATTTGTAAAAAAAAATCCATGTTATCCAGGATGTTAGGAATTCCCTATAAATTCTGCCCTTCACTATTTTCTTGATAGATGGGAGATGGAACTCCACTATTGAACTTTTGTATCTCTGAACTTTTTTGTTATATACCTTTATTTATCTGCTATGGCTTACCTAAAGTATATCCCAGTTTTGAGGGTATTTTTAAATAATTATGTCTGAATGTATACATAGTGATCCACGTATATCTATTTCTATACACACACACAGATTTACTATTCCCGTATACAGCAGTTTTTTTTCAGACCTGGCTATATTTATTTCATCATTCCCTATTATTTATGAACATTACATTTCTGTGTGTGCACGTGTGTGTGTGTGTCTGTGTACATGTATTCTGTCATCGCTTTGGCGCAAAGAGTTAATTTCCATATGTAAACTCATCATCTTGACTAAAAATTTAAGTTTAAATTTGGAGATTATTTCCCAAGTAGAAGTTTGGAAATGTTTTAATAATATACAGGATAGTTTCAGTTCAATATTTATAATGGTATTTTCTATTACATTTTTTACCTATTTTAAAATCCAGTAGAAATTTAGTTTAGCTTCTTTTGTTAAAGTTATTATTAGAAGAGTTAGCATTTTACAAACTGACATTGGTTTTAAAAAAAGACTATTCTCACAAACTGATTTTGCTTTAAATTTCATTTATTAATATTTAAACACTTGTGATATAAATTACCTTTATAGTATTTCCTGTGTATATATTATTATGAAAATTTCACAGAAGGTTGGGAGGGAGGGTTGATATGTATGTCAAGAATTTAAACAAATGTGCCGAGGAAATTATCACATAATCATTCACTTGTCCTCAATTTACTTCAAAGATAGTTACCAGATAATCTTGAAACTATACATAGTAATGTTAATTTATGACATTTCCCTGCTAGACCTAGAGTTACTTGATTTGTTTATATAGTTAAAAAGTGTTTATTTAATATACTTATTGTTCACTCTCGTGACAACAGCTTTGCATGTGATCATATATTGAGATACAGCCTGCATTTTACAATACCAATAACTTTTTATAAAAGTATTAGCCAGTCAGTTTCTTGACACTCAAGTCAATAGAAACTTTTACTGGCTGATTCTCATAACTTTAATAAGACACCAAAATGACCTTAGATTTTCTCTCCTTACTCAGCTGTCGGTTCAAAATGCCTAAGGCTGAAATAATATTCCTTGCCTGTAGCAACCCCATGCCATCTGCCCCAACTGGAACCACCCTCACTTTCTCTATCTCCCAACTCTTCCATAGGTTATATCATATTATATTGGATTTTTTAGTTTGAATTTGAACTCCAAGTTATAAACACTTCTGACTTTTTTTAGGTTTGCATTTTCTTTGCTTTTTTTCTTCTTCTTTTTTAATATATAGAGGCTAATATTTGAATTTGCAATGACTTTTTTCTTCTCTGTTGCCTCATCACTATTCCCTTTAGTGAAGACTTATTTAATGATACTAAGATTGATGTGCTTTGGTTTGTCCATTATTTCCTGTAGAAACATAAACCCCACAGAGCTCAGTTACCCTTAACTTTATATTTATTATAGTTCCATTGAAATATAGTCAATAATATATCTCTGACAGATAAGATAGCTTAACACTTTTTTGTCATCTGACTCACTTATTATTTTATATCCAATAAGTGATTCACAAAGTATTACTTATGTTAAAATAACTTAGCAAGATAAGTCTGATAATAACATCATATTACTATTTTTAAATAATAAAAATAGCCTGGTGTGGTGGCTCATGCCTGTAATCCTATCACTGTGGGAGGCCAAGGGGGGCTGATCTTCCTGAGGTCAGAGGTTTGAGACCAGCCTGGCCAACATGGAGAAATCTCGTCTGTACTAAAAATGCAAAAATTAGCCAGGCATGGTAGTGCATGCCTGTAGTCTCAGCTACGTGGGAGGCTGAGGCAGGAGAATCGCTTCAACTCAGGAGGCAGAAGTTGCAGTGAGCCAAGATTGTGCTATTGCATTCTTGCCTGGGCGACAGAGCAAGAATCCATCTCAAAAACAAAACAAAACAAAACCCATCTAAATTAATTTATCTAGAAAAGATTCAGTATGAGTACGGTAATTATAGGTGCTTTTATATAGCACAATTCTAATTTACAGAGGGATCAGTCTGAAAAACAATGCAGCCTGTTGGATTTTTTTTTTTTTTGCATGAAAAACCACAAACTACAAATGTCAAATGAACAAAATAAATAGTAGATTAATATATACCAAGTTCTTTCATCTCCTTTAGAAGTTCAAGCCACGAGGCCTTTTCTTAAGACCAAATCAGTCTCCATAGAATGAAAAAAGATATATATTATTGTATTCTTATACACAAAGTTGGAGAAGTATGTCAAAATATACTTATGGCATTTCTTTTGTCTATAAATAGTGAGAAATCATTTAAAGGTGATTTTATTTCTCACTCAAACTAATTAGAATACATATTAGTAAAATCAATTTCCAATTATACATGTGTGAATTATTCATTTGATTAATTACCAAAATAAGACAGTTAATTTTTTAATCCAATTCATTTGCACCTAATATGATTCTACCCACTACTTTGTCAAAGTTTTCTAAATGAACATTTTAGGCAAATTTTTAAAAATTTCCTAAGGAATCACCAGTATGTTCATTGATGTCCTCCCTGAAAATCTTACAATTTAAAAATTGACTATCTGCCATCTGCCCAAGTATGTGCCAAATGTTGGGAAAGGTAAGGTCCTTCATAGACCAATTTAATACATTATCAAGAAAACCTGTCTAATAGCAGTAAATAATTACTTTTATGTGTTTTAAATTTAACATAAAATTATAAAGGTTTTGTGATATGATCTCTGAAAGCATTCAGAAAGGGAAGGAGTTAGTTCAAGTGGGTGCAAATGTGAGGGGGTTTCTGCAGACAAGAAAGAACCAGAGAGGAAAATTTGCTGTATCAATGTATTTATTTAAATCATGTTCATTGAATATGTACTAGGGTCCAATACACATTTCTAGGTATTTGATAAGCAGTAATGATACAAAACAATTAATATTCCATGTAGTCATGGAAATTATATTCTAGCAGTGAGAAAAAAAGAAGAAAAATTAATAGATAAATGCTATTATGTGCTAGAAAACAATACATGTTATTAAAAAGGGGTGGAGCAGGGGAAAGTAAATCAGGTGAGAAGCATGATAAGGTACACCAGAGATGGTGGGATAGTAACTTTTAACATTCAAAAGCTTGGCCAAGACAGACATCACTGAAGGTCAGATTTGAACCAAGTTTTGAGGAAGAGTTAGCCATGCAAATATCTACCTGGAGCATTCCAGGTAGAAAAAAAAAAAAAAAAAAAAAAAAACAGAAAAAAGGCTCAAAGGTCTAAGTAAACCTAGTGTGTTCAAGAACTGGGGGCGGCTACAGAGAAAGTATACTAGACCATGTAAGGCCTTGATATATATTGCAAGGACTTTGGCTTTTACTCTGACTGAAATATGAGGTTACTGCAGAATTTTGAGCACAAGAATGACAAGATCTAACTTATGTTTGGTATCTGTGTTGAGGACCATTATCGACATATGCAAGTGAATGAGGTGGATGAGATTAGACACAAACATATTATGAGTCTTTTGGAGTAATCCAACTGAAGAATGACAGTAACTTAGCTCATTAAAAGTGAGAAAAGTAATTGAAATTTGAGGAGGGTAGACTTCCATAGATGCAAATGTTGCAGGTAGGTATATATGGTAGTGAGAGTCTGTGGAAGTTACAGAACTAACAACAATTAGTAAATTGGATGTGCAGCATGCATAGATTAACCATAATGTATTATCAAAACAGGCAACTATGAGAGAGAGGATATTAATATAATCAAGAAATATATATTATATAATGACTATATATTAATGTGTAACACACAATTATTGGATTTTAATTAATTTAATATATTTTCAGAATAATATATCTGTGTTGTATATTGTTGTGTAAAAATTTAGCATTTTAAAACAATGTGAATATATGCTCTTACATTTGGGTCTGAAGTCTGGGTACAGGTTAACTGGGTCTTATACTCAGGATCTCATGTCACTGAATCAAGTTCTCTACATGGACCATGATCTCATCTGATGCTTCAGATTATCTTCCAAGTTCACTAGTCGTTGGCAGAATTCAGTCCCTTGTGGCTGTATGAGTGAGGGTCAGTTTCCTTCCTTCCTTCCTTCCTTCCTTCCTTCCTTCCTTCCTTCCTTCCTTCCTTCCTTCCTTCTTTCTTTCTTTCTTTCTTTCTTTCTTTCTTTCTTTCTTTCTTTCTTTCTTTCTTTCTTTCCCTCCCTTCCTTCCTTTCCTTCCTTCCTTCCTTCCTTCTTTCTTTCTTTCTTTCTTTTTTTCTTTCTTTCTTTCTTTCTTTCTTTCTTTCTTTCTTTCTCTCTTTCTTTCTTTTTCCTTCCTTCCTTCCTTCCATCCTTCCTTCCTTCCTTCCTTCCTTTCTTCCTTTCTTTCTTTTTCCTTTCTCTTCCCTCTTCCCTCTTCCCTTCCCTTCCCTTCCCTTCTCTTCCCTTCCACTGGACCTCATTCATTCATACAACCACAAGGGACTGAATTCTGCCAACAACTCAGAAAGAAAATTGGACCTTGGGACACTTGGGAATACTTTCAACTCCTTGAAGCTATGTGAGGTACCTAGATACATGTCCTATTCACAGCATGGCAGCTAAAATTAGTTAAAGCCAGCAAAAGTGTCTCTCTCCAGTCTACTACAGTGGAATCTTATATAATGTAATATAACCAGGAAAGTAATTGTTCCACCATATTCACAAATTTCTTTCATATTCTATATGATGATTACACTGGATATATGCAACAGGGAGAGGGCATCCCTGTCCTGTGCTGGTTTTCAAGGGAATGCTTCCAGCTTTTGCTCATTCAGTATGATATTGGCTGTGGGTTTGTCATAAATGGCTCTTATTATTTTGAGGTATGTTCCTCCAATATTCAATTGAATATCAATATCAATTCAATATTCAATTGAATATCAATATCAATTCAATATTCAATTGAATATCAATATCAATTCAATATTCAATTGAATATCAATATCAATTCAATATTCAATTGAATAGTATTATTCAATATCTAGTTTATTAAGAACTTTTAATGTGAAAGGAGGTTGACTTTTATCAAAGGCCTTTTCTGAATCTGTCACGGTAACATGGTTTTAAATTGCTTTTCTGTGTTGAATTGGATTGATTATTTGCTCTAATTGTTATTACAGCTTTTCTGTGCTTGATTTAGATTTAAACTGTTCTTCTTTCATTAATTCTTAAGATAGAACCTTATGTTGATGAATTAAGCTCTTTCATGTTTTCTAATATATGCATTCAGTGCTATAAATTTCCCTCTGATAACTGTTTTCAATGCATTTCACAAATTTTCACAATTTTAACTTTATTTTAAAAATAAAACTGTATTTTAATTTAACTTAGTTCACAATATTTGTATTATTTAGAAGTGTGCTATTTCAAATGTTTGGTAATTTACCATCTATCTTTAAATTATTGATTTTTAATTTAATTCCACAATGACTTCTCTTTTTCTAACTTGTTACAGTCTTTTTATAGTACACAGTATGGTTGATCTTGGTGAATGTTCTATGTGGTCATGAGAAGAATGTGTTTTCTGCTATTGAATGGGGTAGTCTATAATTGTCAATTAGATAAAGTTGATTGAGTGTTGTTTAGGTCAACTACATCTTTGTTGATTATCTACTCACTTGATCTGTCAATTACTGAGAGAGCAGTGCTCAGATCTTCAAATGATAATAGTGAATTTGTCTATTTCTCCTTTCAGTATTATTTTGATACTCTGTGAGGTGCATACATTTAGAACTATTATGTCTTTACAAATAGCCCATTATTCCTGATGATTTACCTAGTTGCTTCAGTTTCCTTTTGATTAATGTTAGCATGATACATCTCTCTTCATATATTTACCTTTAAACTGTTAAGAGTCTTTGTATTTAAAGTTGTATTTTTTTTTGTAGGCAGCATATATTTAGAAGTTTTAAAAAGTCCTCTCTGAAAATCTGTGTGTGTTTCTTTTCTCAGACAGAGTCTTGCTCTGACACCCAGGATAAAGAGTACAGTGGCACAATCATGGCACACTGTAGCCCCAACCTCCTGGGCTAAAGCCTTCCTCCTGTCTCAATCTCCCAAGTAGCAGGGAGTACAGATGTGTGTCAATGCACCCAGCTAACTTTTAATTTTTTGTGAAGATAAGGTCTTGCTACCTTGCCTAGGCTGGTCTCGAACTCCTGGCTCAAGCAATCTTCCTGCCTCAGCCTCCCAAAGTGCTGAGATTACAGGTGTGTTCTACCGCACGTAACCAATCTATTTTAATTTTGTATTTAGATGATTCATATTTAAAGTGATTATTGAAACATTTTTATTACAATCTTTTATCTTTATAACTATTAACTGTCACATTTGTTATTTGTTTCTTTTCCTCCTCTTTTTCTGCCTTCTTTGGTTTTAATTGAACATTTTACAGGATTGTATTTCATCTTCTCCCTACTGTGTTAATTATACTTCTTTTAAGAAATTTCAGTGTTTGTTGAAGAGTTTACAACATACTCTTAAATAATCTAAACTCACCTTCCAATAACTCTATACAACTTCATTTGTAGTGCAGATACAGGGTCACCCAAGTTTCTCTTCCCATCCCTTCTGAAATTGCATCATTCCTTTCACTTATCCATACGTTATAATTACCCAATATACTCTTGCTATTATTTCTTAACACAAAGAGTTAGTTATCATTGAAATCAATAATGAAAAAGAAAAAAATATTATATCATCATATTGTCTTTCTCCAATTGTCTAGCTTTCTTTATACAGATAAATATTTTTGTCTGTATCATTTTCCCTCTTCCCCTGAGATTTTTTAAAAAAATTTATTTTATTTTATTTTATTTTAAGTTCTGGGGTACAAGTGCAGGATGTGCAGGTTTGTTACATAGGTAAACATGTGCCATGGTGGTTTGATGCACCTATCAACACATCAACTATGTATTAACCCCTGCATGCATTAGCTGTTTACCATGATGTTCTCCCTCCCACAACCCCTCCAAAAGGCCCCAGGTGTGTATTGATCCCCAGCCTGTGTTCATGTATTCCCATTGTTCAGCTCCTACTTATAAGTGAAAACATGCCCTGAGACTTTTTTTTTTTTTTTTTTTTTTTTTTTAACATTTCTTGCAGGGTAATTCTGTTGTGGATAAATTCCCTCTGTTTTCTTTGAGAATTTCTGTGTGTTTAATTCACTTTTAAAAGATAGTTTTAATAAACAGAGAATTGTAGATTGATGCATTTTTTTTCTTTTAGCATATTAAATATATCACTCTATCTTTTCCTGCTTGTATGGCTTCTGAGGAAATGTATACTTTAATTCTATAGGTAGAGTGACTCCCTTTCCCCTTTGATTTTAAGATTTTTGTTTTCTTTTTCTTTGCCTTTCCATTTGAAGATAATATGTTAGTGTTGTGTGCTTATTTGTTTGCTTTCTTTTGTTGTGCATTAAGTGGTTGTGGTGCTCACTGAATTTTCTGAATCTGTAGTTTGGTGTCAATCATTAATTTGGGAAGATCTTGGTCATTATTGTGAGGAAACATTTTAAATTGTCCATTTTCAAGGCATGATAAATCTAAGTACTGGCAGCTAGGCTGCGGATGTTACAAACTGCACGGCTCACGCACCTAGAAGGTCACGATAAGTGAACAGAATGTAGAGGAGGGGTCAGCCCGTAAAAGGGAAGAAAGTTTTGTTATTGGGAAATAGAAACTTTAGTGGGGAAGGGGACTGGGCTATAACATTATCGGGGGATAATGAAACTTAGGTAACGTCTGGGATGATTGTAACCCCATAGTACTCAACCAATGAGGAAGTGGGGGTAGGGACTTGCGTGGTAGGAGATAAATTACCTGTTGTAACTGCCCTGGGTGTGTTTGCCTATCAGACACTCGATCTTGAAAGACCACCATTAAAAGTCTCGCTTCCGCTGTTCTTTGTGTCTCTGAGTCCATTCTTTGGGTTTGGAAGGGTGAGTGTGTTTTTCTCACAATTATTACTACTATTTTTTTCTGGTATATTTTCTTTTCCTTTTCTCTCTGATATACCTAGTAGACATGTGTTAAGACTTTTCAAATGTCACACAATTTTTGGATGTTTTGCTTTTTTTTCTTTTTTTACATTCTCTACTCATTTATTGCATTTCACTATGAGATGTTTCTATTGACTCATCTTCTACGTCACTGATTCAGGTATATTACTTTTTAAATTAGGGAGAAAAGAAGGTCGCTGGACTAATCCAGTTGTTCAGTTTCTGTGTATAATATATTGACATCTGGAGCTTTGAAGACTAGGAAATGACTGCCCATCCCAAGGTTAGAAGATTCCTACAGATAACAAAGGACTCTCTGTAGAATGTGTCTTCTGTATGAAAATTACGCAATTCAAAGACAAACCCCCCACCACCAGCCCCTGTTTTATGGTCTCTTACACTTTTGAGACATTATTCGTCTGCCCTAATCACCCTGATATCAGGCCTCAGACAACTAGACGATGCCCTTACACCCTGGAATCCACTGTAATTATTCAAACTAGCCAATCCTAAAACATATCACATCACTATTTCTCAGATTTAAAATTTTCTTCCTATTCTAACATTCTGAACATTCTGCTTTCTATCTTTATACAGCTGGTATTTTGGTATCATTATTTCCAAATTTCATAAACTTCATATGCAATATCTGATCTCCCAATCTGATTCTCTACAACATGCTACCAAACTAGTCACTATCGTAGCCTAACACATTTTTTAATGTTTTAAATGCTTTTCACAGCCCCTGTAATATATGAAATATTAACAGCTTGATTTTGTATTCTTTTATGTCCTTGTATCCCAGAAGGTAAACCTCAAGTCTGAAAGAAGTCAGTATGTATTATTTAGTTCTGTATTCACACCGTATTGCAGGTGTGCTCAATATACATTAGTAGAATTGATTTATTTAGTTAATCAGGTCATTATACTGATAATAGCTAACATTTATGTCTACTATTAATCAGTTATTTTGCTAAACACAATATTGATTACCTCATCTAACCCTTAGATTTCTAATTCAACTTCTATTTAGAGAGAATATGTGACTATTCATAATCATAAAAACGATGAATCTAGCTGGTTGCAAATACAGAATTTTTATGTCTATAATGTACAGTCTCCTACTGTTTTTAACAACTCTCTTAGAAAATAGATTTAGATTATAATTCAGCACAGAAAAGTCATTGTGGGCCAACTATTAAAGAAAGAATTTTTTACTTTTATACAGAAAGCAATGTATTTTATCATGGAATAATTAAGGCAAATGATGTGATTTTGTAAAAAAGTGTCAAAAACAATATATCCTAATTAGGAAGATAGAAAATTCTCACTAATATTTTTAAATTCAATTATAAATGTTACTTAATTCATTTAATAAATCATTTTATTTTTATCCCAGTTTCTTCATATAAAATAGGATTGCTTCTGTTTATATCCTTACCTTATCTATTAAATCAATTAAAAATTATTCTAAAATATATCAAAGTTACGATTTTAGTAACGATTGATTGTAATTATTGTAACCTAGTTCCTATCTAATTTATTTGTTTCTGTGAATATAGGGTTAATACGTATTTCACAAATTACCGAAAGTATTATTTTTGTTATACTACTTGAAACAAGATTAGATTCTTTAGAAAAGTTACACTTTGAATTTTTTAATGAAATCACAAGTAACTAAGTGAAATGCAGTGTAATTTTTTCATATCTTAATAATCTTAATAATAAAGACAGAATTTTATAAAATATTAATCTAAAATATTTTAAAAACTCATATGTATGATTTATCAATAGGGCAAAAGACACTACTGATTATCTTATTTGCTAACACTTAAACTTACAATATGCTTAATTTTGCAATTTTATGACGTGACAATTTTATGATAAATGGGAAAAATAAAATTTAAAAAGTATAAATAAAAATATTTTATTCACTTTTCTCACACTTGGATGTTGTAATAAAATTTAAAAAAAGAAAGTTCAAAAATCTAGCATCTCTTATGAGGAACTATTGGTACTTGATTCCATATAAACAATATTTACAGTAATAAAATGCATATTTTTTATAATAATCATTACTAACTTTAGATAAAACACAAACTTCTTTTCAATTTCACTTTCAGATTTTGCTCTTTCAGGAACTTGTAAATGCTATTTACACTGAGGAGAAAATATAGAAAAATTAGGATGAGAATTGTTAAATATCTGAATATTTCTAAGCAGATGGCACCAGTGTAATGTTTTCTCACGCTGACTTTCCATGTGTGCCTATTTCAGCTATTCTTTTAATCCATCACCCACAAACTCTTGCTAATATTTTCCATTCATCCATTATTAAGGCAGTTGTAATTTGCTTGTTCAATATTTTGACTCTGACAAGGAAGCTCCTCTTTGCTTATGAAATTTAGTTCTCACATTGCTGCCACTAGTGTAATTCAGATTTTATCTGACAGAGTAAATGAGAAAATGTCACCCACACAAAAAAGAGTCTAACATAGTTCTATGAGGAACATGTTATATTTATAAGATAAGGGCATCAATTAATAATACAAGAAATTCAAACAAGTTAATTAGAATAAACTTTTTTTTCTATAAATATGTATTCCTAATATTTTCTTAAGGCAGGCTTGTAATGAAAAGCATAATACAAACTATGCTATTTTTGTCCTATATAAGCTTGGGATTTGTGTTTGATATATACTATTGATTTTCTTGGAAGCATATAAATATATATACAAATATGTATGCATTTATATGTTTGTACATACACATACGTATTTCAAATTTGTACAAACACACATACTTATTTTAAAAACAAACTTGCTAGTATGTCGAGCTTCTAAAACTTTTATTTTTCCTTCATAAGGGATAATGCCATTTGAGGTTCAACTTGCTTTATTAATAATTTTCTTTGAAGGGAAATGAGAAACATTCACTTTCATGTGTAAATATAACAGAACACTAATTATTTTCAGTCCCTTGATCTTTTCAAAAGCTTAAATGGAAGAAAACTGTTGATTCATTGTTCTGTTCGTACAATGTTAAAATAGATTTTTAGACCAAATTGGATAGCTCTCTGGTATTGTTTAAACATTTTTTTTTTAATTTAAACACAATTGAGAGACTTGTAATCTGAAACTTTAAAGAGTATGAAAACATATCTGTGGCATATATTTTAACTAAGTAAATTAATTCTTCCCTCATTAAATTTGGATCTTTATCAATAATCTAACTGTAAAATAAATTGGCAATAAGAAGTGAAAGTTTGACTAGTCTCACACACCTAGGTAGTTATTGCTGTGTACCAATATTAACGCAAAAGTAGTAACTAAAAACAGCACACATTTAGTAACTCACAATTTTCTGGATCAGAAATGTGACTACTTTAGGTTTCTCACAAGGGTACAAATCAAGGTGTCAAAAAGGGGTGTGTCATCTGAGACTCATGCAGGAGATGATCTGCTTCTAAGCTCATGAAGATGTTGGCAGGAATCTGTCCCTGTTAAACTGATGTCCACTGGGGTGGAAAGAAGCGTCCTTCACCTTACTGAAACAAGGGTCTCTGTATGTGGCAGCTTACATTTTGGCAACCAGCAAGGAAGAGCATCAACAGAATTGGCTAGCAAGAAGTTACAGTCTTACATAATTTATTCTCAAAAGGGACATTCCATCACCTTTTCGTGTTTTTCTTTGGTAGGAAATAAATCACAAGCATCACCCACTATCCAAGAGAAGGAGATGAAGCCATGAATATCAGAATACAAAAATAACTAAGGGCAAATTTAGAGTCTTTCTACCACAGTAACCCAGCTAACTCAGTTAAATCATTGCCAGAAAAGAAAAGCCTTAGATGAATCTAAGTAGAGAATTGCTTACAGACAATACCTCAGGAGACAGGGGGAAAAAATAGTAGCCATTTTCCTCCCCAGCTTTTCGCTTACATGAATACTTTTTCTGCTGATGTCTAACATTTTTGAATGGGAAAATAAATTTTATTACTAATTAATTTCATTAATTGAAGAAATTTGTTCCAGATTAACAATGATCTTTTAAAGCTAATATTATACACTAAGTGCTGTTCTAACTGCTGGATATGCAATGGTTAATAAAACAGAAAGAAATCATAAAAGTTAAAATATTCAAGACATTTGGATTAAAAGCATATTAATTATTTTGCTTAAGGTCTTTTATGTTAAAAGTAAATAACAGCTACTCATTTTATATAAAAAAAACAGTTTTTGGACCCTTCCAGATAACGTAATTGTCAGTAATGAAAGGGATAAGAAAATATTCTCTCATTTTCTCCCACAGTAATTCCTTTTTCTCTCTAAACTGTGTTTTTGCTTATTATTATAAGCAAATAATAAACTCAGAACTTATTCGAGTTCTTATTATTCATACATTTTTGTCTCCTATAGTATGGTTGTCATGGCTATCGTGGCCCTGATTTTACCCCAGTATGTATGTACACTTAAATATATTTAATTGATAAATAATAGTATCTGAGGTCTTCTCGAAATATTGAAAATTAAAGACATAGTTTTCCTTCCATGTTATTTACATAAAGAGATAATTGAATTTTCTCAAGTACTTTTTCAGCATCCATTGATAGGATCATATGACACTTTACTCTTTAACCTACTGATAATATCAATTACACTGATTTACCAATCTTGCTTACCTGGAATAAATTCCCATTTGATTTGATGACTCATTTAGTTTTAAACATGGTAAAGAAAAATATATATTCAGTTAAATTCAGGTAATTGTAGCATCTATTACAATTTTAAATACAACTTTATAATGTTTTAGACAATCACTCTGATGTACCTCATTTAATATGTAGATGTTATACATCTGAAAATGCTGTTACCATCATTGAATTCCATTACTCGGATGAAACCTATTATGATCATTTACACATTTACAATATTTTTTGTAACATGTATTTACACATTCTGCATTTAAAGGACTAGAAGAAAATTATATAAATACTTTCTGTTCATATATTCTCTTAAATCCCAAACAAATAACAGCTGCTAGGTTGCTTCCTCTATACAGAATTACTTTACAAATTTTGTTTTGTTTTTGATATTTTCCCTTTACTTTGGGAGTAAGATATAATAGAAGACCATATAGAACATCCATTTTATTTGCTTTGATAATATTTACAATGTATTTCCTGTATTTATCAAGAAACACACAATTCCCTACAGTTAAAGCCATTCAAACTAACAGTAGGAGTTCTTAGTGTTGATGGAGCTATTGATCATACAAACATTAAAATTATGTCTCCTGTAGCAGATGCCAGAGAAGGAGTTGTACATTAATCAGAAAATCAATATACTTGTCAATAAAAAGGCAACATTTGACAGGATGATGTTGTCAGAAAACCTAGTGGCTGAGAACCAGAAGCTCAGCCACACAGCAAGTGACCTATTTATTTGACTTCAAGCTGCTCTCAAAGGATATAAGGAAATACTTAATGTAGCACCAAAATGCAAGAAGCTGTGTATTCTCCTTTCATTTAATTTGCTCTACAAGGGTAAAGGCTAGCTCATTATTGCAGTCAACTTTAATTATTCAATTTCTAAAATATTTACCTTGTTTTTCTGATTAGAATTCTAATTTTTTCAAACTGGCAGAATATTTATGATAAACATAAATACCTTTGAAAAACAAATTTCCTGCTTTCCCACAAAGCCTGTACATTATTATTTTTAAAACTGCTATTTTTAGCAATATATATCTGATAATCTGTGTATTTAATTTGACTGAAAGTATTTTAGGCATATAGTTGAATTAAAGTATTTAAATAATTATGACATGCATTTCAAATGAAACAAAAAGATGATTACTATATCACAGATACCTCACATTTTTCTTTCTAAATTATTTTATTCTAGGAAACCAAACTTCAGCTTACTCACTTTTAAGGAAATAAATATAAAATATGTTTTTTAAACTATTTGCAGATCGTTATTTGAAAATATTTTATTTTGCTTAATTTGTAGGCCAATTAGTAGCATCTTTATGAGTAATAATGGTCCAAATTATAATAGAAAGATTGTTCAAAGGGTGCTTTTGTTATAATGGAAGGTGTTCTATTAGAATGTGAAGAAAGGGAAACAACAAAAACAAAAACAAAAAAAAGCCTGCAAATACAGAGTTAAGATCAGATTTCCTTTACGGTTTCCTAGAAACTCCAAGGGTCTATAATTGAAACTATTAGTGGTATTAATTTTATTGTATTTATATATATAATTATATATGGTACAATAAATTATATATTTTATATATATATATATACGAAAAATACCCAATGACAACATTCAGTAGTTGTTTAAATTCTGAATTTCCAACAAGTAGTTAAAAGATAGCTAGCTGTAAGCTCACTTTTGCTAAAAACCTTGTTCCAGGTTTGTAGGGTTGTCCTTTCCCCTGCTTCTTAAGTACAACAGGTTACAATTAGTTGAGAATAGATCCAGGTTACATTGTTTCTTTAGAAAGTAGTCAGCTGGCCAGGCATGGTGGCTCACACCTGTAATCCCAGCACTTGGGAGGCCGGCAGATCACTTGAGGCCAGGAGTTCAAGTCTAGCCTGGCCAACACGGCGAAATTCTGTCTCCACTAAAAATACAATAATTAGCCAGGCTTGGTGGCAGGCGCCTGTAATCCCAGCTACTCGGGAGGCTGAGGCAGGAGAATTGCTGGAGCCTGGGAGATGGAGGTTGCAGTGAGTGGAGCTCCTGCCATTGCACTCCAGCCTGGGCCACAAAAGCGAAACTCAGCCTCAAAAAAAAAAAAAAAAAAGTAATCAGCCATCCACAAATGGGAGTGATACGATACTTACAAATTATTGTTGTCCCATAATAAAAATAAACAAAATTTATATCATACAAAACATTAAAATTCTTAAATGATTTTCTTGAAGTGCAAAATAATAAATTTGTAAATAAAAGTCATAATTAATTGTAGACAAAATGAAAATTTTTTAAAATCCGTTCACCCACGACTTTTTGCACTACACACTGCAAAGTACTTGATTGGAGTTTTAATCCACCTACAGTAGGAAAATAGAAGAAAATTAAAGACTATGAAACACTAGAATTGCCATTATTTTTTTAAAGTTATATTTTCTTGAAATTAAATTATTTAAGAAAATAACTCTACTAAGAAAAGCATTTCATGTGTTCAGAAAAATTTCTTAGATTATGTCTCTTCTCTTTTCAAATAAATGCTTCATAATTTAAAGATCACACATTAAGTACAACTCAAATTAGATAATGAAAATATGTTTTACTTAATTGCTATCAATTTAGAAAACCATATAGCAATTAGAATGCACATTTATATTACATTACATTTTTATAATATGTAATATGTGGTAAACACTCTTCAAAAAAATACTTTTGATGCTCTCAATTCTATAAGAAATTGCCAAAGTATATTCTGAAAAATATAATGCATAAAAAATCCCAGTAGTGGCCAGATGTGCTGGCTCATAGCTGTAATCCCAGCACTTTGGGAGGCCAAGGCAGGCAGATCACAAGGTCAGGAGTTTGAGACCAGCCCGGCCAGCATGGTGAAACTCCGTCTCTACTAAAAATACAAAAACTAGCCAGGTGTGGTCGTGGGCACCTGTTATCCCAGCTACTCGGGGAGGCTGAAGCAAGAGAATCGCTTGAACCCAGGAGGTGGAGGTTACAGTGAGCTGAGATGGCGCCATTGCACTCCAGTCTGGGTGACAGAGCGAGACTCCATCTCAAAAAAAAAAAAAAAAAAAAAAAAAAGAAAAAAAAAAAAAAGAAAAGAAAGAAAGAAAAGAAAATAATCCCAGTAGCATTCGCTTTTAAGAGGAAATACTTAAACTTGAATATTTTCATATAATTGAAAAAACAATACTCTTGAAATTTTAATCTTGTAATTTACTTGCTCTCTTTTTAGTTACGTGTAAAGTTTTTTTTAAAAATGATAGTTTTGCCCACCAATGGAATAATGGAAGAATATTGAGGTCATGAGAACGTTTTTTAACAGTAAGATAAAAATACATTTTTGTGTTAATAAATATGGCAAAAAGTGGGATATGCTGTATGTTTGAAGATAGGTAAAAATAAAATAAACAGAAAAATATTTTCAAATAAATAAGTTAAAAATAGGTTAATGGTGAAGTCATTTGAACTCAATTATAAATTAGTTTTAATTTTACCTTAAGGGTAGAAAGAATAATTGGAATGTTAAATCTGCAAGGAAAAGCAACTTTGGAAAGCAAAATATTAATTATTTGGGAATTGTTTTCATTTAAATTATCGATCTTATTGTTTTCTGAGATTAGCCTAGCTAATCAAACTGACAATAATTAGGTTTTTAAAAGTATATATTCTACATATATTAGTCTATTATTTCTGTCATGCACAAAAGCTGTCATCAAATCATATAATACCAGCAAAGTTAGAATAATTCACTGTGTTAATTTTTTTGCCAAAGATTTTAACAGTTTAATTATTTTCTTTTTGGAAAATCTTTAATTCTCCTTCAAGCAATTCTAATTATATAAAATTTAAAGTTGATTTCATACATTGATTAATACCACAAGCAGTCAAATTCAACTGCTAAAAGAATCTATATTTCTAAGTCATTAAAATGTGTAATTCAATAGAGACTCATTTAAAAACCAAAGAGATCAGATCTTAATGTTCTGTTTAGAACAACAATAGCAAATTATGCAAATATTGTTATTTCAAGTTATTTTTGCTCCCTTACAAAGCATTTTCTCTTGAAACTTAATTTTTCAAATATATGTGCATTACATTCAAATTTAAGGATGTCTGTTTATCATCTATATGATTATGGAGCTTGAAAGAAAATGCTGTTTACTTCCACTAAATGCGATGTGTCAGGATGCTGATCTTCATATAGTTTATCTCACTCTCTGTGAATTAATTTGCATTACTAGGGCCTCTATTGTGCTAGGTATTTCTTTCTTTTCTTTTCTTTTTTTTTTTTTTTTTCTGAGACCGAGTTTCATTCTTGTTGCCCAGGCTGGAGTGCAGTGGTGCATCCTGGCTCACGCAACCTCCACCACCCGGGTTCAAGCGATACTCCTTCCTCAGCCTCCCAAAGTGCTGGGATTACAAGCCTGTGTCACCACTCCTGACTAATTTTGTATTTTTAGTAGAGACGGGGTTTCTCTATGTTGGTCAGGCTGGTCTCAAACTCCTGAGCTTGTGATCCGCCCGCCTCAGCCTCCCAAAGTGCTGGGATTACAGACATGAGCCACTGTGCCCAGCTGGTATTTCTTGATTACTCAACTTTAGTAATATGATATAGTTGTTCAATCTGACACTGTGTGGAATAACCATATTGTCCAGATTTCTTGGTACTCTAAAATGATGGAGATCGAAAGAGATAATATAACCCTGGGACAAAATTGTACATCTGCGTTATTACGTATTCCATGTAAATAAGAATTGTTTCTAATTATTCTCCTTTCTGATAATAATACAAACAAATGCTCTCACCAAATCAAAGCTGCTTTCCCACACCCAAGTCCTTAACAATCTGTTCTAGCAAACAATACCTAGCTAGCCCAGCAGTGAGTGCTGCTGCCTGTCTGAGTTGGTGATAACCTCCAGGATCCATCTGGTTTCTGGATGGGCCAGACCTGTGAATCAAATGGACATATGATGGAAACCATCATCTCTAAATCCTTCAAATCCGTGTTAATTTATGTTGTCTGTCCCAGGATGCATTATTGGTTTCTGGATGGGCCAGACCTGTGAATCAAATGGAGATATGATGGAAACCATCATCTCTAAATCCTTCAAATCCATATTAATTTATGTTGTCTGTCCCAGGATGCATTATTGGTTTCTATTTACTATATTGGCAGAGTAGCATTTTCCATGCCTTCATTTTACTTTCTGGACTGTGAGAGATCTTACCCAACAGATCAAGTCATCAATTTGGGAGATATGGCAAATACTAAGTATGCCAATACCAATTATTATTTAGGGATTGTGAAATTGACCACTAGGTGGATTCATGACTCAACTGATTCCTGCTTAAGCTTCAGCTTATTGTGGATCTGCTAAAGCCATCAACCTACCTGGTGGTCATTTTTACAATCCCTAAATGTATAATTGGGATTGCCATACTTAGTATGTGCCATAAATACTAAAGCAATAATTAGGTCTGTCTGTGTGTCCAACAGGCCTCCAAATATTTATTTTATTTTGCCCTGTGAAGGAACTCAAGTAAATGACCATAGATATGTTTGTGCAAGCACTGGGTATTCATTAGTGGCATACTCTCAATGGTGGTGCTGCATTCTTCTTCCAGGGGACCTAGCTCCTTTTCTGTCAGTAGATTCTGAATTTGGAAAGTGAATGGAGTACAGAAACTGGCCCAAGAACCATCATGTTTTTATGTAGTCAGTTTTCATTATCTCCAGGAGTCTTTACCAGCTATTTAAATCGTGTATTTTGGGAGAAAGTTCACATATCAGTAAATATTTTTCTATCCAAACTTTTGTTATGGTTCCCTTGATCAGTACAGGCTCAATGCAGATTCAGCCAACATTACAGACAGATTTGAAAAATATGTGGCCATTAGAAATGTCCTATGTTTCACCGAAATTATTAACCCTTTATGTATACACCTTAATTGGTCATTGGATGGGGGTGTGCCCTTCTACAAGGTAATTTTCTGTACCCGAGGCAAGGCCTGAAGAGCTGAGATCTGAAAGCAGTCTGCTGATAGCTGGAACAGCAAGTCTCTCTTAAAGGGTTATTTGGATGATGCATCTTTCTCTTTACCACACATTGAACTAAATATGATATTAAAATATTGAGATAACTTAAACAATTGAGAAAAGCATACTAATGCTTTAGAAACAAAGAAAAAGTCAACTGGCAATTTTATATTTTTGACCAGATGATTTGGCAATTTATTGAGCATATTGTTGACTGCTATAGCAATTGAGGTAACTAACAAAAAGTTACATGTTTTAAAGGCTAAATAATTTCCATTATTACAGTATTTTACGCCCCCTTCAAAAAATTATGAAAGCACGTAAGTGAGGCAGATGATGAAGGACAAAACAACAGCACATCTCATCCATTCTACCTCAGAGCTTGGTTTTCTGAATTTAGTTTGTGACCTAAAGAAATAATCTGTGGTGGAAAACTAATTTTTAACTATTTTTTTAATTCATGTGAAAAGGATATTTTATATATACAGAATAACTTAATACGAGAAAAATGAATTACAAAAGTAGAGATAGGACTTTCAGACCTTTATTAAGAAAATTCACAGATGATGATACATTTTTTTCTCTCTACTGCACATGAAAAAAAAAAATGCTACAACCAGTAACAAGATTTTTTTTTTTGGATGAAACTGACCCTATGAAGATTGGAGTAGAAAAAAGAAGAAAATGGAATTTCGATGATGTAATTGAGCTGCTGGATTATCTATTTGAAGCAGCCCTCCTCTGGAATCTGCAGTGATCCAAAGACACTCCAAATTATTTGGGCCAGTTTGAGTCAAATTTTCTGTTACTTCAAAGAATCAAGTTTTCTGAGAGCCGAAACAGATGAAAAAAAGGAAAACAGGTTTACTGATTCAAATATTACAATAATTGTATAAGTGAAAGAGTGAGACATTAAGTTTTTTGTCAGAAGTCACATGTTGTAAAGAGAAAGAAACTAAACTTTAACCAACTTAAAACAAAAACAAAATAAATTCGGAAACAATTATTAACTTGCATAATCAATGGGAGGAAGGGTAGGGGCATAGATTCCTTTGCTCAGTGGAATTAAAATATGATTCTTGGCAGGGAACGGCGGCTCACGCCTGTAATCCCAGAACTTTGGGAGGCTGAGGTGGGCGGATCACAAGGCAAGGAGTTCAAGACCAGCCTGGCCAACATGGTGAAACCCTGTCTCCACTAAAAAACTACAGAAATTAGCCGGGCATGGTGGCATGCACCTGTAATCCCAGCTACTCGGGAGGCTGAGGCAGGAGACTTTCTTGAACCCGGAAGGCAGAGCTTGCAGTGAGCCAAGATCATGCCACTGCACTACAGCCTGGGTGACAGCGCAAGACTTTGTCTCAAAATAAATAAATAATTAAATAAATAGATAAATAAATAAATAAAATATGATTCTCTTATTTTCATTTCTTTTCTGTTTTCCCCTGGTTTGGTTTTTATCATGCTGTCTTTTTAACCTAAGCCTGAATCATGGGCACTGATGGCTGCCAGACTTACATTTTTCCAGCTTCACTAACAAGTGGATGAATTCTTTTTTCTTTAGTTTAGTACTGAATAAGAATTGAAAGGTACTGGATAAGAATTTTGGGTGGCCCCAATCAAATCATGCGGCTACTCATGTGTCAGAGATGTAATGTAAACCAATTAGCAGTCCCCACTAGAATCCTGTAGCTTAAGTTGGAAAAAAGCAATTCCCTCAAAGACGGTTTTGTAAGATGTATGGATAAATTCCAAAAGTGACAATATAGATGTCCTTTAAAGTAATGGAACAGGTTTTAGATTTGGTCTAACTCCAAGATCTGGGTTTTCATTTAGAATGGTTAAAAATAATACTCTCCACAATTGTCTAAATTGCCAGATTTATCAATAGTACTAGATTGTAACTTTAAGGTACAATTAAGTATATGAAAATGAGATTAAAATATGAATAAGTTACTTCATAACCAACTTCATATCAATCTGTCTAATAGAAACGCAAAGGGCTTCCAAATCTCATTTCACCATTTAAGTCATAATAAAAACTAATGTGTTTTTTTCTCAGCAAATAAATCATTATTTTACATGTTCAACTAGTAATATTTTTAACTATATATACCTTGTACAAATCTTCTTTCAAGAAAACCCTATGGGAAATTTAGCTTTGGATGACTTTATTTCTTATAGAGAGAATAATTTAACCGGAATTAAATACCACCTGTGTCTGTCATAATCTTGAACAATATTTTATATTTTCTTAAGTTGGAATAAATTTATTATACTGAGACACATTTAGGATTTTTTTTCAGAACTTGATTTTCTATATCCATGTTTTAAGTAAAACCTAAATAAATATAAAATAAAATACATCTATATTTTATTTATTGTGAGATTGTAGTATCAGCATCTGAATGATTCAAAGGCATATAATTAAACCACATGCTCACTACAGGGATATTAAAATCATTTTCTCTCTGAGTTAATAACACTTTGTTTTTACTTAGTTCTCCAAATCTTCTTTATTTTTCAAGTGATTATGTTACTGCCATTACTCTTGTGTTAGTGATTATTACTTCTAACTAGCAAACTTTCAGCTAAAAAATTAAATGTGTTTTGTTCCTAAAAACAAGGAAATAATAAGATACATTGTAAATAATTAGAATTCTATAGCTCTATCAAGTTCCAAAAATATTCCTATTTTGCTTATGGGGCAGTGATAACTGACATTGAATACTTGTACGGTTTGGCTGTGTTCCCACTCAAGTCTCATCTTGAATTTCTGTGTGTTGTGGGAGGGATCCAGTGGGGGATAATTGACTAATGAGGGTGGGTCTGTCCTGTGCTGTTCTCATGATAGTAAATAAGTCTCACGAGGTCTGGTGGTTTTAAATAAGGGGATTTTCCCTTTACAAGCTCTCTCTCTTTGCCTGCTGTCATCCATGTAAGATGGGACTTGTTCCTCCTTGCCTTTCACCATGATTGTGAAGCCTCCCCAGCCATGTGGAACTTAAGTCCATTAAACCTCTCATTCTTTTGTAAATTGCCCAGTCTCAAATATGTCTTATCAGCAGTGTGAAAATGGACTAATACAAATATTAGGTCATTTAATAAATTTACCCACAACTAATGCATTTGAAAATGTCACTGAAGTAACACAGTTTGTATTGCCTAACAATTCTGTACCTCTGTCATTTCTCCATTAATGTTAGAAATACATCAAGAGTAGGAATGGGAAAACCTATATATACTCTTAAATAGCTTCTCATCTGCTGCATTTAGCCATCTAATATTAACAGAATATAGTTTTTCATTGATACATAATAATTGCACATAATTTGGGGTAATTGAGATATTTTGATATGTGAGTGCACTTCATAATTACCAAATCAGGCTAATTGAGATATCTATTACGTAAAACATTTTGATAAAAGCCATTTCAACTGAAGTGAAATAATATCTCACTGTGATTTTGACCTGCATTTTCCTGATGATGAGTGATGTTGAACAGTTTTCATATACCTGTTGACTATTTGTATGTTTTCTTTTAAGAAATGTCTATTCATACACTTTACCCATTTTAAAATGAAATTATTATTATTATTACTTCCTAGTGAGTTGGTTGAATTCCTTATATATTCTAGTTATTAATGCCCCTTCAGATGGGTAACTTGCAAACATTTTCTCCCATTCTGTGATGTTGTTTCTTAACATTATTGATTGTTTCCTTTGCTGTCCTGAACATTTTAGCTCGAAGTAACGTCATTTGTCTATTTTTTTGTCTGTCCTTTTGAGGTCTTATACAAATTCTTCACTTACAATATCCTAAAATGTTTTACCAATGTTTTCTTCTAGTACTTTCATAGTTTCAAGTCCTATATTTAAGTGTTTCATCCATTTTAAGTTAATTTTTGTGTATGATGAGAGATAGGTGTCTTGCTTCATTTTTTTTTTGGCATATGGTTATCCAGTTTTTTTTAGCATCATTTATTGAAAATACTACTCTTTTGCTTATGTATGTTTTTGGTGTCTTTGTTGAAAATGAGCTGGCTGTGAATATGTAGGTTTATTTCTAGGTTCTCCATTATGTTCTGCTTCTCTGTGTATCTCTTTTAATGTCAATGCCATGCTGTTTTGTTTACCATAGCTTTTTAGTATATTTTGAAGTCAGGTAGTGTGATGCCTCTAGCTTTTTTTTTTTTTTTTGCATATGATTGCTATGTCTATTTGGGGTCTTTTGTGGTTTCATGTGAAATTTGGCTTTTTTATTTCTGTGAAGAATACTGAATGAATATTAATATTAAAAATTATAATTGATAATACAGCAGGGATCCCACTGATGCTAGATCATTTTGTGTAGTATTGACTTTTTTTTCTTTTGAGAAGGAGTTTCACTCTTGTCACCCAGGCTGGAGCGCAAATGCTGCAATCTCTACTCACTGCAACCTCCACCTCCTAGGTTCAAGGGATTCTCCTGCCTCAGCTGCTCAAGTAGCTGGGATTACAGGCACCCACCACCATGTCCGGCTAATTTTTGTATTTTTAGTAGACATGGGGTTTTGCAATGTTAGCCAGGCTGGTCTCAAACTCCTGACCTCAGGAGATCCACCCACCTTGGCCTCCCAAAGTGCTGGAATTACAGGTGTGAGCCACGGTGCCTGGCCAGTATTGACATTATTTAATAACATTAATTTTTCAAATCCATGAGCATGGGATAACTTTCCATTTTTTTTGCATCTTTTTAAATTTCTTTCATTGGTGTTTTATAGTTTTCCCTGGAGAGATCTTTTACTACTTAGGTTACATTTATTTCCAGGTATTTTTTATTTTTATAGCTACTGTAGTTGAGGTTGCTTTCTTGATTTCTTTTAAGTTTGTTTGGTCTTGACATACATAAATTGCTACTGATTTTTGTTTGTTATTCCTAAAATATATTCCTTAAGAATTGGGTGTATTATATTACCTATTGATTTTAATTATTTCCCTAGTAAATTAGACATATGTACAAGCAATAGAGGTAATAGCCTCAAATACTTACATAATTTTGATACCACGAGAACAAGTGCCAAATCTGTTACTTTTTTCATATCAAGTGTTTTGTAGGTACTTATAGCACAATGGAAGTACATAAATATTAAATTAATTAAAATGAATTTGATAAGATTCACTTTAAACGTTTACTTAGACAAAGACATTATATGTATTCAAGATAATACATTCAATTAATTACTTTTATTCTGTTAGTATTTATTGCCCTTAGCGATAACCTAGCTCATGAATAAAACACAGGAAAAAAAAGAAAAGATTAATAAAACTAAGTATAAGCAATGCATGTTTATGTTTGTAATAATCATTATGTACTTAACATATAGTGTTTCTCTTATAGAATATTTTAGTAGCCATCTTGGCAGGAAATCTGATATAAAGAAGTGTATGACATAAAATATTTATACGATATTAATTTCAAAATCATAGACTCTAATCCAAGTGATCTTTGTAACACATTCACTTTAAGAAGAAACTCTTGCAGCCTCCCTTTCCATTTTTTTATAGGCAGGTGGGAAAAATGGGAGAAAGTTAAATAAATTATATCTGTTCGCTATACCCTGAAAACCAGAGACTAACATTTCAAATGTATTGAAGCTACACTAGCAAATACAATATAATATTTTAAGTTTTCAAACAGCCATGATAACTTTGGGATCGAGTTCAAATATAAACACAGGAAAATCGATATTCACTTTGATATAGTAGGGTAATTTATGAATGACTGTGAGCTCTACTTGTCCCTTGTCTCATTTAGAAACTCTCCGTATTCCTAGAGGAATAGATGAGGAAGCCCTTAGGATTTTTGCATAGGCCTGTACTTATGCATGACATGCACCCTAATTCCCACTACCCACAATTTTTGAAACTATATGAACTGTATTGATTGATATTCATATCCAAGGAATTTAGGAAATTAGGTTAATAAGAGAAACAACTATGACACAGAAATAAGGCATTCTTTCTTAATTTGAAAACTCCATGGGTTATAGCTTGATATTTTATAAGAACTCATTGACAATTACATTCGTAGAGCTTAATGATTATTTATTAAACATTATCCCCTGAGTGATGAATATGTTGAAGCTATTAAACCTGCAAAAGAGTAAAAATCATAACATATGATTTATGTTCTCAAATAACTGATAATTTAGAAGATTCTGTAAAATGAGGTTGGTGAGCAGTCACAAGTCAAGGAACACAGACAGTGACCAGAAGCTGGAAAAGGCAAACAATTCAATTTTCCATAGAGCCTCTGGAGGGAACACAGCCTCACTGACACATTGATTTTGGACTTGTGGCTTTCCTTTCATATCTGTGAGATAAAACATTTCTCTTGTTTTAAGTCACCAAGTTTGAAGTAATTTGTTAGATCAAATGTGTAACACACAGAGAAACTAAGATAGCAAGTGAAACATGCTCAGACACAAACTTTCACAGAAACAGAAAACATGTATCAGGAACATAATGACCACAAAGCCAAAAATAAGAGTCAAGAGTCAGTGGGCAAACTGACAGCTCTGTGTACTGTGTGTGATCAGCAACTGCGCAGGAAGAAGTCAAAGATAAAGCAAGAGAAAGGAATTTTCAACAGTCCTGAATGTCCTAAAATGACATATATTTCAACACATACCCACAGGAAACTTTGGCACACCAATCTGGGAATGGCAGCAAAACTTGGGCAAGGATTTCCCAATGAGAACAGGTGCAGATGAGCAGAGGACCACAGGAGCACAGAATCTAACTAACCAACTAAGCCTCCCTTCCAGGACAAAGATCTACATGGAGGAGAAACTGCTAAAAATAGAATATAGATTGAGCAAGACAGCACAATAGAAGCATTAAAAGGAGAATGTCAAGGTGAAAATTTATAAGTGATACAGTCAGTGAATTCAGAGAAGAGAACACTGTATTCATCAACACTTCGAGAAAACAATAGAAGAGAGAGTTCTAGATTTTTGAAATTAGCAAAGCTGCCCTACTATTTTAAAAGTACTGGAAAACTCTTAGTTCATCCTGAGCAACATAGATTGAAATGAATCCCATAAACATTATTTTAAAAAATGAAATAAGTGCAGACTAATGTCAATTCAGACCATAAATACATGCCAAATAAGATGCCTGCAAATAAACAGAACTTTGTTTTGATATTTTAAAGCAAGTTAAAAGTAATTAATTACATAAAATAATTAATTCATAGAAGCTATGAAAAATCAAAACAGTATAAATCATAATTAGAAAAAAGCATTAATGAGATCATTTGAAAAAATGAAAGATTTTTGCAAGAATTGTTAGAAGAGAGAAAATATTTATATCTAAGGTAATAGATATATTTCATAAATAAACACCAAGTTATAAGAAATGCAATAGCAAATAATGAAACAATGAATAATGATTTTATATATATATATATATAAGATGTTTCTAGATATTTAAAACATTTTTTAAAAAGACAAAGTTACTGAAGGCAGGCAGAATTAACACAGCATATGTTTCATAAAAGCTTCTTACCTATCCTGCCGAAAGTAATCTATACTGCATAACAAATTTAGAGAATTGAAACAACATACACTTACTATCTTACAGTTTTTTTGTGTGTCAGAAGTCTGGGCATTGCTTAGCTGGTCCTGTGCAGGACTTGTGCAAGAATTCAATCAAGGTATTAGATGTAGCTAGTTTCTCAACTAAAGGATTGGCTGGGAAAGGGTCTGTTTCCAAGCTCACTCAAGCTGTTTGTAGAATTTATTTCCTTGTGGCTGTAGGATTCAAAGAAACTTGCTTATTCAAAGATTCCAAGGTAATTCTACTAGTAAGAGGGTTCCTTATATAATGTAATGACATTTCATCTTTATTGCAATAGAATAGAATATAAATATAATACAATAAAATTAATATAATAAATAAAATAATGGGAATGATATCTCATCACCTTTGCCATGTATTTGTTAGATGTACATCACAAACCTCACCCATACTCAAGCAGATGGGATTAAATAAGAAAATGGATACTAGGAGGTGAGAATCATAGAGAAGATCACACACCTCTGGAAAAACAAAGATGCCAAAAGCAATACAATACGAGCAAACATAAAGGCAACAATTGAAAAATTTTACTGAAATGAGAAGAACTTGAAACTACCAATTGGAAGAACATATGAGGGGAAAATCAGTCTGAATATTTTGTGATAAAAATATTAAAATTTGTATAAAAATTAGTTTTTAAAACTTAAGTTTAAAAAATTATTATTTTAATTATTTAAAATACTCTTAAATAATAAAAAAGACAATTATTTTCGATGTTCGGGGATTACAATCAGGCCATTAAAAGATAAGTAAATTTAATTCATTATAGTTTTTCATAGCAATATTTTGTGCTACAAGACAATGTAGCACTATTTATACATCCATAGATAAATTAATGTAGAACAAGCATTTTAATCCTCATGATAAGCTTTATGTATAAACATTACTAAAAATATATGTGATGACCATACAAGAGCTCAGGAAGTATTCTTTCCATGGGTCTTTCATCACTAATCTACTAGAGAAACATATAAGGCCTGGAAATACTTAAGCACAAAATACTAATAGTGAGAATTAATACACGTTTTCTCACAGATCTAAGAAAATTAAAGGTTATGGGGAATACTATAAAGAATATGATGGCTATATACTCTACCAGTGTAAATACAGTACAACTAGTAAAAATAAAATGGAAAGAATGAACCAAAGGGTCTTAGATACAACCCTTCATCAATATGTATCTTACATTGACCCACAGTGACTGCTAGGTAAAACATAAAACAAAAACAGAATTTAAACAGAGGTATCAAGGACTTCGTATTTGTGGAAGAACAAATTTTGCATACTGAGTTATGCAAAACCATTAAGCAAATAAATAAAAGGCAAAGCAAACAAAAACTATAGCAGCAAAAACATTAACCTTCATGGGGAGAGGGAGGAGAAGTATCCAGAACAGTAATGATACAAAATATAAAAATGTAAAGATTTTTAACAACCAAAAAATTATGAAAAGGAGGAAAGTGTGATTCATACACAGAAAAAAGCAGGTAATAAAAGTTGCTTTAGATGAGGCCCAGATGTTGAACTTGGTAGAAGAAGATTTTTAAAGTAGCTTTATACATATTAGTATAATCAGAAAACTAAAATAGACCATGTATAAGTAAAAATATATGATGACAATATCTTATGTAAAAAAGAATATAAATACAAACATATAAATTATAAGAATGAACTGAATGAAAATTTTACCATTGAAAAGTATGATAACAAAAATAAAAATTTTGATAGTGTCTTAAAATTAGTTTAGAACTGACAGGAAAGTCACCAAATATGATATAGAACAACTATACAATCCGAAGAACAGAGTAAACAAGTTAAGAAAGATGAATAGATCCTCTGATTAATGTAAAACACTGTTAAGGGGACCAACACACATGGTACACCAAAAGGAAAGAGAGAAAGAAAAGATTAGAGAAAAAAATTCAAATTAATTTCTCTAAACCCTCTAATATAATAAAAAATATTAATCTGCACATCCAAGAAGACCAATGGCCTTCAATAAGGCACATGCAAATATATCAATATCTACATTATACTGTAGTCAAAATGTTAAAAGCCAAAGAGAAAATCTTGAAAGCAGAAAGAGAAAAATCAGTCACCACATACAAGGAATGCTAAATAAAATCCATAGCTGATATTTCCACATAAATAATTGAGACCAATAGGCAAAGGGATAACATACTCAAAGTGCTAAAAAGTTCAAAACAATCAAACAAACTAACAAAAAACAATGCCTAGCAAGAATACTTTATCTACCAAACTGTCTTCAAAAATGAAGCCAAAATAAAGGAATCCCTAATTAATCAAAAGGTGAAATAGCCTGGTATTAGAAGTGTTAGAGATAAGGAATACTGAAATGATTTATTCAGGTTAAAACCAAGTGACACCAGACAGTAGTTTGATTACATACACATATGCATGTGTGTGCACATGCTCACACACACATACACACACGGAGGAAAAAGAACCTTAGAAATATCACACAATAAAAATTATGTCACTAATCACAGATACAGTATTTTAATACATACATATCTTTTTTCTTAAATGATTTTAAAATAAATTACATATTTACTTGCATTAGTATTGCAATATATATTTATACTTATATTGTTGAACTTAAAATACAGCAAAATACAGTATACAGTTGATTCTTGAACCTGAAATTCAGGAAAAATTACACAATTGAAGAGGCCATTGTTACAGGAAAGCTGTGAAAGCCATCACGCCCAAAACAATAAACTTCTGCTAAAGAAACCTGTGTCCAGATGTTGTGCAGGCCTTTGCAGGATTTATGACAGGCCAATCAAAAAAATTAGGGAAGAGATTATGGCTATGGCAAAAAAAGGTGGGGGCTTGAGCTTATTATATTTAGGTTTACTTATATGCAAATTTTAAAAATGTAGAAAAATTTTGGGAGATTTCAGCTGTTTGAAAATTTTTTATAGAAAAATCATGTGTCATAGAAATATCAAAAAAATTGAGAAGTTTGAGATGTCATGAATGCATAAAATATATGTAAATACTAGTCTATTTTCTTATGTAATATAAAATATAGATATTATGTAAAGTTATAATTTATTAAAAATTATACACACAAACACAGATCATGCATGGTACCATTCTTGGTTGAGAAGAAATGTAAACAAGCATAAAGATGCAGTATTGAATTATAACTGCATAAATTAACTGCAGTACATACTGTACTACTATGATTTTATAGTCACTTCTGTTGCTACTGCAGTGAGCTCAAGTGCTCTGATGATTCACTTTAAACACCACGTGACACTAATCATCTCTGCATGATCAGTCTCTCTCTAGTAAATTACTTATCACAATAAAAAGTGATCTCTCACAGTTCTCACGTATCTTTCATCCTATTTAATCCAGTACTGTAAACCTTGAATAACACCATGAGACCTAGATAAAGTGCCACTAGCGATGATGAAAGTGCTCCCAAGAGGCAGAGAAAAGCCATGACATTACAAAAAAAAAGCTTGAATTCCTTAATATGTACTGTAGATTGAAGCCTACAAACGCACTTGCCCACCATTTCAAGAGAAATGAATTCAACATAAGGACTACTTAAAAAAAAAAAGGAAAAGAAAACAATTTTTGTAGCTGTCATTGCAGCTATGCTAACAGACACAAAAATCTTGCTCTTTTTGCTAAATACCTTTTTATTTTGTATTAAAATTGCAGCTATAATATGGATGCAGTATTGCTATAAGAAATGTATATCTATAAACTCTAGTATAATTCCAGAAAAAGCAAAGTCATTCTGTGACAAGTTAAAGCAAAAGAAGATGAATCTAAAGCTGGAGAATTTAATCCCAGAGGATGGTTTGATAATTTTAGAAAGAGGTTTGGCTGAAAAAAATGTCAATATAACAGGAGAAGCAGTTCCTGCTAACCAAGAGTAACAGATGAGTTTCCATATGTCATTAAGAAAGTCATTGAGAAGATAGAATATTTGCCTGAATGAGTATTTAATGCAAACAAAAGTACCCTAATCTGGAAAAAATATGCCACAAAAGTCATGTATTAGTAAGGAAGAAAAGTAAGTACTATGATTTAACACAGGCAGAGATTGGTTACCTCTAAGGTTTTGTACAAATTCAGTCAGGTTTATGATTAGGATTGCCTTTCTCTCTAAAAAGCTAACCCTTGAGCCTTGAAGGAAAAAGATGTACACCAGCTGCCAGTCTTTTGGTTTCACAAGAAAATTCAATTGGAGAAATAGTAGTATTTTCAGGTGCTGGTCTTGGGACAACTGGTATCACAAGCAAAAGACTGATGTGGGAACTATACCTTACACAATGCACAAAAATAAACTCAAAATGGATCATAGATCTAAATGTATAAAACTCTCAGGAGAAAGCATAGCAGTAAACATTTGTGAACTTGAATTAGGCAATGATTTCTTAGACATGATACCAAAGTCATAAGGACAAAGAAAAAAGTAGAGACGTTATCAAAAATTTAAAACCTTTTTGCTGTAAATGATACTATAAAGAAAGTGAAAAATCAACCACAGAGTGGAAGAAAATATTTGCAAATCAGATATCTGATGAGAAACTGTTATCCAGAATAGGTTAAGGACTCTATAACTGGATAATAAAAAGCCAAATAACTCATTTAAAAATGAGCAAAAGGTTTGAATAGTCATTTCTCAAATAAAATACATAAATAGCTGACAATCACATGAACATCATTATTTATTGGGCAAATGCAAATCATAACAACAATACGTTATCACTTCATGCTCACTATGATGACTAAAAGTCAAATACAAATGATAACCAGTGAGAATGTGGAATATTTGATGCCCTCATACATTTCTGGTAACGTTTATAAGGTAAAATTGTGAAATGGAAAACAATTTGGCACTTTCTCAAAATGTGAAATATGGAGATACCACATGAACCATCAATTCCACTCGTAGTTATATACTCAAGTGAAATGAAAACATAGGTCCATATAAAAATATTCTCACAAATATTAATGGCACCATTATTCACAGTAGCTCAAAAGTGAACACAACCCAAATTTCCATCTACTAATGAATGAATAATTAGTTTTATATAATGTTTATTATGTATCAGAAACTCTAACAGTCTGAAAATAAGTATTTCTTTTAAGATTTATGAATAAAGTATCTCATTACTATTACTTCTGAAGTAATATATTCAATTTTTTATAGAAGCACAGATTTTATAATTTTAATCATCTTGAATTTTACTGCTAATTCAAATGTAAAATTAGATTTTTAGTATGACAATTTGAAGTATTAAATTCTCATTAGTTTCTAGTAGAATTCCATGAAAATCATATTGATTTTCTATCATCAGTTTTAATTTAGCTTATCTTTTTCAAAATTATACTTAATTAAACATCTTTCTCAACTTCCCTTTAAACACAGGATTTCATGGATTCAAAATTGTATGTGTTGTGAAACAATAAAATTAACTCTTGTTTTTTGTTAATTTACCCTAATAATAATTTTAAAACCTCAGCTCATAGACTTTTCTATGATGTAGTGCAAACAAATATAATTACAATTATATTAACATTACATTCACTATTTATTGATCTGTTAAAATCTTTTTGTCATTTTTTATGGGGGACAAAAATGTATGCATGTACACATAAAAGTTGTAATATTTATTATGCCAGTATCTTGATTTATATGACAGTGGTTCAGTGTAATTTCTGAGTGTTTTCATAAGTCACTATTCCATATTTAGATAGAATCCTCAAATAGTTAATAATTGTACAATGATACTATTCCTTTGTATCTGTTAACTAAATATGTGAATTAAAAGTCACTTATATAACATTCCTAAATATGAATACAACCTATAATATTTTAAAGTTGCAAGAATAATTGAAACCTAGTAACATTTTTCTCCTAATATTCAGGGGCATTTTTAGGCTTTGGAGTAGAAAAGTTACTTCCATTGTAAAATAGCATTGTAAATTTTGATTTACTGCATTCTAATCCTCAATACCAATTAACACATTTTATGACTCTATTTGGATAACCTCCAAGTTTATATCCATGCCACTACACGTCATAATTATTTAAAGAGGCAGCACCATGCCCTTGCTGCTTAGAGGTGGTCTGCTACCAACTTGTGAAATTACTACCTATATTAAGCAGATGTCAACACCACAGATTTTTAGTTAGTTGCAAAGTATTTGTACCATTTTCTCATATTTCCAAGGACCACTGCCATTCATTGCCAGAACTCCATGTCACCATGCAAAATCAAACAGAAAACACCCAAGGGAAAGTCACATGCAAGGCCCAGCATATGTTACCCCTGCACTCTCTTAGAGTAAAAACTTGGCAATAAAATGGAAATTTAAAAAAAGGAAAAAGAAAGAAAAAAACAGAAGACATGTAAATTACCACTTTGTCACTTCACTGCCAATGAAGAAAACTTCAACTCTACTGTAATTCTCAAAGAATGCCTCTCATGTTCCAGTCAGCTATCCCAGTGGAGAAAATCTTGAAATGTATGTGTGAGTAGCTGAGGTGGTATGGGACACTTTTACATCATGGCTAGCATAGAAAACTGCCAGAAAAAAAGTGAGGGAGTCATTTAGACTCCCTAAGAAAGCCAAAAGAGTAAGAGTTTAAGATGGTACTCATATTTGAAACCCAAGATTACAAAATGTTTGGGCAAAACCATTTTGTAAAATGATGAAGAAGCAGGCTTTGTAGTGAGACAGGCTCGCATTCCTGCTTTGTCTCTTGGTAGTTGTGGGAATATGAGAAGGTTATTTAATACCTGTAGGTCTCGTTTATACATTCATTCATTCAAAAAGGATAACGAGTGTAGAATGGACAAAGCCACAGTGCTAGCTATGAAAATAAAATGTTAGAAAAGTCATATAAGGTTTTTACTTATTGGACCTTGCATTATTTTGGGGGAGGTATTGACGTTCAATTAAAAATCAACCTTTTAATGAAATAATGGTAAACTTTGGTAAGTATTAGCAAAGAGAAGAGATAGAATATCATTATAGAAAAAAAGCTGTAGTGCACTATGTAAAAGAATGTTTAGCTAAAACATTTTGAGGGAGTTGAAGACTCACGTTAGATCCAAAAATTAGGTTACTACATCTGCGAAATAGAGATTTGTTGTACATATGATAAAAAGTTCTAATAATAAGTATGGCACAGTTCTTGGCATAAATACTAAAATTGGGGGATATTATATTATTTTTGTAATTATTACCATTATTCAAATTCTACTTGAATATCTTTGAATGACTGACACTCAGCAAATTATAATCCCTTTGTTGAAATTATTTGAACCCAAATATTTATTTGTGTTGTTTTTTTAATTTTCTGTATTTATATTTTTTATCCTAAATGGGTCCATTTGGTGTTCTGGGTCAGAGACAGTTTTTAAATACTACACAGTAAATGATGAGTGCATCTGTTTCCCTTTGCCCTGGGAGTTACTCCTATGGCGATGTGATGAGAGACTAGTCAATTGTCCAAGGCAAGTTGCAAGACCCTCCACAGGCTAGAAAAGAGGAAACAATTTTTTTCTGTTTATTAAGGTATAGGAGACACCCATACCCCCACTCTCCAGAAGGGATCTCTTTCTGACTCCAGTTCTTTTGTTGTTAAAACATAAATAAAATATCGTCAGGAACAACAGAGCCCCAGGTATTTTCACTAGATGTCTCCCTGGAATTTGCATGTGTAGGAAGACAATTCCCCAGTCTCCCAGTTACCTTCTGCACTAACTTAGCTACATATCCCAGGATGTAATTATTTGGATCTTGGGGAGATAAGAAAAATGTAAACAAATAACTGCAAATCTGAACTTTATGGTATGTAAACATGTTCTAGGAGAAGTCAAAGCAAACAGTCACTAATTTTACAGTATATATACACAGATATATACATATATATATATATATATATATATATATATATATAGTCTTAAGAGATTAGGATACTGTACAAGAACAATGAGAAACCCAATTCCCTTGTATCCTAGCAGTATTACCTTGAAATACTGAGTAAATTGTGTTCTTACTTCTTGATGTTTTATAGTGTACCCTGAACATTTATATTAATATACAACTTGATTGTCTCACTAACGATTCTTAAAATCATTCTGAGATTAAACAAAAATCCACTTGACCTCCTCAAAGGAAAAGTAGTTTCTAAGTTTTGGTTTTGCAGTCAGAATTTAAAATGAAAATGTATTATGAAAACATTGTTCAAGTAGAAGTTTGATCATTACAGTTATTGAGTTGTAGGCTCTGGAGTTTGCAGTATTGTACTATAAGAATTTTAGTTCAAGTGTTGTGTTTAATCTAATTAACGTTATATTTATGAATTGGCAAATGTCCCCAAATGTGTAGGAACAAATACATCTGCTCTCACAGGGGCATCTGGCTTCTTGCTGGAACACATGGTTTCACCTTTACCTTCACCCACAGCCCAATGTGCATCAATATGGAGATAATGCAGTTCCATTTGTACCTCTTTGTGATTCAACATACCTCAGAGTGTTGAACATTGAAGGCAGAAGACAGAAGGCACTGCCAATGCACATTGATGAAAGAATTGTCAATAACAGTCAAATCGTACAGCATTAAAAATTTACCAACTATCTTATCATGAATGCTTATTTTAAGGAGAGCATTTTAAATAAATATATGACCATAGAAAATAAATATTTACATGGCTTATCAACAGCAGCATTATTTATTAATCCCCATAGATGTGACAAAAAGGAATATATTTCTACATATATATATACATACACATATATATACATACACAAATATGCATGTATATGTATATGTGTGCTTGTTTTTATGGTAATTTTTAATTTTAAGACATTGTTTTGGTATACATAAAGTAAACTATCATTTTTTAAATTTACAGTATTTAAGAATATAAAGAAAAAATCACCATCTTTTTAATTTTAGTGGTGTGTCTCAGCCTTGAAGCAGCAAAAATTTTATGAAAATATGGCAGAACATAATTCCAATGGCAGAAAGAGAATATTTATGGAATTCTAGAAGCCTGAGTATTTGAATTTCTGTCACTCACCAGATCAACTAGATTTGTGGAAGAGCTTTACCTTAAAAAAGAGTGATAAAAGAGTGTCATAATTTAGATTAAAGCCATATATCTGTTATAATTTGAAACATATATCACACACTGCACAAAGTATTCATTGTACTGTTAGAAAAAGTTGAGTAAAAATTCAGTTCGGAAAATAAAATCAAAAGTAAAACAGATACTAGGCAAATAAAATAAAGGAAAACAAACCACAGCAATAACAACAACAAAAACAAAAACACCACAGGCTGGATTAGGGGCTCAATTATGAGATTTATATTTATTCTTTACATGAGACCACATGTCATAGCCATGGATTTCATCACCATTTATAATTTAATGGTATTAAGATATAACTTGTTTAAACCTTTAAAATGATTTTTAGTTTTACCAAAGTAATGTATGTTCAAATTTGAAATAGTCATATAGTCACTTTCTATGTCAAGATGAACAGAAGAGTTTAATAAGTGAATTTTAAAGATACAATTTAAAATTAAAGTTAGAAAAAGTATATATGATTAAATGTATTTAAAGATTTGCAGGGTTTTACGAAAAATATGACAAAGCTATTGAAAGACCATCCTGGCTAACACGGTGAAACCCCATCTCTTCTAAAAATACAAAAAAAAAAAAAATTAGCTGGGCGTGGTGGTGGGCGCCTGTAGTTCCAGCTACTCGGGAGGCTGAGGCAGGAGAATGGCAGGAACCCGGGAGGCGGAGCTTGCAGTGAGCCGAGATGGCGCCACTGCACCCTAGCCTGGGTGACAGAGCAAGATTCCGTCTCAAAAAAAAAAAAAAAAAAAAGACAAGACATCTTTAATAAATAGAGAAATAATCCATGTTTATGCAAAAGGTATATAATAACATAAAAAAGTTCACCAAATTAACATACACATTTAAATCAATGTCAGTTTTTAAAATCCCAATTTTTGATACAAATTGTTACACTGTATCTAAAACTTTATGTAAAAATAATGTGAGAAAATAAATAGCAAAGAAGAATTCATCAAAACTTAAATAGAATAAAAATGTAGAAAAAATGGTCTCTCACACATATTAATTTACATTTTTAAATTATAGCACTAAAATAGGGTGGTCATGTTTGGTGAGATAGATCAAAATAATAGAATAAAAAGACCAGAACTGAGACATACATTTATACAGAAATCCTCTATATAAAAGTTGGCATTTTCGAATTTTAAAACCTTTTAAATAGGTATCAGTGCATATTTTTAAGATCTCAAGTTAAACACAGATTTTATAAATAATATATACATATAAATGGAAAGCAAAAACCATAAAGAAAAATGTTGATATGTTTTATTAAATTATATTTTCAAAATTCTATACATCAAGAGATATTAAACGTGATTTTTAAAAAAGTAACAAATTTACAATTAGAATATACTGCAAGACATAAACGTAAAGGGGTTGTTAATAAGTATATTGAAAGACATTTGTAAAACAATACAAAAATATAAAGAAACATGATAAGAAAAAGGCAAAATGTCTTAACAGGTAATTCTCAGAAAAGGAAATGTCACTTATATGAAGGTGGCGGAATCAAGAAAATGTTCAAGCATAATCTGTTTTCCAAGAGTTTCATGGGACCTCAGCCACCTCCAACTTGATATTCAAGTGCCACTTGCGTTAATGGCATCAAAAAATCTAATGTACACGTTCGTTTTGTTGTTACCTGGCTAACTATCCTAGTTAACCCTTCGTCTATTCACTGATACACATTTAATAGCGTCTAAGTTTGCCTCTAGATAAGACCAACCCTGCCTGGTTTAATTCCGACGAGGAATTTTCTTTTTTAATAGCTCAGGAGCCTGGGAATTGGCTCCATGAAGGAAAAAACTCTTGACATGTAAAATTGTAAAAAAAAACCTCAATACACACACCTGTAAATGGGTATAAAGACTGAACACATTTGGGAGTGTAAACTGAATTAGTAAAATGATAAAACACAGTTTCTTATATTAGGATGAATAATGTACTCTTAGTTTAGTATTTAAACTTTTCTGTAATCTCAGATTAATTTTACTTTCTATAAAGGGTGTTGAATTATATATAATTCTTCTGACACTAAGCTAGTATTATAATAAAATAATTAATTATAAACTATTCCAAAGGCCAAGCATGCCTAGTGAAATGGTTCAACCCACAAATTCTCAATTCACATATTAAACCTGAGAGTTGAAATAATTCAATATCCAATTCCAGTTTGTGTTAATTATCCTTGTTCTTTGTTCCAAATACAATCTGACTACATCTCTCTCACAGAACTGGCCACATTGTCCTGCAAGTAACATCTAGACTTTGAGGCACTTGAAAGAGGGAATAGTCTTCCCATCTCAGCACCTATTCTCTTGTCTAGCACAGATAAGGAGCTCAAAAATGTTCCAAGGATAAGTGATACTATGTTTGTCTTAGTTATCTCTTTTTTCATATGCATATGTAAATAAAAATAATGTATTCGAGTTAATTTAGGCAAAAAGGAGAACCTCATGGGGAAGTTATACTCAAAGTCAAGCAAGCAATTGGGACTCAGAACCTATTTGGGGCCACTGCTCAAGGCTCAAGTCCTAGTTTCCTGTTTTTATCTCTTATTTATTCTCTACCCTGCCTATCTCTTTCATTCTTATGCCTGTATGTTAACCTTTGATATTTGACTTAAAAATGGTACTTGCAACTTCCTAATATACATACTAGTTTTTGTGGTGTACAGTTGCATATTAGTTTTTGTGGTGTACAGTTCTCCCTGTTTGCCAAAGCATAGAGCAAATTTGGGCAGAGGGCCATTATTAGCTCAATTTGGATGATATACGAGGTAATGTTTATGAACTTAGCTGCAGTCATTGTACCTGGGACAGTGGAAGAAGGAGAGAATATTCCTAAAACTTAGGGTCACATCTCAGCAGGAAGAACACTGTACAAACATACGCTGGGAAACACTTCATCGTGTCATTTCTGCAAGTTTTGTTTCTGTGTTTGTTCCAGGGCTATCTTTCAAAGAACATTTGTGTAGCAAGCAATCCTGAAAGATAGCAATAGTGTTTTCCTATAAGAAAACACTACCAGGGCAGAGGGTAGCTTTGTTTCCTGATAGACATAGTAAAAAAAAAAAAAAAAAAAATGTGTTTTCAGGGCAAGAGTCTAGCAGGTATGCTAGTAGCATTGTTATCAAATTAGGGTTTTCTTAAGCTTAGGGTTCCTCAGCTATGACACTCACATGTTTTGTGTTTAGCATCCATCTGGGATGACCTCAGCATCACCCTTGCGGGACTTAGATGAGAAAGGTAACTGATGTGAAGACGAAGTAAGAGCTGCCTGTTGTACTGCGAGTCATAAAATCCTTTTCTTCTGACCCAGGAGTTTCATGTCTTCTGCCAGATCCATGAGACTGTGGCAGGCCAAGTTATTAGCTAGAAAGTTTGATAAAATCTCTAATTATCCATAGTTCTTGACAAAATGCACTCATTCAGTTAATCCTTTCCACAGCACAATTCTACTAATAATGACACAACAGAATTTTCTTTACAATTTCTATTCCTTTTGAAATTTGCTTTCAATTGGAAGAATGTTTTACTCATAAAGTTATTCATAACCATCAAAATAAAATCAGACTAAATGTATTTTTTCAAAGCAATAAAAACAGGGTATTTATGCAAATTTGATAAAATCAATTTCATGAAATAAAATTGTGGTATACAGAAATATTTTTATTGATAAAATGTTTTCTTCTTATGTGGGACAGTTGCTACAAAATTGATGCATGCTTTCTGGTGAGAAAGAATTGCACTCCTCCCCTCTCTTTTTACTTTAACAAATATCCCAAAATATATGTCTAGATGAGAATAATACTTTAGTCCTTTGATGATAATATTTCCTGAAATATTTTGGAAATTTTTCCATTAGAATTGCTTTCAGAGATAAAAGAATATTTATTAGCATGTCAAATTATAATAATTTTTCTAAGGTATATTTTATATATTAGAAACTGTCAGTACCCATTAAGAATAAAATCTAATAATGAAGATGGGTTATTAATTTAATTAATAGCATTAAATTAAACATATGACTATGGAGACACAATGGCAATTTTTTTTCTATTGACTGATAAAATTATTTTTCATTTCCATAAACTATTAATATTGTTCTAGAAAAATTATTATCGTCAAAGGCCTAAGGTTTTTTTTTTATTCTTTTGGTTAACATTTTGTCTCTAGGATCTCTTTTGATGTTGTACTTACTAGCTTGTTTATTCCATTACTGTGTAATACTCTCTTTGTCAGAATATAGTGTAGTTTTAAGTATCTATTACAGTGTTTATGGATATATGGACTGTTTCTAGGTTTGGAATATTTTGAGTAATGCTGCCAACTGTAAAGATAATTTGGTGTACTTATGTGTACATTTCCCTGGGGTATAGACCTATAAATAGAACCCCTATGTCATAAACTATGTCCACATTCAACTTTAGTGATACTGCTAATCAATTTTCAAAATATTTTTGTCAATTTCTACTTCCATCTGCAGTGTATGAAAGGTTTAGTTAGTGAACACTATTGACAACACTTGGTATTGTTTTTCTCATAATATTTTCCAACTATTGAAGGTAGGGTATAGTATATAATTAAAATAGCATATATTAGCTTAATTACCAAATTTTAAGCATATTTTGAACATTTTTGCATAGGTTTAGTGACTATTTGGATATCGTTTACAGGAAATATGTTTAAGACTCTTCCATATTTATGTTTTCTGTCTTTTTCACAGTTTCTATTAGTATTTATTTATTGTACATATGTATCGTACATTTTTACATTATGTCTTTCCTTATCAATGTATTTTTGTGGGAGGTTAAAATTGATTTAAAAAATTTGTGGATACATAGTAGGTGTGTATGGGGAACATGAGATAGTTTGATACAGGCACACAATGTGTAGAAATCTTATCAAATGCTTAATAGAATATTTTGATAATTAGAAGTTTACAATTTTAATATAACTTAAATTGAAACTTTCTTTACAATGGTGCTCTTATGTTCAGTTTAAGAAATCTTTATCTACAAAGGGTGATATATTCTCCTACTTTTCTCTTTGAAGTTATGTTGCTATTTTTTTCTTATTGTAAGAAAATGGTTACATAATGAAGTATAATATTTTTTCAGCTACAGAGATCTTTAGGATTTGACCCTTGTTTGAACTGCTTTCTATTTAATTTAAGGAAAATGAAAGAGTCTTAATTAGCTGTACTGAATTCATTTACAGGAATGAAAATATGGATCAATATGGGACTGTCAGGAATTTACGTTGTATATAATACTTTACTTTTTGTCAACATTGTTCAGTGTACTAATTTATAATTGATGACCTATAGCTGAATCAACAAGTACAAGCTAGTCATATATCTCTGAGGGGGTTATTTGACTAGCAAGTTATAAAGGCTGGAGAGACCCAGAGCTGATAGTTTCACTGTGCTAATGTGGACTGCACCCATTTAAGCTTATTTCTTGTGGTTCTGGTGTGCGTGTGTGTGTGTGTGTGTGTGTGTGTGTGTGTGTGTGTCTAGAAGTATTGGTAGCTTTGCCTGGGAATTGTGAGACCTCTGGCATGCTGTTCCTGTACTGTACCTTTTTTAAACCTAAAAAACTACCTTTCCTCTAAACTCTGTGCTAGGTCAAGACTAAGACTATGAAATTATCCTGTTTCATCCTTACGTTGACCAAGAGCCAATACAAGACTTCTAGACATCTTTGGAGATAGGCATAAATGTGCCCAAGTTTGGCTGCAAGCGAACTCTAGTTTATTCAGTGCTTCCAAGTATCAGGTATTTATATTTATGTTTTTGGAGGTTGTATTTTGGGGGTTATATTTCAATTCTTAATGTATCTTCAACACCTTGGTTATCAAATTAACTGGTGCAATGTGATTCTAGAAAATAGCAGCAATATTCATATTTTAAATATCTCCCCAATTTAATATTTCTACAAATTAAACCATCTTATAAGTCTAAATTTCATATTTTAATTTTCTCTTTAAGGAAATATATCTGAAAAATTATGAGAAAGACAATCATTGGTATGACATAATTCTGCAATTCTATGTATTGCATCGAATGTATATATGCAATTCTGCATATGTAAAAAATCAAATTGAAAATTTAGTAATTTCTCTGTAATTTATCCAAGCAGCCTCCAAGAATGAGTTGTAACAAAGGTCACACACAAAACGAAACTTGCAGAGGCATAAACAATATTCTCAAGTTTGTGCTTTATCCAATAGATAAGTAATAATGCACCTTGAGATTAATAAGTATTTTTCTGCAAGAGTTTTATATGTTCTAAACAGTCTTGAGAAAAGAAGAGAGAAGCACAGAAAGGCACACTGTAATTGTTAAATGAAGAAGCAAACATTCATCCTGAGCTCAAAATAATATTTTTAAAATTATTAATTTATGAAAAACAATATTACTTCCATTAACAACTTTACATATTAAAATTTTGCAGCTCTTCAGAAGTAATTTCGTAAAATATTTAGTAGCTAGTATAATTTAATAGTGTCAACATTTTGAAAATAAATAAAGTCTTGCAACTTCACATAATCTAAAAACAAGCAAATTACATCTATCTTTTGCTATTTATTAGGGTTTATGACTAAGCCAGAAAATTATGAAGTTGGTTCAAGGGGGAGCAGGTTATGCAGCAGGTATTCTGCATAAAAAGTAATACCTAAAAAATTTGGAGATGTAATCCATCAGAAGGAAATACTCATGATATTGAAAAGTAGCACCTCTACTGCTGATATGGACATATATTAGTGTCACAGGATCCTTGGAGTGTAGCTTCACCAATTGGGAACTTTTGTGGCTGGTGGCACCTTCTGCCTGAGTGTTGCTCACACCTGCTGGGCTTGTTCCTCCCACACAGCCAAGCAGGCTGCGCTCAGCTTGAACTACTGACCCAGATTCCATACCTGCCAAGGTGGAGCTAGGCACAGTGTGGCAAGAGGTGTGTGGCCAAGCAAGTACAGGGTCTGGCCACTGCATACAGCCAGGCATGTCACTGCTGCAGCAGGGCAGGCCAGCTCCAGGTGCCAGCACAGGTGTGGGCTCTATGCAAGGTTGTGGCTGGACAAGATGTACTGCATGAGGCTTCTGAAGGTTGTGGCTAGACAAGATGTACTGCATGAGGCATCTGCTGCAGGCATCTGCATCTGCATCTGGACAAGGGGAATGTGATGGTTCCTAAAAGCTTGGAAACACCAGGAACCACAGAGCCCTGAAGAGGGCATCACAACCTTGGCTCTAGGATCCTCTAGGTCTGGGCTCTCCAAAAGGTCTTCTCTCCTTCTTATCGCCTGCAAGATGGAGAGCAGTTGTGGGTGAGAGGGTGTGTTTCATCCCTGTTTGTGTTACAGCTCTTTCAGTCCTGCCATTCAGTGGAACCCAAATTCTTACCCTGCATCCAGGAAGATTGAGGTATGCAAACAACTGGAGGGTGAACAAGGTAGAGAGGAACATCATTGAGTGATGAAACAGCTGTCAGGAGACCTGTAGTGGGTAGCTCCTTTCCGCAGGCAGGTCATGCCAGTAAGTGTCCAGCTCTCAGCAGAGAGGAAACTCACAGTGGGTAGCTCTTTTCCACAGGCAGGTTGTTCTGATGAGTGTCCAGCTTTCGGTGGAGAGCATACCCATAGTGGGTAGCTTCTTTCCACAGGCAGGTCATCCCAGTGAGTGTCCAGTTCTCAGCAGAGAGGAGACCCTCAGTGGGTAGCTCCTTTCTGCAAGCAGGGTATCCCAATGTCTGTCCTAGTCTGGCTGAGTCTGGGGTTTTTATGGGCTCAGAAGGGAGGAAGTGCATGTGGATTGATACATGGGTGATCATGGGTGGGCCTGGAAAAAGCACCATAAGTTCTCACTCTGGGCCATGGACTCCACCTGGAACTGGCAGCTTGGACCCAAGGCTTCAGGCTGTCCCTGGTTTGAAGGTGCAGTTTTACCAGGAACCCACCCCTTTCGACCCAGAACCCTGTCTGCCTCCTGCCACCATAAACATGCCATCCACGGTGCCCATGCTTTGTGTCAAGAAGCGCCTGAAGGCCCATGCCAAACCACTCTCAGCCCCACCTGAGGCTCCCTCCCATGCTTGTCAATGCCCAAGTCCAGAGAGGGCCAATAAGGCAGGGGGCTGGCATGTCAGCACCAGCCTGAGCATGCACACACCCTGCCAGGTTGCAACAGCACTCAGGCTGAGCCACAACTTCACTGTGCCCCCAGAGCAAGCACTGAGAGTGGGGAGAGGCCAGTGAGCAGTAGCAGGTACTTCCGAGTGCACCAGAGCTGGGGGCTTCCAGGGTCTCTAAGAGGGCAGTTATGCCCTGGTCCAGAGCCACCGCTGGGCAGCTGCAGCTACACCCAGGAGTGCAGGGCTTCTGCTCCACCAAGTCAGTATAGGGCAGGGCTCCTGACTTTTCTCAGTTCCCGCTGGCTCTGAGTAGACCTAAGCCCCGCTGCAGCCAGCATTTTCACAGTGGCTGCACCAGACGGGCCACTCTTGCAATTAGTAGTTTATTGAGAGAATGCCAATTTTGGATAATACCAAGGCCCCCTATAGCAATTTATAAAAGTTATAAAGTATCACCAGACATCCTGAGGCATAGCTGGAAAAGGGAATATGTTTTGGAGAGACTTTAAATGATACATTATTTTTCATACAGTTGTGAAATACAGACCCACTAAACATTTTAACATTTATGTGAATGTCCCAAGATTAGGAGCTTTGTACATGATAAATGCTGAATAAATAAATGCTTAATAAATTAATATATCAATTAATGTTAATTAGTTCTTAAAATAATGGGTGTAAAAAGTTCAGAGAGACTTATAATCAAGGATAAAGGCAAAGTATTAGTATATTATGTAATTTATATTCAAGGTATTCTTCAATACTGCCTTTTTAAGAAACATTATTCTCTTATAATTAAATAAAAATAATTATTTGGGTAAGGTTGCTAATCTCTGTTTCATACAGTTAGTCCGTAATTAGATATAGTTGAATATTTTGACAAGGTCATTTGCAAAACATCTCCATTTAACTGTTGGCAAATTGATTAAATTACAACATAAATACAAATTTAAATTCTAAAGTGCTTCATAATGCAAAATGAGATAAACAGGTAAACTTAAAATGCTGTCTTTAAGATAAAATATTTCCTTTGATTATTTAAATAATATGCACTAATAAAGAAAATATTACACTATATGATCACCTTGATCATATTAACATGTTTGCTTTCTGTGCTTTGTAGGTTATTATCATATTAAGCCAAGGATAATGTATTTTATTGTCATCCTTTTTCATGCTTCTTACACAGAAATGTTGTACTTCAATTAATGTATCAAAACAGATTATTTATTTTTAAAAATAACCATTTTTGTCTTTTTCTTTTTTATATCTACTTGATAAAATACCAATTTAAGAGTTATATATTCTAGAGAGTGGATATAATTTTTTCCCAGGCTAAGAAAGCAATTGATCAAGTTAAGTTTTAATGAAATCAAGCAGCAGATATTAACAACTTTGTACAAAATTCTTGGTTACAAAAAGGATGTGAAGCCTATATTTCCACTAGAAAATTACAGATCTAGTTGTAGCTTTATGTTTTGAGATACATCTTTTCACTCTTAAAATACATAACCAAATAATCACTGACTTCAGCGAGGGAAAATTATCTTGAAAGACACAACCCATTAAGTTAAAACACTACAGAAATTTGAGAGAGAAAAAAGACTACTTATTATTCTGTCATCTGCTTAGTAGAGTATCTTCTGAAATGTGTAAACTATTCTACATGGATACTTGGAAAGTACACCAAGGTGATCATTTTAATCCATGCATAGGAAAACATTGCATTTGTTTACTAAATGAATAACAAAGATTTTTAAACCAGGGAGATCTAACATAAGATTTTATTCTGCGTATTTTTTATAAACAGTATGTCTCACACATGCAGTCAGAAAAGGCAAATATTGGATCAGAAGATCTTAACCTTACTATAGTTTCTTGTATTCAACAGCATCATGCTATTTCTGACGGAATACCTCCAGGCCTGGTGCTGAAGAGTAAAACTCTAGGCCTCGTTGTTAAAAGTATATTAGTGTGGTTGAAAGAACTCTGCCTTCACTGTGACAAAGACTTCCTCTTTGACCAAAATTTAGTCAGGTAACTGTGAGCCCTCTGCTCCACTAGGTCTCAACCTTGGGCTTCTGTCTTCATCTTTGTCAAATTCATTGATAGCAAGAATCCTAAGCCAGTTTAACAAGAAATCATCACTGTTGATATCTGATCATCCTGGCCTGCTTTAAGCAAAGATTCTAAGTGGGTTTATCAAAAATCCTCTCTCCTTGATGTCTCCTTTCAGTAATTTCCATCCATTGATTCCCTCATCCTGCTTGTCAGTTACATTGATTTCTTTTTTTTTCTTTTTTTGCCATATTCATAGCTAAGCCTCACCTTTATTTCCTATTGCAATATCCCTATTGCAATAGTCTTGACTAAAGTTTTCCCTACTGTTTTAGCAAGTGCCAGAGTATTTTTTTAGCAAGGAAATTTTCCCCCATTGACATATGGAAACAAAGAAGAAAGTCTATAAATAAGCTTTAAAAATGCATTATACCATAATATAAAATGTAAGAAAAGATACTGTCATATATGATATTTCTAACACATTTTAAAAGAAAACAATAAGACAAAGTAATATGGAATACTAAGACATAAGGTTGGCCATAGATATAGGAAAATATCATGTGCTTGTGTAGAGCAGAGTGAATTTACCGTAAATAAGCACAGAATCTCATGATTATTAACTATGTGTTTTGATTATACAATATTAAAGCATTATCATAAACATTCTCTCATTTTTTAAGAAAAATTTTGTCTAATAATAGAGAATGTGTTTGGCTTGCCTCCCCCAAAGAAAATATTTATCTATAATTTCTAAACTAATTAGTTTATAACTAATTAATTACCAGGACTTTGACTTGTTGATTAATATCCTTGCTCCTATATTTAATATACATTATTATTTATATCACCTACTGAAGGGAGTAGTTTCTCAGATGAAATCCAAGAACTATTGCAAACACGTCAATAATCATTCATATCAATATACCGTTGATCCTACTTTATTTATAAAATAGTATTAATACACTAGAATATTCATTTTACATGTACTTTGTCAGAGCATAATTTTAGATTTCTGATTTAAATGAAGAATAGAAAGAGTGTCAGAAAAGATTAAAATTTTTATGCCAAAATTTATTGCCAGTTTTAAAAAAACGTTTCCAGTAAAATCATTTGGAAATAGTTTGAGAAAACAGTTATGGAACAAATAACAACAAAAATCCCCATGACTATGATAATACAGTATAGGAGTTGGCAAGTCTCTAAAAAACAACATGGGGCCTACACATTTTTACTTAAGAATGTGGGGCATGATGTTATTATATATATATATATATATATATATATATATAAAATTAACCGGAAATAAGAAGACTTTGTCTTCTGACAACCCAGGCATGAGCTCTTAGTTTTAGGAGACAAATTCAAACCTATTTCATAATCATGGAAATTTCCATAGCAATACATCAGAAAACGTTTGATATACGCTCAGCTTGGTGCTATGTAGAAGTTTAAAATGTATTTTTGGTTAGAAAGCTGTTATATGACTTAACTCTGCTGTTAATCATGGATTATAGAAAGAAGGTAAGGTACTAGAGAATGACAAAAGAAGCAGCCCATCCCTGCAGAGATACACAGAGATACACGAATTGACGTTCTGATTAATATGTAGGAATAAGTTATTGTGGTTTAGTTGGCAGTTTTTCAATAACTAATGAATCTGAACATGTTCTCATAATATCACTGGTTTTTAAAACATTGTTTAAAATATCTGAATGGGTCTTTTATGTATTTATAAAGTATCTATTTAGTTGGGTGTTAATTTTTATAATTGATTTGTGTGATACGGATATAAAATTTCTTTTACAACTTTTCTCATTTTGGCTTGCTTTTCAATCCATTAAAGGTGCTTACTGATAAATAGAGGTTCTTAGTTTTATCACTTTTATCCTTCACACCTTGGTTAAGAAACCTTTGCCTAACTTCCATGGTCATGAAAATAGTATCGTCTGTTTTTTTTTTCAAAGCACTTTATCATTTGGCTTTCACATTTAGATTTAAAATTTATGTAGACTTAGTGTGCTATGAGGTAAATTTCTAAGTAATTTTTTCCAGTAGGTAACCAGTGATCCAGCACAATTTAATGAAAAGATGATTCCATTGCCACTGCAACTTTGTTTTTCATAATTCAGATAAACATATATTCATGTACCCCTTTAGGTTATCTATTCAGTTCTGTTGTTTTATTTATCTATTTTTATACCAATATCATACTATCTAAATTATTAAGGCTTCATAATGAATTTTAGTCTCCTTTTGCTATTTCTGGCCTTTGACATTAGTGTTTAAATTTGAATATCACACACTTAATAAGCCTGCAATCTACTAGCTATAACAAATTCAACATGAATTTCAGAACACAGTTACTAGGATAACCATAGTAAAATGTCTACAGAAACATTTAGCAGAAAGAAAAGAAAAAGAAAAGCAATGAAAGTAATCATAGATTTAAGAATGGATCAATAAATTTTGTAATAGTCACAAAATGAAATACTATGTCATGATAAGGAATGAATCTCAACTATAAGCTATGACAAGAATAAAATTTTAATATCATATCATGAAGTCAAAAAAGCAAGCCCCAGAAATGAAAATATAATATGAGAGTGTTTCATAAAATTCAGCAAGTAATACAAATTGATAAGTATATAGACAGAAATAGATAATAGGGTTGGGGGTTATGGTGGCCTACACGAGGCCTAGGCAGGAGAATCACTTGAGGCCAGGAGTTTGATATCAGCCAGAGCAAGTAAGATTCCCTTCTCTATAAAAATTTAAAAATTAGCCGAATGTGGTGGCGTGTACCTGTAGTCCTAGGTACTTGGGAGGCTGGGGCAGGATGATTGCTTGAGCCCAGGAAGTTTTGGTTACAGTGAGCTATGATTGTGCCACTATACACCAACCTTGGCAACAGAGTAAAACTCAGTCACTAAGGGGGAAAAAAAAAGATATGATAAAACTTTATAAATGTATGTGAGTGTATGATAAATATTTTTAAAGAATGAGAATATTAAAACTCAAAAATAAAAACAAAATAAAAAATTGATGGAAGGAAAGAGAACAAGCAAATAAATAAATAAGATGTTATTACCTATGTAATACATTTTTGGATATATTCTACTTTTGTTCGACAGTGTTTTTACATATCTGCATGAGTAAATGTCCAGGCATTAAAAATATTGGAATTGTTCTCATAAAACAAAAACTATGCATAATTCAACTTTATACCTGAGATCATAAATAATTAACCAATTAAATAAATACATATGTTATGTAGATATTTAATTCACATCATACCAAATCCGTGTTTTCCACAGAATTTTTTTTCATGCTTGATGATACAAATATATATTTTTAACCACATTTCTTTCTTTTAAGAAATTCTTCAAACTTTCTTAATCATTGAGTTGTATAATGACAAAAAGTTCGGGGTTATAAATGTAATTCACTTATAAAACTGATAATTTTATAAGAAAATTTGAATAGGCTAAAAATAATTTTTAAAGTTCTAATATCTTGCTCTTTCCAAGAGGAACTTTGTGTTTAACAAGATTGAAAGTTGCAGATCTCCTCATATAAATGCAAACTAGATGTGGCATACAGAAAAGGCCATTTCCTCAAATCTAAATCTCTTTAAACATCTGATCTAATATTGAAAAAAATTCCATCAGAAAAGTAACAACAAACTTTCCTATAAAGGCCAAAGGGTATCCAAAGAAAATTGAAAAAAAAACTACGCATAATTACAGACATAACAAACATTAGTTACTTTTACCAATACATTATTCCACACGCAATGTTAATTTTTCTCCCCCTGCCCTACCAGCACTTTCCCTATAAAGTGTTGATTTAAACACTTGATTCTGATAGAAAACCTGAAAGTTTTGCTATTTTAAACAGGTGTGTACATAATAGCACAAAGACTAATTTTCAGCACTCTCAAGTATAAAAAAGAGCCTTTGAAAAGCAATATAATATTTGACAAGAATTGTTCCATAATGTTTTGAGATACCCAAAGGCTGTGTTATATTTGTATTTTTTAAGCTTGCACTTCTCCACACTTTTATTTTCTAACAACTCTAAATCTGTATACAACAACCTGTCAACCAGAGTCATTTAATAGTTGTAAAAAGTAGGAAAAGAAGATTATCGATACGATAGTATGAACCCTCATTGTTATTATTTTTATAGTGCCTACGAATGATTCTAACTCTGAACTCTAAATAGGTCTCTCTCTCTCTCTCCCTGATTGGTGGTCTCATCAGATTCAATGCCATCTACACAATGAAAATTCCTAGATGTACATCCTTAGCCAAGTTTCCTCTCCTAAACTCCGTACAGGTAAACCTAATGATTTGATATAGATCTCCACTTAGATGCTCTCTGCACATTCCCCCAAAACCTGTCATAGATTTCCTCATTTTTACTAAATAGTTATGGTTATTTAATTATTTTGGTTGCACAAATGGAACCCAAATGCTATAGTTGACCCATTCTTTCCACTTCATACAATTTCTCAATATATTCTGTGGACTCTAATTGAATATGTTCAATCTCTCCATATATTCTGTGGACTCTACTTGAAATATGTTTGTAGAATTTGATCACTTCTCACAGTCTCCATTACTTTTGCTCAAGCACCATAATTTCTCAAAATTTTTACAATAGCCTAACTGGTCACCTTTTGACCTTGTCATATTACTTTCTCCTATCCAAAGGCAGACAAAGTGATCTTTTAGAAAGGTAGGTCTTATAATGTCATACCATTGTTCCAACCTCCTTAAAGGCTTCACACTTAAAATAAAAGCAAAAGTTCCTGCAAGACATCTATTCTGTCATTATCTTTGTGACCTTGTCACCTATTGCTCTACCTCTTATCCAGAAACTTCAGTTTTTCACTATTCTGAACACACATCAAGCATTCTCCTGTTTCGACCAAGCATTTTCCTATCTTGGCTACCACACCATCCTTGAGTACTTCTTCAAGTGCTAACTGATATGATATGTCTATCATTTAACATTGGAAAAGCATCCTTTATACACACACACACACATACATATGTATATTATATATTTTATATATCTAGATCAATATCTATCTATCTATCTATCTATCATCTATCTATATCTACATGCCCATCTGTGTCTTCATCTGTATGTCTTACATTTACTATAAGTATATATATAGTAATTCTTTAAACTTAGATTAAATTATTTTGAAGTGAAAATTCTTTAAGTAATTTGCCCTTTAGGGCCTATTAAGAAACCACTGTCTTATAAATTTTCTCATGCAATACATATGAGCAAAATGTAATGAAAATGGTATGTCAGCCAGCTGTGGTGGCTTACTCATGTAATACCACCCCTTTGGGAGGCTGAAGTGTGTGGATCACTTGAGGTCAGGAGCTTGGGACCACCCTGGTCAACATGGCGAAACCTTGTCTAAAAATACAAAAATTAGCCAGGTGTGGTAGTGTGTGCCTGTAATGCCAGCTACTTGGGCAGCTGAGGCAGGAGAATTGCTTGAACCCGGGAGGTGGAGGTTGCAGTGAGCTGAGATTGAGCCACTGCACTTCTGCCTGGGCAAAAAGAGTGAGGCTCTGTCAAAAAAAAAAAAAAAAAAAAAAAAAAAAAGAAAAGAAAACGATATGTCAAGCAAATACATGTGCCTACTGAAAGAGCTCCAAGTGGCCAAGGCTGGAACAAATGGAGCAAAACAAAAGGAAACGGTCAAATTATTTTCTAGAATGTCTGCATTATTTTACATCTCTATTGGTGATGAATGAGATAGCCACTGATCCTGGTAAGGTTGTGCTCCGTGATCCCTAGATTGTACTTATTGTACTTTTTCTAAAAACAATGTCTTTAGTCTTTCTTGTTCTTGTTTACTTTTTTTTTTTTTTTTTTTTTTTTTTTTTTTTTTTTTTGGAGATGGAGTCTCACTCTGTCGCCCAGGCTGGAGTGCAATGGCGGGAGGCACTGCAGCCTCCACCTCCTGGGTTCAAGCAATTCTCTTGCCTCAGCCTTCCGAGTACCTGGGATTACAGGCATGCCCCACCGTACCCGGCTAATTTTGTAATTTACTTAGTAGAGTCGGGGTTTCTCCATGTTGGTCAGGCTCCTCTTGAACTCCCGACCTCAGTTGATCCACCTGCCTCAGCATCCCAAAGTGCTGGGATTATAGGCATGAGTCACCGTGCCTGTCCTGCTTTGGTTTTTAAATTTATATCACATACAGATATTTGTATTTTATTGTATGAGCTATAGAGCTACATTTATTGCCTTACATATGGATAAATGCCAATACTATCAATCAATTTATTTTATTTTATTTTTCAGCAGTTAAGTCATATTACTATTGAAGTGAGCATTGATACATTTGATTAATATCGATCACATTTATAACTGTTTTCCATTCATTTCACTTATTCTTTGTTTTTTTCCCCTTCTTTTTCTACCTTCTCTGGTTTTAATTGGGTGTATTATATAGTTTCATTTTAACCCCTATTCAGTTATATCAATAATATAAATTACTTTGTAATATTTTTAGTTTTGTTCTAGAGTTTTCAAAAGCATCTTAAACTAATCTAAACCTCTCTTAAAATAACACTATTCCACTTCACATATACTGCAGTTGTCTTAACGCAGATCATTCTCAATACTTCCCTCCCATACATTACAACACTGTTGTCATTCATTTATTCTTATGTTATAGTCACACAAAGCTGTGTGAATAACTGTTTTAGTATTACTTTAAAAAACTTATCATGTAGATCAATTAAAAACAGAATAAGTAAATTATTTTATTCAGCCTTTATTTATCCCTTCTCAACACTCTTTCTTTATGTCAATCTGAGTTTCTGACTTTGATTTGCCTGAAGAACTTCTTTAACATTTCTTTCTGGGCATGCCTGCTGGCAATAGATTTTCCTGATTTTTGTTTGTTTAAGAAAGGCTTTTCCATTCACATTTACAGGATAATTTTGCCTGATATAGAATTCTAGGCTCATAGAGTTTTTTTTTTCTTTCCACATAAATATTTTACTATATTCTCTCCTTGTGTGCACGGTTCTAAGAAAAAGTACAATGTAATTCTTATCCTTGTTTCTTTACATGTAAGATGTGTCCTCTGCCCCTGCTCCATCTAGGTTTTTTTTTTTTTTTTTGAGATTTTCCTCCTTGTCTTTGATTTTCTACACTTTTTATATGCTATACCTAGGTATAGATGCTTGAGGACTTATCCTGCGTTGTGTTCTCTGAGATTTCTGGATCTGGTGGGTTTTTTTGTTTGTTTTTGTTTTTGTTTTTTTTTTGTCTGTAATTGACTTTTTTTAGTGTAATTGATTTTTTCAATTTTTTGACCACTATTATCTAAAGCTATTCTTCTGCTCTTTTCTCTCTTCTGGTTTTCTATTTTTGCATAAGTTATGCCCTTTGAAATTGTCTCACATTCAGCTTTTCTTCATTCCTTTTTCTCTGTGCAGTTCAGGTTGGGAGATTTCTTTGATTCTTGCTAATATTTTTCTTTGGTCTGCCAGTTTACTGATGAGCCCATCAAAAGCATAATTTGTTTCCATTTCAGAGTTTTTGATTTCTAGCATTTCCTTTTGATTCTGTCTTATCATTTCCATCCCTTTGCTTACTTGTCTATCTATTCTTGCATGCTGTCTACTTTCTCCATTAAAGCCTTCAACAGGTTAACCATAGGTATTTTATATTACTGTGAGATAATTCTATAATCTGTTTCATGTTTGAGTTTGGTTGGGATTCTTGCTTTGTCTATTCAGACAGTATTTTTGTCTTGCCTTTAGCATTTTTTGTTTAAAGATAAGCATGATGTATTGAGTAATAGGAACTGAGAAAAATAGATCTTTACTGTGATTTTATGCTAATATGGCTAGAAGTTGTGTTCTATTTCATATTTTCTGTAGCTGTAGGTGCTTAAAATTATTCTAATGTCTAGTATTTTTGTCTCCCTTGTGTATGGGTTTTCCTAAGAACTTCTATCAAGTATTGTTCTTGCTATTTTGCATCTTTTAAAACTATAATCCACTATAGTGGAGCCCTGTTTATATGGTGGTAAAGTGTGGGGAAGGGGAAATATTCCATGATTTTATAAGATAATTATATGTGTTTATCTCAATGTTTTAGTGGGTAAGTGTCCCTAGGCTGTGATATTCTCAAGCATTTCTTATCTCCAATTTCTCTCCTTAGGTTAGACAGGAGAGCAAGAAGATCTGGGTTTTGGTAATATTTCTTCTCCCGATAAAGTCTTTCCCCCTGTTTTCTTATGGCTAACTCTCTGGATGCATTTCATCATGGTCATTTTCTTCTTTCCTATGCCAGAGGTAACAGGGACTCTTTCTTGGCTTTTTATGATGAGAATCTGGTAATATTCCTGGAGGTATCATTCATTCACTGTATTAATTTTGGTGTGGGGAAAATAAATAAGGCTCCCACCCTGAAGCTATTTTATACTCAGCCTCCAGCAATTCATCGAAATCACTATTAAAGTGTTACCAGTTTATTGTTCCAGCAGCCCAAAAACTCAGAAGCTGCTGGAGCAGATCTACTTCAGGTAAGCAGATGTTGGCTGTGTTTTTACTTTTTTCCTTTGGCAATCTCTCCAAGTTTGGGTGTGGTGGTTTGCTTTGCAAGCTCCCATCTCTGATGAGTCCAAGAAGTCATTTACTTTGGTTTGTTCAGCTTGGTCTTTTTTGTAAGGATAGGATGACAACTTCCAAATGTGTCAGGGCTGCTACTTATTTATTGAGATTAATGTTCTATTCTAAAGTGTTCACTCTACTAGTAGAGTTCCTGGGGACTGAGTAAAATTCAAATTCATGAGCTTCACCCAGCACAATTTTATTTAGGTTTAAAAAACTGTGCAGGGACAAGGCATGGTGGCTCATGACTGTAATTTCAACACTTTAGGAGGCTAAGGCAGGTGATTCATTTGAGCACAAGAGTTCGAGACCAACCTGAGCAACATAGCAAGATCCTAACTTTTATAAAGTAAAAATATAAATATAAATAAATAAATTAAAAAGCATGCAGGTTAAGAAATAACATAGCATTCATGGTATAATTCATATGTCATGTCTTTAAGGTACAACTTTCCTTGATCATAAAACGATGTAAATGTGCGTGGTGTATTAGGCCATTCTTGTGTTGCTATAAAGAAATACCTGGGACTGGGTAATTTATAAAGAAAAGAGGTTTAATTGGCTCAGATTTCTGCAGACGGTAGAAGAAACACTGTGCTGGCTGGCATTTGTTTCTGGTGAGGGTCTCAGATAGCTTACAGTCATGGTGGAACGTTAAAGGGAAGCAGTTGTCTCACATGATGAGAGTGTGAGCAAGAAAGAGAGGGAAGGGGTGCCACACACTTTAAACAACCATATCTCGCGTGAACTGACTTATCACCAAGGAAATGGTGCTAAGCCATTTATGAGGTATCCATCTCATGATCCAAACACCTCCCACCAGACCCCACCTCCAACAATGGGGATTATATTTCAAAATGAGATTTGGAGGAGACAAATATTCAAATCACATCATATAGGTACTTCCATTCAGGGAAATAATTAGCTCTGGGGCTGTAACTGTCCAATGGGTTCACCTTGCCTGCTGCCTAGACAGAGCTGATTTATCAAGACAGGGGAGCTGCAATACAGAAAGAATAATTCGTGCAGAGCTGGCTGTGAGGGAGACCGGAGTTTCATTTTTACTCAAATCAGTCTCCCTGAGCATTTGGGAGTTAGAGTTTTTAAGGACAACTTGGTGGGTGGAGAGAAGCCAGTGAGCCAGGAGTGCAGATTGGTCCGGTCAGAGATGAAATCACGGGGAGATGAACCTGTCCTCCTGTGCTGAGTCAGTTCCTGGGGCGGGGGCCAGGGGGCGGTTGGGAGGCACACAAGATCAGATGAGCCAGTTTACAGCCTCCCTTGGTAGCTGCGTGATTCCTAAAACATAATTTCTAATCTTGTGGCTAATTTGTTAGTCCTACAAAGGCAGTCTAGTCCCCAGGCAAGAAGGAGGTTTGTCTTGGGAAAAAGCTGTTATCATCTTTGTTTTACACTGTAAACTTAGTTCCTCCCAAAGTTAGTTTGTCCTACGCCCAGGAATAAAAAAGGACAGCTTGGAGTTTAGAAGCAAGACAGAGTTGGTTAGGTAATATCTCTTTCACTGTCCCAATTACAATTTTGCAATGGTGGTTTCAGGGCTATTTAAGCATTGATACCTAGTTAGCCACACAATTCACACAATGCATGTAATTAAATGTCACCTGCAATTCACTCAGCTCCCTCAGAAATGTTATTACCCCCATTATCTGGAATGCCTTCATTGCATCAATGAAAGTTATCCTTTGCTGAATCTCAGGAATTAGTCTGATGCATAGTCTTACATGCATTTTCATATATCACATGTGTGGTATAGGCTGACTCTGAAAATATCCTAGATTTATAACATAAAAGTAAAATTCTTATCCCTCTGACTGACTGAACAGACCCCTCTTGGCCAAGGAGACCACAGAATAACTTTCAAAAGTTTCCCCATCCATGACAAGACAAGAGGTCAGTTGCACCTCACGATACCCTCTTCCTCACTAACCATTAACAGAATATTTTTCCTAATAGTTAAACAGAATCCAGCCCTGGAAAACAAAGAATGTAAGACTCCTACAGCGACTTCAACTTCACCAACCTCATGACACCACTACCAGGCTCCCCTCCATTTTCCGGATTTCCACATGACAGCTGGCGAGCTTACAGAGCATTCCTTCCTGATAAACGAGTACTGACCATCGGCTTCTAGCTGGCTTACAGAGCATGAATGAAAAGCGTCTTTTGACTTTTTAATAATAGCCATTCTGACTGGTGTGAGATGGTATCTCATTGTGGTTTTGATTTGCATGTTACTAATGATCAGTGATGTTGATATTTGCATATGTCTTTTTTTTGAGAAGTGCCTGTTCATGTCCTTATTGCACTTTTTACTAGGGTTGTTTGTTTTGTTCTTGTAAATTTGTTTTAGTTGCTTATAGATCCTGGATATGTCAAATGCATAGTTTGCAAAAATTTCCCCCCATTGTGCAGGTTGTCTGTTTACTCTGTTGATAGCTTATTTTTCTATGCAGAAGCTCTTAATTAGATCCCATTTGTCAAATTTTGCTTTTGTTGCAATTGCTTTTGGCATCTTCATCATAAAATATTTGCCCATGCCTATGTACTGAATGGTATTGCCTAGGATTTTTTCCAGGGTTTTTATAGTTTTAGGTTTTACATTTCAGTCTTTAACCCATGTTGAGTTGATTTTTGTGTATGACGTAAGGAAGGGGCCCAGTTTCACTTTTCTGCATATGGCTAGCCAATTTTTCCAGAACCATTTATTATATAGGGAGTTCTTTCCCTATTGCTTGTTTTTGTCAGGTTTGTCAAAGATAAGATGATTGCAGGTGTGCGGTCTTATTCCTGGGTTTTCTATTCGGTTCCATTGGCCTATGTGTCTGTTCTTGTACCAGTATCAAGGTGTTTTGGTTACTATAGCCTTACAGTAGAGTTTGAAGTTGGGTAGCATGATGCTTCTAGCTTTGTTCTTTTTGTTAGGATTTCCTTGGTTATTGAGCCTCTTTTTTGGTTCCATACGAATTTTAAAATAGTTTTTTTTTTCTAGTTCTGCAAAGACTGTCAATGGTAGTTTAATGGGAATAGAATTGTATCTATAAATTCCTTTGGGTAGTATGGGCATTTTCACGATATTGATTCTTCCTATCCATGAGCATGGAATATTTTTCCATTTGTTTGTGTCGTCTCTAATTTCTTTGAGCAGTGGTTTGTAGTTTCTCTTGTAGAGGTCCCTCACTTTCCTTGTTAGCTGTATTTCTAGGAATTTTATTCTTTTTTGTGGTAATTGTGAATGTTTATGAATGAAGTACTAATAAGTTGTTTGGAAGCTCTCTGAGCATTGGTCATTCTTACCATAGGGACTGATAAGTCAGAAAACTGGGTCTTTTTTTGGAGAATTTACTAAAATTCATATATATATACACATATATATATACACATACATGTGATATATGAAAATATGATACATGAAAATGCATGTAAGACATGTGATATATGAAAATGTATATACACATATGTATGTGTATACATATGTGTATATATACACATATTATATATACACACACACAGATATATATATATATATATATATACACATATTATATATACACACACACAGATATATATATATATATATATACATTTTTTTTTCTCCTGGTCAAATTAGTTTCTCAAGAAGGCAATTTTCAGTATCCTTTCTGGGGGACTGTAAATTTAGATTCTAGTATTCTGATAGTAATCTAATAGAAACAAAAAAAACAAACTGAGGTTGTTCAAATTCATCCTGCCAATTTTCATATAATCTACCTGTTTTCAGTGTGGCACCTCACTTTCATTCTCAGTTGTGTCTGGTATTTATGTTCTAGCACTTGTCTCTTTTAGTATCAGGAAGTAAACATTACATTTGTGAGGCCCAGTCACTTGATAATAGGCTTGGAAAATGAATCTGGGGATTAACCTTCTACTTAACCAGTTACTTCTTTTTCAGATTATTATTTAAAATTACCCAAAACTTTAATTATCTGTCAGGAATCTCAACAGGGCATTGCTTTTTATTTAGAATGTGAGAACAGTTAATTTTCATGTTTAAACACATTTTAAATTGATACGTTAAGCTATTTTGTCTATCTTCTTTATATTTTCTAAGGTTTTATTGACTTTTCAGTATGCTTTTATTTCTATTATACTGGGTTTGCTTGCTTGTCTCTGTTTCGTGGTATTTGTTTGCTTTTTAGTGCCGTAATGTCAAAAAATATGCTCATCCAACTGGGTTTAATGATACATTCTCTCCTCTCAGTTTTGCAGAATTGAATAAAAATATCTAACAAAAAGAAAAAATTAATTAAAATGATGCCCCTATATCTTACCGTCATGATTACAAAAATATTATTTACATAAAGAAAAACGTGAACAAAACAAAGTACCAAAGAATATCTATTCTCTGCCATAAAGTATTTTACCCATAAAATTATAATGAAGAGAATTTAGATAAGAGTAACGAAGAATATATTTGGGTCAAAGAAAATGATATTATCTTTCAACTTAATTTTGCATCTTGGGGGATAGGGAGTTACAACCTGTTTCTATGTTCATTCCAGATTTTCATTACTGAGCTTATTAATTATAGGTTAATTCTTTTTATATGATTTAATATTTTTATTGCATTTTGACGCTGCTATTTTCTACAGTACAGTGGACTACACTAGAGAATATACTGGGCTTGAATTTTACAGGTTTATGCATATTTTCAGATATCCTGAAAACACTTTTTAAAAATATAACAAAACTATAAAACACACTCTCTTTTCCTTTGTATATAAATTTATTTGTACCTTAGTATATTCATACCACTTCTAAGTAATAAAAAAAGTTGCGTCTATTTTCTTTCAAAGGATGCAATGAGAATGAAAATCAAGACACAATGCTAAAAGTATAATAGGAACCTGTAGGATGTTAATTGTTATTTGATATTGCTGTGTGATAATGTCTCATAATTGCCACTTAAAGTAAGGTACAGCAAGACGTAGTGTAATGTCTTTGATAGTTTGACTGAAAGATAATTTTTCTAAATATTCTAAGAGCAATGAGTCACTGCAAAGAAACTAGAGAGCAAAAAAGGCGGGAAACATTTATCACCAACTTGTAAAGGGAGAAATGTCCTCTGAAGAAAAATATCACAATACAATATGGTAATAATTACTTAACTATGTTTGAGTCTACATTGCCTAAATTTATTCTACTTTGGCTAGAAACAACATTAATATGTACATGCAGGTCTGAGTTTGGTAAATATATTATTAATATGATTTTATCACCTTATTAAACAAGAAAAACAGCTAAGGTAAAAATCAATTTGAAAGGAAAAGACTTGAAATTATCTTTACAACCCTGTGGAAACAGACCTAATTTTATGTGTTACTGCAAAAGGAGAAAACAGAATAAAAGCTATGATAAAATTATACAAGAGAGACTAAACCCCATTGAAAATATGAACCATAAAGAAATAAATCCTTAGTATTATGTAAGCAGAGTACTCTTTACACAGATGAATGTAAGTCTTCACAAAAAATATATACTTAGTTTTCTATAAATAACATTTTGCTGTATCTTATTTTGGTAAAATGTATGCATTATTAATGAGACAGTGACCATTTTTATTAACATTTCTTTGTGTTAATTTTTACATCAAAAGATTAACTTAAAATGCAATGTGTTAATAGTGTATTAGTAGTAATAATATTAATCATGCATTGTATTTTAAATTTATCTTTAGGATTGTAATGTACAGGTAATGAATTTAATGGGAACTATAATAATCATGCCGGTATCTTTTCTAAAATGGATATAAATTAATTCCCACATTTTACATTAAATTAAACAATTTATGGCTAGTCAAAGTGCATTTTACTATAAAATTTCATTTGATATATAACAAATCTATTAGAATACTTATTATATTTTTCCTAAATAATATCTATGAAACCATAAATTTTTGTAATATATTTTGAAATTTGATAGTGTTGAGTAACAGTTTCTATCTCATATCTTTGTTTCTATTTTATCCAATAATTTATTTTGTCAATCATCTAATAGTATATTTAATTAGGGCACTGTGGCTTAATGATATAGATAAAAAATGACATTAACATTATATAATTCCAAATTAAGGAAAGATTTGCCTTATTCTTAGTAGAAAAGGAGCTTCACACTTACACTTTTAACAAAGTAGGTTAATTTTTACATAAGTACATAGAATTCTATATATCTAAAATATTTTAGGAATTTGTACAACCAAACTTGGCTCCCAGGACCTACAATAAGTTCAGGATTATTTAGATTCATAACTTTTACCACTTTTTAAACTTGCTGCTTCCACTTAAAATTATTTGGCAATTACGTGCATGTTAGTACTGAGATTAGTCAGGATCCTAGAAGGAGTACATCTCAGAAAGTTTAATAAAAGAAATATTCACCAAAGAAAACAAAATAGGAAGAGTACAGCACTCCTGAGTTTACATGATAGATACCATTGGGCACCTCTGGGCAAGAGGAGGGACCACTTACCTAAATCCAGAGTAGCTGTATGAAGACGACCAACTCTCAGGAGCTGTGGGAAAGACACAGACCACTGAAGTTAACCTGTCAGAAAGATAATCAGGAGAAACAATATCCTGAATTATCTTTCCTCCACTTCTCTGTTCTCCTGAAAATATCTCCTATTGGCCAAATCCAACAAGATAAAGTGCAAAAGAACTCATTGGTACAAACTACAATCTTAGCCTCCTGAGATAAAGAACTGAGTGGAGAAGACAAATGGTAGTATTGGGAGTACAAGTTGAGCATCATAGACACTACAAACATTATGGTCAACATTTTAAGAGAAAAAACATCATCAATTTTTTTCTGTAATTGGGAGAGTAATTCTATATGTCTCTGGAATAGAAAAAAAGGAGAACAGCAGAAAAAAAGGAGCCAGATAGACAATGAGGAGCAGACTGTTAGTTCTAACACTACAGATTGAGTCGGCCTTTAAGCTATAGAAAAGGATGAGCAAAGTTTTGAGAAGAGTTGTGGCCAATCATATTTGTTCCTCAGAAACATCATATTGTCTATGATTGATTGTATGGAGGTGGTCAAAGAAAGGGTAGGCCAGAGTGACATGATTTCTGAATGACACCTAAGAAGCAATATATTTCATACACTGAAAGCAACAGATTACAAGATGTAAACAAAGTTTATGGTAAGGGAATGAAAGATAATTAGATTAATTTTAGTCATATTTAATTATAATATTTAGTAGAATAACCAATATTTGAAATTAAAATTTCAAATAAACAGATATGTTTTTATGGTCTTTAAAAAAATGATGAGTTGGCAGTAATAAGTTGGAAATCATCAACATATATTGGCAAATAAAGCCAAGCTAGAGCAAGAAAAGTGCCTGGTAGGAAGGCACATATGGGCTGAAAATGGAAAACAGTTCAAAGGAAAGCTCAAGATATATCAAAAATGTAAAAGTATTGCTCAGTGCTGAGTAATAAATTATTGGACTCATAATTAAAAGTAGTACTTTATTCCAGGAATTGTTTTAGGTCCCTGGGACACCATGGTAAAGAAGATATACCTTAGTCTTGACTTCACAGAACCTCCTGTCAGTGAGTAAAAAAGAGAAAACCATATAAATAACAAGTATAATATTATCAAGTAGAATTAGTGTTAAAGAAATAAACAGATTTAAATGACAATTCGTATGTTAACATATTTAGGTAAGGTCTTTTAAAGAAATAGTTGTTTGGATTGCTGGCTGAAAGCAGAGAAAAAGCTATCAACATGATGTGTAAGAGTAGAGTATTAACAAGTTATTTGAAAAGTCAGTGGTAAGGCTATATGTTTTTACCAATATCTTAAAGATAGTTGATATGTTTTCCTCAAAAAGTTTTATAATTTTTGTTTTTAGCTAGAGTCCTCCAGTTAATGACCATTGTCATTATCTTTCCTTTTATTTAGATTACTTATTTCTCTCAAAAATATTTTGAATATTTTAGTAGTATCTCTAATGTAGTTTAAGTAAACAAAGATATCTTTAACAAGATATTAAATTTTAAAAATGATAAAATTTTAAAAATAATAAAAATAAATAATTGAAAATAAATTTAAAAAATCTTGGTCTTTTAATCAACATTTAGTAATAGGGATCAGATGTACACTTCTTTCTAAAAAAAATAATGAATAAAATATATGAAACAGTTTAAAGGCGATGGACATCAGACAATGAAGACCATGGTCCCTGAGATTCTGGGAACAAATAAAGTGAGCGCTGGGTTTGTTTTAATTCACTTCCTTGTATGAGTTTCCTGGCAGCAGGACATTGGAGGGAGAAATTCAGGAATGTCCTAATAAAACTTGCAGTTAGGAGATGAAGCCGAGAGTCCAGGGAGATTAAACATCAAGAGAGTTCAGAACAGAATGCTAAGGAAAAAAATTCTACAAAGGGAAAAAATTCTCGATACCTCTGAAGGGTTGTTCTTCTACAGTTGGCTGAGTACAGATAAGTCCATACCTGTAAGGAAAACATCCTAGGTCAGAATAACAACCACCTGAATAGATTAGGTACCAACACATGGCCAAAAATAGTGTCTGTTCTCAGAAGCCACAGTGAATTTCTCATAATTCACAGGGCATTGGGTAGGGTATTCAGAAGGTCTTGAGTCAGTAGTGGGGTATAATTAATCTTGGACGAAACACTTCACTACTCCTATCAAACAGTTCTTACAAACGGGACTCCCCTTCCCAGTAAGCATTTTCTAAGTAGTTAAACTAGATTGCAAGCCAATATTTATAGAAATATGTAAATATCCAGTACTCAACAAGATAAAAAAAACTGCTTGGTAGCTAAGCAAAAATTACTATGCATGCAAAAAATAGAAATAACTAATAAGGAGAACAACAAACAACTTGAAAGACACTCAAAAGTGGCACAAACGGTATAACTGCTATACAGGGATATCTAAAAAGCTATCATAATCATAGGCATTCCTTCCCCCCCATAAATGTTTTCTCCATACTCAAAATTTAGGTGGAGATATGAAAGATATATTTTAAGTCAGAGTTGTAGAAGTGTAAAATATAATGCTGAAAAAAAATGCAGAATGGAAATTACACTTCGCAGAGGAAAATATTAGTAAACTTGAAAATATAGCAATAGAAAAAAAATCTATCTATCTATAAACAGAGAATAAGTAGAATTATAGAATACATACGCAGAGCACCAGTGAATGGTGAGACAAATTCAAGCTGCCTAATACATACGCAAATAGAATTCATAGAAGATGAAAGATGAAAAGAAGGAAGAACAGTAAACAAGAAATATCTAACATGGGCCAGAATGTTTACAAGTTTGAATAAAAGTGCCATTCACAAGATCCAAGAAACTCGACAAACTCCAAGCACAAGAATTATAAACAAAGCTACACCAAAGAACGTCATAATGAAATCATTGAAAACCAATGATTAAAACAAAATCTTGAAATCAGTCAAAACAAAAAGGCATGGTATGGACAGAGGAACAAATATCTTAAACAATGCAAGTCTGAAGAGAGTTGGGCAACATTTCCCAAGTACTGAAAGAAAACAAACAAAAAAAGCATGCAAAACAATTCTCCATCCAGAATTCCATAATTGGTAAAATATCTTTTGAAAATGAAGGCAAAGTAAAAATCTTTCCATGCAGACAAAAGCTTAAATAACTTACCAGTAGATCCACTCTACATGATACGTTGAAGGAAGTTTTTCAGGCAATAATAAAATTTTACCAGATGGATATATAAATTTGCACAGACAAATTCTTCTCATTATTTACATCACTTTAAAAAAATAGAGAAGAAGTTCGAGCAAGCTGGCTGAACAGAAGCCCTCCTTAATTGCCCTATCCACACGCACATCCAATCGAACAACTATCTACACAGAAAAAGCACTTTCATAAAAACCAAAAATCAGGTGAACAATCACAGTACCTGGTTTTAACTTCATATCACTGAAAGCAGAACGGAAGAGGGCAGAAAAGACAGTCTTGAAATGCTAACACCATCCTTCATTCTCTGGCAGCAGCTGCATGGCATGGAGAGAGAATCTGTTTTCTTGGGGGAAGGAGAGCCTAGTGACTGTGGAGCTTTGCATTGCAACTCAGTGCTGCCCTGTCACAGCAGAAAGCAACACTGGGTAGAAATCAACTGGCACTTACAGAAGGAACATTTAGACCAGACTTAGCCAGAGGGAAATTGCCCATTCCAGCGGTCAGAACCTGAGTTCTGGCAAGGCTTATCAAAAGAGCTAAATTGCTCTGGAGTCCTAGATAACTTTGAAAGAGACAGCAGTTTGGGGGCAATAGTTGGTGCTGTGCTGGGCTTACAGCCAGTGGACTTGGAGGACATGTGACTTGGTGACACACCAGCTGGGGTAGCAAAGGGAGTGCTTGTGTCACCCCTCCCACAACCCCAGGCAGCAACTCACAGCTTTGGGAGAGACCTTCCTTCAGCTTGAGAAAAAGTGAAGGAAGACTAAAAAGGACTTTGTATGGCAATTTAGATACTAACTCAGCCACAGTGGGATAGGGCACCGGAGACCTGAGATCCCCATTCCAAGCCTTATCTCCTGAAAAACATTTCTCTACACATCCTGGGCCAGAAGGGAACCCACTGCTTCGAAAGGAAAGGCTAAGTTCTGGCAGGATTCATCACCTGCCAAGTAAAAAGCTTTTGGGCCCCAAATAATCAGTTTTTGGGCCCCAAATAATCAGTAGTGGTAACTAGGCATTACTTCTCATGGGACTTGAATGAGACTCAGAGAAGTGCTGGCTTCAGGTGTGACTCAGCACATTACCAGGTATGGTGGCTACAGGGAGAGACTCCTTCTTTTTCAGAAAAAGAGAAAGAACAGAAAAGGGGACTTTGTTTTGCAGCTTAGGTACCAGCTTGGCCACATTGGGGTAGAGCAACAAGCAGGCTCTTGGGGTCTTGCATTCCAGGCCTTGGCTCTTAGATGGCATTTCTGTACCTGGACTGGGCCAAAGGGGAGCCCATTACTTTGAAGAGAAAGTCCCAGGCCTGGTAGCATTCACCACAATCTGACTGAGGAGTACTTGGTCCTTGAGTAAAGCTCAGTGGTAGCCTGGCACTACTTGCCACAGGCCTGGGACAGTGGTGTCTTTGGGAATAGACTCTTCTGCTTGTGGAAAAGGGAGGGAAGAATGAGAACTTTGTCTTATGGTTGAGTGCCAGCTCAGCTACAGTTGAATTAAGCTCTACGTAGATTCCTAAGATTTCTGACTCCAGGCCCTGGCTTTTGAATGGCAACTCTGGACCTTCCTGAATCTGGAGAGAACATGTTACCCTGAAGTGAAGGACACAAGTGGGGATGACTTCATTGACTGCTGATTGTAGAGCCCCAGGGCCTTGAGGGAACATAAGCAGTAGCCAGGCAGTGGTTACTGCGGGCCTTGAGCAAGACCCAGAGCTGTGCTGGCTTCCACTTTGACTCAGTGCAGTCCCAGTGGTGGTAGCTACAGGGGACCACTGTCACCACTTCCCCAGATTCAGGGAGCTCAGCACATAGAGAAAGACTCTATGTGATGAAGAGATCAAAAGTCTCTGTCTGGTAATCGAGAGAGTTCCTCTGAATCTTATCCAAGACCACCAAGGCAGTACCTCTATGAGCAATAGCATTAATGGGCTTGGGGTGCCCCCTAATGCAGATATGGCTGCATGACCAAAAACTTAGATCACAACACCCAAGTCCCTTAGAAAACTTATAATGCCTTCCCAAGAAGGATGGGTACAAATGGGCTCAGATTTCAAAGACTACAATAAATACATAACTCTTCAAATTCCAGTCACAAATAAACCTCCAAAAACTTCAAGACTATCCAGGAAAACATGACCTTACTAAATAAATGTAATAATTTATCAGGGAACAATCCTAGAGAAACAGAGATATGTGACTTTTCAGACAAAGAATTTGATATAGCTGTCTTGAGGAAGCTCAATGAAGTTTGGAATAACAGAGAGAGAGAATTCATAATACTATCAGATAAATTTAAACAAGAGATTGAGATAATTAAGAAGAATCAAGCAGAAATTCTGGAGATAAAAAATGCAGTTGACATAGGGAAGAATACATGAGTCACTTAAAAATAGAATGGATTAGGCAGAAGAAAGAATTAGAGGACTTAAAGATAGGCCGTTTTAAAATACACAGTAAGACGAGACAGAAAAAAAAAAGCATAAGAAAGAACGAATCATGCCCATAAGATCTAGAAAATAGCATCAAAAGGGCAAATATAAGTTATTGGCCTTAAAGAGGAGGTAGAAAGAGATACAGTAGAAAGTTTATTCAAAGGAATAATAACAAAGACTTCCCAAACCTAGAGAATGATGTCAATATACAGATACCAGAAGGTTATAGAACACCAAGCAGATTCAACCTGAAGAAGACTGTCTCAAGACATTCAATAATCAAACTCCCACATTTCAAGAATAAAGAAACGATCCTACAAATAGCAAGATAAATTTTAAAAAAATACAAGGGAGCTCAATACATTTGGCACTAGACTTTTCGGTGGAAAACTTACAGATGAGGAAACATTGGGATGACATAAAGTGCTAAAGAAAAAAAAAACTTTTATGCTAGACTATTATATCTGGTGAAAATATACTTCAAACATAAAGAAGAAATAAACACTTTTCCACACAAACAAAAGCTGAGAGATGTTATCAACCCCAGTCCTGTCCTACAAGAAATGCTAAATGGAGTTTTTCAAATTGAAAGAAAAAGACATTAATGAGCCTAATAAATTATCAGAAGGTATAAAAATCGCTGGTAATAGTAAGTACACAGAAAAACACAGAATTTTATAATATTGGAAAAGTGTTGTGTAAACTGCTTATTTTTTTGAGTAGAAAGACAGCAAGATAGCCAATAAAACATAATAACTACAACAACTTTTTAAGACATAGACAATACAATAAGATATAAATAGCAACAACAAAAGGTTAAATCAAGTTAAGGGGAAGAAGTTAAAGAGTAGAGTTTTTATTAGTTTTCTCTTTGCTTGCTTGTGTGTTTATGCAATCAGTGTTAAGTTTTCATCAGTTTAAGAAAATGAGTTATAAGATATTATTTGCAAGCTTCATGGTTACCTCAAATCAAAAAATATACAACAGATACACACAAAAAAAAATTAAAAAAAAAACAGAAATTAAAACATACCACCAGAGAAAATCACCTTCACTAAAAGGAGGGCGAGAAGGAAGGAAAGAAGGAGGAGAAAATCACAAAACAAACAGAAAACAAATAACAAACAAAATAGCAGAAGTAAGTCTTTACTTATCAATAATAACATTTAAAATTAATGAACTAAACTCTCCAATCAAAAGATATGATACACAATGGAGAACTATTCAGGCATAAAAATGAATGAGCTCCTGTTATTTGCAACATAATGGTTGGAACTGGAGGACATTATGTGAAATAATATAAGCCAGGCACAGAAAGGCAAACTGCACATGTTCTCACTTATTGTGGGAGATAATTATACAAATAAAAATTTTTATTTATTTATTTATTATTTTATTTATTTATTTTTATACAAATAAAAATTATTTGTATGCCTGTATGAAAATATTTCATGTATCTCATAAATATATATGCCTACTATGTATTCACAGAAATTAAAAATAAAAAAATTGAAAGTTTAAACAAAATATAACAATGTAGGTGAGGTTTTTAACAAATATAAAAATAAAAATTAAATGGTAAATATATGGATATCAACAGTTATACAAAGGTCCCAAAGGGGTAAATTGAATTCTGTTATTATAAGTTTATTATAATCTCTATGTAGTGATATATATCACTTGATGGTGAACTGCAAGTTAAATATATACACTATAAATCCAAGATTATGACTTTATAACAAAACAAATAGGTTTAGAGCATAAGCCAAAAATAAGAAGCTATGGAATCTGTGGTAGGCCAAGTAATATCCTTTTTAAGCTGCCCATGTCCTAAACTCGGGAAGTCGTGAATATGTTATGTTACACGATGGAGGAAAATTAAAGTGTCATATAGAATCAAGATTGCTAATCACTTGACCTTAAGACAGGGCAATTATTCTAGATATCTGGGTGTCCCATTGCAGTTATTATGGTCCGTAAATATGGAAGAGAGAAGCAGCAGCAAGTCAATGCCAGCCAGAGTGATATGATGTGAGAAAGAATCGACTATTTGTGGCTTTGAAGATGGAAGGGGTCATGAGCCAAAAACTGAGGGAAGACTTTAGAAGTTAAAAAAAAAGTCAAGAAAATGGCTTCTAAGACATTCCAGAAAGGAACGCAGCTATGGTAGCACTTTCATTTTAGCCAACTGCTACTCAATTTCAACTACTAACCTTCATAACTGTCATATAATGAATTTGTTCTGTTTTAAGCCACTATTTGTTTTTATATGTTATAGTGGCCATACAAAAATAATAAAATAAATATTCAAATAATCTCAATAAGGCAAAAATGTTGCACGCAGAAAAGAAATAGTAAGATGATAGATTTAAACCTGAACACAATCAAAACACAATCAATGAAAACACAGAATAAACACGATGTAATAACTCAAATAAAAGTGGTAAAGTGGTGCATAGCACATTAAGTAAAAAAGAAAGAACTCTACTTTTCTGGTAAGAAACAAATTTAAAGATACAAATAGATTAAAAGTAAAATAATTATAAAATATATTAAATGCTAACACTAGTCAAAAAAACTGGAATGACTATATTAATATCAGACTAAGATTTCAGAGCAACAAATATCAGGGATATAAAGGGTTGTTTCTTAATGATAAAATGTGAATCTATCAGTATAATTATAAATGTTAACAGACCTAATAACAGAAATTCAGAATACATATAATAAGTGAAATAAAAGTTATAAGAGATTTAAATACTTTTAGTTGATGGAATATACAGAAAATAAGTAAAGATACAGAAAGTTTGAATAATGCTATCAACCAAAGCCGAACCTAATGGCATTTATGGAATAATCATCTCAAAAAAAAAAGCAGAATACATATGATTTTCAAAAGCACACAAGCCTTTTTAAGATAGTCCATATTCTGAGCCATAAAACAAGTTGCAATACATTGAAAAGTCATAACATGTATGTTCTAGCAAAAGATGTATAAGACTTTTTCACGGAAAATTTGGAAACATTGTTTAGAAAAAAATGTTTAAGTACTAAATAATGGGGAAAGGGATATATTAGTCATGGTATTTTCCCTCATACTGTTTTATATATTGATACTATCTTTTTCAAAAATTAACTAAAAGTGGTTCATAGACCTAAATGTAACCACCCAAATTATATAGTTTTAAAAGTAGTACATTCATAATTTTGAGTTAGGTTAGTGTTTCTTAAAATTACATCAAAAACAGGACTTATTCAAAAAACAAATATGTTGAGTTGGATTTAATCAAAATTAAAAATACCTGGTCTTCAAAACATGCTGTTGAAAGCCAGAAAAGAGTCTAGCCTTAGACAGAAGAAAACATTTGTAAAGCATATATTGGATAAAAAGCTTGTATTCAGAACAAATAGTTTTCCAAAACTAGTGGATTAATTTCCTATTTCCACTCTGACAAATTGCTGTAAACTTAGTGACTTAAAACAATTAAAAAAATGTTTACAGTTCTGCAGTAGATAAATCCAAAATCAATTTCACTGGCTGTAAAGTAAAAGTATAGGCAGGACTGTGTTCCTTCAGGCAGCACTAAGGTCTAAATTCCTTTCTTTTTCCAGTCTGTAGAGGCCACCTGCATTGTTTGGCTCATGTTCCTTATTTCATCTTCAAAACTAATAGGCATCTTTTGTTCTCTCTGACCTCTGCTTCCATCCTTCCATCTTGCACAAAAGGTTGTCCAGCCACACCCTTGGCTTTCTCTCAGAAGCAGGTTTTCTTAACAGTGAATCTCCTGATTTTTTACCAAATGGATAGGATAGTAAATGATTTCCTAAATCATCAAGTCTTGCTTCTTTTTTTTGCTTAATAATTATTTCTTTAATTCATCTCTTTCCACTTTTATCTTACTATAATCAGCCAGAAATGATCAATTCCATCTTTAACACATTACTTAGAAATTTCCTGAGCTAAATATCAGAGTTCATTATCTACAAAGTTTGCTTTTTACACAATTACAGAAAACAATTAAGCTAAACATTTTACCACTACAGATCAAGGAGTATCTATTTTCCATTTTCTAGTAACATATTCCTCATATTCATCTAAGTCCTCCCTAACACCCCTTTGATATATTTATTTTTATAAATAGCCTGTTAGAGGTGACTTATGTATTCTCTCAGACCATATATGTTTTTGCTTCCATGTTCCTAACATCCTTCTGCTCCCTTAGCAGAAGCACCTTTAATGTGCATGTTTTTACAGTGTGTTTATTATTTGAATATTATCTAAGATAATTTTTTTACTACCATGTTCCACCCTTCTTTCTGAGGCCTTCCTAGCAGAGTCATTTACTTCCAAACTTGTATTCAGAGTCTGTTGAAAGCAATCTAGGCTTTTAATGTGATACTTCTAAAATTGTTCCAGCTTCTTCCAATTTGTCTAATCCAAAAATAAGTTCCATGTCTTATGTATTTTTTAGGGGAGCAACCTATTCCTTGTTTCATAATCTGTATTAGTTTCTTCTTACTGCTGTAACAAATTACTGCAAATTTAGTGACTTAAAACAAACAAATGTATGCTCTTAAATTCTGACAACCAAAAACTTGAAATCAGTTTCACTGGAATAAAATCAAGATTTCACCAGGGCTGGTTCCCACTGGAAGCTCAGAAAGAGAATCCATTATCTTGCCTTTCCCAGTTCTGGAAGATGCCAACATTCCTTGTTTCTTGGTGCCTTCCTCCATCTTCAAAGCTAGAAACAAAAAAAATCTTCTCTGCCCTTTGATTCTGTCTTTACATCTTTTCTCTCACATTCTGATTCTCCTGCCACTCACTTTTTAGAACATTGGTAATTACATTAGGAGCACCCAGATAATCCAGAATAATCTTCCATTTTAAGATCTTCAATTTAATAACTTCTGCAATATTCTTTTCGCCATGGAAATCACATATTCATAGGTCCTACAGATGAGAGTATAGACATATTTGAGCAGCCATTATCAGCCTATTATAGCCAATAATTAAAAAAAAAATCCAATAAAGAAGGGAGCAAAATATTTGAATACTGCAGGTGATTGTAAATAAATCCATATAAAGATCCTCAACATCTTTTAGTCGTTAGAGAAATGCAAAATAAAACCACAATGACATACCACTGCATATGGCTTAGAGTACTCAACATTAAAAAAAGACTCTCTATAAAATGTGCTGAGGACTTGGAATTCTCTTTAACTTCTGATGAGAAGGCAAATGGTACAACCCTGATGAAAAACAAGACAGCAGATTATTAACATTGAATCATCTACTTACTATATTTTTCTAGTCATTCTATTTTTAGATATTTACCCAAGCATAAGTTCATAAAGAACATGTACACAAATATTCCTAAAACATTTATTTCTAATAATCAAATTGGAAATAATTCAAATATCCATTAACAAGGAAATGGATTAACAACCTCCGATATGTTCATTCATGTAATACCATTCAGCACTAAAAAGGAGTAGATTATTGATATACACAGCATGGAAAAATTTCAGTATAATTCTTGTGAGAGAAAGAAGCAAGACAAAAAACACGGATGTCTATTGTATGATGTTATTTATTGAAAATTCTAGAAAATACAAACTAGTCTATAGTGCAGAAAGGAAATTAGTGTCTGCCTATAGATGTGCTGAATTGGGGGTTTGGGAACAATGGCAAGAGAGATTACAAATAGTCATAAAGAAACTTCTAGGGGTAATGAACATATTCATTATTTTAATTTTGGGAGTATTTTCCTGAGTATATGCATATCCCAAGACTTATCAAATAGTAGACTTTAGATACACTCATTTTGTTGTGTACTAATTATACCTCTATTAAGCTCTTAAAATAGTTATAAGGCCATGTGTGGTAGTTCATGCTTGTAAGCACATTGGGAGGCCAAGGCAGGAGGATTTTTTGAGCCCAGGAGCTTGAGGCTACAGCAAGCTATGACTGTGCCACTGTACTCCAGTCTGGCTGACAGAGTGGGACTCTGTCTCTAAAAAATACAAGAATAACTTATAAACAAATTTTGTTTATAGAAAGACACCACTAAAGGTGAGAAAATAAAAACCATACAAGAAAAAATATTTGCAATGCATTTTTCTATTACAAGATCTTATCCAGAATATTTGATAAACCATTATTAAAAAAAAGGACAATATGTAATATTGATGAGTATTCCTAGCATTGTTATATGGGGAGTCTTGTCTAATGCACGTCTATAAATATTTATACTCCTTTGGAACTTTATTCCAGCGTCTTTTGGCAAAATGTATGTATATTTTATTTTATTTTATTTATTTATTATTATTTTTCTTGAGACAAAGTCTCCCTCTGTCACCCAGGCTGGAGTGCAGTGGTGCGGATCTCGGCTCACTGCAACCTTGCTTCCCAGGATCAAGTGATTCTCCTACCTTAGCCTTCAGAGTAGCTGGGGTTACAGGCGCCCGCCACCATGCCCAGCTAATTTTTGTACTTTTAGTAGAGATGGGGTTTCGCCATGTTGGCCAGGCTGGTCTGGGAACTCCTGACCTCAGGTGATCCACTCGCCTTGGCCTCCCAAAGTGCTGGGATTACAGGCGTGAGCTACCACACCTGGCCAGGAAAATGTATGTATATATTAAATCATTAAAATGTGTATACTTGGCCGGGAACAGTGGCTCGCGCCCATAATCCTAGCACTTTGGGAGGCTGAAGCGGGCGGATCACCTGAGGTCAGGAGTTCAAGACCAGCCTGGCCAATATGGCGAAACCCCGTCTCTACTAAAAAAACAAAATTAGCCAGCCGTGGTGGTTCATGCCTGCAATCCCAGCTACTCGGAAGGCTGAGGCAGGAGAATCGCTTGAACCTGGGAGGCGGAGGTTGCAGTGAGCCGAGATCGCGCCATTGCGTTGCAGCCTGGGCAAAAAGAGTGAAACTCCTTCTCAAAAAAAAAAAAAAAAAAAAAAAAAAAGTGTATGTATATTTACCCAGGCATGGTGACACGTGCCTGTAGTCCTAGCTACTTGGGAGGCTGAGGTCAAAGGATTGCTTGAGTTTTTGAGGTCGAGGCTGCAGAGTGTAGAGATCACTGCCACTGCACTCCAGCTTGGGCAACAGAGTGAGAATCTGTCTCAAAAAAAAAAAAAGTGTTATCTCTTTTATAACAGAAGTAAATCTCTAGGATTTGCCATTAAGTATTCAAACAAGTACCCTGGATACGTGTAATAACATTTCATTGCAGCATTTTTATAAATAGGTAAGAATATTGGAAAATTAAATGTCCCGTAGAAGAGAAGTGCTAAAATATATCATGACAATCTTAAACAATAGAATTAAAGCCAGTCAAAATCAATAATGACTTAGATATGTAAAAAGGACAAATGTTCAAAACAGTATTTATATTTTTGCCTCTTTTATATATATATATGTAATACTTCATGAGAAATAATCTCATGAGCAAGTCATCACTAGTGTGAAAAGAAGTTTACTGTTTTTAGCCATATTAAAAGCTTTTTAGAATAGACAATTAATGAAAATTACTCAAACCAAAATCTACCATTGTGTTAATAGACTTTGGAAGTAATGAGAGTGACCATGTAAAATAAAAAGATAATCCCCTTTTATTCCCCATTCAATAGCTTCATATCAGACCTTTAAACAAATTGTTCACATAAAAGGTATAAACATCCTGCACATCATATTACCTTTTGAAAGTCAAAAGTCAGCATACCTTAAAGCCTAAGAATATCTGAGTTTGAGAAGAAATGCTTAACAACATTTTAGACATAAATTAACTTGCTGCCATTATTTTCTATTTCTTACATGTTTTTAAGAGCCATTTATTTTCATAATGCTGTATTCATTTACAAGGGATTTATTTAAAACAATAAAATTTCTTGTTTAGATGAATGGAAACCACCATGGTAATCGGCATCAGTAGACAAAATTTATAATAAATAAAATTACAGGAACCTTTTGGGCTCTTTGCAGGTCTGGGAAGATAAAAAGGGCTAGACTTTCTATTTTACAGATTTTTGGTTCATGTACGTTTGTGATAGTAAAAAGGGAAAGATAATATGCCATGCTTATCTATCATAGTTTACCATGAATATTATGTTTTTTAAGAAGATACTTACAGTTTGAAACTCAATGTCACACTAATAGAAACCATGCACTTTATTTTACAACCTTGATTTTTCACATGTATTCTCTAATTAAAACAATAAAAACCTTGTCATGTTCCTGGAAATAAAGATTTGCCTCATGTATGTCAGCCTGTAATAAGATTTTCTAAAAGTATCAGTAGGAAAATATTAAAAGCATACTTAGCTATTAAATAGTAAAATATGTAATTGAACTTTTATTGTCTTTCTCTTAAATATATACAAGAGTACAAAAAGCACTATCACCTTACAATCTATGACATTCAGAAATATCTTATAAATTACCAGTAATCCCAAGCACGTACAATTAATATATTTAAGACCTGTTTGCTTTTATGTTAAAATGATTATAATGTGTACTTGTTTGTCTAATTGTAATATCCAGCATTCTTAAATTGTGCTTAAAATTGATGTCTATATCAGATTTTTTTAAAGATTACATGCTATAAAATCATAATATATGTGTGAAAAGCACAAAATGTTATATTAGTACTGTGAAAAGCACTAATTATTCATTATCTAGGATATATATATATATATTCTTATCTAATAAAGCCACTTTAATTTCTAGAAGTTACACATTTTCCTTTGATTTTTTTGTTTCTTTGTTTCTTGAAAAGCTTCAGGATTCAAATGATGGAGGCATTGTGGAAATATAGAAAATGTCATACAATTTGTGTAGCCATGCCAGTGGAAGGACTGCCTAAGGAGATTGGTATCCTATTATGGTCATCGGGATCATGTCACTGTCTGATTTAGAAAATAGAATTAAATAGATAGAAACTTTAAATGGAAAGGTTCTGATAACTGGCTAGTAGTTGTATTAGAATTGTCTAATAGAAATGGTAAGGAAAGATTTTAGCTGATGCAGTTTGGAGGGAAAATGTCTGATAAATTGATATCTTTCCCAAAAGCTGAATGAAATGTCAGTATCATGCAGTCACAGTTTTTGATTTGGATGACAAGATGGGCTACTGGATTTGGAAGTATAACAAGGTTTTAGGTATGTTTGTTTGTTTTGTTTTATTTCATTTTTCTGATTTGTTTATTTACTTTATTTTCAACTTGTTATTATAATAAATAAAATTTAATCATGTCCTTTAATATGCAAATGCAAGCAAACACAGGAATATTATATTTGTATTTAGAAAATAATTACCAAATATAATTAATACTTACATATTTGGAGTAATGCTCTTTTATATTAGAGAAACTAACAATACTCAGTTTCTTTATTCTTTTGACAACCAACTATTTTATTTAACAATTGGGTTATTATAGAAAAATTAAAGGGGAGATAATAACTAGCTACCTTAATATATAGATTAGTTAATTTCACTGGCCCTCTCTTTTTATAGACTGCAATCAGTTCACATTCAGAAATTTATAGGAAAAGAATATGTGCCTAATTATTAACATATGAATACCAGAGAAAGTAATAGAGTTGTACAATTTTTGTCTTCCTTTTGCTGTTTATATGTGAAGGCTTGGAGAAGATAGAATTCTCCAGAGAAGAGTTGGTGTCCCTCCTCATTTTTTTCTTCCTTTTTAATAATGAACATGAATGTCACGTGTTGATATGACTTTGGAACAAAATAGAAACAGCCTAGATGCTAGAATTTCTATATTGAAAATTGTTGCTTTGGAGGGTGATCCAGTCAGCATCAGATTTTTTGTGAGAGCGAAATAGAAAGAGATACATTATTACTGTGTTATGATGTTTAAGATTTTAGGGTCTATTAGTTAAACTGACATTGACTAATGAAAAAAGTACCAAAATTAATTACACTGAATAAGAATGCCACAGAATTGTAAAGACTGGAGAATGTTGGTGATCAGTGAGTAAGAGAACCATCTTATAATATGGCAAACCTAAGTGAACAGTGGTAAGCTAGGCTTAAGAAGGGTAGGAGAGAAGCTGGTAACGATGAGTATTAAAAAAACTCATTAAAGAACTTACCGATGGAATTTTAGGACTAGGATACAGTCTAAAAAGTATTTTCTTGTAGTGTGTTGTCATGTGATATACAAAACACTTTGATTCTTAGAGATAATGAAGGAATTGTGAGAATCTAGGACATTACCAATCACTTTATCGACTTGAGTAGTTTCACTTTGCCTTAATTTTTCTTCCCTGAGATAACTAGTATACCAGCCAGGGTCCCATCAGGGAACAGAGAACACACACTAATTACAATATGTAAGGAGGGTGTAATAAAAGAGTTATTTGCAAAGCTTTGCACAACATGAAGGCAAACATGAAAAATAGGACTATAAACAAGGGCTAACATTAGAGTTACAGTTATTATCCCTAGGTCCATGAAGGGGGAAAAAGGGGTACAGAGTATTGTAAATGGGAAGGAGAAAGTCCTATAGAAAAGTAGCACTAAAAAGGCAGTGGCTTGCAGTCAAGGAACACAACCAGCCAAAATCAATCCCACAGGGAAAGAGTGAGAGAAAAATTTCCCTGTCTCACTTGTTTCTTTCCAAATATTCTGAGAAATCCTCTGACAACATTGGACTTGGAAGTATGAGGCAAAGGAACCTATTGATGCAATTTATAGAGGTCATCATCCTTGAACAGATGGCAGCATAAGAAGCGATGAAGACTAGAATAAAAAATTAAACATAAGCTACCCAACACTGTCCATACCTTCTATCCTTCAATAGTTTGGCTGCCTTCATCTGGGTGAAAAGTTTATATTCCCGATACAGAAAACAGCCAAGTCTGATGGGCCAGCTTATAATTTGGGGTGATATCAATTCTCTCACACTTCTACATGAAGCCTAAAATATTATAGCTGGCAAAGAGGCCTAGCCAGGTCATTATAGATGCCTTCTTTCACTACTCATCTCACATTCCCTTTGACTCATCTAAGCACTTCAACTCTACAGTGTTCTTTATTTGATGACATGATATGAGTTTTAGTAGTGTGTGTGTGTGTGTGTGTGTGTGTCTGTGTGTCTGTGTGTCTGTGTTGTAACATTTTCACTAAAATAAAAAAAAACAAAGAATAACTAAGAGGCACTGTAGTCAACCCTGGAATTGCCAAAATAGTCCTTCTTGCTCCATTGTGTTGCATTGGGACCCCAGTTTTTCTTATTGGCTATTGACATATTGGAATCAAATTGGTTTTAGTTAGAATCCAGTTTGCCAATCTGCTTGGCCAGTAGCATTCAGGAGTCTAGACTAAGCTTCTTTTTATAGAGAATGTCTTCCAGAAACTAAAAGTGATGACTTTCAGTTGCAAAATGGGAGAGTAGAAAGTTGGATTTATTAACCCTCCCCACACCACAGTGAACCAAAACAAATACACAGCATTGAGATGATCACCAGCAATATTTCACAATTCAAATATGAGAATGAGACAGTTCTTAGGGCCACAGAGAAATTTAAAAATCTGAGATGGTAGAAGAATAAAAATTCCATGTCTATGATGCTACTCTCCCAATTTGTCTGCCACCCAAGTACATAAAAAATATCTCCCCAACTCACCGTTTCCTATTTCCACTAGGAAATAAGAGTTTAAGGTGAACAACCAGCTTTCCCATCACCTTTGGTTCCCTGTCAAGATATCTGATTCTGTCTCAACACACAGGAAGCATTGCAAGTGCCTTAAAAGGAAGATAAATCTCAGAGGACAGCAAAAGGGAAGACAAAGAGAAGAAGTGAAACTACCTTCCCAAGCCCTAGAAACTCTGTAACTTGGCCAAAGGAAACACCAAACCAGAATGGCTATTCGGCAGCACCATGTTGAAGGAGATATGTTCTATAGGTGCCCTGGGCATGAACCCCTAGCCAGCCTTTTCACACTGTAAGGATATCCCCTTTGGGATATCCCCAATTTGATATCAGCAGTTCTTTGATGATTTAGCATAACTGAGGCAAACCTGGTCCTAAGGCACCATCTATTACTGAAAAGGGAGCAGCAAACAGAAAATTTGGGGAAAAAATTCAACACATAAATTATAAAGGATATCTAACAATATAGCCAATAAAAGCCAAAACAAATCATAAAGAGAAGAGTAGAATAAATAATAATTCAGTGTAAATAAATAGATGGACATTCACAAGAAACATCAGCAAACAGAAAATCATGATGTCCTAGAATGGACAAAGCAAGGGATCACTGACTGATGACAATGAGATGGTAATATTTGAGCTCTCTGATTAATAATTCAAAAATAGGAGTTTTAAGTGATCTCCAAGATAACATAGAAATGAAATTTGGAAATTTAATGGAGAAATTGGAATAATAATTTTTTTAAAAAATTGGAGAACTGAGAAATATATTTGCTGAATGGAAAAATTCATTAAAGGCTGTCAACAACAGAATGGATAGGAGAGGGGAAATAATGGCTGAGCTTAATGACACTGAACATACACAAACAGAGGAGAAAAAAAGAGAAAAAATGAAAATAATTGAAAATCACCTACATGATATAGAAAATTACCTCAAAAGACCAAATCTAAAAATTACTGATATTCAAGAGGGAATTGAGCAGGAAAACGGAGTAGAAAGTTTACTGAAACAAATAACCACATAAAAATTTTCTAAACTTGAGACACAAATAAGTGTCCAGGTCAGAGAACACTAAATAGATTTGGTCCAAATAAGGCCCCAACTCATATAATAATAAAATTCTCAAAAGTCAGGGACAAAAAAAAGGTCCTAAAAGCAGTAAGAAAAAAAGAAGCAAATAAAATAAAAGACAGCTCCAATTCCTCTAGCAACAGGCTTTCTAAATGGAAACCAATAGGTCAGGAATGAATGAGATGACATTTTCAAAGTGCTGAAAGAAAACAATTTTCATCCAAGAATACTTTACCCAGCAAAGCACTCCTTCAAATATTCCTCAAATATTCTTCATATATGAGAAATAAAACATTTTTTTAAGATAAACAATACCGGAGAGTTCACTACCATGAGATATATCTTACAAGAAATGCTAAAGGGAGTTATTCAGTCTGGAAAAACAAAACAAAACAAAACACTAGTGTGCAAAAGGAAAACATTTGAAAATATAAAACCAACTGGTAAAACCAAGGTCACAGACAAACCTAGAATACTTTAATACCATAATTGTGGTGTGCAATCCTCTCTTAACTTTAGGATGAATCCCGAAAATCAAATCTATCAAAACAGTAAGAATTACTGCAACCTGTTAAGATATAGACAACATAAAAATAAATATAGTGAGATAATAAAAAGTCAAAATGGGAGAGGGGATATGGAGTTAAACTATAGATGTGTTTTTAAATTTTTTTTCTTTGTTTCTATTATTTTCTTTTTGATTAAAGATAGGCTGTCATCTCTTTTCAAAACATTTTTTTCTATTAGATATTATTTGTAAGCTTCTGGTTAACCACAATGCAAAAAATCTATAATAGATTCACTTAAAATAAAAAGCAAAACATTAAAACATAGACCACAGAAAACCACTTAACCACAAAGCAAGGTAGTAAGAAATGAAAAAGAGAGGAATTACAAAAGAATCAGGAAATAAACAACAAAATAGCAGCAACTCCCTGCTGAATGGATGTAAACTCAATTCTCCAATTAAAAGACATAGAGTGGGCAGGGAGTGGTGGCTCACACCTGTAATACCAGCACTTTGGGAGGCTGAGGTAGATGAATAACTTTAGCCCAGGAGTCTGAGACCAGCTTTGGCAACATGGCAAAACCCTGTCTTTACAAAAAGGAAAAAGAAAAAATTAGCCATGTTTGGTGGCATGCACATGTACTCCCAGCTACTCAGGAGGCTAAAGTGGGAGGATCACCTGACGCCAGAGAGGTTGAAGCTGCTGTGAGTCATAATCACAGCACTGCACTTCAGCCTGAGCAACAGAGTGAGACCCTGGGGGAAAAAAAAAAAACAAGACATAGAGTAGCTGCATAAATAAAGGAACAAGACCCAGGAGTGTGCTGCCTACTGAAATCCATTTCACTTATAATGAGACACACAGGCTAAAAGTGAAGGAATAGACAAAGATATTCCATGAAGGTGGAAATAAAAAAAGAATAGGTGTAGCTATATTTGTATCAGATAAATTAAACACCAAGTCAAAGGCTATAAAAAGGGAAGAAGAATGTTACTATATAATGGTAAAATGGTCAACTCAGCAAGAGGATATAACAATTTTAAATATTGTATATGCTCAACCATGGAGTGCCAAAGTATATAAAGCAAACATTAACCAATCAAAAGCAGGAAATACAATAAAATATAATAATAGTGGGTGACTTCACCACCCCACTTTTAGTAATGAACAGATCATTCAGACAGAAAATTAACCAAAAAAATTGGAGTTAAACTGCACACTAGAACAAAATGGCCTGACATTTACAGAACATGTAACCCAACTGCTGCAGAATACACATTCATTTTATCAACACATGGAACCTGCTTCAGAATAGACCATATCTTTGGCCCCAAAATAATCTCAACAAATTCAAAAAAGTAGACATCATATCAAATATCTTTTTGGCCACAATAAAATAAACTAAGAAACAAATAACAAGTATTTTGGAAACCACACAAACACTTGGAAATTAAACAACATGCTCCTGAATGATGAATGGGACAATGAAGAAACTAAGAATAAAATTTAAAAATTTATTAAATAAAAATGGAAATACTGCATAAAGAAATCTACCAAATACAGCAAAAGCTGTACTGAGAGGAAACTTTATAGCAATAGTAGAAAGACACAACCTAACAACACAACCCCAGTGCACCTCAAGACGTAGAAAAGCAAGAACAAACCAAACTCAAAATTAGTGGAAGCAATAAATAAATAAACATATAAATAAAATCAGAGCAGAAATAAATAAATTTGGAACTATAAAAAAGAAGAATGAAACAAAAAGTTGTTTTTTAAAGGATAAACAGAATTAACAAGACTTCATCTAGACTAACAACAACAACAAAAAAAAATAAAGAAGGCCCAAAATATAAAATCAGAAACTAAAAAGACTTAAACAACTGAGAAAAGTTAAATAGAGACTATAATGTACAACTACACAAAAATATAAATATAATAAAAAATAGAAAATCTGAACAAACAAATAACAAATAAGGAGACCTAAGCCATAATAAGAAGTTTACAAACAAAGAAAAGCCTAGGATATAATGGCTTAACTCCTGAATTATTTCTAATGAAGAACTAATAGCAATTCTACACAAAACCTTCAAAAAAAGTGAAGAGGAGGGAATACTTCCAAACTCATTCTGTGAGGGCAACATTACCCTGATACCAAAATCAGAGGACACATAAAACAACAACAAGAGCAACAACAACACTGCAGGGCGATATCCCCAATGAACATAGATGCAGAAGTCCTCAACACAGTACTAAAAAATCAAATTGTAGAACACATTAAAAATATTATTCCCCATGATCAAGTGGGATTCATCCCAGGTATGCAAATATAGTTTAACTCACACAAATCAATCAATGCAATACATCATATTCAAACAACCAAGAACAAAAACCATATGATTATTTTTATTGGTACTGAAAATCATTCAATAAAATTTAACATTCCTTTATGATAAAACCTCTAACAAAGTGGGTAGAGAAGGAACATACCTCAAAATAATAAAGGCCATATATGACATGTCCACAGCTAACATGAGACTGAACAACAGAAAATTGAAAGACTTTCCTCTAAAGATGTACCAAGACACGGGTGTTCACTTCTACCACTTTTATTCAACATAATACTTGAAGTCCTGGCCTGAGAAAATAGGCTAGATAAAAAAATAAAGGGGATACAAACTGAAAAGAAATAAGTCACATTAGCCTTGTTTGCAGAGAACATAATGTTAAATTAGAAAAAAACTTAGTCTTCAAAAAATTGTTAAAATTGGAAAAGGAATTTAGTAAAGTAGTAGGATGCAAAATCAAGATACAAATAGCAGTAGCATTCATATATGCCAACAGTGCACAACTGAAAAATAAACCAAGAGAGCAATCCTATTTGCAATAGCAAACATGGAATATAAAATATCTAGGAATCAACTTAACTAAAGAAGTGGAAGATCTTTACAATAAAAAACTATAAGACACTAATGAAAAAATTGAAGAAGGTATAAATAAATGGAAGATAGCCTTAGAATTAGAAGTAATATTGTTAAAATAATAATATTTATCAAAGCAATTTACAGATTCAATGCAATCCCCATCAAAATTCAAATGACATTCTGCACGGACTAAAAAAATCCTAAAATTTATTTGGAACCACCAAAGACCCCAAATAGAAAAGCAATCCTGAGCAGAAAAAGCAAAGCTGGAGGCATCACACTGACTTCGAAATTCACCACAAAGCTATAGTGGACAAATCAGCATGGCACTGTCACAAAAACAGACACATAGACCAATGCAACAAAATAGAGAATATAGATATAAGTCCACGCATTTACAGTCAACTGATTTTCTCTAAAGGTGCCGAGAATGTGCACCAAGAAAAGGACATTTTCTTCAATAAATGGTTCTAGGCAAATGAGGTAACTATATGCAGAAGAATGAAACTAGATCCCTACCTCTCACCATATGCCAAAATCAACTCAAAATGGATTCAATACTTAAATATAAAACCTGAATAATAAAACTATATTTTGGGGGCAAGACCTCAAAAGCACAAGTAATACAAGGAAAAATAGACAAATATGATTGCATCAACACTAAAATCATCTATGCAACAAAATAAACAATCAATGAAGTGATGAGACAATGGTATTTGTTCTATCCATACAGAAATATAAATAATCTTAAACATTAAATTTTCATTCAGATAATTTTATGAACTCATATATTAATTTCAGTGATTTGTCTGTAGATTATTTTATATATTGTATAGTCATAATTAAAATACTGAACATGTGCACTCAAAGCTCTGCTCATAGCAAAAGTTTAACTATCACTTTTAGATATTTTACCATCTTCTTGTCTAAGTACTTCAAGTAAGATGTCCAGTATGCTTTTGAATGGAAATGATGACAGTAGAAATCGTTATCATGTTCCTGATGTCAGAGTGAAAGTTTTTAAAGATTTTACTATTAATGATCACGGTTTTTGTAAGTTTATTTTAATGACACTATCAGATTTAGAAATTTTTTTCTACATATATTTTACTAGGGTATCATTTTGAATTTATTTTTAATTGACAACTGTACATACTCATGGGGTGCATGGTGATGTTTTGATACATATAATGTATAGTGATCAGATCTGGGTAATCAGCATATCTATCGTCTCAAATATTTATCATTTCTATGTATTGGGAACATTCAATATCCTCATTCCAGTTATTTGAAACTATGTATTTTTGTGAGCTATAATATTCTTAAGTGGTATAGAACACTAGAACTTATTTCTCCTGTCTAACTGTAATTTTGTATCCTTCAACAAACCTCTGTATATTCCTCCCTTCCCAGTACCCTTCCCAGCCTCTAATATCCTCGGCTCTATTTTTACTTCTATGAGATCTGCTTTTTCAAACTTCCACATGAGTAAGAATATTCTTTATTTAACTTTCTGTTGATAATAGCCATTCTAATTGAAGTTAGAAGATACCTCATTATGGTTTTGATTTGCATTTCCCTGATGATTAGTGATGTTGAGCATTTTTCATATATTTTTTGGCTAGGTTTTTTTAATCATGAGTGGTTATTGAATTTTATTATATTCACTTTTTTAATTTAAATAAGTTTGAGTAATTAATGATTTGCAAATCAGGCAGCCCCCAGAATTACAGCAGATTCAGAGAGACTCCAGCACAGCCATGTCATGGAATAAAATTTATAGATGAAAAAAAGGGAAATGAGGTACAGAAATCAGAAGTGAGGTACAGAAACAAATGGATTGGTTACAGCTCAACATTTGCCTTATTTGAACACAGTTTGAACACTCAGCAGTGCATGAGTGGTTGAGGTATGGCTGCTGAGATTGGACAAGACTCAGCTACTGTTACAGGTGAATACTCCTAAATTAGGTTTTCAATCTTGTGTGTCTATTATGTTAGATTACAGTTTGTCTGCAAGGTCTCAAATATAGAAGTACAGAGTTCTACTCAGGCCATATTAATTAACTTTAACAGTTCCCCTCTTTGGGTCATTTTCTGTTTTGAGAGAATGACCAAAACTTTAGTCATCGATGTCACTATTACCATCATAAATGTACTTACTTGGTCTTGAAACCTACTGGGAAAGAGTAGAACAGTCAGTTTTGCAAAGGTAGGAACAAGGACTGAGTAGAGGGTTATCTCCTATGCTGGAACGTCCTGTTTACAGGAGAAGAACAAAACCTGGTTTGTTGAACACATCTTTAAGGATCTATGTATTTCCTTAAAGTCTTAGTTTGATTATGTCACATTTTGCATAAGCAGCTCCATTTCTGTTTGGTTTGGTCTGTTGGGGCATTGTGCATGAGCTCAGCCCCCAAAAATGGCCTCCCATAATTTTGTTTTAAAAAATTCACCCTTTTTGCTGAGATTCTCACTTAAGTGAGAGTGTGACCAAAGCTTGGGGCCTTAGCACCACTCTCAGGTACCATTATCTCGGGTTGCTGGTCTCAGCATGTCATTCATAGGTTACAGTGTCCTCATGGTTGTACATTTCTTTCAGCTCTGGTCAATCCAGTTGAAGAGAGACCATTTGACATTCTTGAGATGGCTATATACAAACATTTAAAACCTTTGAGAGAATATAGCATACAAGGGAGGCTATTATTATGACTAGTGGGAGGATAATACCAAGAGTTTGGCATATGCTCATTACCAGGGTCCCCATAAGCCAAACCACCTAAAGCCAAATAGATCAAAGAATGAGCTAGATAAAGAGTCTATTAAATCCACGAAGCCGTCTCTTCATTAATCCCATACAACTGAATCTCTATAATACCTGATGTTTTCTCCATAGGCCATAAGTGCTAGCAGCTACACAGATACTTTAAATCCTCTTGTGAAAGTTATGCTGAATAATAGAATTGGCTGAACAGAGAAGTACTTTCTTTTTTCATGTGGAAATTTTACTTGTTTTTTATCTTTTGTTTGTCTTGTGCTGCATTAAAATAATTGAATTTTGGCCAGGCACGGTGGCTCACGCCTATAATCCCAGCACTTTGGGAAGCCTAGGCAGGTGGATCACGAGGCTAAGAGATCAAGACCATCCTGGCCAACATGGTGAAACCCTGTCTCTACTAAAAATGCAGAAATCAGCTGGGCATAATGACGTGCACCTGTAGTCCCAGCTACTCAGGGGTCTGAGGCAGGAGAATTGCTTGAACCCGGGAGGCGGAGGTTGCAGTGAGCCAAGATCGCACCACTGCACTCCAGTCTGGAGACAGAGCAAGACTCTATTTCAAAAAATTAATTAATTAAAATAAAAAAATTGAATTTCTAATGTTAAGTCACCTTTTTATTCTTGGAATAATCTAATTTGAGCATATTCTATTATCTGTTTTATGTATCATTGACTGCTAATATTTCATTTACAATTTCCCATCTAATAAAAGAAATTTTCCTCTATTCTTATAGAAATGTCAAGTTTGATCTTGCTTTACTGTCCTCATAAGACAAGTCATGTGAAAGAGTTTTAGAAATATTGGGATTTTTAAAATAATTGATCAAATTTACTGCTAATGTCCTATGAATCTTTAGTTTCATGGGAAGATATTAAATTACATATTCAGTGTTTCTAATATTTATAGCAATACTAGGTTTAGTTTTCCATTGCTTAATTATGGTAAATGTGGTTTTCTGAAAATTTATTTAAATTATAAAAATAATCTACATAAAGTCTATTATTGGATGATTTTAAAATTACTATAATATCTTCAGTAATGTCCCCCTCTGAATATTAACATGGCTATTTATGCTTACTTGCATTTTGTCTTGATCAGAAATGGTAGAAAGTTATCAATTTTTTTGAATAGTCAAATTTGTTTTATTAATTTCTTCAATTTTATTTTTCTATTCTAATAAATTCTTATTTCACTTTTAAAAACTTTCTACTTCCTGATGAATTTAACTTCCATTTGTTTTTCAGCTTCTTGACATAATGCTTAGTGAATTAATTTTCACATTTTTACCTACCCTAAAATAAATGCTTTAAAGACTAATTTCCCACCAAGCATGATTTTAACTGCATTCCATAAGGTTAACTTTTATATTTCAATATTTATTTAATTCAAAATATTTTCAGATTTTCATAGTGATTTCTTTGATCCTTTGGTTACTTAGAAATTTCTGCTTGGCTTTTAAATACATTCATGGTCTGTGTTTTGGTTTGTAACTTGGTTCTATTACAGACAGAGATTGTACTTTGGATGTTTTCAATCTTTAGAAATTTGTTGTAGACACTTGCTCTAGGCAATTCCTGAGTTTTGTTTGTTTATTTGTTTGTTTGGTAAATACTCAATATGCACTTTAAATATATACCTAACAAAAATATTGTATTGAGGTTATTTTTAGTGTTAAAATAGTTATAGTTTGTATTATTTTCTTTATCAATGATTTCTCTATAAATTACTTAAGAATTATTATAAAAATTTCCATTTTATTGTAGATTCTTCTTTTTCTTATAATTATTTTTTTTTTACATGATGTATAAGGGAAAGTGATCTCGGTCTATGGGAATATTGTAGATTGCCAAGTGCTACAAAAAGGTATGCAATGGATTTATAAGACCCTTTCCAATTTGCCCACAAATGAATAACTTGAAATAGTTATTACTGCCAATTATCTATTTTAACCATATCGATGCTTGTCAAAATATACATGAGGAAATGTCTTTAAAAGCACTTATTTTTTAAAACAAATATTTAAATTTGATTTTCTTTAAATGTCAAATATTTCCTTTAAATTTTCTTTAAGTGCTTCTTTAAATATTCTTTTGAAGTTGAATATTTATTTATTTTTTATTAGCTTTGTAGATTTTGTTTTTAATTGACATAATAATTGTATATGTTTGTGGGTACAGTATGATATTTTTATACATATATGTATTGTGTAATGATCAAGTCAGCATAAAGAGCATATCTATCCTGTCAAACACTTGTCATTTATTTGTGGTAAGAACATACAAAATCTTCCCTTCTATCTATTTTTAAATGTACAACACATTATTGCTAACTATCATCACTCTACCTTACAATAGAACACCAGAGGTTATTTCACTCATCTGACTGTAAATTTCTACATGTTGACCAAATTCTTAACAATCCCCTTCCCTCCTCCCCTCCCCAGCTTCTGGTAACAACTATTCTACTCTCTACTTCTATGAGGTCAACCTTTGTAGATTCCAAATAGAAGTGAGACCATATGGTATTTTTCCCTATTATACTTGGCTTATTTAACTTAACAATGTCCTCTAGGTTTATCTGTATTGTCACAAATGGCATAATTTTATTGTTTTTATGGCTGAATAAATGCTTCCTGACATTGGTCTGGGCAAGGATTTTTTAAATAATATCTCAAAACACAGGAAACAAAAGCAAAAATGGATAAATGGGATTATATCAAACTAAAAAGCTTCTACACAGGAAAGGAAACAATCAACAGAGTGAACAGACAACCTATAAAATGGGAGAAAATGTTTGCAAACTATAGTTCTGATGAGTTGACATCCAGAATATATAAGAAACTCAAATAACTCAGTTGCAGAAAAAAAACAATAAATAATCCATTAAAAATGGGCAAAATATCTGAATAGACATTTCTTAAATGAAGACAGATAAATTGCCAAGAGTTATGTGAAAAAAAATGCTCAACATCACTAGTCATCAGAAAAATGCAAACCAAAACTACTATTGGATATCATTTCATTCTCATTAAAATGGCTATTATCAAAAAGACAAAAACAAAACAACAAATTCTGTCTAGGATGTGGAGGAAAGGGAACTCATACATTGTTGATGGGAATGTAAATTAGCACAGCCATCATGGACAACAGTGTGGAGGTTCCTAAAAAATTTAAAAATAGAACTACCATATGATCCAACAATTCTACTACTGAGTGTATATCCAAAGGGAATGAATGAAATCGGTTGTTAAAGAGATTTCTGCACTCACATGTTTATTGAAGCACTATTCACAATAGCCAAGATATGGAATCAACTGAAGTGTTCATCAAGAAATAAGTGGAAAAAATATGATATATTTATACAATGGAATACTATATAGTGATACAAAAGAATGAATTTTAAATTATTTTTAAGTGTAATTTTACGTTATTGGCTGTAGCGTCAACTTTAGTGATAAGCTATTACAGCACATTTATTCAGTTATCACACTAAATAGTGACTCCTTACAGACTCATCACAATATTGTAGAATTGCTTCTTTTTGCAAATATAGGAAATATGCCAACTAAATAATTGTATACATGTTTATATTTTCTTCTGTATATTTCTTGAATTACTTTCTTCATAAACTAATTCATTCCAACATTTGGATTTTTTTAATAATTAAATTTTTCTCCGAGCTTATTTTATTTAATGGTGCCACCTTAATTCTTTATTTATTAAATGCTTAAATGTAAGCATAAATATAAAGCAAAGGCCAAATAAATTCAAATGCTGATTAGAGGCTGTAAATCTTGTTAAAGTTTAATTTTGGAGATCACATAATACTTTGATGTGGGCACAGATAAATATATTTGGTAATTAAATATGCGTACTTGAATTTTATACTGTTTTAATCTTGGATTAATTTTAATTAAAAATTCAAAAATGTAACATTCAGTTGGAACTTTTATATTTTTCAAAACAATTTTACAAATAATTATACATATGATTGAGGGGATAAGGTTTGGAATTAGACCATTCAGATTAGAATCCTCGCTCAGACAAATTAGCTGTAAGATATTGGGCAAATTGCTTAACTCCTATGTAGTTAGTTTTCTTTATCTGCATAATAGAAATAGGAATAGTAAATACCTGTTAAACTGATTTTTAGAAATTATTAGAAAAGGCTATTCGAAGTTGTAAGTTTCTAGTACATAATAAGGGTTAGATAATAGCTCATTCTTATTAAATTATTGCCTCACAATAAGCCTGGGTTTAATATTCTTAGGTCCTTTTGTATAAAGCAACAATCAAAACAAAACCATGAGGCCTACAGAATTCATTAATTTGTAGAATATCAGAGAAATGCTTATTCAAGGTCTGATAATCTGATAATATTACTTCAGATTTCAAGCATTTTTCACCAGCCTATAATCCTTGTATTGTTTAACTTGAGGAAAGGAACCATAGGAATTTCGTGAAATTCAGCAAATATATTGTATCTCTGTTTTCCAGTTTTAGCATAACTTTGTATATATAAGAGCATATGAAATCATAGTCAAAATCATCTCAAAATCTCAGATAAGTATACTAATTAATTGTCATCTGCATGGTATATTAGATTGCTGATTTTTCTTTCCTCTTTATTAGATAGATAGATGATAGACATATAAAGATATCATATAAATATATATAATATATATTCACATCCAATCTCCATAACATATAACATTTTTTATGTTCTTTTATTTATTAATTTACTAATTACTTTGACTTGCTAATGATTATCAGTAAATATCAAATAAAATTTTCCCTGTCTCTTGTATCTTAGCATTCTGTACAATTTTAAGCAACATTTTTTAAAATTATGTTTAAGAACATAGAAATACATGCACTAATAATTTCATTTTGTAATTCAAAATATTTTGTGCTATTTGAAGATAGCAATGCTAGCTGTAATAAATAGCAAGATGATAAATATCATGACTAAGTCAAAATAAGGCTGTTGTACCACAAATCCTTCCTTTTTGTTCCTCTTCTTTCTATTTTTGTTCCATTAGTGATCTTTTATCTTCTTTAAGCTGTATGCATCATCTCTGTGGAGACAACTACAAAAGCAATAAATTTAAGCTTGATATTTTATATTCTTGACTCATATTTCCACATTTTTTCCTATACCTTCTCTTAGAACTTTATCAACCAACTAAAACTCACTCTACATTGTTGAATATATTATTTCCCCCACAAAACTTGTTTTCTACTTTTTTCCATGATTCCAACATTTTTTTCAAGTGACTCTGAGTCTGAAAATAAATATCACATCAGTTATTGAATACCTGAAGTGTGTTACGTATTATCTTACATTATTTATATATAAAAATAATTTCAGATATGATTGATTATTATCTCAATTTTATATATGAACAATGAGGAGGTTATGGAACTTGCAAAAGGTCGTGCAGCTGTACGTTGTGCACCCAGGTTCTAAATTTCGGCAATCTTGCTGCAAAGGCCACTATGCAATATTAACTTAGTATAATATCCAGAGTCATTTTTTTACTCTTTCAATTTTTTATGATTAAAAAAATCAAAGTGGTAACTAAGACCTATTTCTTCTGTCCTTAGAGGATAATAAGAAATCGAAGGAGTAACAAATAACCCTGGATTTTATGCTAAGGTGATGTTGGATAGTGGCCTCTGGGGAAAAATTGCCTGAGTCTAGTTACTGTACGCACAACTTATAGTTCCGTAACTTTATGCAAGTTCCATCGCTTCTTCATCACTTGTTTGCAAAATGGAAATAAAAACAACCCTATCTAAATGTGACTTGCATGTAAAGAATGTAGGGTCATATCTGACACATTTCTGATGCTCAATAAATATATATATTTTTTCCATTCATTTCCACTTTTCTCTTTCCGCAGCTATGGTTAACTGCTATTAATTATAACCTATTACTGTGTTTTACTACTCGCTTACTCAGTTTTTCTGACTATACCATGTTTATGCCAACTTCCCAAGCACCACCAGAGACTCTAAAAAATTAGATTAATTTTAATAATAAATCCCTCAATTGATTCTCTTTCCCAATAAAATTGTTTAAATGCAGACAGTTTACCGATTGAGGCTATGTTTTATTAACGTAAAATTAACGACTCTATCAACTTCTCTAACTTTATTTCACTGTGTTCTCCTTTTAGGCAAAAACAAACAATAACAGGAACAAAAATAAATTATATCATTGTCTTTAGCAACAATTACTGTTGTTTATGGACTAGAACAATGGTTACAAAAGATCAATAGTAAGAAAAAAGACATTAAAACAACAAAAGCAAAATAATCATAAAGGGAGGGAATAGCTCCAAAGTCTGAAAGGCTTGGTTGTATTCTAAGAGCTTGTTAACATACCAAAAACAAATGTAATCAAAACAAATGTGAATTAATTAACTATACAATCAGAGAACAAGAGGGGGCACAACAAAATAAAGAATTTAACCAAAACACCTGTGGGAATTCTCCACACAGTATCCAGGGAAGAAAAGCCTTTGACCAATAGGTTAGATATTATGGTTCCACAGGCAAGGCACTCCTCAATTCAATGTTGTGTATAAAGGGTTTGAATACAATACATGTGAATGTTATAATCATTAATGGGATATGGGTACATCAGGCTGAATTAGTCTATTAATGATAAATATTTGAATAGAATAATTATGGTTTTCTAATTGAACATATTTACAATGGGTTCTTCAGATTATGATAAAATATTTCAGAGATTCCTAAAGGCAAATAACCAACAATGTAGAACAAATTATTTTGCATATTGTTTGAGTTATATATTTAATTGAAATTAATAATTTAGCTTTATGATTTTATATAGTAGCTTTAGGAAATTGAATAATGCTAAAATGTCCTTTATATATGAAATTCAGTACTGATTTGCCAGAAATTGGAGCAAGTTTTTTCTGAGCCTATAGGCATGAGGACCAGATTTTTCTGCAACATACATTTAACAAAGTTATTACTGCCATTTATGTATTTTAGGATTCTTAGTTGAAAGGAAAATTAATCAACACTTGCTAATTTGGGTAAAAAAACTCTTAATTCAAATGATATTGATTGAGTTATAGAATCATCAGAACTTCTCCAAAGCCAGGAAAATAACGCCTTAACTCCCACCATAAGTCCAAAGAGGATAGTACTTTCACTTTGGCTATACACACAGATAAGTTGGCAACACAGATTTCTCTATTACTGGCCCATTGAACACTGTTAGAATAGGTAACTACCATAAATAATTGAGTAACTAGTTAATGTATATGAAATATTAGTATTCCAATATAGAGCAATAGGCACCACAGGACTGTGATCCTTCAGAGAAAGAAAAAAAAATGGAGGTATTACATTATAAAATTTATTCAGCTTATTAATAGAGGTACTTTCTAGACCATAGTGAAAAAGAGAGAACTCAAAAACAGTTTACACAGGTCTGGGAAGAGTTTGCATTGCCAAAATATAGCAAGGAGCAGATAGTATACAACTCAGATGTGGTATATATTTGTACTACATCAGAGCAAAGTTCAGGAAAAAATACACTTATCAAGCAGCAATGAACCAGAACAGCAACTCCAACATAGGAAAATATAAAGAGAATGAAAACAGTGGTAAGCAAGGAATCACATCTGGGGATTTTTTTTATTACCGTACTCAGTGATCTTTGTAGTGTCAATTTTCTAATTTAAAGTAGGTTAGGCATCCCATAAGACAATTACACACCTCTGATCTGAAACAAGTATAATATGATAGGCAGGCAAGAAGAAAAACATTCTGGGATTAATCAGAAATGAAAACATTGTGAAAACAATATCACAAAAATAGAAGAGCTCACAGAGTTTTCAGAAAACATCAAGTTGAATATTTACAACAGTTGAACTGAGTCAGCCATCAAAGAAAATAATGTGATAATTAAGTCAAGGAGAAACAAAATTGAAGGCCCTAGATAACCAAGAGCAAGCTGGGTAAGAAGCAGAGGGATAAAGAGGTGCTTTCAGAGCTGCATGTACACTGGCTACCTACCTTCTACATTTAACTCTAGAATGTTGCATCACATTTTATAGCCTCATCTATGCTGATCACAAAAATGTCTACTTGACCAATTTGTTAAAGGAAAAGTCTTTAATAGATCTTTTTCTACATTTTCCCCCTCCCAATATGTATTTTTCTGCACTCTGGTGGCATCTAAGATGATAGATGACTGCTCCTACTTCTTTCCCCAACTGCCCCTTCAAAACACCCACACACATAGACACACAGATGATCACATCAGAGTTGATTGATTTTTTGTCTTCTAGGTACATATAGAACAATGTATAAAATATTTCTCTTGATAAAAATGGACGTATACAATTTATCAGATTGTCCTGCCTTTTCTTGTCAAGTGCATCCACATGTCCTACGCAGTAGCAAATCTGAAATATGCACACTACTCAAATGCATTGAGCTCTTTTTCTCTCTTTTCTTTTGCTCATGCTATTCTTTTAACTTAGAATTTTCTCTCTCTTATATCAATCTATCTATTTATGTTAAACTTCAATTCATTTTGAATAAACTAGCCCAAGTGTTGTTCCTCTGCCAGATTTATCTACTAGTCTGAGTTATTCATGGCATTTTACATAATTATGTTAATAATTGTATACATCAATATAACATTTTGTTATAATAATTTGATTGCAATCTTACAAATTGTGCATCTCAGGATTAGAAAACAAATTGTATTTATCTTTGTATATCCAGATTACAGCATGATAAGTGATATCTATTAGTTACTCAGTAAAAAAAATTTACAGAGTAAATTAAAAAACTAAAAGAATCATTGCACTTTTATATTTTATTAACTTAATTGTATTGCTTATAGCAGTGGCATTAAAGTTTATTTTGTTTAGCTTTTTGTTTGTTTTACTGATAAAGGATTACTCCTGTAGCAGGCTTCGTTTAAGATAATTTCCTAAAAGTAGTAGTTAAGAAGAAATCTAATTACAGTTGTCATTTGTAATTATACTATTCTGATATATTTGTCATATTTTAATAAATAAAAACATCCCTAATAATTAAAATACTAATTCTAATTAAAATACAAAGTTTTTAGGATGAGTAGATTAATAGTTTTGACATTTCAGACTGAATTTTAATGCAGGCTCTATAATTTCATATACAAACCTTCTGTATGAAAATATAATTTACATGTGTAAATTAAATGGAATAGTTAGATTTCTTACTAAATTGTTTGCATGCATACTTTTGAAAGTCATTTCGAGTTTATACAAATTGGCCCCTTTAAAAAGTTGCTACAATTTTTAAAACATTAAAACTGGGTTCTCCTTAACACAGAGAAAAAAACTAATCTCTGAGAAAGCTTTACCAGCTGATATCTTGATAGCCAAACAACCAGCAACTTAAAAAATATATTAAACAAACTGCTTTAATATCAACTTTTTTAATCTGAAATGAACAACTAGCAAGAAATGAATATTGAATAAGGTATAAACTTTTTCAATAGCTGAGAAAACAAAACAAAGAAAAATTCTACCTTTCATATTTTTAGTTGCAATTATATGGGTAATAGTGCAGTTAAAATTCACCCAAGGTACAGAAATTCAATAAAGCCATATAAGATCACAAAGAGGTTTCTAGTGAAAGATAGAACTTGACATTGCCTTATCACTGACCTGTGATGAACATGAGAATTCACATGACATTGATAGCATGGTTGGGTTAACTCATCTGCTTTCTGAAATCAGACAATTAAGGACTCAGTCAGCTTTGAGCAGCAAGGTCACTTTCATGATCGATGACTCAAGAAACACTTCTTAAGGAGAAATAGCATTTATAACCCAATCGTCTTCTTCATTGGTATACAGCCCACTTTTCTCCTGCGTGGTTTGTTGATTGCTTTTTAAAGAAACTAAAGTAAGCCTACAAACTACCCTCTCAAGGTAAGGCAAAGAGAAGTTTAGAAATCAATGACATGAATTTTACTTCCTCCAAAATTGTTTTTGTCATCACGTTATCCTTTAGGTAAATTCTTCTCACTGACAGTTTTTTAAACTGAAATGCTTAATTTGGTATTCTGTATCACATTTCAACTCAAATGCATGTGCTATTTTGTTGAAGTTTAAATACTATTACAGAGAGTGTTTTGTAATTTAGTAAACAGCCTTTCATCAGTAATAATTTGGTATTTTCCAACAACAATATTTTATTTTCAAAGTCATAATTCTATGTCAAAATTCTCATTTTTTTGATTCAATGAAAAATAAAATTACATTTAATATAGACTTATTTTAATGGTAATTTATTATATTTTATCTCTTTAAGCATTCTTTAATCATAAATGATATTCTTTAAAAATTATCTACTCTACAGTTTGTTTGATTTGACTGGCCCATCCCTGACCACGAGATAAAAATGAAAATACTTTATCAATTTAAAATATTCTGTTAATTTAATATTTATTGTGGTTGCTTCAGTCCCTCTATTTAAATTTAAAATAAATAATAGAATGTTTCCTTACAAAGAACTTTCACTTATTAATTACTTTACAATTAATGTATGTATTTTAATATTGCTTATATCTATTCTAATATTTGTACAATTATTATTGATTATGAGAAATAACATACTGTTACTTCTTTGGATTAGTAGATCAACTCATATCCTTAAAGTAAATCTTTATAAAGAAAAAACTATTGTATTTATACATGATTTGCCATTTTCCCCCAAATCTAACATTATTAAACATCTCTAAGCAATAATAAGTCTAGCTGTGGCAAACGTTCACAACTGGTTAGATTAAAAAAATAGATAATCATTTGGGTCAGACAGTTTGGGGATTTTAGGAAGGCACATGTACAAGATGTTAGAATGAGGCTTTTTATGTGTCAGTTTGTGATAATGTAGGAGCTATTAAGTATAAAACATCAATGTGAATTTTTTTCTATTTGGAAGTTTAGTGCTAGACTGCTTTGACAAAACTTGGTTATAAAGTGACAAAAACTGATTCAACACAAGCCTAAAACAAGAAGCTTCAAGGGAGAGAGTTACTTGTGTCACCTGGAGTCAGTGGTACACTTAGGCTGTTGCCAGGCCAATATGGTAGAAAGTTTAAAAGAAAGAAACTATTGCTGGCCAGCTGGCTAAAGAGCACCAAGGAAAGGTAGCTGTGTTGAGAATGGTCTGCTTCCAGAATTGTAAGGGGCAAAGCAGTTACATACATAAATATAGTGTTTCAAAGGCCAAGTGGTTGCTGAGTAACATAGCCAAAGTTGGACCAACCTCAGCCTTCTGGGGTAAGGGGAACCCAGGAATCAGAGGCTGTGGCATACACTGTTTAGGGGAATAAGAGTGGATGTCTCTAAAGAGGAGCAAGAGAGTATATTATCTGAATTGGTTAACTTTACTGTATCAAGGTCACCATAGGGGACCTTGAAATTACAAACACACCACAAGAGTTGTGAACATTATGAATCCCAGTAAGCACCAATCTTAGAAAACAAATTCACCAGTCAAATAAGACCTTGGTAAGATCTTCCCTCACCCCTATTTTATTTTATTTTTTTGAGTTTCTGATTCCTTCTCTTCCCCAGCTCCAGAAAAAATCCCTTTGATACTGGGAAAGTCAGCATTCTCTGCCAACAAACTGAGGAGAAATGAAAAATTGACAGATGGAGAAAAAAGTACAGTAACCGATCATGTCCCCAGATCATATTTCTACTCCAGGATTTTTGTAGGAAGTAAATCCAAGGTAGAAGAAGACAGTTCTGACCATGTTCTGTGGTTGAAAGTGTACAAGATACTTTAATTATCCAAGTAAATTTAAAAAAAATGTAAAACTGCTTAGAATTTTAAGGTGTTCTGAATGAAGATAGATGTTCTCTAACAGTTTAGCAATGCCAAATGTTAAAAGATAAGGTTGTTTTGCATGTTATAATCACATTTTATTGTTTTATTTGTTCAACATAATGGTAAATATATTTGTATTAGTTTGTTCTCAAATTGCTACAAAGAAATAATGGAGACTGTAATTTACAAAGAAAAAAGATTTAATTGGCTCATGGCTCTATGGGCTATACAGGAAGCATGATGCTGGAATCTGCTAAGCTTCTGGAGAGACTTCAGGAAACTTTTTCTCATGCAAGAAGGTAAAAGGGAAGGCAGCACTTCAGTTGGCTAGAACAGAAAGAAAGGGAGAGGGGGAAGGTGCTATATATTTTTAAACAATGACGTCTCATGAGAACTCAATCACTGTTCAGTACCAATGATGAATGATGCTAAACCATTTATGAGAACTCTGACCCCATGATACTGTCACCTCCTACCAGGGCCTACCTCCAACACTGGGGAACTACAGTTTGACATAATATTTGGGTGGGGACACTGATCCAAACAATATTATTCTGCCCCGGCCCCTCCCAAATCTCATGTCCTTCTCACATTGAAAAATCCAATCATGGCTTCCCAATACTCCCCCAAAGTCTTAACTCATTTCAGCATTAACTCAAAAGTCCAAAGTTCCAAGCCTCATCTGAGACAACTTAAGATCCTTCTGCCTATAAGCCTGTAAAATCAAAATTGAATTTGTTATTTCCAAGATATAATGGGGGTATATGGATTTGGTAAATATGCCCATTCCAAAAGGGAGAAATTGGCCAAAAGGAAGAGGTCACAGTCTCCATGTAAGTCTGAAACCCAGCAGGGCATTCATTAAATGTTAAAGCTCTAAAATAATCTTCCTGGACTCCATGTCTCACATCCAGGGCACAATGGTGTGAGGGGTGAGCTCCCAATACCTTGGGCAGCTCTGCCCCTGTGGCTGCTCTAATGGGCTGGTGTGGAATGCCTATTACTTTCCTAGGCACAGAGTGCGAGCTGCTGGTGTATCTGCCATTCTGGGGTCTGGAGAATAGTGGCCCTCTTTTTATAACTCCACTAGGCAGTACCCCAGTGGGATCTCTGCGAAGGGACTCCAACATCTACATTTCCGCTCCCCCGCATATTGCCCTACAAGAGATTCTCTGTTAGCACTCTGCCCCTGCAACAGACTTCTGCCTGGACATCCAGGCTTTTCTATACATCCTCTACAGTCTCAGTGGAGGCTCCCAGGCCTCAATTCTTACACTCTGTGCACTCACCGTCTTAATACCAAGTGAAAGCTGCCAAGGATTATGTCTTGCACCCTCTGAAGCAAGGGCCCCAGGATTATTTGGGCTGCTTTGAGCCACAACTGGAGCTAGAATGGCTGGGATGCAGGGAACAGTGTCCCCAGGTTTTGCAGGACAGTGGGCCCTGGGCCTGGCCCAGGAAATCATTCAGTCCTCTTAGGCCTCTGAGCTTGCGTTGAGAGAGGCTGCTGCAAAGGTCTCTGAAATGCCTAGGAGGCGTTTTTCTCATTGTCTTGGTGGCCATTTTCCCATTGTCTTAGCTATCAGCACTTGCCTTCCTTTTAGCTATGCAAATATGTGCAACCTGCTTGAATTTCTCCCCTGAAAATTGGTTTTTCTTTTCTACAGTGTGGCTAGGCTGAAAATTTTCCAAACATTTGTGTTCTGCTTCCTTTTTAAATATAAGTTGAACTTCAGATCATTTCTTTGTTCACGCATATGAGCTTTTAGAAGCAGCCAGACCATTTCTTGAATGCTTTGCTGCTTATAGATTTCTTCTGTCAGATACCCTAAATTATCTCTCTCAAGTTGAAAGTTCCACAGATCCCTAGGGCAGAGGTACAATGCCTCCAAATTATTTTTTAATGCATTAAAAAGTGACCTCCACTCCAGTTACCAGTAAGTTCCTCATCTCCATCTGAGAGAAAGCTATCTCCATCTGAATCCAGAAAGCCTGGACTTTTATTGTTTATATCACTATCAGCATTTGAGTCATAACAATTTAACAAGTCTCTAGGAAGTTCCAAATTTTCCTTTGTCTTCCTTTTTTTTTTTCTTTTGAGCCCTCCACATTCTTCCAACCTCTGCCTGTTACCCAGTTTTAAAGTTACGTCTGCATTTTCAGGTATCTTCATAACAATCCCTCAATTATTGCTACCAATATTCTACCTTTGTTTGTTCTTAAATTGCTATAAGGAAATATCTGAGACTAGAAAATTTATAAAGAAAAGAAGTTTCATAGGCTCTTTTCTGTACAGGGAGTATAATGCTGGCATCTTTACAGTTTCGGTGGAGGCCTCAGGAAATTTACAATTATGTTGGATAGTGAAGGGATGCCAGCACTTTACATGGCTGGAACAGGAGAAAAATAAAGTGGTGGGGGGGCAGGTAGGATACATTGTGATACATTTTTAAACCAGATATTGTGGGAACTCACTCACTATATAGTTCCAATGGGGAATGTTGCTAAACCATTTATGAGAACTCTGACCCCATGTTCCAGTCACCTCCCACTAGGCCCTATCTCCAACACTGGGGATTACAATTTGACATATGATTAGGTAGGGACACAGATCCAAGTCATATCAATATTAAAAGAGACAGGAATGTGTTTAAGTTTGATTCCAAAAATAGTTTGTCTAATACCAAGGACAAAATGATGCTTTATAAACAGTGACTAGAATATTTGAACAACCCAAATTAAAAAATGTTAACAGTTAAATGAAAGCACACCCATTATGTACTATATATAATTAGACAAGTAGATATAGCTACTTATATCTTCTCTGACAAAGCAGCCTGCAACTTACGTATAGCAGGGTTTTTTGTTTTATGATAATAATTAATTAATTAGCCTTCAATGTGGGTGCTATTGAAATAGGAATACCTAAAAAAGTCTTCAACCAACCATCCATACATAAAAAGACTTCACCTCTGACTTGACTGAATCACTATTTATATATACCTATTACTCCACAATTAAGATTGTCATTTTACTTGATTTCAGCATTGTTCAACCAATTTAATAATGCATTACCTGTTCCTATGTGCTCTCTTAAATGAACTATACCCATATACCATGGAGATTAAGACCATACTAGACACCTGGCTTAGTGCTATCCCCAAATACCTGTTCAAAGATCTATCAAAGAATTCTAGAAAATAACATTCTTTATGGTAGCTGTAGAAAAATTGCTCAGTGGTTCTATTTACTTCTATTACAAATAATGCTACTGACTTTACAGATAGAACTAGAGAACTTAGAAACCAACTCTTAGTAAGCCCAAAGAACTGTTTTTCTTCCTGGTAGAAGAACTGGAATGCTTATGTTTATTAGAGAATAACAACTTACTGAGATGTCATGTCCAGAAATGTGAGAAGCTCGATCAATGTGGATGGTGGACTAAAGATGCTGTCCTACAGCATGTATCAACATTGACCTACTTTTTAAGTCTGGCAAGTTTTGAATCTTATTAGGTAAGAATTCCAAAGACTATTGATTTAATCTTTACTACCCTGACTCAATCATAAGTTCTAAGAATATAAATCAAACATAATAAAATAAAACAAATTATAGCTTGATTTTAACTGTTCCTGAGATTTTTCTTAGTTCTCAGCTTTAATGCCTGTTGTAAAGTCTTCCCTGACCTTATTTTTTCCATGATCTGCATCAAGCTTTCTTCATCTATAAAACATTGTTTTATATTTTATTCTAATAAGTTTTGGTGTATCATGATGAAGATAATGTGTTGAAGTGTCTGTCTTCTTTGCTGGACTGTAAGCCCTGAGAAGTTAGGAATCACAAAAGCCTTATTTATTGCTGTATCCTTAGTGAGAGAACAGTGGCTGGCATTTTTATTTACACATAAACATGTGTTCATGATTGAGCATCTCTTCTGAAAAAGCTGTTTATAATTATTTGGGGTAGTAATTTTTTGATGTAAAATATTAGACCAGGAGTATCATATTTTTAAGTTAATTAACTCTAAATTGTAAAAAGTAACAATATCTAGGTAATTTATTTTTCCATTAATTTATTCAGCTTGCTAGTAGATTTGTCAGTTGAAATGGGCTATATATATATATATATATATATATATATATATATATGCTACATATATATATATATGCTACATATATATATTTCATACATATATGAAATATGTGAAATATAGGCTACATACATATATATTTCATCAGTCTATTCTAGGTACCTTGATATGCCCTAAAAAACTCAATGTTGTGCTTTTCTAAGTTCTTCTATAAATGGGCAAACAAATATGAAATATTAATTATCATCCAAAAAATGCCATAAGGCCATGGTGAAGGTGGCTTGAATATCCTCAGGCTTTCTAACACTTAAAGTTATTATGTAGTATCCAGGGAGGAAGCGAAGTATTGCCCTCAAAAGGGCAACAAAATACCAATTCCCAGAGCTCAAACTTGCATTTCAAAATTATTCTCATTGAATTAATAACAAAATACATTTTTATTTCATTGTTTCTAGCTAGTGAACTTTGTCTTAGTTATCCTGCTAACTAGCACCTTGGTTTTATTTTTTCCATTGACTACTACTGCTTTGTTGCCCTGGAAGCTTTTCACCCAATATTCCCATTAGAGGTATGTCGTGATTATAGAAATTTGATTCAGTGTCTCATATTTGCTTTCATTCTGTTTAACAGTGAAACCAGCTCAGGTGAATAATTTTTTGCACGTGTCTTCCTTTAATCCTTCAGATGACTTTTTGCTTCTAACTTATATGTGTTCTGTTAGGCTTAGGAGAGATTAGGACAGTTTTTGATAAAATGATGCTAACAATAAATTGGCTTAAAACATGGAAACTTAGTATTTCTGAGGAGAAGTTGTACTGGCTTTAAATATCTCAAATATTAGTGTAATAAAAATGGTAAATGTAGTCCCAACCTCTCTTTGAAACTATGTCAGAAGTTCTTTTCAGATTTTTATTAGAGATTTTATACTTTATTTCAGGCAGAAGTTTTAACAAGAAGTATCTATAGACATGGGAACAGATGAAGATAGGGATCACTTTCAAAAGAAGATATAAGAGGACAGATATGACATGAATAGTTTCAGTGCAGCCTCCTGCTTCTACATCTGGATGAAAAGTCCTTCTGAGGTCTTTCCAACTCTGAATCTCTCAGAGGAATATGTTTATACATGGCTGAGAATCAGGAAGCCTAACCTCTGGGAAATGATTGCTCATAATAGTTGCACTCCCTGGTCCATAAAATATTTTCTAAAAATAGAAACTCACAGACGTGGAATTAAAAGACAGGTAATAAAACTAACGAGCAGAATATCACAGAGACACAGTAGTATTACTGTGAAGAATACTGAAGGAATACAGTACTATGCTGGTATGTTTCATCAAAAAATAGATCAAATGAAACAAAAATTTTTCTCTCAACTTTTTTCTCAAAAAGCAAGAACATGGATGTTCTGTGTATATATGAAGTGAGGAGGCATTGTTAATTCTAAAATATTAGAGATGTTGAGGAGAGGGTTCAAAAGTGGAAAAAAATGATGCTAAAAGATTTGAATGTAACATAAAAGTAAAGCAATTAGTTTTGTTAAAAAGAAAAAGTAAAAGGTGGAGGTGATACTGAGACTGGGTTTTTTAAACAATGTTTTTTATTTTTAATTTTTGTGGGTACATAGTAGATGTACATATTTATGGTGTTAGGAGATATTTTGGTACAGGCATGAGATGTGTAAAATCATGCCATGAAAAATCAAGTATCCATTCCTTCAAGTATTGATCCTTTGTTTTACAGTCCAATTATACACTTTCAGTTATTTTAAAATGTATAATTAAATTATTATTGCCTATATCCCCCTCTTTTATGCTATCAAATACTAGGTCTTATTCATTTTTCCAAATTATTTCCTTTTGTACCCATTAGTCATTCCAATCTCCTCCTCACCATCCCACCCAACTGCCTTTCCAGCCTCTCATAATCAGCCTTCTATTCTCTATCTCCATGAGTTCATTTATTTTGATTTTTAGATCTCACAAATAAGTGAAAACATGAGATATTTGTGGGTGGGGGTTGGGGGGGAAATGCGCGCGGGCGCCTGGCTTATTTTACTTAACATAATGACCTCCAGTTCCATCCAGGTTGTTGCAAATGACAGAATCTCATTCTTTCTTATAGCTGAATACTACTCTGTTGTCTGTAAGTATCACATTTTCTTTATTCATTCACCTGTTGATGGACACTTAGGTTGCTTCCAAATCTTAGTTATTGTAAACAGTGCAACAACAAACACAGGAGTGCAGATATCTATTTGATATACTAACTTTTACCATTTGGGTATATTCTCAGCGGTGGGATGGCTAGATCATATGGTAGCTTTATTTTTAGTTTTTTGAGGGTCCTCCAACTTGTTCTCCATAGTTGTTGTACTAACTGACATTCCCACCAAGAGTGTAAAAGGGTTCCTTCCCCTTTCTCAACATCTTGTTGGCATGTGTTATTGCCTATCATGGATAAAAGCCATTATAACTGGTCTGAAAGGACATCTCATTGTAGTTTTGATTTACTTTTCTCTGATGGCCATAATATTGAGCGTCTTTACATATGCTTGTTTGCCATTTGTATGTTTTCTTTGTAAAATGTCTATTCAAATATTTTGCCCATTTTTAAATTGGAATATCATATTTTTTTCCTGTAGAGTTGATTAAGCTCCTTATATATTCTGGTTATTAATCCCTCGACAGAGAGGTAGTTGGCAAATATTTTCTCCCATTCTTTGGGTTGTTTCTTCTCTTTGTTGATTGTTTCTTTGTTGTTCAAAAGCTTTTTAATGTGATGTAATCCTATTTGTCCGTTTTTGTTTTGGTTGCCTATTCTTATAGGTTTTCTCAATAAATTTTTGCCCATAACCGTGTTCTGTAGAGTTTTACCAATGTTTCATTTTAGTAGTTTTATAGTTTAACATCTATGGTTTAACTCTTTAATTCATTTTGACTTGATTTTTGTATATGGCGAGAGATAGGGGTCTAGTTCCTTTCTGCTGCATATGGATATCTAGTTTCCCCAGCACCATTTATTTAAGAGACTGTCTTTTCTCCAGTGTATGTTCTTGGCACCTTTGTTCAAAATAAGTTTACTCTAAGTGTATGGATGTGTGTCTGGGTTCTCAATTCTGTTCCCTCGGTCTATGTGTCTATTTTTATGCCAATACCATGTGGTTTTGGTTAGTATAGCTCTGTAGTATAATTTGAAGTCAGGTAATGTAATTCCTCCAGTTTTCTGTGGTTTCATATGAATGTTATGATTTTTTTCTATTTTTATGAAGACTGTCATTGATATTTTGATAGAGATTACATCAAATCTGCATATTGCATTTGGCCATAGGGCCATTTTAACAATATTTATTCTTCTAATTAATGAACATGGAATATCTTTTTCATTTTTGTGTTTTGTCTTCAATGTTTTTATCAATGTTTTATAGTTTTTATTACAGAGATCTTTCAGTTTGGTTAATTTAATTCCTAGGTATTTTATTTTATCTATGGCTATTGTAAATGGTATTAATTTCTTGACTTCTTTTTCAGTTTGTTCAGTTTGGGTATAGAAATACTACTGATTTTTGTATGTTGATTTTGAATCCTACAATTTTACTAAATTTCTTTATTAGTTCTAATAGTTTTCTTGTGGAATCTTTATGTTTTTCCAAATATAAAATTATAACATTTTCAAAGAAGGATAATTTGACTTTTTCCTTTCCAATTAGGATGCCTTTTGTTTCTTTTTCTTGTCTGATTGCAGTAGCTAGGACTTCTAGTATTAGTTTGAATTACAGTGGTAAAAGTGGGCACTTTTGCCATGTTCCAGATCTAAGAGGAAAAGCTTTAAGTTTTTCCCCAGGCAGTGTGATACTAGCTGTCCATCTGTCATAGATGACTTTTGTTAAGGTATGTTCTTTCTATAACCAGTTTTTTGAGAGCTTTGATCATGGAAAGATGTTGAACTTTATCTAATGCTTTCCCAGCATCAATTGAAATAGTCATATGGCTTTTGTCCTTCTTTCTGTTGATAAGATGTATCACCTGAATTGATTTTTTTGTGTTGAACCATCCTTGCATCTCCGTGATAAATCCTACTTGATCATAATGAATGACATTTTTAGTGCATTGTTGAATTCAGTTTGCTAGTATTTTTGAGAATTTTTGCATGAATATTCGTTAGATATATTGGCTTTTTTATGTGACTTTATCTGATTTTGGTATAAGGGTAATTCTGACTCCATTGGATGGGTTTGAAAGTATTTCCTCCTTCTCTATTTTGAAACTATTTTCTCTAGTTTGGGTATAGGATTGATATTGGCTCTTCTTTAAATAATTGGTAAAATCCAGCTGTGAAGCCATCAGGTCCCAGGCTTTTCTTTACTTGGAGACTTTTTTTATTACAGCATCAAAATCATTACTTGTTACTAGTGTATTCCGGTTTTGGGTTTCTTATGGTTCAATCTTTGTAGGTGGTATGTTTCTAGGGATGTATCCATTTCTTCTAGATTTTTCAATTTATTGGCATATAGTTACAGCAGCCAACAATAATCCTTTGAATTTCTGTTACCAGTTGTAATGTCTCCTTTTTCATCCCTGATTTTATTTATTTGAGTCTTCTCTCTTGTTTTGTAAATCTGGCTGAAGTTTGTCATTTTTGTTTTTCAATTATAAAAACACCCAACTTTTAGTTTCATTGCTCTTTTGGATTGTTTTATTTTTTAAAATTTTATTTTTTCTCTGATTCTTAACATTTATATTCTTCCAATTTGGGGTTTGGTTTGCTCTTGCTTTGTTAGTTCTTCAAGATCCATTGCTAGGTTATTTAGTTGAGGTTTTTCTTTTGTTATGCAGGTATTTATAGATATAAATTTCTCTTTTAGCACTGCTTTTGCTGTATCCCATTAAGTTTGGTATGCTGTGTTTCCATTATGACTCATTTCAAAAAATTTTTCAGATTTCCTCTTAATTTTTTCATTGACACATTAGGCATTCAGGAGAATAGTTTTTAATTTCCATGTGTTTGTATCATTTCCAAAATTCCTCATTATTAATTTCTAGTTTTATGTCATTGTGATCAGGGAAAATTCTTGATATTATTTCAATTTTTTAAAATGTTTTAAGTCTTGTTTTGTAACCTAACATATGGTCTGTCCTTGAGAATGATCCATTTGCTGAGAAGAAAAATGTGTATTCTGTAGCTACTGGACAAAATGTTCTGTAAATATCTATGAAGACCATTTGATCCATAATGCCAATTAATTCTAATGTTTCTTTGTTGACTTTTTCTCTGAAAGATCTGTCCAATGCTGAAAATGGGGTGTTGAAGTCTCCAGCTATTTTTGTATTGGGGGTCTGTATCTCACTTTATCCCGAATAATATTTGCTTTATGTATGTGGGTGCTCCAATATTGAGTGCACATAAATTTACATTCTTGTAATCTCTTGCTGAATTGACCCTTTTATCAAGACATGGTGATCTTCTTTGTCTCTTCTTATAGTTTTTGTCTTGAAATCTATTTTGTCTAAGTAACTCCTGTTTTTTTTTTTTTTTTTGTTTTTTGGTTTCCATTGGCATGGAATATTATTTTCTATCCCTTTGTTTTCAGTCAATTTTTGTCTTTATAGGAGAAATGTGTTTCTTGTAGTCAATGAATAATTGAGTCATTTTTTAAAATTCATTCGGCCACTCTATGTCTTTTCATTGGAGAGTTTTGTTCATTTACATTCAATGTTATTATTGATAAATAGGGACTTACTCCTGCCATTTTCTTATTTGTTTTCTGTTTATTTTGGAGTCTTTTCTTCCTTCTTTCCTTTCTTTCTGCCTTTGTTCTAGTGAAGGTGATTTTATCTTGTGCTGTGCTTTAATATTTTGCTTTTTACTTTTTGTGTGTCTGTTGTGTGTTTTTCAATCTGAAGTAAGCATGAGGCTTGCAAATATTATAACCCATTATTTTAAATTGATGACAACGTATCACCGACTGAATAAAGAAACATGCAATAAGAAAGCTAATAAAAACTCAACACTTCTACTTTGTCCCCCACTTTTTAATCTTGTGTTGTTTCCTTGTATGTCTTATTGTACTGTCTTCATCTTAAAAAGTTACTGTAGTTATTATTTTTTATTGGCTCATCATTTGTTATTTCTACTTAAGACAAGAGTAATTTATGTACCACCATTACTTTGTCATCATATTCTGTGTTTTTCTGTGTGCTTAATATTACCAGTGAATCTTGCGCCTTCAGATTTCTTCTTGCTTATTAACTGACCTCCATGTAGCATTTCTTGTAAGGTAGGTCTGGTGTTGATGAAATCCCTTAGCTTTTGTTTGTCTGGGAAGGTCTTTATTTCTCCTTCTTGTTTGAAGGATATTTTCACCAGATATAGCATTCTAAAGTAAAAGGGTTTTTTCCTTCAGCACTTTCAATATGTCATGCCACTCTCTCCTGGCTTATAACATTTCCACAAGAAAGCCTGCTGCCAGAGGTATTGGAACTCTGTTGCATGTTATTTGTTCCTCTTCTCTTACTGCTTTTAGGATTCTTTCTTTATCCTTGACCTTTGGAAGTTTGATTATTAAATAAATGCCTCAAGGTAGTCTTATCTGAATTAAATCTGCTTGGTATTCTATTTTACTTTAATGTTGATCTCTTTTTTAGGTTTGAAAACTTCTCTGTCATTATCCCTTTGAATATATTTTCTCCCACTATGTCTTTCTCTACCTCCTTTTAAGACCAATAACTCTTAAATCTGCCTGTTACTATTTTCCAGATTTTGGCCAGGCATGGTGGCTCACGCCTATAATCCCAGGATTTTGGGATGCCAAAGCGAGAAGATCACATGAGGTCAGGAGTTTGAGACCAGCCTGGCCAACATGGTGAAACCCTGTATCTACTAAAAATTCAAAATAATTATCCAAGCATGGTGGTGTATGTCTATAGTCCCAGCTACTTGGCAGCCTGATGCAGGACAATCGCTTGAACTCAGGAGGCAGAGGTTGTAGCAGTCTGGGATCACACCACTGCAATCCAGCCTGGGCGACAGAGTGAGACTCTGTCTCAAAATAATAATAATAATAATAAATATATCAATAAATAAAACTATTTTCTAGATTTTGTAGCCATGCTTTATTGCTTTTAATTTCTTTTTCTTTTGTCTTCTCTATTTATGTTCAAATAGCCTATTTTCAAGCTCACTAATTCTTTCTTCTCCTTGGTCAGGTGAGTTCTGCTATTAAGAGAAAGATGCATTATTGAACATTTCAATTGCATTTTTCAACTCTAGAATTTCTGCTTGATTCTTTTTAGTAATTTCAATCTCTTTATTAAATTATCTGATAGAACTCTGAATTTAATCTCCTGTGTTATCTTGAATGTCTTTGTGTGTTTTCTAAACAGTTATTTTGAATTATCTGTCTGAAAATAGTATATCTCTATTTCTCCAGGATTGATCCTTGGTGCCTTATTTAGTTCATTTGCTGAGGTCATGTTTTCCAGCATAGTGTTAATGCTTTTAAGTGTTTGTCAATATATGGACATTGAAGAATTAGGTATTTATTGTAGTCTTCACAGTCTGGGTGTTTGATCCTTGACTTCTTGAAAAAGCTTTCCAGGTATTCCAGTAGACTTGGGCTTCAAGCCCAATAACAGTTGTTGTTGTTGTTGTTGTTTTGTTTTGTTTTTCTTTTTCTTTATTTCATTTTATTTTGTTATTTTATTTTATTTTTTGCAGACTCGTAGAGGTACCATCTTGATGGTCTTAGATAAGATCCTGAAGAATTCTCTGGATTACCAGGCAGAGGCTTTTGTTCTTTTTCCTTATTTCCTCCTAAAGAGAGACTCTCTCTCTCTCTCTCTCTCTCTCTCTCTCTCACTCTCACTCTCTTGGCTGAGCCACCTGGAACTGGGGGCATGGTGATGCAAGGCTCACTGTGGACATCACCACTGGGACAGCACTGGGCCAGATCTGAAGCCAGCACATCACTGGGTCTTGCCCAAGGCCTTTCTCTTCTGGGTGGTGTGTTCCCCAAGGTCCCAGGTGTAGCCAGAGATGCTGCCTGGGAGCCAGAGATCAGAGTCAAAAATCTTAGCAGTTTATCTGGTATTCTGTTCTACTGTGACTAAACTGGCATTCAAAACTGGCACTCAAACTATAATACAAAGTCCTTTCTGCTCTTCCCTTCCCTTCCCATAGGCAGTGGAGTCTCTGTGGCCATCATCACCACTGTTCCACAAGGGGTTCTACCAGGCCACTGTCAATGTTCACCTAAAGCACAAGGGCTGCTTCATCAGCTTGTGGCCAATTCTGCCAGGCCTGGTTTTCACTCTTCAAGGCAATGGGCTGCCCTCTGACTCCAGGGCAGGTCCGGAGCAACAAACAGGCTCTTGGGATCCTTAAGTTAAGGCCTATGCTTAGGATACCCAAGTTAAGGCCTAGGCACAGGACACTAAAAGCCTGTTTTTTGGGGGATCCTAAGAGCCTGCTTGTTGCTCTACCCAACTGTGGCCAAGCTGGTACCTTAGGTGCAAGATGAATTCCCCTTTGCTTTTTCCTCTGCTTTTCTCAAACAAAGAGAGACTTTGATGGCTGAGAATGTGCTGAGTTACTCCTGAAGCCAGCATGTCTCCAAATCTAAGGCCCATGGTGTACTGCCTGCATATTGATGCTGTTTATTCAGGGCCCAAAAGCTCTTTAGTCCAGGAGGTGATGACTCCTGCCAGGACTGGGTCCTTCACTTCAAGGCAGCAGGCTTCATTTTGGTGCAGGATATGTCTAGAAATGTTGTTTGTGAGCTAAGGCCTGGAATGAGGGCCTCAGGACTCTGCTCAGTGGCCTATTTTACTGTGGCTGAACTGGTATCCAAGATACCAGACAAAGTCCTTACTTTCTGCGGTCCTCAAGCAGAAGGAAGGAGTCAGTTTTGTTGATGTAAGCTGCACTGCCTGGGGCACAACCACTTCCTTAGTTGGGCCAACTGGTGTCTCCCTAGGTCACACAGCACCTTACTTTATTGGCTGTAGGCCCAGCCTAGCATTGGGAGTTGCCTAGAAATTGCAGTCATTGTGTCTTCGACTGCGTTTCAAGTTTACCTGGGACTTCAGAGCACTTCAGCCTGTGGTGGGAAGTCTTGCCATGAAACTCAAGTTCTGACTGCAGGGATGGGCAATTCCCCTCTGCCTAGGGCTCATTCAATGCTCCCTCCATGCACGGGGAGTGGCTAAGCCCATCACAGCTTTATTCTCCACTATGACAGGGCATCAGTGAATTCAATGTAAAGTCCCTCAGTCACTGCACTCTTCCTTCCCAAAATGCAGACTCTTTCTCTGCACTACATGGCTGCTGCCAGTGGATGGAGCAGGGGTAGTATCTGTGATTGAAGACTGTCACGCCTGCCCTCCTCAGTGTCTGTTTCAGCAACATGAAGTTAAATCCAGTAATTACTCACCTGATTTTTTATTCTTGTGACAGTGCTTTTCTGTATGCAGATAGTTGTTAAAGTGTGATGTTCCAGTAGGAAGAATGAACGCTAAAGGCATTCCACCATCTTGTTACACTCTCCAGATGAGACCGGCTTTTTTATGGCAACAACCGCTATCATTTTTATGCTAACTATTACCATTAACCTAGATCATCATGACTAGGGTCTTGAGAATCTTGTGTATGTTTGGAGACAGAAAGTGTGGTATAAAGGAGGACCATACTAATGATGCATTAAGTTTTTATTTTGTTTTTCAGAAATTGAAGTGCAGTGGGACAACACATCATGTCAATATGTAATTGTTGAAATGCTAGTTGCATCTCAGAAAATCTTTACATGAAACCAAATTATTTTAAGTGAACCAGATTATAGCAACGTGCTTAAATATATTTAAAGTATTCAATATATTGAGTCTCCCAAATTATAAGTCTATGCCCACTGTTTTCTCTTCTTTCCCTTTAATTTCTAGGATAGTTTCTTTCCATTTTTTTTATATTTTGTATTGTTTTAACATTAAGTGGTTAAAAGAGTAGAGTGATGATTGTACACTTTGTATGGCTCTGTAGACCATTTTATTCCTGCCATTGGCTCAACCTGGCTGGAGAGAGGTAACACTCCATAGGTACCTGGGCTCTACTCTTTAACATTGCAACAGCCAAGCCAGCAGAGTAAGAATAAGCAGGTTCACATTTTATGACTCACAATGTGTGCAATGGGAATTACTCAGAAAAGCTGGTTTTGTTCTGCCAATACAATCAAAAGCAGAAAATAGGGGGCAGAGATTAAATCATCAATATATTTATGTGAATACTTACAAGGCAGGAATCTTCACCAATAACTAAGTATGCTCAATTAAATTGGTGACTGACAATGTAGAAAAATACAAATGTACGTAATTCTCTTACACTTGGATTTGAATTAGGGTTAAATTAAGTTTTATTCCTAATATGTAGTTATTCTGTGGAGGAGTAGCCATAGAAGTGTTTATTGAATGTTTTATTAAATGTGTAGATCTTTTGGAGAATTAAAATTCACCAACTTAGAGCCCAGTGACACAAACATAGATTGTATGCAATGGGTGGCTAAAGTAGACTTCAATAACTGATAATGAAACTCTCTGAATGTGCAGATTACACCTTAGAATTCTTCCTAAAACAGTGAGATACAAAACCATAAATGATAAGCAGAAATGATCAACGAAAATAAGCACATTTGCAATACCAGTCCACATCCTAAAGACCGGTACAGTCTATTTAATAACTCAAGCTCTGTTCACTGCCTGAAATGGAGATACAGAAGTTGGTGTCTAAGAGCTCTCTCTTGGTTTGACTAGAAGACTTCTACTTAATGGGTTGTATATATATAAATGCCAAATAAAAATTTTCTCATAAAATGTTTATTTATTTTAATTTTATTAAACAAAACTCTCTGGTGTGATGGAAAAAATAACATTACTTAAGAAATATAATATGGCTGGGCAAAGTGGCTCATGCCTGTATTCCTGGCACTTTTGGAGGCTGAGGCAGACAGATTACCCGAGGTCAGGAGTTCAAGACCAGCATGGCCAACATGGTGAAACCCCGTCTCTCCAAAAATACAAAAATTAGCCGGGCATTATGGTGTGTGCCTGTAATCCCAGCTACTCGGGAAGGTGAGGTGGGAGAATCACTTGAACCAGGGAGGTGGAGGTTGCAGTTAGACAAGATTGCACCATTGCACACCAGCCTGGGCTTCAGAGCGTGACTTGTCTCAAAAGAATAATTATTGTTTTATATATATATATACACACACACACACATATATATGTATACATATATATGTATATATATACACCCAATATATGTGTATATATGTATGTATATATACATATACATACATACATATATGTACATACATATATACATACATACATATATATGTACATACATATATACATACATACATATATACATATAACATATATACACACATATATACAGATATACATATATACATACATATATACATATAACATATATACATACATATATACATATAACACATACATACATACATATATACATACAACATATATACATACATATATACATATGTATACATACATATATGTATACATATATGTATACATATATGTATACATATATGTATATATATATTGTTATATATAACATATATATGATATATTATATATATTGTTTTATATGTATATATATATAGAGAGAGATAATAGTACAGTTTCACAGGGTTTTGTGAAGGTTGTATGAAATACTGTAGTTGCTTAGCCCTGTGACTAGTATCATTGGTTTTCTTAATCAAATCCATTATGCTTTCTGCTCCACTAGTTAGCTTTATGACTCTTCACAATAACTTAACTTAAATGAAACTGTTTCTGCCTAAGTTATGTGAGAAGGCTAACCACTGCCCTACACCTGGAATGTCTGTAACTTGATTACTCTAATCCAAAATATTAATTAGGCCAAAAGATTTTTATTATTTATTTCTAATTTAAAATGTTTTATGATACTCAAATATTTAGAAGATAAATTAGAAGAGAAACAAAATAAGAGGCCGAGACATTGAATAAGAGAATATTATACTTACCTGAAAGATGAATAGGAAATAAGATAACACTGTGAATGGAGAAAAGGGCAGAGTAAGTGCCAACGTCATGGAATTAATAAACATCTAGATGCTGGAGTTTGAAGTAAGGTGAACTTTTAGATTGACTCCCAAGCCTTCAGCTTCTGAATCAGATTTATGGATAGGTGATGGCACCACTAAAATGATAGGAAATACAAAAGAAAAATGAAATATGCACTGAGTCCACTGAGGTGGTAAGAGGAATGACTAAGTGAATTTGGTTTTACATGTGGTTTGTTTGAGGTATGTAAAATGAAATAAAGTTTGCTCAACAGATACATAACTAGGAAGTTTTATCCTATAGGGTTATAAAAATTATGGAGTTGGATGCATCTGGATGTTGGGTGATCTTAGCAAGAAATTTCCAGAGTGTGCACACTAATGAGCAGGAAAAAATATTTAGCAAAAGTAAATTGTTTAAGTATGTACTTATATATTTAAGTCCATACTTGTTCGGACTTGTATTGTACTTAATTGTACGTACTTGTTTGGTCTTATAGTTAATTGCATATACTTAAACGTATGTATTACATACATGTCATACAAATGCACATGTACAAATATATGTATGTACATGCTTATTTATTTATTTATTTGAAGCCTGCATGGTGCTTGCAGTAATTTGGATTTTAAATGTATTTAGATAGGGCCTACATTCTCCCATTGTCAAAGGAGTATCTTACCACTTCTTGTTTAATTATACCTATCTGCATTATTTATTTTACCTGCCTGGCTTCTGTGTAAAAAATGTTACATACTTACTGAGTATTTACTATGTACTAAGTTATTATATGTGTAATAATACAGTTCATATTGCACATTTATTATTAACAAAACCATATGATACATTCTCACAATTACACTTAGAGTTCTTAAAATGATGTACAAACAAAATAATAATAAATGTACCAATTTTTACACATTCCAACAAAAATAAAACTATTTTTATTAGTTTTAACTTTATTTAAGTTTAATTAGTTTTATTAGTTATAACTTCTGCCAAGAGAATTTCCTCATATTCATATTAGCATTTAAGATTATTCCACATTTATGTCTCTAAACTTAAACTTTATTCTATTAAAAACCACCACTGAATAATCTAGACTATTTTTTCCAGACAAAGAGGAAAGCGTGAGAAACTTTATTTACTAATAAGGTTGTTAATCCAATATTTGCTCTAGTATTTTATTGCATTTTTACATTTTTCTACTTGCCTAGACAATTTCTTTGGACTTTAAAAAGCTTTTATCTCTCCTCTGCATGCACAGTAAATTTGATTTTAACAGACATCTCACACACAGAAATAATATTCAGGATATAGCCAAATAGGTCATTTTGAAACCCAAAGTATTATTTTTGAATGCTAACATTATCTGTCAGACCAACAGATTAATATCAATCCATCACTTTTTAAAAATCCTTGAATACTTTCCATATCAATTACCTTGAAAAGCATACTGATGGAAATAGAAAGGATTTATGTACTATAAAAATGCAGCAAAACAGAAAATGATAAAGGAAGAGCAAAATCACTTTCTCTTTTATTTTCATTTATATGAAATTACCTAATATAATTTGATTATAACGTTTTTTCATGTAGGTATTTGAAAATCATACACATCATAACCAGTAAAAATTAAAGTAAAATCCATGATGACTGAAAGGGAAAAATTTTGGCAATCACTTTTAAAATAAGATTCCTTTTAGCCCTGAAGTATTGCAAGTGTGTTACTTTAATTATGATTTCCTTCTGACACTTAGTATAGTGCCTCAATATGTTAGGCATTTCTATAAATATTTTGTTGAATTAAAGAAAAATGAGAGAATTAATGAATTAATTATAAATGGGTGCACAAATGGATCTAGATAGTCCTAGATCTTACTACTACTCAAATTCACAGAAGCTAAAAGAAATGTAGGTGTAAACCAGAGCACTTCAGCTTTATCCAACACACTTGAAAAGACTGGATGAAAAATATTCGCCTGTAGAATATACAACCCTACAAGGTGTCCTTTACTCAACCAGAAATAGTAGTTTTGGATTGGAATGGAAATTGAAACTCATGAGACACCATAGACTTTATGCTGGACAGAGTTTACATAGTGTAAAGAAAGAATACAACTTCGCATAATGGATATTCCATGATTGCCTGAATGTCCCATATTTGCTTCATATGTGGGATGCTTATTACCATGAGAGATGTGACTGAGAGAGCATGAACCAATTCATTTAGGAGAGTTATCATCTCTGGCTTGTATGCATTGGTAGCCAATTAGCCTTTTCAGTGGTATATAATTGTTTATATTCTCCAGCTCAACTGTATTAACAAATAAACTTTACTCATGGCTTGATAAATAATTTTGACTATCAAGTAAAAAAGGACTTATTTTGAAGATCTCGAAGGTTTCACTTTTAACCACAAAAATCAAGATTTGGCTATTAATGGCCAATAACAATTAACACCAGATAATTCTTACTGTTCATTTTGCTTTTCTCATTTTTTAATTAATTGAGGAATAAATGACATATACCGTGATACTTAAAGCATACATTTAATAGATTTTTACATAACCGCAATCATGATAATGAATGTATCCATCAACTTCCCCAAACATATTCTCTCTTCACAGTCGCATCCAGAGCTAACCAGTGAATTTATTTTTATCGCTATAGATGAGTATAAATTTTTAAAATTTATATTAAAAGAATTATAAAATATCTTTGATTTTCTTAGCTTATTTCACTTGGCATAATTATTTTTGAAATACATCCATGTTGTAAAATATATCCTTCTTTTCAAACTGCTTGGATATGAGACATTGTATTTTTTCATTCACCTGTTGATGGATATGTGCGTTGTTTCCATTTTGAGGCTACTGCAAATGAATGAAGTTGCTGTGAACCTTTTCATGTAACTCTTTATTATTATTATTATTATTATTATTATCATTATTATTCAGGGTTCTGCTCTTGCTCAGGCTGGAATGCAGTGGAACAATCATGTCTCGCTGCATCCTCGAACTTCTGGGCTCAAGAAATCTGCCTACTTTAGCCTCCTGTGTAGTTGAGACCACAGGTGCATGCCACCATGCCCAGTTAATATATTTTTTTATTTTTTGTAGAGACTGGGTCTCGCTATGTTGCCCTGGCTGGTCTCAAACTCCTGAACTCAAGAGATCCTTCTGCCTTAGCTTTCCAAACTTCTGGGATTACAGTTGTGAGCCACTCATGGTGCCTGGGCTTATGTTTTTATTCCTTCTAGCTAATTACCTAACATAAATAATTTGGTGAAATATCTAGGAGAGGAATGGCAAGCTTATATGATAGGCGCATGGTTAAATGTTGTATTATATTAATTCAATAAACAATCCTTGAATGGCTATGATGTGCCAGGCACTATTTTGTGCATTGAGAATACAGCCAAGACAATCACATTCTCCTGCTCTTATTTAACTTACACTGTAGAAGATCGTGTGTTACAACTATTTTTATACACAGTTTATTTATAAAATACAGTTTAACTATATTCAATAATTCAGTATAAAGAAGAAAGAAGAGACAAAAAGGGAGAAAAAGGCATACACCTCATGGAAGATTAATCCCCAAAAAGTTGATAGAACACAGACAGCTTAGTCTTTAATAATTTATTTATTTATTTCTAAGGTGTAGTAATACTCAAGCCATATCCAGTAAGAAGCTCTGAAAACTGGATACAACCTAAATTATACATTCGAAATTCATGTATGTAATAATAATAAAAGAAATGAGTGGTTTAATTATATTCTAAATCTAAGGGAGAGAGAAAGTGAAGTATTTTGTAATTTAACTCCTTCTTGGGCAAGTTGGAAATTACTATAAAGGTGTATTTTTAAATCTCGTTCTAATTAATTTTAGGGATGTTTATTTAAAATTCATATATGACACCATTCCATAACACTACATGGATTTGTCCTATAATTATACCAAATTAAGATAGTGTGCATACATAATTGCCAAGAATTTTCAACCTCATAATACTCTGAAAATTCAAAATCACAAATTAAAGTATGTGATTTTTTTTAAATATGTGATTTTTAAAAATCAGAAATACGGAGTGTCTTGTAGCATAACCAACCAAGCCTTTATTTTTTATATTTATAGTAAAATCAGTTTTCCATTTCACAATTAATAAAATAACATATGCTTATTTAGCAAGTGTTTTAAAAATTGCTTCAACATTAGATGGTTACTCATAACATTTTAGAAAAATACACATTTATTAGTGTGAGAATTCTCTTTCTTGTGTTAGGCTAGTCTGTGTTCCTTCTCAGGATAAATATTAAACAACAGAGTTAAAAGCCACTTCTAAATATAGCATGTATTAGCAGAAAAAAAAATAATTTTTGACAGAAAATTTTAAAGACTAATTTTGAAGGGATCTGAGAGATGCTACTTAAAACTAAGACTGGTTTATTTCTACCCCTTTAAGAATCCATTTCTGACATTACCCTGTCTGTGTTACTCAATTTTCTACTGAAATACACCTTCACTAAACTACTAGAAAATGTCCACTTTATTTAATAAGGAATTTCATGGTAATGTACATAGTGTTCAAATGTTCCTAATCATCTATTTATATAGATTTCACTTACTGCACAATGGCTTCAACTTAGGAAAGTTGGGAAGTTTACTGTTCTTTAACGTCTGCTTTTGCAGCTTAATCAAGAAATGCTTCTATCTGTACATTGTTATGAGGCAGTGGAAAGGATATCTTGAGAGCTACATTAAGCTCAAACTACCTCAGGACATTCTCCACATTTGCATAATGTTATTTGCTGTGTCACGTTACCCAATCATATTCTACATTCAACACCTAAAGAATGGCATAAACATGCTAAACCAACTATACAAAACCAATATTAGCATTTTATTATTTAATTTTATTTTTTACTTTTATTTTAGATTCAGAAGATACATGTTCAGGTTTGTTACATGGGTATACTGAGTGATGCTTAGGTTTGAGGTATGAATGATTTCATTACCCAAGTACTGAGCATAGTACCCAATAGTTAGTTTTTCAACATTTGCCTCTTACCCTTCCTCCCCTCTCTAGCAGTCACCAGTGTATGTTGTGGCCATATTTAGGTCCATGAGTACCCAATACTTAGCTCTCATTTATAAGTGAGAACATGCAGTATTTGGTTTTCTGTTCCTGTGTTAATTCACTTAGGATAATGGCCTCCAGGTGCATCCATGTTTCTGCAAAAGACCTAATTTCATACTTTTTCATGGTTGCACAGTATTTCATAGTGTATATGTACCACATGTTCTTTATCCAATCCACTGTTGATGGGCACTTACATTGATTCCATGTCTTTGCTATTGTGAATAGTGGTACGATTAACATGGGAGTGCATGTGCCTTTTTGGTAGAATGGTTTGTTTTCTTTTGGGTATATCCCCAGTAATGGGATACCTGGGTCAAATGGTAGTTCTGTATTAAGTTCTCTGAGAAATCTCCAAACTATCTTCCACAGTGGCTGAACTAGTTTACATTCCCAGCAACAGTGTATAAGTGTTACCTTTTCTCCACAGCTCACTAGCATCTTTTTCTTTTATTTTTATTTATTTATTTATTTATTTATTAAATTTTACTAATACCCATTCTGAATGGTGTGAGGTGGTATCTCACTGTGATTTGTGATTTGAATTTCTCTGATGATTAGGGATGCTGAGCATTTTTTCATATGCTTGTTGACCATGTGTATGTCTTCTTTTGAGAAATATCTGTTCATGACTTTTGTCCATTTCTAATGAGTTTATTTGTTTTTTCACTTCCTGTATTGTTTAAATTCCTTGTAGATTCTGGATATTTGAGCTTTGTCAGATGCATACTTTATGAACAGTTTCCTTTGCTGTGCAGAAGCTCTTTAGTTTAATTGGATTCTACTTGTCAATTTTTGTTTTTGCTGCAATTGCTTTTGAGGACTTAGTCATAAATTCTTTCCCAAGGCCAGTGTCCAGAATGGTGTTTCCCAGGTTTTCTTCTATGATTCTTATAGTTTGATGAATAACATTTAAATCTTTAAGACATCCTGGGGTTAATTTTTGTATATGGTGAATAGTTAGGGGTCCAGTTTTATTCTTCTACATATGGTTCACATACATTTTTTATTAGAAAATAAATTGAAATATCATCTGCAAAAGATTAAGGAGAGTTTGCTGGCTTTCCTTCATGACAAGTCAGCTGCAGAAACTCATATTTCCACAGGGTTTATTCATTCAAATAGCCTAGCTCTATGTATGTGTAAATATCCACTGTAAAAAATCTCAACAAACAATTACTGATTTGCAAGATAGTCTAGTAACGCTCTGGGATGAATCATGAGTAAAGTGTTAATACACAGATTTTTATATCTAAATGTAAAGTTCACTAAAAGTTATGTTAACAAAACAATGAATATACCATTAGCAACAGACTATTTTAGCTTGATTTTAGCACTGTTAAAGTTTAATGCTTTTTAAGTCAGCAATACTTGTATAGTTTTTAAAGTAAATATTTATAATATAACTAATTAGATCTACAATGTATTTTGCTAGACCAACATAAAAAGCAATAAAAAAACTGTTAATCTGCAGGAAATAAAAAGCTTAAAAACTGAAGTAAATAAGGAAACCTCACAGAATAGGTACATACTTATTCAGATAATTTTGTCAGGTCAAATAAAATAAAAGCAGAAACATTTTGAAAAATCCACTTATTTTAACCCTTAATTAAGAGTGCATAACTGGAATTTTTTATTTATGGATAAATGAAATAAAATGAGCATGAAAATTTAAAGTAATAGAGTCCTTCAAGTACTGATATCCCACACAAAAAATCTAGCATCATATTTCTGCTATAAAAACTAAGCATAAATTTATATGTTTATATATTATTTATATCATAAAGAGATGAACATAAATTATTAAATGAAATTAATTAAAATGAATTTTTCTGTAAATGTTCTCTTACTTTCTATTAGGTGGAATAATGACATATTTGATCATCATGACAGAAAATGTATGAATAGAATGATTTCTACCAATTTTAGAAATTCAACTATTAGATATGGGTAAAAGTTGGAGAATAAGTTGACAAAGTAAATTAACTAGATATTTGTGTAAAGGAAAATAGAATATGGTCAATTCATAACACAAAATAATTTAAAACATTGGTAATTCCAGAATTCAATCAGGCATGTAATTATCTAATTTTATGTAATTCCCTCCATATTATGTAAATAACATGGAGCCATAATATGGAGGAAAATCTATGTCTTTTAATTTCAGTATTTCAAGGGGACCTCTAATACCCTTACTTATTAATTAAACATACGCGCGCGCGCACACACACACACACACACACACACACACACACACACACACAAGGGGGAAAATCAGGGCCTGACGATCATACTACAGGAGAGGAAAATCTAGAATAATAAGAACATAGGAGGAAATACATTCTTTAGAGAGAAAATAGAATTACTGTACAAAAATGAGAGAATAGCTATTTTCTTATTCCTTTGATTACTGACAATTTCTTTATCTTGGACAGTCCAAAAAGTATTTTCACATAAAATGAGTAGCTCTTAGTTACTTTTAACATAAAAGATCTTAAGCAAAATAATTAATATCCTTTTAATTCAAATGTCTTGAATATTTTAACTTTTATTCTTTATTTCTGTTCCATTAACCGTGTCGTATCAGCAATTAGAACAGCAGTTAGTATGTAATATTAGCTTAAAGAGAGAATTGTTAATCTGTAACAATTTTCTATAATTAACGGAGTTAATTTGAAATAAACAAATTGCTTTCCATTAAAAGATATTGGACATCAGCAGGAAAAATTATTCATGCAAGTGAAAAGTTAGGGAGAAAATGGGTACTTTTTTTTCTCCTGTTTCCTGAAGTATTGTCTGCAAGCAATTCTCCACTTAGATTTCTTCCAAGGCTTTTCTGTTCTGGCAACGATTTTACTGAATTAGCTGGATTACTGTGATAGAAAGACTCTGTGTTTTCCCTTAGTTATTTCCATATTTTGATATTCATAGCTTTATGTAATCGGCTTCTCTTGAATAGTGGGTGATGCTTGTGATTTGCTTCTTACCAAACAATACAAAAAGGCGATGGAATGTTCCTTTTGACAATACAATAGGTAAGATTGTAACTTCTTGCTAGCCAATTCTGTTGATGCCCTTCCTTGCTGGTTTTCAAAAAGTAAGCTGCCACATATAGAGACCCTTGTTTCAAGGAGATGAAGGCCTCTGTCCACCCCAGTCGACTTCAGTTCGACAGAAACAGATTCCTGCCAACATCTTCATAAACTTAGAAGCAGATCCTTTTTTGTATGAGTCTCAGATGACACAGCCCTTTTTGACCCCTTGGTTTGTGCCCTTATGAGTAAACTAAAGTAGTCACCATTTCTGATCCACAAAACTGTGAGTTACTAAACGTGTGCTATTTTTAGTTGCTAGTATTGTGTTAATATTGGTACCCAGTAATAGATAATTAATGCAGTAATTACCTAGGTGTGTGAGATCAATCAAACTTCCATTTTTCATTGCCAATTTGCTTAGATCATTGATAAAGATTCAAATTTAAATCAGGGAATAATTAATTTTTGTAGTAAAATTATATGCCGCAGTCATGTTTTCCTAATCTTTCAGATTACAAGGCTCTCAATTGTGTTTAAACAAAAATAATGTTTAGACAATAGCAGAGACCTATCCAATTTGCTCTAAAAATCAGTCATAATTGATTTTTAATTTTGTACAAACAAAACAATAAGCCAACAGTTTTCTTCAATTTAAGTCTTTGAAAATATCAGGGGAATGAAAATAATTAGTGTTCTGTTATATTTTCACTTGAACGTCAATGCTTCCCATTTCCCTTCAAAGAAAATTATTAATAAAGCAAGTTGAACCTCAAATGGCATTATCCCTTATGAAGGAAAATAAAAGTTTTAGGAGAATGACATACTGGCAAGTTTGTTTTTAAAATAATTATGTGTGTATGTACAAACATATAAATGTATATATGTGTATATATATATATGAAAATAAATATTACATATCAAACACAAATCTCAAGCATATATAGGACAAAACTAGCATACTTTGTATTATGCTTTTTATTATAAGCCTGCCTTTGCCTTAGGAAAATATTAGAGATACAGCATATATATATATATATATGCTGTATCCATATATATATATGCTGTATCTATATATATGCTGTATCTATATATATATATATGCTGTATATATCAGGTATATATATACCTGATATATATAAACATTTATATATGTATAAACATTTATTTATATATGTATAAACAAAATTCAAAATCGTTTGAATTTTCTGTATTATTGATTGATACCGCTATCTTACAAATATAATATGTTTCTCATAGAACTATGTTGGATTCTTCTGTGTGTGTGTGGGTGGCATTTTCTCATTTACTCTTTCAGATAAAATCTAAATTAGACTAATGGCAGCAAAGCTGAGAACTAAATTTCATAAGCAAAGGAGAGCTTCTTTATCAGAGTCAAAATATTGAGCAAGCAAATTACAATTACCTTAATAATGGATGAATGGAAAATATTAGCAAGAGTAGTGTGGGTGATGGATTAAAAGATAGCTGAAATAGGCACACATGGAAAGCCAGTGTGAGAAAACATTACACTGGTATCATCTGCTTAGAAATATTCAGATATTTAGCAACTCTCAACTTCATTTTTTAATATTTTCTCCTCAGTGTAAACAACATTTATACATTCCTGAAAGAGCATAAAAGTGAACATTGAAAAGTTTTTTTTTCTAAAAATTCTTATCTAAAGTAGAGTAAGGTATGATTATTATAAAAAATATGCCTTTCATTACTATAAATACTATTTATATGGAGTCAAGTGCCAGTAGTTTCTCATGAGACACTAGATTTTTAAACTTTTTTTAAACATTTTATTGCAACTTCCACAATGTGTGAGAAAAGTGAATAGAAATATTTTTATTTATGATTTTAATTTTTTTCACAGCTATCGTAAAGTTTTCATATTATATTTCATGAAGTTGCAAAATTAAGCATATTGTAAGTTTAGGTATTGACAAGATAATCAATAGCGTCTTTGCCCTATTTACTATTGATGAATCATACATATGAGTTTTTAAAATATTTTAGGTAAATATGTTACAAGGTTTTGTGTCTTTATTATTGATTAATAAGATATGAGAAAATTACACTGCATATTACTTAGTTTCTTGTGGTTTAGTTAAAAATTTTAAAGTAGAATTATTCTAAAAACTCTAATCTGGTTTCACATGGCAAAAGCAAAATAATAATTTCAATAATTTTATGAAGTATATTATAACCCTATATTCACAGAAACAAATACATTAGATAGGTGTTAGGTTACAGCAATAACAATCAATTGTTGCTAAAATAGTAACTTTAATATATTTTACAATAATTTTTTATTGCTTTAATAGACTAATACCAACAGAAGCAATCCTATTTTATATGACAAAACTGGGAAAAAATGAAATTATTTATTAAACAAATTAGGCAACCTTTATAATTTAATTTAAATATTTTAGTGAGAAACTTTCATGTTCTCAATTCAGAAATATTGATTTTGACAAATGCTTTTACAAAATTATATCATTTGACTTAATTTTCTCTTGAAAAAATACATTGCTTTCAGTACAAAAACAGAAAATTTGTTTTGCAATAGTTGGCCCACAGTGACTTTTCTGTGCTGAATAATGACCTAAATCTAATTTCTAAGAGAGTTGTTAAAATTTAGTATGAGTATAGATTATAGATGTAAAAAATTACAGATTTACATCCAGCTGGATTCTTCCTTCTTTTATGATCATGAGTAGACATATATTCTCCCTATATGGAAATTAAATTAGAGATCTAAGGGTTAGATAATAGATATTAAGTGTTTAATATAATATCTGATTAATAGTAGATGCAAATGTTAGTTATTATAAGTATAATGACCTAATTAGTTCATAGAATACATTAATTACACCAATGTATATTTAGTATACAGGCAATACAGTGTGAATACAAAACTAAGTAATACATACTCATTTCTTTCGGTCTTGAAGTTTACCTTCTGGGTTGCAAAGATATAAACAAACAAAAAATCAACAACATGGTAATATTTTATCTATTACAGGGGCTGAGAAAAGCATTTAAACATTAAACAATGTGTTCGGCTTAAATGATAATGACTAGTTCAGTAGCGTGTTGTGGAGAATCAGATTGGGAGGTCAGATATTCCATGTGAGGTTTATGAAATTTAGGAATAATGATGCCAAAATACCAGCTGTATAAAGATTGAAAACAGAATGTTCAAAATGTTAAAATAGAAACAAAATTTTAAATCTGAGAAATAGCGATGTAGTTGTTTTGCACTTGAAGGCAATCAGTACAATGCAAGTTCAAGAATTATAGGGAATCTTATGGGTGACAAAATTACATTTAAAAATAATTTTAACCAGAAGAGAAATAACTTGTGTTTTTAAACTGCAACATGAGCCAAAGTTAGAAATGTACTGGATAGTCAACAGAGAAACTTCATAAAATAGTGAATAAAAATAATATATACTTGGATTTTGTTTTTGTTCAGGTATGGTGAGGCCAACAGATGAGGAGATGATTGCCATTAAAAAGATAATTTATTACTTAAAGTACCAAAAAAAGGGGTGCTCACCACACCACTCAGAGTCACGTCAAGGGTGGTCATAGGTGGAGAGTGAGGAGAACGGTGGGAAAAGTTTTACTGCGGTTTTTGCAGGAAGGAATGAGTGAGACGGCATAAATGGCTAAACAGGTTTTATGACTGGCTAGTTTGAATAACTATAATGGATTTCAGGCTGTAAGTTTGCTGAGGCCCGGTGCCAGAGTGATTAAGCAGATGAATAATGTCTCAGAAGCGTTAAGAGTAAATAAAATAGAGGCTGGTAGGGGGGTTGGGCTTTAGATTGGGTAATTTTCATATAAAATACACACTCTAGGAAGAATCCTTCGTTACATGTAGGAGTCTTCTAACTCTGGGATGGGCAATCTTTTCCTAGTCTTCAAGGTTCCAGATGTCAAAACATTAGACAAAGAAACTGGAAAACCTGTTTCATACAACATCGTTGTTTGCCCTTTGATTTAAAAAGTAATAGACCTGAGGCCAGATGCAGTGGCTCATGCCTGTAATTCCAGCATTTTGGGAGGCCAAGGTGGGTGGATCACCTGAGGTCAGGAGTTCGAGACCAGCCTGGCCAACATAGTGAAATCCCCATCTCTACTAAAAATACAAAAAAATTAGCCAGGTGTGGTGGCAGGCACCTGTAATCCCAGCTACTCAGGAGGCTGAGGCAGGAGAATCACTTGAACCCAGGAGGCAGAGGTTGCAGTGAGCCGAGATTGTGCCATTGCATTCCAACTAGGGCAACAAGAGGGAAACTGTCTCACACACACACAAAAACAGTAATAGACCTCAATCAATGACCTGGAAGATGAGTCAATAGAAACTTCTCATACTGAAATGCAATAAATAAATAAAGAGAACATGAAAAAAGCAAAACATCCAAAACTTGTGTGACATTTGAAAGTCATAACACATGTGTACTAGATAGTAGGTTGGTGCAAATGTAATTGTGGTTTTTGTATTTTTGAAATTTGACCATTGATATTGAAATACATTCTTAAATAAATGTGGTTATGTTATACATCATGTTAATGGGCATTTTTTACCTCATTTTATATTTTGCTAATTATTATTTGCTGTTCGTTTTATGTTTATTTTAGACTACGGAAATAATGTTAGACAAAAAAAAAATTGAGTGATTTTCTTATTCAAGTTCAAAATGGGTCATAAAGCAGCAGGGACAACTTGCAACATCAACAATGCATTTGGCTCAGGAACTGCTAATGAACGTATGGTACAGTGTTGGGTCAAGAAATTTTGCAAAGCAGACGAGAGCCTTGAAGATGAGGAATATAGTGGGCAGCTATCAAAAGTTGACAATAACCAGTTGAGAGCAATTATCCAAGCTGATCCTCTTACAACTACACAAGAAGTTGCCAAAAACTCAACATCAACCATTCTACAGTTGTTGACATTTGAAGCAAATTGGAAAAGCAAAAAAGCTTGATAAGTGGGTTCTTCATGACCTGAGTAAAAATCAAAAAAATCATCTTATTCTATGCAATGACAACAAACCATTTCTTAATTGGATTGTGACATGAGACAAAAGGTGGATTTTAAGCAACAAACGGTGATGACCAGCTCAGTGGTTGACAGAGAAGAAGCTCCAAAACACTTCCCAAAACCAAACTTGCACCAAGAAAAGATCAAGGACACTGTTTGGTGGTCTGCAGCCAGTCTGAGCCACTACAGCTTTCTGAATCCCAGTGAAACCATTACATCTGAGAAGTATGCTCAGTAAATCAATGAGATGCCTTGAAATCTGCAACGCTTGCAGCTGGCATTGGTCAGCAGAAAGGGCCCTCCACAAAATTTCTTGGCACAACCAATCCTTCTAAAGTTGAACGAATTGGGCTCCAAAGTTTTGCCTTATCTGCCATATTAACCTGAACTCTCACCAACCAACTACCACTTCTTCAAGCATCTTGGCAACTTTTTGCAAGAAAAATGCTTCCACAACTAGCAGGATGCAGAAAATCCTTTCCAAGAATTAAATCCCGAAGCACAGATTTTTACACTACAAGAATAAACAAACTTATTTCTCATTGGCAAAAAAAATGTTGATTGTAATGGTTCCTATTTTGATTAATAAAGATGTGTTTGAGCCTTGTTATAATGACTTAAAATTCACTTTCCAAAACCGCAATTCTTTATGCACCAAAATTTAATATATCAGAAAGAAAAAACAAAAACAGCATTAGAAAAAAATAGTAGTAATAATGACTAAATTCATGATTGACACCAAGCTACAGATTCTGAAAATTCAATGAGCATCATTATTAATTTAAAAACAGAAAAAAGCAAATATATGTATACTAAATATATATGTGTATACTAAATATACCATTATCGAGAAAAAAAGCAAGCAAACAAATAAGCAAACAACACTAACATATTATATCCAAATGCAAAGGCAAAGAAGAAAAAATTTTAAAACCAAAGGGGAAGGAAATCACTCTACATATATAATTACGGTATACTTTTCCTTAGAAACCATAAAAGCAGGAAAAGATAAAGTGACATATTAATATGTTAAAAGAAAAAAATTCATCGGCCTATAATTCTCTATTCGTTAAAATTATCTTTTAAAAGTGAGTTAAGAAACAAACAGGCCGGGCATGGTGGCTCAAGTCTGTAATCCCAGCACTTTGGGAGGCCGAGGCGGGCGGATCACGAGGTCAGGAGATCGAGACCATCCTGGCTAACACGGTGAGACCCCGTTTCTACCAAAAATACAAAAAATTAGCCGGGCTTGGTGGTGGGAGCCTGTAGTCCCAGCTACTCGGGAGGCTGAGGCAGGAGAATGGCATGAACCCGGGAGGCAGAGGTTGCAGTGAGCCAAGATGGCATCACTACACCCCAGCCTGGGTGACAGAGCAAGACTCCGTCTCAAAAAAAAAAAAAAAAAAAGAAAAGAAAAGAAACAAAATTCTCCAAGGAAACAGAGCGAATTCATCCCCAACACAATTTTCCTGCAAGAATTGTTAAAAGAAATCTCAGGGGAAGAGGGAAAATAACACAGAAAAAAAAATACTGATCTGTATAAGGAATCCTAGACAATTGGAGAAAGGCAATATGATGATAATTATTTTTCTTTTTCTGTATTGATCTGAATGATAACTAGTCGTGTTAAGAAGTAAGAGTATATTGGGTGATTATAGCATATGGATAAGTGAAAGGATTGATGCAATGTCACAAGAGATGGGACGAGAAACTGGGGTTATTCTGTATGTGTACTACAAATGAAGTGCTATAAAGTTATTTGAAAGTGAGTTTAGATTATTTAAGAGTATTTTCTAAACTCTTCAACAACCACTAAAATTTTTTAAATAAGTATAAATAATCTAGTAGGAAGAAGAAAAAATATAATCCCATAAAACGTTCAGTTAAAACCAAAGAAGGCAGAAAAAAGAGGAGGAAAACAAAGAATCAATATAACAGATAGTTAATAAAGATTAAAGACAGTAATAAAAATATTTCAGTAATCACTTAAATGTGAATCATCTAAATGCAACAACTAAAATAGAGAGGTTGGCTAGGTTCACCTGTAATCCCACCGCTTTGAGAGACAAAAGCAGGAGGATTGCTTGAGGCCATGAGTTCAAGACCAGCCTGGGCAACATAGCAAGGCCCCTTCTCCACAAAAAGTAAAAACTTAGCTGGGTGTGGTGGCACACATCTGTACTCCCAGCTACTTGGGAGGCTGAGACACGAGGATTGCTTGAGCAAGGATCCAGTGAGCCATGACCACACCACTGTACTCTATCCTGGGTAACAGAGCAAGACTCTGTCTGAAAAAAAAAAAGAAAAGAAAAAAAGTACAGAGATTGTCAGAGAGTACTTTTAAAAAGTTCTAAATATATGCTGCCTACAAAAAAAAAAACTTTAAATATAAACAGTTTAAAGGTGAGTAGATGAAGAGATATATATCACGCTAACATTAATCAAAAGTAAACTGAAGAACTAGGGAAATGATCAGGAATAGTGGGCCAATTATTTATGGAAACATAATAATCCCAAATGTATGCACCTAACACAATGTCAAAGTACTACTGAAAAAAGAAATAGACAAATTCACTATTATTATATGGAGACTTCAACATTTCTTTCTCAGTAATTGACAGATCAAACAGGTAGAAAACCAATAAAGATGTAGTTGACCTAAACAACATTCAATCAACTTGATCTAACTGACAATTATAGACTACCCCATTCAACAGCAGAAAATACATTTTCTCATGACCACATAGAACATTCAACAAGATCAACCATATTCTATACCATAAAACAAATATGCAATACCAAAAAAAGATGTCACTGTGGAATTAATTAATAATCAATAATTTAAAGATGGATGGTTAATTGCCAAATATTTTAAATTAAAAAAACACTTCTAAGTAATACAAATATCGTGAATTTTAAAAAAGTGAAAATACAACTTGTTAAAATTTATGAGATGCATTGAAAACAATTATTAAAGGCAAATTATAGCACTAAATGCATATATTAGAAAATGTGAAAGAGCTGAGTTCATCAACATAAGGTTCTGTCTTAAGGATTAATGAAAGAACAATCTAAATGTAAATCAAGCACAGAAAAGCTAGAATAACAATTAACACAAATAATTAAGTTAAAAACAAAGAAGCAATTTGAAAACCATGATTATCTCAATAGATGCAGAAAATGCATTCGATAAATTTAACATACTTTCATGTTAAAATCTCTCAATAAACTAAGTATTGAAGGAACTTACCTCAAAATAATAAAAAAAAATTTATGAAAAACCTGCAACCAATATACTGAATGGGCAAAACCTGGAAGCATTTCCCTTGAAAACTCGCACAAGGCAAAGATGCCTTCTCTCACCACTTCTATTCAACACAGTATTAGCAGTTTAGCAGTTCTGGCCAGGAAAATCAGGCAAGAGAAAGAAATAAAGCTATTCAAATGGGAAGAGAGAAAGTCAAATTGCGTTTGTTTGCATATGAAACAATCCTATATCTAGATAAAACCCCATCATCTCAGCCCAAAAGCTTCTTAAGCTGATAGGCAATTTCAGCAAAGCTTCAGGATACAAAATCAACGTACAAAAATCATAAGCATTGCTATACACCAACAATAGACAAGCAAAGAGCCAAATCATGAATGAACTCCCCTTCACAATTGTTACAAACAGAATAAAATAACTAGAAATACAGTTAACTAGGGAATGAAGGACCTCTTCAAGGAGAACTACAAACCATTGCTCAAGAAAATCAAAAAGGACATAAACAAAGAAAATAAAAACATTCCATGCTCATGGATAGAAAGAATAAATATTGTGAAAATGGCCATACTGCCCAAAATAATTAATAGATTTAATGCTATTCCCATTAAACTGCCATTGACATTCTTCACAGAACTAGAAAAAAACTATTTCAAAATTCATATGGAAGCAAAAAGTAGCCTGTATAGCCAAGACAATCTTACGCAAAAAGATCAAAGTTGGAGGCATCATGCTACTCAACTTCAAACTATACCACACTACATTAACCAAAACAGCATGGTACTTGTACAAAAACAGACACAAAGACCAATGGAACAGAATAGAGAACTCAGAAGTAATACTGGACACCCACAACTATCTGATCTTTGACAAACCTGATAAAACAAGCAGTAAGGAAAGGATTCACTATTTAATAAATAGTGCTGGGAGAACTGGCTAGCCATATGCAGGAAATTGAAACTGGACCCCTTCCTTATGCCTTATACAAAAATCAACTCAAGACAGATTAGAGACTTACATGTAATACCCAAAACTGTAAAAACTCTGGAAGAAAATATAGGCAATACCATTCAGGACATAAGCATGGGCAGAGATTTCATGATCAAAATGTCAAAAGCAATTGCAACAAAAGCAATTAAGCTAAAGAGCTTTTGCACAGCAAAATAAACTATCATCAGAGTGAACAGACAACCTACAGAATGGGAGAAAATTTTTGCATCCTATCCATCCAAAAATTTTGCATCCAACAACCCCATTAAAAAGTGGGCAAAGGGCATGAACAAACACTTCTCTAATGAAGACATTTATTTGGCCAAAAACATATGAAAAAATCTCAACATCACTGATAATTAAAGAAACACAAATCAAAACCACAATGAGATATCACCTCACACCAGGCAGAATAGCGATTATTATTAAAAAGTTAAGAAACGAGATGCTGGTGAGGCTACAGAGAAATAGGAACACTTTTACACTGTTGGTAGGAATGTAAATTAGTTTGATTCTGGAAGACAGTGTGGCAATTGCTCAAAGACCTAAAACCAGAAATACCATTCGATCCAGCAATCCCGTTACTGAGTATATACCCAAATAATATAAATCATTCTGTTATAAAGATACATACACATATATATTCATTGCAGCAATATTCACAATAGCAAAGATATGGAATCCACACAAATGCCCATCAATGATAGACTGGATAAAGAAAATGTGGTACATATACTCCATGGAATACTATGCAGCCATAAAAAAGGAATGAGATCATGTCCTTTACAGGGACATGGATGGTGCTGGAAGCCATTATCCTCAGCAAAGTAATGCAGGAACAGAAAACTAAACACTGCATGTTCTCATTTAAAAGTGGAAACTGAACAATGAAAATGCGTGGACACAGGGAGGGGAACAACACACACTGGGAACTGCTGGGAGTGTAGGGGGAGGGACAGCATCAGGAAAAATAGCTAATGCATGCTGGGCTTAATACTTAAGAGATGGATTGATAGGTCCTGCAAACCACCATGACACACATCTCCCTATGTAACAAACCTGCACATCCTGCACATGTACACTAGAACTTCAAATAAAATAAAAAAATACACAAAATAAAATAAAAGCAAAATAAACAAAATTAAAAGCAGGTGCTTTGGAAAAATTAATAAAATTGATAAATCTCTAGCCAGGCAAACCAAGAAAATGTTGAATATTTCTTTACATATTTAGCACTTTTTTGATTCATTTTATCAGAATTTTAGTTTACCATAATTAGATCCTGTACATATTTTGGTAGCATGCACACTTGATATAATGTGATAAGAATGATATAACTTTTGTGGTCTTTTCCTCAAAAACCCACCCTCCTGGGTAATGATGAGAAAACAAATATTTATACATATCCGAACTTAGTAATGCCCTACAAAGTATCATACTTTACTTACCAAAGCTGTTAAGGTTGTCAAAAACAGGGAAAGTCTGTTCTTTCCCTCATAGAACTGAGGGTCCTTAGAACACAAGATGAGTAAATACAATGTGTTGTCTTTTATAGGGCACAAATTAGCCTCTGAAACAGATTACATACCTATGTCATAAATATTTGTAAGACATCCAATGTGTCTTCAATACTAGAAATACACAAGTTTATAGAAAAATGACAAATGATCCTCCTAATGCGTAAAATGAGCACAATCATGTGAATTAATCAGGGTGGTTGTTAGTATTAAAATGAGGATAATATATGAGTAGCTCCAGGTGAAGTAACTGACAATGGGTAGCCAATCAGTAACACAGATGTTGCTGTTGTTACCAGTTTGTTTACATTATTTTATGTATTTTGAGAATAGTGAGTAGCTTTTTAAAAAATTGAGACTATATCTTGAATATATTATAATAATGCTTCATTTCACAGACGAATATGAAGCCCAGATGAATAGTCTGCCCAAGATGTCATAGTGAGGGGCAAAGGTAAAATTGCACTTCTTTTTCACTGCATTGTCCAAAATATTATAAACAATTTTAAAATAATTACATTAATAATTTAAAATTAATGTGTTCCTTATATTGCTGGCATATTTTATGAGTTTCCATTATATCTCGTAATAATTTTATTTTATAAAATTACAGGTAACATGAAAACATTTAAAAATTACAACACAGCTTTCTGGTGCTTATTTAGACATCATAATAATCTCAATCTGGCTTTGAAAAAATAAAACTAAAGTAGGCAGTTTATTTGGTAAACTATCAAATTATACTTATCCTAATCGAAGCTATGGCACATATTGTTTTGATTTCTACTGATTAGTGATCAAACAAGCAAAAATATTTTATTCACGTCATTTGATTGAACCATATCATCTGCAAAATAGGCCTTGCCTTAATGTTAACAGAAGAGTATAAAAATATTTATGTCTCTGAAATAGACAAGAATATAGCCCATCTGCTGCATTAGACACAGAGCTAATTTTAAACAAGGCTTCCTCCAAAATGTCTGTCCTCTTAAACAATTTTCATTAGACTAAATTATCACATTCAGACTCTTTATAAATGAGAATTATATCCAACTTGCCCTTATTACCACTTAATTCTTACTAATGAATAAATAAATATACTTTTGCATGGTAAATAGAAATAATTTAAAGGCAATTTGGCCTCTCACCAAAAAAAAGGAAAAATAAAGAGTGAAATGCCTTAATATAGATACCAAGATGGGAGGTGACTCCAGGTCAAATTAATATAGATCGAGTAACTTTATAGGACTTATTAAAAATAGTTATATTTGCTTGATTATAGTTCTCCAGAAAGATAGATTTTTCCTCCTTTATCCACCCATTGAAAACTATTAATATGTCATGGTTTAAAAAATCTGGTTCGTGGCCGGGAGTGGTGGCTCATGCCTGTAATCCCAGCACTTTGGGAGGCCAAGACGGGCGGATCACGAGGTCAGGAGATCCAGACCATCCTGGCTAACACGGCGAAACCCTGTCTCTATTAAAAATACAAAAAATTAGCCAGGCGTGATGGCGGGCGTCTGTGGTCCCAGCTACTCGGGAGGCTGAGGTAGGAGAATGGAGTGAACCCGGGAGGCGGAGCATGCAGTGAGCTGAGATAGCACCACTGCAGTCCAGCCTGGGCGAAAGAACAAGACTCCGTCTCAAAAAAAAAAAAAAAAATCTGGTTTGTAAAATAGTTTTAAAATCTACAATCACATGTTAATAGGCAGTTTATTTTGATAACTTGTTAGTGGAAAACATGAATATAAATGTTAGTTGATATATATATTCTCTTTGCACTTCAGCAAAGAGCTTGCAAGAAATTTAAAAAATAACAATATTTACTAAGTTTGCATACTTTTGTTATTTCATCTAACAGCATCAGAATAATAAAAAATATATTAAACAATTTTTAAGGAATAGGAGACAAGGACATGACTTGATTATCTCAATGGTAAAAAGGTCTTCAAATTTTTTGAAAATGAAGACTAAATTTTTGTTGAATGCAATTCAGTCACACATTAATATGTAGGGCCAGAATTCACTTTTTTACTCTACTGTTTACCATCTATGTTAGGGTTATCCAAAAACACAAAAAATATTGTAAATATGTACACATATATATTTACAATTTATATGCAGGATTTATAACTTTTTTTTTTTATTTGACATGAGGTCTCATTCTGTCACTTAGGCTGGAGGGCAGTGGTACCACCATGCTGACTACAGCCTTGACCTCCCTGGCTCAAGTGACTATCCCACCTCAGCCTCCAGAGAGAGAGGGGGTAAAAGATTTCTAAAAACTGGCTCATGGAATCATGGGAGTGGCACAGGGCAGTCTGGCAAATGAGAAATTCAGGTAGAGTTGATGTTCCAATCTTGAGTGATCATACAGGGCAGCAGACTGGAAATTAAGGCAAAATTTGTATGTCGCAGTTCTGAAACAGAATATTTTCTCATTAGGAAATCTAAGTCTTTGCTCCAAAGTCCTTCAGCTGATTTGATGAGGCCCATTCACATTATGGAAAGGAATCTGCTTTGCTTAAAGTCAAGTAGTCATAAATATTAATCTCATCTAAAAAATACTTCCACAGCAATATTTAGACTAGTGTGTGACTAAATAACTGGCTACTATAAACTAGCCAAGTTGACACACAAAATTAATCTTCACAGCATGGTAGAATAATAGTGGTGACCATACTAGCTGTAAAGCTCAGATACCTAAAGTATCTGCCTGGTTATCACTATTGGGTCCGGAATTGGTTCCTTCCGGTGGGTTCTTGGTCTGGCTGACTTCAAGAATGAAGCCGCGGACCCTCATGGTGAGTGTTACAGTTATTAAAGATGGTGTGTCCGGAGTTTCTTCCTTCAGATGTTCAGATGTGTCTGGAGTTTCTTCCTTCCGGTGGGTTCGTGGTCTTGCTGACTTAAGGAGTGAAGCCACAGACCTTCGCAGTGAGTGTTACAGCTCTTAAAGGTGGCATGTCCTGAGTTGTTTGTTCCTCCTGGTGGGTTCATCCTCTAGCTGACTTTGAGAATGAAGCTGCAGACCCTTGTGGTGAGTGTTACAGCTCATAAAGGTAGTGTGGACCCAAAGAGTGAACAGCAGCAAGATTTATTATGAAGAGTGAAACAACAAAGCTTCCACACCCTGCAACGGGACCACGAGCAAGTTGACGCTGCTGGCGCCTATGGCCAGCGTTTACTGCCTTATTTGGCCCCACCCACGTCTTGTTGATTGGTCCATTTTACAGAGTGCTGGCTAGTCTGTTTTTACAGAATGCTGATTGGTGCGTTTACAAACCTTTAGCTAGACACAGAGCGCTGATTGGTGCGTTTTTACAGAGTGCTGACTGGTGTGTTTACAAAACTTCAGCTAGGCAGAAAAGTTATCCTAGTCCCCACCCGACCAGGAAGCCTAGCCAGCTTCACCTCTCACTATCACAGGACATGCTATCACAGGACATTGGTATCAAAGGACATACCATCTTCCTTTGGGCTGAAGTTATAGAACTGAGGAAAGCCTATCTAAAATGACTTTTTAAAAGTATGATGCACCAATGTGAAACACTATTAGCTACAGTAAATAAATATACAAAGAAAAATTTCTCTGACAAATCAGGATACACAGAAATAGTATCATAAACTTAAGAAAGAAAGAAATAGACAAGAGAGAGAGAATTTGCACAACTCTACTCAGATGAATGAGCCTTGTCAAATATTTTAAATGATTAAATGTATAAAAATATTATTTGAATACGAGGCTTCAGAAGTACAGATAATATATAAAATTTTATGCACATGTATTTGTGTGATACATAGATTCCCTATAAGAATATTTAGATTTCATGCATTTAATTATGTATGTCTTATCTAGTTTGCATAATTTTTATTTTCTTCAGCTATGTGTTTTAGTAAATATGCCATTCTTTTAAATTACTTATTTCAAAGTTCAACTGTATTTAACTCTTGTCATTTTTATAGTAGAATGATGAATTCTTTTTTCTGCTGTTTTTGTATATCAATTTTCTGCTTTTTATTGAAATGAACCATTTCACTATTATAAAAGATAAATTCCTTATATCAAAATAATTTTACTATCCATTAATTTTTGGTGCGTTTTATTGACATGGATTCAAAAGATTTAGAAGGATACTGAACAAACGGTCAAAATATATTAAATACAAATAAATTTTAAAAATAATGGAGGCAGGGTGATTTTAGGACCCACCATTGTATTTTATACCCTTTACAAAAAATACATATATTAAATTACATTATAATGCTATGTTTCATGCAAAGTTTGAAAACTAAGTATCAAATTTCTTATTTATTATTACTATTTTATTAGCATTAATATAACACTTCAGAATGTGGCTAGATACATGACATCACACATTTAATTCAATAGCAAACCTCAATAAAGCTGGCATTAAAGACTAGTTCTAAATAAGCTATTAAATTCCTTTAAAATGTGTTTTATTATCTTTGGTTATAAAATTGATTTCAGCTGGGCACAGTGGCTCATGCTTACAATCTCAGCACTTTTAGAGGCTGAGGTGGGAGTATTGCTTAAGGACAGGAGTTTAAGACCAGCCTGAACAACAGAACAAGACCATACCTCTATGAAACCAAACCAAACCAAACAAAACCAAACCAAAAAACTAGTCTGGCTTATTGGCTCATGCCTATAGTCCCAGCTACTCAGGAGGTCGGATTATCACTTGAGCCTGGGAGGTCCAGAATGCAGTTTGGCCATGACTGTACTACTGCACTATAGCCTTGGTGACAGAGTGAAAGCCCATCTCGGAAAAAAAAAAAAAGACTGCTTATTCATACATGTGGCATCACTAAAATTTAATACATCTAATTTGGTACTGTAGTAATAGTGTTTTCATTATAATGATATGTAATTCCACTTGTGTTGCAGTCAGAATAAAATTTGTAAGTTTTAGACATGATTAACCATAACTACTGACAAAAGTTTAATTTAACCTTACTGTTTCTTCAGAGTTTGATATCTTTCCATGTACTGATAAGTCAGTGACTTCACATTTCCTTTTTACCTTTTCTGCTATTCATAGCCATACATATATCTGAAAAAGACCTAACCCTTGATTGATGCTTACACTCTATGTTAATATTCTGCTGGATAAACAGTAATCTTATGATAGTACTTAAAAAATCTAGTTTAAGAAAGTGACACTTGGAGAATTATTACAGTTGACCTAGGGAATATTAATATATACCATTCTTTGCACATATCCGTTATTTAAATGGGCTATTTTGCACTCATGAAACAATTGAAAAGCTCAAATATCCTGTATTAACATTATAAAACAAAGGCTGGTTATAGTTCAAATATTTCTAAGCGACAGAAAATGACATCTTAATATTACAAAGAATAGGTCTTTTAAGCAAAGATGAAACATACAATGAAGGGCATTGTGAGAAGGCAGCTGGCATACTACCCTCTGTACAAACAGTCCTTGACCTGTGCCCTGTTCTGTCAGTAGCCAGATGGTCTGAGGATTATTTGTAAGTGTGTGATACCAGATATGGGCCAACAAGGAATACAAGGTTAGAACAATCACAGATCTCTGTATATGACATTGACACAAATTAGCAAAATATACATCTTTCAATCAGCCAAATAATGGTTGTCAGAATCAACCTAAAAACAACAGGAGCAACTTTTAAATACATCATCTGCTGGCATTCTATTTTTATGTTGTAATGGGTATTTTAATGATAATCATTAAATTTCTTGGCACACATGCACATTCTACCAGTATGCCAGCCTTTAGAAGTTTGCATTTATTATTCTTGGTCTTTCAAGGATGTGGTATTGAGGTTTTTTGGTTTCAGGAGTAATTAATATTGTAATTACATCTACCTTAATAAAATTCACACCTACATGTGTTTAAATGAGCAGGTGTACTTGTGTATAGTTTTGATCAATAGATTGAGATTATTTGGCCCTTAATATTAAATTTATATATTAAAATTATATGAAAGATAAGAGTACAGAAAAAAAGTGTCATGTTTTCTCATTTCAAAATAAATGAAAATGATTTTATCTAATCTTGTTGTAGTAACATAAACTAAAATAATACAAGTCAAGATAATTAGACCCAGGCTTCTAAAATAAAATGTTTATGGTTTTCAAGAGAAAACATTTAAAAAATATATCATACTTTGGATTCCCTAAGTTTTATGCAATTATAATTGATCCATAATGTGAAAATGGTCACAGTTTTTGTAATAACTAATGAAATAGTAATGAAGCAAAATATACAAAACTCTGCTATTTCTAAATAAGTGAGGTTCAAAGCTATTTCTCTTTTGTGACATAAAGTAGAAATCCTGGAGATGCTTCGTGTTTATAAATTTTGTTTTGTTCATAATCTTTGAACATATTTTGTAACATAAACCAAAAACTCCCTGCGACAGGTTTCAATAAATTTAGAAGTTTATTTTGCCAAGGTTAAATGCGCATGCCTGGGAGAAACGTCTGTGCCTTTCTCCAGAATGATTTTGAGGGCTTCAATATTTAAAGGGTTAACTGAATCTACATGTTGCAAGACAAAAGTAACAGTAGGGAAATAATTATGTATTTGTCTCCTGCCCACTATAAGATAAGGTGAACACAGAGTAGAATAGCTATCTTTGGAGATACATTTCTTCTGTAGCTATCTGCTTAGGAATAAAAGAAAAGACAGCTTTTTTGCATGACTCAGCTTACATCTTAATTTCTTTTTTTTTTTTTTGGCAGAATGAACTGGGGTCCCTCGTTTTTATTTTCCTTTCTCAGTAACAACAGCAAATGTAAACTGCCTTGTCATCTCTGGTGGGCATAATAAATCTTACACTTGGACTTTGGTTAATACTCGTCACTGAATATACTTTGAAAGCATTCTTTTTGTATATGAAGCAACTGTATGTATTATTGTTATTTTCTCAACAGAAATAATTTGATTTCTGCTTTCCTGTGGCTTACTACATACAAAAAATGTTGAAAAAGTCAACGAAACTATTTTAAAGCCATTGTGTTTAACCATCAATGACTTCTGGCTTCTCATGTAAATCAAGGAGAAAGGCTGCGAAGATAATATCTGAGTAGTGGAAGCAGAAGGAACTGCTCCTCTTGGGTTTGAATTTTCATTACAAATTTATTATTTTTATTGTCAGATTTATGCTTCAGTTGCTTGAATTAAACACATGAATTTTCTGTATATTCAGGTTTGTTTCAGTTACTAAGAGAAGTTATTTTAATTCAGCTATGATTTAACTTTGTAAATTTGCAAATTATATTCTTCAGCTTTTTAACATCTAAATAAATATACCTCAAAGACTTGACCTCATTTATTGTAGAACAGCTCTAATGCTAGCATTATAAAGAATACAAGATTCAGAACACTAAAAATAGAAATATAAACCATTTTATTACTGTGTTCTTGATTTAAATTTTGACTCGATGTCCACAATAGTTTAGACAATTTTAAATAATATGCACTATGTTCACTTGCAACAGATCTTAAAGAATCATTTAATTAATATTTGTCTTTGGAATCTACTAGAAAAAAGAAGGCAGAAATGTTAATCCAAGCCATGCCATTTTGCAGACCCCCACGATTTTACAAACTCTGCTCAGAGTGGAAAATTCCACCAGGGCCTGGACCATGAAAAACATACAGTTGGACAGGTCCCAGGCCTAACCCTAACCACAGTAAATTCCTTCCTTATCAGTGGCCAAACACATGGCCCCCACCCCATTTTTGCAACAATCCCAGACCTCTGGGGTCCATGCCTGTAAGGGGGGAAGGGGGACCTGGTGCTAGTTGTTTCCCCCGCCAACACCACACCGCAGATCTTTCTCCCAATAAACCTGTGTTGCCACTGAGCCACCTCTGTTCTGTTCCTTCTCCCTTTCACTCTAGAAAAATTAAATAAATAAATAAAAATAAAAATAACTGGTTAAATTATGAAATATTTTTACTACTTTTCTTCATGAATTTTTAGTTTACATATAGCAAATTTCACTATTTTTGTTGTACATTGGATGCTTTCACTTGGTGGTCAAACTCTTACTCTACCCTTAACCCAGATCTCCTTTAAGTCCCTATTATTGTTGGGTCTTCCAGAAAGTCACATAAATAAATCACACTTTCTGTGCCTTAGCTTAATGTGTTGTGTTTGACAATCATCTACTTTGTTGGGTACATTGATAGTTCATATTTACAGCTGAGTAGATTCTATTGTGTGGCTGAACCACAGTTTACCTGTTCTTTACATGAGCAACATTTGGATTGTTTCCAGTTTTTGATGATTATGAATAAACCTGCTATAATTATTTGCATGTAGTTCTGTGTATATGGATTTTCTATTCATTTGAGTAACATTTCTATGAGAAATGTAACTTTAAAATCCCTTGGGCTGTTTGTTAGAAAATGTTATCTGTGAAAAGAGATAGTTTCATTTCTTCCTTTCCATTGGTAAGCCTTTAACTTCTTTTTCTTGCTTTCTTGCTCTATGAAAATTTCCACTACAATGTTGAAAAGGAATGGTGGTAAAACAACCTCTACAAAAATTGTAACAGTGAAAAAATTATGGCAGTGCAGGAGATCTGATCTAGCCAATCTTCTAGCCTTTAGTGTGCAAGCTGTCTTTTATTATTCCTGGGCTTAAGCCAAGCTTACTTTAGAGACATTTAGTTTATAGTTTAAATAATAATAACCCTTCCCCAAAACTCGACTGCCTTTGTGAAGCTAATATGTAATATGAGACCATCTGTCTAGGAGGACAGAGGAGCCTGAATCCTGCTAAGGTGTAGACATAAACTATGGCTGGCCATTATTCCAGAGGTCAAAAGATATGCAACTTTCCCAATTCCTCTTACAGATAACATCACTACTGTAGAACCTAAATTGGCCGTTTGAGAGATCTTTCCAGGATTTTTGCATTTCTGATGACTGATGGCTCCACTTGAACCTGCCAACTGCCCCTGTGGCCCCACCGGGAAGATACTAGGTGCAAGAGGACAGCTTCAGTTTCCTATAATTTCATCTCCAACTCAGACAGTCAACACTCCCCATACCCTAGACCCCTGCCCATCAAACTATCTTTGAAAAACCCTTAACTTCAGAGCGTTCTGAGAGATTGATTTGAGTAATAACTCTGTCTCCTGTGTGGCGTGTCCAGCCTCGCGTTAATTAAATTATTTATTTACAGCAATGCCAGGATTTCTGTAAATTGATTTTGTTTGTTCATTGAACAGGAAGGACGTGTTGGGCAGTTACAGTGAGAGTGGTAATACTTGCTTTGTCCACAATATTAATGAGAATTCACTCAGCTTTTCACTATTAAGACTTTAGTTGCAGGATTTTTTTTTTGGATGTTATAACATTATGAATATTTTCTCCTATTACTATTTGCTAATTTTTAATTATGAATTAGTGTTAAATTTTGTCACATGCTTTTTCTACATCTACTGATATATCTATGTGGTATTTTCTACTTAATAAGTTAACAGGGCAACTGAGGATTGTTATTTCCAAATGTTGAATTTGCTTTGCATTCCAGGATTAACCTCTCCAATCTCCAGGACCAGAATATATTATCCTTTTTGTATATTATTGGATTTGATTTTCAGAAAAACTAAATTCAGAATTTTATTTCTAGTAATATAAAAGATATTGGTCTGTAGATTTATCTCTGGATAAATAATTGTTTTGCTTTGTTGAGAATGTTTTTGTTCAATAACATAAGACATATAATGGTTTGTAGATTTATTTCTTTGTAATGTCTTTGGTTTGGGTATTAGAGTAATGCTGATTTCATGAAATTTGTTGGGAAGTATTCCTTTTTCAAAAAAGATTATGAAGAATTAAAATATTTATTTATAAATGTTTGTTAGAATTACCCAGATAAAATTTGTTGACCTGGTATTTTCTTTCTGAAAAGATTTATCTATGAATCTGATTTCTTTAATAGACAAATTGTTCAGGTTATCCTTTCTTCCATGAACTTTGGTAGTTTTTGTCTTTCAAGGAACAGACTCATTTGATTTAAAATGTCAGACTCACTGGCATTGAGCTGTTTGTAGTTTTCCCCTATTCTTTTAATATCTGTCAGGGGTGCAGTAATACATCTTATTTCATTTCTGATATTGGTAACTTGGGCCTTCGTCTTTATTATTCTTGATAGAAGTGTATCCATTTTACTGATCTTTTTAAGAAATTTTTTTTTGCTTTCATTTATTTTCTATGTTGTTATTTTTTTGTTTGCTTTGGTTTTGTTTTTGAGATGGAGTCTTGGTCTGTCACCAGGCTGGAGTGCAGTGGCACAATCTCGGCTCACTGCAACCTCCGCCTCCCAGGTTTAAGTGATTCCCCTGCCTCAGCCTCCCAAGTAGTTGGGACTACAGGCACACACCACCATGCCTGGCTATGTTATTTTGTTTTAAATCTTACTGATTCTACTCTTCATTTGATTTGCTCTTCTGTTTCATTTTTTTTTGTAAGTTGAGATTTAGATTATTGATTTAAGTCTCTTCTTTAAATTCCTAACATTGGCCATTCTGAATTTCTCTTTTAACTGCACTGTAGCAGCATTACACACATTTTGATACGTGGTATTTTCAGTTTCATTCAGTTTAAAGTATTTTTTCTAATGTCTTTATGACTTCCATTCTTATCCATGGGTTATTTACAATACAATTGTTTTCTGCAACTTTCAGGTATTTGGACATTTTTCTTCATATTTTTCTATTTTTGATTTCTGATATCATTTGTTGAGGTTAGATAGTAGAGTTTGTATGATTTCAAATCTTTAATTTCTTGAGGTTGACTTTATGGACCAGCACACTATCTTGGTACATGTTTCATGCACACTTGACAAGAATATGTATTCTATGCATAACACTGTTCTCAAGTGTCTTGTTCTATAAATATCTATTAAATCAAATTGAATGATGACACAGTTCAGATATTTTATGCATTTTCTGATTCCTGACTACTTATTCTATCAATCATTGAGATAATTATTGAAGTCAACAATATAATTATGAATTTATCTATTTCTCATTTCAATTCCTTCATTTTTTTCATATGTTTTAAGATATTTTGTTAGGTGTATACACATTTGGGATTAGTGTGTATTCCTGATGATGTAACTGATCAATGAGTTTATTTTGTCTACTGACCAGATAGAGTTGACTTATCAAGACAGAGGAATAGCAATAAAGAGTTTAACTCATGTAGAGCTGACTGAACAAGAGACCAGAGTTTTATTATTACTCAAATAAGTCTCTCTGAAAACTCGGGACACTGTGGTTTGTTAAGGACAATTTGTGGGTAAGGGTCAAGGGAGTGGGGAGTGCTGATTATTCAGGTCAGATTTGAAATAACAGGGAGTCGAAGCTGACCTCTTTCTCTGAGTCAGTTCCTTGATGGGGACCACAGGCTCAGATGACAGAGTTTACCAATCTGGGTGGCACCAGCTGATCAGCTGATTGAATGAATTGTATGAAAAATATCTCAAGCACCAATCTTAGGCTTTACCATAGTTATGTTATTTCCAGACGCAATTTGGGGAGGTTTAGAATCTTGTTGCCTCTAGCTGCATGACTCCTAAGATCTTGTGGCTAATTTGTTAGTCCTACAAAATGAGTCTGGTCCCCAGGCAAGAAGAGGGTTTGTTTTGGAAAAAGGCTGGTGTCAGCTTTGTTTCAAAATTAAACTATAGGGCCAAGTGTGGTGGCTCACACCCATAATCCCAGCACTTTGGGAGGCTGAGGTGAGCAGATCATGAGGTCAACAGATAGAGAACATCCTCCTGGACAACATGGTGAGATCCCCTCACTACTAAAAGTACAAAAATTAGCTGGGTGTGGTGGTGCACACCTGTAGTCCCAGCTACTTGGGAGGCTGAGGCAGGAGAATCACTTGAACCTGGGAGGTGGAGGTTGCAGTGAGCCAAGATCATGCCACTGCACTCCAGCCTGGTGACAAAGCAAGACTCTGTCTCAAAAAAATAAATTAATTAATTAAATTAAATAAATAAACTATAATCTAAATTTCTTCCAAAATTAATTCGGCCTATGCTCAGAAATGAACAAAGACAGCTTGGAGGTTAGAAGCAAGATGGAGGAGTTAGTTACATCACATCTCTTTCACTGTCATAATTTTTCTACTGTTACGATTTTTGCAAAAGCATTTTCAATGAATTGATCCTATTAGTATGCCATGTTCCTTTTTTCTCTGGTAATTTTTTAAAATTCCTAAGTTTACATTTTCTGATATTGAAACTTCCATTGCAAAATTGTAATTGAGACAGTGAAAGAGATCTGACCTAACCAACTCCATCTTGCTTCTAATCTCCAAGCTGTCCTTGTTCATTCCTGGGTGTAGGCTGAACTAACTTTGGGAGGAACTTTATAGTTTAAAACAAAGATGATAACAGCCCTTTCAGAAGGCAAATCTCCTCCGTGCCTGGGGACTAAACTGACTGTAGGACCAACAAATTAGCCACAAGATTAGAAATTATTGCTTAGGAGTCATGCAGCTGTAGGCTACAAGATTGTGGACCCCCCTAAACTCCTCCTAAGATCAGTGCTTGTGAAATTTTGCAGGCCCCACACTTGATATATCAGCTGGCACCACCCAGATTGTAAACTACCTCCTCCAATTATGTGGCCCCCACCCAGGAACCGAATCAGCACAAGAAGACAGCTTCAATTCCCTATGATTTCATCTCCAAGCCAATCAGCCAACACTCTCAACTCACTGGCATTCCCCCGCCCACAAAATTATCCTTAAAATCTCTGACACCTGAATGCTCAGGGATACTGATTTGAGTGATAATAAAACTTCCATCTCCCAAACTGCCAGTTCTGTGTGAATTACTCTTTCTCTATTGCAATTCCCCCATCTTGATCAATTGGCTCTGTCTACGCAGTGGCAAGGTGAATCCATTGGGTGGTTACAATATTAATGCAGGTATTTTGGCTTTTCATCGAATAGTATTTAGATGATGTATTTTTTTAATCCATCATATTTAGTTTAATTAATTAATTTTTATGTTTAGGCTATTTATATTTGGTGTAACTCAAGGCTATCATTTTATTATATTTTGATTTTCTGTTTTCGGTTCCTCTCCTACTTTGTTTCCTTCTTTTAGATTATTTGAATAAATTCATTATTATATTTTAATTTATCTGCTTTCTTTTTTGGCTATATCTCTACTATGATTTTTAGTACTTAAAGGAATTATAATATGCATATATAACATTTTGTAGTTCATTTAGGTAAGCTTTTACCACTTTAAGTAAAAAAAAAAAAAGAAATCTCTCAGACAGATAATTCCTTAAACCTAACTACTTTGTATCACAGTTATGTATTATATGATGTATATTAAACTCCCTGACTATGCCATATTAGTTTTCTTTCAATGGGTGTAAATACTTTGAAGAACGTAGGCAGAGAAAAATATTATATTCACCCAGTTATTTGTCATTTCTGTTGCTTTTCCTTTATTTCTAAAATTCTGAGGTTCTCTGTAATATAATTTTCCTTTGCCCTAAAGACATTCTTTTAGTTTTTCTTTTAGAATAAATCTGTTGTAATTTTCTTCATTTTATAGTATCTTTGTAACACTTTCATTTCTGAAAAATATTTTTACTGGATATTGAATAATGGGTTGACAGTAATTTTTCTTCCATATTTTAAAGTTGTTTTTTACATTTTTTGTGTGGGTTGAAAAATGTGTAATAATTGAAATAGTTTCAAACAGTGACACATTTGTCATGTGTCTTTTTTGCATGTTCTACTTAGACATTGTTATGTCATTTTTGCATGTTCTACTTAGGCATTGTTATGGAACTTGAGCAGTGATACGATTTAGGTCAGTTCTTTTATTTTTTATTTTTTTTGAGTTTTGCTCTTGTCACCCAGGCTGGAGTGCAATGGCATGATCTCAGCTCACTGCAACCCTGCCTGCTGGGTTCGAGTGATTCTCCTACCTCAGCCTCCCAAGTAGCTGGGATTACAGGCATGTACCACCACGCCCAGCTGATTTTTGTATTTTTAGTAGAGATGGGGTTTCACCATGTTGGCCAGGATGGTCTCAATCTCTTGACCTCATGGTCCGCCCACCTCAGCCTCCCAAAGTGCTGGGATTACAGATGAGATGTGAAGCCAGCTGGACTTCCTGTGTCCAGTGGGGAATTGGAGAACTTTTCTGTCTAGCTAAAGGTTTGTAAATGCACCAATGAGCACTCTGTTAAAATGCACCAATCAGCACTCTGTGTCTAGCTAAAGGTTTGTAAACACACCAATCAGCACTCTGTAAAAATACACCAATCAGCACTCTGTGTCTAGCTAAAGGTTTGTAAATGCACCAATCAGCACTCTGTAAAAACGCACCAATCAGCACTCTGTAAAATGGATCAATCAGCAGGACATGGGTGGGGCCAAATAAGGGAATAAAAGCTAGCCACCAGAGCCAGCAGCAGAAAACCTGCACAGGTCCCCTTCCATGCTGTGGAAGCTTTGTTCTTTCACTCTTCACAATAAATCTTGCTGCTGCTCACGCTTTGGGGCTGCACTACCTTTATGAGCTATAACACTCACTGTGGAGGTCTGTGGCTTCACTTCTGAAGTCAGCAAGACCACAAACCCACCAGGAGGAACAAACAACTCTGGACGCACCACCTTTAAGAGCTGTAACACTCACCGTGAGGATCTGTGGCTTCATTCTTGAAGTCAGCAAGACCAAGAACCCACTGGAAGGAATAAATTCTGGACACATTTTGGTGCCTGAACAGGGACTATCACCAAGTGGTGAGTACCATCAGACCACTTTCACTTGCCATTCTGTCCTATTTTTCCTTAGAATTCAGGGGCTAAATACCAGGCACCTGTCGGCCAGTTAAAAGTGACTAGCATGGCTGCCAGACTAAAGACATGGGTGACAGGCTTTCTGGGAAAGGGCTCTCTAAAAACCCCCAAATCTTTGGAGTTTGGAGCATTGGTTTGCCTGGAACCAGCTTCCACTTTCCCTGTACTTCTGGACTGAGCCAAGGGTTGACAGAGAGGAAAGCCATTCAGCTTCGGGGTCCTGACAAGTTGGTTGACCTGCGGCCATGAGCAGAACTCTGAAAGTCACATCGCCCAAGCAAGACTCGCCCATCTAGCCTATCTATCTTGACCCTTGCCTCCTGAGTCCTAATGCTTGTCAGACAAACTTCCTCTCACCTCTCTTCTCTGAGGCTAGTCCCACTTCTAAAACCCACACCCTGTCTCTGGTGCTTTTCTAATTTCTCCTATAAGAGTGATTTCTAGTATAAACTACAGGAGTCTATTCACTTCTTTAGGCACAAAATTTTTGCCCACAGCCCTGTTGGGGTAGGGGACTATCTTATCTGGAATTTTAGGATCCCTCCTCGACTAGCAGGCCTAACAAAAGCTATTCCTGAAGACAGGATAGGGGGAGCCTCAGAAATGATATCCTTCCTATTCAAGTGAGGACAAAAGGCATTAAGCTTCCAACCCTGGAGATCCCTTCCCTCCCTCAGGGTATGGCCCTCCACTTCATTTTTTGGGGCATAACATCTTTATAGGACAGGGGTAAAGTCCCAATACTAACAGGAGAATGCTTAGGACTCTAACAGGTTTTCAAGAATGCATTGGTAAGGGCCTCTAAATCCGATTTTTCTCAGTCCTCTTTGTGGTCTAGGAGGACAGGCAAGGGTGCAGGTTTTCAAGAATGCATTGTAAGGGCCACTAAATCCAGCCTTCCTTGGTCCTCCTTGTGGTCTAGGAGGAAAACTAGTGTTTCTGCTACTGTGTGGGTGAGCGCAACTATTCCAATCAGCAGGGTCCAGGAACAGTTGCGGGTTCTTGGGCAGGGGGAGAAACAAACAAACCAAACGTGCAGGCGGTTTTGTCTTTCAGATGGGAAACACTCAGGCATCAACAGGCTCAGCCTTGAAATGCATCCTAAGCCATTGGGACCAATTTGACCCACAAACCCTGAAAAAGAGCTGGCTAATTTTTTTCTGCACTACAGCCTGGCCCCAATATTCCCTCTCTGATGGGGAAAAATGGCCACCTGAGGGAAGTATAAATTACAATACTATCCTGCAACTTGACCTTTTCTGTAAGGGGGAAGGCAAATGGAGTGAAATACCTTATGTCCAAGCTTTCTTTTCATTGAAGGAGAATACACAACTATGCAAAGCTTGCAATTTACATCCCACAGGAGGACCTCTCAACTTACCCCCATATCCTAGCCTCCCTATAGCTCCCCTTCCTATTAATGATAAGCCTCCTCTACTCTCCCCTGCCCAGAGGGAGACAAGCAAAGAAATCTCCAAAGGACCACAAAAACCCCCGTTCTATCAATTATGTCCCCTTCAAGCTGTAGGGGGAGGGGAATTTGGCCAAACCTGGGTACATGCCCCCTTCTCCCTCTCTGATTTAAAGCAGATCAAGGTATATCTGGGGAAGTTTTCAGATGATCCTGATAGGTACATAGATGTCCTACAGGGTCTAGGGCAAACCTTCAATCTCACTTGGAGAGATGTCATGCTATTGTTAGATCAAACCCTGGCCTTTAATGAAAAGAATGTGGCTTTAGCTGCAGCCTGAGAGTTTGGAGATACCTGGTATCTTAGTCAAGAAAATGATAGAATGACAGCCAAAAGGGACAAATTCCCTACCAGTCAGCAAGCCATCCCCAGTATGGATCCCCACTGGGACCTCAACTCAGATCAGGGGGACTGGAGTTGTAAACATCTGTTGACCTGTGTTCTAGAAGGACTTAGGAGAATTAGGAAAAAGCCCATGAATTATTCAGTGATGTCTACCATAACTCAGGGAAAGGAAGAAAATCCTTCTGCCTTCCTCGAGTGGCTATGGGAGGCCTTAAGAATATATACTCCCCTGTCACCTGACTCACTAGAGGGTCAATTGATCCTCAAAGATAAGTTTACTACCCAATCAGCAGCAGATATCAGGAGAAAGCTCCAAAAGTGAGCCCTGGGCCCTGAACAAAATCTGGAGGCATTATTAAACCTGGCACTGTAAGTGTTCTATAATAGGGACCAAGAGGAACAAGCCCAAAAGGAAAAGCAAGATCAGAGAAAGGCCGCAGCCTTAGTCATGGCCCTCAGACAAACAAACCTTGGTGGTTCAGAGAGGACAGAAAATGGAGCAGGCCAATCACCCAGTGGGGCTTGTTACCAGTGTGATTTGCAAGCACACCTTAAAAAAGATTGTCCAACAAGAAACAAGCTGCCCCCTCGTCCATGTCTGCAATGCTGAGGCAATCACTGGAAGGAACACTGACCCAGAGTGCAATGGGTTCTCTGGGTCAGAAGCCCCCAACCAGATGATCCAACAACAGGACTGAGGGTGCCCGGGGAAAACGCCAGCTAATGTCGTCACCCTCACTGAGCCCCAGGTACGTTTAACCATTGAGGGCCGGGAAATTGACTTCCTCCTGGACACTGACGCGGCCTTCTCAGTGTTAATCTCCTGTCCCGGACAACTGTCCTCAAAGTGCGTTACCATCCCAGGAATCCTGGGACAGCCTGTAACTAGGTATTTCTCCCACCTCCTCAGTTGTAATTGGGAGACTTTGCTCTTTTCTCATGCCTTTCTTGTTATGCCTGAAAGTCTCACACCCTTATTAGGGAGGGATATATTAGCCAAAGCTGGAGCTATTTTCTACATGAATATGGGGAACAAGTTACCCATTTGTTGTCCCATACTTGAGGAGGGAATCAACCCTGAAGTCTGGGCATTAGAAGGACAATTTGGAAGGGCAAAAAATGCCTGCCCAGTTCAAATCAGGCTAAAAGACCCACCACTTTTCCTTATCAAAGTCAATATCCCTTAAGGCCTGAAGCTCATAAAGGATTACAGGATATTGTTAAACATTTAAAAGCTCAACACCTAGTAAGGAAATGCAGCAGTCCCTGCAACATCCCAATTCCAGGAGTACAAAAAACAAATGGTCAGTGGAGACTAGTGCAAGATCTTAGACTCATCAATGAGGCAGTAATTCCTCTATATCCAGTTGTACATAACCCCTATACCCTGCTCTCTCAAATACCAGAGGAAGCAGAATGGTTCACTGTTCTGGACCTCAAGGATGCCTTCTTCTGTATTTCCCTGCACTCTGACTCCCAATTTCTCTTTGTCTTTGAGGATCCCACAGATCACACGTCCCAATTTACATGAACAGTGTTGCCCCAAGGGTTTAGGGATAGCCCTCATCTGTTTGGTCAGGCACTGGCCCAAGATCTAGGCCGCTTCTCAAGTCCAGGCACTCTGGTCCTTCAGTATGTGGATGATTTACTTCTGGCTACCAGTTCAGAAGCCTCATGCCAAAAGGCTACTCTAGATCTCTTGAACTTTCTAGCTAATCAAGGGTACAAGGTTTCTAGGTCAAAGGACCAGCTTTACCTACAGCAAGTCAAATATCTAGGCCTAATCTTAGCCAGAGGGACAAGGGCCCTCAGCAAGGAATGGATACAGCCTATACTGGCTTATCCTCACCCTAAGATATTAAAACAGTTGCGTGGGTTCCTTGGAATCACTGGCTTTTGCTGACTATGGATCCCCAGATACAGCAAGATAGCCAGGCCCCTCTACACTCTAATCAAGGAGACCCAGAGGGCAAATACTCATCTACTAATATGGGAACCAGGGGCAGAAACAGCCTTCGAAACCTTAAAGCAGGCCCTAGTACAAGCTCCAGGTTTAAGCCTTCCCACAGGACAAAACTTCTCTTTATATGTCACAGAGAGAGCATGGATAGCTCTTAGGGTCCTTACTCAGACTCATGGGACAACCCCACAACAAGTGGCATACCTAAGTAAAGAAATTGATATAGTAGCAAAAGGCTGGCCTCACTGTTTACAGGTAGTTGTGGCAGTGGCTGTCTTTGTGTCATAGGCTACAAGGAAAGGATCTTACTGTCTGGTATACTCATGATGTAAATGGCATACTGGTTGCCAAAGGAAGCTTATGGCTATCAGACAACTGCCTGCTTAGATACCAGGCACTACTACTTGAGGGACCAGTGCTTCAAATACCCACATGTGTGGCTCTCAACCCTGCCAGTTTTCCCCCAGAGGATGGGGAACCACTCAAGCATGACTGCCAACAAATTACAGTCCAGATTTAAGCTGCCTGAGATGATCTCTTAGAAGTCTCCTTAGCTAATCCTGACCTTAACCTATATACTGATGGAAGTTTATTTGTGGAGAATGGGCTACAAAGGGCCATTTATGCCATAGTTAGTGATGTAGCTTTATTTGAAAGTAAGCCTCTTCCCCCAGGCACCAGTGCCCAGTTAGCAGAACTAGTGGCACTTATCTGAGCCTTAGAACTGGGAAAGGGAAGAAGAATAAATGTGTATACAGATAGCAAGTATGCTTATCTAATCCTACATGCCCATGCTGCAATATGGAAAGAAAGGGAGTTCCTAATCTCTGGGGGAACCCCCATTAAATATCACAAGGAAACCATGGAATTATTGCATGCAGCACAAAAACCCAAGGATGTGGCAGTCTTATACTGCAGAAGCCATCAAAAGGGGAAGGAGAGGGGAGAACAGCAGCATAAGCAGCTGGCAGAGGCAGGGAAAGACCAGCAGAAAGGAAAGAGGGAAAGATAAAGAAAATCAGAGAGTGAGAGAGGAAGAGACAGAGACAAAGATGGAGTCAGAGAGAGAGAGAGAAAGAGAGAGACAGAAAGTCAAAGAGAGAGAGGAGACAGACAAAGAGGGAGTCAGAAAGAGAGAAAGAGAGAGACAAAGAAGAAGTTGAAGAGAAAGAAAGAGAGAGATAGAAATAGTAAAGAAAAAATAGTGTACCCTATTTCTTTAAAAGCCAGGGTAAAGTTCTGTCTACCCTGCCAAGGCATATTCTTCTTATGTGGAACTTCAACCTATATTTGCCTATCAGACAGTTTGCAAGAAATAACGAAATCTATCCTTACTCTACAATCCCAAATAGACTCTGACAGCAGTGACTCTCCAAAACCACTGAGGGCTAGACCTCCTCACTGCTGAGAAAGGAGGACTCTGCACCTTCTTAGGGGAAGAATGTTGTTTTTACGCTAACCAGTCAGGAATAGTATGAGATGCCACCCAGCATTTACAGGAAAAGGCTTCTGAAATCAGACAACACCTTTCAAACTCTTATACCAAACTCTCCAGTTGGGTGACATGGCTTCTCCCATTTCTAGGTCCCATGGCAGCCATCTTGCTCTTAGTCACCTTCAAGCCCTGTATTTTTAACCTCCTTGTCAAGTTTGTTTCCTCTAGGATCAAGGCCATCACGCTACAGATGGTCTTACAAATGGAAACCCAAATGAGCTCAATTAACAACTTCTACCAAGGACCCCTAGACCGACCTGCTGGCCTTTTCACTGGTTTAAAGAGTTCCCCTCTGGAGGACACTACAATTGCAGGGCTCCTTCTTCATCCCCATCCAGCAGGAAGTAGCTAGAGCAGTCATCACTCAATTCCCAACAGCAGTTGGGGTGTCCTGTTTAGAGGGGGGATTGAGAGGTGAAGCCAGCTGGATTTCCTGGGTCGAGTGGGGAATTGGAGAACTTTTCTGTCTAGCTAAAGGTTTGTAAATGCACGAATCAGCACTCTGTAAAAACGCACCAATCAGTGCTCTGTGTCTAGCTAAAGGTTTGTAAATGCACCAGTGAGCACTCTGTAAAAACACACCAATCAGTGCTCTTTGTCTAGCTAAAGGTTTGTAAACGCACCAATCAGCACTCTGTAAAAATGCACCAATCAACACTCCGTAAAATGGACCAATCAGCAGGATGTGGGCAGGGCCAAATAAGGGAATAAAAACTGGCCACCCGCCCAGCAGCAGCAAACCCACTCAGGTCCCCTTCCATGCCATGGAAGTTTTGTTCTTTCACTCTTCACAATAAATCTTGCTGCTGCTCACTCTTCGGGTCTGCACTACCTTTATGAGTTATAACACTGCAGACGTATGCGGCTTCTCTCCTGAAGTCAGTGAGACCATGGACCTACTGGGAGCAACAAACAACTCTGGACGCGCCATCTTTAAGAGCTGTAACACTCACCGCAAGGGTCTGCGGCTTCAATCTTGAAGTCAGTGAGACCAAGAACCCACCGGAAGGAATAAATTCTGGACACACAGGTGTGAGCCACCGTGCCTGGCCTAGTTCAGTTCTCTTAAACTTTGTTCTACTTATACTTTAGTGCAGCTTCAGGGTATTTCAGACATGGGTGCACCAGTTCATACATAGATTTAAGGATCTCTTTCTTTAGCTCATTCATGTTAGGAATTCTCTCATTTTTTTCTGCTTCCCAATGGCCCAATTTTACAATATTTTGGCTTAAAAAAAGGGTATTATTTTAGATTTTAGTCTCAAGCACTGTCCTAAAATTCTACATGACTGGGAATTTTCAACATGGCACAGTAGTGAGAATAAAAAAATAATAAATAATCGTACTCTTTTCTCCTATATTCTTTACCTAATAGAAACCTCTTTTGATCCATTCTTCTATCTAGAAATAACTATATTTCTCTCAGTCTTAGTGCCTGTGCCACTGTGTTAGGAGGAGAAGTACAGCTCAATGGCACATGGTTGCTAGAGAAAGAAAAGATAAAAAGGTTTCTTCCTACTTTCTCCTGCTAGTATAGGGCCTTTCTCTTTGCCCTATAGCCAAGAAATATGTGGTTCCCCATAGGTTTTGCTAAATTTGCCTGTTACACATTTTCCCATTGAGATAGTCTTTAGGTCACAGCCTAGGAGATAAGCAAGAAAAATATAATAAATTCACCACTACCATATAGATGTTTCTTCAAGTTTTGATTACCCTTAAACCCGCCCTCTGTTATTTACTGTTCAAAGTCCTCAAAGGTGTTTATTTGCTTGTATTTTATTCAGAGTCTTAGTATTAACCACTGAGACATGTAGGCTGCATTAGATTTTGTCAATCTTGGCCAGAATCAGCATCTATTATATTTTATGAAGCATTTATTATAGTCAATAAGTAATTACTTTTTCACATGCTGTATTTCACTATAGTTTGAATGAACTCAGCATTTATTTCAAACCTCCATGGTATCCATACACATTTTCTGTAAAAATGGAAATGCTTTGTATATCTGTCCTGTCCAACAAGGTAGCAACTATTTTCATATGGTTAGTACATACTTGACATCTAGCTAGTGCAACCTAGGAACTAAATTATTTTATCTCATTTTAATTATTAAATGTTGCAATTAAATCACACATTCTCCACAGCAGCAGCAGTAAGCCCTGCCCAAAAAGTGTCTGAGCTCAGACATGCCTAACCCTGCCCACACCTGGTGGTCTTTCCTTACCCACCCTGGTTGCCAAATACAAAGGACATAATCTCCTGAGAGCTCTATGGCCCTGCCCACCACCTGAGAAATCTGAATACTTAACCCAGCAACCCTAGAGCAAGTTTCCATTCTCTCTGCAGTACCACAGCTGATGCAGTCTTGAAAGCGTCAACTCCTGGCTGGAAGCCAACCAACACAAAACCAGCACATTAAACAAACATACAACTAAAAACCCTCAGAGTCCACTTTGCCCCCCTGTTACCTCCACCAGAGCAAATGCTGGTATCCACGGCTAAAAGACCTGAAGATGGATCACATCACAGGACTCTTGGCAGACACTCCCCAGTGCCAGCCCAGAGCCTGGTAGCTCTGCTGGGTGGCTAGACCCAGGAGAGCAAAAACAATCACTGCAATTCAGCTCTTAGAAAGACCCATCCCAAGGGGAATGGGGAGAACACCACATCGATACATCAATAGAGCACCCCATGCCACAAAAGAATCTGAACAGCAGCCCTTGAGTCCTCCGTCTTCCCTCTGACATAGTCTACCCAAATGAAAATAAATAAATAAATAAATAAATAAATAAATAAATAAATAAATAAAATAAAGAGACACGGAAAAACAATTCTGGTCATATAAGAAAAGGTTTTTTAACACCCCCAGAAGGTCACACTAGCTCATGAGCAATAGATCCAAACCAAGATGAAATCTCTGCATTGCCAGAAAAATAATTCATAAGGTCGATTATTAAGTTAATCAAGGAGGAAACAGAAAAAGGGAAAATCCAACAATAAAGTTATAGTCACCGAAACAGTATGGTATTGCTATAAAAATAGGCACATACCAATGGCGGAGAATAGAGAACCCAGGAATACAGCCAAATACTTATAGATAAATAATAATAATAATAATAATAATAAATAAGTGGGGAAAGGACACCCTATTCAACAAATGGTGCGAGATAATTGGCAAGCCACTTGTAGAAGAATCAAACCAGATCCTCATCTATCACCTAATACAAAAATCAACTCAAGATGGATCAAAGACTTAAATCTAAGACCTGAAGCCATAAAAATTCTAGATGGCAACATCAGGAAAACCCTTTTAGACACTGGCTTAGGCAAAGACTTCATGACCAAGAACCCAAAAGCAAATGCAACAAAAACAAAGATAAATAGATGAAACTTTAAAACTATAAACACTTCTGCACAACGAAATAAATAATCAGCAGAGTTAGCAGACAACCCACAGAGTGGGAGAAAAATCTTTACTATCTATACATCCAACAAAGGACTAACATCCAGAATCTACAAACAACTCAAATTATCAGCAAGAGAAAAAGCAAGTAATTCCATCAAAAAGTCGGCTAAGGACATGAATACACAATTCTCAATAGAAGATATACAAATGGCCAACAAACATATGAAAAAATGTTCAACATCACTAATTATCAGGAAAATGCCAATCAAAACCACAATGCAATATCACCTTAATCCTGCAAAAATGGCCATAATCAAAAAATAAATGTTGGTATAGTTGTGGTGAAAAGGGAGCATGTTTACACTGTTGGTGGGAATGTAACCTAGTACAACCACTTTGGAAAACAGTGTAGAGATTACTTAAAGAACCTAAAGTAGATCTACTATTTGATCCAGCAATCCCACTACTAGAGGTATCCACCCAGAGGGAAAAAAAGTCATTAAATGAAAAAGATACTTGCACATGCATATTTATAGCAGCAAAATTTGCAATTGCAAAAATATGAAACTGCCCAAATGGCCATCAATCAACAAGTAAAAAAGTGTGGTATATATATACCATGTAATTCTACTCAGCCATAAAAAGGAATGAAATAAAGGCACCTGCAGCAACCTGGATGGAATTGGAGACTATTATTCTAAGTGAAGTAACTCAGGAATGGAAAACCAAACATTGTATGTTCTCACTCATAAGTGCTATGAAGACACAAAGGCATAAAAATAATACAATAGACTTTGGGTACTGGGACAAAAAGTAAGAGGGGGTGAGGAATAAAAGACTACACACTGGGTACAGTGCACAGTACTTGGGAAATGGGTGAACCAAAATCTCAGAATAATTAAATAACTTATTCATGTAACCCAACATCACCTGCTCTGCAAAAACCTATTGAAATAAGAAATAAGTTGATTAAATAAACATACAAGGATGATATATTTTAGCCTTATCAATCACCTCTCTGTAACTCAGACATTTAATTAGCATAAAGAGCTCCTTATATTGTATCATTTAACTAAAATATCTAAATATTGATACTAGTTCTGTCTGCATATGCAGAACAATTTCAAATCTGTACTTTTCTCTTTAGGACAATGGAGTTAGTTTGTATATAAATATTTCTACACCTAAAGAACTTTTGAGATAATTTTTTTTTTTTTTTTGAGACAGAGTCTCACTCTGTCTCCTAGGCTGGAGTGCAGTGGCATCATCTCAGCTCACTGCAACCTTCACCTCCCGTGTTCAAGAAATTCTTCTGCCTCAGCCTCCTGAGTAGCTGGGATTACAGGTGTGTGCCACCACACCCGGCTAATTTTTGTTTTTTCAGTAGAGACAGGGTATCACCATGTTGGTCAGGCTTATCTCAAACTCCTGACCTCCTGATCCGCCCGCCTCGGCCTTCCAAAGTGCTGGGATTACAGGCGTGAGCCACTACGCCTGGCCGAGAATACTTTTATGTGAGATTACTATTGAAACAGCAAGGGCACAATGTAGGAGAAATACTAGTTGAAGAGTACAAAGACCATATTTTGCTATTCAGTGATTACATTTGTTTTTCATGGAGCTGCGCCCAAAACCTGGTAGCCTGTGCAAAGTAAGGGAAATAGCAGAGTCCAGAACCACAGCCACTTAATCTTCTGTAAGGTTTTATACCTCTGGAGGGAAGCGGTGGGGTAGCCTGGAAGTATACCAACCTTAAAGATTTGATTCTCTTATCATGTAGGAACATTTTTCTGTGCTAGGTTTGCATCATTCACTGTCTTGTTTCTTCCAGGCTCATAAGCCTTGGTCAAGATTTTCTAGCAGCAGACCTGCCCATAGCCAACAATAACTGGGCTTCAGTTATTTTAATACTGCCCTACTAACTCTGCTTCACCCCTTAAGGCCCAAGCCAGCTTTTACAAATTCAGAAACTATGTGACTAAGGAAAACAATAATGGATAAAGAAAGCAAAATAATGAAAGAGCAGAGATGCAGTCATGTCTCTGGGACAACTATTAAGTTGGTGCAAAAGTAATTGTGGTTTCTGCCATTATGTGTATGAAAATTTCATTCTTTTTTACTACACAATAGCTTCTCCTATATGTTTGCAAAGAACTTAAAGACACCAGTTTAATCTCCCTTCAATGTCACTTGCAGCGGAGATTTGCTTCAGTATCTTTGGGTGAGTGATAACTTACTTACTGGTCAATATACAGTGACTGTGCATGGGAGGGAGGTCCTATAATTTGCCCGGTTGGAGTCAGCAGACTGCCCCTGGAAGAATTCTATTGTTTTAGGTAGTGACATAATGTAAAAAATATCAGCTCCGTAGATAACTAGCAAGATGGTAATAGCTGTTAGTTCTCCAGAGAAGAGAGGAGAGTGTTAAGAAAACAAACCTAGGCCGGGTGCAGTGGCTCAAGCCTGCAATCCAAGCACTTTGGGAAGCTGAGGCAGGTGGATCACGAGGTCAGGACATCGAGACCATCCTGGCTAACACGGTGAAGCCCCTTCTCTACTAAATATACAAAAAAAAAAAAAATTAGTCAGGCGTGGTGGCGGCTGCCTGTGGTCCCAGCTACTTGGGAGGCTGAGGCAGGAGAATGGTGTGAACCCGGGAGGCGGAGCTTCCAGTGAGCCGAGATCACATCACTGCACCGCAGCCTGGGCCACTGAGTGAGACCCCATCTCAAAAAAAAAAAAAAAAAAAAAACCCTAAAAAAAAGAAAGGAAACAAACCTATAGTTGTATACTTAATACTTTAAGAATGTGAGAGCCTGATAGGAACACAACATCACATATATGGCCTCACATAACTCTTAGAAGTAGGTCTAAATTCATTACTATTATTCCTAAGTAGAAATTCTAGCATTTTTATCTTCCAAACAGCCTCCATTTCTGTATTGCAGGTATACTCCATGGGGCTTTGAGTGCTAAGTTCCCTCATCTTTAAGACATTAAACATGATGTTTCCTTTACTTGGGATAATCTACTTATCTTTTTTTCCTTCATCTGTCTATTCTCTACTTATTATTAAATTATACACAGTCATTCCTCCAAGAAAATTGTTCACACCTCTTTTGAGAGGTCAGTTCTCTGAACTCTATTCCATATCCTTGCATTTCTCCATGTAGTGACTAACATGACTTACTGTAATTTTCTATGCACTATCTCCAGTGGCTTTGTTTTTAATTTGATCTCTAAAACCTACCACAGCACATGAAATTGAATAAATATTTATTAAAAGAATGAATGGATTGTGGGGCTTGATCAATATAGATGACAGTGGCAATTTTACTACTCTTGTTTTTGATGCAATTCTTATTATACTGCTATTTAAGATCAAGCTAACTCTTAGGAATAGGAATAAAAATATGACTTACATTAAACTTATAGCCGAACATAATGTCTTTCTTTTGCAGAAATAAATGTGAGAATAAAATGAACATAAAAAAAATTTACCAACGGAAAAATAAAGACATTAATACTAGCAGTTAAGCTCTTTTATAAATTTATTGTGAAAATATAAAATGCAAAATTATTTTTAATCAATGAAACCATAATTGACTTACATGTATAGTCTTCCAACAAAAATAATTTTGAAGAACTAATCATGTGTTTGTAAAAGAACTAATCGTGTGTTTGTAAAACTACCATAACATTATTCAATAGCTATATTTTATGGTTTGGCTGTGTCCCCACCCAAATCTTATCTTCAATTGCAGCTCCCATAATTCCCACATGTTGTGAGAGGGACCTGATAGGATATAATTGAATCATGAGGGCGCTTCCCCCATACTGTTCTTGTGGTAGTGAATAAGCCTCAGAAGAGCTGATGGTTCTATAAGGGGTTTCCCCTTTTGCTTAGTTCTCACTTCTCTGGCTTTCTGCCATGTAAGATGTGCCTTCTGCCTTCTGCCATGATTGTGAGTTCTCCTCCATGTGAGCCACATGGAACTGTGAGTCCACTAAACCCCTTTTTTCTTTACAAATTGCTCAGTCTCAGGTATGTCTTTATCAGCAGCATGAAAATGGGTTAATACACCATATATCAACTATAACTCTATAAAAATTTTATACACATAGTGCTTCTGGGATGATAATCTTTTGAATAGTTTATTGAGCATTGTTTTTTCTAATTATGGAATTGTCCACAGATTCTCTGAGATTCAAAAATCGATTACATATTTAATTGAAATGTTTTAAATTTAAGCTTTTTTTTTTTTTTTTTTGAGATGGAGTCTCATTCCATCACCAGGCTGGAGTGCAGTGGCACCATCTCAGCTCACTGCAACCTCTGCTTCCCGGGTTCAAGCAATTCTTCTGTCTCAGCCTCCCAAGTAGCTGGAACTACAGGTGCACGCCACCCTGCCCAGCTAATTTTTGTATTTTTAGTAGAGATGGGGTTTCACCATGTTGGCCAGGATGGTCTCGATCTCATGACCCCGTGATCTGTCCACCTCGGCCTCCCAAAGTGCTAGGATTACAGGCATGAGCCACCGCACCCAGCTGAAATTTAAATTACATTTAAATGTAAATGTTTAAAATGTATTATTTTAAGAATGTTTTGTTTTATCAATGTGTCTTAGTTTACTTCATGTGGTTATAACAAACTACCTGAGACTGGATGATTTATAAAGAACAGAAGGTTATTTTTCAGTTTTGGAGTCTGAAAACTCCAAGTACAAGGCACCAATATCTGGTGTTTGGTGAGAGCCTTCTTGCTGTATTATCTTTATATGGTGGAAGGTGGAAGGGCAAGTGGGGACAAACCTTGTGTCCTCATATGGCCAAAGAGCAAAAGAGACAAAGAATCCACTCCCCTTTTTATAGCAGCATTAATTTATTTATGATGGCAGGGAACTCATGACCTGTTTACCTCACAAAAGGCCCCACCTCCCAATACTGTTGCATTGGGGATTAAGTTTCCAACAAACAATTTTTTTTTTAATTATCGCTTTTATTCAGTCTCAGCTCTAAGAATATCACTACCCTGTTATTATATTGGGGAGTCCCTCGTTTCCTAGATCATGACTTTCTTTTTCTTTAGATTTATAATAGGGTTAAGTTTGAAGCTTTAATATCTAATGTGGTGTTTTTCTTTAAACAGAGACTTGGCTGTAACAATCCTTCTATTCGAGGTAATAGGCCATGTTTCCTGACCTCCTTTTACTAATGATTCCACACTTATATGGTCCCAGCTTATGTGAGCTTGAAGCATGCCATCTTCCCTGAATAAGTTTTAAAACCCAAATGTTTCACTCTTCGCCTATTTCTAGGCTCGGGTTTCATCTGAAATAACACATTTGCCATTATAACATGGTACTAATACAATGAAAATATAGAGAAGATGGTCATTTATACAAGAACTGGCTTCCTTCAATTCAAAATTAAGCTCTAATTGCTTTAAACATTTGTGTGTGTGTTTTTGTGGACTATATTTCTAGCAGATTCCATAGATCTTCCTTTTGATATTTTATTTTTCTGGGGCTTTTTTTTTCGACTTTAATTAAAAAATTCTATCCAAACTCAATCTACGAGGAAATTTTGATTAATTTAAAACTTGTGCGGAAACAATGTGATTAGGGACCTACACAGTTTATAAATAGCTCTCAGTTCCCTCCCACACAGCACAACATAAACCAGAATATCATTTTGACTTTGATATATAGTTTGATATTTCATCTAAGAATATTAAAACTTCACTTTTCCCAAAATTCAAATGTGGAAAGACACAAAATGTGTTTATATATCATATGGGCAGAATTCAACTTACATCAATTTACACTTATGGCACTAAGCAAGTTACATGTATATTATCAACTTTCATCACGTCAGTCAGTCTGAAGATTCTTTTTTCTGTGGGGAGGATTTTCTAAGGTCCTTTCTCCTTTAATCATATTCTCAATTCTAGGACAGTACTGTTATAAATTCAAAATGTAAGTTCATAGAAAAAGAAAATAGTGAAGTTAAGCTGAAGCATGGTAAGAGGGCAATGATAAGCAAGTTTCCTATCTAAAAGAGGAAGTCCAGTGATTATAAAGAATGTTTGCATTTCATTTTATTCAGTTGTATTAGAGAAACATCCCACAATCACAATACTTTATTTTGCAAGTTTCCATTCAACTGTGTATGTTTAAATATGCTTTATTATAATATTTTCATAAAATTTATCATGTATGTTAACTAAAATTGCTTTTATTTTACTCTCTTACTAGAATGCTAGTTTCATGAGTTAATGAATTTAGCTTATTCAACACTACTATGAACACTAATAAAATTACCTGGTATTATTATATCAAGAATATTTGCTAAGGCAGTGAACAAATGAATGTACAAGTTAACATTTTAATCCTTTCTGAGAGCATTCTAAAGTGATATTTTAAAAATACATTGAGTAATGGAAGTATCATCGGATGAATATATAGCATTCTATGAGAAATAAAGGCAGTTTGAAACATTCATTAGAAAGTGCGTGTGTGTGTGTATGTATAATATACATACACACATACATATATACATGTGTATTTATATATACATAAACACATATACATATTACAGATTATATATTATATTAGTTTATTTGCACTACTACATAAATTGTCATAGACCGGGGAACTTACAAGCAACAGAAATTTAATTCTCACTTCTGGGGAATAGAAAGTCCTGGACCAAGGTACTGGTGTCTGGGAGACTCTGTTCTTCATAGATGGCCGCTTCTAGCTCTGATCTCACCTGGAAGAAGCAGATAGCTAGCACTCTGGGGTCTCGTTTTTAAGGGCACTAATCCCATTAATTGGTGCTCTATCCTCATGACTCAATCTCTTCTTCAAAGCCCCACCTTCTAATAGCATTATCTTTGGCATTAGCATTTCAGCATTTAAATGCTGGGACACAAACATTCAGACCATAGCATATACGTACATACATTAATGTGTGTGTGTATGTGGAGAGACAGAACAGGAAAGAGGGAGGGAGGGAGAAAGAGAGAGAGAGAGAACAAGAGCAAGGGAGAGAAGAGACAGAGACACATAGAAACAGATAATAAAAGAAACTTTAAAACTCATATTACAGAATATATATGTCTATGTTCATAGTTGTGTGTATGCACACATACATTACCTATGTATTGAATGTATTGAACAGTTACTAAACCTTTCTGTAAACATTTTATTAGCATTAGATAATTTTTCTCTTTCCCTCCAAACACTTTTTTTTTATGATGCTGTTGGAGTGCTCATGGGCATTTTTGGAATCAGTTACAGGAAGCAGACAACTTTTTTTTAACTTTGTGTGCAAAGATACCTCCATTCATACTGAAGATGTTCCTGGTCATCCCCAGAGAAAATACCATGCAGGAGAATAACATTCTGCTGCTCACCAAATTGACTCACCTTGCACAGTGACCCAAGGTTGCAACATCAGATTCTATGTAATGGAAACAAGTCTTCAGGTCTCTGACAATTAAGATACAGGGAGGGTAGAAAAGAATCAAAATATTTAATGCATGAAGCCAGAGACCAGCTACGGAAATTTTTCAAATCATTATATTGTATGTATAAAATGATTCACCGGAGATTTAATTCTATCAATGCCTAGCAAAAATGAAGGTCTCATCCATCAAAACACACTGGATAATGCAGTATTTATAACTATATGGGCCTCGTAGATATGTGGGGAGTTTCTAGTGAATTTTCACAAAATATACTTTGCTCATGGGACACAAGTCTTGTACAATACTTCAAATAATAAGATGACTGTATGTGAAATCTCATTTCACAAATCCCCAAATACAGACCTGAACATTAGCATATTTGACTCACCAATTCTCTTGACAGAATCCTGTAGTTCCAATGTATGGCATACTAAATTACCACAGATGCTGTGAAATTGTCCATAAAACATTATCAATATTAAAATCTCAATACTTATTTATCAATAGATCAGGGTATATTATATAAAAAGAATTTTGTTCCATAGTTCAGTACAGAGTGGTGGAAATTTTAAAGGATCTAGATTACATATTAATATTAATTTTTATGTGTTTCACAATTATAATCATGCCAAAATGTGAATGCGATAGAAAGGAATTGTCTACGCAGAAGGTAAAAGCATAGACAAAAATACCCAGAATTATAAAATATCAAGTCTCTTTTTCAGCATTATACTGCAACTAAAATTTCTCATGGGTCAAGCTCATAAAAGTAAGAAAAATCATCCTTATAGCCCATAAATTATAGTTAATAAAATGATAATTGGCCAAAAAACTAGCAATTAGGACACACTCAAACTAAAAAATTGTAAGCAGAAGGAAAATAAAATTAATACAAAAATATCACTAGACTCATTAACAGAGTATAGATGAAGGTCATCAGCAATTTAATTATGTGAATTCATTAAGAACTACAATTGTTTTGTTATGACCTCTTATGAGCAATGATTTTATATAAAGTTTTTTTAATGCTATTGCAGTTATATTTACAGAGAACCAAAACAAACATAATAAAACAAGCAGATATGTCTAAACAGATGGTTTTAAATAAAAACAGTCAAACTTAGATATTGCTAGCATTCTTTTTCACAACCAAAGTTTGAATATATTCTTTGATTTTTATTTCCAAGAAGAAATACATTACATCTGATAGAGTTACAAACTGGATAAATATATGGAAAATCCCAAAATATTTGAAGATGCCACAGAGCAAAATAAGACTATTTTTATTTTATGTATATTATATAGAAGAATATTTGTGTTATCCTAAGCTTTTAAAATTTCTATTTTATGCCGGGCATGGTGGCTCACGCCTGTAATCCCAGCACTTTGGGAGGCGGAGGCGGGTGGATCACAAGGTCAGGAGTTGAAGACCAGCCTGGCCAAGATGGTGAAACCCCGTCTCTACTAAAAATACAAAACTTAGCCGGGCGTGATGGCGGGCGCCTGTAATCCCAGCCATTGGGTGGGCTGATACAGAGAATTGCGTGAACCCGGGAGGTGAGGGTTACAGTGAGCCAAGACAGCACCACTGCACTCCAGCCTGGGCAACAGAGCAAGACTCCATCTAAACTATATATATATATATATAACAAAATATTCACTTTCTTTTATAATTTGTATTTGTTTTTTGTTTTTTTTTTTTTTTTTTTTTTTTTTTACAATTTTCAAGAGGACTGTTCTCAAGCTAAGTATCTGTTACCTCTCCTTAAACCTGCAGCTGCCCTTTGGAAGCTCTTACCATGCTATCCTTGTTGACTCCAGTCATGCTAGTTGTCTTGCATTCCCTCAAACAGGATAACCACACTTCCACATCAGGGAATTTATACTTGCTGCTTTCCTGTTCCCTCCACTAGACAAATCTTCTAATGATACCTCTTTGGTATCACTGCCCACTTCTTTAGAGATCTGCTCAAGCACCAACTCCTCAGAAAAGTTTTCTCTGACATTCCAACCAAAATGGTAACTTCCATTTCTTCCCATATCTTTTTCTTTTTTTGCATTATTTTTCTTTGTAACACTACTATTATGCGATATATTACATATTAATCTGTCATTATCTTTCTAGTACTACTAAAAATATAAATTTTATAATAACAAGCTATTTGTATGTTTTGTTCATGTCTATGCATGATAAGTATTTGCTGAACAAATGAAGGAACACAATATTATTAGCCAGCATTTTTTTTTTTCTTTGAGACGGAGTCTCACTGTGTGGCCCAGGCTGGAGTGCAGTGGCGTGATCTCGGCTCACTGCAAGCTCCACCTCCCGTGTTCAGGCCATTCTCCTGCCTCAGCCTCCCGAGTAGCTGGGACTACAGGCGCCCGCCACCACGCCCAGCTAATTTTTTGTATTTTTAGTAGAGATGGATTTTCACCATGTTAGCCAGGATGGTCTTGATTTCCCGACCTCGTGATCCACCCGCCTCAGCCTTCCAAAGTGCTGGGATTACAGTCATGAGCCACCGCATCTGGAGGCATTATTATTATTATTAATAATAAAATTTAAAGATAGAACAATTTATAATCTATGAAGATGGTAAGTGGTAGAGTTAAAATTCACAGAGAGATGTTTTTGGACTCAGAAGATCAGTTTTTTTATTTTTTGATGCAAAACCAAACATCTTTTTATCTGTAAAATGTCCTTAAATGGTCACAAGTTTGAAAAGCAAAATACATGTGATTGCTAAATTGTTAAAGCTTGACATGTAATGCTTTAGGGATTAACAGTGAAATAAAGTATCAAAAGATGAGAAAGTAATTGTTAATGAAAATCGGTTTAGGCTTTTCAAGGGAAAGCATGAAATTGTAATGTAACATGGGGCATTTGTTAAAAACAACCTGCAGAAAAAGCTACTTTTTAAAAGCATCTTGATTTACAAAAAACACTATTAAAAGGGCACAATAGATGTAATGTCAAAATAAATACACAATTCATCAAAGGGGAAATACAGTGAGAAAATTAATATATGGGAAAGTAATTTAATATATAATAAATACTTATATATTAATTAAAGAAATGTAAGATTACAATCGTAAATAAAATGTTTTATCTCTTATATTAGCAAATCGTCATCTAGAACTTAAAAAGTATGTACTCATTGTCTTCATGTTCATGTACAGGGAAAAGCCATGCCAGTTAACTATCTTTGATCTAGTTCGATCTAATTAATGGAATAAATCAACAATGATAATTATTAATGCAGAGGTGGTACAGATTTATGCACATTTTAAGAAATAGTACATTATTAAAAACTTAAGAAAAATATAAAGCTGTTTACCATACGATCAGCCTGATTAACATGGTGAAACCCAGTCTCTACTAAATAGAAAAAAATTAGCCAGGCGTGGTGGTACATGCCTGTAATCTGAGCTACTTGGGAGGCTGAGACCGGAGAATTGCTTGTACCTGGGAGGCAGAGGTTGCAGTGAGCCAAGATCATGCCATTGCACTCCAGTCAGGGCAACAAGAGCGAAACTCCGTCAAAAAAAGAAAGAGAAAAGAAAAGGAAAAAAGGAAGAAAGGAAAGAAGGAAGGAAGCAACTTACCATGTTAAAAATTTAACAAAGTTATTGTATAATTGACTGAATGCTCCTGAAACTACAAGTTGCAAAATTTGTTTCAAATTAATTTTAGTGCTCCGAGATGTTTGATATGAAGCAAAAGCAAATACTTTCTGGGAAAACTCCAGTTCAACCTAGCCTTTGAAGTCTCCCAGATAATATTTCTGTTAAAAATAAGCTAACAATCCAAAATAAAAAAAAAAAATCACATCTAAATAATGCACTGTTTATGACAGTCAGTAGAACAATAGACAGACACATCAAACAAAAAATTTAGATCTTGAAATTATCAGATGCAAAAAAATGAAAAGGAAATTTTAAAAAAGGAGACAAAAACTGTCAAATAGTTTTGGAAAAATAAAATATCTGGAAATTACATATGTGTGTGTTCGTGTGCTTAAACAAAACTAAATTAAAGCAGCAATCAATATTTTAGAAATTGAACTATGTACATATCCTTTAGAATAATATTAAAATCATTAAGTAGGAATAAATGTTATACAAATACTTAAGACTGCTATATGGAAAACAATATTATTGAATAGTATTGGAGAAGAAATATCAATGGAAGGATATACCATATACTTGGATTTAAAAACAAAATATTTAAAGTGTCATGTTATTTTTCCCCAAATTAGTTAATTGATTCAGGGAAAACAAAAGAAAATATATAACAGATAAATTAACAAATTGATTCTAAAATGTAAAAAGAATTGCAAAAATCCAATGATAGTCCTAACACTTTTGAAAAGTAAATTAAGTTGAAGTTACTCTGTAAGGTTTGAAGACTACAAATATACAGTCTTTAAGATAATATAATACTGAGCTTAGCTCAGTATTATGTAAGGTTGGAAAGTATGAAGTGAATGAAATAGAATATTTAAAAAGAGACCCACACATATTTAATTTACTTGATCTAAGTGAAAGATGTCACTAAAACCAATGAAGAAAGATGATCTCTTTGAAAAATGATTAACGATAAATTGCATACCCCTATTTGTAAATATTCCAGGTTGACTGTATATATAAGCATGGAACATAAAACCAACAAGGCCCCTAAAAGTAAAATTAAGAACTTACGCTTCTGAAATGGAATCAATAAGAGCATGAGAATAATAAAAGGATATTTGCAACATGTATAAAGGACAATAGACTTCAATAAAAATAATACTAAAAAATGTACACACATGCAACAAAAATATTGGCAAAAGAACTAAAAAGATGTTTTGCCAAAGAGGATATCCAAATAATTAATAGATACATAAAATGGGCCTTAGTGTTATAATCAAGGAAATGTAAATTAAAACTCATGAGACACAACTATATATGAGGCGAAAGAAAAAACACTAAAAAGACTGACTGGTTAGACAAGTGTTCTCAAGTATATAAAAGCAAAGGAATTCTCAGGAACTGTTAGAAAGAGTGTAAACTGGACAATGACTTCAGAAAAATGTCACTACCGACCTTGGCAATTTCAGTCCTAGATTTATGCCCCCCAAAGTATCTCCATGTGTGCACCAAAGGGTGAGTATAACAATGTTCATTGCAACATCATCTATTATACAGAAATCCTAGAAACAAATCCCATCAACAGTAAAAGGGATAGATAAATGATAATTTATTCATATAAGGAAATACTATATGGCAACAAAAAAGTAAAGCACATATACAAACTAAAATGTGGATAAATTTCATAAGTATTTTAAATAATGAAATTTGACAATTTTTTAAATTTGATTTTTAATAAATTTTATAACTGTTAATACCATTTTATGGTGCAAAAACTCAGTATAGTAATTAAAGATGTGGAAGAAGGGGATGAGATATATGGGTAAGGGTAGGGCAGGGACTTCTGATTAATGGTGAAGTTATATTTTTTAAACCTAGATGTTAGTTGAATCTTTTTACTCATTCTGTAATAATTCATAGAGCTGTATACTTTGTATCTTTTTGAAAACTTTTCCTGATGTACATTATACTTTAATTAGCAGCAATAACAGCAAAGACAGAAAGTATGAAAGGGAACTAGAAATTATGTTTCAATAAATTATCCAGGTGCATCATATACTGGTAAAGAGATAAAAATGTGAACAAGAGCGTTTTCCCTGCAAAAAGTTATTGCGATGCTTGAGAAGGTGGTAGTCAGTTGGCAAGAGGTCAGGTGAATATGGCAGATAAGGCAAAACTTTGTAGCCCAATTCATTCAACTTTTGAAGCCTTGGTTGTGCTATGTCTGATTGGCCATTGTCATGGAGAAGATTTGGGCCCTTTCTGTTGACCAATGCCGACCGCCTGCGATGCAGTTTTCAGTGCATCTTGTTGATTTGCTGAGCATACTTCTCAGACATAAATGTTTCTCTGGGATTCAGAAAGCTGTAGTGGATCAGACCAGCAGCAGACCACCAAACAATGATCATGACCTTTTTATGGTGCACGTTTGGCTTTAGAAAGTGCTTTAGAAAGTGCTTTGTAGCTTCTTCTCAGTCCAACCACTGAGCTGGTCATCACCAGTTGTCGTATAAAACCTACCTTTTGTCACAAGTCACGGTCCAATCGAGAAATGGTTTGTTGTTATTGCATAGAATAAGAAAAGATGACACTTCAAAACGATGTTTCTTTTGATTTTCACTCAGTTCATGAGGTACCTAGTTATCGAGCTTTTTCCCCTTTCCAATTTGCTTCAAAGGCCGAACAACCGTAGAATGGTCGACGTTGAGTTTTCAGTAACTTCTCCTGTAGTAGCAAGAGAATCAGCTTAGATGATTGCTCTCAATTGGTCATTGTCAACTTGTGATGACTGGCCACTGTGCTTCTCATCTTCAGGATTCTCGTCTCCTTTGCAAAACTTCTTGACCCACAGCTGCACTATACATTCATTATAAGTTTCTGGACCAAATGCGTTGTTGATGTTTTGAGTTGTTTCCGCTGCTTTGACTCATTTTGAACTTGAATAAGAAAATTGCTCGTATTTGCTTTTTGTCTAACATCATTTCCATAGTCTAAAATAAAAAAAAAATAAACAGCTAGTAACGTCATTAGCAAAAAAAAAAAAAACCCATAAAGCAAGAAATGTACGTTAAAATGATGTATAACATAACCACATTTATTTAAAAATGTATTCCAACATCAAACGGCAAATTTCAACAATGCAAAAACTGCAATTACTTTTGCACGAACCTTTTACAAACCAGAACTGGCTGCTTTTTGTGGTCCCTCAGCTATGATGCAAGTGGGGCACATAAAGACAAGATGTTACCTGTCTCGGGCAGCTTTCCTCAGTGTTGGGGGATTGGCTCAACATAAATCTTAAGCTTTTACTGTCCCTTGCTGCCTATCTATGAGTAATAAATTTGTTTTGCTTAACTTGTAGCATGAGTGTTTTGTCTCACCAGACTCATGCAAATAGTATAAATAGTAGCCCAAGATGTCGTGGGCTAAGAAATTACAAACACACACACACCCCTATATATTATATATCAGTGTATATTTATAATATTATAGATACTCTATTCAAATGTGTTACAAAATATACAATTTTCCAATAATTTCTTTCACACTGTGGGATTTTGGATATTTTCACTTTTTTGGACGGCACCTTTTGAAGCGCACAATTTTAACATTTTAATATAGTTCCATTTATTTGTTGTAGTTGTTGTGCTTTTGGTGTCATATCTAAGAAACCATTTTTGAACCTAAGGAAATGAAGATTTACTTTTGTGTTTTCTTTTAACAATTTATAGCTTTAACTTTTACGTGTAGATATATCCACTTTGAATTATTTTGTGTTTATATTGTGAGGTATGGGTGCAACATCATTCCTTTAATTGGATATGCATTTGGTCCAGCACTGTTTGCTGAAGAGAGTAGTCTTTCCCTATTGAATGTTTTTTGTTGAAAATAAATTAACTATGTATATGTATATATGTTAATAAATCAAATTATATATATATATATATTTGGGTGAATCAATTTCATTAACCTTTTATTTTAATATTTCTAGTTCTCATTGTTTCTTTCCTAGAAGACAACTACTCAAAGTATTAAGCAAAATGTGGGAAATGAGAGAATTATTATCATAAGAAACCACTTGAAAGTATTTGGAAGAATGGCAATATTTTGTAATTAAATTAAATGTTTATTCCTGCTAATATAAACTCATTTGGACTACTGAAACATTTTATTTTGAAATTAATAGAAACAATTCAAAAAACAAACTGGAGCTTATAGAAAAGTAATAATGAACTTAAAATAACACTTATTTGATCTAATATTCACCTACTATTAAAGAAATTATAGACAAATAGAACCTAGGTAATAGTTTTTTTTTTTTTACCATATTACCTATAGGTTTCAGTGTGATTTCTTGATGTGTAATTGTGGATGTATATGATTCAAGTCTGCAATTATGTTGTTTTCTTTTAGAATAATGAAAGTATAATTTTTTATGTTGTATAATTAATTTCATTTACATGTTCATTTGCTTTTTTTCCAGGAAAGAAGCTATGAACACAAAATATAGACAATATATTTTCAAGTCTAAACCACAGAAACTACACAAAATAAAGATATTTATATTTCCAGCATTCTTGTGAAAATTATTAAACTTAGCCAGCACATTTTCTGAATACTGAATTATAGATGCATATATAGTGGTTTGAGACAATAACTTTAAGATGAATATTATGAATATAGCAGGGCAATAAATCATCAAAAACATTTTAAGTCCTTGTATTACACAGAATAGCTATTGTTTTCCCTCAGCTATATAATTTTCTGAGTTACTAGCCTCATTAGTCAAGAGGTTTTTAGAACATGCATCAATCAGTATTTAACACTGCATTTTATCGATGAATGATTCAGATAAAGACCTAATAGCATTCTGTACAAGTGTAGTACCAGCAGAGTAATTAAAAATTAAGGTAGTCACAAAAGACACAGGTTCTACCCTGGGAGGGCATAAATACACTTACTGTTTAAGTTAGAGAGATCATTTGATTAAATCTAATGTGATAACCTTATTGAATAGAAAATTTTAAAACTTAGGAGAGACTGACTGGGGAAGTTTTTATTTATAGTGTCTAAACTAGAACTAACATCTGTGTAAGTACCATTAGGCATAGTAGCACTCTTAATGTCAGGTTTTAAATATTTCTAGAACAAATGATCTATAGAAGTCTCTGTGAGTTCTAGTTTCCTTAAAGCTACAGGTTTATTTAAGTGGCATAATATAATGCTATCCAAACCTATCATTTACAAGACAGTAATGCTTGGTAGAAGGTATATACCCACTGTTACAAAATCTTCTAAAAATGTAAATTCTATCTACTTAAATTAAAGCTTATCCTCCAGCTCTGCCCCCAATCCTTGAAAAATATTACATCTCTATTTTTATACTGAGTACTTTTATATAATCATTTGGTGAATTCTTTACCTGATCATTTTATTATGCTGTCAGACTTTGTGAAATCTTTGACTTAATTTTAAATTTCTTTAAATAAATATGAATGCATAAAAGGATATTCACAGAGCTTGTGCAGAAGATACATAATTACAATTAAATTAATACGTACCCAATATCCAGCTCAAGAAATGAAGTATTACAATAAAATTTAGATATTTTTTGTCTCTCTTGATCCTCTTACCTGCTTCTCCCTTCTACAAAGGAAATCGCTATTATAAATTGTTTTAATAATTTTCTTCGTTTTCATTATGTATTTACTACCTATGTATTTGTAGTCCCTACATTATTTTCTTGCTTTTAAACCCTGTGGGTTTATTCTGAACATATCCTTCTGCTACTTGTTTGTTTACTTTAATGGCATTATATTCCTGATAATTACTCAGATTGAGGCACAGAGATATCATTTATTAATTTTACTGAAATATAATATTACTTATACATATATATGTACAATTTATTATATGTAATAACTTTATTCCAGTTAATTACTATATTATTCGTAAATTTTAAATAGATCAATGCATATTTAATGAGTATAGTGAATAGTTTTCTTAAAATCACACAGTAATATGACTGAAAAAGAGTAATTAGGATTGAAATACAAATATATTACACTTTATTCATTCCGTTCCTCATATGATGTGTACTACATATATTGAGCTATACAAATTCTCTCATACATTGTAACATAACATCTTTTTTTTCTGGACATCTGCGTGTCCTCTTGCCTGTGCTTGCTTAAGCTATTTTCCAAGACCCATTAAATTTTAGATCTCCTAGTTATCTTATTTTTTATGCACACAATTATACTTTAATTTTTCAAATTTTGTACTCTTATTTTCAAGCTTGAACATAAGATAATTCATTATTTTGGAGCTGCAAATGTGTTTTATGATAGTAATTAAAAATTTCCTAGAATTAGTTACTTTTGCTGTACCTCAAATAATACTAGTGACAAAAAAGTTATCGAAACACATTTGTTTGCTGGTTAAATTATATGATAATAATTTAAATATAATGTATATAACAAATTAAATAATGTTAACAGCAATCTATAAATGATGTATAAGCTGTTATGTGGTGAACATTAGAATTCTCATTGTATGATGTCAAACTCTCTAATCTCATAAATCAATAGTATTATATATTTATAACATAGTATTAATTTAGTTAATTTTTTTCTAAATTTATAGTAACGTATCATTATATTGAATGGAAAGAGCATAAAGCTTAATTTTAAAATGTATTGTATAGTTTCAATTGTTCTTGCTGTGTCTTTGTTTTGGGGTATTTCTTCTATTTTCAGAATTTTTTTATGAATGCTCTACTTGTTAATATTTAAATTCTCCATTCTACATCAGGCATATAAAATTCTCACAAATAATAAAGGGAGTAATAACATAGATAAAAAGTTTATCTCACCTTTTCAAGCGTTTTCTTTTTTTATGATATCTACCCCGTCTTTTGATATTTGCCCTGAAGATAATTTTTTTGCTGGTAAATGGTAACTTTTCAAGAGTCTCTTTAGAATAAACTTTTTCAAAATTGTTTCCCTTTCAAGTTCTCTATGTAGTCTGTAATTGACTGTTTGCTTTGACTTTGGCATTTTGTTTATACTCACACAAAAACGGGAAACCAATAATAATGTTGTTTTCTTTCAGTCTGACAGTTTCACGTATAGACATCCTTTTTTCTTCGTTTCCTTGACTAACACCGCTTGGGGCCATTCATTTAATCTCAGTTGACTTCTATAATTTCTAGATGTTTTGTGATTTAATCCAACTGTGATAAGTGTTTTGTCACTTTCCATGGAGACTTCAATATCACAGTGATTTCTATTTCTATAGTCTCCCTCTACTTATTCTTTATGTTACTACATTTAAAAGAGAGTGATCATATTTTTAGGTAATATTTTAAATAATTATTTAAGAGGTGACAGAAGAGCTCACCTCCAAGGCATCATTTAGAAAAAAAAGAAGTATTTTTGGCATCACTATGTGACATCATCTTCCAAAGCTATATTTTCTGCCTGGTCATGGGATGTACTGCTACTTCTTATCACTAATCAGAAAAGCAGAAATTATTGGTCATGATTAGGTATCAAGAAGAATGTGTTGCTTAGAAACAGAGCTGAGCTCTATCAACTACAAATGTTTTCTATAAGAATTATCTGTGCAACACTGTGGCTTGTTAAGGTAACTGCTATTGCTGAAATACCTATTCATGGAGGTTTCCAAGGATACACTACTACAAACCTTTTCTTAAATTAAGTGGGAGGTAATAAGCATTCAACAAACAGCCTGAAAACCACTGGTCTCTTTAAAATATCCAACTTCCCTATAAGAAATTATATTCAGTTTGATTTGGGCAATACTGTGTAGGGTGTTTTCTTCAAAGGTACGTTTTTCTTAACAATTATCCACTAATTTAAAATTAAGCTTTATGCTCTTTCCATTCAACCCTTAGGAGGGTTAAAGATTGGGGGTGTGAGTGGGGTCAAAGGTCACTATGTAGAGTGGTCTTAGCCTTCCCAATTGTTAAGTTCGAGCACCAGCTGAAGTCTGAGGGAAGTGGGCAGACAGGGGAAGGAAGCTGGAAGAACACTTGAGAGACAGCAGGTAGATGAAACATAGCTTTATTCTGGAGCTCTCTCACATTGTCAGCCTTTGTCTCTGCTGCCTCCTCTGGCTGCAGCCCCTCTTAGCAGCCTGCTCTGCAGCTCCTGCGGCTCCCAAGCTTACAGCTGCACTCCCTGGCGCACTTGCTAGTTCCTGGCTACCACCCCTGCCCGCCTGCCACCCCCTCACCCCCGCAAACACACCAGTGCTTATCTGTAAGATGGACAGCTCTCCCTCACAGGGTTAGCAGTTTCACTCTCTCCCTCTGGGCGCACGCCAGCACTGCTTGCCTAACTCCTGCAACTTAGTGGGAGTATAAGCACTGTAAGAAGTGTGTTCCACCACGGTAGGGGTGCCCTCGGCCTACTCCTGGGGCCCCATGGGCTGCTCATGTTCTGTCTTCTGGGAGATCATGGGGAGTGCAGAGGAGAAGCCTCCTCCTCCTCCTCAGCATCAGACAGAATGGGAGTTTCCAGCCAGATGGATGGGCTCAAGGTCGCACTGACTGCCGTCTCCAACTACTGTTCCAGGCTGTTTATCTGGGCCTCTAAGTGCCCTGTTTGTACCTGGAGGTCCCTTACCCCCAGGTCTTGCTCCAAGCTGTGCATTTGGGCCCCCAGGTGCACATCTTGTGCCTGGAGGTCCCTTGCTTGTGCAGCATCCTGCAGAGACTGAGCATGTACTTCCTGCAGTACAGTCAGAAACTCCAATCCGACGCTGCTGGCAAAGCTGCGCTCCTTCTTGGTACTGTGTGCTTCCAGCTGCTTCATTGCCTTCTTCACACTCATGGGAGGCCCTTCCACTTCTTCCCACGTTTCTGTTGGGGCCCATCCTAGAAGCACCACTGCATCTAGGTACCACAGCCCATGCTGTGGCCACATAGCCTACCTGGGACCCTCAGGGGCTGAAGACCCACTCACCTCATCCTGCTGACTCTGTCAAATGTCAGGTTCCAGCCCTAGTTGGGGTCCGAGGGGATGGAGTGTAAGGAAAATAGATATGCTTTGGTCTAGAATAGGCCGAGGCAGACATCCCGGCCAGGGTGATTCTGCGAGTTTTGGGCGCAGGCCCACAACTCTGCTTGTTATATAACCAGTTTGTGCAATCTTAAACTTGGCTCTGAGCCACCATTGTCCATAAATGGTATAACTACCCTGCTGACACTGTACATGAGGTGCGCACCCAGAGGCAGAGAGTGAAGCTGCTGACCCTGTAGGGAGAGCCAGCTGTCTTGCAGATGGACTGGGGGAAAGGGGAGCTAGGAATTAGCAAGTGTGCCAGTGAGTGCAGCTGTAAGTGTGAGAGTGACAGGAGCCACAGAGCCGGCGGCTAAGAGAGGCTGCAGCTAGAGAGCCAGAGCAGGCAGCCGAGACAAAGGCAGACAGTGTGAGAGAGCAGCTGAATAAAACCATGTCCCATCTACCTGCTGTCTCTCAAGTGTTCTTCCAGCTTCCTGCCCCCCTGTCCACCCACTCCCCTGGGACCTTAGCTGGGGCTTGAACCTGACACCACTGCCATCATCAATTCCAATGCCAAGAGTTTCATCACTGAAATTTGCCTTGGATCCACCAGAACTAATATCATTATGCTCTTTTTTCCTATTTTTGACTATAAATATATGCGACCCCACAATTCCAGACAGGTTTTTTACCTCTCGCTCTAATCCAACCCCTATGAAGCTTTGCACACCCTCAATCTTGCCCATTGTATTCACCTCACACTCAAACTTCAATCTTGTTCCTATGCCCTCTAAAATTCACAGTTTGCCAAATCCCTACATCATTAAATTCGTTTCTAAACTTTGTCCTAACTTTCTAGTTCTAATAGAAACTTAGCCTTTTCTGTCTTGCTCTCCCATAATGAAAATGTGTTCCCAAAAGCCCTCTAAAATATTGGTGATTTTTTCTCCCATATCATTTATTCCAATAGACCTGAAGAATTGGTAGGCATCTTTCTTTAATCCTTAGGTCTACTTTTTAAGTTTCCTCCTTTTATTATTAGTAAATTCTTCAATTTTGAATTTCATGTAATTAGGTTATATACCTAATTACCCCTCATTGTTGTTATCTAACTACCCCTGCGTTATTCCTTCTGAAGGAGATATTATGATGGATGCAGAAATCAGAGTGATGTCATAGCTTGGAAGGGGTCCACAGGCCAAGAAATACCAGGAGTCTTGTAGACGCTCTAAAAAGAATTGAACAGATTTTCTTCTAGAGATCCCAGAAAGCATACGTAAAATGTACTTTTAAGTTACAACCCAGAACTGTACAAGAATATATTTGTGTTGTTTTAAACTACTAAATTTGGGTTAATTTGTTACAGCAGCAATAAGATGCTAACACATCTTCTAAGATGGAAACTTGCATTTTCCTTTTGCACCTATGAAATTTATTTTCAATATAAATGTCAGAGTAATTTTTTAACACATAGGTAAAATTATGTTCCTTATCAGGTGAAAATTCTGCAATGTTTTTCTGTTTTACTCAGAGTAAAAGTTGAAATCTTTACATGAGGTGCACTGCTACCTTTCTGATTTTCTCCCTTGCTCTTTCTACTTCAACCACTATGAACTCCTTACTATTTCTCAAACATATTAGGCACACTCTTACTTCAAGAATTTGTTTTCTTCTTGTATTTTCTTCTTGGAACACTTTCCCCTTAGATATACCTAGATGAATACCTCACCTTCAAAGATGTGCCGAATTTTCACCACTTCAAGGAAGACTACATGAAATCCGTCCCTCTGCCACCTATTTCCTTTCCCTGACATGCTTCTGCTCTAATTTTGGTTTGTTTGATTTTGTTTCCATTGTAGCATTTATCACATTATTGCATAGTAAAATAATATTTATTATGCTTATCATTCATTTTCTGTGAAGCCCATTAGAACATAAATTCCATAAGGTTAGCAATCCTAGTCATGAAAGTGACGTAAGTGCTTAGAACAATGTTTGATATATACAAGGTGTTACAGAATTATTTTTAATAAAAAAATTAATTCAGGGACTTCTATGTAGCAGGCACTGTACCATGAGCTATATTTATAACAGCATATAAAATAAGTGTAGTCTACCTTGCCTGAAGGAAACAGGCAGGGAAAATAAAAGGCAATTAGTCAAATTATGAGTATCATTATATGTGGAGCCAAGTTTTTACATGAGCAGATAGAAAAAGCATTTTACTGGTTTGGAGGACATCAGTGAGGATTGCCTTGAGGAGATGACTGCAACATGAAACACGAAAGAATATTTGCAAGATAAAAGATAACCAGATGAAGGCCAGGAGAGGTTCCTCATGCCTGTAATCCCGGAACTTTAGGAGGACAAGGTGTACAGATCACTTGAGGTCAGGAATTCAAGACCAGCCTGACCAACACAGTGAAACCCCATCTCTACTAAAAATACAAAAATTATCTGAGCATGGTTGTAGGCACCTGTAATCCCAGCTACTTGGGAGGCTGAGGCAGGAGAATTGCTTGAACCCGGGAAGTGGAGGTTACAATGAGCCAAGATTGTGCCAATGCACTCCAGCTTGGGTGACAGAGTGAGACTCTGTCTTAAAAACAAACAAACAAAAAGGATAACAGGATGAGACAGTGAAGAGTATTTCAGGTATATCAAAAATAAGTACACAGGAATGAAGGGAAGACAAAGTATGGTCTTAGAAATCACTAAATTTAGTAAATATAGATTGAAAAGGGAGGTCAGTGATGAGACATGGTGAAGACGTGTAATGTCCATGCAATTTAGAGCTCTGTAGGCCAGAAATAGTGGTTTAGGCATTTACCTATAGCAGTGGGGACACGCTGAATGGTCTTAAGCAGGGAAGCTAAAATGATTATATAGTTGTTTTAAAAAGTGATTAATTGTTTCAGTTATTGGGAAGAACTCACAAAAAGTAAGCTCTATAACGAGACTCTATGATAAACTTGGAAATCATTATTTCAGTAGAGTGATGGCCATGGATGCTATGAAAGTGAAAAAGTAATGAAAGTGACCATTAAAAAATTTAAGAATTGGCCGGGCATAGTGGCTCATGCCTGTAATCCCGACACTTTGGGAGGCTGAAGCAGGTGGATCACGAGGTCAGGAGATTGAGACCATCCTGGCTAACATGGTGAAACCCCGTCTCTACTAAAAATACAAAGAATTAGCCGGGCGTGGTGAAGGGGACCTGTAGTCCCAGCTACTCTGGAGGCTGAAGCAGGAGAATGGCCTGAATCTGGGAGGCAGAGCTTGCAGTGAGCCAAGATCACACCACTGCACTCCAGCCTGGGCAACAAGAGCAAAACTCCATCTCAAAAAAAAAAAAAGAAAAAGAAAAATCCAATAATTTCTGGTGAATACAGAGATTTAGAATTTAGTGGAATAAGTAAGGTTTATGGAAAGTCTAAGAAAAGTTGTTTGCATTTCTGGATTTTTAGGGTTATATTTTAGAAAGAAAACAGGCCTTCAGCTATCAAACAAGATGAAATAAAAAGAACTAGATTTACTCTGCCTCCTGAAACAACAAGTAAAACAATAAAAAGTAAATGAAATACATAAAGCAATGGTTTGCAAAACAGTGAACATCAGACAACGAGTGACATTAATTCCTGAGAGACAAGAGAAACATGACATGAGGCCTACTCTTGCCTCAGGTCACTGACTTTAATTTCCAGGAAATGGCACAGGAAAAGCTCCATGAACTTTCTTAGTTGGAGAGATGGAGCTGAGAGACTGGAGAAAGCCAGACAGATATTATTTTCAAGACAGAGCTCCACTGAAGAGAGCCATACAGAAAATGTTAATATCTGTTGAGAATTCCCTTCAAGCATTCACTTGAGTAACGATCTGTGCATATGTGTGAGGAAACTACTCACATCCAGTGGAGGAACCAAGTGAGAGGATTAGGGAGAACAGAGTTCAGCACTCACATATGGTTGGGGATGATGCCTGTTCTACCAGGCAAACTGTAAAACCTCATAATTCATGGAGGAGAGTAGATATAAGTAGAGTACTCATAAAGGTTTTACATCCATAGTAAAAAGTTCTACCTATTTTTTTAAAAAAATGAGAACCTGAAAGGATCAAATTGTTTCCATGTAAGTTAATTGCATCCAACGAAATTTATAACAATAGTGAACAATTGTTCAATAATATTTATACAACTTTAAAATGCCTATCATTCAGCAAGGTAAAATTCAATAAAAAATTCCTGGCTTTGCAAAAAAGCATGAAATTTTGAGCCATAATGAGGATTAAAACCACTGATAGAAACTGTTTCAGAAATAACACAGATGATTGAATTAGTACTCAAACACTTTAAAATACTCTAACTGTATTCATGTGTGTGAAAAGTTAGATAAAATGTTGAACATGTTAAGTAAAGAAAAATAAAATATAAAAAGGGCTCCCAAATAAAACTTTTGAACATAAAACTACATGATATTACATTAAACATGAACTTGATTGGTTTAAGGGCAGCTTGAACACAGCAGAATAAAAAAATTAGTGCATTTAAAAACACATCAATAAAAGTTATCTAAAATGATAAACAGGAATTTTCAAATAATTTAAATAAAAGCATCAGTGAGCTGTAGAACAACTCCAAGTGGACTAATAAGTTATCTGAGTCCTTCAGCTGGGAAAAGGTTTGATATTTGCAGATATAACAGAAAAAAAATTTAATTTGATAAAAATGACAAACCCATGAGTCTAAGAAGCTCAATGATCCCTAAGCCCAAGAAACAAAGAAAAGGACACCAAGTCAAATCTTTCAAATTCAGTGCTCAGTAGAAAATCTTAAAAGTAACCAGAGCAAAATATATATTACATACTGAAAATACATATAAGAATGACAACATATTTTTTTTTATCAAAATTTTGTAAATAAGACAGTGGAGAGCTATTTTTAAAAACATTGAAAGAAGCCAGGCATGGTGGCTCACGCCTGTAATCTCAGCACTTTGGGAGGCCGAGGCAGGCAGATCACCAGGTCAAGAGATCGAAACCATCCTGGCCAACATGGTGAAAACCCTTCTCTACCAAAAATACAAAAATTAGCTGGGCATGGTGGTGCATGCTTGTAGTCTCAGCTGCTCGGGAGGCTGAAGCAGGAGAATCACTTGAACCCAGGAGGCAGAGATTGCAGTGAGCAGAGATCACGCCACTGCACTCCAGCCTGGTGACAGAGCAAGACTCTATCTCAAAAAAATAAAATAAAATAAAAAAAGAGAGAGAGAAAAAAACAAACCTGTTTATTTAGAACTTCATACTCATTGAAAATATATTTCATAAATAAATAATTTTTAAAAAACATTTTCAGACATATGAAAGGTTAAAGACTATATTAGCTGTAGTCTCACACGACCAGAAATGTATATACAATTCTGCAGAAAGATGAAAAATATCACCAGATGCAAATAGTTCTACACAAAAGAAAAAAGAGCACCAGAAATAGTAACTACATTGATAAATATAAAAGATTGTTTTCGCACTATTTAAATCTCTTTGACATAATTGACTCTTTAAAAAAATAATTAAAAATTAAATAAAAACAATATACTGTAGCATTTATAACATATGGATGTATAAAATCTGTAACAACGACAAAATAGTAAAAAGAACAATGAGGTGAAAACATGAAGTGGTATCATATTATTTAGATGTAGACTGATAAGTTAAAAATGTGTACTATAATCTCTATAGCAACCACTAAAATAAAGAAACAAATAATTATAACTAATATGCCAAGAAAACAAACTAAATAGAATCAGAAAATATATTAAAAATTAATTCCAAAGAAGGCAGAAAAAAAGAAAAAGGGAAAGAACAAACAGATGACAGCAGATAGTAGCCTTAAACCTAACCATATTGATAATCACATAAAATTATAAAAGTCTAAACACCTCAATTAAAATTGGATTGAAGAAAAAAGTAAGATAAAACATAAAGATACAAAAAGTTCTAAGGTAAAAATTGGAGTGGGTGTATACATATTAAAGCAGAGTTTATAAGAGGCATTTATTAGAGATAAAGGAATTTATTTAGTCATTTTCTAAAGATAAAGGGGATAAATTCATCTATAGGATGTAACAATACTAAATGCTGTTACATATGAAGAGAGCTTACCATACATGAAGCAAAATTGACAAAACTAGAAGGAGAAATAAGCAAATCTACAATTATAATCATATACTTTAATATCTTTCCTGATGTTGAATAAAGGTGAAATACTTCTTGCTAATCTCTTCCAAAGTTGCATATTTAAGAGAAAAAATATTTTTAAGGCTCTAAATTTTGGGGTTGTTTTCATGGTGACTGGAAGCGTTTTGTTGTAGAAAATATTTAAAACATGTGCAAGTGTCTTAAGGACCAGCTGGTTAGATGAAGCTTGAAGGATGTTTAGAGAGTGTTGATCAGAGCCTAAAACGCTTCAAGGAGTCAGTTTCTGTAGCCTAATGTTGTTGAAGAAAATATCAGTGGAGGCTTAGAGGAACAGGAGGAACATGTGAGAAACTAGAGGAAGTGGGATTTTCATTATGTACGTTAGGAATTAAAAGTGTCAGCTTTGTTAACCTGAAAAATTAAAAAAAAACGTACCTAAGAAATGGGTAATTTATTTAAAGATATTTCAAAATAGAACCATCAATGTACCACCTGGATTTTATCCACTACCTATAATAAAATGAAAGGGAGAAGAAATAGACTGAAAATTTAATTATTCAATTTTTAAGTAAAGTTGTCAAAAAATTGAAAGGAACCAGTACTAGGTAGTTTCAAAATTAAAATTATGTTTCTTATTCTCAGGCCTTCCACTATTTTCAGGTGAAAAAAGGGCATTGGCGCAAAGGTGAAATGCCAGATGAGAATATGTAACCCTCCATGAAATGTCAGAAAGGCATAAGCAGTTCCTTAGAGAATGATTGTCAGAAAATTACCACTGACACATCTCTCTATCCAACAACAGACCTTCTAAGAAACTTCACTATGTTGCCCAAAGCAGCCTTTCAAGTATTCGAAGGGAAAGCAAGGATTATCCTGATGGGATCTGTTGGTCTTAGGTAGGTCAGACTACAGCCCGGGTTGATAAACTCAAGAGTCAAAGAACTATATATGAACCTTAGAATATAGAACCTAGAACACTAGCATCAGAATAGTTTATCACTTCAAATACTGCAAAATAACTCCTCAGATCAGATCTCTGTTCTTAAAGGACACACAGTTTAGGAGCAGATGCTCCTTAAATTAAAATTTACAGGCCCTAAAAATTTAGAGATGGAGGAGAATAAAATACCCTAATCTACTTAGCCCCATGATTTTTCTCAGCTTTTCATTTTCACAGAGTTTTCCTACAGCCTTGATTTTACACGAGTATACCAGTGGTGGAAAGTTGAGTTATTACTAATACTGGATGTAACTTTTTGCTGCAGAGCATGGTCCAGGGGAAGCAAACAAAACTCCAACTCCTCACCTCTCTTACCTTCCATAGCCTGCTTCTTACCCCAGGACAAAACCTCCAGCCTCATATCACATATCAATGCAGAACTTGTCTCACAATTTTCTTGGTTCCTCCAGAGTTGCAGGGCAGCTTGTTCTGCTTCCTAACATTTGAGCTCTTTATTTACACTTTCTACCAAAGATTATATTAATTATTAGATAATATGAAGAATGATTTTCCACTACTAGTAATGATCCTTTGTTTTAACTATTTCCATAATCCTAAGAAGAATAGAAAAAGAGAGTTTCTCCCAAACTTAAATTTCAGGAAAGCTAGCTAGTCAGTACTATCCTGGGGTTGAATTTATCTGCTTCCGTTTTATATTGAGGTGGTTGATACTAATGATATATGATTGTAATATTTTCTTTACCATTCAAATCATTGAGACTTAAACCTTCTCTAGTAATTACAAGAAATATATATTAAGAATGCATTTTTTAATCTCATAGAGCAAACTATAAATACAGAATAACTCTTATGCAGTGGTAGCATATCATTTATATGATCGCTTCTTTTTTAGATTATTATATAATTATTACTGAAAGGCGGACATTTTTTAGCGCATTTTACACTCCAATTTCATTTTCTTAAAAAGTTATCTGGTGGAAAAATAGTTATCTCAACTCCAGCTGATGTGGCGTTCTTCAGTTCTTCTTAAGAGGTGTGAAGAGAAAAATAGCAGGAGTGTTGGTATTTAAGACATATTAAAATATTGGCTTTGTTAACTCTCAACGATAGGAGGAAGAGGGGATTGGTCTCTATCTGGCTCAGCAACAATAAAGAATTGGTGAAAAAAAAAAAAACACAATTACTTCAAGTTCAACAATAACAGTATTCTAAGGCATTAGATACAATTATACCATTTGTTTGACCCAACCTGAAAAATCATTCATTATAGTCAATTCCTAATTAACCTTAGCAGTCCAAGGATTATGTTTCTGCTTCACGTAAATTGTAACTTAAATCTTGTATTCTTTTTCAGGCCTGCCATTTTCATTCCATGTATGAGGTGCTCTATTAATTAAAGTATCCTAGGTTTGCTGCCTGTGGTCTTATGGGTTTTTTTTTTTAATTTTTCTATGAAGTGTCTGTTCAAATCTTTCTTTGCATATTTAAATTAAACATGATTCCTCAATCCAGGGTTAGAATTGGTTTATCTTTATCCAAGCTTCAGAAAGCAGTTAGGTGTAACTGCCATTGTTTCTTAGGAAAAAGAGAAGAGAAATCTCTTTCAGTGAATCAGACGCTGGGTTTCCCACATGGACCAGTGAAATGAACCTTCTGAGGGTTAAGAGTGTACAGACAGGTGGTGCTGACAAGTAGGGCAGTTAACAATTTAAGACAGTTTCTCAGAAGAATAAAATAAATTAAGTTCGTGAAGGTCATATCTGGACATTGTAACTGTTGGGCAGATTGCACTTCATGTACCATTGGGACTTTAAATAGTATTATAACATGGAACTAAGTAAGCCATTCCTTCTAGATATATTTTATTACCATGTTATATATTAATAATTCTTCTTACACTATAAAATTATTCATTCTATAGTAAGATATTTCAGTTTGAAACATTACCTTTCACTTTTTTTGTCAGACCTTAAGAGCAAGCTCTATTATTTATATGTTTTTTCCAGAATCTACAACTTCAGCTCTTTTTACAAGGCTGGCTTCTTGTTTAGGTTGACTATGGCAATAGGTAAAAGTTGACAGCTCAAATATTATGAACAATAACTCCAATAGTGGCAATGTTTCCGAGAGTTGCTACCCCTGGAATAGAACTGTCTGTTTCTCACCAGTGATATCTATGCCTTCCTATCCCAATTTGGCCAACTTTGGAGTCTAAAGACGTCTAATGTTTAATGGGCGTAAGGACTTTGGACTACATTTTATAAACCTACAGGTCATTCAGATACTTAGTATCCAAAATACTCAGTTTGTACTGTGCTTTAGTAATATTTAACAGTTTTACAACTCTGGACTTCAAGTAATTTGAGGGTCTTGCTATTCGAATCACAAAATATTCACTGATTATTATATCCTCTTTAAATAAATATTTATTTTTAATTTTTATCTGTTGCTAATAAGGTTCTAATTATAATTGGCACCTGCTCCAGTGCATTTGGTTATCAACTTTAATTTTTACAATTTTAGATTTTTTTTTTCACAATTTAGGATTGTCTTCATAAAGCAAACTCCAACTAAGAACTACTTCTTGATATTAAGGACAAATTGGCTGGGAGGAGTGGCTCATGCCTGTAAATGCAGCTCTTTGGTAGGCAGAGGTGGACGGATCACCTGTGGTCTGGAGTTCGAGACCAGCCTTGCCAACATGGTGAAACCCTGTCTCTATTGAAAATACAAAAATTAGCTGGGCACAGTGGCACATGCCTGTTAATATCCCAGCTACTCGGGAAGCTGAGGTAGGAGAATCGCTTGAATCCGGGAGGCGGAGGTTGCAGTGAGCTGAGATCATGCCATTGCACTCCAGCCTGGGTGACAAGAGCAAAACTCCGTCTCAAAAAAAAAAAAAAAAAAAAAAAAGGATAGTGGACTGACTGTCTTTGACAAGTCACATACCATAGAAAACCACTAATGTTCACATATTTTCATAAGGGGTTACCTAAAATGCTGAGTTACAAACTTTCTTCTCCAGAGGTAACTGCCTCGTGTATTAGATAGAAACATGCAGATGAGTAGGCCAATGCCAGTACAGTGAAGCTTCAACTTAAAATTGTATGTGACATGAAGTTTGTGCATTAGTTTACCCTATCAATGCTAGAAGACATTATCACAAATTTAGTAACTTACACAATTACTAATATTACTATATCTTACAATTCTGGGGGGCCAAAATCTGAAACAGGTTTTTCTGGGCTAAAATTAAGGTGCTGACAGAATTTTGTTCTTTCTGGAAGCTCTGGGGAGAATCTATTTCTTTCCCTTTCCCAATTTCTGGAGGCTTTCTCTATTTCTTTTCATTTCTGGCCCTTTCTTCAGTCAGCAGTGTGGCATCTTCAAATCTCTCTCTGACCTGCTCTTCTTCTTCCCTCCTTCACTTTAATGGTATTTGTGATGATAACATTAGGTCCACCCAGATAAACAAGAACACTCTGTATATTTTAAGGTCAATTTATTAGCAACCTTAACTCTATCTGCAACATTAATCCTCCCTTGTCATGTAACATAGCATATTCATAGGCTCTGGGGATTAGAACATGAACTTCCTTGGAGGCCAAATGTTCTTTTATAATACTTTCTAAAAGTATTTATGAAATATATGAAACTTAATGGTCTGTAATGATTTAGTATTTTAGACTTTATATTTAAACTTTTAGATTTCTAATAATCTTTTATATTTAAAATATATACAATATTAAAATACATCTAAAATGCATACACACACAGAGGCATACCTTGTCTTATTGTGCTTCACAGATACTGAGTTTTGTACAAATTGAAGGTTTGTGGCAACCCTTTGTCGAGCAGGTCTATTAGTGCCATTTTTCTAACAGCAATTGCTACTTTTGTTTCTCTGTGTCACATTTTTGTAATTCTCACAACAGTATAAACTTTCCAAACTGTTATATTTGATGTGGTGATCTGTCATCAGTGATCTTTGGTGTCACTACTGCAATTGCAGATGTGGTGGAAATAGCAAGAGAACTAAAATTAGAAGCGGAGCCTGAAGATGTGACTGAATTGTTAGAATCTCATGATTAAACTTGAACAGATGAGAGGTTTCTTCACATGAATGAGCAAAGAAAGTGGTTTCTTGAAACAAAAAACTATTCTTGATGAAGATGCTGTGAACATTGTTAGAATAACAAAAAACAATTTAGAAAATTCCATAAACTTAGTCGATAAAGCAGAAGCAGGGTTTGAAAGGGTTGACTCCAATTTTGAAAGAAGTTCTATTGGGGATTAAATGTTATCAAACACCATCACAAGCTACAGAGAAATATTTTGTAAAAGGAAATATTTTGTAAAATCCATTTACAAACTTTAAGAAATTGTTACAGCTACCCAACTTTCAGTCAATCAGCAGCCACCAACACTGAGGCAAGATCCTCTACTATTTGTGGCTCCCTAAAGGATCAGATGATTGTTAGCATTTTTTAGCAATGAAGTATTTTTAAACTGAAGTATTTACATTATGGTTTTTAGACAAAATACTATTGCATACATAAAAGACTACAGTATAGTGTAAACATAGCTTTTATATGTGCTGGGGAACCAAAGTTTTGTGTGACTTGCTTTCTTACAGTATTTTCTTTATTACAGTGGTCTAGTACCAAACCTGCAGTATCTCTAAGGATGCCTCTGTGTGTGTGTGTGTGTGTGTGTGTGTGTGTGTGTGTGTGTGTGTGTGTGTGTGTGTGTTTTCTGGCAATCATGAGTTTTGAAACAGAATGAGTTAGGTTTTTAATTAGGCTCAATTGCTCTCTGTTTGACCTTGGTCATGTTACTTAAACTCAGGAAAATGACAAAACTACCTAAATCGCCGGGAAGTACTGAATTTTGGGAAGTAAAGTTTTTATCACAGCAGTTCACACATTGTAAAAGCTTAATTAATGTCACCTATTATTATTTGTGCTGAATACTATTCTAAAGCTTTTTTTTTTTACAAAGCTGCATAAATATTTTTAACTGTAACATACATAATAATGTGCAATTAAGTATACAGATCACAGAAATTTTATAAATTAAGCATACTTGTACAACTCATATCTGAACAAAAAGAAAGAATATGGGTAACACAAGTTTTGCTTGTACTCTGCTACTTCTTAGGTAATCACTATCCTGACTTTTCACAACATAAATTAGACTTATGTCTAATATGTCTAATGCTGTATTTGTACTTTATATAAATGAAATGCTTCAGTGGATACTTTTTTGTGTTAGACTTCTTTGGCTCAAGATTATGTCTCTAAAACTCATCCATATGGTTTGAAGTAGTTGCAGCTGTTTCTTTTCATTGTTCTATACTATTCCAGTATAAAATTTCATTGTGTGAAGGTAAATTTTTAAATATATTCTTTGCTGGTAGACATTGGGCTGTTTGGTGTTTGGTTATTACACATAGTGTGGTTCTGGATACTACAGTATTTATCTTCTTGTTAACATATGTATGCTTTTTGTTAGGTATAACTGTGACACTGGATTTACTGGATGTGCTAGACAAAATAATGCCCCCCACCCAACCCAAGATGTCCACATCCTAATTCCTGGAACCTGTATTCCTATTATCTTATATGGCAAAAGGAATTTTGTGTATGTGATTAAGTTAAGGATTTTGAGATGGAGAATTTATCTCAGATTATTTAGGTAGGCCCAACCTAATTACATGGGTTCTTAAAATCTGTGAAAGTGTCCTGGCGGAATTCAGAGTGAAAGTAAACTACAATTACAGAAGATCAATTAAAGACAGCTGCAACCATTCTGGCTTTGAAGATGAAGGAAGGGATCCAAAAGCCAAGAGATGTCTTTTAAAAGCTGGATAAACAAGGAAATGGCTTTTACTCAAGATCCTCTATTAAAGAACCTTGATTTTAGTCTAATAAAATTTGTGTTGTACTTCTACAGAATTGTAAGAGAATACATCTATGTTGTTTTGTCATTAATTTTGTGATAACATTTAATAACAATAATTGAAAATGAATACACTAGGTGATTGAAGAGGCATATGTTCAGTCTATGTAGCACGCAACATATTTTTTAAATGGTTGATCAAATTACAGTTTAACTTGCAGTGTGTGAGAGTTTCGGTTGCTTCCCACCTCTACCAAAACTTACTATTTTCTACCTTTTGCCTTTTACTCATTCTAGTGGATGTATGGTGCTGTCTCATTGTAGTTTTTATTTGAATTACTCTAACGGTTAATGCCATTAAAAACTTATTCATATGTTTATTGACCATATGAATATACTCCTTTGTGAAATGTTTTTAAGTCTGAAGGATTTCAGTTTATTTTAAATTTGTCAAGGTTGTTTTAAATTATTTTCCTGTCAGTATAGCTTGATTGTCTTAACCTTTTATTTACAGTATGTAGTCCATATTTTATGAAATAATTCATATAATGGGGTTTATAGTTGCTATTTTATTACTTGTTTCCTACTGGATAAATCTGTTGTCTTTTTAAAAATCTGCTTAGTTTAAATATAATTTACATTAAAATTACACCCTTTCTAAGGGTATAGTTTTATGAGTTCTAAAATACATACATGTATATTTGTATAACTTTACCCAAAATCAAGATGTAAAGCATTTCTCTCACCCTAAAAAGTACCACCATGCCCCTTTAAAATCATTCATCTACACTTCTGGCAGCAAGAAACACAAATCTGCTTCCTGTCAATATAGACTTATTTCGTGTTTTCTTGATATGATTTGTCTTTTTTTTTTTTGAATTTCATATGAGCATGCATTATTTTGTCTGGCTTCTTTCACACAGCACAATACTTTAGAGATGTGCCTATGTTGTTGTGTATATTAGTCATTTGTTATTTTAAACTCATATTACAAAGTGGGAGATTCTATTATCTCATGTTCCCATCAACAATTGATATCATTAATTTTATTTATTTTAAATTTAATCATATTTTAAAGGAAGCAGCCTTTCAATGTAGTCTTAGTTAGCATTTCCCTGATAACTAATTATGCTGAATATCTTTCTATGTGTTTACTGGGGATGCATATATTTCCTTTAGTGAAATGCTTTTCTTCAAATTGTTCTTACCCAATTTTTGGATATTTTAACTTCATTAATTTTTATTTATTTGTTTTAATTGATGAGTAAAAAATTTATATATAGCCATTTTGCCATGTATAAATTAAGTTAATTAACACATTACTATTACTTCATATATTTACCTTATATCCTTATCACTTATTTTGTAGTAAGAACACAAAATTTACTCTGAACATATTCAGTTATGTAATAAATTATTATTAACTATAATCATCATGATGTACAATAGATTTCTTAAACCTATTTTTCCTAACTGAAATTTTGTGTCTTTTGACTAACACTTTCCCAATCACCACCAGTTCTAATAATAACTACTGTACTTTCTTCTTTCGTGATGTGACATTTTTTGATTCTACATAGAAGTGAGATCATGGAGTATTTGTCTTTCTGTGCCTCACTTATTCAATTGACATGATAGTTTCTAGGTTCATCCTGCAATGTGTTATAAGTGACAGAATTTTCTTTTTTAAGGATGAATAGTATTCCATTGTGTATATATTTGTCTGTTCTCATACTACTAATAAAGACATACCCAAGACTGGGTAACTTATAAAGGAAAGAGGTTTAATGGACTCACAGCTCCATGTGGCTGGGGAGGCCTCAAAATCATGGCAGAAGGCAAAGAAGAGAAAATCATGTCTTACATGGATGACAGCAAGCAAAGAGAGAGAACTTGTGCAGGAGAACTCCTCTCTGTAAAACCATCAGATCTCATGAGACTTATTCACTATCATGAGAAGAGCATGGGAAAGACTTGCCCTGATGCTTCGATTATCTCCCACTGGGTTTCTCCCATGACAGGTGGGAATTGTGGGAGCTACAATTCAAGATTTAGTGACACAACCAAACCATATCAGTGTATATATGCCACATTTTCTTTATTCATTCATCTATTGATGGACACTTCAGTTGATGCCATAACTTGGCTATTGCAAATAATACTGTGATGAACCTGAGAGTGTGGATCTCTTTGAGATACTGAATAATTTTCCCTGGATACATATCTAGTAGTAAAATTGCTTGATCATACAGTAGTTCTATTTTAATGTTATGAGGAAGCTCTACATTATTTTCCACAATGTCTGTACTCATTTATATATCCACCAAAACTATAAAATGGTCTCATACCCATATCCTTGCCAACACTTGTTATCTTTTATTGTTTTTAGTAAAACCAACTAACAAGCATGAGATGCTATTCCATTGTGGTTTTAAAATGCATTTCCATAAAGTTAAGTGCCTTTAGATATAACTGTTGACCATTTTTATATCTTTTTTTTTTAATTGTTCAGGTCCTTTGACAATTTTTAAATTGAGTTATTTGTTTTCTTGCTATTGACTTGAGTTCCTTACATATTTTGAATGATAATTACCTAACAGATATATAGTTTGCAGTTATTTTCTTCCATTCTATAAGTTGTTACTTCATGCTATTGTTTACTTAGCTGTGCAGAAGCTTTTTAGTTGGATGTAATCTCATTTATCTATTTTTGCCTCTGTAGCCTGTGGTTTGTGGATGGTACCAAAAAAAAATCATTGCCTAGACCAACTATAAGAAAAATTTTCCCAATGTTTTCTTCTAGCAGTTTTACAGTTTCGGGCCTTACATTTAAGTCTTTATTTTTAGTTGATTTTCATACATAATGTAAGATTAGGTTCTATTTTTATTTCTCTGCATGTGGTTATGCAGTTTTCCCAGCACCATGTATTGAGGAGAAGACACTATGCTTGCCCTATTGTGTGTTCTTGACATTTTTGTCAAAATTCTATTGAGTGTTAATGCATGGAATTATTTCTGGGCTCTATTTTGTTTCATTGGTCTATGTGTTTATATTTGTGCCAGTACCATACTGTTTAAATTATTTTATCTTTGTAGTAGATTTTGAAATCAGATAGTGTCACACCTCTAGCTTTGCTATTTTTGCTAAGGATTTATTTGGTTGTTAACATCTTTTGTGGTTACATACTAATTACAGAGTTTCTTTTTCTCTTTCTGTGAAATATGTCATTGGAATTCTGGCAGGAATTTCATTGACTCTGGACATCTTTTTGGGTAAAATTCTAACTATTCCTATTGATAACACAGAATATCTTTCCATTTATATATGTTTTCTTCAATTTCATTCATCTGTGTTTTATAGTTTGTACAGCTCTTTCACCTCCTTGACTAAATTTATTCCTAAGTATTTTATGGTTTTTGTAGCTATCGTAAGTAGAATTCTTTTATATACTCCATGGACAATACAGCTCCAGTGATTGTTTCTTTATTTCTATTTTGAAGAGTTGTTTTTAGTGTATAAAAGTGCTACCGATTTTGTGTGTTTATTTCGTATTCTGCACCTTTACTTAATTTATTTATTAGATCTAACAGTTTTTTGATGGAATCTGTAGGAATTTCTATATACAAGACTATGTCAAACAGACACAATTAATAATTTAACAATTACTAATGTATGCAATTCAACTTTCTTTTCAATTTGGATCCTTTTTATTTCTTTCTTTTGCCTAATTGCTCTGACTTGGACTTTCAGTACTACGTTGAATCGAAGTGGGGAAAGTGGGCATCCTTTTCTTGTATCTGATCTTAGAGTTAAACTTTTCACCACTAAGTACCATCTTATGGTACTTTATACATGCATAGCTGGGCTATTCATCTATGGCTTTATTTTATTGAGGTATACTCCTTCTATACCTAATTTGTTAAAAGGTTGTATTATAAAAGGATGTATAATTTTTGCATAATTTTTCTGTATGTATTGTGATGGTTGTATGATTTTTGTCTTTTATCATGTTTAAGATCATGTATCCAATTTATTATTTGACATACTTATTACATTTCATAAAATTCCTTTTATTTCTAGTTTCATACAGTTATGTTTGGAAAATATATTTGATACGTTTCAAATCTTCTTAAATGTGTTAAGACTTACTTTTTGGTCTAAAAACTGAATTATTCTGAAGAATGTTCTATGTGCACTTGAGAAGAAACTGTATTCTGATGCTTTCAGATGAAATGTTCTGTATATGACTGTTAGGTCAAGTTTACCTAAAGTATAGTTCAAGTTTAATGTTTTCTTATTAATATTTTGCCTAGATGATATGTCTATTGTTGAAAGTGGAACAATGAGCTACCATATTATTATTGTAGAGCATTATATATTTTTGTTTAAATATATTAACGTTTGCTTTATATATTTTGTTACTTCAATCATAGGTGCATATATTTACAATTGTTATATCCTGTTGATAAATTGACTACTTTATCATTATATAATGGCCTTATTTGTCTTGTTTTACACATTTCCTGTCTAAAAACTCTTTTATAAGATTTTTATTATCTGTGTAGCTACCTTTCCTTCCTTTGGCTTTCCATATGCATAGAATATCTTTTTGTTCATTTTTTAAATTCGTAATCTATCTGTGTCTTTAAAAGTGATGTGAGTCCCTTTAAGTAGCATATGGTTGGGTCTCTGAAAAAATCTGTTTAGTCATTGCATGTCTTGAGTAGAGAATTTGAACAATTTATATTCAAAGCAATGACTGATTGATAAAGAGTTACTATTGCTATTTTGTTAATTGCAGTTTTGCCATTACTTACAATGGCAAAACAGCAATTATTTTTGCACCTACCTAATAATTGTCTGGGAATGTCCTCATCTCTCTTTTATTTCTGAAGGACTTCTTTGCATGGAAAAGTCTGCTTTTTTTTTGCAGTTTTTTATTCATTCCGCACTTTGAATACATCATCTCAGTTTCTCCTAGCATGTAAGATTTCTACTGAGAAATTTATTAATAGCCTTATTAGAATTTTCTGGTATGTGCTATATTTATTTTCTCTTGAGCCTTTCCAGAATCTTTCTTTTTCTGTGACATTTTGCCAATCTTAACTATAATATGTCATAGTACAGTATTGTATAGATTGAACCTGATTAGAACTGTTTAATCTTCCTCTACCTGGATATTTATTTATATCTTTCTCCAAATGTTGCAAGTTCTCGGCTATTATTTCTTCATTTTTTGTCATTTTCTTCTCTTCTCCTTTCTAAATCCTATTAGATGAATGTTAGCTCTTGATAATATTCTATAAATCTTTCAAGATTTCTTCATTGCTTTTCATTCTTTTATTCTCATCTGACTCTACCTTTTTCAATAACCTATCCTTGAGTAACAGATTCTTTCATCGGCTTGATCAATTCTGTTCTTTATGCTCTTTATTGAATTTTTCATTTCATTTATTCTATTCTTCAGTTTCCAACTTTTTAATAATTTCAATTTCTGTAAATTATTTATTTTGTTCATTTCTTGTTTTCCTGATTTATTGGAATTGTTTATCTGTATTTCCTCAAATTCACTGAGCTTCCTTCAAACAATTATTTTGAGTTCTTTGTTAGGCAGTTTGTAGAGCTCCATTTCTTTATGATCAGTGACTGGGGAATTATTGTATCCTTTGCTAGTGATACTTTGTTTTTTTCATGTTTCTCATTGTCTTATTTTGATATCTGTGCATTTGGTGAGGTTATTTTTTCTAAGCACTACTGGTTGATCTTGGTGGGGAAGGCCTTTGTCTATGGAAGATTGTAAGGGTGATGGCTGGGTGAGGTGCCGCAGTTTTGGCTTCAGTGAGGGTGCAGTAGTGTAGTCTCTGTGCGGCTCTGTCAATCTTCAATTACTAAAGATTGTGAGATTCCTCAGCAGCCAACCATTTGAGTGTCCACATCAGGTGCAAAGCCTACTGGGGTCCTCAGTGGCAAAAGCCACATGGGTCCTCCTGATATCTTTTTTTTTTTTCTATCAGGTAACTTGTGGCCAAGAGGATCCTTCTTGGCACTAGATATGGCTTGCAGGCTCACTCATACTAGTGGCAGCACCAATGTCTAATGAGTGGTGCTCTGGCAGTGATCATGAAGCTAAAGCTTGAAGTTTGGACACATTTGGAAATACTACACCAGAGGCATTCACCCCCACTATTGCATTGGTAATCAAGTAAAACGTGTTGATGCTTGTGAAGTAGCCAGAGAGCCAGGTTCAAGAGCATAGGCATGTGCAGATGTATAGCACCTCCTTAATCTGCAGCATAGGCTACCCTTCATTGGTAGCTAAGCTACTGTTTTTAAAACACAGGCATTAATGGATGAAAATTAGCTCTGGGTTCTGGGGTATACACTAGCCCAGTATGGTGGTGGCCCTAGTGTCTGAGGGTTGAGTGATTACAGGGCAACCACAAAGCAGGAGTCTGGAATATGTGCCCTTGTGGATCAGGCACAGTTTGGGAGTCAGGAAATGTGTGCAGTTTGTAGAACTCATGGCTTCAGTCCCAGGGCAGCACAATAGCAGCTGTTTTTGTTGAGAGGGGAGTGAGTGAGTAGCCATATCTCCCTTCCTGAGGCTCCCCAGCAGAAATGGCTTTGGTTACCTCACTGACAAAAGGTATCAGTTTCCCCTGTGGAACAGCCACTGGACACTATGGTGGGTCTCACTGCATGGCTCACGCTGATAGCCTTCAGTTTTCTCTTATGTTTCTAGCCATCTCTAGGCATCTCAGTTATGTCCATCTCACCATGAATTATTTTCTGTATGGATATCCTTAGTTATGTTTTTATTTTCTTCTATAGTGTTGCTGCAGATTCTTAACTGTGCCCATGAACCCTTCCAATGGTATTTTGATTTGTAGATTGCTATTTATAATTTTGTTTTGTAAGAAGATGAATGCTAGTATCTCCTACCCCATCATCTTGGGGCTATTTCTGTTTATCTTTTTATTATTGAGTTTTTTAAAAACATTTTAGGTACACTGTATACACATTATTTGTCTGGCAATCTGGAAATGGATTCAATAATTTTCTCACATTCTGAGACTATCTTTTTTATTTTCTATTGATACCTTTTGAATATTATAAACATTTAATTTTGATGAAGTTCAATTTCATGCTGTTTCATATTTGGTTAGTGACTTTTGTGTCCTCAGATAATTTTCTACAGAATATTGTAATTATTTTATTTAATGTTATCTTGTAGAAGTTCTAAATTTTAGCTTTTTCATACATGTCAGATAATTTTGAATATATATAGTAAAGGAAGGGTCCATGTTCTTTTTTTGTCACAGAAATATTGAATTGTTTAAACTCAGTAGTAGTCCTTTTTGTGTTGCTATAACAGAATATCTAATATTTAGTAATTTAACAAAATTATAGATTTATTTCTTATAGTTTCAGGGACAAGCAAAGATCAAGCTTGAGGAACCCACATCAGGCAAGGGCCTTTGTGCCACATCATCTCATGTTGGAAGATGGAAGTCAAGAGAGCTCTAGAGAGAGCAAGAGATGAAATTCACAGGGTCAACAACTTTTCCATTTTTAATTAATCTGTTCATAAACATGGAGCCTCCATGACTTAAACATCTTCCATCAGACCTCACCTCCCAGTAGTATTGAATAGGGGATTAAGTTTCCAATACATGCTATTTAAAGAACAAATTTAAACTTTAGCGTACCACCTCTGGCCCCAAAATTCATGTCACTATTATATACAAAATATATTAATTCCATTCCACCAGTCCCAATGCTTTACTAAGCATTGCCCCAGTTAGAATTTCAACATATGAATTTTGGAGGGACACAAATATTCAGGCTACAGCAATATATAAGTACAATTAATTTTTGTATATTTACTTTTAATTCTGCATAACTGCTAGATTCACATTGTTCTTATAGAATTTTGTCAACTTTTTAAGTTTTCTTACATATACAGAAATTGTATTAGTCTGGGTTCTCTGACAGGACAGAACTAATATGCAGATATATATATGAAAGGGAGTTTGGCAGGGCACGGTGGCTCATGCCTGTAATCCCAGCACTTTGGGAGGCCAAGGCGGGCAGATCACGAGGTCAAGAGATCGAGACCATCCTGGCTAACACGGTGAAACCCCGTCTCTACTAAAAAAAAAAAAAAAAAAAAATTTAGCTGGGCATGGTGGCAGGTGCCTGCAGTCCCAGCTACTCGGGAGGCTGAGGCAGGAGAATGGCGTGAACCCTGAAGGCAGAGCTTGCACAGTGAGCCGAGTTCGTGCCACTGCACTCCAGCCTGGGAGACAGAGCAAGACTCCGTCTCAACAAAAAAAAAAAAAAAAAAAAAGAAAGGGAGTTTATCAAGGAGTACTGACTCATACGATCATAAGATGAAGACCCAAAATAGTCTACCTGCAAGCTGAGGAGCAAGGAAGCCAGTGAGATTCCCAAAACTTCAAAAGTAGGGAAGTCGACGGTGCAGCCTTCAGTCTGTGGCCAAAGGCCTGACAGCCCCTGGCAAACCACTGGTGTAAGTCCAAGGGTCCAAAAGCTGAAGAACTTGGAGTCTGATGTTCGAAGGCAGGAAGCATCCATCATGGGAGAAAGACGAAGGCCAGAAGGCTCAGCAAGTCAACTCCTTCCAACTTCTCCTGCTTGGTTTTTCTAGCCATGCTGGCAGCCAATGAGATAGTGCCCACTCACATTGTGATTGGGTCTCCCCGAGGGTGGGTCTTTCTCTCCCAGTCCACTTATTCAAATGTTAATCTCTTCTGGCAACACCCAGAAACACCAGATACACCCAGAAACAATACTTTGCCTCCTTCAATCTAATCAAGTTGACAATTAATACCATCACAGAAATACTGTCTTAGAATACTGTCAAGAATCTGCATAGAATTTTTTCATGCCTTTTCTAATTTTTTAAAGATCATCACATGTTTTTAGCATTGTCTTTTTTTGGTTTAACAAGTTTTTTTTAATTATTTCATTTTTTATGTGATTAACTTGTGATTAGTACATTGTTTTAATTTTCAATTTATTTTCATAGATACTACATTGTAAATGCTTGTTACTTTTTTTCTTAGTCTTGTGTTGCTATTAATATAAAAATACTTTTTTTATAAAGAAAAAATCTACTTTCAGCTCAAAGCTCTGCAGACTGTGAAGTTTAAGAGCATGGCTCTGGCTTCTGGTGAGGACTTTCTTGCTGCCTAACAACATGGTGGAGAATGTCAAAGGAGATCTGGACACATGGAAAGAGGAAAAACTTAAGGGGCATTCTGGCTTCATAACAATCTATTCTCAAGAAAACTAATCCATTTCTACTCCTGCAAAATCTACTCCAATTTTTTGAGGTAAAAAACTCACGAATTACTGTGAGAATAGCACCAAGTCATTCATGACAGAGCTGCCGCCTTGACCCAAATAACTCCCACTGGGCCCCACCTCTCAACACTACCACATTAGTGTGCAATTTCAACGTAAGTTTTGATGGGGGCAAACAAATTATATGTGCACCACAGCAATAAGTATCACAAGACTGAGTGCAATTGTACTCTGCTTTTTAAGAGATATGTGTACTTTCCACTTTATCCCATGCAGCAAGCTATTATTTGTATCCCCCTAACTTTCCAGATTTTTATTAGCCCTGCTGAACCATTAAAAACCTTTTCTGATTTTGCTTTTCAATTTTCCATCCAGATTCTTTGTGTTTGTCCATAATTTGTAAATGCATCCACTACCAAAAACATGGCTGAATATTGTCAACTCAACATTGGAAATGTCTCAGCTCCACAGATTTATGGTTACTAGTTATTCTTCTTCACCGTTTTCAAAAGACTTTGGTGCCTTTAACAAGGTGAGTAAAAATGTATCTGCCCTTTCTCATTTTATGAGTTTGAGCCAGATATGTCTCACAGCATCTGACCCATAAGGTCATATTTTCTTACATTGCCTTTTACATCTTCTAAATAGAAACTGTGCCTTTTACATCTTCCCATCCACCACTTCTCTCTGGATTCCTCTTCTGCTCCAAGAGAAAAAAAGCTCTCTGTCTTAAAACTCTCATGCAATTAGATTTCACCCATTTAGAGAACCTCTGTTTCCCATAAATCAAAGCCAAATTATTATTACCTTTATAACACTTGAAATGTTATGACCATGATATCTTATTACAGTCAGATTCTGAGGATTAGGGCATGAAAATATGGGGTTCATTTTGGAACTCAGCCTACCGCAATAACTAAAGTATTTCAAAAAAAATCATGAATTTGCCCTTTAGTTACATAAGTATAACAAGCAGCAGCCATTTGAGTTTAGAATTACAAGCACTGCTAATCTTGCTATTTCCCACTGCTTTTTTTTTTTTTTTTTTTTCTTGGTAGAATCTTGATCTTTCACCCAGGTGGAATGCAGTGGTGCAATCCCAGTTCACTGCAACCTCTGTCTAGCAGGTTCAAGTGATACTCCTGCCTCCCTCTCCTGAGTAGCTGGGACTACAGGTGCCCACCACCACGCCTGGCTACTTTTTTTGTTCATTTGTTTTTTTGAGAGGGAGTCCTATTCTGTTGCCCAGGCTGGAGTGCAGTGGTGCGATCTCGGCTCACTGGAACCTCTGCCTGTTGAGTTCAAGCAATTCTCCTGCCTCAGCCTCCCGAGTAGCTGGGACTACAGGCACATGCCACCATGCCCGGCTAATTTTTTATTATTATTACTTTTAGTAGAGACAGGGTTTCACCATGCTGGCCAGGCTGGTCTCAAACTCCTGACCTCATGATCCACCCGCCACAGCTTCCAAAGTGCTGGGATTACAGGCATGAGCCACTGAGACTAGCCATTTTTTTTTTTTTTTTTTTTTTTGTAGTTTAATACAGGCAGGGTTTCACCATGTTGGCCAGCCTGGCCTTGAACTCCTGACCTCAAATGATCCATCTTGGCCTCCCAAAGTGCTGGGATTACAGCCATGAACCACCACACCCGGCCTTCCCACTGCCTTTAATCTTTAGCTCTGCTTGAGAAGTATCCCTTATGTATGGAAGTTTGCTCTAATGACAATTAGGTACAATTACTAATAGTTGTGGGATCTTCTAGAAAATAAAAAAAAAAATTTGTTTTTTCTATCTAGTATTATACAACTAAATATTGAGAGTCTAATAGCCTAATTTGTGCCAGATTATCTTCAGGGCACTGAGGTTAAAGCAGTGAGCGGATAAGACATCAGCCCACTCAGAGCTCCGTAGTGGGAGAGAGAACCCAAGTTAAATATTTAAAGTAATATTAATTGGTATAAGAATTAAATAGCTATTATAAAATGTCAGATATTTATGACAACTGAGGTTAAAAACTAAGCAGGAAAAAACAGCTGGAAAGTGCCACTGAGAGCTGGTGGTTGAAATTTTTCATTGTTTCTAGGGAAGATAACATTTGAATAATAGTGTTAAGGCTTCTGTTCAGTTTCATTTTTGCCTGAGTCTCTTATATTTTAAATATTAGGGGTTTTAAGGTCTTTTTTTTTTTTACTTTTTATGTCTATTTGTACTCTTTATATAAATGTTTCTCAAAGTGTTATCTGACAAGTAAATATTTTAGAATAACCCAGAGAACACTTTAACATAGCAATTTATTGAACTGCACACAAAACTTTGAGTCTAAAGATTATTTATTATATACCCAATTATTAACAAGTGCTCAAGTTGATGCCTATGCAAAATAAATTAGAAAACAACTTCTTTTGATGAAAAAACCATTGAATCTATTTTCCATGGCTTTGTCTGCACACATATGTTGACATTTTTGCCTCTCCACGGATTCATAATAAATCTCTATTGAGTAAATTAAAACTTGAAAGACTTTCAAATAATTTCTACACAGAGCTGTCACCTGTGTCCTACTCTAAATTCCAGCTGATTGCTGAATAGTTTTACCTAGTTGCTTTTTAAATTTTGTATGATGAAATTCATAATTTCAGCATAAAATTTCTATATATGTACATATAGTCTAGTTTTGATATTACATTTTGGTGTACACCACATGCAAATATATTAACCAATTAAACTCTTAACTACTTGTATTAGTTTTTTGTTGTTATACAATGTTATTTAATGAAAAACTAGAAAACCTCAGTAGCATCAAGAATATACTGAATCCTCAACCCCAGAGGTCTATAGGTAGACTGAGAAGTTATCTTGATTTGGGACTGATTAAACCAATTTCAGATGGGCTCACTCGTATCTGAAGTCAGCTGAAAGGTCAGGTTTAGTTTTCTTATTCTAGAATGTCCTTAAATACGACAATTTTCTCATCATTGATGTTATTCATGAAGATAAGCCCTGTGATATTTATAGGAGGTGCTATGTATTGGATTTTAAATCTTGTAATCAGTCGATCTAGATAATCTCTACAATTCTTTTCCATCATTACACGTTATTTATTGGAGAATAAAAATTAAGTGAAAATGCAGTAATAAAAAAATGAGAGTATTCATAAAATACACATATAAAAGTCACATTGGAATAAATATCAGGTAACATATTATAATTGCAAATTGTTACATTATTGTTGATTAGTTACTTGTCTGTGAAAGTTGAATCTTAACATAGCCTGTGACACAAATTTTCATATGTAATTTCTGTCTTTTAGTAAGTTATATGATATGCTTCCCTTATCTGAAAATGCATGGTTGGAGGACCTAAACCATGTGAAAGAGTGAGTGATGTAGATACAGGAGATGAGAAGAAATAATGTGTGAAGGCTATGAAGTAAGCATATGTCTGACTTGATAAAATAACAAAAATATTTGTGTGGTTGGAACAACATGAGAGAAGAAAACTGTGAAGATGAAGAGTAATTCAGATAAATGCTTAGAGGACTTTGAAAACAGTTTAGATTCTTATAGTAAAGAAGATGCAAAGCAATGGCAGGACAATTCTACGGTAGTGCAGAGATGGTAGGGAGATATATACGAGAAAATGAGGTCAGTCTGAGATATAAATGCCCAATAAGAGATGATGAAGGCTTAACCTAGGGTGTAGTGGTAAAGTGGTAGGGCAGGATTGCAGATGGGCGGCACTTTGCTGACAGTATTTGCTGTTGCATATACGAGTCAAAGTCCATGATAAAATTTACTACATTCTCTGTGTTTCTGTTTCACCACTTTAACTGTGGACTTCTCTCTGAGGTTGACCATGCCATAAATTTCATTATCATTAAACTCATACTATCTAATGTGTCCAAAATATATATTAGATATTATGTAAGATTATAGATACTATGAAATATATATTCTGATATATAAGATTAACGTTTTATTTAATTGTTAATTTAATTCTTAAGTAGTAATTTTCTTTTTAGGAGAGATAATCGTGTATTTGTATTTTGAATGTGCATTGTCCCAGTATTATTTTGGTACTCGTTCATGAGACACTTTTTATGAACATAGGAAATTTTCAGTGTTATGCCATTTGCTTTCCCCAACTTTTTCCTCTTTTCTTCTTCTTCCTCTAAGAACTCTTCCTCTTTTCCTTCTCTTTTTATTTCTTTTCTTCTTCTTTCTTCTCCTTATTTTTGTTCTTATTCTTGCAAAGACTTGATTTTTTTTTTCACTACAATTAGAGTTTTACTAGACTCATTAATCAACAGTGACAGAAAAGTTCCTACTAAGGATACCAACAACATGTGAAGGGTCTACTTTATCTATCTAATATGAAAAGTCTATAAACGGTCTAACAGTTTACTACTCTCATCCTTTATTTATTGTGTAACTAGTCTTAACTGTTAGGGGACTAGCAGTTCAAAATATTGTTTAAGTGAAGCAAAAGTGTTGTTTCCCTCAGTGTTAAAAGTGGGAATCTAAAAGATAAGGAGATGCTCCCATAACAAAGCAATAGTAAATATTTGAGTTGATGAACATTCTAATTACCTTGATTTGATCATTACACAATGTCTTGGTGTATCAAAATACCACATGTACCCCATAACAATGTATAGTTATTATTTATCAATTAAAAAATAAATAAATAAAAAATGATTAAATGTCTTAATAAGTAAAAAGAAATAAATATAAGAACATGGCTTTTATGTGTCACAAAATTATGGCCTTTTAACAGGTAAATGCTCAAGTTTTTATTTTTTCTAATAGTGCCGTTAGCCGGTTCTTTTCTTCTAACATAATACAAATAACTTGAGTGCCATTAAAATTTACTTGTAATGCATAAGCCTCAACTCTTTTATCTGTATATTTTGACATATTGACATTAAATATAAATGACTATTATGATACTTCGTATATTGAATATACATAGGATTTCTAGCATGAAATTGATACTCAACAAAATAAGTTGGTATTAGAGATAGAGCAATGTAATGAAAGACTGATCATAAAATAATATTCTCACCAATAATAATAGTAATTATAATCCCAATAACAAATAGAATAGGATTTTTTTTCTCATATGTATGTGTTTTTAATTTGAAAAATGGAAGAATCCATACGAATTTTAGGATTGTGTTTTCTAGTTCTGTGAAGAATAGTGGTATTTTCATGGGAATTGAATTGAATTGCTTTTGGCAGTAAGGTCATTTTCCCAATATTGATTATATCCACTCACGAGCATGGGAGATGTTTTCATTTGCTTACGTCATCTACGATTTTTTTCAGAGTGTTTTGTAATTTTCCTTGTAGAGACCTTTTATCTCCTTGGTTAAGTATATTCCTAAGTATTTTATTTTATTTATTTGCAGCTATTGTAAAAGAGATTGAGTACTCGATTTAATTATCAGCTTGGTTGCTGTTGGGGTATAGCAGTGCTATTTATTTGTGTACATTAATTTTGTATCCTGAAACTTTACTGAATTCATTGATCAGTTATAGGAGCTTTTTGGATGAGCCTTTAGGGCTTTCTAGGTGTATGATTATATCATCAGGGAACAGTGACAGCTCGACTTCCTCTTTACTGATTTGAATGCCTTTTATTTCTTTCCCTTATCTGATTGATCTGGCTAGGACTTCCATTACTATGCTGAATAGATGTGGTGAAAGTAGACATTCTTTTTTTGTGAGAGTTCTCCGGGCAATGTTTTCAACTTTTCCCCATTTAGCATAATATTGACTATGGGTTTGTCTTAGATGACTTTTATTACCTTAAGGTGAACGAAAAAAGAGCCCACACACATAGCTAAAGCAAACACTAAGCAAAAGGAACAAATCTGGTGGCATCCCATTACCTGACTTCAAACTATACCATTAGGCTATAGTCACCAAAACAGTATGGTACTGGTATAAAAAAAGGAACATAGAACAATGGAACAGAATAGAGAACTAAGAAATAAAGCCAAATACTTATACCCAACTGATCTTTGACAAACCAAACAAAAACATAAAGTGGGAAAAGAACACTCTAGTTAACAAACAGTACTTGGATAATTGGCAAGCCACATGTAGAAGAATGAAACTGGATCTTCCTCTCTCACCTTATACAAAAATTGACTCAAGATGAATCAAAAACTTAAATCTAAGACCTGAAACCATACATATTCTAACATTGGTAAAACCCTTCCAGACATGGGCTTAAGCAAAGACTTCATGACCAAAACCTCAAAATAAAATTCAACAAAAACAAAAATAAATAGATGGGACTTAATTGTACTAGAGAAGCTTTTGTACAACAAAATAAATAATCCATAGATTTAACAGAAAACCCACAAAGTGGGAGAAAATCTTCACAAACTATGCATTCGACAAAGGACTAATATTCAGAATCTACAACAAACGCAAACAAATCAGTAGGAAATAAACAAACAATCCCCTCAAAAATTTGATTAATGACATGAATAGACAATTCTTAAAAGAAGATATACAAATGGCTAACAAACATATGAAAAAAGTCCAATATTACTAATTATCAGGGAAATGCAAATCGAAACCACAATGTGATACCACTTTACTTCTTCAAGAATGGCCATAATCTCTTTTGTTGTGCAGAAACTCTTTAGTTAATTAGATCCCATTTGTCTATTTTGGCTTTTGTTGAACAGGCAACCTATAGAATGGGAGAAAATTTTTGCAATCTATCCATCTGACAAAAGGCTAATATACACAATCTACAAAGAACTTAAACAAATTTACAAAAACGAAACAAACAACCCCATCAAAAAGTGGGTGAAGCATATGAACATTTACTTCTCAAAAGAAGACATCTATGCAGCCAAAAAACATATGAATAAATGCTGATCATCACTGGTCATTAGAAGAATGCAAATCAAAACCATAATGAGATACCATCTCATGCCAGTTAGAATGGCGATCATTAAAAAGTCAGGAAACAACAGATGCCAGAGAGGATGTGGAGAAATAGGAACACTTTTACACTGTTGGTGGGAGTGTAAATTAGTTCAACCATTGTGGAAGACAGTGTGGCAATTCCTCAAGGATCTACAACTAGAAATGCAATTTGACCCAGCAATCCCATTACTGGGTATATACCCAAAGGATTATAAATCACTCTACTATAAAAACACATGCACATGTATGCTTATTGTGGCACTGTTCACAATAGCAAAGACTTGAAACCACCCCAAATGCCCATCAATGATAGACTGGATAAGGAAAATGTGGCAGATATCCACCATGGAATACTATGCAGCCATAAAACAGGATGAGTTCATGTCCTTTGCAGGGACATGGATGAAGCTGGAAACCATCATTCTCAGCAAACTAACACAAGAATAAAAAAACAAACAGCACGTGTTCTTACTCATAAGTGGGAGTTGAACAATGAGAACACATGGACACATGGAGGGGAACATCACACACCAGGGTCTGTTGGGAGAGTGGGGAGGGATAGCATTAGGAGAAATACCTAATGTAGATGATGAGTTGATGGGTATGTGTATACCTATGTAACAAACTTGCACGTTATCCACATGTATCGCAGAACTTAAAGTGTAATTTAAAAAAATAAAAATGATTAAAATTAACAACTGACCAGAAACTAAAAAAAAAAAAAAAAGAGTGGCCATAATAAAAAAATCAAAAAATAATAGATGCTGGCATGGATGTGGTGAAAAGGAAACACTTTTATACCGTTGGTGGGAGGGTAAATGAGTACAACCGCTATGGAAAACAGTGTGGAGATTCCTTAAAGAGCTAAAATTAGATCTACTATTTAATTCAGCAATCCCACTACGTGATATCTACCCAGAGAATTAAAAAGTCATTATATGAAAAAGATACTTGCACACACATGTTTATAGAAGCACAATTTACAATTGCAAAAATATGAAAACAGCCCAAATGCTCATCAATCAATGAGTGGATAAACAAAATGTATATATATATATATATATATATATATGACATGAAAAAAAGTAATATCTATGTGTATGTGTGTGTCTGCGTATTGGATTACTACTCAGCCATAAAAGGGAACTAATTAATGCCATTCATTGCAACCTGGATGGAATTGGAGGCCATTATTCTAAGTGAAGTATCTCAGGAATGGAAAACCAAACATTGTATTTTTTCACTCATAAATGGGAACTAAGCTATGAGGAAGCAAAGGCATGAGAATGATACAATGGACTTTGGGGACTCAGGCGAAATGGTGGGAGGGAGATGAAGGATAAAAGACTATATATTGGGTACAGTGAACACTGCTCAGTTGATGGGTACACTAAAATCTCAGAAATTACCACTAAAGAACTTGTTCATGTAATCAAAGGCCACCTGTTACCGAAAAACCTATTGAAATTAAAAAGAAAAATGAAAGAAATATATCAGAGTTTTGGGCAATTCTATTGTAGACTGAGTAGATATTTTTACATTTATGTGACTAACCTAAACATATCCTGAAACCAAAGCTATAGCATAATAAAATAATTCACTTCATTTCTGTTGTGATAATTTTTCAACCTTTTGATAAAATTACGTTAATCTTGATTTAAAAGCATTATGTCATATATAAGAGGTGATAGTTAATGAACATATTTATTTACATTTTCTGATTTATTAAAAGGTTGTGTAGTATGTGATCAAATTAAAAAATAGACACTAAATCTCAGCTCTGCCTCATGTGCTATATGAGCACAGGAATCTTAAGTAGTCTAGGTATCTTAACTTCACCATTTAAATTGGGTTAACTAAAGTAATTACTACATATGATACTTGTGAGAATTAAGTTAATGTATTAAAAAGGTGCTTAGAATGGTGTATAACACCATTAGCTATCTGTCATTTGCCAAAATTGAAAATCTTTTCCCCTTACAACTGATTGATAAGATAACAAAATTAAAGGCAAGGGCATTTTTATAACTGCAGAAACAGGTTAATTCAGGAAAACTTGGGACAATAATCCCTCTAAGATAGGAGAAATGACTCTCACAGGATAGAAGTTAGTGAGATAAGAAAAACACCCTGGTCATCGAAAGAAGATTTATCTCAATTTACAGCCTGCCTACAATAAGCATTTCTTCCATCTTTTTCTTTTAACTCCCAGCATAAGAACATCACTGCCAAAAGGAAAGCATCAATATAGTAGAACCATGAAAATCTTTACATTCATCGCACAAATAAATGCTTCAGTTCTGGTTTGCAGAGAAATCACAACACATATAACATTGCAATCATTTGTAAGGAGAGTCATTAATATAATAGGCATTCTGGAAGTTAAATAAAATCCCCAAGAAAATCTTATGCTACTTGAAGTGTACACAACATACGCAAAAACAGAGACAGTAAGGAAAAAAATTAAATACACACAAGTGAAAATAAACTGTATTGTGACATTTGATTGATCAATTGAGTAAACTGAAGCATAGTACCTGACGTTGTAAAATAAACAATTGTTTTCACTTCTAAAAATCATTTTTTTCTGAATTGCTTAATTTCCCATACATTCAACTATATCAAAGATATCCATATACTCTAATATCAGCTAAGAAATATGCTTCAGTGTTGAGAAAGCTTAATACTTTGTCCATTATTAAAGCTATTATATTTTGCTGCTGCTAGATATGTTAGAAAATGCATTACTATAATCTTATCAGTTAATAGCAGAACATCACTGTTTGATATTTACAGTTATACTTAATGAGAAATTCTTTGAAGAAATAAATTGTAAAGTTCATTTATTTTAGCATCTTAAACAAGTCCTTTACTTTTTTATATGTCATGCATTGCTTTCCAGATGATCACAGACTAAAACTTTTATATACACTGGTTGAATTTTACCAATGTCATACGTATTCTTCCTTGATGATGGAAGTTCTTATATTGATGAAATTTATTAGTAGCTTTGACCTCTTGAAGCACCACAAAATATATACATATACATATATTTTTTCATTTATATGGTAGTTTCACAACCAATCCATAAATTTTAAATGTTAAAGTGGAAAGATATTGTATTTTTTTAAAAACAAATTTATATTACAATTGACTAAAAATATTTAAAAAGTATAATTAAATAAGTATTGACATGTACACAACTGTAAAACCATAAAATTTTTTTATAAAACTGATGTTTTATTTTCATACGCATTTAGTACTCATGGTGACATTTTATCCATACATTACATACTTTTAGATATTTCTCTGTGGTTTTATATGCAAATTATTAGACAGTTCTTTTTTTTTTTTTTTTTTTTTTTTGAGACGACATCTTGCTGGTATCCAAGCTGGAGTGCAGTGGCATGATCTTGGCTCACTGCAACCTATGCCTCCTGAGTTCAAGCAATTCTCCTGCCTCAGCCTCCCTAGCAGCTGGGACTACAGGCACGTGCCACCATGCACAGCTAATTTTTCTATTTTCAGTAGAGACGGGGTTTCACTGTGTTGGCCAGGCTCATCTCGAACTCCTGACCTCATGATCCACCCACCTAGGCCTCCCAAAGTACTGGGATTACAGGTGTGAGCCACTGCACCCAGCCTACACTGTTATTTTCTTATATACCTAAAGCCAGATTATTTCCTTTGATACCTTGCCAGTTATTCAAGGCTCAGCTTAAATAAAACTTTATTTACGCAACCATTTTGATTTCCTCTTCAGAAGAGAGCTTTTCCCCTTTAAACAGCCATTATTCTGTTTTATGACTTATTGAACATACTATCTTCCACTGAACTTGCAAATTAGCATATCCTTAATAGATCATAGGCTTTCTGTGGGCATAGAGTAGGTGTGATATATATTTGCACCCATTACAAGGTCCAACATATGGTGTGCATTCAACTGAGTACAATATAGATTGATGAAAGATTTTCTGTCCTAAATTAGCAGGCACGTTTTTTATTATTATGTCTTACAGATAAAACTCCTATCAGGAAGAAAGGGAGGAAGGAAAGAGGAAAGGAAGGAAGGAAGGGAAAGAAAACTAGAAAAAAATCACTAAAAAAGTCAACAGCTTTTGTTTTAGTTGTAAAGATTATAAAGAGATAGTAAGATTTCACTATTTTAGGAGTATAGGTGAACACTGGCACTTTCACACAATACTACACTCAAATAAAATGCAAATTACTAGATATTTTGATAGATTAAACTTTGTATAATTATTTTAAAAGCTACAGAAGAAAATTTAAAATGACATTTTATTTTTAAAATGTGCAAAATGGAGTAAGATTAATTGTAAATAAAATAAATTGATTTTTCCTGAAAAATAAGTTTTTCTCCCTCTATACAATTTAGACTCACATGAATAATTTCAGAAATATTGCACTGATCCCTATGTTCCATTAGGGTGTGGCTCGTGTCTAGGAACCTCAGGCAAATAAAGTGCAGTGTAACAGGAAAATAGATATTTAAATTCTATATGAAACTTTATTTTTTTCCTTTCATTTGATATTTAAACCATCTATTATTCTTTTATCATAACAAATTCCACAGTGAACTTGACAAATATAAATAGGTACAGATATTAGAAATTTGAGTTGCTTGAAGAATACAACACATTAAGGGCTGAAGGGAAGGAATGGAACAAATATAAATGATGAGCAGAGGACTGGGAAACAAAACTACTCTTTATATGTAAAAATTTAGAGAAGGACTGGATATTTAAATTATAAAATTATTTAGAAATACAAATTATGGATACCATGCTTATAAAAAGTGTGTATCTTCCCATTCTCCACTCTGCTCTCCAAAAAATGAAAAGGATCAGATTATAAACACTAGTTAGCACCCTCCACAATTTCCTTGTACATGTTTCATTCATGAAAAGACAGAAAACTCATACGTCTTTATGTGTTCACCTTTGAAACACAAAATGAGCATTAAAATAATAGAAACAAAGCCAAACATAATGAACCCTGAGAAAAATACCTAACATTAGAGTCCTGCCATTAGGTGTGACAAGTAAGCATTGCTTTTGCTTCTAAGACCCCACTAAGTCAAAACAATGAGGCCGATGGTGCGGGATAATTGTCCCTGATATGCTGCTGGGAGTGTTATTTATGGTTGTCTATAAAATATGCTGTGACAATGGCAGGCTGCCCAGGACCTCAGTGGTAATTATAGAGTGGCCTATTTTTAGGTGCCTTCTGATACACACAATTTTTAAAGAAGAAAAAGAAAGTATAGTCAGTATTGTCATTATAAACTTGCCCCTTACCTTTTCACAATGACATGACTAACTCAAAAGCTAAATATGTAAAATATGTACTAACAAAATAAAGGCATACAAACCTTCATTAGCTTAATAAAATCCTGTCAACTTGTGCTCTTGCATCCAAACTGATATTCACATAAAGAAAATGCAGGCCAATGGGCACATATGTGGAAATTCTTTAGAAAGATTGGTAATATTAACATTGTTTTAATGGATAAGTTATTATATAATTTAACTGATAAAATTATTTTTATGATATCTCAAAAATACTTGATTCTAAGATAGGTGGAACTGTTGTTTCTATTATACAAAATTATAAATCATGAAAAAGCACTGTCATTCTTTTAGATGAAAGTGATTTAAAATGCAAATTACGTATTTTCATGTATGTTGTGACGACCTAAAAAAGCAGCAATAATTGTCTTCTGTAGAAATCAAAGGAGGCTTAAAATATTATAGTGATTTACTCATGTAATTTTATTTATTACTAAACAAGAACTGAGTCTTTATTACTTAAATTAAATTTAGAGTTGTAGATTTTGACTTCTGGAGAGAGTGGCTGTTACTCTGAGTTTCAAATAAGAGAAACTGCCTTGTTCTTAGAACAAATAAATTGTAAAAAAAGAAAAAAAACTTTTTTTTAGCATTCACCTATTTTTAATTCACATAACAATTAAACTTTTATAAATACGCATTATTACCAAATTTCATTTTGTTGATCTTTCAATGCTGAACTTTAAAATGATCAGTACAGGCAGTATGTACTCTAAGGGGCTACTCAAAGGTGAGAAAGAACAAGATGGTGGTATGAGTTGCACACAACCCTAAAAGTAAGGTAAAATCAACTATAATATTGAAGAACGGTTAGAATGGAGTATGTCTATGAATTAATGTTTATAAATATAATAAATAGAAGAATTTGTATGAAAAGTAAAACTTTTCTACTGAGTAGGAAGCTAAGTGCAACATGTAAGATGAAGTCAGAAATATTTTCAAAAATAAAATAAAAATTGAGGCAGATCTTTAAGCTTGTTGACTTGATTTTGGAAAGCTATAGAGTCAGAGTAAATAATTTTGTAATAATACTTAGACTCCTGTTGAGAGCAATGCTAACAAAATTTAAGTGAGATCATTTCACTATACCTCAACTGCTTATTTAAATAAAACCTTTAATTTTGGCATTTGTTCCTGGTAGCACAGAAAAGAGAAAATAATAAACTTGGTCTCAATAGCACAACTAGTGTCACTCATTTCACTAGGTAACTCTTTATAATTATGACCACATATCGCTGCTTATTTCTATGCTAAATATTGTGTTCAAATACTGTAAAAGTACATAATATTATTATTCTGTAATAATAGTCTTTGTACTGCAGGTCTTGTAAGATTTAGTTAAATCCACTATTTAGGTTGAACTTACTACAATTAATATTTATTTTATTTAGTTTGTTAATGAAAAGAACATAGCATTGCTGATATCATTTCTCATTTAACATAATTTTAAAAATAAATTGAAATTTATTATAATAATTTTCTCAGAGTGAGCTTAAAAGTGTTTCATGTTTCTACAAACATTTTTATTCAGTATCTTCTATGTACCAGGCAATGTTCTTGGTGTTTAGGATATTTCTGTGAAAATATATCTTTATCTATCCATATCATCTATCATAGTTCTTCATTCATTCATTAACAAACACATCATTTGTTTCCATATCTTAGCGGTTATTAACAGTGCTGCAATTAACATGGAGTGCAGATATTTTTATATGGTGGTAATTTGAATTCCTTTGGGTGTAAACCTATGCAGGGATTGCTGGATCATACGGTAGTTTTATTTTTAATTTGTTTAGAAACTTCCATATAATTTTCTGCCATAGCTGCACCAATCTACCTTCTCAGCAACAGTGTACAAGTGTTTCCTTTCCTCCACACTCTTGTCAACACTTGTTATATCTTCTCTTTTTGATAACAGCCACACCCTAACATGTGTGAGGCGATATCTTATTGTGGTTGTAATTTGTATTTCTGTCACGATTCATGATTTTTTTTATTTTAAAAAATTTTAATTATTATGGATATATAATTGCTATACATATTTATGGGATACATGTGATATTTTTTGATACAAATATATAAGAGTAATAATCAATTAAGGGTTTTTGGGATATCCATCACCTCAAACATTTGTCATTTCATTTTGTTTAGAACATTTCATATCCACTCTTTTAGTGATTTTAAAGGATACAATAAATTACTCTTAAATATTATCCCTCTATTGTGCTACCAACCACTAGATCTTATTCTGTGTATGCATATATTTGTACCCATCCTCACTACTCTTCCCAGACACTGGTAACTATCATTTGTTATTTGTCTCCATGGTTTAGTTTTACTTATTTTTATTTTTATTAGCTTCCAGACAGTGAGAAAATGAGATATTTATTTTTCTGTGCTGGGCTTACTTCGCTTAACATAATGTCTTTGAGTTTCACGCATGTTGTTACAGATAACAGAATTTCATTTTTTAAAAACATCTCAATGGTATTCTATTGTGCAATATATATCATATTTTTAAATTCATTTATCTCTTAATAGACATTTGACTTTATAACTTGGGTCTTACAAATAGTACTGCAATAACTGATTTTCTTTTTTTTTTGATATCTACACATCAGCGAGACTACTGGATCATATGATAATTCTATTTTCAGATTTTTTAGTAATATATATACTTGTAATAATTTACATTCCCACCAATACTCTATGAGATTTCACCTTTCTCCATATCCTCACCTGCATTTATTATTGCCTGTCTTTTGAATAAAAGCAATTTTAACTGGGGTGAGATGCAATCTCATTGTAGTTTTGGTTTGCATTTTTCTGATGATTAGTGATATTGAGCATTTTCTCATATATTTGTCACATGTATGCCTTCTTTTGAGAAATGTCTATTCATATCTTTTGTTCAATTTTTAATTGATTATTTGTTTCTTCTTTCCTGTTGAGTTGTTTGAGCAGCTTCATACACATTCTGGTTAATAATCTCTTGTCAGAAGAGTAGTTTGCTAAAATTTCATTTCATTCTGTGGGTTATATCTTCACTTTGTTGATTGTTTCCTTTGCTGTGCAGAGTTTTTCTACTTGATGTCATCCCATGTGTTAAATTTTGCTTAGGTTGCCGGTGCTTTTGTCATATTAATCAAAAATTCTTTGCATAGACTAATTTATAAATCTATTGGCTATCCGTATGTCTTCTTTTGAGAAATGTCAGGGTGTTTTTCCATTTAAAAAAGTTGAATTACTTGTTTTTATGCTACTGAATTATTTGAGTTCTTTCTATATTTCGAAGATTAATCCCACAAAACTACTATAATTAATAAATAAATTCAATACGGTTGCAGAATACAAAATCAACCTACAAAAATCAGTTGAATTTCTATATAACAATAACAACCTTTCCAAAACTAAGTCAAGATAATCTCATTTACAATAATATCCAAACTTATATAATACTCTGGAATAAATTTAACTAAGGAGGTAAAATACCCATACACTGAAAACTTGGGAGGCTGAGGTGGAAGGATTACTTGAGTCCAGCAGGTTGAGGCTGCAGTTACCCATGATAATGTCACTGTTCTCCGGCCCAGGCAATAGAAAGCCTGTCTCAAAACAAACAAACAAACAAAAAAAATAGAATAATTATATTGTTAAAACATCTGTATTACACAAAGCAATATACTAATTCAGTGCAATCCGTATCAAAATTCCTCTGGCCTCTGGTATTTGTTTTTCTTTCTTTCTTTTTTTTTTTTTTTTTTGAGATAGGGTCTCACTCTGTTACCCAGGCTGTTGTAGAGCTGCAATTATAGCTCACTGACACCTCAAACTCCTGGGCTGAAGTGATCCTCCTAACAGCTTCCTGAGTAACTAGCACTACAGGTGAGCACCACCACAGCCAGCTAATTTTTTTTTAAAAAATTAAGTAATGGAGTCTCACACTCTGTTCCCCAGACTGGTCTTGAACTTGTGGACTCAAGCAATTCTCCTTCCTCAGCCTCCCTAAGTGCATGGGTGCAGGCATGACCCACTGCACCAATGGCATTCTTCTCAGAAAATTTAAAAATAATGATTCTAAAATTTATGTAAAAACACAAAAGACCCAAAATAGCCAAAGCAGGAAAAACAAAGCATTATACTTCCCTGATTTCAAATTATATTATAAAGCTATAGTAATCAAAATAATACTACTGGCATAAAACAGACATAAAGAGCAATGGAACAGAATAGAGAACCCAGAAATAATTTGAAACACTATGGAAAACTAATATTCAACAAGGACACCAAGAAGATAAAATGGGAAAGATAGTCTCTTTAATACATAATACTGGGAAAAAATAGATATCCACATGCAAAAGAAGAAAATTGGAACTGTATCTCACAAAGCCAAATCAAAATGGGTGAAATACCTAAATAGAAGACCAAAAATAATAAATTTATTACTAAGACCTCAAAAACAAATGCAATAAAAACCAAAAGAGACAAATGGGACTTAAACTAAAAAGCTTCTGCACAGCAAAATAAATAATCAAAAGAGTAAACAGACAACCTACGGAAAGGGATAAAATAGTCACAAACTATGCATCTGACAAAGGACTAATATCAAGAATCTAAAAGGAACTCAAATAACCCATCAAGAAAAAGAACAGATAACCCCATTAAAAAGTCGGCAAAGTGTATGGACAGACGTATCTCAAAAGAAGACATAAAAGTAGCCAACAAAAATGAAAAAATGCTGAACATCACTAATCAAGAGATATTCAAATCAAAACCATAATGAGATACTATCTCACACCAGTCACAATGGCTATTACTAAAAAGTCAAAAAACAAAGATTTTGTCAAGGATGAACAGAAAAAATAATTCTTATACACTGTTCACTGGTGGTGCAAATGTAAATCAGGAAAACCTCAATGGAAAATAGTATGAGAATTTCTCAAGGAACTAAAAATGGAACTATCATTTGATCCAACAACCCCACTCCTGGGTATCTTCCCAAAAGAAAAGAAATCATTATATCAAAAAGACGTCTGCACTCACGTGTTTATAGCAGTACTATTCACAATAGCAAAGTCACGAAATCTATCTAAGTGTCCATCAATGGATGATTGCATAAACAAAATGTGGAATATGTATGCCTTGAACTACTACGTAGCCACAGAAAATAATGAAATCATGTTTTTTTCAATAACACGCATGGAGCTGGATGCCATTAGTCTAAGTGAAAAATGCAGAAACAAAATAAAAAACTGCAGGTTCTCACTTATAAGTGGTAGCTAAACAATGCATACCCATGGACAAACAGAAAAAAATAATAGACACTGGGGACTCCAAAAGTGTGGGGGTAAAAGGGGAGTGAATGTTGAAAAATTACCTATTGGGTCCAGTATTCATTATTTTGGTGATGGGTACACTAGAAGTCCAAATCCCTAAATATGCAATATATCCACGTAACAAACCTACACATGTACCCTATGAGTCAATTTTTAAAAAGAAAACATAGGCGAAAGGCTTCTTTATGTTATTCTTGACAATGATTTTTGTGATATCATTCAGACAACAAAAGCAAAAATAAATGTATGGGACTACATCAAAGTAAAAAGCTTATTTCTGCACTGTAAATGAAAAATAACCAAATAAAAAGGCAGCCAATGGATTGGTAGAGAATATTTGCAAACCATATATTTGACAAAGGGTTAATATAATTTACTATTTCTTTATACGTTGGTCTTGGTGTTTTTTTTTTTTTTTAAATTTCATATGTTGGCCAACGTGGTGAAGCCCCGTCTCTATTACAAGTACAAAAATTAGCTGGGTGTGGTGGCGTGCACCTGTAGTCCCAGCAACTGGGGAGGCTGAGGCAGGAGAATCACTTGAACCCAGGAGGCGGAGGTTTCAGTGAGCCCAGATCGCGCCACTGCACTGCAGCCTGGAGACTGAGTGAGACTCCGTTTCGAAAAAAAAAAAAAAAATTTGCCTTCAATTTTAAAGAATGCTTAACAGGATATAAAATTATTATTATTATTATTATTTTCCTGAGACGGAGTCTCACTCTGTCGCTGAGGCTGGAGTGCAGTGGCACAATCTCGGCTCACTGCAGCCTCCACCTCCTTGGTTCAAGTGATTCTCCTGTTTCAGCCTCCCAAGTAGCTGGAATTACAGGCCCTCACCAGCACACCTGGCTAATTTTTGTGTTTTTAGTAGAGATAGGGTTTCACCATGTTGGCCAGGCTGGTCTCATACTCCTGACCTCAAATGATCCACCCGTTTCAGCCTCCCAAAATGCTTAACTCTTGATTGGCATTTTAAATTTTCTTTTAGTATTTTAAAGATGTCTTATTATTTTCTTATGGCTTTTTTTTGTTAATTCATTGTAAGTCTTATTTTTGCTCCTTTGGAGATATCTTTTTTGAGCTCCCTATAATAACTTATTTTATTTTGTTTTAAGCAATTTATTAGGGTGTGTGTGAAAATGTTATAGTTTATATTAGACTATTATGAGATTAGTATCCATTTTGTAATTTCTAGAGTGAACATCAAAAAGAAAATAATACACACTTAATAAAGAAATTATAAATAATACATTATTCAATTATCAAAAAAAGAAAAAAAGACTGAAAAGGTAAGAAAGGCACTTAAAAAGTCAGAAGGGCTGGGCACAGTGGTCTACACCTGTAAGCCCAATACTTTGGGAGGCCATGGCAGGAAAATTGCTTGAGGCCAGGAATTCCATCCCAGCATGTGCAACATAGCGAAACCCTGTTTCTACCAAAAAATATAAAACATTAGCAGAGCAGAGTATGGTGGCCCATGCCTTCAGTCCTAGCTACTTGGGAAGCTGAGGCAAGAGGATTACTTGAGCCCAGGAGTTTGAGGTTACACAGCTATGATCATGCCACTGCATTCAAGCCTAGGCAACAGAAGAAGACCTCATCTTTATTTATTTATTTATTTTTAAGTAGAAGATATGAAGCAGAAAGCAAAGAGAGTGGACTTATCAACCCAGATAAATAAGCAATTATATTTAATATATGTAAAATTTTAAAATGCAACCAGAAAACTAAGGGTTTTTTTAATAAGATACAAGTACACAAAACCCAGTGCATTCTGTTTATAAGAGGCTTAATTTAAAATTAAGATAGCAGAAAGATTGAATGATATACAAAAAAAGATACACAAAGGATATAAAATTCACTTGCCAACCAAAAAAAAAAAAAAACTGAGATAGTTATAGTAATATTGACAACATAGATTTGGAGGTGCGTGTTATTGCTAGACAAAAATTGGAACATTTTGTAATAATATAATGGTGAGCCAATATGACAAAAATATGTAAACTGAAATCTATATGAATACAAAAGCGTCAACATATATGAAGACAAAATTGACAAAGTTAAAGGTAAATCTACGGAAATCTATAATCATAGTCAGAGTAATTAAAAAATGCCTCTTAGAAAAAATAGAGGGAAAACTATGTATATAAATCATGAACAGCACAATTTAAAAGGTTGACATGATTGAGATATATGAACTAAGGAAATAATAATTTGTCAGATGCTCAAAGAAGAATTATATATGTGCAGAATTTTATTCCTCATAAGGAAAACAACAGCTATTATGCCATGATTAAAAACATGAAGAGTATATTCTTTGGCCCCCGTGTCAATTTGTAAAATGAAGATAACTAGAAAATTTCCAAGTACTTAAAAAGGACACCAATATTTCTCTTTCCAGCCCAGTCATACTGCCTCAAATTCTAGTCTATTACTTTCTGTTTGGAATCCATGATTTATATGCTCACTTAGCAAATGGCTCAGAAGGAAAAAAAAAGTGGCTTCTAATGTTGGGCCATCTCAACTTCCTCCATTCTCTCTGAGAGTTTGATTTCTTATGTCTTGCATGCTTGATTTATCACAATACTTCCAAAAATATTTTTGTTTTATTTTAATCCAGCTTGCTCATTTTTTTTTCTTAATGTGAGGCTTTTTCCAATTATCAGCAACTATGTAATAACTATAAATGGAAGTCTCAACTGGATTTTAACGTAACAGGTAAATACATTTCTATCATTATTTAAGTTGCTGCTGTTTTCAGTCTTTGTTACTCACAATTGATTCTAATCCTATCAAAACACATTACTAAAATTATGAAAAAATAATAAAGTATATGTGGTTATTTTAACACACACAGCAGTGTATACAAATGAAAATGAGTATCTCAGAAATATGATTTATTTATGGGACACTTAGAGTGTAATTTAATTATCAAATTTATGTATTATATAAATTTCTAAACAGACTTCTTTTTCTTTTTTTTTTTTTTTTTTTTTTTTTTGAGACGGAGTCTCGCTCTGTCGCCCAGGCTGGAGTGCAGTGGCGGGATCTCGGCTCACTGCAAGCTCCGCCTCCCGGGTTCAAGGCCATTCTCCTGCCTCAGCCTCCCAAGTAGCTGGGACTACAGGCGCCCGCCACTACGCCCGGCTAATTTTTTGTATTTTTAGTAGAGACGGGGTTTCACCGTCTAAACAGACTTCTAAAGTCATGAGCATCAATCAGATTTGCAAAGCATCCACAGATAGAGGATCCTATATACTGGCTTTAAGCATTAGATTTGGCTTTAAGTAACTAATTCCGCATCACATGAACCACCATCAACAAACAGGTTATATGTATGAGTCTATGTTCCTTTGAAATAATGACTAACCAGTTCGATTTTACAGCTGATTATATTCCTAGAAAAAAAATTTATTCATGAAGTGTTATGAGATATCTCAAATAATGAAGTTCAAAGTAAAATGTAGGTAATGCCATTTTATACTGTATTAACCTACATTCCATATCCTACTTAGCTGTTCTTTAAAAAAGCTGTTCTTTTGAAAAGCTGTTCATTAACCATTTTTGTTCTATTAAAAATATGAAATTGATGTTTGTTTTCAAACACTTTTGGGAACTAGATGCAGGGTGGATTTTTGATAATTGTCTACTTTTTTGCTAACAATACTTAAGTATTTTTTTAAGTTAATATACACACCGCACACACAATTATTTGTCAAAGTGGTAAGTCCTCATGGTTAAAGATTCAAGAAGAATGAAATAAAACTTGCAATGCAAACATAAATCTCTTGGGCTCTACTCTTTCCCACCCACGATTTCAACTATTTTTTATTTCTTTTCCCACCTCTTTTGAAAATATAATTACTAGCTATTTTTGGTTCTGATCTGGGTTACTTTGTATCTTTAAATAATAAATTTCAACATCTGCTACTGTTTCATAAGATTTTGTCAGTATTTGATAATCTACCTTGTAATCAAATATTCATTATCTTTTACTCTATCACCCCTGCCTTTCCTTTACCTCTAAATTTTCTTCTTTATTTTGGATCTTTAGGTATTGTAAACTCTGTATTTCAGCTTGTTACCATAGATCTTCTTTTATACTATGTATACAGGGTAATCCTAAAATTGGTAAACTGTTGAACAGTCAGTAGTTTATATTAAATATGTTAATCACATAAAGTACGCAGCACAAGTATTTTGATAATTTTCCCTTAGGTATTATGACTTTTTATGGCATGTAAGTAACATTGCCATATGTATTATTCTTTCTAATACTCCATCAATTTCTCAAATTCTCCCATTATTTACTATGTTTTACATTTTTAATAAAATTTCCTGATTTTTTTTTTTCTCTTATGTTATCAACTTTTCTTTCATTAAAAAAAATAGATTCAGGGAGTACCTATGTGCAGGTTTGTTACCTGGTTACATTGTTTGATGCTAAGCTTTGGGATATGAGTGATTCTATCAGCCAGGTACTTAGCCTAGTACCTAATTGTTTTTCAACCCTTGCCTCTCTACCACCCTTCCCTCTCAAATAGTCCCCAGTTTCTACTGTTGCCATCTTCATATAATGAGTATCCAATGCTTAACTCCGACGTAAGTGAGAACATGTGTTATTAGGTTTTTTTGTCCCTATATTAATTCACATAAGATAACGGCCTCCAGCAGAACCCATGTTGCTGCAAAGAAAATTATGTTGTTAGTTTTTATGGCCTCACAATAATCCATGGTGTGTATGTACCACATTTTCTTTATCCAGCCTATCATTGATGGACACCTAGGTTGAATCCATATGTTTGCCACTGTGAATAGTGGTGCAATGAATACGCAAGTACATGTTTCTTTTTGGCAGATGACTTTCTTTATTCTTATTGCTTGGAGGAACAATTTTTTCTGTATTTTTGGTTTAGTTGAAATATACCCCTGTTTCTCATTCAATTCTATTAACCCATTATTCTTCAAACTCACTTTCTTTGTGTTCTTATTGAGGTTGGGAACTATATACTTGGATAATATCATTTAATGTGGATATTTTTTGACACTGGTTCTCTTGCATTACTATGTAAAGCTAATAGATTTTTTTCTGTAATAAGTTATTCATTTTTTTATCTTATTGTTAACTATTTTTTTTTTGTAGAAGGAATGAACTATGAAAAGGTCTAAAGCTGATCTTTTTTGGATCCACTGCTTGGAGTAGAAAATGTATTGAATTTTTCTTTTTTTTTTTGGCTCTTTTTTATTTATTTATTTTATTATTATACTTTAAGTTCTAGGGTACATGTGCACAACGTGCAAATTTGTTACATATGTATACATGTGCCATGTTGGTGTGCTGCACCCCTTAACTTGTCATTTACATTCGGTATATCCCCCAGTGCTATCCCTCCATCCTCCCCCATGCCCCGACAGGCCCCAGTGTGTGATGTTCCCCACCCTGTGTCCAAGTGTTCTCATTGCTCAATTCCCACCTATGTGTATTTATGAACACATACTACTGATATATTTCTATATTAATAATATATTTCTATATTAATAACTGTATAGTAAAGGTATTTATCCTAGAAATGTATTAGTAGTATGTGTTCATAAATACCCAAGTAGATAAATCTTTTCAATAAATTTTGATAGCCTTTATTATGAAGCTGTCTGTACATTGTAGTTGTCATTTTTTTGTATTTCATATATGAAAGATTGTTTCATTTCCTTAGCAAAGGATCAAAATACAAATTTTAAAATCTGCATAAATATCAAGCTCAATTGGGCTAAAAAAAGGCTCTGGGGTTTATAATGCTTAACCTTCCTAAACCAATAATAATTCTGAACATCTTGACTTAGAGGCAAAATGGAATGTGATATAAATATAATTATTAAAAACCCAACTTTCTACAAAGAGGGCACCCAATGAAGATGACGAAAAGTGCTCCTAGATTGTGGAAATCTGATTTTTTACTGTAGGATGTCTTTTAGGCTAATGCAACCTTTCCATTTTGGGTCAATCCAGCCCTTTCTATCACATGAGAACTTCATACTGGTTAATTGATCTTCACAGAGCCTCTTACACACTGAAAGCATGGTGCAATGGATTGGGAATTAGAATTAAACTGAATTTTACTTTAGCTTTCTTCCATGTAGGTAGTCTAACCACCCTTTTCTTTTAAATATCAACTTGGTAAAGGAGAATTAAGGTCAACACATTGGACAATATTACTGACTGATCTCATTCGGAAATAAAACTGATACTCAAGTGTTTTAAATGAGGTTATTACATTCAACAATGCACTTGAGTATATACAGGAGACACTTTTATTTTCAACATAAAAATGACCTTTTAAAGAAAACATTCAACATTCTGAATCAGTATCCCTTTTTTAAATGGGAATCAGGGAGCTAAATAATACAATTGACTTGAAAAAATTTTAAAAAACTTTGAGCTGTCTAGAAATAGCCTTGTATTTTTTTCTCAAAGGAAAACATCTAATTTTATTCAACAACCTAGTATTTAGCACCTTATTATCTATGAATTTTCTTATTATACTTAGAATCAAAACCTTTATACTTTTAGGTACTTTAAGTTCTGAAACAGTTGGTGTTATAATTTTATATACATCTATATAAACAATAGAAATTACTTAAACAGTAGATATTTTCATTGCTTTTTAGAGTACAATTTGTTCACCTCTTTTAGGCTGAAAAATTGTCTTAAAGTCAGTTCTTTAAAATTTCTGCACAGATCGTGTGCAGGCCATGCCATAGCTTTTCTTTTCTTTTCTTTTCTTTTTTTTAATGTAGGCTTAGCCACAGACAACCTCAATTATATCTAGTAGTTTTTTGGTGTTGGCCCGTAGCCAATAACACAGTACAAGAAAGCTGAACTGAGACTATTGCTAATGTCACTATTTTTTTAAATACAAATAAACTGAGCGGGGTCAGTATCACAACACTCTTTTCAGTAATGTCATACTCTATGTTTCGTATGTCAACTATTCTTTCAGGGCTCTCTTCTTCACCCCACAGTGCTTATTCCATGTACTTGCACTTGTTTAAGAATAAACTGATGATAAAAAAGAGCAAATTAGGCACATAAGCATTTTGTATAAATTTCTATAATAAGCAGTTATCCAAAAAAGTGATCTTTCATAGGGATGTATTATTTCTGCCACTGATGTATACATTTAGAGCTTAAAGTATAATTGTTGATATCACTTGTTTATAGCCAGTAAATCATGATTATAAACATCACGTTAGGTAGAATGAGAAAGAAGTAGGTTTTCAATGTATAAAAGTCTCTGCGAAGATCAATTAACCTCTATGAAGTCCTCCTGAGAAGAAAACATAGGTAATAATGTATATATATCAAGGTATGAATTAAAACAATAAAATAGAGCTTTCTAAATACCAAATGAGTCCTGGCATTAAACAAAAATATATATGATTTATATACAGAGTTTGAATCCCAACAGCCAATGAAGTACCCCAGGGATGTCTACATTAGCATGTGGCTTTAGTTTTATATAATATGAGGTAATGGAAAATTGAATAACAGTATAAAATGTGACTCGAGTAATGGTTTCACATAAGCTAAAGAGTTTCCATCGCCCAGTGTCATGTGCTTTTGTACTGTCTTTTCAATTATACTGATTTATAGTGTTCCATTGATGGATTCCTTTGATACATGATAATGTCATGCTTTTCTAAATCAGCTTACTAAGATGGGGGCATTGCAAGAACCAAGAAAAAATTCCTTAGTAGCCCACAAAATAATTATATACTTCTTCTCAAGTAAAGGAGTTATTTCAAAACCATATACTGAAAAGCTGTTAATTAAAACATCACTATGATGTTTCTATTTTGAAAAATCTATCTAATAAAACTATCATAAAGTGTATGTGCTTTTAAGAAAAGAACAAAATTGGTAATTATCTAGATATCACTTCATAGGAATGTTTGAATACAGAATATATCTTTTACTATTTACCTGTATCTTTTGTTCATTCTAGAAATATTCAATTCTACTTTTTATTCTGTTACAACTAAATTCACATTACGTATCATCATATCCCCACTGAATATCTCTGTGAACTGTAATTTACAGACTCAAGCACATATAGAGCATTCAGACAAGTATTTTATCTATTACAGTTTACTTTTAACCAATATGAGCAGTCATATTTCATTTAAAAATAAACTTCTGTTTTTGACATTTATGAATAAGTGGACAATGTGCAAAATTGACCTTTTTTACACATTTAATAATTATGTGTATATTTATTGCTAAGGGCTCTTTTTGCCAATTGTCACACTGGATCATCTTCTATTTTGTATTATATCACAAGCAGGTCAGGAATCTAGTTCTGGGCATCTTAACATACCGGTACACTCTGCATTATCTATTTCTCTCAGAAATACATATGGTTTGGTTTCCCTCCATGTTACAAGCACACAAATATGAAGAAATCAAGTCAGTATTGATTTACACCACAGATAATTATAGATGAATGTGTGAGAAGGCTCTCTAATAGAATTCTGTCAATCAACTCCAGGCCAAACTTTCTCATTATGTGTTTGCTGAAACTATATGATGGAATTTGTCTGGTGACATTTCAGGGATAGTGACTTTGATTTCAAAGGAAATGTTTCAGGTTCATTTCATTACCTTAGAAAAGTAAAAGCAAATTTGCCTTATAAAAAGCAATTACTTCTTAGCTGACCAGTGCACAATAGCAATATAAGAGAGATTTCTCATTCCACTATTTAAATTCTGAACCAGCAAACTAGTGTTTGATTTTGCTTTAAGCCAATTTTACTGTGTTTGAATTGCAAAAGCATTTAATCTTCGTAAAGTAGGTCATTATAATGGAGATCATATTGTATTGGTATGGAATACCAGGTAAGGGACAATAAGGTGCTGGTATTTTAAAAGTATTTATGACATTCTAAAAACAATATTTGGTAGAAAATATTTATGAACATTTCAAGAAATACAGAGAACATATTGTAAATGGACATTGCATGATTATCAGCTTCTGCAGTTACACTTTTATTTATTTCAAATCATAGTTCTGTGAAATTTTAACTGAGTATTAAAAGTATTTTAATCTACAGTCAATATAATGACTATTATGAATAAAATATTAGAAAAACCTGATCAACTTTTTTTTTTTTTTTTTTTTCTTGAGACGGAGTCTCTGTCACCCAGGCTGGAGTGCAGTGACGCAATCTTGGATCGCTGCAAGCTCCGCCTCCCGGGTTCACGCCATTCTCTTGCCTCAGCCTCCCTAGTAGCTGGGACTAAAACTGCCCGCCACCACACCCTGCTAATTTTTTGTATTTTTAGTATAGACGGGGTTTCACCATGTCAGCCAGGATGGTCTCCAACTCCTGACCTCGTGATCCGCCCGCCTCAGCCTCCCAAAGTGCTGGGATTACAGGCGAGAGCCACCGCACCTGGCCACCTGATCAAATTTTACTCACAATTTCATCAATACTTTAAATGTATGCTCCATAATAAAAACATTCTTAAAATAGGTTTTTAATTTAAATACTAGTTCACAAGTTAGAAAAATAGAGGTAGCATCCAGAGAGCCAATTGCTAGTATGCATGCATTTATTAACCTTCAGTATCAAGTCTAATAAAGGGTTAGAGGAAATCTACTAATCATAAAAATTGTTCTATGAGTATTATACAGGACAAAAACATAAAATTTGAGATTAACAAACAGAAAAAATGTAAGGCTTAGTTAGTCAAAACAAGATGATTTTTGTTTATAGTGCTGATAAAGAGCTTTGTTTAAACAATCTCAAAAATAAATCTCCAGTGAAGAATATGAAAAGAGAAAAAGTATCAACAAATTAAAAAAATTCAAATATAGATGAAGTTTGTCTCTAAATTCAAATAAGCTTTAAATGTATGACATTGGAAATAGTAAAAATTATGGTATTAACACAAATGTTAGAATTTTAAATAATAAAAATTGAAGAATGTATTTATTTATATACTTATTTGTGAGTATCAGAATCTCAAGGGCAGAAGGTTAGAATATCTCATGTTATTTTCTGCCAAAGTCTTTATTATTTTACACTATTTGAATGCAAATCAAAGTATTTCTTACAGTTTGAGGTAATAGATTATTTACATACCACTATGTGCTAATAAACGTTTAAAATTTTTCTTTCAATAATATTTTGATTAGAGCCATCAATTATGATTCATTTTTTTGTCGATGAAGCTACAATAAAGTTATATACATTGAATAACTATCAGTGAATCCTTAGTGCTATAAAAAATGTATCATTAAATCTAACAGGTATATTTGAGTCTTATCTGTATGAGTACAAAAGAAAACTATGAATAAAAATGATCTATGGCTGTCACCATATAGAATAAGAAAAACGTAGAAAGCTTTCATATTCTTTTCAGGATGTAAATAACCCAAAGACAATAAGTCCAATGAGATAGAGGGGAATAAAGATAAGTTAGCTAAGTGATAGTGGAAGAATATGGGAATAGTGCTTGAGTCAAACAAAGAGACTTTCATGATCAATTGGGATAAATGACATAGGCACATGGAACATGTACAGGTAACAAAAAACATTGTTAGTGGATAGAAGAGAAGTTCACAATTGAAATTCTAAATTAAGATAAATACTTGCCAATGTACTTAAAAACAATGTAGACACAAGTTAGAATTGTTTTTAAGATCAGACTTTTTCATGAACTTAAGAAAATTAGTATCAATAATATATTTGAGACTATTTAGTGAAGTGAAAATAGTTACTTTCAGATATTTTAAAATAGGAATCAAAAGACAGAAGATTCCACAAAGAAAGAAACTTTTTTTAAAGAATAAGAAAATATACATTTTGCCTATAGCCCCACATGATTAAGAAAAATATATCAGGAGCATCTTAAATGTTTTCTCTCCTTTTGAAGCTCTTTTTAATTTAATTTTTTTTATTATACTTTAAGTTTTAGGGTACATGTGCACATTGTGCAGGTTTGTTACGTATGTATACATGCACCATGTTGGTGTGCTGCACCCATTAACTCGTCATTTAGCATAAGGTATATCTCCTAATGCTATCCCTCCCTGCTCCCCCCACCCCACAACAGGCCCCAGTGTGTGATGTTCCCCTTCCTGTGTCCATGTGTTCTCATTGTTCAATTCCCACCTATGAGTGAGAACATGTGCTGTTTGGTTTTCTGTCCTTGCGATAGTTTGCTGAGAATGATAGTTTCCAGCTTCATCCATGTCCCTGCAAAGGACATGAACTCATCCTTTTTTATGGCTGCATAGTATTCCATGGTGTTTACGTGCCATATTTTCTTAATCCAGTCTATCATTGTTGGACATTTGGGTTGGTTCCAAGTCTTTGCTATTGTGAATAGTGCCGCTATAAACATACATGTGCATGTATCTTTATAGCAGCATGATTTATAATCCTTTGGGTATATACCCAGTAATGGGATGGCTGGGTCAAATGGTATTTCTAGTTCTAGATCCCTGAGGAATCGCCACACTGACTTCCACAATGGTTGAACTAGTTTACAGTCCCACCAACAGTGTAAAAGTGTTCCTATTTCTCCACATCCTCTCCAGCACCTGTTGTTTCCTGACTTTTTAATGATCGCCATTCTAACTGGTGTGAGATGGTATCTCATTGTGGTTTTGATTTGCATTTCTCTGATGGCCAGTGATGATGAGCATTTTTTCATCTGTCTTTTGGCTGCATAAATGTCTTCTTTTGAGAAGTGTCTGTTCATATCCTTCACCCACTTGTTGATGGGGTTGTTTTTTTTTTCTTGTAAATTTGTTTGAGTTCATTGAAGATTCTGGATATTAGCCGTTAGTCAGATAAGTAGATTGCAAAAATTTTCTCCCATTCTGTAGGTTGCCTGTTCACTCTGATGGTAGTTTCTTTTGCTGTGCAGAAGCTCTTTAGTTTAATTAGATCCCATTTGTCAATTTTGGCTTTTGTTGCCATTGCTTTTGGTGTTTTAGACATGAAGTCCTTGCCCACGCCTATGTCCTGAATGGTATTGCCTAGGTTTTCTTCCAGGGTTTTTATGGTTTTAGGTCTAAATCCATCTTGAATTAATTTTTGTATAAGGTGTAAGGAAGGGATCCAGTTTCAGCTTTCTACATATGGCTAGCCAGTTTTCCCAGCACCATTTATTAAATAGGGAATCCTTTTCCCATTTCTTGTTTTTGTCAGGTTTGTCAAAGATTAGATAGTTGTAGATATGTGACATTATTTCTGAGGGCTCTGTTCTGTTCCATTGGTCTACATCTCTGTTTTGGTACCAATACCATGCTATTTTGGTTACTGTAGCCTTGTAGTATAGTTTGATGTCAGGTAGCATGATGCCTCCAGCTTTGTTCTTTTGGCTTAGGATTGACTTGGCAATGCGGGCTCTTTTTTGGTTCCCTATGAACTTTAAAGTAGTTTTTTTCCAATTCTGTGAAGAAAGTCATTGGTAGCTTGATGGGGATGGCATTGAATCTATAAATTACCTTGGGCAGTATGGCCATTTTCACGATATTGATTCTTCCTACCCATGAGCATGGAATGTTCTTCTATTTGTTTGTATCCTCTTTTATTTCATTGAGCAGTGGTTTGTAGTTCTCCTTGAAGAGGTCCTTCACATCCCTTGTAAGTTGGATTCCTAGGTATTTTATTCTCTTTGAAGCAATTGTGAATGGGAATTCACTCATGATTTGGCTGTTTGTCTGTTATTGGTGTATAAGAATGCTTGTGATTTTTGCACATTGATTTTGTATCCTGAGACTTTGCTGAAGTTGCCTATCAGCTTAAGGAGATTTTGGGCTGAGACAATGGGGTTTTCTAGATATACAATCATGTCATCTACAAACAGGGACAATTTGACTTCCTCTTTTCCTAATTGAATACTCTTTATTTCCTTCTCCTGCCTGATTGCCCTGGCCAGAACTTCCAACACTATGTTGAATAGGAGTGGTGAGAAAGGGCATCCCTGTCTTGTGCCAGTTTTCAAACGGAATGCTTACAGTTTTTATTTTTTTAGAAAGCTGATTGTGTAAAATAACTGAGAGAAAAATTCCTGACAAATGTCTCTCATCTTTTTCTTATAAATAGAGGAAGTATAATATTGTTAATGATAATGTATTTCAAGTTACTTAGTTATTCAGGCATTAGAAATAAAGTATGTATACAAACTCTAGTAGTGGTGTCCTTAACAATAATAATATATTTTCATTATTATTTAATAAATTTTTGATACCTCATTATTTCCTTGTGGCTTAATCATAAATCAATCAGCTTCCCCAGATTCAACTCCAGAAAACTTACATTCTGAACTCAACGTTACCCAATATTCCCCCAGTATAGTACATACTCCAGTACTCCCATGACTTTGCTCCTAATTTTCTCTTTGCTTTACATACTTCTGAAATGTACATTAAACATTACTTTCTTTGTAAATCTGTGCCTGCTTTCATTAGGTAGGATTAGCTACTACACATTCATGTTTCTTTCAAGCCTCTGTATAAGCATATTTTGCATAAAATAATGCAATTTACTCTCCCAAGTTTCTATGAATTTGTGCGGGGGCAGAAGTTTTCTTATTCAATGCTATAACCTTAACACGCACCACAGAGCCTGATGTGCATTACCCTGTGATGACTAATACAATAATTACAGATGTTAACTACTAACATACAATAATAACTACTGATTAACAGTTGTGATAACACTTGTCCACTAAGTTCTTTACAATTATTTCTCATTTAATTCATCCAACAACTCTACACGATTGATACCATTATTATCTCTACATTATTGCAGAAGAAACTAAGGCAAACAGAAGTAGTGTAACTTATATATAGATGTTTGATGAATATGGATACAACTCCAAAGTAGTCAGATTGAATTGTTTTTCCTCTATGTGCAACTTTCCAGTTCAGTATAACTAAAGACAACTGTATCTCTAAGATTGAGAGAATTTACCACAATTGAGGCTCCTCAAGATCTTTGAAAGATCATTTGGGCAAAAATGACATTTGGAGAAAAAAGTGATAAACAGTCCGCTAAAAGTTACTTCCCTGGAATAAAATTTAGACACTGCATCTGGGCATCATTTAACCAGCTTTGATCAGGGTATTTTCATGATAGAACTGTTTTTAACCTACCAAAGTACCATTTCATTTGCTCTCCTGGCTTGTTCTGCTTATAAAAACAACCAACCAAGGAAAAAAATAAAAAACAAAAACCAGAAAAACAGCATACAAAAACACAGATGGTGCTTGGCCCTGAGTCCCTACATCATCAGCAGCAAGGACTCATTCCCATCTCCCACCAAAAGCTGACCCAAAATTTTGAAATTTGGACCCTCAGCCCATTTAATTATTTACCTACCTGTGAGCTCCAAATCAGATTAGTACCACAAACTTCTGTCATGAGATGAGCAAGATTAGTTTCCGGATTTTTATTTCATTCTCACTATAATTCATACTTCTTCAAATGTTCTGACAGAAAAAAATAAGTTTAGTAAGTTTGGCATTATTTCAATGGACATGGCTTATCTTCTACCCAATGTGAGATTCTGAGTCTTTTCCTAATGCTAAGTTAAAGGACAGTGGAGGCAACAACAAATAGACTTTTCAGATCCCAGTATGTTTAAAAAAAATTTAAAAAAAGAAAGAAAATGAAGAAAAAAGGAAGATTTAACTCAAGATTTTAGTGAAAAAGAAAACTCCACAAAGAAACGCTAACTTTTAACACTTGCAAACATTTAAAACATATGAAAACAGATAAGTTGTCCCTAAAGAATGTGTTGTTTTAGTATTGAAAATGAAGTAATGGAATATTGCAAGTAACGATCACATACAGCATAAAACTTATCAAATATGACAATTTTATGATTTCTACAATGATATATGTTCCAAATTTAAGATCTGCTATTCTAGATATACATTATATTCTATCTAATTGCCAATAATTTAAAAATATTTTTCCAAAGCAGAAGATCTAAATAATTGCTCAACTTAATTAACTAATAAAGAGTTCTAATAAGTTACTGAACTTCCTGTTTCCATGCAATATAATTCATTTGCATGTCTGAAAATCAGGTCATCTACTTTTTGACTATTTCATTTTTTTTTTTGGCTGATGCATCTATTCTTTGTCAATACAAAATATAGCCTCTGAGAGTCTCATTTAAGATTTTCTATCAACTTTTCTGAAAATCAAGTGAACGTTGTTTGTGTCACTGCAAAATGACTTGTTCTGCTGAAATTTTTCTAAGAATGAAATTAAAAAGACATACCATACCATAAGAATCTCACAGGGGAATAGTAAACAAAGAGCAAGACAAGTGCAGGTATCTATTTTCAAGAGACTAGAGGACAATATTAATGTGACACACTGGCATTTGGAAGCCACAAAAGAAGCCTTGGCATTAAGTATTCTTATCTAAAAACAGCAATCAGAAGCCAAGTGAGCAATAATAAAATAAGAAGCTGCAACAATAAGCAAATGAATGAATACAAACATCACAGTAACCTAGAAGACGTTATTACCAAAATAATGTTCAGATCTTACTTCAAATAACATCTACACTTTTTAAAGAAGAAGATTCAATCTCAGAGAAACTGGTTTGGTTTCTCAGCTGGGAATATTTATTTGGTCATACTAAACAATTGAGCCAGTGGATCAGCAGTAGCTGATTGCAAGATTCTTAAGTAGACACACATTACATTTCGTAGGGGATCAAAATATGTCATTCTCAAGTATGCTAATTAGGCATAAGATTACTTTGAACTGGAAATACATAAGATTTAACAGATGCAGAAATCAGCCTTCCAAAGCTTTCCTTATTTGATTAAAATCAGAAAATTCCAAAAAATGATGACTGCTATAAAATCCCCTCTCCTAGGGAAGTTTTATGGCCATAAAAAACAAAGTAGGCACCAAGGTGGGCTATACAAATACTTCATTAGTTTCTCCCACATGTACTTACCCCCTGATGGTTTACTGCCTTGAAATCCTAAAAGCCTTTTACTTTATCGTCGTATTTGTCTACATATTTATTGTTCTTTGCTAAGATGTGATACAAGCCCAAGGTCTAACCACTCCTTTGAATTACTTATCACTGAGGTTTCTCCCATGTGATATGTGTTAAACATAATAAACTGTTTATTTTTCTCTTGATAATCTGTCTTTTGTCAATCTAATTCACAGGCTCCCAAACAATAAACCTAAGATGGGTATTGATATGGTTTGGCTGTGTCCCCACACAAAATCTCATATTGAATTGTAATCCGAATTGTAATCCCCACATGCTGGGTGAGGGAACTCATAGGAGGTGATTAGATCGTGGAGGTGTTTTCCCTACACTGTTCTCATGATAGAGAGTGAGTTCTCAGGAGATCTAATGGTTTTATAAAGGACTTTTCCCCACTTTGCTTGCACTTCTCTCTCCCGTTGCCATGTGAAGTAGGATGTGTTTGCTTCCCCATCTGCCATAATTGCAAGTTTTCTGAGGTCTCCCCAGCCATGGGGAAATGTGAGTCAATTTAATATCATTTTTTTAAATATAAATTGCCCAGTCTTGGGCAGTTCCTTATAGCGAGAATCAACTAATACAGGTACTGAAAAACAGTTTTATTTTTTCTTAACTACACTTTTAGCCATTTACATGTAACAGATCCACGCCATCATCAGGAAGGGAGATATTGTGTTAAATCTGCTTTTTGTGACAATAAGTATTGAGTGCTAAAAGGGATTATAAGAATCATCTAGTACAACGTCCTCATTGTGTTATTGTAAAAAGACAGTCAAAAAGCCAAATTACATAGGTAAATGCAGTTTAAAGTTGAATCAAAAACAGTTGGCTAGAACCCAATTCTCAATTCTCTTGAATCCTTCTTTTATTTTTTTCTTTTCTTTCTTTTTTTTTTTTAAATGATTATACCACAGTGTCCTCTCTACCACATTGGCAAGTGGCAATCTTTCTTTTTCCTAGACTAAAAGTGAAACTACACTTCAATGTCATAGGTTAAAAGGATATAATAAAGCTGGCTTTGGTGAAAATTAATATTTTGGCTATTCCTCCAATTTCAAATATAATAGATATCTATACAAAGATCTTTCTTTTTTGACAACTTAAGTAATAACTTTATAAAATATTAGGTCTATACCCTGCTGCTATTGTAATAGACTTTTGCTGCAATCTTTTGGTATTGTACAGTTTCAAAAGAACACTATATCTTCTGATACCCTGTGAAATAAAAATAACAATTTTCTTTAGCACAATTATTTTTCCAGTGGAAATGCTGAAAATTAAAAGCATATTAATATGTTTCTACTGTTAGTGAGTTGCTTTTGCTTCTTTTGGGACAGAGAGTAATGAATGAGCACTGAGGTATTGAGGGCTCCTGCAGTTAATAGCCAGAGAAGGTCTTAATTTAAGATACTCAAAACTGCTGTTATAGGACGTCTGAAGTAGTCTGTGGAATCCAAATTAAAATTGAGTTTATTTTATCTGTTGTATAAATTAGAGGTAGAGCTTAAACTTTATTGCAATAAGTAAAAATTCAATATCAAATTTAATCTGGCACTTGCTTGGTTGGTCTCACCTGTCTTCAAAATGCTCATTGGAAACTGTTAGGAAATAACTGTTGTAGTATTAGAGGTAATTCTGTAATTAATTAAAAATACAGTGCAATTGTGACTACACCTGGAATGGATATCTATCCTGTAAATCATATCAAAGAGAAGTATATAGAGGAAAAATTTATAGAAGGAAATGAAGAAGACTGGTCATGCTACAATTGAATGGAAAAATTGATAACAGTTTCAGAAAAGACAGACTAATGTGCTAATTCAACTTTGAACATTGGGCAGATGATACTGTATGAAGGGTGATATAAGGAAGAGAAATTTCCCTAGATAATTTCGGATTACAACAACAAACATAGTAAAATCATTATGATATAGTTGTGACACTATAGTAAAAACAATCTTACATTTGTTCTGTAATTTTAAATAGAGTAAATGTATATACATATATATTATTTCTTTACTAGATTTCAAATACCTAGTTTCTTTCTAAAAGAAAAAAACAAAGTAATGTACTATAAACCATACATATTGAAATTGTACAAATTGACAGGCATTGACATATGGATACATGGATACAATCATGAACCTATCATCGCAATTAAGATAATGAACATTGTTATCATTTCAAAGGGATCCCTTTTGTCTCTTTGCAATGCATTCTACCCTACATAATGTCCAGAACCAGGTTATTGCATTCTGTTGCTATAGATTCCACTTTATTTTTTCAGAATTGTATCTGGAGTCACACAGTCTGTATTATTTGTATTTGATTGCTTTTCTCACTACAATGATTCAGGGATTCATTCATGTTGTTTTGTTTGTCAATTGTTTGTGCCTTTTTGCTGCTGAAAAATACTCAATTAAATGAGCATACCACAAATTATCCACTCAGCTGTTGAAGAACTTTATTTGTTTGTTTGTTTTTTCTTCTAGATTTTGGTTGTTACAACTAAAGTTACTATGAACAATTGTGTAGGATATTTGTGTGAACATTTGATCTTTAATTTTTTTATTTTTATAATTTTTTTCTACTATTTTTGCTTTATCAATTTCTACTCTTATTTTCATTTTTTTTTTCTGCTTACTTTATGTCTTTTGCTTATTTAGTTTCCTAAGGTACAGACAGGTTTTATTTTTTAAACTAATTTTCTAAAACGTTAGGCTGGTGCAAAAATAATTGCAGTTTTGCGTTAACAACTTTTGCACTAACCTAACAGTTGTTTAACACTATAAACACCTCTCCCAGGATTTCTTTTGCTACATCCCAACCCATGACATATTTTAAGTTGTAGTTTTTGTTTGTTTGTTTGATTGTTTGTTTTGAGACGGAGTCTCGCTCTGTCGCCCAGGCTAGAGTGCAGTGGCGTGATCTCCACTCACTGCAAGCTCTGCCTCCCGGGTTCACGCCATTCTCCTGCCTCAGCCTCCCAAGTAGCTGCGACTACAGGCACCCGCCACCATGCCCAGCTAATTCTTTTGTATTTTTAGTAGAGAGGGGGTTTCACTGTGTTAGCCAGGATGGTCTCAATCTCCTGACTTCGTGATCCGCCCGCCTCGGCCTCCCAAAGTGCTGGAATTACAGGCGTGAGCCACCGTGCCAGGCCAGGTTGCAGTTTTAATTGTTTGAAATATTTCCTGATTACTTTGCAATTTTTTGAACATAACGTTTCTTTTTAAAAACACTCTCAATTCTGTTTTATTGATTTATATGTCCGTCCATTTGCCAGCATTACATTGTTTTGCTTACTGTTGCTTTGTATTAAGTTTTGAAATGATAAGTGTGAGTCCTACTACTTTGTTAGTCTTTATCAAGCTATATTCCACTATTTTGAAACCCTTACAATTCCATATGAACTTTAAAATCAATTTGTCAATTTCTATAAATACATCATCTTTGATTCTGGTAGTGATTATGTTAAATTTGTAGATCAATTTGAAGAGTATTGCCATTTTAACAGGTTAAATTGTCCAATGCATGCACACGGAATGATTTTCCCAATTACCTAGATTTTCTTTTAATTTCTCTGAAAAACATTTTGTGGTTTAAGAGTATGTACTGCACTTCTTTTGTTAAATTTGTCCATTTAAGTATTTTAACCTTTTTGGTGCTATTAAAAATGGAATTTGTTTTTAAATTTTATTTTTGGATTGTTTATTTGTAGTGTGTCTTTGACTTTTAGCATTTTTATTATCATGTGTCTATGTAGATCGTTTTGCATTTGTCTTGTTTATTATAACTACTTTAGCATGTTTATGTGTATAAAATATAATTTATATATATATGTTAATCTGACATTGTTTTTCTAAGGCTGTTTATGTTGCCTGTTTTTTGTTGTTGTTGTTGTTGTTTGTTTGTTTCTTTCCGTGGTGAGGCAGGAAAATACGGTCTGGAGGCAGAGAACATAAGGCCAATTTACACTTCAGCTATGACAGGAAGTATCTTCTCCATAGGGCATATGCTGTAAATGACTTTGTAACTTTACTTCATCCTCTCCATTCACATACAGCCTACCCCAAGTAACTAATGGAATCTGCTAGGTGGTATTGAAACTTTTAAAAATTCTGTAACAGGGCCTTTGGGCCTCTGTGATCAAGCCTGCTCCCACACTGTGGCAAGTATTTCATTTTCAATAAAACCCTTCATTCCTTCCTTGTTTTGTTTGTACGTTTTGTCCAATTCTTTGTTCAAGATGCCAAGAACCTGGACACCCTCCAGTTTCTTTTCATGCCTGATAATGTTTTGTTGAAAATCATTTTAGATAATATATTGTAGCAACACAAACCCACCCCTTTGGGACTTGTTGTTTTGCTTGTTTATCTGTATACTTACTAACTGAATTATTCTAGTGAAGTCTACTTTTCCACCTACAATGTTTAGACTCTGATTTTTTTCCTCTGAGAAGGGAAGCATCCCAGAGTCATCCTGATGTGATAATTTCTAGGTAGGGATAACTTCTTTCCCTCACCACACTTAGTTATGGTACTTCACTAATTGCAACTCATTGCTTTATTATTTTCAACAATGCCCTCAGGAGTAAATTCCTCTACACACTAATCCATTTACATTCTGGCTTCTTTGAAAGTATAATTTCTGAGATCAATGTTTTATTTTCGTTCTGACTCTAGGAGGACTCTTCCTAGCTGTATTATTTCCTGTTTTCTTTCTTTTTTTTTTTTTTCTAGAAAACTGGGTAGCTTATAGTTTATCTCATAAATTAAATCTCTTTCTAACCGCCTATCACCAGAATCTTCATTTCCTCATTCTCTTTCAACTGAGGTTAGTTTATTGAGAGGATATTATAAACACTCTGTTTTATGGTCTGTTTCTTCCCCAGGCAAAATTTCTGAGCCATGGCTTTGTAGCTGGAGGTGGAGGCAATGGAAAACTTTTTTTCTGAGTGACACTGCTACTATAGGAGTAAAGAAATTACTGGACAGATGTCAGGATCCAGGGGTCTTCTCAGTTGCCTCTCCTACTGTGAAAATGGCAAAATGATCAGGGCCCCAGTATTGTCAGCGCACCACACTCAAGGTAATACCTCCATCATGCAAGTGGAAATTGGACAAGAAAAGGGATCCTTCATCTCTTAACTATGCTTATGGGGAACTAGCCTCAGCAACGTGTAGCAGTAGGCATGAAGAGAAACACATTCTGCTCTTCCTTGGAAGAAATTCCTCTGTCTGTGTTAACTGTGTTATTACTACAGCTGACTGAAATGAAGTCTTTATCTCTCCGAGCTACAAGCGGTGAAGGAGAGACCCTTGGTTCAAATACCAGACTCTTGCCTTTCTTACTGAATTTGCATAGATGTTCTGGAGTATATATTCATTTGCTGTTTACCCTAAGATCATTTCTAGAGACTTCAAATGGTGGTTCCTTTTTTTTTTTATATACAGCTCTTCTGAGTTTCACTGGAGAGAGGCTTATACTGGTTATGCTTGAAATCAATCTTCTGTGTGTTTTTTCAGCTTTCAAATATTTGAGGATTTTGAGTCTTTTTGTATTTTTGAAATATGTAATTATTTTATCATCAGAACACATTCTATGTGTGATTTAAACCCCTTAAAATTTTTAGTATTTGTTTTGTTGTATAGAATACAGTCTATTTTAGCAAATATTTTATGTGCACTGAAAAAAATGTGTTGATTTGTCTGTTGATGGCTAAAATTTTCTAGACATATCAATTATGTCAAGGTAATTATTAGTGTTTGCCAAGTCTTCAATAGTCTTGTTGAATTTCTACGTGCATGCATTATTGAGGAAGGAGTGTTGAAATCTTACTAGCACTATAAATTTATTCATTTCTCCTTTTAATTTTAATTTCAAGTATTTTAAAAATCTGTTATTACATGCATAAACATATACTATTGCTGTGTCCTCTACATGAATTGACCCCTTACTCATTATGAAATGAACTTCTTTATCTCTGGTAATATTCTTTTCTTTATCTATTTTTTTCTTGTTTTTTCTTTTTTTGAGACAGAGTCTCGCTTTGTCGCCCAGGCTGGATGGAGTGCAGTGGCGTGATCTCGGCTCACTGCAAGCTCCGACTCCTGGGTTCATGCCATTCTCCTGCCTCAGCCTCCGGAGTAGCTGGGACTACAGGCGCTTGCCACGCCCGGCTAATTTTTTATATTTTTAGTAGAGACGGGGTTTCACCGTGTTAATCGGGATGGTCTCGATCTCCTGACCTCGTGATCCGCTTGCCTCGGCCTCCCAAAGTGCTGGGATTAAAGGCATGAGCCACCGCGCCCGGCCTATCTATTTTTTTCTAAAAATTAATATGGTTATTTCATTTTATTTTGGTGTTAGCATGATGTATCTTTTTCATTCCTTGTATATTTAAGCTTATTTAAAAGTTGGCCTTACATGAAAAATGGACTCCTTGTTGACAGTATATAGTTCGTTCTTGCTTTTAAAAGAATCAAACCTGGTAATCTCTGCATTTATGAAGCATGGCTTCAGCAATTTACGTTTAATATGATTATTATGGTTAAATATAAAATTTTGTTATTTCTTTTTTTTCCATCTGTGTGCACATCCTATTTGGAAAATTTTACCATATCTCAGAGCAATAGGATGTTAGATAACAATATATTTGTATCTTATACAAGTACATCAAGAAACAATACTGGAAACTATGTTTATATATAAGAAGTCAGATTACTATAATCTATTGGTGGCAAATGAAGCTTTCTGAACATCATACCAAAAACAAAACTTATAAAACCTATTAGGATGTTTAATAATGAAAGCATTTGGAGGTCAAAAATAATAATAAATAATAAAGCAAATGCTAGATTAAAAGTTAAATTACAAAAGTTTACAATCTTTACTTTCTGAGATTTTTACAAACCAAAACCAGAATCCTAATAAAGAAAAGAGAAGTAAAATACATTATTATGTCATCCACCACAGTAAGCAGAATTCAAGATTACATCTAATGAGAAATGTCCTTACATAATTCCCTTCCTCTATGTAATAGCTAAGCATATGTCTGTATCAAACCAATTGAATTTGGCAAAAGTATTGGCGTAGTCATTACACTGATAATTTCTTAGGTGGCTGGAAAGAGATTTTTCTGTTGACCTTGAAGAAGGAAGCTGCCATGTTCTGAGAAAGCCTGTGAGAGTGACATATGATAAAGAACTGGGAGCAACCTCTCAGACTTAAGAGTAGCCCTCGGCTATCAGCCAGCAAGAAAATGGAGCCAACAACCACCTGAGCTGGGAACAGAACCCTAAGCTTCAGAAAGAAATAATTGCCACCTTCATTTCAACCTGGGGAGACCAAAGAAGAGGACCTAAGTAACTCATGCATGGACTCTTGACCCACAAAAACTGCAATATAACAGATGCATGCTGTTTAAAACCACTAATTTTGTTATGCAACAATGAAAACAAATGCATTTGTAGTAGAATAAACCTTACCAAAATGCTCAAAGCCATCAAGAAAATATAATGAACAACAATAAATGAAACTTAAATGAATAAGGAGATGTCTTTAAGTAAACTTAAATGTGTTAAATGAACTTAAATGATGTCTTTAAATGTGTTTTAAGTGATCAAAGACATCAAAGATATGTCTTTGACCATTTAAAAACACATAAAATAATAACTTACATTAAATATTTATACTTGTATTTATGAATCTATAATTATTTTTATTATAATTACTATAACAGTGAAATTTTAATTTTTGTATTTGAATTATTACTACATATGTTGGTTTATAATTGTTATTTGAGTGCAACATAATGTGTTTTATTTTGTGACCATTTATATATAAATGTTACTCTTTCATTGCTTATAAGCTCCATGAGATGATGAGAGGTAAGAAGTCATTTTTGTCCGATGCTTAGTCAATATGTGTAGAAAGAAATATGTAAATAAAACTTACAGTGGGAAGTAATGTGGCTCTTTACACACAAGAATACTGTCTTTTTCAAACAATGTCTTTGAAAAAATTCATTATTCTGAATTACTAGTCTAGGTTTCTTTTCCATAGTTTGAAAAGGTGCTAACTTTAAAAAATATTGGGGATTGATTTAGCAACTTTTTTTTCCCCATGCAAAGTACCATTACCACTGAAAGGCACTAATTAAACTCAACTGAACCCTTGGGAAGCATTAGGCAGACAGAGTTGCCGCCTGCTGTGAGCCTAGTAAGCTCGGTTTAGGGGATATTATTAAAAAGGAAAAAGCAAGGCGATAGCTCTAAAGGTGGAATCAGTTGGAGTCACTCCACATACCATCAGTCCCTTCCCATGTATGCCTTTGTATTTTCACAGAGTTTCCTTTTAGTTTTCAAAAAACCTATGGAGAACAATATTGAATCTAATAATAAAATTTTGATGTATCTCCAAATATGCTAAGACTGACACCTTACTTCTCAGGTGGCCATTCTTTATTTCTCTGTACCTTATCAACAGGATAACAAAATGGTTGTTTCTTTCTTGGTGGTTGCTGTAGACAAACATTTTAATAGAAATCCAGTAATAGAGTATTAGAAGGAATAGAAAGAATGTATTTACAATACAACTATACAACTACTACTAATAGTTAACATCCACTGTATGCTTATAAGTGCTGCACCAAATGGTTTACATGTTTTCATTCTTTTAACATTTTCTCAGATTAAAATTACCTTTGTCACAATTGTGAACACTACAATAACTCTAAAGTACATTTATTGTTCTTTTGTAAGACTCCTTATTTAATCTCCGATAAGCCTAAGGAAATGAGATTTATGAAAGTATGCTTGTAAGAGTAATAATTTTGGCCGGGCACAGTGGCTCACACTTGTAATCCCAGCACTTTGGGAAGCTGAGGTGGGTGGATCACAAGATCAGGAGTTTGTAACCAGCCTGACCAATATGGTGAAACCCTGTCTCTACTGAAAATACAGAAATTAGCTGGGCGTGGTGGTACGCGCCTGGAATCCCAGCTACTCAGGAGGCTGAGGCAGGAGGATCGCTTGAACCCTGGAGGCAGAGTTTGCAGTGAGCCGAGATCGCACCACTGCACTCCAGCCATTCCAGCCTGGGCAACAGAGCGAGACTCCGTCTCAAAAAAAAAAAAAAAAAAAAGGTAATAATTTCAAGGCCTATACATGACATAATATAAACAAGGTCTTTGCTACTGGTTTAATGCTCTTTCACTTAACACTCATATGAAAAGAAATGGTTACTAATGTATTACTTGGATCAGATAACTGACAGGAGAAACAAAAATTAAAAATCACTTACTCTGTCACCCAGGCTGGAGTGTAGAAAACATTAAATTTTAATGTAACATATGAAGCGTGACATAGTCTGGCTTATAGCTCCTGTTCAGCCTCGGTTGAAGCCACACCAGCCTTTACAATTCAGCCATATTGCACACATATGTCTCTGTGTCTGTCAAACTCTTTGTTTCTGAGCCTTTTCAGATTGTGCCTCTTATCTAGAATGCTCCCCAAGTTAAACCCACATATTGGGGCCTTTTTTTCCCCTAAGGTGGTGGATTAGAGGCATTGCTAGCATACCTCTCTCACTTGAAAGGGCAAAATATTGTGTAGAGATTCACATTCTGAACTTTTTTTCAAGAAAGGACACAGGAACTGAACAGTAAAACCAAAGGAATCTACAGACCCTTTAAAGGAAGGAAGTGGTTGTAGCCTACACTGTAAGTCACTTGAAGGGCTGCAAGTCCCAAGAGTGTAAGAAAAAAAAGAGTTTGCCTCGGGATACATACTCCGATCAAGGACCCTGAAAGTCCAGAACATGGGAGAACTCCCTAACCCCACCCAGTTCAGGAACCGACTTGCAGAGGGTGGCGTAATATAAAAGTAGGAGCAACAGTGGGAAGAATCTTGCATGCACTCTGAAATCCCAAATGACCAAGGGTAGCCATTCCTTGCTGTTTCTGTCATGGAGACCCTGCAGAGGACAGCAAAAAAAGTTCAGTAGTTGTCATAGGTAGAAAGAATCTCACAATGGAGTTCATTATATAACCTTGGGTAGGGAAGAACTCACTTGGCCAGGCCAGGGTTGGGGAGAGTAAAAAGTGGGCCATAAGTGCAGAAGGCATGAGTGCAGGAACTGTGGGTTCAGGCACCTTGAGTACAAGAGCAGGTGGCCAAGCTTTGCAGCAGACAGGGAGCGGCATGACGTGAAAGTTGTGTTCCTTATCTTGCAGGGAAAGCTTATGATTCCCAGCAGTAGTAGCAAGTTCTGATTATAGGCTGAATGGAAGTCGGCTTGCTGCTGACAGTGGAAAACTGTAGGAGCGGATCTGCTTCCCCAAGTGCATTACAACTGTGGGACTTACCACAGCCTGCTACTCCTCACTCCCTGCACAAACTCTTCTGTGCAGCAGAGGCAGCAACGCTCCTCTCTGGAACATCAACTCAGTGGTCTGAGACAAACTCCCATCCCCCAACACCCAGAGGTGCTGCTGCTTGCCCTGCACAAAGAGACTCAGAGTGCAAATCCACCCTATACAGTCCCCTCCTGGCTTTTCCCCACCACCCACCCTGATAGCTTAACACAAAGGACAGAATCTCTTGGGAGCTACACCCACCCCCGCAATCCAATTGCCTGAGAAACCACAGTACCCAGTCTGAGTAACGTAAGGCAAGCAAAAATCCCACTGCTACTACCACAGCTGGTGCTCTTTTGCAAGCATCATCTCATGGATGGAGGACAACCAAAACAGTTCATTATAATATCTCCTGGTAAAATAACACTGTGCCCAAGGAAGAGAAAACAGGTGCACAGTCTCAGCTATCACCACCACCTGCACCACTCTGGCTAACTGGAAGGTCCTGAGTCTGTCATATGATCAGTTTATTACTACTATAATCAGCATTCAAGAAAGGAACACACTAAGGCTATCAATAACCGAAGAATTTCACAGAGGCTGTGTCACTCTCCTGCCACTCCATTAGAGCTGGTGCTGCTACCCATTGCTGGGAAACTTGAGAACAGATCACATCACCGGATTCCTTGCAGACATTCACCAATGGCAGCCTGGATGTGGCAACCTCACTGGGCAGCTAGACCCAGATGAGCAACAACACTAACAGTAGTCTGGCTCCCAGAGACTCCTACTCTTAGGTGGAGTGCACCCTATCAAAAGAACACCCCATGGGACAAAAGAATTTAGATGGCAGGCCTTGAGCACCAGGTTTATCTACTGGTAGAAAGCTTCTTTCAGCAGAGGCAAAATTGAAGTGCTGGGCTCAGCAGGGAAACTCTTCAGCTCTGTTTCAACAGTCAGACAGCCCTTGTGTGCATAAAGGGTCTTGAAGAAGCGGAAGACTTTTCCACCTTGTCCACCACTGTAGGCACAGTTGGGGCTTCTCCCATAGGAACTTGGCACAGGTGCAATTATAGACAGCCTTTCTGGAATACATCAGTGTGACTGCATCCCCACATGAGGAGTGCCCTCAAGGTTCAGGCTTGCATGAGAAACAGAGTCACAATTCCTCTCTATTTGGAATACCAACATTACTTCAGATGAAAAGAGGTGCCTTTCTAATCTAAACAGCAGGAGCCCTGACACAGGAACATGTCTAAGAGGTGGATAACTTTCCTGCTGCCCTGGCAGGGGTTGCTGAGGTGGCTCCAACTCTTCCCCCTAATAAGACTTCAGTGCAACTCACTGACAGCTCCTCCAGCCATCTCTGTCAAGGCTGGGACTTCATTTACCCACCTGCTATAGCCACACCCAGTTCCTACTCAGAGATACCTCCCCTACTGGCCTGAAGCCAGAATCATCAAATTGGGGAAAATAAATAAATAAAAGTGGGCAAACCACAGAAGAATGAGATTAAGCTTTAAGCGATCTCAATCATTTCAATCTGATGGGGATAGTTAACTTTTTCACACATTGAGCGCATTGCTACTACAACCAGTATATGAGAAAGCCACTGTATTAGTGTATTCTCACCCTGCTATAAAGAAATATCTGAGACTGAGTAATTTATAAAGATATGAGTTTTAATTAGCTCATGGTTCTGCAGGCAGTGCAGGCTTTTGCTTCTGGGGAGGCCTCAGAAAACTTAGGATCATGGCAGAAGGTGAAGGGGAAGCAAGCACATTTTCACATGGCCAGCAAGAGAGAGAGACAGTGAATGGGGAGGTCCTACACACTTTCAAACAACCAGATCTTGTAAGAACTCTACCACAAGAAAGCATTAGAGGGATGGTGCTAAACCATTAGAAACCACCCCTGTGATCCAATCACTTCCCATCAGTCGCCACCTCCAACAATGGGAATTATAATTCTATATGAGATTTTTGTGAGGACTCAGAGCCAAACCATATCAGCCTTCATACAAAGATTCTCTAAAACGAAGAAACTCTTGAAGAGTCTTTGCCCCTGAAAACACCAAGAACAAATTTAACCTATAACTAACTGTAAGCATGAAAGTCTCATCCTTAAGGGAAAATAGAAATTTAAAAATAAACAAAAGAAACACACAGTCAAATCAAACATAAATTAAAGAATAATTAGAAGAAACACTCTACCTAAATGAGAAGGAAACAGAAAAATAACTCTGGTAATGTGACAAAACAATGTGCTTCAACACCCCAAAATATCACACTAGTTCTCCAGCAATGGACCCAAACCGAAATGAAACCTTTGAAATATCAGATAAGGAATTCAGAAAGTCAATTATTAAGCTACTTAAGAAAATATCAGAGAAAGACAAAAACCATTATAAGTCAATTTAAAAATCAGATCATGATATGAATGACAAATATTCTAGAGAGATAACTATCATCCAGAAAAACTGATCAGAATTTCTAGAGATAAAAGACACACTGAGGAAATTACAAAATGAAGTGTAAAATTTTAACAAAAGGCTAAAACAAGTAGAAGCTTGAAGGCAGCCTTTTGAATTAACACAATCAGACAACAATAAAGAAGAAATAATAAAAATAAATGAACAAAGTCTCCAAAAAATTTGGAACTATGTAAAATGGCCAAACCTAAGAATAACAGGTGTTCCTAAGGGAGTAGAAAGTCTCAACATTTGGAAAACCAATTTGAGGGAATACTTGACAAAAACTTCCCTGGTCTGGCTAGAGATCTAAATATCCAAATAAAGAAGCTCAATGAACTCCTGGGAAATTTATTGTAAAAAGGTCTTCACCAGCCAAGTGTGGTGGCTCACACCTGTAATACCCGGACTTTGGGAGGCCAAGGTGGGTGGATCACTTGAGGTCAGGAGTTCAAGACCAGCCCAGCCAACATGGCAAAACCCCGTCTCTGCTGAAAAATACAAAAATTAGCTGCATGTGATGGCTGTAATTAGATGTAGGCTGTAATCCCAGCTATTCCGAAGGCTGAGGCAGGAGAATTGCTTGAACCCTGGAGGCAGACGTTGCCGTAAGCAAAAATCACACCACTGCACTCCAGCCTGGGTGACAGAGTGAGACTTCACCTCAAAAAATAAATAAATAAGTTAGTAAATAAATAAATAAGGTCTTCACCAAGGCATACAGTCATCAGGCTATCTGAAGTCAACATGAAGGCAAAAATTCTAAAAGCAGTAAAACAAAAGCATCAGATAACCTACAAGGAAAACCTGTCAGACTAACAGCAGATTTATTAGCAAAAATCATACAAGATACAGAAATAATTGGGGTCTTATTTTCAACCTCTTTAAACAGAACAACTCTTAGCCAAACATTTTGTATTCTGCAAAACTAAGTTTTATAAATGAAGAAATAAAGTCATTTTCAGACAAACACATGTTGAGGGAATTTGTCACAGTCAAAGCAGCACATTATAAGAAATGCTAGGCCGGGCACAGTGGCTCACACCTGTAATCTCAGCACTTTGGGAGGCCAAGGTGGGTGGATAACTTGAGGTCAGGAACTTGAGACCAGCCTGGCCAACACTGTGAAAACCCATCTCTACTAAAAATTCAAAAATTAGCCAGGCATGGTGGCATGCAACTGTAATCTTAGCTACTCGGGAGGCTGAGGCAAGAGACTCGCTTGAACCCGGGAGGCAGAGATTGTGGTGAGTCAAGATAGCACCACTGAATTCCAGCCTGGGTGACAGAGTGATTAAATAAATAAATAAATAAATAAATAAATAAATAAATAAAAAGAAGCAGAAATGCTAAAAGGAGTTCTAAAACTTGAAACAAAAGTCTAATATGCACCAAAACAAAACCTTTTAAATGCATAAAACTCACAGGCCTATAAAACAATAACATAATAAGAAAAAAAAACTAGGTAACAATCATCAAATAAACAGAACAGTGCCTCATATCTCAATGATTGCATTGAAAGCAAATGGCCTAAACATTTCACTTAAAAGATACAAAATTTTGGAATGGATAAAAAGTCAAAATCCAAATATCTCCTGCTTTCAAGAGACTCACCAAACACAGAAGGATTAATAGAAACTCCAGGTAAAGTTGTGAAAAGGGGCATTTCATGCAAATAGAAATAAAAGCAAGGAGGAATAGCTACTCTTATGTTAGACAAAACAGACTTCAAAGCGACAACAGTAAAAAAGACAAAGATGATCACTATATAATGATAAAAAAAACAATTCAACACGAAGATTTTACAATCTTAAAGGTACGTGTACCTAAATTTGGAGCTGTTACATTCATAAAACAATTACTATTGGACATAATTAATGAGATAGCCAGCAAAACAATAATAGTGGGAGACTTCAATACACCATCGACAGCACTAGACAGACCTTTGAGAGAGAAAGTCAACAGAAAAACAAAGGACTTAAATGACGAGCTAGAACAAGTGGACTTAATGAATATTTACAGAACATTCTACCCAGGATCTTAAGAATATACAATCTTCTCATCAGTACACGAAACATTCTCCAAGATAGACCATATAATAGGCTACAAAACAAGTCTCAACACATTTTTAAAAATATGAAATCATATCAAGTATCTTCCCAGACAACAGGAATAAAACTACGTATCAACTCCAAAAGCCACCCCTAAAACTATAAAAATACATAGAAATTAAATAATCTGCTCCTTATTGATATCTGGGTTAACAATGAAATCAAGATGGATATTGAAAAATTCTTCTAATTAAATAAAAAATAGTGAGACAAGTTATAAAACCTCTAGAATACAGCAAAAACAGTGTTAAGAGGATAGTTTATAGTGCTCAATGTCTGCGTCCAAAAATCTGAAGAAATACAAATTGACAACTCAATGTCACACTTCAAGGAATTGGAAAAACTAGAACAAACTAAACCTAAAGGTGGAGGAAATACTAAAGATTAGAGCAGAAGTAAATGAAATTCAAACAAAAAATAAAAAATCAATGAAACAAAAAGCCGGTTCTTTAAAAAAATAAACAAAATTGATACACCATTAGCTAGATTAATCAAGAAGAGAGAAGACCCAAATAAGCTCAATTTGAAATAGAACTGAAGATATTACAATGGACAAGAAAATCATTTGAGACTTCTATGAACATCTTTACGTGCACAAACTAGAAAACCTAGAGGAAATGGACAAATTCCTGGAAATATACAATTCTTTCAGATTACATCAGAAAGAAATAGAAACCTTGAACAGACTAATAACAAGCAGAGGAATTGAATTAATAATTTAAAAATTGCCAACAAAAAAAGTACAGGAACATGTGGATTCACAGCCGAATTCTAGCAGACATCAAGGAAGGAATTGATACCAATCCTACCGAAACTACTCCAAAAAATTGAGAAAGAGAGAATCCTCTCTAAATCATTCTATGAAGCCAGCATTACCCTGATACAAAACCAGAAACGGACACAACAACAAAATAAAACTACAGACAGTTTTCCTGATGAATTTAGATGTAAAAATCCTCAACTAAATATTAGCTAACTGAATCCAACAGCACATAGAAAAGATAATTCATCATAATCAACTTGGTTTCATCTCAAGGATGCGAGGATGGTTTCATGTATGTAAGTTAATAAATGTGATGCGTCACATAAACAGAATTAAAAACAAAAACTATGGAATCATTTTAATAGATGCAGAAAAGCATTTGACAAAATCCAGAACTGCTTAAAATAAAAAACTTTCAACAAACTAGGCATAGAAGAATTAAAGCTATATATGACACACCCACAGCTAACATCTTAGTGAATGTGAAAAAAATTGAAAGCATTCCCCCTGAAAACAGAAATAAGAAAAGGATGCCCACTTTCATTACTTCTGTTCAGCATAGTTCTAGAAGTACTTGCTAGAGCAATAAGACCAGAGAAAGAAAAAAAAAGTAGAGCATTCAAATTGGAAAAGAGGAAGTGAAATTATTGGTGTTTGCAGACATGATTGTATACCTAGAAAACCCTAAAGACTCCTTCAACAGACTCTTATATTTGATAAACAAATTCAGTAAAATCTCAGGTTTCAAAATCAATGTATACAAAAGAGTAGCACTGCTATACACCACCAACAACCAAGCTGAGAATTAAATAAAAAACTCAGTCTCATTTACAAGAGCTTTAAATAAATATAAAAAATAATATACCTGGTAATATAGCTAATCAAGGATGTAAAAAAATCTCTACAAGGAGAATTACAAAACACAGCTGAAAGAAATCATAGGTGACACAAACAAATGGAAATACACTCCATGCTCACAGATTGGAAGAATCAATATTTTGAAAGTGACCATGCTGCCCAAAGCAATCTATAGATTCAATGTAATTTCCATCAAAATACCAACATCATTTTTCAGAGAATTAGAAAAACAGTCCTAAAATTCACATGGAACCACAAAAGAATCCAAATAACCAAAGCAATCCTAAGCAAAATGTACAAATCTGGATACATTAGATTACCAGACTTCAAATTATATTACAACAATGGTTACCAAAACAACATGATAGTGATATAAAACTAGGCACATAGACCAATGGAACAGAATGGAGAACACAGAAATTAGGGCAAATAAGTACAACCAACTGATCTTTGGCAAAGCTTACAAGAGCATATATTGAGAAGTGGGAACTCTACTTAATAAATAATGCTGGGAAACTGGCAAACCACATGTCAAAGAGTGAAACTGGATCCCTATCTCTTATCACATACAAAAATCAATGCAAGATGGAGCAAAGTGAAATCTAATATGTGAAACCACAAACATTCTAGATGACAACATTGAAAAAACTCTTCTAGAAATTGGCCTAGTCAAATAATTCATAACTAAGATGCCCAAAGTAAATGCAACAAAAACAAAAATAAATAAATGAGACTAGTAATTAAACTAAAAAGTTTCTGCACAGCAAAAGAAATAGTCAACCGAGTAAACAGACAAGCCACAGAATGGGAGAAAGTATTTGCAAACTACACATCCGACAAGGGACTAGTATTGAGAATCTATAAAAAAACTCAAATCACCAAGAAAAAACAAATAATTCCAATAAAAAGTGCAAAAATACTGGAAAAGGTATTTCTCAAAAAAAGGTAAATGGTCAACAAACATATGAAAAACTGTTCAACTTCACTAATCATCAGGGAAATGCAAACTAAAATCACACCTCACTCCTGCAAGAATAACCGTTATTAAAAAGTCAAAAAACATTAGATATGGCCATGGACATGGAGAAAAGGCAACACTTATACACTTGTGGTGGGAATGTAAATTAGTACAACCTCTGTGGAAAAGAGAGTGGAGATTCCTTAAAGAATTAAAAGTAGAACTACCATTCAATCCAGCAATCCCACTACTGGGTATCACCCTAAGAAAAAGAAGTCATATGAAAAAGACACCTGCACACATATGTTTACAGAAGCACAATTCACAAGTGAACAGACATGGAACAAACCTAAGTGCCCATTGGCTATTACGTGGATAAAGAAAATGTGGCATATATACACCATGAAATAATACTCAACCATTAAAAGGAACAAAATAATGTTTTTTGCAGCATGATTGGATGGAGCTGGAGGTCATTATTCCAAGTGAAGTAACACAGGCGTAGAAATCCAAAAACTGTATGTTCTCATTTATAAGTGGAAGCTAAGTTATGAGTACACAGCAGCATGAAGAGTAATATAATGGACTTTATAGATTCATAAAGGGGGCAGTGAGAAGGGGGGCAGGGATAAAAAGCTACACATTAGGTACAATGCACTCTACTCAGGTGATAGATGCACTAAAATCTCAGAATTCACCGCTATATAATTGATCCATGTAACAGAAAACTACTTGTACCCTGAAGAAATTAAAGTAAAATAAATAAATTTAAAAAATGAAATAAGAAAACAAATTGTGGATTGAAGAAGGAGGTTAGGTTGTCAGGTTATAATATTTGGAACTTTGAGAGTTTTAAGAAGCTATAATCAGAGAATTGGAGATATACATTAAGATGTAATTGATATAACTGAGCAGCCTTATAGGCATAATTAATACTTTGAATATTAGGAAGAGTAAGAATTAGGTGAATATTAATAGGCAAATATGTTGAGATATTATGCCAAAAATATATATCTAAACACATCGTTATGTGTGCAGAGTAGAAAATACATTGTAAATATTAAAGGAAAAATAAATAAATATAATGTTACAGTTTTAAAAAACCGCAGTAACCAAAGGAAGCCAGATTAATCCTTTATATAAGGCAGTATCTGTGTAATTAAGTATTTATATATCTTAAGAGATTTAAAAGAAATAGCAGAGGTAATAGTGTTTACATTTGCTGGGGCAATTCAATAGAAATAAATAATAAGCATTACCACTTTTATCTGCCATTCACAATGTAAATGCTTTACTTTCAAACATCACAATAATGTTTTACCTTAGATACATATCTTTTTCATAATATATGTTTTATTAAATTGAAATTTTAAAATGTGAATGGTTTGCTGAAGCTCAAAAAACTCTACGTGGCAGAAATATGTTTGAGTCTTTATAATCTAATTTTAAAAAGTAGCCATGATATAGAGTAAGAAAAGTGAATCAAGAGTAAAACTTCACATTGTTGAATGGGAAATTGAGTATAACACACAAAAATTTGGGGGGTTGTTCTAGATAAAATAATTTATAAGACCCTCTTCAATTATCTAATTAGTGCTGATAGAATGTTTTTGTTTCACATAACGTTTGATTTTTTAAAAATTTCTTGGCAGGGCACGGTGGCTCACACCTGTAATCCCAGCACTTTGGGAGGCCGAGGTGGGCGGATCACGAGGTCAGGAGATCAAAACCATCCTGGCTAACAAGGTGAAACCCCGTCTCTACTAAAAATACAAAAAAAAATTGTCTTTGTCTCTGTTTATATGCTGTATTACATTTATTGATTTGCATATATTGAACCAGCCTTGCATCCCAGGGATGAAGCCCACTTGATCATGGTGGATAAGCTTTTTGATGTGCTGCTGGATTCGGTTTGCCAGTATTTTATTGAGGATTTTTGCATCAATGTTCATCAAAGATATTGGTCTAAAATTCTCTTTTTTGGTTGTGTCTCTGCCCGGCTTTGGTATCAGAATGATGCTGGCCTTATGATTATCTCAATAGATGCAGAAAAAGCCTTTGAAAAAATTCAACAACCATTCATGCTAAAAACTCTCAATAAATTAGGTATTGATGGGACGTATTTCAAAATAATAAGAGCTATCTATGACAAACCCACAGCCAATATCATACTGAATGGGCAGAAACTGGAAGCATTCCCTTTGAAAACTGGCACAAGACAGGGATGCCCTCTCTCACCACTCCTATTCAACATAGTGTTGGAAGTTCTGGCCAGGGCAATTAGGCAGGAGAAGGAAATAAAGGGTATTCAATTAGGAAAAGAGGAAGTCAAATTGTCCCTGTTTGCAGACGACATGATTGTATATCTAGAAAACCCCATTGTCTCATCCCAAAATCTCCTTAAGCTGATAAGCAACTTCAGCAAAGTCTCAGGATACAAAATCAATGTACAAAAATCACAAGCATTCTTATACACCAACAACAGACAAACAGAGAGCAAAATCATGAGTGAACTCCCATTCACAATTGCTTCAAAGAGAATAAAATACCTAGGAATCCAACTTACAAGGGATGTGAAGGACCTCTTCAAGGAGAACTACAAACCACTGCTCAAGGAAATAAAAGAGGATACAAACAAATGGAAGAACATTCCATGCTCATGGGTAGGAAGAATCAATATCGTGAAAATGGCCATACTGCCCAAGGTAATTTACAGATTCAATGCCATCCCCATCAAGCTACCAATGACTTTCTTCACAGAATTGGAAAAAACTACTTTAAAGTTCATATGGAATCAAAAAAGAGCCCGCATCGCCAAGGCAATCCTAAGCCAAAAGAACAAAGCTGGAGGCATCAGGCTACCTGACTTCAAACTATACTACAAGGCTACAGTAACCCAAACAGCATGGTACTGTTACCAAAACAGAGATATAGATCAATGGAACAGAACAGAGCCCTCAGAAATAACGCTGCATATCTACAACTATCTGATCTTTGACAAACCTGACAAAAACAAGCAGTGGGGAAAGGATTCCCTATTTAATAAATGGTGCTGGGAAAACTGGCTAGCCATATGTAGAAAGCTGAAACTGGATCCCTTCCTTACACCTTATACAAAAATCAATTCAAGATGGATTAAAGACTTAAATGTTAGACCTAAAACCATAAAAACCCTAGAAGAAAACCTAGGCATTACCATTCAGGACATAGGCATGGGCAAGGACTTCATGTCCAAAACACCAAAAGCAATGGCAACAAAAGACAAAATTGACAAATGGGATCTAATTAAACTAAAGAGCTTCTGCACAGCAAAAGAAACTACCATCAGAGTGAACAGGCAACCTACAAAATGGGAGAAAATTTTCGCAACCTACTCATCTGACAAAGGGCTAATATCCAGAATCTACAATGAACTCAAACAAATTTACAAGAAAAAAAACAAACAACCCCATCAAAAAGTGGGCAAAGGACATGAACAGACACTTCTCAAAAGAAGACATTTATGCAGCCAAAAAACACATAAAAAAAATGCTCATCATCACTGGCCATCAGAGAAATGCAAATCAAAACCACAATGAGATACCATCTCACACCAGTTAGAGTGGCAATCATTAAAAAGTCAGGAAACAACAGGTGCTGGAGAGGATGTGGAGAAATAGGAACACTTTTACACTGTTGGTGGGACTGTAAACTAGTTCAACCATTGTGGAAGTCAGTGTGGCGATTCCTCAGGGATCTAGAACTAGAAATACCATTTGACCCAGCCATCTCATTACTGGGTATATACCCAAAGGGCTATAAATCATGCTGCTATAAAGACAGATGCACACGTATGTTTATTGCAGCATTATTCACAATAGCAAAGACTTGGAACCAAGCCAAATGTCCAACAATGATAGACTGGATTAAGAAAATGTGGCACATATACACCATGGAATACTATGCAGCCATAAAAAATGATGAGTTCATGTCCTTTGTAGGGACATGGATGAAATTGGAAATCATCATTCTCAGTAAACTATAGCAAGAACAAAAAACCAAACACTGCATATTCTCACTCATAGGTGGGAATTGAACAATGAGATCACATGGACACAGGAAGGGGAATATCACACGCTGGGGACTGTGGTGGGGTGGGGGGAGGGGGGAGGGATAGCATTGGGAGATATACCTAATGCTAGATGACGAGTTAGTGGGTGCAGCGCACCAGCATGGCACATGTATACATATGTAACTAACCTGCACAATGTGCACATGTACCCTAAAACTTAAAGTATAAAAAAAAAAATAATAAAATAAAATAAATAAATAAATAAATAAATAAATAATCCGGGCTTGGTGGCAGGCGGCTGTAGTCCCAGCTACTCGGGAGGCTGAGGCAGGAGAATGGCGTGAACCCGGGAGGCGGAGCTTGCAGTGAGTCGAGATCGCACCACTGCACTCCAGCCTGGGCAACAGAGCAAGACTCCGTCTCAAAAAAAAAAAAAAAAAAGTTCTTTCATAGCTTTGGTAGAATTATTTAAGTATTGGCTTATTTTTTTTTAATTGAAAAAGTTCAAAGTTCTAATACATAAATTTTCAACCATTCTTTTAAGGATTAGCAAATGATTTGTTCAAGGGCTAGACAGTCAATCTTTGAAGAATGTGGGTGATACATTTTCTGCTGCAATTATTTAATTTTTCTATTGTGGCTTCAGTGCAGTCATTGATAATCTATACATGTCTGTGTTCCTATAAAACTTTATTTACAAAAGCAGGTGGTCAGTTAAATGAGCTATGATTTGCTAATTCAGAATAACACACATTGAATATAAATAGATAACAGTTCTACCTGAATAAGACAATTTTGTAATGTGAAATAATTTAATTTACTATACATAAAATAAAATATGCTTTAAGACAATGTATGTGACAAGTATTAGTAAAATATACCATTTAGATTAAACCACATTTAATCACAGTACTTCTTATTAAGAATAAAGAAAAATTGTTGGTGTTGCTAATAAGATAAATTATCCAAAATTTACAATGAATGCCAAGAATACAGCATGTTCTGCTCTCACGCTGTGTGTTGCTTAATTTTCCATCTAAGCTTTATCTAATTATCTATTTAATTATCTAGGAGAGTGAATTTTTGTTTTATTTTGCTGTTTGCTGTTAAGTGAAGACTCATTCTGTGAGTTTGCAGAGTATCTGGTACTTCTTCCTGTAGCAGCATGTTTTGTCAGCTAAAAAAAATAAATTCATAGGTTATGATTGAATTTGCTGGTAGGATATCATTTAGTTTTGTCTCCAACTTGGAATACTTTTTCTGATTAAATATATAACCCCAGATGCATCTAATTTTCCTTTGATTTAGGTTTACTAGCTTACTAGTTCTCTCATTAATGAAGTATTGTAATAAATGATTTCAAAGTGCTCATTTTGTATTTGTATGAAGAGACACTTTAGGCATTTTTTAACATTTAAAACATTCCACTTTAACAATATTTGACATTTTTAATGTTTTAATATGTTTTTGAATAAAATACCTGTAATATTTTGTCTTGTGAACCCTCAGATCTATGGTTCTTAACCTTTCTTGGTCAGAAAACCTTGAATCAGTGGATGGAGAATAAGAGCTCTATTTGTAGAAAATATGGTTGCTCACAATTAGACTAAGTTTCCTTTCCTCCTCCCTGAATCTAGTTTTTAAAATATTGATTTGATTTAAAGAATGTTGAGATGGGCTTTATTGCCTATGTAGAAAACAGATGTGGAGTTTATTTAATTTCCTAAAATGCACTCTTTTAGCTTTATATTTGCAGTATTCATCATACCTTTTGAGATAGGTACACTTTACAAATTTATCACATTTATATGCTTCCTACTTCAAATTCATATTCTGTTTAATTTACTTACATAAGAGAGAAATAACTGCTATAGTGTTTAATCTTCCTGAAATACATGTAATTTAACAATAAGGAAAAGCTGATATCAAATTAAGACATATTTGTAGAATTTTAGGCATTAAATGTAGCCAAAAATAAATGGGGCAGACACATTTATTTCAAAGGTGTCTCATCTTCTGTCTATACATCCAACCTCAGGTGACCAATGAAGAGTAGTGTCTGTTAAATATGTTTCAGACATTTACAGTGGGATGAACTGGAGTCTTTTCAGGTTCATGAATTTTTGTTTTGTTTTGTTTTGTTTTAAAATGTAAACCTTTTTATCTTTATTTATTTTTATTTTTTATTGTAGTTTAAGTTATACGGTCCATGTGCACAACGTGCAGTTTGTTACATATGTATACATGTGCCATGTTGGTGTGCTCCACCCATTAACTCGTCATTTACATTAGGTATATCTCCTAATGTTATCCCTCCCCCTACCCCCTACCTCATGACAGGCCCCAGTGTGTGATGTTCCCCACCATGTGTCCAAGTGTTCTCATTGTTCAATTCCCACCTATGAGTGAGAACATGTGATGTTTGGTTTTCTGTCCTTGTGATAGTTTGCTGAGAATGATGGTTTCCAGCTCCATCCATTTCCCTACAAAGGACATGAACTCATCCTTTTTTATGGCTGCACAGTATTCCATGGTGTATATATGCCACATTTTCTTAATCCAGTCTATCATTGAAGGACATTTGAGTTGGTTCCAAGTCTTTGCTATTGTGAATAGTGCCACAATAAACATACGTGTGCATCTGTCTTTATAGCAGCATGATTTACAATCCTTTGGGTATATACCCAGTAATGGGATGGCTGGGTCAAATGGTATTTCTAGTTCTAGATCCTTGAGGAATCGCCACACTGTCTTCCACAATGGTTGAACTAGTTTACAGTCTCACCAACAGTGTAAAGGTGTTCCTATTTCTCCATGTCCTCTCCAGCACCTGTTGCTTCCTGACTTTTTAATGATTGCCATTCTAACTGGTGTGAAATGGTATCTCATTGTGATTTTGATTTGCATTTCCCTGATGCCAGTGAGGATGAACATTTTTTCATGTAACTGTTGCCTGCATAAATGTCTTCTTTTGAGAAGTGTCTGTTCATATCCTTCACCCACTTTTTGATGGGGTTGTTTGATTTTTTTTCTTGTAAATTCGTTTAAGTTCTTTGTAGATTCTGGGTATTAGCCCTTTGTCAGATGGGTAGATTGTAAAAATTTTCTCCCATTCCGTAGGTTGCCTGTTCACTCTGATGGTAGTTTCTTTTGCTGTGCAGAAGCTCTTTAGTTTAAATAGATTCCATTTGTCAATTTTGGATTTTGTTGCCAATGCTTTTGGTGTTTTAGTCATGAAGTCGTTGCCCATGCCTATGTCCTGAATGGTATTGCCTAGGTTTTCTTCTAGAGTTTTTATAGTTTTAGGTCTAACATTTAAGTCTTTAATCCATCTTGAATTAGTTTTTGTATCAGGTGTAAGGAAGGGATCCAGTTTCAGCTTTCTACATATGGCTAGCCAGTTTTCCCAGCACCATTTATTAAATAGGGAATCATTTCCCCATTGCTTGTTTTTGTCAGGTTTGTCAAAGATCAGATAGTTGTAGATGTGTGGTATTATTTCTGAGGGCTCTGTTCTATTCCATTCGTCTATATCTCTGTTTTGATACCAGTACCATGCTGCTTTGGTTACTGCAGCCTTGTAGTATAGTTTGAAGTCAGGTAGCCTGATGCCTCCAGCTTTGTTCTTTTGGCTTAGGATTGTCTTGGCAATGTGGGCTCTTTTTTTGGTTTCATATGATGTTTAAAGTAGTTTTTTTTCCAATTCTGTGAAGAAAGTCATTGGTAGCTTGATGGAGATTGCATTGAATATATAAATTTTCTTGGGCACTATAGCCATTTTCACAATAGTGATTCTCCTATCCATGAGCATGGAATGTTTTTCCATTTGTTTGCGTCCTTTTTTATTTTGTTGAGCAGTGGTTTGTAGTTCTCCTTGAAGAGGTCCTTCACATCCCTTGTAAGTTGGATTCCTATGTATTTTATTCTCTTTGAAGCAATTGTGAATGGGAGTTCACTCATGATTTGGCTCTCTGTTTGTCTGTTATTGGTGTAGAGGAATGCTGGTGATTTTTGCACATTGATTTTGTATCCTGAGACTTTGCTGCAGTTGCTTATCAGCTTAAGGAGATTTTGGGCTGAGATGATGGGGTTTTCTACACAATCATGTCACCCGCAAACAGGGACAATTTGACTTCCTCTTTTCCTAATTGAATATCCTTTATTTCTTTCTCCTGCCTGATTGCCCTGGCCAGAACTTCCAACACTATGTTGAATAGGAGTGGTGAGAGAGAGCATCCCTGTCTTGTGCCAATTTTCAAAGGGAATGCTTCCAGTTTTTGCGCATTCAGTATGATATTGGCTGTGGGTTTGTCATAAATAGCTCTTATTATTTTGAGATACATCCCATCAATACCTAGTTTATTGAGAGTTTTTAGCATGAGGGGCTGTTGAATTTTGTCGAAGGCCTTTTCTGCATCTATTGAGATAATCATGTGGTTTTTGTCTTTAGTTCTGTTTACATGCTGGATTACATTTATTGATTTGCATATGTTGAGCCAGCCTTGCATCCCAGTGATGAAGCCAACTTGATCATGGTGAATAAGCTTTTTGATGTGCTGCTGGATTCGGTTTGCCAGTATTTTATTGAGGATTTTTGCATCAATGTTCATCAGGGATATTGGTCTAAAATTCTCTTTTTCTGTTGTGTCTCTGCCAGGCTTTGGTATCAGGATGATGCTGGCCTCATAAGGGAGGATTCCCTCTTTTTATATTGTTTGGAATAGTTTCAGAAGGAATGGTACCAGATCCTCTTTGTACCTCTGGTAGAATTCGGCTGTGAATCCATCTTGTCCTGGACTTTTTTGGGTTGCTAGGCTATTAATTATTGCCTCAATTTCAGAGCCTGCTATTGGTCTATTCAGGGATTCAACTTCTTCCTGGTTTAGTCTTGGGAGGGTGTATGTGTCCAGGAATGTATCCATTTCTTCCAGATTTTCTAGTTTATTTACATAGAGGTGTTTATAGTATTCTCTGGTGGTAGTTTGTATTTCTGTGGGATCGGTGGTGATATCCCCTTTATCATTTTTTATTGCATCTGTTTGATTCTTCTCTATTTCTCCTTTATTAGTCTTGCTAGCTGTCTATCAATTTTGTTGATTTTTTCAATAAACCAGCTCCTGGAGTCATTGATTTTTTGAAGGGTTTTTTGTGTTTCTATCTCCTTCAGTTCTGCTCTGATCTTAGTTATTTCTTGCCTTCTGCTAGCTTTTGAATGTGTTTGCTCTTGCTTCTCTAGTTCTTTTAATTGTGATGTTAGGGTGTTAATTTTAGATCTTTCCTGCTTTCTCTCGTGGGCACTAATGCTATAAATTTCCCTCTACACACAGCTTTAAATGTGTCCCAGAAATTCTGGTATGGTGTGTTTTTGTTCTTATTGGTTTCAAAGAACATCTTTATTTCTGCCTTCATTTCGTTATGTACCCAGTAATCATTCAGGAGCAGGTTGTTCAGTTTCCATGGAGTTGAGTGGTTTTGAGTGAGTTTCCTAATCCTGAGTTCTAGCTGGATTTCACTGTGGTATGAGAGACAGTTTGTTATAATTTCTGTTCTTTTACATTTGCTGAGGAGTGCTTTACTTCCAACTATGTGGTCAATTATGGAATAAGTGCAATGTGGTGCTCAGAAGTATGTATAATCTGTTGATTTGGGGTGGAGAGTTCTGTAGATGTCTATTATGGTTCATGCATTATTTTACTACCCAATATTAACTCGGGATTTTCATCAGTTTTCTTGGAGTATGCATATGTGACAGAGATTTAAGCTCTCTGATTGTTTTAATCACTTCCACTTTAAATTCAGTTGGCACTTATTTTTTTCCTCTTAATCTCTAAGTTATTATTTAGCCAGCATTTTACATTTGCCTAACTTTTCTCTCCAATTAAGCGTTAATTATATACCTTGTTGGAATTATGTTTCTTCTTTTGTTTACAACACAATAATCTTGTGGAATTTATATGACTATATAAGGTACACATAGAAAAGCTAATGAAATACAACACTGGAGATAATAATTTCAGGTGATTGTTTTGGTGTGGTTAGTGAAGAAAACAATATTATAGGAGAAAAATGTAATTTTAGTTTATTCAAAATAATAGATTCCCAAATGTGATTTTAAAAAAAATCAAAATAATACTTTTCATCAAAACAGATTTGAGACTCTTAATTGTATAGCACAGACATATTCCTAAATATTTTTTTACTTTCTTGGGAATAAATCACAAACTGTCATATATTAGAAAAGGCAACGGATCATAAAAGTTTTCTTCTTACCTAAATTTCTCATCGTCAGAATTGTTCAGCAGATGGCACTATGTGAATAACTCATTTAAATTAATTTCTTGCTACTTACTCTATTTTAAATTATTTTAAGTGTGCTCCTGGGGAGCAGGTTTTGCTAAACATAAGGCACACTCATTCTGTATTTAATGCAGAGCATAATTCTTTAGTTGGCACAAAATGGATTCCTGTCTTTGAATCCCATTCCAGAAATTAAATATTCCCCTTATTATTAATGACCAGGGTATAAAATTTTACCTTGATTTCAATAGAAGCTTTCCTGTCTTCATTTCTGTCTGAAATTAAAAATTGCCTTAGGTGAGTGTCTCTTGTTTTTTGAAGTCTTTTTGAATTCTGGAGTTCTGCTCCAGAATCCACAATTCACTAGCTAAGCTTGCATTCTTTTGCCATATACACCTACACCAACGATCATGCTTTAATCCTTATTTTTTTGTTTTTTATTGTTTTTTGATGTTACAAAGGATATCTGGAAAGAAGTTTTAGATGGTGTCTGTTTGATAAGCTTTCAGTGTCTTCTGTTATGCTTTCATGTTCTCACCTTATTTGTCTGTTGGCACATCTGTGTACATGTAGAATACACCTGTTATGCTTCTACCACCTGTCAGGACTTTCTCTTATGTCCCCCAAGTGTGCCTCTCTTTAAATATTGTTCCTGGTCTCCACAAGATACAGGAAATCTCTTAACCCATTCAACAGCTAAAAATACCTTGCAATGACAATCAAGGAAAACACTGTTCTAATACTTACATAATTGGTGTTGATTTTTAAAATGAGTTCTGGAAAGTAAAATCTATCCTTGAATTCTAACCTAAGAGAGAATTTTAACGATAGTAATTTTGGCTTAGTGTATTAGGAAATGAGGGTTTATGTTTTACATTTTTATGTTTTAGCAGATTTAATAAGCACAATGGGCAATGCTGTCTAAAACCATATTACAATAAAATACAATTATTCAGAAATTAGATGGGCAAAAAAATGCTGATGAAATATAGTAACTGCAAAGATATGGAGAAATTGTTACACTCTTTATTTCTGGTAAGATATAAAATTTTAAAAATTGTACAAAATTTATCTGGTAATTTTAACCAAAATTTAAAAGTTTCTATCCATTTATTATACAATTATACTTTAAAACCTTTTCCCTACCAAAGTAAAAGCAATAGCATATAGAGATATATTGGTAAAATGTTTATCACAGCCATATTTGTTTTTTGCAGAACAGAATAGTACAAAAATTGTTAACCTTATGTATATCATAAGATATCATAAGGAAAAGAAACATATAATGTTTTCCTATTTGTATGCATTAAGCAGTTACTAACAATTAGTTAGATCTGCATATTAGCTCAGAACATGGTTCATGATGTATTGAATTAAAATGTTGCAAAGTAAAGTTATAGAATTCTGTATCTATAAATAAAAAAACTCCTTCTTTTTCTCCATTTCTGCCTCCCTTTCTATCCTTTCTCTCTATGTACTCACACAGAAGGACACAAGCATACACATATATATGGATATTTGGGAGTATAAGTGGAGATATTATGAAAAATTATAATACATAACATATGTAATAAATATACCTAAAGCTAAGGAATGTTATTAAAGGAGGTAAAAAGAAAGATTTTTTTCTGTTGTATACAATCTGTATTGCTTAACTTTTTACAATAAAGATTACTAAATCTGAAATTATAGTAGTCAATAAAATGTAAAGATAACTAAGGGAAAACAATATCTAAAAACTGATAATATGAAAGATTACAGGGATCCAGTATTTGATAAAATACATCAAAAGTACTTTTGAAAAGATTTTTATAATAACTAACAATCCCTGATTTGTTCCTTCCCACTTTCCCATTGTGAAGTAACCAAAATACAATGTGTAAACTTATGTTAATACTCATTACTAGAAATATTAATAGTTAAGAGTTTGCCAATGTCTGAGAAAGGGAAATTTCACTCAACCAAAAGGAAGATTGATATCTATTTCAGGGACATTGGCCTTAGTGACTATGGAGTAATAAAAAACTCAATTGATACGTTTTTGAGCTGGCCATGTTTATTTGACTTTCCTACTCCTTAACTATTATCTCTATTTCTAAAATTACTACATGATTAATTTTTTTAGTAATTCTTCATAGATTGGCAATGAAATTGGACTGCAAGAGATTCAAGAGACTGGTTAATTAGACTGCAAAAGCCCTTGAATATTATTAAAGTATTAATATTTTATCTGTCAATTATGGTGGTGGGGTTCTGTATATTTATGTTTATTTTGGCTAGTTATATACCTGTCATTTATTTTATTTATGGTTTTAAGTTTATAGACAAGCTGAGAAGTTTTAGTGATAATTTGCTGTTATTTGTGTGCTTATTTTCTTATCCAGAATCAATTTCCCCTCTCTATAGCAACCCTAATTAACTTTGTGGAAATTATCTCTTATGTATTGCATATAGCATTTGTGATTCTACAAACTAGGTATCCTGCCCTCTTCTATCCAAGTAGTGGATATAACACTCAAGCTACATTTATCATATAATTTCTCCTGAAGACATACAAGTGTGAAAGGTAATGGCTAAAGAACATCCATTCCCATGCTGCTGCCCATGTAAATAATTTTCATAACCTGATCTCTGATGAATACATTTATTTAATGGATTAAGTCAACAATTATAGCATATATGCAGTTGGCCCTGCATTTTTCGGGATTTCACATCCATGGACTCAACCAGCAACTGTGGGTTAAAAATATAAAAAATAAAAATAACAAAAAATCCAAGAATATATAATGCAATTTTAAAAAAAATACATGATAACATCTATTTATATGGCATTTGGATTGTTTTAGGCATTATAAGTAATCTAGAGATGGTTTAAGTATAGGAGAGAATATATGTAGGTTATGTGCAAATAGTATTCCATTTTATGTAAAAGACTTGAGCATCTGTGGATTTTGGTACCCACACGGGTCTGGAACCAATCCCTAGTGGCTACTGAGGAATTATTGTACATATAATATTTTTCTTTATAATTAAAACATATCTATATCCACTAAATAATACAGGAATATTTTACATGTTCTACATGTAATGTTTACATATTTACATGTTCTACATGTAAAGTAAATTCTACAATTTTATTTCACTCACCCTATTATAACCCTATTCCCTGGCTCATTATAAGAATTAAAATTCAGGAAAGAGAGATTCTCAGGTATGATGTGTCAGAGATACCTGTCACACTGATTTTAATAAAATATTGCATTTTACATTATTGAAAGGGCTTTGTTAAAACATCTTCCACATTACAGCATCCCAGTCAAAACAATGTGGCATGATGTTGGACTGTCTTTTCTTTAGGTGGATTCAAACCAGCAGGGATGATCTGAGAGTTCTTTTAACCAGTATACAATACAGCTTGTGACTAAACTATATTATTTCTTTTTCACAGAGGCATGTTTGACTACTAAAATAAATATGACATGATGAGAGCTTTTTGAAATATTCATAAAATCCATGTTTTTTGCTTACTGTGTAATAATCAAAAGATACATATAATTCCATGCTGTTATAGTAATAATAGCTTAAATCAGATTTATCTATTTTATTGTGCTCTGAAAATATACAGAGTAACATAAGTATATAACCTGATCATTTTAGGTATTCCTTTCTACTTACTAAGTAAAATTAAAAATAGAAACTTTGCAGACCCTGAGCACACATGTAATTCACTTATCTTGATGTAATCACATAAAATATTTTATCCAAATGAAATTTCAAAGTGCCACTTTTAATTCATCAAGTGGATATCATTTTAAATCAATTGTTTATATATTTTAAAGGCTTTAGATTCAAAGACATACTAGAAAAATATTAAGATATTCATCAAATATATTTTATAGCACACAGTGTTTTAATCTAGTCAGATGCCAAACTTTTGATATCACTGTACTGAAGAAGGATATAACACATTATTCATCTAATACTGACCAAGCACTAACAACAGAAAAAAGACATAAGAGCTTCATTTGTCAAGAATAATATTAAGGTACTAGAGTTTTATGTAAGATGGACAGAGGGTGATGATTATAGAAACTATGCATTAATAAATCTCCACCTTACTGAATGATATATTTAACTAACATTCATTGTATGGTTATTATGAACTATAAAATATTCTAAGTGTGTATAGATAGATAGATAGATAGATAGATAGATAGATAGATAGATAACCTATTTGATATGATTTGGCTGTGTCCCTAACCAAATCTCTTCTTTAATTGTAGCTCCCATAATTGTGGGAGGGACCCAGTGGAAGATAATTGAATCATTGGGGCTACTTCCCTCATACTATTCTCCTGGTAGTGAATAAGTCTTGTGAGATCTCATTGTTTTATAGAGAAAACCCCTTCCACTTGGTTCTCATTCTCTCTCGTCTGCTTCCATGTAAGTTGTGTATTTTGCCTTCCACCATGACTGTGAGGCCTCCCCAGCCATGTGGAACTATAAGTCAATTAAACCTCTTTCCTTTATAAATTAACCAGTCTTTAGTGTGTCTTTATCAGCAGCATGAAAATGGACTAATGCAGTAAATTGGTACCAGTAGAGAGGGGTGCTGCTGTAAAGATACCTGAAAATGTGGAAGCAACTTTGGAACGGGGTAACTGGCTGGAACAGTTGGGAATGGCTCAGAAAAAGACTGGAAAATGTGAGAAAGTTTAGAACTTCCTAGAGACTTATTGAATGGTTTTGACCAAAATGCTGATAATGAGATAGACAACGAAATCTAAGCTGAGATGGTCTCAGATGGAGATGAGGAATTTGTTGGGAACTGGAGTAGAGATGACTCTTGCTATGTTTTAGCAAAGAGAGTGGTGGCATTTTGTCCCTGCCTTAGAGATTTGTGAAACTTTGAACTTGAGGAAGATGATTTAGGGTATCTGACAGAGGAAATTTCTAAGCAGCAAAGCATTCAAGAAGTGACTTGGGTGCTATTGAAAGCATTCAGTTCTGAAGGGAAACCGAGCATAAAAAGTTCAGAAAATTTGCAGTCTGATGCTGTAATAGAAAAAAATAAAAATAAAAAACCTGTTTTCTGAGCAGAAATTCAAGCTGGCTGCAGAAATTTGCATAAGTGATGACGAGTCAAATGTTAATCTCCAAGATAGGAAAAATGTCTCCAGGGCATGTCAGAGACCTCTGTGGCAGCCCCTCCCATCTCAGGCCCAGAGGCCTAGCAGGAAAAACTGGTTTCAGGGGCTGGGCCCAGGGCTACTCTGCTGTGTGCAGCCTAGGGACTTGATGCCCTGTGTCGCAGCCACTCTAGCCATGGCTAAAAGGGGTCAAGGGACAGTTGGGGCCATGGCTTCAGAGGGTTCAAGCCCAAAGCCTTGGCAGATTCCACAAGGTGTTGAGTCTGCAGGTGCACAGAAGTCAAGAATTGAGGTTTGAGAACTTCTGCCTAGATTTCAGAGGATGTATGAAAATGCCTGGATGTCTAGGCAGAAGTTTGCTGCAAGGGTGGGGACCTCATGGAGAACATCTGCTAAGGTAATGTGAAAGGGAAATGTGAGGTTGAAGGCCCTACACAGATTTTCCACTTGGGTACTGCCTGGAAGAGCTGTCAGAAGAGGGCCACTGTCCTCCAGACCCCAGATGGGTAGATCTACTGACAGCTTGCACCGTGTACCTGGAAATCCACAGTCACTCAACTCCAGCCTGTGAAAGAAGCTGGGAGGGAGACTGTACCCTGCAAGTTCACAGGGCTGGAATTGTCCAAGACTATGGGAACCCATCTCTTGTATCAACACAATCTAGATATGAGACATAGAATCAAAGGAGATCATTTTGAAGCTTTAAGATTTGACTCTCCTGCTGGATTTTGAAGTTACATGAAATCTTAGACCCTTTGTTTTGGCCAATTTCTTCCATTTGGAAAGGCTTTATTTACCCAATGCCTGTACCCACATCGCATCCTGAAAGTAACTAACTTGTTTTTGATTATACAGGCTCGTAGGAGGGAGGGACTTGCCTTGTCCCAGGTGAGACTTTGGACTATGGACTATGGACTATGGACTTTGAGTTAATGCTGAAATGAGTTAAGACTCTTGGAGACTGTTGGGAAGGCATGACAGATTTTGAAATGTGAGGACATCAGATTTGGGAGGGGCCAGGGGTGTAATGATATGGTATGGCCGTGTCCCCACACAAATCTCATCTTTAATTGTAACTCCCATAATTCCCACATGTTGTGGGAGGGACCCAGTGGGAAATAACAGAATCTTGGGGGCGTTTTCTCTCCTACTGTTCTTTTGGTAGTGAATAAGCCTTGTGAGGTTTGATGGTTTTATAAGGGGAAACCCCCTTCGCTTGGTTCTCATTCTCTCTCTTGTCAACCCCCACGTAAGACATATATTTTGCCTCCCACCATGATTGTGAGACCTCCCCAGTTATGTGGAACTGTGAGTCAATTAAACCTCTTTCCTTTGTAAATTACTCAGTCTTGGGTATGTCTTTATCATCAGTGTGAAAAAAATCTCATAAACTCTTTTTAATTTTATTAAAACCATTTATGATGAGTAAAATTATCACTCTTTTATAGACAAGAAGCTGAAGCACAGAAGCTAAGTTAGGTGCCAAGTTCACACAAGTATGAAATAAAAGAGGGGGGATTTTGACCCAGAGAAGCTAGATTTATCCACTATGATAAACTGTCAATCAATGCTCAGGGCCCTATTCGATATAGTAGGTTTCCATTAACTGCTTATTAAGAATAGTAGTTTTGGACAGTAGGAAAGACATTTTATACATTATAGCATAATTGGTAACAGTAATACTGTATGTCATTTAAATTCCTATCAAACATAATTCACATCATCTGCCAATTTATGACATAATCCTTTCTAGAAGCTTTATTTTATTTTAAAATTGTGTATTATAATTATTAAAAGTTTTTATAGAATTGCCAAATTATTCTTGACCTCCTTATTGTATTTAGCATCATAATATAATTTCAAGATGCATGAAAAGTATTTATTAGAATAGGCACATCAGCTTCAAATATTCTAAAATGTGAAAAATATGTTGTATATTTTGTATAAATAGAAAGTTTTTATTTATTGATTCGTTATAAAAACTGTAGTACTACTAGATAATCTGTATATGGATTATGTTATCAAATTTTATTCCAACTCTTTGAGTGTTATATAAGCTCAATTTGAAATGAATAATCAAAATAGTGTGGTACTGACATAAACAAGACATAAATATAGACCAATTGAACAAAGTAGAGACCAGAAATAGACGCTAGTATATAGCAAATAACATTCAACAAAGATGTTAAAACCATTTAATAGAGAAAAAAGTCTTTTCAACAAATAAAGCTGGAATAATGGACTATTCACAGGCAAAAGAATAAAGTTGAACCTTTATCTCATACTACATAAAAATTTAACTGAAAGGGATCAAATACCTCAACAGAAGAGCTAAAGCTGTAATCCTCTAAGAAGAAAAAAGCTAAGGGGCAAAAGTTTAATGATATTTAATTTGGCAATGATTTATTGGATGTAACATCAAAAGTATAGACAACAAAAGAAGAAAAATACATAAATTGGACTTCAAAATAATTAAACAATTGTTTTTATCAAAGACACTATTAACAGAGTAAAAAAGCATTTCACAAAATGGGAGAAAATATTTGTAAATCATTTATCTGATAAGGAATTAATATTCAGAACTTATGTAAAACTCCTAAAATGTTTCTTCAAAGAATATATACAAATGACCAATAAGTACATAAACATCACTTCTTAGGAAAATGCAAATCAAAAACACAATTTGATATCACTTCAAACCCATTATGGTTACTGTGAAACACACACAAACACACATACACAGAAAATAGCAAATGGTGGTGAGGGTGTGGAGAAACGGGAACCCTGTGCATTATTGGTAGAAGTCTAAAATGGTGTAGCTACTTTGGAAAACAATATTGTGGTTCCTCAAAAATTAGAAAATAGAATTACTATATTATCCAACAATTCCATTTCTGAGTATACATAGATAAAAGATTTAAGACCAGGTGCAGTGGCTCATGCCTGTAACCCCAGAACTTTGGGAGGCTGAGATGGTTGGATCACTTTAGGTCAGGAGTTCGAGACCAGCCTGGTCAACATGGTGAAACCCGTCTCTACTAAACATACAAAGATTAGCAGGACATGTTGGCGGGCACCTGTAATCCCAGCTACTTGGGAGGTTGAAGCAGGAGAATCTCTTGAACCCGGGAGGCAGAAGTTGCAGTGAGCCGAGACTGCGCCACTGTACTCCAGCCTGGGCCACAGAGCAAGATTCTGTCTCAAAAATAAATAAATAAATAAATAATAAATAAAAGGAGAGTCTCTAAGAGATATTTTTATACACATGTTCATTTCTACCTTATTAACATAAACTAAAATGTCGAAGAAACTAAATATTCATCAGTAGATTGATGGAGAAGCAAAATGTGATGTATACATGTAATGCATTGTTTGTAATACAAAGGATAAATGCTTGAGGTGATAGGTATCTCATTTATTCTGATGTTATTATCGCACATTGTATGCCTGTATCAAAATATTCCCTATGCCCTATAAATATATACACCTATGTACCAATAAATATTAAAAAATAAAAATTCCTGACATATGATATCACACTGATAAAACAAGAACGTTATGCTAAGTGAAATGTCAGTGACAAAAAGGCAATATTGTATGATTCTGCATATATGAGCTACTTCAAGTAGTACAATTCATAAAGCTAGAAAGTAAAATGGTAATGAGATTGAGGACATTAAGGTTGGTTTTCAAACTACACATCTGACAAGAGATTAATAACCAGAGTATATACAGAATTCAAACACTTTAATAAGGAAAAAACCATAATGATTCAATTTAAAATAGGCAAAATGTATGAATACAAATTTCTCAAAAGAAGACATACAAATGACCAACAGACATATAAAAAATGCTCAACATCACAAATCATCAGAGACATAAAAATTGAAGCTACAATGAGATCATCTCTCACCCAAGTTAAATGGCTTTTATCAAAAAGACAGGCAATATTAGATGCTGGCAAGAATGTGGAGAAAGGGCATCCCTCTTACAATATTAATGGGAGTGTGAATAGGTACAGCCACGTGAAGCACAGTATAAAGTTTCCCTTCAAACAAAAAGTAGAACTACTATATAACCCAGCAATGTCACTGATAGCTATATATTTTTTAAAAAATGAAATGAACATATTAAATATCTATACTCTGATGTTTATTGCAGCATTATTCATAATAGCCAAGGTATGGAATCAACATAAGTGTCTATCAATAGATGACTTGACACAGAAAATTTGGCATATATACACAATGGAAACATAAAAATGAATGAGATAAAAAATATAAAACCATATTCAGCAATAAAAAACAAATGAGATCACTTCATTTGCAACAACATAGTTAGAATTGGAGGGCATTATGTTAAGTGAAATAAGCCACAAACAGAAAAAAAAAATTGCATGTTCTTATGTATATGTGGGAGCTAACAAAAAATTGAACACCTAGATATAGAGAGTAGAATGACAGTTATCAGAGGCTGGGAAGGGTCGTGGTGAGGGAGAGATACAGAAGGGATGATTAACAGGTAGAAAAATGTAGTTAAAAGGAGTAAGATCCAGTGTTTTGTGACACAATAGGGCAAATACAGTTAATATTTTATTGTATATTTCAAAATAACCAGAAGAGCAGAATTGGAACATTTCTAACACTCAAAAAAGATACATGCTTGAGGCTATGGATATCCCAATTACCTTGATTTATTATACATAAATACATTTGCTTGTATCAGAGTATCACGTGTGCCTTACAATATGTACAACTGCAAGGTATAGCATTTAGATATATTCTTATTTTCAGTATGGGTTAGATTTTGGGTTTTTTTCTAATTTTTATTTAAAAATTAAACTAAACTGTCAAATGCTATAAAGTAGTCCACTGCATTGAGAATCTATAAGTCAAATTGATGATAATATCACTGAATAATTGTGAGTTGTCTCATTCACGTATAGCTATATTTCTTTTCCTGTACATTTTATTCAGGATTAATGATTTTTTCATTTTTATTTATTTATCCTTTTATGTGACTTGCTAATTTTTCTCTTAATACATAAACTTCATAAATCAACTTTGAACAATATTATTCACCATAATTATAATAATACATCTACAAATATTAATGAAAATCAAGTTTAAATCTTCATTTAAGGCATTTATTTTCCAGCTTTCCATTTTTTAAAAAAATTTTCAGTAATATCATCCTTAGTTTAAAGTCTGAAAATTCTACTCACTGGAGGGAATTACAAAAAAGAGGCTTATTGCTCCTCGCTAGTGCCAATATATCACTTGAAACTGTCTATAAACCAGGACTTTTTCCTTCCTTAGGAAACTGGATATTTGCACAGATTCATGAGTATGTACATGAGGAAAATGTGAAAGTACTACTGATATAAGAGGATTAGATAAACCAATCACGTGCTCATGTACATTACTTGTGTTTTTAGGAATTGAAACAAATGCCTTTCTTTGTATGTGTTTTCAATGGAGATGGAGCACTGCTGCACATACTCAACTTTATGGTTTGCTGTATCAGAGAACCCTTAAATCATGATAGGGAGGTCATTTTGTATAGATTCTGATGTTGTAAGATCTAGTGTTCAGTTTATCTCAACAACAGTATAGCAACTGTTTCTCAAAATAAGAATAAAAAGTTTATAGAAAAAAAAGTTTTTGCTATAAAATTCTAGAAACATATTATATAGTTTTCCTGTTATAATTGTTTCAGTCTTCATAAGGCAACCTGATCTGCCACAGATACTTCAAACAACATTGTATTTACTCAAGGTCAGAGCTGCTTGCATCATGGTCTGAAATGCCTGGAGAAATTCACTTTCCTCTTGGCCATTTTCCCAAAAATCTAGAAATCTTATGAGCTAGGTCCATGCATATGAGGTGGTATATTTATCCTCCAAAATTCAATGGGGTCACTGGCTATTGTGCTCAGATAGACAAAAAAAATAGTACTTGCTTTTTTTTTTTCTTTTAATTTTAGGAAGAGTATACTGGCATGCTCAAGACTTCTGATACTCTAAAAACTGCAGTTATATAGTTCCTCAGATTTTTGTAACACTTTACTCTTATCTTTTAACATGCATGGATCTTACTGAGTCTTCTCAACTACTCTTTACTCACTGTTCCTCAGGTTACATAATCTGGATGTCATCAACATAAATGCAAGTATAAGAAAGTATGCAACTAAATTATAACAGAGAAGCATACATTTTTATTGGATTTAAGGATAAAGAATGAGGATGTGTCCCTGTCTCTTACAGGCTGAAACTTATATTGAGTATTATTTTCTGCTTATTGGCCAGCTCAGAGGTTGTGAAACACACAAAATGATGTAGACTGATTTGCTCCATTATATGAGACAACTGAAAAGCATCATATATTACTTTTATCACCTAATTATATTTATAATAATACATTGTTATTCTTTCAAGATTCCTATGCTTTTTTCACTGACCCATGAAACAAGCTAAGTAGATTTAAATGTCAGAAACATTTTCTTCTGACAAATATCCCAGAATTGTGAGAATACTCAGAGTGGATGCATTTTCATAGCACAACTTCAAGAATGTATGGCAAGAGAGATTTGTGTCCAAATTACATTCCTTTTCTTAATTCAATGATGCCCATTCTGAGGGAAGGACCATTTGGTTTCCTGGATTATAAAATGCAAGCAATACCTCAGAACCAGAATCCAGTCATTTCCCAAATGTCACTTTTCCTCCAAGAACGATCACTCCAGTATATGATCAGCAACGGCTTTGTAGAAATCAAGAAGGAATAAGTATGTTAAAAACTTTTGCTGATATAATTCAAGATAGTTTAGGAAGGACACATGAATCATCATCACAGTAATTATTCAACTTCCCCTTTATCATAATTATATTTTATTGTAACTATTGGTTTATAGGTATTTTAGAGCTTTTGTTCATTACTCATCTATATATTTCGTAAGTATCTTAAAATTCATGGAAAATAATCAAAGGTTCTTTTGGGATAATCTTTCTTCCTTTTACCTCTCCAGCCATGCTACAATAATTACTCTTATTCTGCTGGCTACATACTGCCATTTGGGCTCTATCACCACCAAAACGTTTACTCCTTTTAATCAGAGAACTCTTATACAAGGCAGCGTCTCCTACCCTCGTCACCAGCCTGCAAGGAGAGTTATTACAGAGTTTAATCTTAGTGCCTTGGTGAATTTATTCTCTTCAGAGTTATCTCAGATGGAAAAAAGTTGGGTAAACTTAAGTCACAAAAACATTTTATATTCTTATCATTTCATATTTCTTCTTCAACATTAAGCCAAGGTACCTTTGATGTCCAAATGTTTTTAGGGTAGACCATTGTTAGATTGAGCTTTCAATTAGTCAACCAAACAAGCAGTTAAAACCACTCTGAGCTGCTTAAGGTATCACATTGAATTCAGAATGTAGTATGTATATCAAAATATTTATGTCAAATTAAATTTAGAATTTATGCTACCTGTTCTAGCTTCACCTACTAGCCATTCCTATATATATTATTAATACACATGCTGATTTTTAGGATAAAATATATAAATTGTAATTTTTATGTCAACAGAGTCAAATAATTTTAATTTCATATGATTCAACCTAATAAATAAAACCTCATCTCATTTTGAGGAGTACTTGCTATTATTCTTTTGGATATTCCATCTAATTCTTCTTATATATGAAGAAGAAATGGAAGCAGCATAAACAAAACTCTTCTGAAAGGTTACTACCTCAAGCAATGTATAGGGTTTCTACAAAAGGTAGATGCAAGCTTCTTAAACAGTGGATAAAAGACTGCTTATGCTGGAATAGTTTGGGGTATTCAGCATCAACTGAATCCACCCAAATACAACTATTTCAGTGATTTGGATACCTATTTTTTTTTCAAATTTTTCAAATTCACCTAGAAAAATCTGTGAATTCAACTATTCTCTAATTTAGCAACTTAAAGCACTAGATTTGCATGTGACTTTAAGCTATGTTATCTGTGTGGCTAATATAAAAGAAATTATTTCAGGATAGTCATAAAATCTCCCTAGTTCTTCATCATGTGATGAATTAAGCATTAAAGCTCTGCTCTTGTCTCTGTCTTTCTTGAAATATTTTGATTCAGACAGAAATTACCAGTCCACCCCTTTGTTCCTTGCGTTCTTTATTTACAACATAATGATAATCAGATTAGTATTTGATTACAGGTGACCACAAATAATAATTTCTATATTTTGTTTTTGCATGTTATGAATTACCAATGTCCCATTTCCAGGTAATTATGAGCCTCACTGCAAACTCAACAATGTCAAATGAATCACTCTGTTTCGCATCTTTGAGTCTACGTTTGCCCACAATCATTTAGAGTATGTAATAGCTTGTCAGTAAAGATACATAGAAAAAGTAGAAATTATTTTATGTATTTAGCAGAATGTAATTTAAAACAAGAAAATAGATGGCTAAAATTTATTAGAAGTTCCAAAGGAGTTGACTCCGGGCTAAGGCTTCTTATGTGATTGCCAGAAAACAAAACGACAGACCCTTGATAGAGTTATTATCTTTGCCAGTTATGAATGTGCAGCACTAAGAAATCATTGCTGGAACTACTGGGGTAATATATGAACACTCAACCTGAAATTCAAGAATCCATGATCAGGACATTGCTGCGAGAATTTGCACAAGATAATAGACACTGGACAGTGAAATCCAGCTGCTTTTAGTGCTGCAATTATCTTTTAATATACATTAAGTGAGTGACTCAACATTATAAATCTGTGATCTTGTTCAGCAAGATAAAATGCCCAGTGTGGCTTCTGCTTAATTACTTGTCTTTCAAATTTTATGGAATGATCAAATTTGTGAAACTTTACTCTTATTTAGAATGTAACATTAAGGGACTCTGAAATCAATGTCCTATCTCTGCAACACAGGAAAGAAAACTAGAAGGTGGAAATAAATGTTGATTGTCAATGATATCCAGCCCAACTTAAAAGCCAGTATATTGAATGGGTCATACAAAGAATTGTTTGAATTACAAAAAATGATGAACATCCTTGGAGTAGAAAAGACTGAGCCGGCATCCAAATTCTTCAGGTAATGAGAATAATTAGACACAATGATATTATGTTTTTAGATCAGGAGTTGACAAATTACAGCTTGGGTCCTGTTTCTATATGGTACTTGAGCTCAAAATATATTTTACATTTTGAAAGTGTGGAGAAAAAATAAAAAATGCACCAAAGAATCTACAACAAACCCTATGAGGTTCCCAAAACCTAAAATATTTACCATCTGGCTCTCTCCCCACAAAAAGTTTTCTGACCCCTGCGTTAGATTGAGAAGAAATAGGTCAAAAAGCACATAATACATTGTGATTTAGTATTAATGAAGCAATTGATTTTTGTCTGCCCTTTTGTATATTCATTCCTGATGCCTCATGCCAGGTACACAGTATGTAGGTGTTTATTGAATAAACATATAGTATTTACAACATTACCAATTGTTGATAGATTTTAACATTGCCTTCTTAAGGTGTATATTTTTCACCTACACATACACATTCTTTTTCTGATAATGCAATAACACAAACAATATATTATATGAGATTGGTATGTCAAAGTGGTGTATAGACTTGTATTCAACCACATGTAAAATAGTATTATTTTGATAAAGGCTTTATCGCCACTCAGTTTTCATTTAATTTTGATCTCTTGCTACTCTGATGAAATTTATCTCAAGATATATATTTCATGTCATTTGAAACCTATTAATAATCCCAGTTTAATGGTGACTTCTCTTCATGCAGTAAAAAATAAAAATAAAAAATGCTATATGCATTTTTTTAAAAGGAAAGAAAACCAAAAATCTCTATTAAGAAATAAATTTTCCTTGTAACAACTAACGAGCTCATGCACAGAATCAATTGTTTTTACTATAAACATGACAAATAATTACTTTATTTGGAAATATAGTATGAATTCATACCATTTTTATACTTATTTTTGAACACATGAATAAATATATCTATATTTTTGAAAATATATTTCTCCAAGACAATGTTGTTATAATATCTGATACTTATATCTCTGATTTTACATACATCTGTATAATGTGCATAATATAAAATAGTCTCTAAATTTGCATTTAAAAGTGTTCAAATGAAGACAAAATACAAAATTACATGTTGTAACAGCATGATAAGCATGCTAGTATTTGAGTAAGTGAATATGACATTAAATAGAAATAAATTGTAGTAGAAGTAAATGCACAATATTTTACAAACTCTTTTGTCTCTAGATATCTATTCTTTAAATTTAAAATGTACTTTACAAGTAGCACTTTTGAAAATGTCTTGCCAATACATAGAGAAATGAGATACTTGTGTGCCTGCTTCTAGGGAATATTTTATGATGTAATTTATTTGCAGGTAAGCCTTGTAGCACTAAGTTTATATCCTAATTCAGTGAAAAGATGGAGATTTAAAAATTTTTTCATACTCAGGAATTTGGTTTAATTTGCAAGTTAAAATTCCCTTCTAATAAAAATATGACTTTTTAATTGAAATATTGAACATAATTATAATCAAATGGCAGGTAAAATAATAACCACTTTTTTTCTAAAAAAGCGAATTGAACAACTGAAATATTTATTTGCTGAAAATAGTATCTTTCATGTTTTCTTAATTTTTTGAGTGCTTTATTTCTTTTTTAATTTTATTATTATACTTTAAGTTAATATCTTGTGTTTTCTTAAATATGTTTCCCTTTATATTCAATGACACATTGAAAAGTACTATATTAACATATAATATTACATTTCTGAATTCAAGGAACTCAAAATACTAGTATAATTTTGGAAGATGAAACTGGAGTAAAATTCCTAATTCTACCTAAAGCTAAAATTTGATAAAGTTGCAGCAGAGGCCTTAGACAGCCCCACAGAGAATTCCGCAGGCTGGAGGACTATTCAGAGAAGCTATAAATTAAGATCCTGGCATTTCACCAGTCACTGGACACAGATTGCCCCAACAAAATAATTTAACCTTGGGGTAAGGCCGCTTCTTTAGCAGTAAACAATTTCTGGCTGAAGAAAGGAAAGCTTTGGCTCTTAAAGAGGGGATCCGAGTGGTGTACCACAGAATTCAATATCACTATTGTGCCATTCAGATCTGTTTGCTTCCCATGGTAAGTCTAATTTTTCTGGGAACTAAGTCCTCCAGAATCCTGCTTAATGTCTTTTTCTAAGGAAATTTAGAAGAAAGTGGACAAACTACATACCATCACACTACAGTTGGTCTTAAGGAAATTACTAATAGTCATCATCTTCCTTCTCTACTACTCATTTGAATCACTTTCAACCTTGGTTCCTACTTCTGCTCACCAAATTGGTTTACTTGAAAGGGAAACCTGCACCATCATCTCCTATGGGGTCTAGGTTGCACCATACACTTCTCAGACCTTGATTGTTGCATTTGTCCTTTCTATAAGACAATTGACCACAGGAATAACAAGACACACATCAGTGGATCATCTCAGTAGCAAGCAGAATTTTCTGTCTCATCATTGGAATGGCAGCCCTTCTACTTCCTACGGTAAGGATAAATTACTACTAACCATAAGAGTGACTCTTTTTCTTGCTTCTGGCTTTATGCAGAAGTAGTCCGATGTGGCTAAAAGTGTAAAGGGAACATGTTCACATGATTGCCCCAAGAAGATGCTTGCCCTCTTTGAAAAAGGTCAACTAGAAAAATAGAGGCTAAAGGTATGGTAAAAGAAAGCACAAATTCATACAGTCAGTCACTGGGAGTGATGGTAATTGGGGTCACATACACTTTCAAATGTCAGTTCTTAGACTCATATCTTCTGCCATTTGGGGATAAAGGGTTTTATAATAACTACTGATTAGGAAGTAAGTGGCGACACATCCTCAAATTCTGACTTCTCCTAAATGATGAAGTAAATACACATTCAAGGCTTATCAAAATGCTATTTGATCACTCTGAAAGTCTGAGAGCTCTGGTTGGTAAGTGAGAGATAAAGAAGAGGACTGGAGGATCCCATGGCCATGTATTTACAACCATACTTCTTTTGCTGTAAATCGGGCCTTTTGGTTTGGGGCAATGATACATATGATTACAAGCCAGTGTATTAAACATTTTGTTAGCCCTCAGATTGCTGCTGGCTGAGGCCCTGTGGAATAGAATGATATATGACTGAAGTATACATGGATTCCAATCAAGAGGAACTGTTACCAACTTTCAGGATGAAAGAGTTCAAATTCAATAGACTCACCATGAAGTTACTGGTTAATCTTCTCAAAGGACAATACTATATGGCAGACTCAACTTTAGTCCTTGCTGCTGACTGGTTATATATTTACCATAGCTCAGCCCTGATGTGTGAGATCACAGCTGTTGAGCCAAAGAAATTTTACCTCCTTGCAGCCATGGCCACTCTTTAATTAGCCTGTTGTGCCAGTCTTGGGATGTTCCATGTAAGAACCCTACTGACATCACTCTCCAAATATTTCTATCTACCCTGAGTTACTCTAAGTAGCTAGTTTGATCCACTTTGTGATCAGTACTGTGTGGTGAGGGTTAGCAAATTATGTAAATCTCTTCACTCTGCATCTACTCACCTAGGACTCTCTATGCTTTTATACCTAATCTTTTTATCCCTGATTTTCTAATCTTTCTCCTTTAAGGCTGTCACTCACTAGCTAAGTCACTTCCCAGTTCACTACTTTATGTAATTACTACCTAGGACAACTTTCTACTTCACACAAAGTACACTTCTTGTTTTTTAGGGCCACCTCTTTTAGGGGCTGTATTACAGCAGCTGTCCACTTTCAGTTACCTCTTACATATTCAACTGACTCATCTTGAATGCTACTATCCACCCTACTTAAATATGTACTGCTTCTAGTTCCATTTTTATTTACATGGATATAGAAAACAGCATTGACCATATCAACAGTTTCCTATAATTATATCATATTTGGCAAAGCAGCTACATCAGAAATGATTAAATTTATGATAGTTCACAATTATTCACTAGGACCCATCTGGTATTTGTAATGACCTGGTAGGTAAATTAAATACAGATATGAAGAGATTCACCATTTCCACATCTTTTAAGATTTTTATGATGGTATTAACCTTGGTATTTATTTAGGATGACATATTGTTTTTGACTTGTAATCTTTGTCAGAGTTGAAATGGAAGTGCACAATTTCATAGGCTTACACTTGGTCTTCTGCCTTAGAAAGGCTTTTATCCCACAAGCAAAGGAATTCAGTAAGAGTGTGAGATTGTGACAACTGTAAAACAGTCTCTTTTAAATTATATATTCAGGGACCAGAGACTTTTATTCAACTGTGTGTTCTAATTATTTTTATCTATCAAACTCAGGATTTAGGTCAATACAGTCTTTCTGAGGTATTATTACTTCACATTGGATAGTTTCTGATGCTTTGTTGGCTTATGTTATCTTTTATATCATAACAAGATGAATACTTTTTTGGCCAGGTGGTAATGTAGTTGACCCTAGTCAAGTGTATCTGGATCCCATGGAGGTCATGCATTGTCTTGCAAGGCACAGAGTGGTCTGCAGCAATGGGAGAGTATTAGAGTTTAACAAGAAGTAGTTCATTTCTGCAGGTCCAGAAAGACTTGAGGGCAGTCTGTTGTTTCAAGCTTCTTGGATGCATGTATCTGTATGTCTATTCCAATTTTCTAAGTTGTATTCCTTCCCAATGAGTACCCTGACTGTGGGATAGAATAGTTTCTGGGATTGAATGAAATTACAAAGATGCCCTACTTGAGTTTATACTGAAGTATAAAATAAGTAGTATAATTAGTAACATAGCCTTGTGAAATGGTAAGCACATTTTTCATGGCACTTGGGAGGCTGAGGTGGAAGCATTGCTTAAGCCTGGGAGGTTGAGGCTGCAGACAATGAGCGGTGATCGCACCAGGGCATTCCAGCCTAGGCAACACAGTGAGATCCTGTCTCAAAACAAACAAACAAACAAACAAACAAAACCATTGTATTCTTTCATTTTTCCTGGTTAAAATAAAGAATTTGCCATACATACAATATTCAATACCTGAAGAAACTATTGGTCACTTTTTAACTTTGGTTAACTATCTTTGAAGAAGAGAGGAGAAATATGGAGTAGCTGGTGGAGAGAAAAGTTAACATCAAAAATGTTATTGTTGTTATTTTTGACGGACTGTCTAATTGCATATTTTAGTGCTAATTGGCATGATTTTAAAAATGAAAGAAAAACTGATAATGCAGTAGGGAATTGAAAAATTGCTTGAGTAATACCTTTGAGTTGAAGGATTGGTCGTATGTTTAATCAGTACACTAAAAGCATACCAGCTGTGTAAGTGGGAGGCTTGGTGGTATGTAATTTGGGAAGTTCTCCTTTGATTGATTATTTTTTTCTTATGTTTTCAGTGAAATAAAAAGTAGTTATAAAATAAAGATAGAATGAAGAAAAAGTTATCATGTGCCTAAGAGAAAACAATGTTTGAAATCACTATTCAGAGGAGTGAAAAGATGACAAGACTAGTCAAAAATGGAAAGACAGCTTGGAAACCCTAGAAGCATACTGAGGATAATGATAGTGAATATTATGGAATCCTAGTGTATAATTTCAGTTAAAAGGTAAGCAATTTTAATTGAGAAATTCTCAAAATAAAGTGGCTTATAAATTTATCTCTTATAAATAAAGTGACTATATATATATATATATATATTTTTTTTTTTTTTTTTTTTTTGAGACGAAGTCTCACTCTGTCACCCAGCCTGGAGTGCAGTGGCACCATCTCGGCTCACTGCAAGCTCCACCTCCCGGGTTCACGCCATTCTCCTGCCTCAGCCTCCCGAGTAGCTGGGACTACAGGCGCCCGCCACCACGCCCAGCTAATTTTTTTTGTATTTTTAGTAGATACGTGGTTTCACCATGTTAGCCAGGATGGTCTCGATCTCCTGACCTCTCGATCCGCCCACCTTGGCCTCCCAAAGTGCTGGGATTACAGTCGTGAGCCACCACGCCCGGCCTAAAGTGACTATATTTATCTCTCTTTTAAGTAACAGACCCGAGGTGATAGCTCCAGTTTGCAGAGCTATGCTCCTACTACAGAAGATTATTAAATGACCAAGCTTCTTTGCAGACTTTATTGTCTTTTTTTCTAGGGACTGACTTGAATTGCATGTTAGAATACGACTCACATACACAAATGATCACAGAAGATTGTTTAAATTCCTTTGTAAGTAAAATGACAAAGAATGAAAACATCGCTTCTGCTGACATTTAATTGGTTAAATCAGCACAGCTGCCATAGGGGCATAGGATGCTGAAAGTATAATGCAATAGTTATCTACCTGGGCATCCAACTATTGTAGAAGAGGGAGATAATAGATTTGAACTAAATTTCAGTGCCTTGCATATACAGAAAACATTTAAAATATTTTCTCAATCCACATTCAGGTGTAATGTGAGTGAAAAGAAGGGAGAGATGTCTAAGGAATTTGAGGGTGCATGCAAACAAGTGATTATGATATTGAAGCAAAAGATCCAAGCTTTGGAAAGAGTAAAATAAAGATGTAGGGGGCTGCTGCTGAGGGTTACTGAAAAAAAAAAAAAGGTAAGAAAAACAGTTTTATAGAAGTGGGTGTGAATGCTGGAGGAGACAATAAAAGAGTGAAACCCTTCAAATCAATTTTTTAGGGTGGGTAAATAGTAATTAGGAATTCTAAAAAATATACATAGGGCTGGATTGTCAATTCATGTTGCTAGACAACATTATTGGAGAAGAATTCAAGGAACTGAGAGGCCATTTCTGCAGATGTACACATTGAAATACTACACTGGAGAAGTTACCGTCTGTGAGTCTACTTAAATGACAATCATTCATCCTCTCCTCTTTGAACAACATCTTGGCACAGATTTTCCGTATTTTCAGCTTTTCTTGGCACAGCTTTTTTGCTTCCGTATGGTTTTACCGGTGAGCCATTCCCAATCACTTCTTATGTGAAAAATTTAAAAACAGAAAATACGCCTTTACATTTCCAAATCAAGAGAAAAAAATGGAGTCCTACTCAATAGATTCAAACAGTGAATAAGAAAACGTATCGTGTGTCTTTTCATTCTGGTTTTGATAAAATAATTTACACTATCTGCCTGCCAACGCATGGCTAATCCATATAATAACACATTTCACTATTTTATGCAGAAGGGCATTTAATGCTTAAAGAGAAAGACTGTGCTTCTGTTTAGTAATTCAGCCAGGAAGTTATGTGTGTGTTTTAATCTTTCCTTGACATAAAAAACACTGCCACTTTTCATTCAGATTGCATTGCCTGTAATTCTGCTTCCTCCTCCAGAATTCTTTTTCTACTTGTTATTTACATCTTTCAAATATTTGCAGATCATTTTCGTATTCCCTTAGCAAGCTATAAATTTTACACTACTTTAATCTCCCCCCATAAATCAGAATCCCCTTCTCATTATTCAGTTGTTTTTTTTTTTCTGGACTCTTTCCAGCATATACTACACAGGCTTGAATTTGAAGTGCCCCAGAATTAACTCAATATTGCAGCTGCAGTATCATCAATTACAATATTAATTTCCATTCTGGGTACAAGACATCTCTTCATTTTGTATTTATTGTATTCATGTATTTGTTTATTTTTTGGCTGTGTTTTGTCACCTTTCTTTGTGAAATGTTTATAATTACCCTAGGTCTTTTATATATTATCATTTCTACTATATACAGATTAGTCACCAGGATATTCTCTAAAATCCGTGATTTTATTTCATATTTACTGTGATTTTGTTACTTAGAAACTTTGTTCTTCAAGTCTTAAAAGAATCATGTCATTTCATTGTTCATTCCCTAATTTAGATAATTTGCAAAGGTATAAAAGAGAGGAGAAATAAAATTCAATGCTGGAGGTAAGCTAATTTATTACAGGTACTTTCTCTGCAGTAGGCACTTATCATGGATGACATTTAATTTAATATTTAATTCAAAAATAAATGTTTATATTCCCATAAATTAGATTGTGATACAGTAGCATTTCATAAAATATTTCTATCCAAACTAGTAAGAATGAAATTTATATAGTGATTTTGTAGCTAAGTTCTAGTGCCTCTAGGAAGGTATCTTTTGTTTCTCTTAAAAGGGTTCTCAATTTTATTTCTTTTTGCATTTTATGTGTTACTCTGTAAAGTATGATTCTGAATGACCTAGCATAATATGAGCCCCAAGGACATAGAACAGTCCTGAACATTCTGAAAAATATTAAATAGCTCCTGATTAATACTGTGATGCCTTGTCCCCAACTCCCCAAATACTATCCATATTGTAGTATCAATGGGTTATATTAAAAAGAATGCTGTATTTGTGTTTCTATGTGGAAGCTTAAAAAGGGAGCTGGTAACACTTCATAAACAAATTATCCTAATGAATTTAACTTATTTTTGAGTTTTGAAGTATGGCTGTAAGTATGTCATGAAAATGGAAATATTGAAAATGTGTAAATTGAATATATTTAACTGAATGTTCAAAGGCAGAGAGGCTTAAAATAGTATATTCTGGACACATAAATTTTGGCTAGATAAGTTTGGGGAAGTAGAAGAGGCTTCAGATGAAATTTAGGTGAATGAATGTTATTGGTTCCTACCCAAAATTCAATACCGTTATTTCCATTAATTTTGTTCAGGTTTCTAATTATATAATATGTGATTGAAGTGAAGATGATCCTATTTCTAGCTCCAGAGATTGTTTCTTATTAGTGATAGCCAATATCAGCCTACTCCATAAATGCAGGAAAAAATAAACAATTAATAGTAACGTGCCGGTGTGTTACATAGGTATACACTTTCCATGGTGGTTTGCTGAATCTATCCACCCATCATCTACATTAGGTATTTCTCCTAATGCTATCCCCCCTCTAGACCCCCACTCCACAATAGGCCCTAGTGTGTGATGTTCCCTTCCCTGTGTCCATGTGTTCTCATTGTTCAACTCCCACTTATGAGTGAGAACATGCGGTGTTTAGTTTTCTGTTCTTGTGTTAGTTTGCTGAGAATGATGGTTTCCACCTTCATCCATGTCCCTGCAAAGAACAAGAACTCATCCTTTTTTATGGCTGCATAGTATTCTATGGTGTATATGTGATTGACCCACTGGTTGTTTAAGAATGTAATGTTTTACTTTCATTATGTTTGTACATTTTCCACTTTTTTCCATTCTTGATCATAGTTTCATTCTATTATAGTCAGATAAAATAATTGGTATAATTCAAATACTTTTAAATTTACCAACACTTGCTCTGTGGCCTATGCTGGAGAATTTTCCACATGCACTTGAGAATATGTGTATTCTTGTGGCTTTGGCTGAAGGGTGTTACAAGTGTCTGTTAGGTCTACTTGTTTTACAGTGTTATTCAAATGTTTTATTTCCTTGTTTATCTTCTGTCTTGTTCTATTTATTACTTAAAATAGGGTATGGAAGTCTCCAATGATTATTGTAAAACTGTCTAATTCACTTTTTAGTTTTGTTAACTTTTTTCTTCATATATTTTGGGGCTCCTTTGTTAGGTGTGTATGCTTATAATTGTTATATCTTCTTGATGAATTTGCCTTTTCTCTCTGTATGATGTTGTTTCTACCTTGTGGCAATTTTTGACTTAAAGTCTATTGTGTCGGTGTGAGGATAGCCACTTCTGCTCTCTTACTGTTACAATTTGCATGAAATATATATATTTTCATTCTTTTTTTTTTCAACACTGTGTCTCTGGATCTAAAGTGAGTCTTTCGTAGACAGCAGGTAGTTGAATATATATATTTTTAAATTCACTGTTTTATTTTATCAGTTTATTTATATTTTAATTATACATTAAGTTAAATACATTTGTTTATAATGTATTTATTAATACATTATACATTTTAATTATACATTAAATTAAATGTAATTTAATTACATTTTAAATTATACATCAGGAAGCACTTCTGCCATTTTTCTGTTTATTTATATATATATATATATATATATATATATATATATATATATATAGTTCCTCAGTTTCTCCATTGCTCCTTTCTTTGGTATTTAATTTTTATAGTGTACCACTTTTATTCCTTTCTAACTTTATTTTTCATATACGTTTTAGATTTTTTTAGTGATTTAATTAAGAATTACAATTAAACTTTTTGATTTACGGAGATTCCTCAAAAAATGAAAAATAGCCACCATATGATCCAGCAATCCCACTCCAAGCTATATACCCAAAAGAAAGTAAATTGGTCTATCAAAGAGATATCTGCACTCCCATATTTATTGCAGCACTATTCACAATAGCCAAGATTTGGAAGCAGCCTAAGTATCCCTCAGTAGATGAAGGGATAAATAAAATGTAGTACATATACACGATGGAGTATTATTCAGCCATAAGAAGAATGAAATCCCATCATTTGTGACAACATGGATGAAACTGGTGGTCATTATTTTAAGTGAAATAAGCCAGGCACAGAAAGTCAAACTATGTTCTCACTTGTCTTTGAGACCTAAAAGTTAAAACAATTGAACTCATGGAGTTAGGTAGTAGAAGGATGGCTACCAGAGGCTGGAAAGTGTAGTTGGTGGTGGGGGAAAGTGGGGAACCGGGGCTGTATAATAAGACCCACTGATTAAGAATGTGATGTTTTACCTTCATATGTTTGTAAATGTCATATATTTGTAAATACATGAATTTATAAGTTTATAAAAATTTATTTATATTATTACCACCTTAGCTACAATGATGTACAAAACTTTGCACTTATACATCTCTGACACTCCCTCTCTATGTTGTTATAGTCCTGCATGAAATATTTATAGATCGTGTTCGTATGAATACTTATTTATAATAATTGTTTATTAATTGGCTTTGAAATCATATATCCAGAAGGGAATTACAGACCAAAAATTGAATTATCATAGCGTTTGTATTTACCTGTGTGGGTACATTTTCCAGTCTTCTTTATTTCTTGGTTTGGTCTCGAGTTACTGTCTAATACTTTTTCATTTCCACCTGAAGGACTTGCGTGAGTATTTCTTTCTTTTTTTTTAATTTAATTGCCTGAATGGTTTGTTTTATTGTTATTTATCATGAAAACATGTATAAAATATATGCAGTTTTTCAGATAAACCCAAAGGATAATGGAAACTACCTTCCTACTTATTATTGAATGCATTATTCATAAAACCACTTGAAATCAAATTAATTCTAAATTATTCCCTCATTAAATAAAAACATTATAAACTCACAAAACCTAATGTTTAAACACATAAGATATAGTGTGGTTAAAGAAATATAATTTAAGTTTCTTTTTTTTTTTAAATGTCTTCAATGTATTAGTCTATATGACTCATTGTTAGTCAACATCGTGCAGGCAAAATGAAAGACACTTTCATTCTAATGCTGTTGTTTTCCCCTTTACCGTTTTTTAATGCATTTTTTATTATTGTGGGTACATGGTAGGTGTATATATTTATAGGTTACATGAGATTTGTTGATACATGCCTGCAATGCATAATAATCACATCAGGATAAATAGAATATCCATCACCTCAAACACTTATCCTTTGTGTTTTAAGCAATAAACTATACTGTGAGTCATTTTTAAATTAACAATAAAATCATTTTTACCATAGTCACCCTGTTGTGCTAGCAAATATTAGGTCTTGTTTATTCTATTTTTTTATTTTTAATTTTTGTGGGTACATAGTAAGTGTATATATTTATGGGGTACATAAGATGTTTTGCTACACGATGTGCAAAATGAAATAAGCACATCACGGAGAATGGAGAATGGAGTATACATCCCCTTAATCAAAAGGATAAATCCTTTGAGATACAAACAATCCAATTACACTCTTTAAGTTGTTTTAAAATACACAGTTAATTTTACTTACCCTGTTGTGCTTTCAAATAGTAGGTCCTATTATCCATCCCCCATTCCCCTCTTTTCCCGACCACCGACTACTCTTCCCAGCCTCTGGTAACCATCCTTCTACTACCTATTTCCATGAGTTCAATTGTTTTAACTTTTAGCTCCCAAAGATAAGGCAGAATATAACAAAGTTTGTCTTTCTGTGCCTGGCTTATTTCACTTGACCTAATGAGCACCAGTTTCATCTATGTTGTTGCAAATGACAGAATCTCATTCTTCTTATGGCTGAATAATACTCCATCGCATATATATGTACCACATTTTATTTATCCCTTCATCTACTGAGGGATACTTAGGCTGCTTCCAAATCTTGGCTGTTGTGAATAGTGCTGCAACAAACATGGAAGTGCAGATACCTCTTTGATATAGCGATTTTCTTTCTTTGGGGTATATAGCTTGTAGTAGTATTGCTGGATCCTACGGTGACTCTATTTTTCATTTTTTGAGGAATCTCCAAAGTATTCACCCATAGTGGTTCTGCTAATTTATATTCCCACATACAGTGTATGAGGGGTTCTTTTATTCCACATCCTTGCCAGCATTTTGTCATTAGCTGTCTTTTGGATAAAAGTCATTTTAACTGGAGAGAAATGATATCTCACTGTGGTTTTGATTTTAATTTCTCTGAAGACCAATGATGTTGAGCACCTTGTCATTTACCTGTTTCCCGTTTGTATGCTTTATTTTGAGAAATGTCTATGCTAATCTTTTCCTTTTCTCTTTTCTTTTCTTTCTTTCCTTGATGGAGTCTGGCTCTGTCACCCAGATTGGAGTGCAGTGGTGCAATCTCGGCTCACTGCAGCCTCCACCTGCTGGGTTCAAGCAATTCTCCTGCATCAGCCTCCCTAGTAGTTGAGATTGCAGGCATGGACCACAACACCTGGCTAATTTTTGTATTTTTAGTGGAGACGAGGTTTCACCATGTTGGCCAGGCTGGTCTTGAAGTCCTGACCTCAGGTGATCCACCTGCCTTGGCCTTCCAAACTGCTAGGATTAAAGGCATGAGCCACCATGCCCTTCCCTTTGGCCCATTTTTTTAACTGGATTATTAGATTTTTTCCCACGGAATTGTTTGATATCCTTATATAGTCTGTTTATTAATCTCTTGTCAGTTGGGTAGTTTGACAACATTTTCTCCCATTCTCTGGATTGTGTCTTCACTTTGTTGATTATTTTCTTTGCTGTACAGGTTTTAAACTTGATATAATTCCATTTGTCCATTTTTGCTTTGGTTACCTGTGCCTGTGGGGTATTGTTAAAGAAGTTTTGTCCAGTTTATTGCCCTGGAGAGCTTCCCCAATGTCTTCTCTTAGTATTTTCAGGCCTTTCAGTATTTAATCCATTTTGAGTTTATTTTTATATATGGCAAGAGATGGAGTCTAGTTTCATTCTTTTGCATATGAACATTCAGTTTTCCCAGCACCACTTATTGAAAAGACTGTCCTTTCCCCAGTGTATATTCTTGGAAACTTTGTCAAAAATGAGTTTACTGTAGATGTATGAATTTATTTCTAGGTTATCTATTCTCTTTCATTGGTCTATGTTTCTGTTTTTATGTCAGTACTATAATATAGTATCCTATTTTTATTGCTAAAGTTCTGTAGGATAATTTGAAGTCAGGTAACATGATTCCTCCAGTTTTCTTATTTTTGCTTAGTATAGCTTTGGCTACTCTGAGTCTTTTGTGGTTCCACATACATTTAAGAAATGTTTCTTCTATTTCTGTGAAGAATATCATTGGTATTTGGATAGGGATTACATTGAATCTCTTGAGTACTTAAGGTAGTAAGGAGATTTTAATAATATTGATTCTTCCAAAACATGAATATGGAATACCTTTCCATCGTTTTTCGTGTCTTCCTCAATTTATTGCATCAATGTTTTGTAGTTTACATTGTAGAGGTCTTTCACTTCTTTTGTTAATTCCAAAATATCTTATTTTATTTGTACCAATTGTAAATGAGATTATTTTTTCAGACTGTTCATTGTTGGCATACACAAATACTACTGATTTTTGTATGTTGAGTCTATATCCTACAACTTTACTGAATATGTTTATCAGTTCTAATAGTTTTCTTGCAATCTTTTGGTTTCTCCAACTGTAAGATAATATCAACTGCAAACGAGAAATTTGACTTCTTCATTTCCAATTTGGATTCCTTTTATTTCTCTCTCATATGAATATTCTAGCTAGGACTTCAAGTCCTATGTTGTATAACAGTGGCAAGAAGAGACATCCTTGTTGTGTTTCAAATATTACAGGAAAGGCTTTCAGTTTTTCCCCATTCAGTATAATAGCTGTGGGTCTATTTTATATAGATTTTATTATATTGAGGTATGTTCCTTCTCTACCTAGCTTTTGTGAATTTTTTTTTAATCATTAAAGGATGTTGTACTTTATCAAATGCTTTTTAGCATCAATTGAAATTATCACAAGGTTTTTAATTTTTGAAATCTGATTTGCATATATAGAACCATCCTTGCATCTCAGGGATGAAACCCATTTGTTCACTATTAATGATCTTTTTAATGTATTGTTGAATTTGGTTTGCTGGGGTTTTTTTAAAATTTTTGCATCAATATTAATCAGAGCTACTGGCTTGTAGTTTTCTTTTTTTGATGTGTCTTTGTCTGGTTTTGGTATCAGGGTAATACTGGCCTCATAGAATGAATTTGGAAGTATTTCCTTCTCCTTTATTTTTTGGAATGGTTTGAGTAGGGTTGATATTAGTTCTTCTTTAAGTGTTGGGTAGAATTCAGCGATGAAGTTATAGGGTCTCAGGTTTTTCTTTACTGGGAGACTTTTATTATGGCTTCAATCTTGTTACTTGTTATTAGTCTGTTCATGTTTTGGATTTCTTCATGGTTCAATTTTAGTAGGTTATATGTGTCTATTTCTTCAAGATTTTACAATTTATTTGCATATATTTGCTTATAGTAGCCACTAATTATCCACTAATGAATTTCTGCAGTTTCAGTTGTAATGTCTCCTGTTTCATATCTGATTTCATTTGTTTGTGTCTTCTCTCTCTCTCTCTTTTTTTTTTTACTTAATCTGGCTACAGGTCAATTTTGTTTACTTTTTTAGAAAAACATTTTTGTTTTGTTTTGTAGAATTTTGTATTGTTTTCTTCCTTTCAATTTCATTTATTTTTGCTCTGATTTTTTATTTCTTTTACTAATTTTGGGATTTGTTTGTTATTGCTTTTTCAGTTTTTTAAGACGCATTATTAAGTTGTTTTTGAAGTGTTCTTTTTTATGCAGATATTTATAACTATAATATTTCCTCTTAGTAATGCTTCTTTGTAGCCCATACATTTTGGTACGTGATGTTTCTATTATCATGTGTTTCATCAGATATTTTAAATTTCCTTCTTTATTTCTTCATTGACCCCACTGGTCATTCAGGAGCATATTGTTTAATTTCTACATGTTTGTATTCTTATCAAAATTCCTCATTATTGATTGCTAGTTTTATTCCATTGTGGTCAGAGAAGATGCTTAATTGATAGCATTTCCATTTTTTTGAATGTTTTTTAAAACTTGTTTTGTGACCTAATGTATGTTCTGTCTTTCAGAATAATCCATGTGCTGAGAAAAAGAATGTGTATTCTGCAATTGTTGGATGAAAGCTTTATATATTTATTAGGTATGTTTGTTCTATAGTGCACATTAAGTCTGATTTTTGTTGTTGTTAATTTTCTGTCTAGATGACCTGTCCAATGCTGAAAGTGTGGTGTTGAAGTCTCCAGCTATTATCTTGGGGTCTGCCTGTCTCTTTAACTCTAACAATATTTGATTTATATATCTGGGTGCTCCAGTGTTGGGAACATGCATATTTACAATTGTTATATCCTCTTTCTAAGTTAACCCCTTTATTGTTATGTGGTAAACTTATTTCTCTCTTTTTATAGATTCTGATATAGGTATACCTACTTCTGCTCTTTTTCACTGTTTACTGGTATGGAATATATTTTTACATTGCTTTATTTTTATCATTTGAAGATCATTATTAGTGAAGTGTATTTCTTGTTGGCAACAGATCACTGGGTCTTTTTTTTTTTTATAATCCATTCAACCACTCTACATCATTTAATTGGAAAGTTTAGTTCATTTACAATCAATGTTATCATTGGTAAGTAAGAATGTATTACTTTCATTTTGTTATTTGTTTTCTGGTCATTTTATGGCATTCTCTTCATTTTATTTTCTTTCTTCCTGTCTTCCATTTAGTGAAGGTGGTATTTCTCTGGTGATATGATTAAATTCCTTGCTTTTCATTTTTTGTAAAAATATTGTATGTGTTTTTATTTGAGGTTACCATAAGGCTTTTAAATACTGTATTATAACCCATCATTTTAATCTGATAACAACTTTAAAATATTTTTGTAAACAAACAAACATAAAGTTAACTAATTACATTGTAACAGCATCTTTTTGCTTTTTATCTTTTTCTTTTTACTATTTATATCTTATTGTACTTTCTATGCCTTGAAAAGTTTTCTAGTCGTTAGTTTTGATTTTTTCATTGTTTAGTCTTTCTACTTAAGAGTAGTTAATGCATCACAATTACAGTGTTATAATAGTCTGTGTTTTTCTGTGTATTTATTTTTACTGGTTAGCTTTCACTTTTCAATAATTTCTGACTGCTCATTAACATCCTTTACTTTCTTAATGAATTACTCCCTTTATCATTTCTTCTGGGACAGATCTGGTGTTAATGAAACTCCTCAACTTTTTTGTTTGTTTTGGTCTGGAAAATTCTATATTTCTCTTTTATGTTCAGAGGGACTTTTCCCTGGATATACTATTCTTGGGTAAAAGCATTTTTCCTTAAGCAACTTAAATATATCCTGCCACTCTCTGCTGGCCTGTCTGTAAGGTTTCCACTGAAAAGTCTGCTGCCAGACATATTGGAGCTCCATTGTATGTTTTTTTGTTGTTGTTTTTTGTTTTTGTTTTTTTTTTTGTTTGTTTTTTATCTTGCTGTTTTTAGGATTCTTTATTCTTGACCTTTGGGTGTTTGCTTAATAAATACCTTGAGGTCATCTTCTTTGGGTTAGATCTACTTGATGTTTTATAACTTTCTTGTACTTGGGTATGGATATCTTTCTTAAGATTTAGGACTTTCTTTGTTACTACCCCTTGAATAATCTTTCTACCCCATCTCTTTCTCTACCTCCTGTTTAAGGCCATGAATCTTAGATTTTTCCATTTGAGGCTATATTCTCGATCTTGTAGGCATGCTTTATGATTTTTTATTCTTTTTTTTGTCTTCTCTGACTGTATTTTCAAGTAGCCTGTCTTCAAGCTCACTAATTCTTTTTTCTGCTTGATCCATTCTGCTATTAAAGGACTCTAATGCATTTGTCAGTATATCTATTGCATTTTTGAGCTATTGAATTTCTGCTTGATTCTTTCTAATTGTTTCAATCTCTTTGTTAAATTAATCTGGTAGAATTCTGAATACTTTCTCCGTGTTAAATTGAATTTCTTTTATTTTCCTCAAAATGCTATGTTGAGTTATCTGACTAAAAGATCACATATCTCTATTTCTCCAGGACTGGTGGTCCCTGGTAATTTGGTTCAATTGCAGAGACCATTTTTTTTTCCTGGATGGTTTTGATACTTATGGGTGTTCCTCTGTGTTTAGGCATTGAAGAGTGATGTATTTATTGCAGTCTTCACAGCCTGGGTTTGTTTGTACCTGTTCTTCTGGGAAAGTCTATCTACATATTCAAAAGGACTTGGATGTTGTGAACTAAGCTGTATGTATCTGCATTACAGTTTTGGAAACACAAATATCACTCTATAGACACACATGTTACTATATCATGCTTTAGAAAAAGAAAATGTGCTTCCATGCATTTTAGACTAATTAACTCATTCAACTGTTCCACAAGCCAGGTACTTTAGTTGTGGTTTTGATAGATAAGATACTTAATGATGCAAAGGATTTGAAGCTATACTGGTAGGAAGCAATAATCCTGAATTTGAAGCTCTGGTCTCATTAAACTCAAGAACTTGTAATATTCCACTATTCTATAAATGGTTTGCCAAATAGTCAATTTTTAATTATCCATATATAAATTATCAACAGCAGTCACCAGCTCATAAATCAAAACTTTGATATATTTTTCTTTAATTTTAAGTTTATTTATACATATTTTTATGGTGGAAAAATTGGCAAAAAGTTATCATTTTATGTGAGAATTGTTTGTAATTTTTAAAAAAATTATTTTATAAAGCTTTATTGACCACCCTTGTTGTGTCTTATAACCTGGGGAATCATTTTTATTTTCAGTTCTAGACTATGAAGAATTGATTCCAAATCTGCATAGCATATCTGGATAGAAATGAATGAAATTCTGGCCAATTTTTGAGTCTATGCCTATAAAGTTAGATGAGACAAAGCTGCCAAGTATTACAAATCCAGTCTGGTTTTTTTATGCTTGGAAAACTGTTACTCCTCTTTCACACATTTTTCATAGTCTCTACATAAATTAGTAGAATGTAGGTCCTATTCAGTTACATACAAATGTGTAAATTGACCAAATTTGAGAATTATTTCCAAAGACTAACAAGAAGTTGTTAAAAGAAAAATAACTGTTGACAAATCATAAAATTTCGTGCAAATACAATCTGCTTGCAAGAATAGATCTAAAGAGGAAAACACGGAATGTGCAGAAAAGAAAAGGAAAAACAAGAAAGATTGCTTTAGAAGCTGTCAAAATGTTGTTATACAGATTTTTTTCATAAATCTACCACAATATTCAATTATTATATTGAAATTCTGTGCTATAATATTTCAATCAACGTTGACAGTGCTCTCTATTCATTTGAATTAATGAATACTGGAATAACTTTTTTCATTGCTCAAATAAATTAAACTTTCAGTCGTTTCTGACTTGTTCACACAGTGCAATTAACCAGTTCCAGAGTAACTATTAATCAAAAAGTCATTTAATCTTTATTCTATTTACATGACACCTTGTTAACATTATTGGCTACACAGTTCTCCAATCTTTCCATTTTCATTTCCCAAATTTCCTACTCTTGTAAATGGTTTGCCTTCCTGCCTTAAGACATTTGTGTTTTTACCTTGAGATGTTATGAGAGTTTTGGTATTTTAGGTTCTTTTTCTGCTGAATGAAGAAATAGGATCTACATACCTCAGAAAAGGGAATATTGGTGTTTTTTGTTTTTTGTTTGTTTATTTGTTTTTGAGACGGACTCTCGCTTTTGTTGACCAAGCTGGAGTGCAATGGCGTGATCTTGGCTCACTGCAACCTCCGCCTCCTGGGTTCAAGCGATTCTCCTGCCTCAGCCTCCTGAGTAGCTGGGATTACAGGCGCGCACCGCCACGCCTGGGTAATTTTGTGTATTTTTAGTAGAGACGGGGTTTCACCATGTTAGCCAGGCTGGTCTCAAACTCCTGACCTCAAGTGACCCGCCCGCCTTGGCCTCTCAAAGTGCTGGGATTACATGCGTGAACTACCACGCCCAGCCAATATTGGTATTCTTAAGTAAAAGAAACAAGTATAGAGAAGATAGATTTCGCAGGTACAAGAAAAATAAATAACATTATAAAATAGGCCTCAATAAATCAGGCCACCATATTAGAGGATTACAGGAGAAGGTCATACCCCTAGGAAATTGGAGTGATGTGTGTGTGTGTGTGTGTGTGTGTGTGTGTGTGTGTGTGTGTATGTGTGTGTGTGAGAGAGAGAGAAGTAAACAATGAAAGAGAGAGGAAAAAATAGATAGATAGTTAGAGATACAGAAAGACTGACTAACTGGATTTGTTTTTGTGTTTCTTATGTCTAGTAATATTTAATGAACTCTTTTTTTCTATCAGTTGGCATATCAAATGTGAAAAAGAGAATAATAATGCGCTAATAAAGTATAAAACCCCCAACTCAATCGGGTGATCCTGTGGGAGTGAGGTTACTGAAAATAGGAAAATTAGTATGAGTTTTGTGTTTGTGTTTCTTACTGGAAGAAAACAGACATTTTTTTCTCCAAAGATAGGCAAGGCCCCAAAGTCCCTTTTTGTAGTACTTTCAAACTACAAACACAGCTAATGTTATAGAATGTCTCCTTTGCTCATAAAAAACATGATTAATCGGAGCAAATTTAAATGTACTGTGTCATCGGCATGGCCTTTTCTTTTCAATTAAAAGAATGCCACAAATTAAATCATACCAATATTTGAATGAATTATGCATATTTTCTAATTAGGAAGAGTGGTGTACTTATTTTTATAACATTCGTGAATTTTTAAAGAATAAAAGAAAGTGGACTGAATTCACAACTTAAATGTGCAGTAGAATTGATAGATAACAGTCCATTAAACATGCTGCCACTGTGCTTTATCTACTTAACAGCATGGAGAACTAGATCAAATTATTTTCCAACTGCATCTTATTTGTATATATGATCCAATTTTATGTAACATTAAATTTTCTTAAACAATTTATTGGTGCTTCCTAAAATTATTTCCAGGAATAATATTTACACCTGTGTTTATATAATAGAAATTGGAAAAATATGAATTTTTAATCAGTTCTATAAAAAATGCAGTGATTGAATCAAAGTAATCAGTAATTGATTATCCATCTCTAGGTAGGCCAACTTCAAAATTATTAAATCAAGAAATAAGAAAAATGTTGCTGTAAGTTTTCTTATGTGCCTACTTAAAATATTATTTTTTAAATGTATAAACATATATAATTATATTTATTTGTTATTGATAGGAAGTGCCAAAAATCAAAATACCTCTTCAAATGGATATTTTGTTTCAAAACTTTTGTCTTCTCTAGTAAAAGTATCTGAAACTTGATGATGCTGAATACATTTATTATGAATTAATAATTATTTTATTAGCATTTTCAAATGTCAGAGGATGTGACTAATATTCTAATGTAATAATTTTCCAATAATATTACTTGTCCAAATGTAATAATATAAAAGGAAGGAATTCCATTTTGCCTTCACAATTAATATGGTTTTCTAAAAATTAAAAATATAGATAAAATTAATCTGAAAAATTAAATTTTTCTCACTGCAAAGCACATGAACAGACAGATGTTGCTTCAAAATAGTTGTGTATGTGTGAGTGTTTTGCTAATGAGAGTGCTAAAAAGGGGGCCCTAAGTCTAAAGAATAAAGAGGCTTTTAAATTAAAAATAAATGAGATAATAGCTATAAGTGCTTCTTGTTTTGAGCCTTTTGAAAAGCCCAGGTCCTTCTAATACTTATAAAAATAGAATATTATCTGTAAACTTTAATGAAATAAAATCAAATGTATAGAATTATAAACAATCAACAGTACAATAATTGTCCAGAAATGCTCCTCCAGTCAATTTTTCATCTTTTTTAAGAAGTATATGTTGACAAAAGCAGATTACATAAAACAAGGACTTTCTTAATAGTGAGTCCTCTTATATGCAAGGACTTCTTAAAAGTGTCTTAGATGCAAACTTGTGTCACTCTGAATAACTTTATGTAATTCCAGGTGATATATATAAGGTGTACTAAGTGAAAGAATTTTACAAGTATAAAGCTCACCCTGGAAAAATATTTACAGCATATGAATAAAATACCATAGGGAGTGAAGTGCTTTATATGGATTTTCTCTTAATCATTTTTTCCATATACAACTTCCAACAAATATTAAAACGGTGTATTGTAATTTTTAAAATAAAACAATGACTCCCATATTAAAAAATGCCTTAAGAATTTAAAATTAGGACACAATTATAATTTTAAATATATATGTAGATATGTATGCATATATGTGTATGTTTGAGTCTTTACATACATATGTAAATAATTATTTTCAAATCATTCATTAATGCAGACTCAAAAGTGAATATTCAACTTTTAAATTATATATTATTTGTTTGAGATATTCCTTGTATCTCTTTAGATTTCAGAGCTAATTTGAATCTTTTAGAGACCATCTTTACTACTGTAAAAGCTCTAGAGATTTTGTATTAGGACAATCTGCTGGAGACATCTTTGTGTCCTGAAAGAGCTGTATATGGTTACCATCTCATCGGAACCACTTTTTATATATTTAAGGAATATATTACCTTTAAAAAATTATTTTCTTTTAAAATTTTAGGTATATTAGAAGCATGGAAGGAAACAATTTGTAAACATGAATAAATTTATTTTCAAATCTTTTTAGAAACTGTCACTGTCCCAAAATTCTATTTGTTCCCTCTCCAAAGAATTTTAATAAATACAATCTGCCTCACCATTTATGTTTTTTTTTCTTTTGTCTCCCCCTTAATCATTTGCTTCCCTCATAGTCACCATTGTCGTCTGAAAACTCTTGGCACATACAGAAATCCTTGGCCAGGTGAAACATTCTTAACATTTTATTTCTACTGTTTATATTTTTCCTGTTAAACTTCTGACATTCTGTATACTAGCCCATCACCCCAATCATATTTTTGAATATGTTCTCTGATATTAATAACAAATATGATAATTTTTAAAATTAAAGAGTGTCTTTTGGGAGCAAGAGGTTTGACATACAGAAAGATATAGTACAAAATATGAGTGTTCAAAATTTAGAAAACCAACTAGAGAATAGAATACATGTTCAACTTTCTCTTCAATCTAAATTTTTGAAATGTATCTGTGTACAGACATTTTACATGGTAAAAATTCTCATAGACCTTCATTTATAGAAATGTAAAAAATGTAGTGATGTTAGAAAAGGCTAGAAAATCTCTGTGATTATACTATATATGATGGCAATGTTGAATAAAATAAAACAAAAGAAAACTAGGGTTCAAGAAAATGAACTGTTCACACTGTTGAATTATCCTTTTGTTACCCTAATACTCAGAATTCGATACATACAACCAAAGATGTCACACTAACAATGAAAACTAGTTTCCTACTAGTTGAACTGCTATTTGTTCTTATATTTAAAAATAAAAAAAAATCTACATTTAACCCTGAAACAACACAGGGATTACAGTCATCAAATCCCCATACAGTTAAAAATCCACATATAACTTTTAACTGCCCCAAAACTTAACTATTACTAATAACCTACTGTTGACTAGAAGCCTTACTGATAATACAAACGTTAAATTAACACATATTTCGTATTTTATATGTATTGTATGCTGTATTCTTACCATAAAGCAAACTAGAATGAAGAAAATCTTCTTTAGAAAATTATAAGAAAAAATACATTTACAGTATTGTAATGTTTTTATTCATTAGTACCATAAGTTTATTTTGCCCATTTTTAAGATGTATTGCCTGTCTAAAATGACAGGAAACTACAGCTGCTGACCCCACTTTATGGTACATATCAAGCAATTCAACTTTTTCTTGTATTGTCATGACTTTTTTCTGCTTCTTGGGAACACTTCCCGCATCATTAGTGGCACTTAATTTTGGTCCCATGGTGTTACTCAAGGTTTACGGTATTGCACTACACATGATTAAAAAATACACACGAGAACTGCAAGAGATCACTTTTTACTGCAAAATGTAATTTACTGGAAAGAGGAAATGGTAACGTGGCCATGATGAGCGTCACACAGCGTTTTAAGCAGATACTCACAATGGGAGATCATCACAATAGCAACAGGAGGTGGCTGTGAAATTATTACAGAAGTACTGTATGGAGTAGAGTCAATTTTATGCTGTAATTTAATACTGTATCTTTATGTTTGTTTACATTTCTCCCAACGGTGAATGGTGCCATGGACAGTCTGAAAGTGTTTGTGTGTATATGTTTTGATAAATGTCAACTACTTATAATAGATTTGTATGTATTTTATGGTAAGAAAAAATAAATTGATATCTGCATGTATTTTAGGCATTTGTGACATCTCCAACTGTTTTCTTATTTTTTCAATAGCTCTAGGCTATAGTTTGTGAGATTTTTCAAATTTTTAAAAATCTCTAAAAAATGTTCTAATATATTTATTGAAGAAAATCCACATATAAGTGGACCTGGGCAGTTCAAATCTGTGTTGTTCAAGGATCAACTGTAGATATATATATATATATATATATATATATACACACACACACACACACACACATATGTATGTATATATGTATGTGATCATATATATATGATCAACTGTATATATTACACACATACATATATATGTATGTATGTATATGTATGTATGTATATATGTGTGTATATATACAACTTTAAAAAAGACAGATAACATTGTATGTTTTATTGTATACAACATGATGGTTTTGAAGTACATATACATTGTGAGATAGTTAAATCTAGCCAATTAACAAGTGTCTTACCTTCACATAGTTATCATTTTGGTGGTAAGAGCACATAGCATTCACTCTACATTTTTCGAGAATACAACATATAATCATTAACTAGAGTCAAGCTGCTTTACAATTGATCTTTTGAATTTTTTTTCTTCTGTTTAACAATAATTATGTATTTTTTTCTTTTTATATTATTATTATACTTTCAGCTCTGGGATACATGTGCAGAACGTGCAGGTTTGTTACATAGGTATACATGTGCTATGGTGGTTTACTGCATCCATAAACCCATCATCAACATTAGGTATTTCTCATAATGTTATCCTTCCCCTTCCCCCAATCCTCTGCCAGGCCTGAGTGTGTGACGTTCCCCTCCCTGTGTCCATGTATTCTCATTGGTCAACTCCCACTTACGAGTGAGAACATGCAGCGTTTGGTTTTCTGTTCCTGTGTTAGTTTTCTGAGGATGATGGTTTTCAGCTTCATCCATATCCCTGCAAAGGATATGAACTCATCCTTTCTAATGGCTGCATAGTATTCCATTGTGTATATATGCCACATTTCTTTTAATCCAGTCTATCATTGATGGGCATTTGGGTTGGTTCCAAGTTTTTGCTATTGTGAATAGTGCTGCAATAGACATACATGTGCATGTGTCTTTATAGAATGATTTATACTTCTTTGTACATATACTCAGTAACAGGATTGCTGGGTCAAATGGTATTTCTGGTTCTAGATCCTTGAGGAATCACCACACTGTCTTCCACAATGGTTGAACTAATTTAAACTCCCACCAACAGTGTAAAAGCATTCCTATTTCTCCACATCCTCTCCATCTTCTGTTGTTTCCTGACTTTTTAATGATCGCCATTCTAACTGGTGTGAGTTGGTATCTCATTGTGCTTTTGATGTTAATTTCTCTAATGACCAGTGATGATGAGCTTTTTTGCATATGTTTGTTGGCCGAATAAATGTCTTCTTTTGAGAAGTGTCTGTTAACATCCTTTGTCCTCTTTTTGGTGGTTTTTTTGTTTTTTTTTTTTTCTTGTAAATTTGTTTAAGTTCCTTGCATATTCTGGATATGGGCCCTTTGTCAGATGGATAGTTTGCAAAAATTTTCTCCCATTCTGTAGGTTGCCTGTTTGCTCTGATGATAATTTCTTCTGTTGTGAAGAAGCTCTTTTGTTTAATTAGATCCAATTTGTCAATTTTGGTTTTTGTTGCCATTGCTATTGGTGTTTTAGTCATGAAGTCTTTGACCATGCCTATGTCCTGAATGGTATTGCCTAGGTTTTCTTTTAGGGTTTTTAAGGTTTTAGGTCTTATATTTAAGTCTTTAATCTATCTTGAGTTAATTTTTGTAAGGAAGGGGACCAGTTTCACTTTTATGCATATGGCTAGCCAGTTTTCCCAGCACAATTTATTAAATAGAGAATCCTTTCTCTGTTGCTTTTGTCAGGTTTGTCAAAGATCAGATTGCTGTAAATGTGCGGCATTACTTCTGAGGCCTCTCTTCTGTTCCATTGTCCTATATATCTGTTTTGGTAAAAATACCACTGTTGTGGTACAAATGCCACACTGTTTTTGTTACTGTAGCCTTGTAGTATATTTTGAAGTCAGGTAGCATGATGCCTCCAGCTTTGTTCTTTTTGCTTAGGATCATCTTGGTTTACGGTCTCTTTCTTTGTTCCATATGAAATTTAAAGTAGTTCTTTTTTCTAATTCTGAAGAAAGTCAATGGTAGCTTGATGGGAATAGTATTGATTCTGTATATTACTTTGGGCAGTATGGCCATTTTCATAATATTGATTCTTCCTATCCATGAGCATGGTATGTTTTTCCATATGTTTGTGTCCTCTCTTATTAACTTGAGCAGTGGCTTGTACTTCACTATGAGGAGGTCCTTCACATTCCTTTTAAGTTATATTCCCAGAATTCCCAGATAATTTATTCTGTTTGTAGCAATTGTGGATGACAGTTTATTCAAGATTCGGCTCTCTGTCTATTATTGGTGTATAGGAATGCATGTGATTTTTGCACATTGATTTTGTATCCTGAGACGTGGCTGAAGTTGCTTATCAGCTTAAGGAGTTTATGGGCTAAGACAAAGGGGTTTTCTAAATATACAATCGGGTCATCTGCAAACAGAGACAATTTGACTTCCTCTCTTCCTGTTTGAATATGCTTTATTTCTTTCTCTTGCTTGATTGCCCCAGCGAGAACTTCCAATACTATGTTCAATAGTAGTGGTGAGAGAGGACATTGTTGTCTTGTGCCAGTTTTCAAAGGGAATGCTTCCAGCTTTTGCCCATTCAGTATGATGTTGGCTGTGAGTTTGTCACAAATAGCTCTTATTATTTTGAGATGCATTCCATCAATACCTAGTTTATTGAGTGTTTTATCATGAAAGGGTGTTGAATTTTATCAAAGGCCTTTTCTACATCTATTGACATAATCATGTGTTTTTTGTCATTGGTTCTGTTTATGTGATGGATTACATTTATTGATTTGTGTATGTTGAACCAGCCTTGCATCCCAGGGATGAAGCCAACTTAATTGTGGCAGATAAGCTTTTTGATGTGCTGCTGGATTTGGTTTGCCAGTATTTTATTGAGGATTTTTGCATCGATGTTCTTCAAGGATATTGGCCTGAAATTTTCTTTTTTTGTTGTGTCTCTGCCAGGTTTTGGTATTAGGATGATTCTGGCATCATAAAATGAGTTAGCGAGGAGTCCCTCTTTTTATATTGTTTGGAACAGTTTCAGAAGATATGGTTCCAGCTCCTCTTTGTACCTCTGGTAGAATTCAGCTGTAAATCTGTCTGGTCCTGGGCTTTGTTTTGGTTGGTAGGCTATTAATTACTGCTTCTATTTCAGAACTTCTTGTCTTCTGCTAGCTTTTGAATTTGTTTGCACTTGCATTTCTAGATTCTGTAACTGTGATGTTAGGGTGTTGATATTAGATCTTTCCTGCTTTCTCCTGTGGGAATTTAGTGTATAAATTTCCCTTTAAACACTGCTTTAGCTGTGTTCCAGAGATTTTGGTACATTGTGTCTTTGTTCTCATTGGTTTCAAATAACTTATTTATTTCTGCCTTAATTTTGTTATTTACTCAGTAGTCATTCAGGAGCAGGTTGTACAGTTTCCGTGTAGTTGTGTGATTTTGAGTGAGTTTCTTAATCTTGAGTTCTAATTTGATTGCACTGTGGTCTGAGAAACTGTTTGTTATGATTTCTGTTCCTTTACATTTGCTGAGGAGTGTTTTATTTCCAATTATGTGGTCAATTTTAAAATAAGTGCTATGTGGTGCTGAGAAGAATGTATAGTCTGTTGATTTGGGGTGTAGAGTTCTGTAGAAGTCTACTAGGTCCACTTGGTCCAGAGCTGAGTTCAAGTCCTTAATATCCTTGTTAATTTTCTGTCTCATTGATCTGTGTAATATTGACAGTGGGGTGCTAAAGTCTCCAACTATTTTTGTGTGGAAGTCTAAGTCTATTTGTAGGTCTCTAAGAACTTGCTTTATGAATCTAGGTGCTCCTGTGTTGGGTGCATATATATGTAGGATAGTTAGCTCTTCTTGTTTCAATGATCCCTTCACCATTATGTATCACCTTCTTTGTCTTTTTTTTTTTTTATCTTTTTTGGTTTAAATTCTGTTTTATCAGAGACTAGGATTGCAACCCCTGCTTTTTTTTTTCTTTCCATTTGATTGGTAAATGTTTCTCCATCCCTTTATTTTGAGCCTATGTGCGTCTTTGCATGTGAGATGGGTCTCCTGAATACAGCACATTTATGGGTCTTGACTCTATCCAATTTGCCAGTCTGTGTCTTTTAATTGGAGCATTTAGCCCATTTATATTTAAAGTTAATATTGTTATGTGTGAATTTGATCCTGTCTTCATGATGCTAGCTGGTTATTTTGGACATTAGTTGACGCAGTTTCTTCATAGTGTTGTTGGTCTTTATATTTTGGTATGTTTTTGCAGTAGCTGGTACCAGTTTTTCCTTCAGGAGCTCTTGTAAGTCAGGCCTGATGGTTACAAAATCCCTCAGCATTTGCTTGTCTGTAAAAGATTTTATTTCTCCTTCACTTATAAAGCTTAGTTTGGCTGGATATGAAATTCTGGGTTGAAAATGCTTTTCTTTAAGAATGTTGAATATTGGCCTCCACTCTTCTGGCTGTAGGGTTTCTTCAGAGAGATCTGCTGTTAGTCTGGTGGGCTTCCTTTTGTGGGTAACTTGGCCTTTCTCTCTGGCTCACTTAACATTTTTTCCTTTGTTTCAACCTTGGTGAATCTGACGATTATGTGTCTTGGGGTTGCTCTTCTTGAGGAGTATTTTAGTGGTGTTTTCTGTATTTCCTGAATTTGAATGTTGGCCTGGCTCCCTGGCTTCAGCCCCCTTTCCAGGGAAATGAACAGTTCTGTCTTGCTAGGGTTCCAGGTGCCACTGGGGTATCAAACAAACAAACAAACAAACAAAAACAAAAACAAACAAACAAAAAATCCTCCTGCAGCTAGCTCAGTGTCTGCTCAAAAGGCCACCCAGTTTTGTGCCTGAAACCCAGGGTCCTGGTGGAGTAGGCATCCGAGGGAATCTCCTGGTCTTTGGGTTGTAAAAACTGTGAGAAAAGCATAGGAAAAAGCATAGTATCTGGGCCGGATAGCACTGTCCCTCACAGCACAGTGCCTCACGGCTTCCCTTGGCTAGGGGAGGGAATTCCCCAACCCCTTGCACTTCCTGGGTGAGGCGATGTCCCACCTTCCTTCAGCTCACCCTCTGTGGGCTGTCCCCATTGTCTAACCAGTCCCAGTGTAGTGAGCCGGGTACCTCAGTTGGAAATGCAGAAATCACTTCTCTATTGGTCTCACTGAGAGCTGCAGACGAGAGCTATTCGTATTCGGCCACCTTGCCCGGAACCCTGCAATTTAATTACGTATCTTTTAATCAATGTCTTCCCACCTCCTTCTCCTTTCTAACCATAGCATCTTTCAGTAAACACCAGTCTAATGTCTACTTTCATGTCATTAACTTTTAAGATTCTACATATGAATGATATCATGCAGTACTTATCTTTCTGCATCTGGCTTATTTCATTTAAAATGTCCTCCAAGTTCATTTGTGTTGTAAGAAATGACAGTATTTCATCCCTTTTTACAGCTGAGAAATATTTCTTTTTGTGTGGGTATGTGTATTTATGTGCACATACATGCACACATGCATATATATATATATCACATTTTCGTTATCCATTCATCCATTGAAGGACACATAGATTGATTCTATGTGTTACTTATTGTGCTGTAATAAACAATGGAGCGTAGATATCTCATACATATGTGCCTGTCTTTCTGTGTGCGTGTGCATGTGTGTGTGTGTCTTCTTAAAAAACATATCTAATAATCAAAACTTTTACACTTCATCATATTGCTGATAGCTTTTGATAATTGGATACATTTTTGACATAGGTTTCCACTTTGTAGTCTATTATGATTATTTCAACTTGATTATATTTTATAACTAGCTCAATTCTTCTGGTAGGAAATAAGATAAATAGCCACATATTTGTCTTTTAACCTTCTCTCAAGTCTGTATGAAGCATGTAGACATGGTACACAGATCAAAGCAGATAGGCTCAGGTAACTCCTATATAAATAGTGTGTAATATTTCTACCACCTTGTTGAAATTATTTGATATATTGATTTTAGGGTTATTTATGACTGCCAAATTTAACTCCTAGAAAACATGAAATTGGTACTTAACTTAGGGTCTTTCTGCCTTGATGTCAACCCTGGTTATACTACAAACTAATGTGTGAAATTGACTTTGAATCAGCTTTAAGATCTTGAGTACATAAACTAACTTTTTCATGATCCTCTTTTCATATATTAAGTGAAAGTGTTGAATGAGATAATATTTAATTTTGCATGATATTAAAGCCACCAATTTTTTAGTGAAATGGGAGTTCACCAAGCACCAGTTCTCCCATCTGTGTCTGTTGCCTTTCTTCTTAATGTTCAGAAATGGTTTGGTTTACCCTGAGAACAAGAAAAATACAAGGATGTCCCCTCTCGCCACTCCTATTCAACACAGTACTGGAAATCCTAGCAAGAGCAATCAGACAACAGAAAGAGATAAAAAGCACACAAATAAGAAGAAGAAGTCAAACTATCTTTCATTGATGATATGAAGATATACACAGAAAACCCTAAAGAGTCCACCAAAAGCCTCGTAGGACTAATAAACAGATTCAGTATTTTCAGGATAAAAAAATCAATGCAAAAAATTAGTGGCTTTTTTATACACCAATAATATTTTAGCTGAGAACCAAATCAGGAATACAATTCCACTTAAATTAGCCACAAAGAAAATAAAATACCTAGGAATTTATCTAATATAGGAGGTGAAAGATCTCTACAAATAGAACTACAAAATGCTGAAGAAATCAGAGATCACACAAATAAATGGAAAAATATTTTATGTTCATGGATTGGGAAAAGCAATATAGTTAAAATAGCCATACTGTCCAAAGCAATTTAAAGATTCAACACTATCACTATCAAAATACCAACCTCATTTTTCACAGAATTAGAAAAAAGAAAAAAACTATTCTAAATTGTATTTAGAAGAAAAAAAGTGCCGGAATAGCCAAAGCAATCCTCAGCAATAAAAGTAAGGCTAGAGGCATTACATTACCCGACTTCAAAATACACTAAAATGCTACAGTACCAAAAGAGCATGATACTGGAGCAAAAACTGACACATAGACAAGTGGAACAAATAGAGAACTCAGAAATAAACCTACAAGTCTACAGCCACCTGATGATTGAAAAAATTAACAAAAATAAGCAATGGGGAAAGGATTCCTTTTTCAGTAAATGGTGCTGGGATAACTGTCTAGCTCTGTGTAGATTAAAAGAAACTGAACTGTACCTCTCACCTTATACAAAACTTAAGATGGATTAAAGATGTAAACATAAGAGAGAAAGCTGTAAGAATTTTAGAAGAAAATCTAGGAAATACCCTTCAACATAGTCTTTGGCAAGGAATTTATGGCTAAATACCCAAAAGCAATTGCCACAAAAACAAAAACTGATAAATGGGTTCTGATTAAATTAAAGAGCTTCTCCACAGTAAAAACAAAATAACAGCAACAACAACAAAAACAACAATTACTAACACAGTAAACAGAAAGCCTACAGAATGAAAGAAAATATTCACGAACTATGCATCTGACAAAGGTCTAATATCCAGTATCTACAAGGAACTTAAACAAATCAACAAGCGAAAAAACAGAACAAAAACAAATCAAGTAAAAACGGGCAAAGGACATGAACAGACACTTCTTACAAGAAGACATACAAGTGGCCAACAAACATGAAAAAAATGTTCAACATCACTAATCACAGAAATGAGAATCAAAATCAATATGAGATACCATCTCACACCAATTAGAATAATGATTTTTAAGAAGTTGAAAAACTACGGATGCAGGTGAGGCTGTGGAGAAAAGGAAACATATACATTGTTGGTGGGAAAATAAACTAGTTAAGGCACTGTGTAAATCAGTTTGGAGATTTCTCAAAGGACTTAAAATAGAACTACCTTTTGACTCAGCAATTCCACTACTGGATACATACTTCAAGGAAAATAATTCATTCTATTAAAAAGACGCATGTACCTGCAGGTTCATTGCAGCACTAATCACAATAACAAAGACAAAAAATAAATCTAGGCACCCATCCATGTGGATTAGATAAAGAAAACTCGGTACATATACACAATGGAGTACTATTCAGTCATAAAAAAGAACAAAATTATGTCCTTTGCAGCAACCTGGATGGAGCTGCAGGCCATTATCCTAAGCAAACTAATGCAATAACAGAAAACCAAATACCTCATGTTCTCACTTACAAGTGGGAGCTAAACACTGAATAAATTGAACATAAGGATAGGAACAATAGACACTGGAGAAAACTAGACAGGGGAGGAAGGAGGCGGGGAAGAGCTGAAGAACCACCTGCTGGGTACTATGCTTACTACCAGTGTGACAGGATTGTTGGTAATCCAAGCCTTAGAGTCACACAGTTTACCCATGTAACAAACCTGCATGTGTACCCTTTAATCTATAAAAAAAGTTGAAATTGTATAAAAATTATTTTACTTAGAGAAGCTTTTCATAGGTGTTATGACTCTGTAAATTATATGCTGAAGAAGGCTTGAATCTGGACTCAGAAGTTAAAACTCATTGGGCTTTTGCTGAAAGCTATTTTAATATTATAATCTTCTGACATTGTTTTAGAAAAGTAGAAATGGTAAAGGTAAACTGGGTTAAAAATGTATATTGTATACCCAAATGTGCAACAAAAACATAATTTCCTTTTTTAATATAGTTTATCCCTGTCATAATCTGTTCTCAACAAAGTACCAAAAAATTCTTATACCAGTTTCTTTCGGCTTGAATAAAGTTTTTGGAGAGATGGATCCTTAAAGGGGATATTTTTTCTCTCTGTTTTCTTCTCCTTAAGTATGGTGAAGGGGGAAGAATTTGGTTATGATAAAAAGGAAAAGGAAAAAAGAAAAGTCAGTTTTGGCTTTGCACTTGAAAGCTTCCAGGTATAGCACATATGTGTTTTTTTCTCTGAGCAACTATATTTCTATATCCTTACCATATTCCTTATTCTACTGATTGACTTCATTGCCTGGTGGGAACTTCAAATAGTAAAAGTTGTAGCTCAAGGTTCTCAGCAGCAGCTGGCTTGGAATTTCAGAGATACTAGAAGCCTGATGCTTAGATCTGTATGCCCACTCCTGACTATTGCCTAGAAGAGTTTGACATTTTTAGAAGGAAAATATGAATAAAACAGAGATCAACATTTTAATATAGTATTTCAATGTATTGTTTATATTAGAAAAATTGTTTAATTAAAATTGAGATTATATATGATTGCTAAGTAATATTTACTTATTAATATATCTGTAAACACATACATTTATGTCCATATACAAACGTGCCTTATTTTATTGTGTTTTGTTTTGTTATATTTGATCTTGTGTCTCTGACACATTGAAAGTTTGTGGCAATGCTGTGTTGAGGAAGTTTATTGGTGCCAGTTCCTTCACGGCTTGCTCACTTTGTATCTCTGCAACACATTTGGATAATTCTTGTAATATTTCAAAGTTTTTCATTACTTTTTTATCTATCATGGTGATCTATGATCAATACTCTTTGATGTTATATTGTAATTATTTGTGGCACCATGAGCCATGCCTGTAAAGGATGGCAAACTCAATCAATAAATGTTGTGTGTTTTCTAGCTGCTCCACCCACTGGCCCTTCTTCTATATTTCCCTTTCTTTTTTCAGGCCTCTTTATTTCCTGAGACATAACAATATTAAAATTAGGCCAATGAATAATAACCCTACAATATTCTGTTAGTGTTTAAGTCAAAGAAAGAGTCCCACGTCTCTCACTTTAAATCAAAAACTAGATATGAGTAAGCTTAGAAAGGAAGGCATCCTGACAGCTGAAGTAGGCAGAAAGCTAGGCCTCTTGAGCCAGACAGCCAGCTAGTGAATGCAAAGAAAAACTTCTCGATGGAAATCAAAAATGCTACTACAGTAAAAATACCTATAATAAGAAAGCAAAATAGCCATTGATAGAGAAAACTTTCATGGTCTGAATAGAAGATCAAATGGGTCAGAACATTTCCTTAAACTAAAGTCTACTCCAGAGGAAACCCTTAAGTCTCTTTAATTCTATGAAGGCTGAAGAAGGGAGGAAGCTGCAGAAAGTGTGAAGAAGCTAGCAGATGTGGTCTCCTAACATCAATGTGTAAGGTGAAGTAGGAAGTGCAAATGCAGAAGCTGCAGCAAGGTATCCAGAAGAGCTAGTTAAGACCATTGATGAAGGTGGTTTCACTAAATGATAGATTCTCAATGTAAACAAAACAGCCTTCTATTGGATGAAGATACCGTCTAGGACTTACATAGCTAGAGAGGAGAAATTTCTGCTTTAAAAACTTCAAAGGAGAGGCTAACTCATTAGGGGCTAAGGCAGCTGGTGACTTTAAATTGAAGCCAATGATTATTTAACATTCAAAAAAACCTAGCGCCTTAAGAATCATGCTAAATCTGCTCTGCTTTGTTTTATCATTGCCAAATCAAAACTGAAACGACAGCATATCTGTTTATAGCATTATTTTCTGCCTATTTTAAAATCACCATTGAGATGTTATCAAAATAATTGTTTTCAAAACTGTACTGTTTAGTGACAATGCACCTAGTTACACAAGAGCTCTGATGTAGATGTACAAGGAGATTAACATTGTTTTTATGCCTGCTAATACAATATTCATGAATCAAGGACTAATTTTGGTTTTCAAGTCTTATTATCTAAGAAATACATTTTGTACAGCTGTAGCTTCCACAGACAGTGATTCCTCTGATGGATCTGGGCAAAGTAAGTTGAAAACCTTCTGGAAAGGATTCACCATTCTAAGTGCCATTAAGAACATTTGCAATTCATGAAATGAGGTCACAATATGAACATTAACAGGAAATTGGAAGAAGTTGTTTCCTACCCTCATCGATGGTTTTGAGTGGCTCAAGTTTTCGGTGGAGAAAGTAACTGTAGATGTGGTTGAAATTGCAAGTGAACTAGAATTACAAGTGGAATCTGCAAATGAGACTGAAATTCTGCAATCTAATGACAAAACTTTAATGGATGTGGAGTTGCTTTTTATGGATAAGCAAAGAAAGTGATTTCTCAATATAGAATCTATTCCTGTTGAATATGCAAACATTGTTGAAATGACAACACAGGATTTAGACTATTCCACACCTAGTTAATAAAGCAGAAGCAGAGTTTGAGAGGATTTACTCCAATTTTTTTCTTTTTGACAGTTCTCACTCTGTCATACAGGCTGAAGTGCAGTTCACAATCTCTGCTCACTGCAACCTTCACCTCCTGGGTTTAAGCAATTCTCATGCTTCAGCTTCCTTAGTAGCTGGGATTACAGATGCATGCCACCCCGCCCACCTAATTTTTGTATTTTTATTAGAGTTGGGGTTTCACCACGTTGGCCAGGCTGGTCTCGAACTCCTGACCTCAGATGATCTACCCGCCTTGGCCTCCCAAAGTTCTGGGATTACAGGCATGAGCCACCACACGTGGCCTGTTGACTCCAATTTTGAAAGAAGTTCTACTATTGGTAAAATGCTATGGAACACCATGGCATCTCTGATGTAGATGTACAAGATGCTACAGAGAATTGTTTTTTTTTTTGTAAGAGAAGTGCAAATTTGATGTGGCAAACTTCATTGTCTTATTTTAAGAAATTGCTTCAGTCACCTGAACCTTCAGCAACCACCACCCTGATCAGTTGGAAGTAGTCAACATCAAGGCAAGATCCTCTACCAGCAAAACAATTACAACTCACTGAAAGCTCAGATGATTGTTAATATTTTTTAGCAATAAAGTATTTTTAAATTAAGGTATATACATTATTTCTTTAGATGTAATGTTATTGCACACTTAACAGACTACAGTGTACTGTAGACATAATATTTACATGCATTGGGAAAAAAATTGCGTGATTCGCTTTATTGTGATATTTGCTTTATTTTACTTTTTTATTTTATTTTATTTTATTTTATTTTATTTTATTTTATTTTATTTTATTTTATGTATTCATTTATTTTGAGACGAAGTCTCGCTTTGTCGCCCAGGCAGGAGTGCAGTGTCGTGATCGTGATCTTGGTTCACTGCAACCTCCGCCTCCCAGGTTCAAGTGATTCTCATGCCTCAGCCTCCAGAGTAGCTAGGATTACAGGTGCCTGCCACCATGCCCAGGTAATTTTTGTATTTTAGTAGAGACGGGGTTTCACCATGTTGGCCAGGCTGGTCTCAAACTCTTAACCTCGGGTGATCCACCTGCCTCAGCCTCCCAAAGTGCTGGGATTACAGGCGTGAGCCACTACGCCAGCCGATATTTGCTTTTTTATGGTGATCTGGAACTGAATCTATAATATCCCCAAGGTGTGCCTGAATGTATGCTTTTTATTTGTGTAAGTTCTCCTTCAGTAACTCAGGGAATTTGTTCTAAGACCTGCTGTGGATGCTCATGTTTTTTATATAAAATGTCATAATATTTTCATAAAACCTATACACATCTTCCTGTATACTTCAAATAATCTCTAGATTACTTATAGTATCTAATAAGTACTTAACTATGTAAATAGTTGTTATACTGTATTAATTCTAAATTTGTATTGTGTTTTATTTATTTATTTTATTTTTTATCTCAATAGGTTCTTGGAGAACAGGTGGTTTTGGGTTACATGAGTAAGTTCGTTAGTGGTGATCTCTGAGATTTTGTAGTACACATCACCCAAGCAGTGTACACTGTACCCAATGTGCAGTCTTTTATTTCTCACCAACCTCTCACAATTTCCCCTAAGACCTCAAAGTCAACTGTATCATTCTTATGCCTTTGCCTTCCCATAGCTTAGCTCCCACTTATGAGTGAGAACATAGGATGTTTGATTTTTCCATTCCTGAGTTACTTTTCCTAAAATTATAGTCTAATTTCATCCAAGTTGCTGCAAATGCCATTATTTTGTTTCCTTTCATGGCTGAGGTATATCATTTCTGTTAACTCTGCTAGTTATTTCTTTTGCTGTGCAGAAGCTTTTTAGTTTAATTAAGTCCAAGCTATTTATCTTTGCTTTTGTTGCATTTGCTTTTGGGTTCTTGGTCATGAAGTCTCTGCCTAAGCCAATGTCTAGAAAGATTTTTCCCATGTTATTGTCTAGGATTTTTATGGTTTCAGGTAAGGTTTAAGTCCTTGATCCATCTTGAGTTGATTTTTGTGTAGGTGAGAGTTGAAGATCCAGTTTCATTCTTTTACATGTGGCTTTCCAATAAAGACAGCACCATTCAGCACAATTTGTTGAATAAAGTGTCCTTTCCCCACTTTATGTTTTTGTTTGCTTTGTCAAAAATCAGTTGGCTGTAAGTATTTGACTTCATTTCTGGGTTCTCTATTCTGTTCCAGTGATCTATGTGCCTATATTTATACAGGTACCATGCTGTTTTGGTGAATATAGCCTTATAGTATAGTTTGAAGTCAGGTTATATGATGCCTTCATATTTGTCCTTTTTGCTTAGTCTTGCTTTGGCTATGTGATCCCTTTTTTGGTTCCACATGAATATGAAGATTGATTTTTTTCTAGTTCTGTGAAGAATAATGGTGGTATTTTGATGGGAACTGCATTGAATTTGTAGATTGCTTTTGGCAGTATGGTCATTTTCACAATACTGATTTTACCATCCATGACAGGGGAGTGTCTGCAAGGAGCCCTGTGATGTGATCTGTCTTCAAGTCTTTCAGCCATAGATAGATACCAGCACTTCCTCCAGCGGAGGGAGCAGGGGAGTGAAGTGGACTCTCTTAGGGTCCTTGGTTGTATTTTTGTTTAGTGTGCTGGTTTTGTGTTGGTTGGTCTCCAGCCAGTATGTCACACTTTCAAGAGCACATCAGCTGCGGTTGTATAAAAAGGAATAGGTGGTGGCTGGGGCTATAGAGCTCTGAAGAGATTATGTCCTTTGTCTTTGGCAAGCAAGGAGGGTAGAGAAAGAATCCCAGGTGGGGTCAGGGATAGGCCTGTCTGAGCTCAGACTCTCCCTGGGCAAGGCTTGCTGCTGACAGGGATTGGGGTGTGGTTCTCAGGCCAATGGACTTATGTTCCCAGGGGGGATTTTGGCTGCTTTTCCTGAGTCACACAGGTCTCCAGGGAATTGGGGGAAAGCTGACAATCAGCCCTCACCCCACTCCCATGCATCCTGCAGTCCTAAAGGCCCGATCTTACTACCACTGTGCCCCCACAACAGCAAGGAGTCTATTTCCAGGCAGCTGGTGACCATGGCTAAGAACTTGCCCCAGACCACCAGCCTCCATGCTGAGAAAGTAAGCAGACTCACAATTTTTTTGGCATCTTAGTGAGCTAGCATTGGTGATCCAGTTCCTTTAAAGGGTCTGTGGATTCTCTCAGCTTTCCTTGTATGTTGTTGTGGTATTTATTGGAGCAAAACTTCATGATGTGAGTCACCACACACTGCTCTGCCTGAGCGGGAGCTGCAAGCTAGTCCTACCTCTTATCCCTCCATCTTAATACATTTTTTTTTAAGTTTTTGTATTGTTATTTTTTATTGTTCTCTTTCTGAATTTTTTAATCAGCAGTTGGCTGAATCTGCAGATGTGAAACCCTAGATAAGGAAGGCCAATTGTGTGTGTATGTGTGTGTGTAGTGGTCTGGAACTGCATTTGTACTATCTCCAATGTATGACTGAATATATGATTTAGATTTGTGTAAATTTTCCTTCAGTATCTTATATATATGTATATGTGTTTGTATGTATATATGAATATATATATATATATACACATACACATATGCATTTTTTAAATACTTTATTCGATTTTCAAAACTTTCTGGAAACAAATTATTGTTTTTGCCTTGAGAGGCAGAGTGCAGGTAGATACTCCTGTGCTATCAGCTCACAAGAGAAACTAAATTACTACCAGTGGGACTTTTTGTTCTTACTAAACCAAAATATCTGTCTTCTGATATTGAGAGATAAATTACTGCTGGGGAGTCAATCTATGATTGGCTTTTAAAAGAGAAAATTAAATGCTAGTAAGCATGTCAGACTGTACTTTTATGATATAAAATGATTTGATCCTGACTTAAAAGTAACCGTTATATGGATTATGTTTAAAGTGGGGCAGCAAGGTCTGCATCTCAACTATATTATTTTTTCTTTCATTTTGAAATGATGAAAGAAATGCTTGAAGTGATTTCTCACGTAATCACCTATTTTATGCATGTGTCATTTATCAGTGTCTGTATATGCCAAAAGTGTGTAAAAGTCTGTTTATCATTATTATGCAATTTAATAAAATGTGAATGCTTTTAATTATGGACATAGAATTTTACTTTTCATTGATTCATGATGCCATGAGAACTAGTGAATAAAGAACAATTTAATCAATTTGCTGTGAACATATAGTACATGAAGTCTGGAAGAGGATTATAAAAGAGTTAAATTATAACATAAATCAAGTAAAAAAAGTAAATTGCCTTTGAAAAAAAGGTAAATTGCCTATGAAAATGCCCAATGTTTTTTCAACACATTCTGTAGGGAATTTGGCTAATTTATTCTAGATAGATATATGATATATATAAAAAGTAAAAAGTGAAGAGAATGATAATTGAAATAAATATAAGGTTAAAAACTTTAAAAAAATTAAAAACACATATTTTAACTGCTGTGGGGAACAACATGGTATACTACTAACACAATACAACTAACCCTATGTTCAAAATACTCACTGGCTACAACTTTAACTAATTTGTATACCTGAGTGACATGGTAGAAATTTGAAACAAAGGCAGGTGTTACAACTGGGGAAAAATTATTTCTTGAAACAGCTATGTGTTAGTCCGTTTTGCTTTGCTATAAAGGAATACCTGAGTCTGGGTAATTTATAAAGAGTTTTAATTGGCTCATGGTTCTGTAGGCTGTATAGGAAGCATGACACTGGCATCTCCTTAGCTTCTGGTTAGGCGTCAGGGAGCTTTCACTCATGATGCAAGGCGAAGCAGGAGCAGACTCATCACATGGTGAGAGATGGAGTGAGAGATGGAGAGCAACAGTGAGAGGAAGGTACTAGGCTCCTTTTTAAACAACCAGATCTTGTGTGATTTCAATGCCATGTGGAGGGCACCAAGCCATTCATACAGGATCCAGTCCCATGACCCAAAAACCTCCCACCAGGCTCCACCTCCAACATTTGGGGATTACATTTCACTGTGAGATTTGGAGGGGACAAACATTCAAACCATGTCAAACTGTACAATTTGAAATAAAAGAGTATAAACACTGAGGACGCAAAGGGGTAAGAATGACACAGTGAACTTTGGGGACTAGGAGGGAAGGGTGGGAGGGGGGAAGGGATAAAAGACTACAAATGGGTGCAGTGAATACTGCTGTGGTGATGGGTGCAACAAGATCTCACAAATCACACCAGTAGAGAACTTACTCATGTAACCAAACACTACCTTTACCACAATAACCTATGACAAAGAAAAAAAGAGTATACACACATAAATAATGTTGTTACATTAATTAATCTATATCACAGGTTATGGTTATGTCTAATTACAAATGTAATACATTGATATATCCTTTCATTTTCATCTATATTTTCTATCCCTTCATATTTATTACTTCTACACTATATATCTGCTGTATTGTCTTTTCAAACTAGTTTCTTTCTTATAAAAATGTACCTGTCATTATAGTATGTTTTCCTTATTATCTCATTAAGTATTAAAGATTAATATTAATGTTAATTGATATTATTTTTACTTCATAAGTTTTACATTTTTCTATTTGATGGATGTATTTTTGCCAAAACATTTATTAGCATTTTGTCATTACTTTATCTCTTAAAGTGATCTCATGTATTTAACTTAAATATAAAATTCATCAATATGAATGTATCTAGGTATAATTTTAATGATCATTTTCTTAATTTGTAAGCTATTGCATATTTTATTTCTGTCTTGAATTTTAAATGGCAAGAAATTAGATGATAAGTTTCCTGTATTATACACTGATATTTTCTTAGGTTTATTAATGATTTTTCTTCACTGCAAATTTTTGGCTTAGGATCATTTTATTTTTTTGTAAAGTATAACCTTTAGAAGTTCTTTCAGTGAGAAGATTTTGGTGGTGAATATTCAGTTTTCATTTGTTAAAGAATCTTTTAACCTTTGCTTTTGGAAGACTGTTTAACAGCAAACCCAATGTTAGGTTGACAAGTATTTTGTTATAATTTAAACATCGTTTCACACTCTTCTAGTTTTCCTTATTATTGTTGAGAAGTCTAGCATCTACTTATTATTTCATTTTCCGTCCACTAAGTAGAAAATTATGCACTTTGCATTTGTTTAAGGGCTAGCCTAAAATTTAAGTCAAGCATTGTTAATGTTTGCATTTGTACATTTAAATTAAATTTTTTGTTCTCTTTTTAGATAACACAATCATCTTAGGTCAGTGTAAACACATTTACCATTCCAACTTTTTCGTTACTTTTATGTTTTAAATTATATTGTTTTCTTTACACATTTGAGACTATTACTACTATATGTGAACTGGATAGTATTTATCAATGAATAAACCCTTTTCTTTGATCTTTTTTTCTCCCATCTCAGGTTTTCCATATGAAATGATATTCCTTTTCTCTAATGATTATTCTTTTACACTTCTGTTTAAGCTTCCAAAAATTGGAAAGAAAATGGCTATCAAATATACAGAAAAAACAAAATGTATGTAAAATTTTCACAAAAAATAAATATTGCCTTTAAACACATAAAAATGCTTAAACGTAATTTGTAATAAAATAACATAATATGCTTACAAAATATTTTCCTCTTGTCTAATTATCAATAAATGAAATGTTTGACAACATACTCTGTTGTCAGGGCTCTAAATAAGGATACATTTTCAAATATTTGGTGATGGGAATGCGAAATGGTACAATTTTATGGAGGATATTTTGCAATACCTAACAAAATTAAACATGCAGTGATTTTTCTTAATTTAGAAATCTTATTGATAATAATCTATCAAATAGATACAACGTTAACATAAAATAATAGAATGCAACTTTACTTGTTATACTGCAAAATCTGAAAACATGGCAAAGATATAGATGTAAAAATCCTGTTTTATATTTTTGACATTAAAATCATGTATATATATTACATAATTCACAAGCAAAATAGAATAAACTAACAAAGTAATCATTAAATTAAAAAATAATTAAATGAAACCTAGCTGCGTATAGACTTGGTGGCCTAATCTCACAAAGAAGAATTAAATCTGTGAATGAAAACACAGCATTTTGACCCTATTCCCAGTGATGTATAGCTTAGAGTTAAAAAGAATTGCAAATAAATTTTAATTGAATGTAATAATCTCAATTAATATTAATATGACTATGTGGAAATATATACATGTATATGTGTGGGTAAATAAAAGATAGATGAAATGAATAAATAATTTACCTCCTGTAATTATCATTAGGATTCAACTTTGTAAGTGGAAAAGACATATTAATATAAAATCCAAAACATCAAAGACACTTTTACAATCTTGTTTTAAATTCATGTTATTAAAGAATATGTACTTCCAGTTTTCTTTATTGAAATGCTTAGAAGCCATGTCAAGCCAGTAAAAATAAGCACTCCATACATCCTGATAATACTTTCTAAATAGAATTCTGAAAAAGTCTCATTGGTTATCTCTCCAAATATTATCTCCAGCCACATGTTATATCTTTCTTTCTTCTCTGAAACTGTGATTGTAAGTATAAATCTCTTTCCCCCTTGGTACTACTTAACCTTTTTCACTAAGCTAAGTAAGCTCAGTGCATCACTTGTGTCTCATTGGTCAGTGTAGGTAATATGAATTTGAAGTGCATATCCATGTAGTGACCAACCTATGTATTTAAAGTAACAAATATTTATTTTGTATTGTTCATATTCCACTAATTACTGAGACAACTTTTCATGAAGTCCTCTGAAGACGAGGATAAAGTGGATTTAATTTTGGATCACTGTTAAATGGTGAATAGCACTTTTACTTCCTGTTCTTATTGAAAATGTGTCTTACATTGAATTCTGCAAAATGTGACTTGTCCTAAACATTATCTTCTTTCCTGCATGTTCCTCATATATGTAAACACAAATCTCAAATTAACTTTATTCATAAATTATCCTCAAAAGCCATTTTAGTATTCTGTTTATTGCTCTAGGTTCTTTCTACATTTTGTTCAAATAATTTTGCACTATATTGTCAGTATTCAAATATTTTTAAAGATTTGTTGCAATATTTCCCAAATATTTTAAAATACTTTTAGCTGGAGTCATTGTTAACATACTAGACTATCACATTACTGGAATTAGTACTACAGATAAAGCTATATGCAAAACATCCTTATAGTACCCTTTGAGTTTTTAATATTAATTACATTTTTTTCAAATATTCTATCCGGATCCAAATTACAATGTTTACAACACAGACAAAAATCCTTGTCCTAAGAAGTTTAATTGTAATAAGTATAAAAAGTACATAATAAACAAGTAAAATATTTCATATATTAGAAAATGATAAGCGCTAAGAAGAGAAACAGGAAAGGATAAGAAAAACATCGGGGAGAATGGTCTTGAAGTTTAGATAGAGCTCTGAGTGGCTGGAAGAGCATGAGTGAGAAAGAAAATAGGACAAGGCAACAGAAAGTTAATAGGAAGCATAACACGCAGGGATTTTTTGCCATTGCTAGGGCTGGAGGATTTTGAATAAAAATGAAACATTATTTGACTCATATTTAGCAGAAACACTCTGGATGCTGTATTAAGAATAGATTGTGGATGGTAAAGGTAGATGCAAGGATAGCAGTTAGGAGGTTAGTATGGTGTTCTTGGCAAGATTTGATGATAATTGTATCAGGTTTGTAGGTGTTGAGGTAAAGAAAATTGGTTGAAGAAGAAACTATTTGCTTAAAAGCCAAACATAAAAGATATATGTTAGAATCAGAGTTTTCTGAATTTCTTTTATATACTGTATTATTTCCATAATTTGTCCATAATTCAGAATCTATAATCTAAAAGCACAAGTGTGATCTCTCCCTTAATAACTTTCTAATTAAGGCCCTGTTAGTGGCAGTACATTTCTCTCATCCAGGCTTGTAATTCTATACTCTTCCTTGTTCTCACATCTAAGTAATGATTAGTTCTGTTGATTCTACCTTCTAAGATGTTTCTGATGTCAGTTTCTTCTTTTTATACCCAACCTCTAAGTCAAAGTTTTTGGTTTTATCAAGACCTTCATAGAATTTTTATAATTTTTTTTTCTAAACTGGCACATCAAATTCTCTGAATACCACTCTGATTATTTACTTTTTTCATTTGTTCTCATTACCTAAATTTAATTTCTTTCAAAAGGTACAGAAGGTCTGAAGGTTTTAATGTGCAAGACTAGCTAAAAGTCACAAACTATGTGGGTCATAGGGAAAAGGGGAAAGAAAATGCTCAGTCCTTAGCATTACATACTAAATTTATATCTAATCTATTTGTATTATCTAAATCTATATTATCTATTGATCTATCTATAATCTATCTATCTATCTTCCATCTATTAAATCAGTGGCTAGGTCCCACCACTGATTAAATTAAATATTTTCCTAAATGATGTACCTATAATTCTTTAGGTTCACTGGTCCCTGTATGGAGACTATTTTTTATATCATCTCAAATTTATAGAAATATGATTCAGCTTTTCTACGGTAGTTAAAATTCATCTCCCTAAATCATGGTTTTAAACAAAAATTCCAAAGAACCCTAAATAAAACGAGGTTATTGTTTTGAGGGTGCTCTGAGATTACTTACGTTACAAAAAAAATGAACTTAATGCTTGCAACATTTCACCTTTTCCTTCTTAAATTACACTCATTTTATATTGTCAACATATTAATAATTCATATTCAGGGCTCTAAATAAAATAAATTTATTTAGAAAGAATATGAAATCTCATTGTATCTAGGCTTTTGTTTTACCCCTACTTATAATCAACAGGTTTTGTCTAAATTAAAAGAACTATAGTTTGGTAGGGCTGCCATACACAGTAGCTCAGACGAATTACTATATGAAATTCCCACTGAAGAGCATAAACTAACAAATTTATTTTCTTACAGTTCTGGTTTCTTCTGAGGCTTCCCCTTCCAATTCCATGTGGTCTTTCCTCTGTGCATGCACAATCCCAAAGTCTCTCGAGTGTCCTCCAATTTTCTCTTCTTATAAGGACGACACTCGGATTGAATTGGGGCCCACCTTGATGGCCTCATTTTAGTCACCTCCTTAAAGACCCCATTTACAAATACAGTCACACTTTAAGGTACTGGGAGTTATGGCTTCAATATATGGTTCTTTTGTGGTGGATACAATTTAGCTCATAACACCTCCATAGATTACTTTGATTTTTTGACCTTTGTTCAGTAGTAGGATGTCATTTATAGACTCATCTTTATTAACACAGGTTCTCATACACTTAAAATGTCTTACCCCTGCCGGCCGGGCACGGTGGCTTGCGTCTGTAATCGCAGCACTTTGGGAGGCTGAGGCAGGCAGATCACCTGAGGTCAGGAGTTCGAGACCAGCCTGACCAATACAGTGAAACCCCAACTCTGCTAAAAATACAAAAACTAGCCGGGCATGGTGGCATGTGCCTGTAATATCCCAGCTACTCGGGAGGCTGAGGCAGGAGGATTGCCTGAATCCATGAAGCTGACTTTGTCTCAAAAAAAAAAAAAAGTTTTACTCCTGCTTAATTTATTTCATATCTTTCAGTTATGTGTTGTCATGTTATGAAAATGCACAGACAAATGTAAACTGATTTATAGAGTACAGGTTTAAATAAAGGAAAGAACAACTAAAATTACCCAGAAAAGTAAAGTCTAGAATGATAAAAATAATGCAACTCAAATGTTCTCCACTCATTTAATTCAAGCTTTATGTCTTAAATATTTTTATGTGACAAAATAATGTACTCATGTACACTAATAGTCAAGTTTTATTGTTGGTTTGTTGATTGTAAAAAAAAAAAAAAGGGACACAAACTTCCAATCTCTTCAACTTTCTAAAATTGTTCAGGACAATTAAGCCATAGAAAACCCAGAAACAAAGCTAGAATGTTGAATACTAAATTTGTGTATCTAAATTAACAATTTTGCGCATAGTAATTTGCAAATAAGCTTATTTCTTTTTGACTGAAAACTTGATGGTTGAAAATTTGTCTACTTATCCTTGCAGAAAACCAAACAACAGACCTTCTCTCTAAATCATGTACATGATGTGTTCTGTTTTTTTAAGATCCGTGTATCTGTGACACACCCCAACTCTTCATATTAAATTTAAATAGAGGAAATAAATGTATAGAGTGCTAAACATTTGCTGTTTTGTACCTATACATATTGTGTAGCATATACACATGCATACATATGAACATACATATGTCATATATATATATATGTATATATATATATACACACACACAGATTCCCATAATATTTAGACAACCGAAAATGCAATAAATCCTAAAATATTGGATAGTATACAGATAGTGAGGGCAGGATGATGGCCTGGGATTGAATGCCATACAGCAAGGTGCAACTATATTTAAACATATATTTTAAAGAATAATTTCACTACAGAGATTATTAAGTTGGTGCAAAAGTAATTGCAGTCAAGTAATTAATTCAAGTAATGGCACAACTCTCAATTACTTTTGCACCAACCTAATATTTCCTACTCAAGTAAAAGCACAGCATAAGATTAATTTTGGCTGGGCATGGTGGAGCATGCTTACAATCCCAGAGCTTTGGGAGGCCATGTCAGGATGATCACTTGAGGTTAGGAGTTCAAAACTAGTCCAGTTGAAGACTAGATTAGTTAGAGACTGTGTAGCTGGGCAACATAGCAAGACCCATCCCTTCAAAAATAAACAAAATTAAAGATTAATTTTGAAATTATTCGATTTTTTCTGAATATCAACATGAACATCATATATAGAACCATAAATTACAGAAATATACATAATATAACTACAATTGATTAAATATAAAAAACAATACATTTTAAACTGCTTCCAGCCTAAAATGAGATTGAAACACCCTTCTCTGTAAATACTTCATTATGTAAGCACAACTTTTCTATTCAATAGTTTTAATTCTAAAGTATTTTACTAAAACTTATATCCTATCCTAAATTTTTTATGCATTTTACATTTTATTTTTTCATATGAAGTCCAATTCAACCTAGTGCTTCCAAAATTTATATGGATAATCCAAAACCAAAGAATTTTAAAGGTACTCTATAAGAAAAATAACAAAATGTCAAATTATAATGGTGGTGGTAGTGGTTTGATAATGGTGCAGGAAATGACATATTGTGGTATTGCCTTAGGATAGTAATAAGATAAAGCCAGGTGGATCAGAATAAAGCATGGACAGGAAGAGCACAGATTTTAGAATCAGATATACTTCAACAGGATACAGTATCACTCAGCTGGAGGTACATGAACTAGTGAAAAATAACTCTTCTTGAGAAAATTAAAAATTACTTTACATCTTGGTATCTCATTTTTGCCCTACGTAATGTGAGAAAAATAATATGCTATGGAATAAATGTTTACATTCCTCCCCAAAGCTATATGGTGAAGCCCTGATCCCCAGTGTGACGCCATTTGAAGGTGTGACGTTTGGGAGGTAATGAGGTCATGCCGGTGGAGTTCTCCTAAATGGGAATAGTGCTTGTAAAGAAGAAACAGGAGCCATGTGAGAATACAGCAAGAAGGCTGCTGTCTACAGACCAGGAAGTCAGCAAGTGGGATCTCATCAGAAACTGAATCTGCTGACACCTTGATCTTGTACTTCTCAGCCTCCAGAACTGTGAGAAATAAGTGTTTGTTGTTGAAGTCACCCAGATAATGGTATTTATTTTATAGCGGCCTTAGCTGATTAGGAAAATGGCAGCTATACCTTGAAGGTATTTGAGAATTAAACGAAGTAAAGCTATTAGAACACCACATTACATTTACCACATTTTCTACATTACATTGGTCTATATTATATTGGTCAATTATTCTATGATATGTTGGCCAATCCTAGACTGCAGCTGGTCAACAACCAAATATGTGACAGAGGCCCTGCTAGGCCATCCAGGATGCATGGTCCTGCAAGGAAACAACGGTCACAAAAGCACAGCCAAGATCAGTTCAGCTGGGCTAGATTAGCATAATTACTGCCAACCTATACGTTTATGAGTAATAATATATTCTAGTTTTTAAATCACTAAATTGTGGTGGCTTAAATAGTTTTGCTCCACATTTTTGTATTTCTCTTAAGTTTGTAATCTTCCCTTGACACATATAAGCCATGAGATCTTTTCCGTCTTAATGTTAGGCAGACCTAAATTCAAAATTCCATGCCTTCTTTCCCTAGTCCCTACCATTTTTTCCCTTGTGTTTAAAAGGTATAGTCCCTGCCAGGCCAGGCGCAGTGGCTCACGCCTGTAATCGCAGCACTTTGGGAGAAGGAGGTGGGTGGATCACGAGGTCAGAAGATCGAGACTATCCTGGCTAACATGGTGAAACCCCATCTCTACTAAAAATACAGAAAAAAATTAGTCGGGCGTGGTGGCGGGCGCCTGTAGTCCCAGCTACTGGGGAGGCTGAGGCGGGAGAATGGCTTGAACCTGGGAGGCGGAGCTTGCAGTGAGCCGAGATAGCGCCACTGCACTCCGGCCTGGGCGACAGAGTGAGACTCCATCTCAAAAAAAAAAAAAAAAAAAAGTAGAGTTCCTGCCAAATCAGATGGGAGACAGTCACTGAGACTGAATTTTATTTCTTTTCGCTTCCTTCTTTATTCCTTTCTGAGTTTCACAAAGAGATTTTCTCCTTTTAGCTTGATGTCTAAATATTTACAGAGTGCTAGCTATTATTTCCTATCTTTATTCAGAAGAGATATCAATAAGTTCCAACTCCAAGTATGGTCCACACTCTAATCATTAACCTTTTGCTTTACTCGATTGCATCATTGTTACATTTTAAACGGTTTTATAATTAATAAAATTATCAGGATCAGATCTATGTAAATAAAATAAGAACAAACATCAGTTCAAAAAATCAAACATTATACAGAGTGGTAGAATGTGTTAAAACAGGAATTCTCATTCTGTGCACACAATAATGCTATTACCGTTTTTCAAAAAGATTTTTCAGTAATTTACAACATTGAAATTACTAATTCCATAAGACTCAGGGATTACATTTATATTCCATGTATATCCTGGAGATCTTCCCATATGTATACATAAAAATGTTTGTACAAAATTGCATCATTTTTGAAATATAAACACTAAACAAATTAAATATACATGTCTAACCAAAGGAGAATGAATACATTGTGCATAGTCTTACAATGAAATACTATAAAATCTTTCAAATTAACATATTAGAAATATTTCAAATATAAAGACAAAGTTTACTTCAACTGTAAACTTGAAGAAAAATTGACATGGCTAGTATAATGCAATATGTATCCAATTTAAAACTGGCCAGAAATACAGGAAATTTTATTTATAGAGAAATTATCAAAATAGACATAAGAATAATGTCACTATTCAGCATATAAACAACGGACAGATAAATGGAGTTGGAACAGTCTGCAATTTTATCAGGTATATTTATTTATCTATATTTATTAAAAAGCTAGAGCAAACATCATAAAATATTAAAATCCCCTGTTTGTGTGTATAGCACTGAAGTGCTTGTGAAATATTTCCCATTTTTCATAAAATTGTTTTCAAAAATGACTCATGAGATTGAGTATCTGTTTGCTTATTTAATGGCTATAAGGATTTCCTCTTATGGATATTGTTTTCTTATATCTTTGAAATTGTTTTGTCTTTGTACTGTTTTGGTCGCACCGTGTGAAAACATTACATTATTTATGCTTGCCGTGTGTATATTTAAATATATTATCTCATTTTTTTCTAGCTCTTTTCTCTTATTATTTCACATAAAGGGTATTGCTAGTGGTTGAATTTACAATTGGGTCATTGAATGACAGAATATACTAGGGATTTTGATTAAAGTTGAAGGAGAATTATCAACCCCCAAAGAAGCTTTGGAACTTTGTATTTTCCTTCTCTGGAAATCGAGTATTGACATTTTTATTTGAAGGATAGTTGCTTATTCTGCTCAACAATGATGTTATTTTATATTGAAGTTTAAATATAATAGTACCATAATAGTGTATATGAATAATGATAAGCTGTAGAGTTGGACTCTGCTGATTACTTAACTGTTGTCACTGAGTTCTAAGCCCGTCTTTTCATAGTCTGTTATAATACTTCTGCAGATTTTGTACACTGCATTCCCACAATCCCTGGCCAACTAGCATCTAGTTAAGTAAGTTCTGGCAATAAAACACACTGATGGGAGATTACAAGGTGTTATGATCAGAATATGTCCCTCCAAATTTCAAGTTGGAACAGAATACTCAATGTGATAGTATTAATTGGTGAGGCATTTTGGGAAGTGATTGTCACAAGGGTTCTGTCTTCATGAATGGGATTAGTGTCCTTATAAAAGAGATTGAAAGGAACTACCTTGTCCTCTTTCACCATGTGAGGATGCAGCAATAAGGCATCATCTTTAAAACAGAGAGCACCGACCAGACACCAAATCTGCTGGTGTCTGGATCTTGGTCTTCCCAGTCTCCAGAACTGTAAGAAATAAATTTCTATTGTTTATAAATTACCCAGTGTATGGTATTTACATATAGCAACCCAAACAGACTAAAATACAAGGCAGAGGAAGGAAGAAAGAACTCTCTTCCTGCTTTGAACTCAGATTGGCTTCTTTCCAGTAGTATCAAACTGTTATAGCTCTGGTTTCCAGCTTTAAGGACACTCCCAGAATCAACTTTGTCATGCCTACTCAAAGTCACCAACAGTGACCATACTGCACCTCCTCCATTGTTTGCATCTTGCTAGTCAAATTACAAACTGAATTTTACCTATGTCTTGGTTATGGACATGTACCAAGCTGCACACACTCAAGTAGTCAGAACAGGGTGTTTCGTGCCCTTCCACCATGGTTTGTGTACTAGTGACAAGGCTTTTGGCCCGGAATTCCAAACTCAGCTCCCAGATGCAAGGCAACACCTCTCAGAGGTCTAAACACAAACCCCATAATGATGACATTCCCACTCCAAGATTTTGGTACTTCATAACTTGCTGCTGTAAAGATGATCAGTTATCAGGGATTCTCAACTCTTCCTTAGGCTTACACATGTTTAATAATAAGAGACCTAATTTCAATAAGGAATAACCATAAATAGTTATGAGATAACATTTAATACTGGCCAAGTGGTGGGAATATTTCTAAATGTTTTACAAATATTGACTTAAATGTTATCCATTATAATATTTAAAGTGAGTAATGAATATTCCCATTTCGCAGAAGCAGAAAAACTTGTTAGTGAAACATTTTATAAATGATGAAGTCAAATTTAGAATATTGTATGTTTGACTACAATGACCACACTCTTCACTCTGCACTTTCTCACACTCCCAGTCTTCTTTTGGAGTGTGTCTGAAATAACTCAATGTAGTATTTTCTCCTGGCACTAATAATCAAAATGACTGCAAGGCATTTTCAATTTATAATTAGGGAATTTCACTTAGAGCGGTGAGGTAACATGTACACAAATTCACTGAATGGGCACAAAACAATGTATTTAAATGCTATCATTATTTTTGTTCTTAAAAAGTAACTACATATACTCATATTACTGGGAAATATGTCATATGACAAAATACTTTACCTAAAATACCTAAATAATTCTACAAAAATTCTTGTTTAATTTTTAAATTTGTTTAAGGTTGAATTAAGACACATCCATGGAAAAAATTAAGGATGATGATGAGCATGGTTTCTTAGAGTTATTCTAGTTTGTGAAGACCTAGTCAAGTAAAATCTACTAAGTAATACAATATGATTCCTATGTTTCTTAATATAGAAACATTAAGGATATCAGAAGAGCAGCATATAAGATGTAATATGAGACAGAGAGCCTTACAAATTTTAGTGGAGATATATATATATATACTATAAATTAATAGCATATTAAAAACAAACAGAAAAACACAATAATAAAACAACATAATTTAACATTTCATCAATGTTACATAGTTGGTTAAACCCACTAGATCAAATAAAATATTTATAGTAAGTTGGTGAAGTTGAAAATTTTAAAAGTAAAAATCAGCTTTTGTACTAATTATTTAATGGCAGAGCCTATGGCTATATGTTACTTTTGTTCATTTCAATAACTTGTTTTTGAATGCTAAATAACAGATACTATGTATCTCATAACTCAGAAAATTAATTCTAAAAGTTGATCCATCTCTTAAGTGTTTAGATTAATTACAAAGACATGCATACAAACCTAAAATTTTAATAAATTGTGCCAAATACTAAGATGCAAAAAATGTTGACTGATGGATATGGAAGCTCAGAAGAAAATCATAGAATATTGGTATATTTAGAGAGGTTTCTGGATGAAATGAATCTTCCAGAATATAAAATATTTTTGCTGTCTTGATTAAATAGCACAACTAAACGCATAGTAAGTTTGCTTCTAGGAAATTAGATTGAATCTGATATTTTGTGCAAATGATTTATCTGTAGTGGAGAAATTTAATAGTTAAACATTTCAAAAGCTAACCATAACTAGAAGGAAAAGATAATAATTTGGGGGAGTAAAGGCATGAATAAGAGGGCAGCAGGTTGTGTCCAATTTTGCCTCACAGGAGGAACTAAATGGACTTTTGAATGATGAATGAAAATATACATGAATAAATGAGATGCATCACCAATGCCTTTTGACAGTAACAGAAATACATTATCTGACTTGTAAGCCAATGAGTTTTGATGAAACATATAGATCTTTGCTAGAATAAACTATTTTAATTTTGTCAATAAAGTGAAGTAATTGGATTTCTAGACTACTATCCAAGGTCAGAAATGGTATCATATCAGCTAAAAATTTTGTAGAAAATAATCAAAATACAAATAATTACTGTAGTCTATAAAAAGAGGAGAATTAGCCTAACTTTTTATCACTTGTTAAGAAAGATCATTTGCTAACTGCCACTTATTGGAACTCTCATCTTGGTCAAGTCCTCAGACACTTTCAACCCTCTTGTTCAATCTTGGTAAATCACAAATAAGGCTATCTCCCTCTCAAGATATAACAATTCCATAAATCTCTGTTAAATTGAAGGTAATAGTGTAGGACATCTAAAATAAAACATCTCACAGCTTGAATCTATACATAATCACATACATTCACAGACAAGAATAATTTTTTGATATCTTTGAATGTTGGAGGAGCCCATGAACCAGTTATCTACTCAAGAGGACGCCCCAAACGTTTGCCTAAATTGAAGGGCAATGTGACCAACTACCTTTCCATCATCTCCACTTAGATACTTATTAGGCATTGAAAACCTAAAAATTAGTCTCTTTCTTGACTCTGTGCCTACCAATGTATTTTTCACCTCTGAACAGGTGCCACAAATCATGGAGTTGCCCAGGTTGGACATAAGAATTATCTTTGAAGCCTTCTTGTATCTCACACCATGCATCCTATCATCATCAATTCTTACAGATTTTATCTTCAAAATATATCCTCAGCCTAACAACTCCTACTTCCACCACTACCACCCTAGAAGACGTCACTACCATTTTGCAAGCGTATTAGTCATATCAGTTCAATAGTTATCTTACTAGAATCCTACCCAATGTTTTCTCTCTAAAATCTTGTATCCACAAGGCAGAAACTAATCATACAATAAAGCCTGGTTCACATCACTCTCCTAGAATTACAAACATTCTAATTTCATCATACATAAAAGAAAAACAAAGCTGATGGCCTTACTATGACTGCCACAATTCTACATGTTATGCTTCCTACTATCTCTCTTCATTCTTGTCCTTTGTGACCCACTATTTTCTTTTTTTAAATTAATTTATTATTATTTTTTAAATTGTACTTTAAGTTCTAGGATACATTTGCACAACGTGCAGGTTTGTTACATAGGTATACGTGTGCCATGTTGGTTTGCTGCACCCATTAACTTGTCATCTACATTAGGTATTTCTCCTAATGCTATCCCTCCCCTAGACCCCCACCCCGCAACAGGCCCCAGTGGGTGATGTTCCCCGCCCTGTGTCCAAGTGTTCTCATTGTTCAATTCCCACCTGTGATTGAGAACATGTGGTGTTTGGTTTTCTGTCCTTGTGATAGTTTGCTGAGAATTATGGTTTTCAGCTTCATCCACGTCCCTATAAAGGACATGAACTCATCCTTTTTTATGGCTTCATAGTATTCCATGGAGTATATGTGCCACATTTTCTTAATTCAGTCTATCATTGTTGGACATTTGGCTTGGTTCCAAGTCTTTGCTACTGTGAATAGTGCCACAATAAACATACATGTGCATATGTCTTTATAGTAGCATGATTTATAATCCTTTGGATATATACCCAGTAAGGGGATTGCTGGGTCAAATGGTATTTCTAGTTTTAGATCCCTGAGGAATGGCCACACTGTCTTCCACAATGGTTTAACTAGTTTACAGTCCCACCAACAGCGTAAAAGTTTTCCTATTTCTCCACATCCTCTCCAGCACCTGTTGTTTCCTGACTTTTTAATGATTGCCATTCTAACTGGCATGAGATGGTATCTCATTGTGGTTTGATTTGCATTTCTCTGATGGCCAGTGATGATGAGCATTTTTTCATGTGTCTGTTGCCTGCATAAATGTCTTCTTTTGAGTAGTGTCTGTTCATATCCTTTGCCCATTTTTGATGGGTTTTTTTTCTTGTAAATTTGTTTAAGTTCTTTGTAGATTCTGAAAAATAACCCCTTGTGAGATGGGTAGATTGCAAAAATTTTCTCCCATTCTGTAGGTTGCCTGTTCACTCTGATGGTAGTTTCTTTTGCTGTGCAGAAGCTCTTTAGTAATTACATCCCATTTGTCAATTTTGGCTTTTGTTGCCATTACTTTTGGTGTTTTAGTCATGAAGTCCTTGCTCATGCCTATGTCTTGAATGGTATTGTCTCGGTTTTCTTCTAGGGTTTCTATGGTTTTAGGTCTAACATTTAAATCTTTAATCCATCTTGAGTTAATTTTTGTATAAGGTGTAAGGAAGGGATCCAGTTTCAGCTTTCTACATATGGTTAGCCAGTTTTCCCAGCACCATTTATTAAATAAGGAATCCTTTCCTCATTTCTTGTTTTGTCAGGTTTGTCAAAGATCAGATGGTTTTAGATGTGCGGTGTTATTTCTGAGGCCTCTGTTCTGTTTCATTGGTCTATATATCTGTTTTGTACCAGTTCCATGCTGTTTTGGTTACTATAGCCTTGTAGTATAGTTTGAAGTCAGATAGCTTTGCTCTTCAAACTATAGCTCTTCAAGCTTAGGATTGTCTTGACTATGCAGGTTCTTTTTTGGTTCCATATCAACTTTAAAGTGTTTTTTTTTTTTTTTTTTCTAGTTCTGTGAAGAAAGTCATTCATAGCTTGATGGAGTTGGCATTGAATCTATAAATTACCTTGGGCAGTATGGCCATTTTCACAATATTGATTCTTCCTATCCATGAGCATGGAACGTTCCTCCATTTATTTGTGTCCTCTTTTATTTTGCTGAGCAGTGGTTTGTAGTTCTCCTTGAAGAAGTCCTTCACATCCCTTGTAAGTTGGATTCCTAGGTATTTTATTCTCTTTGTAGCAATTGACTAACACTATTTTTCTTGGTTCCTCTTCAAATAACACATGAATGTTTTTACTTCATAGCATTTTTATAGGATGTTCTATTTTATTAGAGAAATTTTACCTTAGTCATTATATGGGTTATTTTATTCTCTCTTCTGTCTCATGGAACTATTTTCTAACAACTTTAACTAAAATAAGAAAAAGAATCCCTCATCACTTTAACATTTTAATCTGTATTCTGTTTTTCCTCCTGATTTGTTTTTCCATAGATTTTGTCACTTTCTCATATTCTGTATAATTTACTTATTCATGTTTTTATTTGATTTTACTTCCCCTTAATAGAATGTAAGCTCAATGAAGGCAGAGATATTTGCCTGTTTTGACACTGTATTCCCAGTAGCTAGAATACTATTAGGCACATAATAGATGCCTAATAAATATTGTTGAAGAAATTGCTAAAGCACCAGTAAATAATAAATAGGATCTAATGTAATTTTAATATCCCCCAATTTTTTTAAAAAGAATCTCTATATTGAATGGGTACACAAAAATATAAACAAAAGATAGTAGAACAAGACAATCTGTCCTTAAAATATGAAAACTATACTTTAATTCAGGATATATTTTTCCATGAGCTTTCTTTGATGGTACCATTGGAAATTAACTTTGGCCAACCAGCTGATGTTTGGGGAACTACAGCAAAAAGACATAGCGCAAGACTGTAGGTTTATTTCAAATTGAAGATGCAAGAAGGCATTTGTGTAAATCAACTTATTTTGGACATAGCAAGATCAGGACAATTAATATTGACAAGGACCTCTGATACTTGCCACAGGATCAATAACAACTTGTGATTAAATTTTTCTTAAAGTGCATTCATGATTTTCTATGAAATTGTGTTGACTAGTTATATAAGAAATTTAGAAGATATGTTACTCTAAAAAGAAACCAAGTTAGTACTATATTAGTACTGATTTGGTAAATATTTTTAGAATTTAAGAGATGTTACATAGCTATATTATAACTACGGCTTGCCAAAATAAACAACAAAGTTAAGTAAAGTGCTTTATAATCTATGAATGAGAATGATTATAAAACATCAATATAAACACAATATCACCTAAAAATCAGGATTTTTTTGGGGGAGAAATACCTAATAAATACAGATATCTGAAAGTATTTGGGGCTGCTCTATCAAAAGAAAGAGGCAAAAAATATAAGGGGAAATAGATTCTTCACTCCCAAGCTAGATTTAAGACCACTGGTGGGTGCCATGAAGCATTTCAAATTAGTAATAGAAAATAAATAATGAACTAGAAATAGTGCTAAATATATAATTAATCTCTACCATGGAATTTCAAATAGTTTTATTTGATCTTCAAAAATCCTGCTTTTTTGGCAAGACAGTTAAACTTATTTCAGAGAAGTCAGTTGATTCCTCAAGCATATAAATCTAGAAAATGTTGGAGATAATACTCAAATTCATTTCCTCTTACTGCTAATTAATGCTTTTTTTTTCTAATGAATGTCCAATTACTTTTAGTATAGTTGTGCTGCCTACTGCTGGAAATATTCAAAAAACACTTTATTTTAAGAAAAATATAGTTAGTGTTGCTGGATTATAATATAGATGGAACTAAATACAAATTAAGTTTTATGTGGATGTACTTTTTTTTTTTTTTTAGACAGAGTCACGCTCTGTTGCCAGCCTGGAATGCAGTGGCCGTGATCTCAGCTCACGGCAAACCCTGCCTCCCGGGTTCAAGCGATTCTTCTTCCTCAGGCTCCCATGTAGCTGGGATTACAAGTGCACACAACCACGCCCAGCTAATTTTTGTATTTTTAGTAGAGACAGGGTTTCACCATGTTGGCCAGGATGGTCTCGATCTCTTGACCTTATGATCCACCCGTCTCGGCCTCCCAAAGTGCTGGGATTACAGGTGTGAGCAATGGTGCCTGGCCGGATGTATCTTTAATTAATTGGATAATTTTAACTAATCATTCACCTAAATACAATGTTTTTTAAAAACATAATATTTGCAATACATGTACTTTAGATATATTATAAGACTAAATATTAAGTAAGATCCCTAAATCACATATAAAAAATATATTCTCAAATTATTGTTACTATCTCAGAGTTAAAATTTTATGTCAACTGTTATGAATAAATAAAAACAAAATGAGGACACTATTTCACTCAATTCAAATAAACCAGTTTTATTTTTAAAAGAAAAAAATAAAAATTGCACTATGTTTTGTTATTTAAGTTATTCTTTAATGTATTTATAAATTAATATGCCTATGCAAATATCTGCACAATCATTGCCTGGCCTACTCAATGTGGTTAATAAAGTTCAGTTTAATTGGACATCGTTTCCCTTTTGTTTAGGTCAACATTTTAAATAGACTTATTGCACATTTGAAAGAAACATAACGCCTAATCACCATTATTAATTAATAAGGAATAGGTTTTCTTCAATTTACATGTATTTGAATAGACTATCTCAAAGCTTGGGGCTACATTTTTATTTTCACTTATATAATAAAACAGTTAATTGATTTGCTCTGACTTAAGAAACTAACAAATGCTGTAAATGACTCAAATTGAAAGATCAAGACACTAACCTGCTATATGAAGGTTAATAATTAGCATAAATACACCAGCATAACCATGCCTACTTTTTATACCCAGTATTTCCTCAGATTAGTTGCTGCCAGTACTGTTATGCCTTAAAAAGATTATACGCAGCCATAAAAAAGAGTGAGTTCATGTCCTTTGCAGGGACATGGATGAAGCGGGAAACCATCATTCACAGCAAGCTAACACAGGAACAGGAAACCAAACACCGGATGTTCTAACTCATAAGTGGGAGTTGAACAATGAGAACACATGGACATAGGGAGGGGAACATCACATACCAGGGCCTGTTAGGGGGTGGGAGGGTAGGGGAAGCATAGCATTAGAAGAAATACCTAATGTAGGTGACTGGTTGAGGTTGCAGCAAACCACCATGGCACGGGTATACCTATGTAACAAACCTGCACGTTCTGCACATGTATCCCAGAACTTAAAGTATAATAAAAAAAAAAAGTTTATAAATATTACCCATTTCTCCATGGCCAAGTGGACAAAATATCTTGGTACCAAACTGCCAAGTTTAATTGTGTCATTATTTTCTAGATATATGTGTATGGATGACACAGGGTATTGCAAAAGAAAAGGAAAATCGTACTTGAAAGCACTAGTCACATTCAATCATTGGTATAAAGTAGACGCTTAAAGTAAACATAACATTCTTCCTACTAACACTGTTGGACTGAAACCAAATACAGATAATATACTTTGTATCACCAATATGCTATATGTGCTTTCACAGTAAAAATTATGGGGAACCAGTTGCTGCTAAACTTAACATATGTTAGATTTGAGGAATATGTTTGCAGATATAACCTTTTAAACTCAAAATAAATATTAATTTAAAAATACAGGAAGAATTAATAACTCAAGACAAACACAAAGACCTTTTGCCCCTGTTTTATACTGTCAGTGTGTGATTTCTAAACCAACATTAGTTTGAAATTTAAATCACCAATGGTGGTTCTTTAAATTGTCTCATTTCCAAATGATTGTCATGAGCAATAAATATACAGCCAAATTTTACACTATTAGTTATTGCCTTCTATTGTTGACATCTTCATTTTATTTCCAGGATATTGTACTCTTAACTCTTTCTACTGCATTAGTTTGCTTTCTTCACTGTCTCCATCTGTCTGATCTATGAATATTAGAAAGTCCAGATTTCAGCCCTTGGGCCATGTCTCTTTTTGCTCTACATTCATTTCTTCGGATACTTCCTAAGTTAGAATTGAAAGGCATGTCTTGCTCAATGTACACCAAACTAAAATTTTGATATTTACCCCAATCCTGCCATTCCACAGCTTTCCCTACCTTAGTAAATGATAAGTTTGAGATCATACTTGACTTTTCTCTTCGCTCACATCCTGAATCCAGTCTATTGCAAAACCTATTAACTCAGATTCCAATTTATATCTTGATTTGACCATTTCTTACAACCTCCAATATTACCACACTGGAATAGTTGAACTATTGCCACATTGGAACACTTGAATATTACCACATTGGAACACTTCAATTATTTCAAAAGCCTTCAAAAACCACCCCTTTATATATTTCCAAATGGATCATCAGAATAATACTATTAAAACGTAAGTTGCACAACACTATTATTACCTTTCAATTTGGCAATCTGTTTTGATATTATTCAGATTAAAAGTAAAATTATATAGCTTTTGCTAAAATTAATGGCTGATAAGAACCACATCTAAAAACACTTTAGAAACAATGAAAAAACAGAAGGCAGTGCTGAATGAAAATACTTGCCAGCCTGACACTCTATTACCAAAAAATTCTTAAAAATTAAAAATGCATTTTCAGACAAACACAGACAGAATCCATCAGTAATAAAATTTCTTTAAAGTGTTTAATCAGATAGAAGGAAAGTGAACCATGAGAAAAACGTGGAGATATAGAAAGGAATGAAGGGCAAACATGTGGATAAATCTAAAGAAATATCAATATGAAAAAATGATCATTACTTATTTGAGAATTGAAAACATATTGCAAAATTAAAGAACATGAAAAAAACTCACAAAATGTGAGAGGATTAAATGAACCTAAATATTAAATGTAACAAATTTGGTTCTAAATATGTGGATGAAATTTGAATATGGCTAACCAATATTATTTACTGTGAATTGGCAACAAATTTTCCTGAAAAAAGTTGTAAGATAAAATAAAAATATTCTGTTTATGCTGCCATATACTGTTTTTCAGAGTTCATTTGGGAAATTTAAATTTTGGCATTGAAATAAAGAAAAAACTCACAAGAATTGATAGCTGTTTTAAAATAATATGTTCACATATTTTTATTATGTTATCCTTGCTTTTCCAAGCTATTACAAGTGTCTTTAATCAGAAATGTATTTTGTTCACACAATACTGAAAGACATACAGTAAGGTGTAGAATACACATTCTTCTCCTCAGCATGTAGATCATTCTCCAGGATAGACGATACTTTAGGCCACAAAATAAATCTTAAAAACTATCAAAAAATTGAAACCACATCAAGTGTCTTCTCTGACCACAATGAAATAAAACTAGAAGTCAATAACAAGGGGAACTTTGGAGACTATCAAAACACATGAAAATTAGTCAGTATGCCCCTGAATGACCAGCGGATCAATGAAAAAGTTAAGAAGAAAACTTTAAAAATTCATGAAAAAAGTGATGAAAACACAACATACCAAAACCTATGGGAAACAACTAAAGTACTACTAAGAGAAAAGCTTGTACCAGTAGGTGCCTACATCAAAAACATAGAAAACCTTCAAATAAAAACCTAACAATACATCATAAAGAATTAGAAAGGCAAGAGCAAACTAAAATTAGTAGAAGACACAAATAAATAAAATCAGAGATAAAAAGGATACATTACATCTAACAGCACAGAAATTCAAAGGGCTATTATAGACTACTATAAGCAACTATATACCAATAAATTGGAAAATCTAGAAGAAATTGATAAATTTCTAGACACATGCAACATACCAAGATTGAACCATGAACAAATCCAAAATCTCAATACCAGTAACAAACAATGAGATTGAAGCTTTAATAAAAAGTCTCCAAAGTTTACCAAAGAAAAGTCTAGGAACCAATGGCTTCACTGCTGAATTTTACTGAACATTTAAAGAACTAATACCAATCATACAGAAACTCTTCTGAAAAATACAGGAGGAGAATATACTTCCAAATTTATTCTACAAGGCCAGTATTACTCTGATTCCAAAACCAGATAAAGAAATTTCAAAAGAAAAGAAAATAAAACAAATGGCCAATATCCCTGATAAACATTGATGTAAAAATTCTCAACAAATATATTGAAATACTAAAAAAAAAATTAAACAACACATAAAAAAGATCAATCATCAGGACCTAGTAAGACTTATTCCCCAAATTTAATATAATACTAGCTATGTGTCTGTCATATATGGTTTCTTTATGTTGATTATTTTCATTCCCTATCCAGTTTTTTAGGGTGTTTATCTTTAAGTGATGTGGAATATCATCAATAGCTTTGTCAGTATCAATTGGAAAGATCACATGGTTTTTGTCCCTCATTCTGTTGATATGATATATCATATTGATTTGCATATTTTGAAACATCCTTGAACAACAGCCATTGGACAAAATGTGTGGAAAACATCTATTAGGGTCATTTGGCTTATAGTGCAGATTAATTTTGATGTTTCTTTCATGACTTTCTGAATGATCCATCCAATGCTGAAAGTGAGGTGGTGGACTCTTCAGCCATTACTATATTGGTGTTTATCTGTCTCTTTAGCTCTAATATATTCTTTATATATGTGGGTACTCCAGAGTTGAGTGTATACATATTTAAAATTGTTATAATGTCTTGCTGAATGGACCCCTTTATCATTATGTAATGACATTCTTTGTTTCTTCTCATAGTGTTGGTCTTGAAACCTATTTTTTTTTTCTGATATAAGAATAGCTGCTCCTGTTCTTTTAAGGTTTCCATTGGCATGGGATATTTTTTCCATCCTTCTATTTTCAGCTTATATGTGTCTTATAGGTGAACTGTGTTTCTTGTAGCCCAGAGATCACTGGGTCTTACTTTTTGTCCCTTCAGTCACTTTATGTCTTTTGATTGGAGAATTTATCTACATTCAATCTTATTATTAAAAAAATAAGGACTTATTCCTGCCATTTGTTATTTGTTTTCTGGTTGTCTTGTGGTCTTCTCTACTTTCCTTTCTTCCTGTTTTCTTTTTTCTGAAGGTGAGTTTCTCTGGTGTTACCTTTTATTTTATTGCATTTTATTGTTTGCCCATATGTTGTGGGTTTCTTGGTTTGAGGCTACCATGAGCCTTGGTAATACTATCTTATAATCCATTATTCTGAACTGACAACAGCTAATCACTGATTGCATAAATAAACAAACTGAAAATAAGCAACAAGAAAATGAATAAAACTTCAGCACTTTAACTTTATCCCCGGGCTTTTTAATTTTCTATTGTTTGTCTTTATATCTTATTATACAATCTCTATTTGGAAAAATTGTAGTAGTTACTATTTTTGTTAGGTTCATCTCTTCTTGCTGCTTTTAGGATCCTTTCTTTATCCTTGATCTTTGAGAGTTTAATTATTAAACGCCTTCTGGTAGTCTTCTGGATTAAATCTGCTTGGTGTTCTATAACTTTCTTATTCTTTAATATTATATCTTTACCTATGTTTGGGGAGGTCTCTGTTATTATTCCATTGAATAAACTTTCTATTTTTTTCTTTCTTTTGGTATGGAGTCTCTCTCTGTTGCCCAGGCTGTAGTGCAATGGTGTGATCTTGGCTCAATGGTTTCTGCCTCCAGGGTTCAAGCGATTCTTTTGTCTCAGCCTCCTGAGTAGCTGGAATTACAGGTTTGCATCGCCACACCTGGCTAATTTTTTGTACTATTAGTAGAGACGGGGTTTTGCCATGTTGGCCAGGCGGGTCTTGAACCCCTGACCTCACGTGATCCACCTGCTTCAGCCTCCCAAAATGCTGGGATTACAAGCATGAGCCACTGCACCTGGCCCATTGAATAAATTTTTACCCCTTTCTCTTTCTCCACTTTTGACTGTTTATTTTCAAATAGCCTTGTCTTCAAGCTCACTAATTCTTTCTTCTGCTTGATGTCTTCTGCTACTAAAGGACTCTGTTTATTCTTCAGTATGCCAACTGCGTTTTACAGCTCCAGAATTTCTGCTTCATTATTTTTAATTATTTCAATCTCTTTGTTAAATTTATCTTATAGAATTCTGAACTTCTCTGAGTTTTCTCAAATTTCTTTGAGTTTCCTCAACACAGCTACTTTGTATTCTTCTTCTGCAAAGTCATACATCTCTGTTTCTCCAGTATTGCTCCCTCCCTACTGCCCTATTTAGTTAATTTTGTTAGGTCATATTTTCCAGGAGGGTGTTGATGCTAGTAGATGTTCTTCTGTGTCTGTGCATCAAGAGTTAGATATTTATTGTAAGCTTCATTCTCTGGGCCTATTTGTAGCCATCCTTCTTGGGAAGGCTTTCTAGATATTTGAAAGGACTTGAGTGTTGTGATCAAAGCTCTTTCTGCTATAGAGGGCATCCAAAGCTCAGTAACACTGTGGTTCTTGCAGACTCATAGAGGTACCATCTTGACAGTACTGTACAAGATCCAAAAGAATCCTCTGAATTACTAGGTAGTGGTTCTTGTTCTATTCTCTTACTTTCCACCCAACATATGGAGTCTCTTTCTTTGTTCTGAGCTACCTAAAGATGCGGGTTGAGTGATACAAACCTCCCTGTGTCCACCACCACTGTGACTACACTGGGTCAGAGCTGAAGCCAGCACAGCAATGGGTCTTGCACAAGCCTGCCATAACCACTCCCTGGCTACTGCTTATATTTGCTCAAGGTCCTGGGTGTCTACAATGAGCAGTGACAAAGCCAATCAGGTCTGTTTACTTTCCTTCAGTGCAGCGGGGTCCCTCAGGCCATGGGTGGGCCCAGAAGTGTTGTCTGGGATCCAGAGACTGGAGTAAAAATCTTAGACATTTATCTGGTATTCTATTGTATTGCTGCTGAGCTGGCACTCAAACATCAAAACACAGTTCTTTCCACTATTCCCACCAGTTTTCAAAGGCAGAGGAGCCTCATCCCATAGCCACCACCACCCCCGGCTACAAGGAGTACTGCCAGACTACTAGCCAATATTCCCTTAAGGCCCAAGTGCTCCTAAGTCAGCTTGTAGTAAATGCTGCCTGGCCTGGGACTGAACCTTCAGGGTAGTGGGCTCCTCTGTGGCCCATGGCCAGTCCAGAATCCCATCCAAAAGTCAAGTTTTTTGAATCAGGAACCCTAAGAGCCAACTTGGTGCCCTACATCCCTGTGGCAGTGTTGGTTCCTAAGGTGCAAGACAAAGTCTCTTTTACTCTTCCTCTGCTTTTCTTAAGCACAAGGGCATTTTGTCTTGTACCCAACACAGCTCTTAATGGGCTGAGTCTCACCCGAAGCCAGTACATCTCAGAGGCTCACTCAAGGCTCTCAATGTAGTACCTGGGTATTGCTGCTGGTTATTCAGGACCCAAGTACTCTTCAGTTAGCAGGTGATGGATGCTGCTAGGACTGGGTCTTTTCCTTCAAGGCAGCAGCTTCCCTTTTGGCTCAGCGTGTGTTTCGAAATGTTGCCTGGGAGCTAGAGCCTGGAATGAGGGCCTTAGGACTCTGATCGGTGCCCTGTCCTGCTGTGGCTGAGATGGTTTCCAAGATGCAAGACAAGGTCCTCCCCACTTTCCCCTCTCCTTTCTTCAAGAGGAGAAAGAAGCCTCTTTTACATGCGCCCTCACCTCCGCGCATCTGTCTCACCTCACTGTCTCTGGGCCTAGTTCAGCCTAAGACTAGCCTAAGAGTTGCAGTCCTTATGGCCTAGACTGATTTTCAAGTTTGCTTAGAGACTGAGATCAATTCAGCCCTTGGTTGGGAGGTTTGCAGGCCCTCAAGTTTGAACCACTCAGATTGGCGATTCCCCTCTGGCTAGGGCTGAATTAAATGCCTCTGTGGGTGGGTGTCAGCTGAGGCTGGTCTGGTATTTCTTTCTGCTCCAAAAAGACAACACTGAATTCAATGTCTCACAATTGCTGGGTTCTCCCTCCCCAGCACCCAGAAATGTTATCTGCGTTACATGGCTACTCCTAGGCATGGAGGAAGAAAAAATGGCCTCTGCAATTCAGGACTATTTTTTCTATCTCTTATTTCCCCTTTCAGTGATATAAAATTAAAACCAGCTATTGTGAGTACTCACCTGATTTTTGGTTCTTATGAAATTGTGTGTGTGTGTGTGTGTGTGTGTGTGTGTGTAGATAATTGCTAACTTAGTGTTCATATGGAGGTTGTGAAGGTGAGATGATCAGTGGAGCTTTCTATTCCACCATCTTGCTCTGCCTCCTCCAGGGGGGACTCTCCTTCCTATGATGTTTACATCGGGTATTGTGATTGTTCACCTGGTTTTTGGTTCTTATGAAGGTGCTGTCTTCTGTGGATAATTGTCATTTTTGATGTTCCTGTGGAGGGGACAATCACTGGAGAGCTCTATTTGGTTATCTTGTCCCATCTCCTTCAGGATTATTTACTCTTAGAAATAATTAAATTGAAATTTTACCTTCTTATCGTAAGAATGATTCTATAGAAGGAGCAAACACAGAAGGACTCTCAGCTCAAATTTAGTTTGAATGAAGAAGCTAATGATGTCACACACACATTGTGAGTAAAAGGATAGATTGAGTAGTTACATAACTACTTTGAGAGTTTGATGAGAAAATGACAGGTTTTTCAAACTGGTCTGAAAAATTGCTTGAGAGGGCAAATAAAGGAGACTGTATTGGAATTTTGCTTTGGTTAGGGGATGGGGACCCAAGGTGCAAGTTCCTGCATATAGGAAGGGGCTTATTGTGAATCTACAACTGGTGTCATGAAGGGAGGACTAAGACTTTCTTATCAGCTTGACCTTATGTGGAGCAGAATGGGAAATGAAGCAGTGGGACTTAAAGCAAACAGTAAACATACAAAAAAATGGAGTCAAATCCTTTTTTACACATAGCTAGAAAAAATTGCAAATCAAACCATACTTGCAAAAATATTTAAATTCCCAATTTATTATTTTACCATGTGATCTTTACAAAATTCTTAGCTCCTTTAATCTCATCCCCTCAGTCAGTAATATGGAACTAATAATGCCTCTGTAGCAGTTTTCATGAGGGCCAATTAAACTTCCCATGTAGAAAAGTGCCACTTAACGAGTAATATATGTTACTTCAATTACATTTTCTGTTAAATGTTGCCAAGAGAATTTTTTTAAGCAATTCAGCGTCATTTAGATCCTTAGAGCAGAGATGGCTAGTTATTACCAATCCTAGTCCTCTTCCATACCAACGAAACCTTTCATTTAATGAATTCAGAAAACAAATATGTATGGCACACATAATATTTACTATGAAATATTTTTGCTCTTGCAATATTAGAATTCAGTAATAAAAATATTTTTTAAAAGTCTCTTCCCTTATAGAACTTACTAGGGTAGTAGACCAACAATAAACTATATATATATATATATATATGTATTATATATGTATCATATATATAACATGTATATCATCATATATAACATATATCTATCATATATATGTGTTTGTGTATATGTATATATGTATACATATATGTATATATATACAAACACACATATGTATACTATAGTGTATTGAAATAAATTTAGTATATTAGAAATTAATGTTATGAAAAAATATTAAAATTAACAAGAAATGCTAAAGTGTTGTGGGGATGAGGTTTTAGTGCTGAATAACATAAACAAAGCAGTCCTGATTGAGGAAGTAATACCTGAGCAAAGACATGACAGATCCAAGTGGATAACTAGGCTAAAGCATGCAACTCAAGCAGAGGGGCAGATGAATAAATGTTTGAAGGTACGTCAGAACAGCAAGGAAGTTAGTGTGTTTGGAGTCCTAAGGCAATCAGTAAAAGAGAGATATGTCAATGAGGTAGTGGAGGGGGCAGCTTAGAAAGGGTATTTGGCTTTAATTATTAGTGCAATGAAGAGCCACATTGGAGTTTTGAATAGAAGAGATAAATTATCAGAATTACAATTTATAAGTTCTACTCAGTTAATATGTTGAGAATAGCTTGCAGAGTGACAAGGTTCAAACAGATAGAAGACAATTGCAATAGTTCAATTCAAAGATGGTTCTGGCTCAGACATAGGTGTAGCAACGAAGGTGATGAGAAATAATTTCATTTGGGGTATATTTCGAAGGAAAGACCAAAAAGAATTTAACCTGAATTAGAAAAGATTAAAGAAAGGTTCCTTGGTTCAATGACCAAGTTACTGAGATGTAGAATAGATGAATCATGTTTTGGAAAAAAAAAGATGGACATAATTAGTTCTGAATATGTAGAGTTTAAAATATTTACTAGACAACAATGCACAGCCTTAATGTAGGAAATGGATATAGCAAGCTGGTGCTCCAGAGAGAAGTCTAAGTTAGAGATACAAATATAATATTTTTTGGAATATAGATAGTATGTGTATCCTTGAGACAGTATGAGATCATTAAGCTGTGCCTTTCAACAAAAAAAGGAAACAAAGCCAAGATCTAGGGCACACCAACTTTAAACAGGAAGGTGATGCTTACATTTTTAGCTGAATACACTGTCACTCAGGGTAAAATCTTCCTGCAGCTTGATGTAAATATGATCAAATACTCGTTATAGGAGTTTAAATTGGATGGGTTATTTTACACCTTGAGTGAAGACCCTGCAACAGATGTAAAAATCTTTTTAATTTTCTATTTTCTGCTCTTCCATCTTGCTACCAAAGATAAAGTATGATGGCTGTACCTTTAGATATTACCTTGGACTTGTGGGGCAGCATGGAATTTGGAAATGGCCAATTGAATACCAGAGAATGCCTGGATTTTCAGGGACTTTTTTGAAATTGTACTATCATACTAGCTCTGGACTGCTTTCTTCCAGATTTTTATACAAGATATAAATATTTTGTCTTGCTTCAGCCCATGTAATTTTGTATCTTCATTATTTCCAGCTGAAATTAATACTAAGTGATAGATTTCCATAACAGAAACAGATGGTAATGTACCCCTTATTTTTATTCTTCTTTTTTTGACCCCATTTATATATACATATATATATATTTTTTAATATATATAAATATTAAATATACATATTTTATTATACTTTAAGTTCTAGGGTGCATGTGCACAACGTGCAGGTTTGTTACATATGTATACATGTGCCATGTTGGTGTGCTGCACCCATTAACTCGTCATTTACATTAGGTATATCTCCTAATGCTATCCCTCCCCTGTCCCCCCACCTCACAACAGGCCCCAGGGTGTGATGTTTCCCTTCCTGTGTCCAAGTGTTCTCATTGTTCAATTCCCACCTATGAGTGAAAACACGCAGTGTTTGGTTTTTTGTCCTTGCTGAGAATGATGGTTTCCAGCTTCATCCATGTCCCTATAAAGGACATGAACTCATCATTTTTTATGGCTGCATAGTATTCCATGGTGTATATGTGCCACATTTTCTTAATCCAGTCTATCATTGTTGGTCTTTTGGGTTGGTTCCAAGTCTTTGCTATTGTGAATAGTGCCGCAATAAACATGCATGTGCATCTGTCTTTATAGCAGTATGATTTACAATCCTTTCGGTATATACTCAGTAATGGGATGGCTGGGTCAAATGGTATTTCTAGTTCTAGATCCCTGAGGAATCACCACACTGACTTCCACAATGGTTGAACTAGTTTACAGTCCCACCAACAGTGTAAAAGTGTTCCTATTTCTCCACATACTCTCCAGCACTTGTTGTTTCCTGACTTTTTAATGATCGCCATTCTAACTGGTGTGAGATGGTATCCCATTGTGGTTTTGATTTGCATTTCTCTGATGGCCAGTGATGATGAGCATTTTTTCATGTGTCTGTTGGCTGCATAAATATCTTCTTTTGAGAAGTGTCTGTTCATATCCTTCGCCCACTTGTTGATGGGGTTGTTTTTTTCTTGTAAATTTGTTTGAGTTCTTTGTAGATTCTGGATATTAGCCCTTTGTCAGATGAGTAGATTGCAAAAATTTTCTCCCATTCTGTAGGTTGCTTGTTCACTCTGATGGTAGTTTCTTTTGCTGTGCAGAAGCTCTTTAGTTTAATTAGATCCCATTTGTCAATTCTGGCTTTTGTTGCCATTGCTTTTGGTGTTTTAGACATGAAGTCCTTGCCCATGCCTATGTCCTGAATGGTATTGCCTAGGTTTTCTTCTAGGGTTTTTATGGTTTTAGGTCTAACATTTAAGTCTTTAATCCATCTTGAATTAATTTTTGTATAAGGTGTAAGGAAGGGATCCAGTTTCAGCTTTCTACATATGGCTAGCCAGTTTTCCCAGCACCATTTGTTGAATAGGGAATCCTTTCCCCACTGCTTGTTTTTCTCAGGTTTGTCAAAGATCTGATAGTTGTAGATGTGTGGTATTATTTCTGAGGGCTCTGTTCTCTTCTATTGGTCTATATCTCTGTTTTGGTACCAGTACCATGATGTTTTGGTTTCTGCAGCCTTGTAGTATAGTTTGAAGTCAGGTAGCCTGATGCCTCCAGCTTTGTTCTTTTGGTTTAGGACTGACTTGGCAATGCAGGCTCTTTTTTGGTTCCATATGAACTTTAAAGTAGTTTTTTCCAATTCTGTGAAGAAAGTCATTGGTAGCTTGATGGGGATGGCATTGAATCTATAAATTACCTTGGGCAGTATGGCCATTTTCACAATATTGATTCTTCCTATCCATGAGCATGGAGTGTTCTTCCATTTGGTTGTATCCTCTTTTATTTCCTTGAGCAGTGGTTTGTAGTTCTCCTTGAAGAGGTCCTTCACATCCCTTGTATGTTGGATTCCTAGGTATTTTATTCTTTTTGAAGCAATTGTGAATGGGAGTTCACTCATGATTTGGCTCTCTGTTTGTCTGTTATTGGTGTATAAGAATGCTTGTGATTTTTGCGCTTTGATTTTGTATCCTGAGACTTTGCTGAAGTTGCTTATCAGCTTAAGGAGATTTTGGGCTGAGATGATGGGGTTTTCTAGATATACAATCATGTCATCTGCAAACAGGGACAATTTGACTTCCTCTTTTCCTAATTGAATACCCTTTATTTCTTTCTCCTGCCTGATTGCCCTTGTCAGAAATTCCAACACTGAGTTGAATGGGAGTGGTGAGAGAGGGCATCCCTGTCTTGTGCCAGTTTTCATATGGAATGCTTCCAGTTTTTGTCCATTCAGTATGATATTGGCTGTGGGTTTGCCATAAATAGCTCTTATTATTTTGAGATACGTCCCATCAATACCTAATTTATTGAGAGTTTTTTGCATGAAGGGCTGTTGAATTTTGTCAAAGGCCTTTTCTGCATCTATTGAGATAATCATGTGTTTTTTTTCTTTGGTTCTGTTTATATGCTGGATTATGTTTATTGATTTGTGTATGTTGAACCAGCCTTGCATCCCAGGGATGAAGCCCACTTGATCATGGTGGATAAGCTTTTTGATGTGCTGCTGGATTCGGTTTGCCAGTATTTTATTGAGGATTTTTGCATCAATGTTCATTGGGATATTGGTTTAAAATTCTCTTTTTTTGTTGTGTCTCTGCCAGGTTTCAGTATCAGGATGATGCTGGCCTCATAAAATGAGTTAGGGAGGATTTCCTCTTTTTCTATTCATTAGAATAGTTTCAGAAGGAATGGTACCAGCTCCTCCTTGTACCTCTGGAAGAATTCAGCTGTGAATCCGTCTGGTCCTGGACTTTTTTTGATTGGTAAGCTATTTGTTATTGCCTCAATTTTAGAGCCTGTTATTGGTCTATTCAGAGATTCAACTTCTTCCTGGTTTAGTATTGGGAGAATGTATGTGTCGAGGAATTTATCCATTTCTTCTAGATTTTCTAGTTTATTTGCGTAGAGGTGTTTATAGTATTCTCTGATGGTAGTTTGTATTTCTGTGGGATCAGTGATGATATCCCCTTTATCATATTTTATTGCGTCTATTTGATTCTTCTCTCTTTTCTTTATTAGTCTTGCTAGCGGTGTATCAATTTTGTTGATCTTTTCAAAAAACCAGCTCCTGGATTCATTGATTTTTTGAAGGGTTTTTTGTGTTTCTATCTCCTTCAGTTCTGCTCTGATCTTAGTTATTTCTTGCCTTCTGCTAGCTTTTGAATGTGTTTGCTCTTGCTTCTCTAGTTCTTTTAATTGTGATGTTAGGGTGTCAATTTTAGATCTTTCCTGCTTTCTCTTGTGGGCATTTAGTGCTATAAATTTCCCTCTACACACTGCTTTAAATGTGTCCCAGAGATTCTGGTATGTTGTGTCTTTGTTCTCGTTGGTTTCAATGAACATCTTTATTTCTGCCTTCATTTCGTTATGTACCCAGTAGTCATTCAGGAGCAGGTTGTTCAGTTTCCATGTAGTTGAGCAGTTTTGAGTGAGTTTCTTAGTCCTGAGTTCTAGTTTGATTGCACTGTGGTATGAAAGACAGTTTGTTATAATTTCTGTTCTTTTACATTTGCTGAGGAGTGCTTTACTTCCAACTTTGTGGTCAGTTTTGGAACAAGTGTGGTGTGGTGCTGAGAAGAATGTATATTCTGTTGATTTGGGGTGGAGAGTTCTGTAGATGTCTATTAGGTCCGCTTGGTGCAGAGCTGAGTTCAATTCCTGGATATCCTTGTTAAGTTTCTGTCTCGTTGATCTGTCTAATGTTGACAGTGGGGTGTTAAAGTCTCCCATCGTTATTGTGTGGGAGTCTAAGTCTCTTGGTAGGTCTCTAAGGACTTGCTTTATGAATCTGGGTGCTCCTATATTGGGTGCATATATATTTAGGATAGTTAGCTCTTCTTGTTGGAATAAAATATTCTCCTTCTGGTTAGATCAATTTAGATTGTGTAGTACTATCTGAAATATTATTTTGAAAAGTATTTCTATTTTTGTTTTTTCTTCCATGTGTAAAATGAATAGCTATTCCTTATTTAATAGCAAATGATATTAAAAATGTGTATGACAGCATTGAAGCAATCATGGAGCACTCGTAGAGTAGATAAGTTGCCAAGAGTTTTTGACAGCACAAATTTTAGAAAGGCATTATAAACAGAATCTATGCATGAGTATATATTTTAAAATGATAAAGCTTTTTAGTGCTGCTTTTCTAAAATATTTAAGAGTAAAATTTTTGGAAGTACCCTTTCGTTCACCTCCTGGAAAATTCAGTAAGGCAGCCTTAAGGTAGCCTTATTACCTCTTGGAACTATTAAGCTGAGCAAAATTTTAAAACAACAGGTAGGAGTTTTAGTGGATGAAGTTTGAAAATGTACTGAGACAGTTTTTTTTTTTTAATGCATGTTTTGGCCATATTAGCAATAGCAGGAAATCATTCTAGGTAATTAAAAAAAAGTTGCCATTGAGACTATGATATTTGAGACTTCTTTTTTCTTGAATAGAATGAACAATCCGCTAAGTGTGTTTAAGTTTTTTGTTAAACCCTCGGCAAATAAAATCATGGCTTTGCCTGTAAAAAGCACTGATGAATAAATGTCTCTTTTTCTTCAAAGACCGTGCTTGTTGTAAATGAGAATCCAGATACACAATTACCTGTGATTCAAGAAGGCAGCTGCAAATATATGACACCACTGATGCATCTGCAGAAGAAAAAAAAAAAAGCAGATGCTATGATTTTTATTTAGACTCCTTTCAACGAAGAGATGAGACCCAATAGGAAGAAAAGTCACTAGACAATTAATAAACATTACTTTTCATCTTACTGCTTTACTTTTATTGCCTCATCCTTTATAGTTTTATGGGTTTGTTCTTGCCAGCCTAATCTTTCCCTCCTGTAATTTGGGGTTGATTTAAAATCAGCTTTCCTGTGGCTTTTTTAAGCTAGGGAGTTCTCCGTTAATAGTGTGCTTGCCTAGCATTTTTCCTATATCCTTTACAGCTCTATTTAAGAGTTAAAAAACTGGGTTATAAAATTGAAATATGTTAATATAAAAATGAAGAAAAGGATTTGTCTTAGTATATTAAGAAGATTAAGCAATGGTAAGAGAGTTCTAGATCATCTAGACTTTAGCTTTTGCTTGTTGGGGCTGCTCCCACATCTCCATAAAGACACCAGATGACAGCCCTTCTGCAAGGTCAGGTTATTCTGTCACTGCAAGTGAAAAGCATGGAAGAGATTTATTAGGCAGCAACGTGCATCTATGTGTTTTATCTTTCTCCAATATAAATACCTAGGAGATGCTTGAAGCAGTATTTAAAAGGAGTTGTAATGAATTATAAATGATGATAAATCTGAACTGATTTCAAAGTGATGGGCTTTTAACATTTAAAAATTTTACCATGGAGGTTGCCTTTTGTTACTTAGCTCTTTTAAGCTTAAATATATAACACATTATGCAAAACTGATATTCAGGGGAATTGATTAAAACAACAGAAATATTATAAGAATAAAATATAAAGATAGAATATTTTATTGAAAAACATAATAAAAATTAACATGTACATACTTTTTTTTTTAGATGAAGATTTACATCTCATCACCCATGCTGGGGTTCAATGGCCCGATCTTGGCTCACTGCAACCTCCACCTCTCGGGTTCAAGTGATTCTACTGTCTCAGCCTCCGCAGAGCTGGGATTATAAGTGCCTGCCACCAAGCCTGGTTAATTTTCATTTTTTTAGTAGAGACGGGTTTTTCACCATGTTGGCCAGGCTGGTCTCGAATTCCTGACCTAAGTTGATCCACCTGCCTTGGCCTTCCAATGTGCTAGGATTACAAGCGTGAGTCACCAGACCTGATCACATACACACACTATTTATCCATGTAGATTTATCTTATATATAAAAATTTAATTGTTGAATAAAGGGCATATTTACTTTTGATAAATTACAGATTATTATTACCTTTTTTATGTAAGGTAGATCGTTACTCCAAAAAAACTTCACATTTTTAATATCAGAAAGCTATACATATCTATATGATCTTGCTTATTATTTTGGCATTGGGTGTCTCATGTGCATAACCAAAAATAATAAATATTTTAGAATTTTATGAAGTATATATCCTTGTTTAAATTTCTCCAAGAGTTAAAAAGGAAGTAGAATATAACACCAATTTTTGAATGTGTATTATTTAACTAGATAGGCAAATTTAATAGTAATAAATTATTGATTTCAGATATAACTAGAAGTTAGATGAATTATAAACCTTATAAAACACAAAGCTTATGAAATTCCACAATTCTGGCACTTATTTTCTAACCTCAGTTTCCATATTTATAGAATGAAAATTATAATCATAGTCTCTAGCTATCAGAGTTACTGTAAAAATTAAATGGAATTTTGTGTAAATACACTAGTATATCTCCTAGCATATAGTAAAGTAAATATTTGCTATTAGATAATGATTTATTTCTTCTCACTTCTTTTATATTTAAAATAAATGTATTGCCTCCAATGTGTCAGACACTATTTTCAACAAGAAAGGGAAAGTTCTTACCTAGACCAAGTTCTTACTTATACAGTGGTTACATTGCTGTGAAGAGAAAGAGAAATAGAGAATATTAAAGAAAGTATCAATGTCTTTATACTTAATTTATATGTATCTCTTTGGACCCTGACAAAGAATAATACATTAAGTGTCAGGAAGGTAAAGAAGGGTAAATTTATTAGAAACAGTTACATTGGTGCTTTGTGGAATGGAGCTGTTAGAACATGTTTCCATTCACAGTAAGTAAACACATTATTTTGATCTATACACTTTAGTATTTCAGTAAGAAGTTTAGTTAAGATCGCCATGTTTTATTTAAATACTTCATCATTGGATTATCATTTTGATATATATCTGTATTGTTGCTATGTCTATAACACTATTTTAAATCTAGTGAAAATGGATAAAACATTCTGATTAACTTTAAAATATTTAAATAAAGCATAATATACATAAGAAGATGCCTAAAACGTGATAAGTAAATAAAAACTATGCATTTTGCTTTACTTTTTATCCGATTGCCCATTTATAGTACTTAAAAATCTCATTTTTATAGTATCATGTGCATCATAGGCCATGCAGAACATGATGGTACAATAGTGTTGTTCAATCATCAAAGGTCCCTAATGGGAATAGGGGTCCATGTTAAAGATTGCAAAGATCAGGAATTAAATGATGTCTCATTTGCCTATTTCTACTTTTAAATTTGCAGGCTCTTCCTATAGAACTGGTGCTTAAGATGTTAAAGGTGGGTATGTGGTAATGTGGATGCCACACTGGCCTCATTTTCAACTGACAAGTAAACTTTGTTTTTTGGTCAATAAAGTATTCAGTTTAGTGTTAATCTTCTCTTTTTGCATAGAATGATATATGTGTTTAATTTCTAGTTCTTTTTCTATAAAGACAACATTCCAGAAGGTATTTGGAAGTGTATAGTGGATACAATTTACTAATTTTTAATTCTATATAAATTTAATAAAAACTTCCAAATTTAGTTTAGAGGAGTTATAGACATACTTAAAGACCCAATTTTCTTACGTTGGGGGAGTGAAAGAATAGAGGAGAATAACTCAATACAGAGAGGGAGAGTCACAAGGCTTTAGACAGTATCAGCAAATGATAGGATGAGAGAAATAATGTCAAAGAACTATGGTAGTGATTAAATCAGTTATGATACATTTTATTTATTATTACATAGAAAAGTGTCAAACTCACTAACTCTATAGGAGTAGAGGATCCATTGTACAGGATCAAATAAAACTACATTTAAAATGTGGGTGTCGATTGGAGAAATGAAATGGAATACAAATTACCTACTCAAATCTATCTAATTGGAAAGGATGATCAAATCAATCTAAAATTTACATTAATGTAATTATACTATTTAAAAGTAAGCATTCTGATTACTGTTTTACCTTATTTTCTAAAACACTAAATATAGAACACAGAAGATCATGTGAATTTCTCATTTTGCTTATATACTAATTATATTTATCAGAAATTGTTGGCCAGGTGTGCTGGCTCATGCCTGTAATCCCAGCAGGTGGGGAGGCTGAGGCAGGAGGATTGCTTAAGCCTGGGAGTTCAAGACTAGTCTAGGCAACAAACAGAGACCCCCATCTCCAAAGAAAGAAAGAAAAAGAAATTGGGAAAAGTATTGGAACAATCCACTCACAGTCAAGATGTTATAATAATTGCATGTGGTTGTATAGAATGGAAATGTAACTTCAACTCTCTGAGACGTGGATATGAGTATGGCCTACTGAATTTTTCAGTGAAGTAGTGATTTGAAGACATGTTAATACTACAAATAAAGAAAGAACCATGACTCTGTAGTCTCTTTTATTATATATCTGGAGATTACAGAATTGAGCAAAGTAGCCTCTACCGTAAGAACCTCAGTCATGTGAACTCCAGAAGCAATCATTATAAGGCCTTCTTTCTTCAGAGGTCAACTTTTTTCTCTCACTTTCTCTGGTGTAATTGCTTGGCAAAATGTAATCAATAAAATACATAAAAGAATTATGTATAAACAATAGTTATATTAAAAATTAACTTTATTCTAGCTCCGCACTTAAACAGTGCAACGAGGAAGGAAATACCTCACAACCATGCTGACTGAACTTATCATAAATAAAGAATAATGTTAAGTAAAGCTTTAATGCTGCCTACCAATCATACTGCACTCCCCTAGCACATGTACTCATTAGCTTGCCCACCCTTCTGGGTAATTAGTACCTATTTCTACCCTTCCACAAACTTCCAGTAACCTCTCTAATTTTCTGAACTATAATATTGGAATATTTTATATCAATTTTTTTAACTTCTTGTTTTCTGTATCTATATTCATGGTATTTTGGCATATCTCTTTCAAACAACTAACAAGATCCTTATACAGCATAGAATAGTAAGAGAGGAGTCAAATGTGTTTGCACGAGTCAAATAGTGGCATGAATAGATTCATCTTGATTAATGTACTTGGAAGCAAGTATTGACTAGGATAAGGAGTGTAGCTGTAATCATCATTAATTGTTTGACCAGAAATCAAATAGTAGCATCAACATTTGATCAAATGCAAATGTGGAGTGTGATTACAACTAAGAAACAATGTCATCTTCACCTCAGGGAATGCCAGACAGGGACGATAATGAAAGGTGGCCAGTTAAGATTTAAATGTATGCCAGTTAAGAAAAAATAAACCATTAATTGACAAAATAAACCTTTAATTTTCAGAGAAAATGAATGTCTGAATTTCTTGCTCAAAATTTTATAGCGTTGGCCAGCATTAAGTTATAGTCACTGGTGGACTGGAAAGTCACGATATAAATTACAGCAAAACAAAGACAGTTGATACTCCTGCACACTTGAGTGTATAGATAAAAAAGTATTATCTTTGTATATATGTTATAGCCAAGAAGACTTTTTGCTGCAAACATGTTCATTAACTCTTCTCTACTAATACTATTTTCTCTTAGTCGATAAAACACATTTTTCCCCTCAAAAAAAAAAAAACTGTGATGGTCAGAGAAAGAATATGCCATATTTTGCAGTGTCATCTCATGTACTTATATCAGAAATTTATCATTGTAAAATAGATTCACAGTGAAATATTTCAGTAAAATATCATAGCTTAATAATAATGTTTCATACTTATGAGTTAAAGAAATAACACTGATTTTGCTATATCTTAAGTTTAAAGTACTGGAAGTTTATGATTATTTAAATGTGGTATAATGCATATCTAATTAACAGATTTGATAGCTATTTATTAAATACATATTGGATAATAAAATAATAATTAAATATAAAAATAAGTATATACAAACTATATTAGTGAAACACATACTAAATTATATTCACATATTGACAAATGCATACCTATCATGGATATTTCTAGACAGCTAAAGCCCATTCAGAATATCTGCAAAATGTGCCACAATTTCAATACCCTGGCAACTAACATTTAAAATAATAAACAGTGAAATAAAAATGATATTATAAGTTGGCATCTTTGACTTGAGAATTGCCCATTGCTTTTGCATTTTTTTCTATGTGCTTTCTTAAGGCATTTTGGTTAAGATGGTTCAAAATGGATACTTTATCTGAGAGTGTGTAATTTTAATATAACATTCAAAGACAAGACAATTTTCTAAAGACTTTCTTTTTTCTCTATTACATACTGAAAATAAACTGATAGTTATCAGTTGTCATGCAACATTGCCAGAATATTTGCTACATTCTTTGATATAAGGATTTCATAAAAATATATCCTATAAAGAATTAACAAAATGTTACTTTTTGTATAAAATAAATATATGATTAAATAATGTTGTAGTTACAGCTATTTAGCCAAACACAACGTGAATTATTCAATAATAAGTATGGGATATCATGTATTTATCATAGAAAACTATTTTTATTTATGATCATGTATAATATTGTTCTCATTCAAACACTAAATACAAAGCATATTCCTAAAATTAAGTGCACATATTGGACTTCTGTTATTGAAAAAAAAAATTATTTTATTTTATTTTTACTGTTTTGTCCCACATGAGCTTGCTTATATATTTAAAAATAAAGTGTTCCTTAGTTTCTTGAAAAATAAATTAGCCTCTGTAGGTGTTGTGATTCTACACCAGCAACCCATGATAATAAATTAAAGGTGCAAAAATAGTTAGTATTTACATGTAAAAGTAATTACAATAATTAATTTAAAGGCAAAAGGTATCATTTGTCTTAGCTTTTATCCAAGTACTGCCTCAAAATCACTTTTCTTATGAACCACAATAAATAGAAGAAGTACCATTAATGTCTCAAAAGTATTCTTGTATTACAAATTAAAAATCTTAATTGCTCCAAGACCAAATGGTTAAGATAAAAATTAAATTCACCTGTGAAGCCTAAACTCCAAATATAAAATGAGAAATTACACAGAAAAATTGTGAACAATAAGATTATTCTGCTCAATTTCTACTATTATCTAAGCAATTTTTATTATTTATCTGACTAATTTTTTCAGATGTTTGAATAAATTAGTAGCAGGGTATTACTTTAAAATAGAAAAAATATATGTAATTTGTATAAGTACCCAGAAGTTTAATGAGTATGTCAAAATCTGGTATATTTGTTATAGAGTAATACTACCTAATATTTATCAAGAGCATAATATATACTCCATTTACCTCCAGGCTCTTTGCATACCGATGTATCAAGGATTAAATTAATTTTGTCCTCTAAACAACCCATTAAAGTAGGCAGTATTTTTATTTATTTGACAATTTAGAAAACTAAGAATGATCACTAAACTGATTGTGAATTTGTTGGTATAATGTTTGTGTGGCAATGTTCCTCTGCACGAGTAGGGATGAAAAGAATTATGTATATAGAATAGTTGTCCTTTCACATGTGGTTTTCATAAAAACCCTACTCTTCTAATTTATGGTTAAAAGTGTTCATTGTAACTAAGACTATCATTTTTAAATAATGACTATGACCTTTTTTTAATTCTAGAGAAAAATAACATAATTGCTTGAAATTATTATACCGATTTCCTGACATTCCAATTTAAATCTCTGTAATTTTATTCCCCAGAAGTCCATATTACATGCTACCATCACACTGCCATTGTTTCCAGTACTAAAAATATATTATTGCAACTTTCTGAAAGTAATACCTTTCTATTAGCAAATTGTCTAATATCTCAGATGCTATAATTGATGATTACAGAATTTTATTGAATGTTCATATCATAGGCAATATAAGTGTCATTGAAGAAGTCCTGAAAAATTGGATGCACCATTAATATAACTTCCCTACTCATACAGAAGACTCAGATAATAATTATGTATTATATACTGTATTATGCTATGTATATATAATTTGTCAATATTTAACCTGATAATCTTGGGGAAATCAAGCATTTTTCTCTTTGAGAATTAAGTTTGTTGTTTTATTAACATATATTCTTATCAGGTAGCAAAATGATTCTTCTATTCTGAAATTTTAAAAAGAATTATAACTAGGAATTAATGTTAAATATTACCAAATGCTTACCATTGAAATGAGTAGAGTTTACACATTTATTTTCTTGTTGAGATATATAATTTTCCTAATGGTAAATTACTTTTAGATGTTGAGAATGCTCAAAGTAACAATTTAAAAAACGTTATTTGCTACACCATGTTTATGTATATTAACATTAAAGAAAGCAGAGTGACAGAAATTTAGGTACTCTGTTTTATCTTTACAATGCTTCTATGATCCTACTTTTTTTGTTGTTGTTAAAATGTCCTTTCACATTTAGGACAAGATGTATTTCTTGCAGCCATAATATCATTACTGAAGATAACTTAGTTAATCAATATAAGATCTATTGTCAATGTACTCCTCTATCATGCTAACTTGTATTTTTTAAATTTTTAAATTTTTAATTTTGTGGGTACTTAGTAGGTGTCTATATTTATAGGGTACATGAGACGTTTTGAAACAGGCATACAATGTGAAACTATCATATCGTGGAGGATGGGTTAGAAATCCCCTGAAGCATTTATCCTTTGTGATATAAACTATCCAATTACAATCTTTTAATAATTTTAAAATGTACAATCAAGTTATTATTGATTATAGTGACCCTGTTGTGCTATCAAATAGCAGGTCTTATTCATTCTTTCTAATTATTTTTTGGACCCATTAAAAATCTCCACCTCCCCATCCCCAACAAAACCCCTACTACATTTCCCAGCATCTGTTAACCATCCCTCTACTGTCTATTTTCAAGAGTTTTATTAGTTTTAATGGCAAAAAACGCAATTACTTTTCCACTATCCTAATATTGCTTCGATATTTTATTGTTCATTGTTTATTTTATTATTTACGGTTTGATATTAGATTGTTTTGATTTTTAAATCCCACAAAATGTTATAGCACATAATGTTTGTCTTTTTGCGCCTGGCTTATTTCACTTATCATAATGATCTCCATATCCATTCATGTTGCTGCAAATGACAAAATCTTACTATTTACGATGGCCAAATAGCACTCCATTGTGTATAAGTACCACATTTTCTTTATCTACTCATCTCCAGATGGACAATTATGTTGTTTGCAAATCTTACTATTGTGAAATATGCTGCAACAAACATAAAAAAGTGTAGATATATCTAAGATATACTGAGTTCCTTTATTTTGTAAATATATGCAGCAGTGGGATTCCTGGATTATATGTTAGCTCTATTTTTAGTTTTTTAAAGAACATCCAGACTGTTCTCCATAGTGCTAATACTAAGTTACATTCCCACCAAGAGTGTACAGGATTCCCTTTTCTTCACATCCTCACCACCATTTGTTAATGCCTGTCTTTTGGATATAAGCCATTTTAGCTGGGATGAGAGGATAGCTCATTGTAGTTTTGATCTGTATTAATTTGATGATTAATGATGGTGAGCACCTTTTCATATACCTGTTTGCCATTGTATGTCTTCCTTTGGACGATGTCTATTAAAGTCTTTTGCACATTTGTAATCAATTTTTCAGATTTTTTCCCTATAAAGTTGTTTGAACTCTTTACATATTCTGGTGATTAATCCCTTGTCTGTTGGGTAGTTTGCCAATATTTTCTCCCGTTTTGGGGACTGTCTGTTCACATTGTTGACAGTTTTCTTTGCTGTGCAGATTTTTAATTTGATGTGATCTCATTTGTCCATTTTTGCTGTGTTTGCCTGTGCTTGTGGGTTACTTCACAATAATTCTTTTTTTCCAGACCAATGTCCTAGAGATTTTTCCCATTTTCTTGTGGTACTTTCAGACTTTGAGAACTTAGTTTTAAGCCTCTAATCCATTTTTATTTGACTTTGGTATATGGTAAGAGATACAGGTCTGTTTCAGTGTTCTGCATGTGAATATCTAGTTTTCCCAGTATCATTTATTGAAAAGATTACATTTTCACCAATGTATGCTTGTGGTACCTTTGTTAAAAATGAGTTCACCGGGCCAGGGATAGTGGCTCATGCCTGTAGTCCCAACAATTTGGAAGGCCAAGAGGAATCACCTGAGGTCAGGACTTCGAGACCAGCCTGGCCAATATGGCGAAACCCCATCTCTACTAAACATAGAAAATTAGCTGGGCATGGTGGTGGGTGTCTGCACTCCCAGCTACTCAGGAGGCTGAGGCAGGAGAATCACTTGAACTGGGAAGGCAGAGGTTGCAGTGAGCCAAGATCGCACCATTGCACTCTAGCTTGGGCAACAAAAGTAAAACTCCATCACAAAAAAAAAATAAAGAGTTTACTGTATGGATTTCTTTCTGTGTGTCTGTTTTTATGCCAGTGCCATACTGTTTTGGTTACTATAGCTCTGTACTATAATTTGAAATCTGGTAATGTGATTCCTCCAGTTTTTCTCTTTTTGCTTAGGATAACTTTAGCTATTTTGGATCTTTTGTAGTTCTATATAAATTTAGTGGGTTTTTTTTATATTTCTGTGAAGAAAGCCATTGGTATTTTGATAGGGAGTAAATTGAATCTTTGCATTGCTTTGGGTAGTATGGACATTTTAATAATACCAATTTCTCTAATCCAAGAACATAGAATTTTTTTTTGATTTTAAGGATCTTTTTCCATTTCTTTCATTAGTTTTTTTTATAGCTTTCATTGTATAGATCTTTTACTTATTTTGTTAATTCATAGGTATTTATTTTATTTGTGGCTATTGTAAATAAGATTACATTTTGACTTCTTTTTTAGATTATTCACTGTTAGCATACAAAAATGCTACTGACTTTTGTATGTTGATTTTGTATTCTGCAGCTTTAGTGAATTTGTCTATCTATTCTAACAGTTTTCTAGTGGAGACCTTAAGTTTTTCCAAATATAAGATCATATCATCTGCATACAAGGATTATTTGACTTCTTCCTTTCCAATTTTGATGCCTTTTATTTCTTTCTTATGTCTGATAGCTCTAGCTAGAACTTCCAGTACTATGTTGAATAACAGTTGTGACACTGTGCATTATTGTCATGGTGCAGATCTTAAAGGAAAGCCTTTTTTTCCCCATTCAGTGAGATAATAACTGTGTATTTGTTGAATATGGCTTTTATTATGTTGAGGTATGCTCATTCTATCTCCAAGTTTTTGAGGAATTGTATCATAAAATAATTCTGAATTTTATTAAGTGCTTTTTCAGCATCAATTTAAATTATCTTATGGTTTTTGTCCTCATTCTGTTGATATGATGTATCACATTAATTGATTTGCATACGTTGAATCATCCTTGCATCCCAGTAATAAATCTCACTTGGTCATGATGAATGATCTTTCTAAAGTATTTTTTGTTGCATTCAGTTTGCTGGTATTTTGTTGAGCACTTTTGCATCAATATTCCTCAGAGTTATAGACCTGTAGTTCTTTGTTTCTTTCTTTTTTTTTTTTTTTTTGATGTGTTTTTGTCTTTATTTATTTATTTATTTTTGTATCAGGGCCTTGTAGAATGAGGTTGAAAACATGCCTTCCTCCTCTATGTTTTAGAATAGTTTGAGTAGCATTGGTATTAGTTCTACTTTAAATGTTTGGTAGAATTCCAGGGAAACTATCAGCTCCCAGACTTTTTTTTTTTCTATTTTTACTAGGAAACTTTTTATTATAGCTTCAATCTTGTTACTTCTTATTGGTCTCTTCAGGTTTTTCATTTCTTCTTAGTTTAATCTGTATAGGTTATATGTATCTAGGAATTTTTCAATTTCTTCTAGATTTTCCAATTTATTAACATATAGTAGCCACTAATAATGATCATTTGAATTTCTGCAGTATCAGTTGCAATGTCTCCTTTTTCATTTCTGATTTTATTTATTTGTATTTTCTCTGTCATTTTCTTAGTCTGGCTAAATGAATGTTAATTTTGTTTAACTTTTCAAAAAAACTTTTTGTTTCATTGACCATTTGTATTGTATTCTTCATTTCAATTTCATTTATTTCCGCTCTGAATTTTTTATTTCCTTTCTTCTATTAATTTTGAGTTTGATTTGCTCTTGTTTTTCCATTTAAGTTGTGTTGTTATATTATTTATTTGAAGTTCTTTCACTTTTTTGATGTAGGCATTTAGTACCATAAACTTTTTCTGAGTACTGCTTTTGCTGTATTCCATAAGTTTTGGTGTGTTGTGTTTTCATTATCATTTGTTTCAATAATTTTTTGTTTTCTTAATCTCTTCATTGACCCACTGGTCATTCAGAAGAATAATGTTTAATTTCCATGTGTTTGTTTGTATTTTTCCCAACATTTCTCTTGTTACTGATTGCTAGTTTTATTCATTGTTGTCAGAGAAGATGCTTAACAGTATTTCAATTTTTTGAATGTTTTAAGACTTGTTTTGTGACCTAACATATAGTCTATCCTTGAGAATGATCCATATGCTAAAGAAAAGAATGTATATTCTGCAGCTGTTGGATGAAATGTACTGTAAATATCTATTAGATCTATTTGGTCAATAGTGCAGAATAAGTCCAATATTTCTTTGTTGGTCTTTGTCTGGAATATCTGTCTAATGTTGCAAGTGGGGTGTTGAAGTCTTGAGCTATCAAGAGATAAGGCCTATCTCTCTCTGCAGCTCTAATAATATTTGCTTTATACATCTGAGTGTTCCAGTGTTGGGTGCATATCTATTTAAAATTGTTATAACCTCTTGCTGAGTTGACTCCTTTATCATTAGATAATTATCTTCTTTGTCTCTTATAGTTATCTTGAAGTCTAATTTTTCTGATATAAGTATAGCTATTGATATTCTGTTTTGGTTTTCATTGGCATGGAATGTATTCTCTCATCCCATTATTTTTAGTCTATGTATGTCTTTATAAGTGAAGTGTGTGTGTGGGTGCATGTTTTTCTAGTGAATAGATTAATAGGTCTTATTTTTTCATCCATACAGCCATTCTATATTTTTATTGGTGAATTCAGTCCACTTATATTCAATGTTATTATTGATAAGTAAGGACTTACTCTGGTTATTTCGTTATTTGCTTTCTGGTTGTTTTGTAGTGTTTTCTTCCTTTTTTCTTTCCTTCCTGTCGCCCTTTCAGTGAAGGCGATTTTCTCTGGTGATGTGATTTACTTTCTTGCTTTTCACCTTTTGTGTCTCATTGTATGTCTTTTGCTTTGAAATTACCATGAGGGATTGAAAATACTATCGTGTAGCACATTATTTTGACCCGATGACAACATAACACTATTTGCATAAACAAACAAACAAATGAAAAGAAAACTAATAAAAACAATAACACTTAAGTTTGCCTTCTTGCTTTTTAACTTTTTGTTGTTTCTGTTTATATCTTATTGTAGTGTCCATGTCTTGAAAAGTTCCTGTAGTATTATTTTTGATGAGTTCATCATTTGGTCTTTGTAATTATTATAAGAGTAGTTTACACTCCACAGTTACAGTGTTATGATATTCTATGTTTTTCCGTGTGCTTACCTGTGATTTTTGTACCTTTACATGATTACTTAGTCGCCCATTAATGTCCTTTTCTTTCTGTCCTTTTACTTCAGTACTCACTTTAGCATTTCTTATAGGACAGGTCTAGTGTTGATGAAATCCCTCAGCTTTTGTTTGTCTTGGAAAGTCTTCATTTATTCTTCATGATTGAAAGATTTCTTTTTTTTGGTCAGGTATTCTATTCTAGGAGAAAAAGTTTTGTTCCTTCAGCACTTTAAATGTGTCACGTCACTCTCTCCTGGCCTATAAGGTTTCCACTGAAAAGTCTGCTGCCAGACATGTTGGGCCTCCATTGTATATTATTTTTTTTTCTTTTCCTGCTTCAGGATCTTTTATTTATCCTTGATTTTTTGGGGGGAGTTTAATTATCAAACACCTCAAGGTAGTCTTTTGTTTGGTATTCTGTAACCTTCTTTTATGTGGATATTGCTATCTTTCTCTATGTTTGGTAAATTCTCTGTTACTGCCCACTTTGAATAAACTTTCTACCCCAATCTCTTTCTTTATCTGTCCTTTAACACTTAGATTTGCCTTTTTGAGGCTATTTTCTATATGCTATAGGCATGCTTTATTGTTTTTATTATTTCTTCTTTTGTCCCCTGTTATTGTATATTTTCAAATATCCTGTCTTTAAGTTCACTAATTCTTTCTTCTGCTATTATGAGACTCTGTTGCATTCTTCAGCATGTCAACTGAATTGTATAGCTCCAGAATTTCTACTTGCTTCTTTTCAATTATTTCAATCTCTTTGTTAAATTAATCTAATAGAATTCTGAATTTCTTCTGTGTTATCTTGAATTTCTTTTAGTTTTCTTAACACAGATTTTGAATTCTCTGTCTGAAAGTTCACTTACCTCTATTTTTCCAGGATTGGTCCACAGTGCATTATTTAGTTCATTTGCTAAGGTCATGCTTTCTGTGATGGTGTAGAAGCTAGTAGATGTTCCCTGGGTCCTGAAGAGTTAGGTAGGTATTTATTGTAGCCTGCATAGTCTGAGATTATTTGTACCCATTCTTCTAGGGAAGGCTTTCCAGATACTTGAAGGGACTTAGGTATTGTGATCTAAATTGTATCTGCTTTAAGAGACACGTCAAGCCCAGTGATGCTGTTGTTCTTGCAGACTCATAGAGGTAATGCCTTGATGATCTTAGACAAGATCTGGGAGAATTATCTGGATTACCAGGGAGAGATTCTTGTTCTCTTCCTTTACTTTCTCCCAAGCAAACAAATTCTCTCTCTGTTCTAAGACCTGTGGAACTGGAGGTGCAGTGGACTGGAGGTCAACATAGTGGCCACCACCACTATGACTGCACTGAATCAGAGCTGAAGCTAGCACAGCGCTGAGTCTCACCCAAGGCCTGCTGTAGGCACTTGTGGCTACTGCCTATGTTTTCTCAAGGCCATGGGGTTCTACAATCAGCTGGTGGCAAGTCTAGCCAAGTTTGTGCTCTTTTTTCAGGGTGGCGACTTCTCCCAGACCCCAGGTAGGTCTAGAGGTACCATACAGGATTCAGGTACTAGAGTCAAAAACCTTAGAAGTCTACCTGGTATTTCATTGTTTTTTTTTTGAGACGGAGTCTCGCTCTGTCGCCCAGGCCGGACTGAGGACTGCAGTGGCGCAATCTCGGCTCACTGCAAGCTCCGCTTCCCGGGTTCACGCCATTCTCCTGCCTCAGCCTCCCCAGTAGCTGGGACTACAGGCACCCACCACCGCGCCCGGCTAATTTTTTGTATTTTTAGTAGAGACGGGGTTTCACCTTGTTAGCCAGGATGGTCTCGATCTCCTGACCTCATGATCCACCCGCCTCGGCCTCCCAAAGTGTATTTCATTGTTCTTTGGCTGTGCTGGGGTTCAAGCCACAGTGTGCAGTATGCCCCACTCTACCCTCTCCTTTGCAAAGACAGAGGAGCCTCACCCATAGCCACCACCAACACAAGTCACAAAGAGTATTGCCAGACTATGCCATTTTTTCCTTAAGGCCCAAGGACTCTTAAATCAGCCTGTGGGGAATGCTGTCTGTGTTAGGACTCACCCTTCAGAGCAGTGGGCTCCTCTATGGCCCAGGGAAGGTCCAAAAATGCCACCCAAGAGTCAAGTCCTGGAGTCTGGTACCCCAAGAGCCTATTTGGTGCTCTGCCACTCTGTGGCCATGCTGGTACCTAAGGTGCAAGGCAATGTCCCCTTAACTTTCCCCTCTGCTTTTCCCAAGCATAAAGACTTTCACTCCACTGCCCCCACAGCTGGTAATATACAGTCTCACCTGAAGCCAGGAAATCTCAAGGCTCATCCAAGGCCCTTGACGTTGTACATGGGTATCACTGCTGTTTATTCAGCACCCAAGGGCTCTTCAGCTAGCAAGTGATGAATGCTGCCAGGACTAGGTCCTTCCCCTCCAGGCAGTGGGTTCTCTTATGACCCAGGGTGTGTTTAGAAATGTTGTCTGGAGGGAGGCTGAGGCAAGAGAATGGCGTGAACCCAGGAGGCGGAGCTTGCAGTGAGCCAAGATCGCGCCACTGCACGCTGCAGCCTGGGCGACAGAGCGAGACTCCCTCTATTAAAAAAAAAAAAAAAAAAAAAAAAAAAAAAAAAAAAAAAGAAGAAGAAAGAAAAATAAATGTTGTTAGGGCCTGCAACATGGGTCTCATGACGCTGAACTGTGCTCTCTTCGACTGTAGCTGAGCTGGTATACTAGATGTAAGACAAAGTATTTCCCACTCTTCTGTCTCCTCTCCTCAAGCAGAAAGGAGTCTCTTCTGGAGCCACAAACTGTGCAGCCTGAGTTTAGGGGAGGGCTGATGCCAGCATTCCCTTAACCTCTCCAGCTGGTGTCTCAGTAGGTTGCATGCCTCCTTATTTCACTGTCTGTAGGCCGATTTCTGCAGTAGGATGCACCTAAGAGTTGCAGTCCTTATGGCCTAGACTGTCTTTCAAGTTTACTTAGAGAATCAGAGCACATTAGCCATTGGTGTCTAGGTTTGCAGGAACTCAAGTTCTGACCCCTGGGATTGGGGATTCCCATCTGGCTTGGGCTGGTTTAAATGCTCTCTCTGTTGGCGGGGGTCAGTAGAGTCTGTCTTGGTTTTTCTTTCTGCTCTAACAGGACAACACTGGGTTAATTGACTCACAGTTGTTGTGCTTCTCCCACCACCCAAAGATGTTCTTTGCACCACCCCACTTTGCACCATTACTTTGTTTATATAAGTTTAATATGACTATAAATCCTCTTCCAGTGACATCTTATCTGGGACTATGCTTTTGGTATCTTCCAACTCTGTGACCCCTTGTATGTCAGCATGTCTTTAGTCACATATACTTTCCCAAACCGTGTGTTTTCTTAATGTTCGAATCTTTCATAATTTGAACAATGTATACTACTCTAACAGCATCACAAACAATCCTTTTAGCTAAATATTCTAGCCAGTTTTAAATCATCACAGTAGAACTTGTATATAAAATATAGGCCACTCTGTTTCTAAATATGTATAAAAAACTAACAGAAAATAACAGCTTACTGGTACTAACAATTCATGCTTTAAATAGAATACTTTATGAGGAAATTTTGCTGTAAACAATAACTCATAGTTTAAATGTAGTGGTGCCATATTCTCTGTATAACTTATGGGTGTGACATTCTCAGGGAGGCAGTGGAGAATAAAGGAACCCTCTAGAACTCTAGAGTTTCTGGAATACTCATTCATTCATTTATGCAACAGATGTTTATGGTAGATACTACAATAAATTTTAAAATTACAAAAATAATTGGCCATCATGGAGCTTATATGATAGTAAATAGGAAAATGCAAAATTAAGAAAAATAAGTAAGCCTATAGAATGCTATGTAAGTGCTGTGGAGAAAAATACAGGCAGAAGTGTAATGAAATGTGATGTAGGATTTACAGTTTCAGATAGAGGAAGAAAAGGTCTCTCTGGGGAGGTAGCACTTATATTAAGACTTAAAGGATAACAACAGATGAGCACTGTAAGTATCCAGGGAAAGAAGCTCTCATAAAGAGGAAATACTTTAACAATAAAGGCCCTGAGGCTTAACTATGCATTACATGTTTGCGTAAGGAAGTAGGCAATTGTAGCTATAGAAAAGTAAGAAAGAGAGAAAATAGTAGCATGTGAGGCTAGACGAAGCAGAGTATTCCATGTTTAAAGCCTGACATACCATGGGAGGATATTTCTTTGTAAGGTGAAAATTTGAAGGGATCCTATTGAGTTAATCTATGTGAAAAATGATAGTGTCTTGGAACAGGGTGACAGCAGTGGATGTATAGAAAATTAAACAAATAATGAAAATATTTTGAAGTAGACCTTATAAAAATTTCTGATATACTGGGTGTCAGTTTTAAAAGAGTAAGACAGTTGTTAGTAATGACTCAAAAGTTTTTAACTGGATTAATGAAGTTGCTATTTACTGAAAGACAAGCCTCAAGTGTTCATTTGGGCCAGGCCCATTAGATACTGAAGTAGACATGCTGACTGAGCAGTTTTATAAATTAGTCTGAAATTCAAAGAGAGGTCTTTGTGTCTAGTTTAAAGGGTATAGTTGGGTGTAAGAGAAACATTTTTTGAAAGCACAAAATAAACAGGGGAAGAAGAAACAGTGTCACCGTTCTAGGGATTGAGTAATCATGACATAAAGCACAAAATAAGCCCAGATTAGACATTGATATCAATACTCAAGATGTAAAAAAATGTGTTTATGGCTTGGGTGGACGAGTATGGAAGTGGGAGCAGTGGTGATATGGTTTAGACTGAAAAAAGAAATGATGACTTAATTGCTTGCTTTGATTAGTTACACCACCACAGAGAGTGGCTGTCTGCAGTTAAGTGATTGAACATCTCATGGCGTGATGAAGCACTTATTTCATTTTATAAAATATCAACTTATTCTCAATAATATTTTAGTTTAGTCACACTAGCTGTATATGTTTGAAAATTTGTGAAATTGGCAATCATATCCCCCCCTTGTATAATAGAGGTCTTCTGCTTAAGTGTCATTATTAATCATGTAAATATTAACCAATTCCAAAAACTTTCTGCTCCATACATTTCAGAATATAGCAAAATTATTATTTTTCCCACAACACAATGCTCTATAAAATTTTTACTGTTTATCATAGATTGCAAATTGTTTTATCTTCAATGTTGAATATGTTAACTGAATTTACAACAGTAGCATAAATAACATCAAAAATTTCTTTCTTGTCTAAAAAGTTACATCTCTAGAGATTTTTTCTCTAAAGATTTAATTCCACAAAATAGATTTTTAAAAATCAAATTATTATAAGAATCTAATTTCTACTTGAATACCAGATAACACTGTTATAAACTTGAATGATTCATCTTTTAATGGATTTTATATTCTTAATGTGTAAACACTTTAATAATGATTGCTTCATTTTCATAAGTGGCAAGAAAACCTGGACAAAAGAATAAAGAAATCTAAAAAAAAATTTGATCTAAATGATAAAAAATGTCTACAGAGACATTTGTCTATGCACCTTTTTAAGCCACATGCTTTAAATAACATTTTGACAGAGTACTCTGAAAAAACAGTAATTTCTTTTTAAAAATATGCCAGTATTTCTTCGGTAGATTTTGTTTCATAAGTTTGAGAACACACTACACCTGCGATGGTGGATGAAAAGTGTAATAAAATACGTTGCACATTTTGAAATAAAAGTAATGACAGACTTACAGTCTATCACAAGTTACTGAAGCCTCAGAGTATGAGTATTCAGACTGCCATCTACATATTGTACTTAACTTGTATTTTCCGTACATATTTTGCAGAACCTATAATTAACAATTTTTGAATGGGCAAAAGCTGGAAGCATTTTTCTTGAAAACTGGCACAAGACCAGGATGCCCTCTCTTATTACTCTTATTCAACATAATATTGGAAGTTCTGGCCAGGGCAGTCAGGCGAGAGAAATCAATAAAGCGTATTGAACATAGGAAGAGAGGAAATCAAAGTATCTTTGTTTTCAGATGACATAATCCTATATCTAGAGAACTCCATCGTCTCAGCCCAAAAGTTTCTTAAGCTGATAAACAATTTCGCTACAAATTCAAACATCTGACAGCTTGGATTTATAACATGACCACAGAACCACTGCCTTATACATAAACTCACTGGCAGGGGCAACAGTGTTAAATAATTTTTTGATAACTACTTAACACAATAAGAGATTAGCTCTCTAAGAACATATAGAGGACAATGAGCTTATTAGAAATATGTGGAAAATTTATAAGTGAGATTACTTATGAAGAGAGGAGGAGGAATCAGTTTATATATGAATGGGGCAATTGTATATATTTTAGAAAAACAGCAAGTGTATGTTGACAGGTAAGTTAACAAAATTTTTAAAAAACAATTTCATGTAGTTTTAAGTTGAAACATTCTATTACTATTTTTTTACATTCCTGATTTTTCAACATGGGGGATTTAACTTAAAAGATTGGTTGACATGCCCAGGCTGCATAAAATTTAGTAGCAAGGAGTATGACTCTGGACTATAGACTTCCAGTTTGCTGTGCTTTTGACTAGACTACAGTTTCACTCTTTGCCATGATATAATATGATGTAATATAATATAAATATAATAATTTTATTTTATTGGCATGTCTACCAAAAATTAATTAGAGAGGCAATATAGTTTAGAACAGAGTCAGAAAACTTTGGACCATGTAGCAAATTTGTCCCCGCCCCTGCTTTTGTAAATTAAATTTTACTGGAACAGAGCCAAGCCCATTAGTTTACTCTTGTCTATAACTGCTAGATCCAGAGTTGCATAGTTGTAACAGACACTATAGGACTCCAAAATTCTAAGATATTTACAATCTGAAGCTTTGTAGAAAATATTTGCCTATTCTGGTTTTAACACCAAAAATTGGGTTTTGTATTTAATTCTTAATTCATTGCAGACCAATAATTTTCTAAATATAATAAAAATGTATTATTAGAAAATAACCATGCATTTAAATAACACACCAATGTCACACAGCTATTATGTTGATAAATTTCAATGTCTATTTGAATCTACCAATAAAGTGGGGCAAACAATTCTTGGATCACATATGTTCATAAAATGCACTTTTAGTGGCACTGTTGCAGAGGTAAATAAACAACTCTGGAGCAAAACTGCCGGGGTTTAAATACCGGCTCTGCAACCTACTGTTATTTATTTGTCAAAGTAGTTATCTCTGCATTTCTCACAAACCTCATCTGAAAAATGGCTATAGTAATAATAATAGTTGGAAAAATAGCTTTTGCCTCATAGGATTTGCAGAAACATCAAATTACTTACGAAGCACTTAGAACATGCCTAGCATAAATGTAAGCATCAAAGTGTTAGCTATTGTTATTAGTTCTTAATATATGGAGTATTCATAAACTAAAAATATACCTGAATATTTAATGACTTAATATATCAACTATTGTTTTCTTTGAGTCAAAGAAGATAGAGTATATCTGTGTGAATAATATTGGACAGGAATGTATCCAAAATTTGCATAAAGAAATCCAGTTGAAAATCATTATTTTTATTCCTTTGGTAACTATTAAGACATTGTTAAAGGACTATGAATAGAAAACAAATTTAAAAGTGTCCATTTAAAGAAAACATAAATGAAGGACATGTTTTTCAAGCAAGGTTGCAGTGCTCTTGAGAAAAATCTGCTAGCTAGGCAATACACCAACTTTTTTGCTCAATACAGGGTCTTGTTATTATAGCCATTTTCTTTTGAATTCTCATTTACCATATACCACAAAATATTACACCCTTTATTTATAATTGGGCATCAATTTACAGTACCCAGAGGCAATGATGCAGGTCACTTTTTCTCAACCTCATCTGCCTTTCTTTCAGAATTGTTTATTTCATGTTTCTAAATCTCAAGTCTATAAAGAATTTGGAAGTCCTTCACAAAGGACAAACAATAATTTTTAAACATGAACTAGTTGATGTGTTTTTATTTAAATGTATGAAAATATAGAATCATATAAAATGTTTGTCAGAAACATATAATGTTTACTCAAACCAAAATTGGATTAATGCAGTGGGATAAATATCAGCAAGTGATTTATATATTCTGTAACAGAAAAAATCTGCATAAATATTAGTTTGCAAGCCCAAATTTCTTATATTCATTTTATAAAATAATTACATTAATGATTATTCAAACTGTACCTATCAAGCTATTTCTATCTCAAATATATAGATTCCCTCAAAAACTTCATTTTTAAATTAAACTTAATTGAAATAGAGGAAATGATAGGAATAGAAATTTTCAGAGAAGAAAAATCTGAATACAAATACATAAAAAATATTTAATTCACTAGTTATGAATTAAATACACATTGAATAAATCACGTAACATTTTATAACCTTTAGAATGATGAAACTGTTTTCTAATCAGGAGTCAATATCAGGAGTGGGGGAAGGCACAAGGAATGAAAACTCATACAGCTAGTGAAGGCATATTTACTTGAAACTATTTTGAAAGGAAAATTTGCAATCTAGAAACTCTGAGAAGAAAAGCTAAGTAGAGCAAAGAGGGTTGTGAACTTCATTGATGTCGCAGAGCAGTGCCCTTCACATAGACAATAATGATGCAAAATTGTGCAGTAGACAACCTGCATAGCCGAACACAATATTACTTGTGTGTCTATGATTTAACAATTTCAATTTCAGGTATATTCTCAATCTAGAAGGGAGAAACTCTGAGATGTATGCTCTTATATATGTAGACCAGATAAAATTTGGAAGTAACTTAAATGCTAGTAAAATAGAGATATATATTTGTGCATGATGCATTTAATTGATAATATAAACAAAGAAATATAAAATTATATTAAAATTTTTTAGTATTATTAATATATGAAGTAAAAATGTATTTAAAAGTAGAATGGAAGGCTTTCTAAAAAATGGTTACCTCTGGTTAGGATGGGAAGAAAAGGAATCTGTAGAGGTTTCTATTCTGTATCTCATCTATAACTATAATTATTAATTGTTTCAGAGAATATCTGAGGCAAATATTAAAAAAGTAACATTTGTGGCCAGGGTTGGGGGGTGGTGGTGGCTCAGGCCTGTAATCCCAACATTTTAGGAGACCAAGGAGGTCGAATAACCTGAGGTCAGGAGTTCAATACCAGCCTGGCCAACATAGTGAAACCCCATTGCTACAAAAATACAAAAATTAGCCAGATGTGGTGGCACATGCCTGTAATCCCAGATACTCGGGAGGCTGAGGCAGGAGAATTGCTTGAGCCCAGGAGGCAGAGGTTGCAGTGAACCAAAATTGCACAACTGCACTCCAGCCTGGGTGACACAGTGAGACACCATCTCAAAAACAAACAAACAAAAACAAAACAAAACAAAACAAAAAAAAAACCATTGACAGTTGATAAATATGAATGGTGGTTACAATAGTGTTCAGTTTATCATTCACTCCATTATATTATTTTTATTTTTGCTTGTTTAATATTTTTATTTAAAAGGGGAAAAGGGAACTGATATTACAATGAGCAGCTAATATTTAGTTTGCTTGAAAAACTGAAAGAAGACAGATATTATATTTTCTGTATATTTCTCACATTTGATTCTTAAAGCTTTGGTTCCTATTTTTTCTTATCATAGATAATATCTTATTGAGCTAAAATTGGGCTAATTATGTTATTTTTGTTTTTAATTTTATATCTACCTATCATATGATCAATTGGAATTTACAGATCATAAAATATTAAGTAGTTACAAAATTAATCTTTACATAGTAAGGTATTTGGTTAGCTATCTGTTAAATTTTAATCAACTTAAACCTTGAGCATCATTAAAAGAACTGGATGATGCATATATTAATAAATTCAAGCAATAAATAGTTATTAAACACTGAATATAATTGTAAACCTTGCCAGGGGAAAATATTGTCAGTTTAGGATACCATTATTCTTTTCCTTTATCAATTTTTGGTGGATAACAGAAGCAAACAAAACACAAAGTTAATTTCTTAAAACAATATTTATTATTATTCACATAACAATGTGTCATACTGGCATTCTGCCAACCTGAACCAGCTTTAGTTTACCTCTGTTGATTGTTGTTGGGTTTGGCCATTTTTCTGTGCTCTGCTAGTAGGAAAGTTAGGAGCTTCCTAGTCTAGGATGGCTTCATTCATATATCTTATATAATTAGAATGACTGTTAGTTGAAATAATGAGGTTAACTGGACTCCGTATCATCAATTCTCCAGCAGAGTAGCCTAGATTATGGTGGGAGTGTTCTAAGATTAGCAAGAAGGTGAGCCTTAATGTGAAAGTCCTTTTTATGTCTGTGCTTAGATCACAATTGCTTGCATCACATCAGCCAAAGTAAGTCAGATAGCCAAGCTCAGATTCTGCGTTGAAAATAAAAAAAAATTAAAGGGTGTGAGGATAGAGAAAGATGATCACATTAAGGCTACTGCTGCATTCATTCCACAACACTAATGTACTGATGGAAGAACATGAATTATTAATTTATTTAGAAAATACTTATTAGAAACTACTTTATGCAAGGAAATCTCCAATGAAGCAGATTGAACATTGAAAAAAATTGCAAATTGAAGAAAATACCCTGCCAAAATGGTTTATATTTCAGTGTGAGAGACAGAATACTACTACATAAACAAATAAATACATTATATCGTATAGTGATAAATGAAATGTCAGGATAAGAAAAAAAAAGGAATTTCTAAGTATGCTAGGTTTGTTGCTATTTTCCACAAGTGGCCAGGAGAGCATTATTACATAGGTTTACACTTGAAGTGGCTGGGTTAACAGCCCATGTTGCTATCTGGAGAAATAACATTATCTACATAGGGAACAGCTATTGAAAAGATACAGTTCTGTGCATTTTCAAAGAGCAAGATCACCTTAGCACTAATAGAAAGGAGTATGGAAGTGGTAGGAAATTAAGTCTAAATACATCTGGGTATATATTACAGTAATTTTAGATTTTGTTTGGTTCAAGTGAAAAAACATTAGAGGAGTTTTGATTAGGAGAGTAACACTTGTCATGCATTTTTAAAGAGTCATTACGCTATTTTATGTAATAGGGACTATATAGCAAGGTAAAGGAAGAAGCACAGACACCAGTCGATGATTGCGGTGAAAAATGATCATGGTTTTAATAGGGCTGATAGTAGTAAAATTGTTAATAAGTGGTTACATTTGGAATACTATTATGAGGGTGGAGGCAGCAGAACTTGAGGGAAAAAAAAAAAAAAACTGAGGCAAGTGGAGAAAGGGAAGTACCATTCATGAGTTTGAACTTTTGGTCTAAGCAAATGGGAGCTTTGGAGTGCCTTTTTTTTTTTAACCCAGGATGATTTGGATTAGGAGTTATTGGGAGAGCATATGATGTAAAATTAAGAATTGGGCTATGGATAGATTAGATTAGCAATAATTAATAGACATGTGTATTAACTACTTAGGATTGCTTTAACAAATTATCTCAAACTCAATGGCCTAAAACAGCCAAGGCTCTAGAGGAGAATCCTTCTGTGCTTATTTCCGCTTTTGGTGTTTCCTGATAGTCCTTGGCTTGCAGACACATCATGCCAGTGTCTGCTTCTATCTTCACATTATCTTCACTGTGTGTCTCTTGCTCATCTCCTTTATTTATGAGGACATCAGTTATAGGATTTATGACTCACTATAATCCAGTGTAACCTAATTTTTCATTACATTTGCAAAGATTCAATAGCCAAAGGGGTTCATCTACTGAAGGCCTAGGTGGACATGTTTTTGTGGAGACCCTATCAACCCACTACGATATCCATGTGGGGATAACTTCATTGACTTTTTTTTTTTTTTTTTTTTTGAGATAGAGTCTTGTTCTGTCACCCAGGCTGGTGTGCTGTGGCTCAGTCTTAGCTAACTGCAACCTCTGCTTCCCAGATTCAAGAGATTCTCATGCCTCAGCATTCCGAGTAGCTGGAACTATAGGTGTGCACCACTACGACTGGCTAATTTTTTTTTTTTTTTTTTTTTTTTTTTTGAGATGCAGTCTCACTCTGTTGCTCAGGCTGGAGTGCCGTAGTGCAATCTTGGCTTACTGCAACCTCCATCTCCTGAGTTCAAGCGATTCTTCTGTCTAAGCCTCCCAAGTAGCTGGGATTACAGGTGCCTGCCACCACACCCAGCTAATTTTTGTATTTGTAGTAGAGACAGGATTTCACCATGTTGGCCAGGCTTGTCTCGAACTCCTGACCTCAGACAATCAGCCTGCCTAGGCCTCCCAAAGCGTTAGGATTACAGTTGTGAGCCACCACGCTTGGCCTACTTCATTGACATTTGGATATGTAAAATAAAATTGGAGGAGAAGATTGATGATGGAACTACAAATGTTCAAGTATCACTATAAACTACAGATTTCAGTGAGATCACCTAGGAAATGAGCATAGAGACAAAAAGAGACCCTAGGATTAAGCTCCATGGTGCTATTTAGATAAAGGAAGCAGTTAAAGAAGATAATTTTCTACTCTACATTGAAATATATAAGCCATTGCTAACCTTGACAAGACTAGCTGGGAGAAAGAGTCAGGCAGAAAACCTGACTGTAGTAAGCTTAAGACAACATATAATTAGAATGAGTAGAGACAGCTTTTTATAATCAAGTGCATAAAGAGAAGAAGAGTATGGGGGCGGTAGTGGGAGGGTGATGTGGGTTCTAATATTATCTCTTCAAAAGTTGTCAGATATTATAGCATGTTTATGTGTTGACTTCATACCAAAATTCAGAAAGGTCATATGTAAGAAAAGCCTAAATGCATGGAATGGGCAGTAGACACTGTAAGCCTAGAAAAAAAAAAAAAAAAAAGAAAAAGTTTCATTGTTTATTTTTTTCCCACTGATGTAAACAGGAGGACTTTTATGAAGGCTAAAAGAAAATTTAAATTCTCCATGCATATTAAGAATCCTGACATATAATAATTATTTAACAAATACTATTACATCTAATTGTATAAATGAATGAATAAATAAATAGCATCTGGGGTGAGAAAAACTTGTTTAATTTTGGTGATGAAAACTGATATACTTTTGAGGAAAATTATAATCATTTTAGGTTTATGTATAAAGTAGCTGGGGGAATTGGGAATTGGTAGGGCATGACAAAATGGAATATTCTGGGAATGCTGAGCATTCTCGTGTAAAGAATATAGATTACTTATACCAAATGAGTGAGTAATAATTTGGGGAAGTCAATTTGATTCAACTTTGGTGAACTTTATAAAAATAAAAATACTATTTCAAATGGGTACAAAACATATTGATACTATGATTTTGAAAGATACATCTGAAACTCGCTTTTGAGGACATTCAAGTTAACAGTATCTAAGAGCAAAGGAGGCTTTGCTAACAATCCAAGTATGAGAAAATTAGGACTCAGTCTGAATGGTTCTAAAGCAAATAGAAATGAAGCATGAGTGGGTGCAAAGAACACCCTTAAAGGAATATTTCGTCACTCATCTTCATATACCACAGTGACATATTTATATATAAATTTATATATATATAATTTTTACATTTTATATAAATATACAAATATTATTTTTTTAAAATGACATTAAAATTAATATTAATATAAATTAATTTAAAATTAAATTAATATAAAATAAAATATATAAATATTTTATATAAATATAAAAATATATAAAAATTTTATATTTTTATATATAATTTTTATATATTATATAAATTATATATATATATATATATATTTGCTCTCCTGTGACTTTACTTCTGCTACTGCTCTCAGTTCTCACCTCTGACTATATTCTACCCATTTGGTTCTTATCTTAAAAATCTCCTAGTCTATAAAACAATGAACAATTTTGATAGTGAATAATTATTCCTCATTCCTCTTAACACCTAGAATATCTTATTTCTACATATTAGGATGCTAAATTGTCTGTTTTACAGTATAGTCAATATCTTTCTTCTTTTATCCTAACTTCTAGTGGGTTTCACATTCTATAATTGTATTATACTGATGTTAGTAACTCTTTAAACTTAGTGGTTGTTTTCTTTTAAATTGTAGCCACCTAATAATCAATTTAAACAGTTCATGATAGCATAACAATTGTAAAAGGAAAGGTTGCAAATTACTAATGTTTTTAGGATGGAAAAAACTGATAAGCCATTGATAACTTCAGGTATTGATTATGTTACAGCTACAAACCTTGCCTCCCCTCAAAAAACAAAAGAAAATAATAGCAAAACATAGGAGGCTATACAATAAAGTAATATTATAAAATTTTGAAAAATTTTAATAAATTATGAAGATGAGAGTAGATTGTATGACAAGCAATGTACATGTACATAATGACAATATGCACAAATGTATCCTCTGATTTAATTTTCATACAACTCTAGGAAGTATCATACTTTATAGATGGAAGAAGAAACATTTGAATTTATGATGTGAATAGTGGATTGAAAGCATAAACCTTGGCTTTTTGTTTCTGTATGTAGATTTATTCCTTCTGTACCACAGCTATTGTCATAATTTGATTATTACTTCCTTATGTGTTTTTGGGATGATTATAACTATCTAAATTGTTTTCTGGCAATTGGACTGAGTCTGGTACCTGTATGAAAAGACACCCAACTGATATTTGAACAATAAATAGAATTTAGGCCCCAAAAGGTCTTATTTCCCCTGTTTCTAGCTAATACAGTCTTTCTCTCAATCTAAAATTGACCTACATGTTGAATATGGAAGAAAAGAAAAAAAATTAATTAAACAATTATTGATCGTTAAGTTATTCAATGCTTGAATTTGATGGAAAAGGTTATACTGCTGGGAAAGCTTTTGAACTAAAAAGAATGCATCTTTAATGTGAAGTGAATCTAAAGGATTCTTATGTAAGTGCTGTATTAAAATGGCCTCATCACCAGTCAATCTGTTCCCAACAGTTACCTGCTAGTCTGAGTGCTCCATACCATTATAAAAATCTGTCAAGCATTCAAAACCAATTACACACAGGATGTCAAGTGTTGTCATGCCAGCTGTCCTTTGACTCCTCAGAGGCTCTGGCTGCCCATATTCAGTTAAAAATATATTCTACTACATTGGGGTTTTTGTTGAGATAAACTTTACTATTTTATATCCATTTGTTTTATTTAATTAAAGTAAATATGATGGTTTTTAATGACCAATAATATTATAGGCCACAGAAAAATTTATTGGTTAATACATCCTACAAACTTTTGATATCAAAATAAAAATCTCAATGTCTGTGGGTGAATTTCTACATAATTTTACACGAAAGATTGAATAACTTTACTATCTCATGAAAGAATGTTGGTAATACGTCTTTCTCAATCTGAGAAATAAAAACATTGAAGCTAGTAAACTGAGTGAATAAATTACTGATAACATTTTAGACAATTTCCAAAAAATGATTGGTATATGCATATAATTTTAAAAATTTCAAATCTCTTTGGATGACATATTTTTATAGTTTCAACAAAATTGATAATAACACTGATCAGTAGCAACAAATGAACTACCTGCTTCCTGTTAAGGAAAGTATGAAATTCTTTACGATCTAGAAAAGAGGATTTTGAAAATATTTAAAAACAATAAATAAATATTGCAATGAAAAGTATCAATCACTAAGTTCTAAAATGTTCAAAAAAGTTGTAATTAATACTTTATTGGAGAAATAAGAGATCTATAAATTGCACACTGTGGTTTCAATGGATCTATACTCTAGATAATTAAATTTAGCTGAAAGGAACCAATAATAACAAAATGAAGGACACAAAATGTAGAAGAATGACCATACTCCTATGTGCACCAAAGCTCTTAAAGTATATTGAAAATTATTAACGCAGTGTCATAATTAACCTTCATAACTGAAGATGAATGTGTTCCTTTGTATTTTTTATATTTGTCTTTTTCATTTTATTATTTTAGTATCTAGTACCCATTCATTGAATTCATAGTACTATACGATTGCAGAAAATTTTATTCTATTGTCATTAGTTTTATTTTAAAAAGAAGCAAATATTATTGGACGTTAAATTTTTTTAAAATGTTACTTAATCTATAACTAAGTAAGAAATGACAGTAGTTCTAGGTGACCACAAACCAACATCTGATAGATCAATAAACATGTCAAAAATATTAATCAACAGTGTTAACAGTAACAATTAATTATATCCATTTATGAAGTGTTACATGGACCCACTATGTGTCTGCACTGTCTAAGGCACAGTGATGAGTAGTACTAATATATAGGGTATTATTGAGCTCTATTTGCATATATATTTATACTTTACAACATACTTTCTTGGATTTTCACAAACAGCTATAAGACAGTATGAATAAAATAATGAGGGAACAATGAACATAATTATAAAAATTATAAGAAGGAAAAGATAATTTCTACCTAGGAGCATCAAAGAAGATAGTAACATGAAAACAAATACAGTAAGAATGACGAATCTTTATAAGAAAGCAATATCATTAAAAATAGAGTTTTAAGAAATTGCGTGGAATAGTTGGCAAAAAGACAGTAATACATTTTGGATGAGGTGCAATGTATTTATAGCCTGGTGGAAAATGTGACTTAAATGAGAGTTTTAATTTGGATTTTTTAAATAAAAGGACAACAAGTAATAAACTAAAGATTTGGGGTTTTATTGTTAAGTAAAATGATTTTACTTATTTATTTACTAGTATGTATTTACTTTATTAATGTTGTTCAAAATTTCTGTATAAAACTATATTTTCTCAGTATGAAAATAGCTTAAATTTTAATTAAAAGCTTTTTTGTGGTTTTAATCTGATTACTCAAAACAGTTCTTTAATGTGTTTGTTTTATATCTAATCAATGATTTAGAGGATCAATAAAAGCTCATTATATATTACAATAATAAAATCAGCTGTATTTTTAAGTAATTCTCTTTTAGAATTAGAAACGCGGTTATAGAAAAAAATGGTATAAATCACTTATTTTTATTGGTTGGTTGTTTTTAATTTAAAACCATTAGCGTTGAGATGACTATTAAAGGGATTACATTAGCACATAAACTACAATAGATTAATTTGTGAAAAGCATTTAACAAAAACAAAAATGGAAGTAACACACATAATATAAAAGGCTGGAAGTGTGGAGGTGGGGATTGCCAGAGGTTGGTTAACGAGTATAAAATTCCAGCTAGATAGGTCATATACATTCTGGTGTTCTATAGCACTGTAGGGTGACTATAATTAACAACACCTCATTGTATATTTTCAAATAGCTGAAAGAGTGAATTTTATTTCTTTCCAAGACAAAGATATGCTAAATGTTTGAGGTGATGAATATACTAATTTCCCTATTTTGATCATCACACATTGTATACATGTATTGAAATATCAAACTGTACCCCAAAACATGTAAAATTATTGTGTCAAAATTATAATTAAGCAAAACATAAAATTATAAAGTAAAAAATACATATGTCTTTACTCAGTAGAGGAAGAAGGAAAGTGTGTGTATGTGTGTGTACTGTCTCAATTTTATTTTTGTCTTCATTGTACATATCTGTTGTAGAAATTTTTGCTTATCAGTATTGAAATGAGAACAATTTTAATAATTTATCTATATACTCATAGAAATAAGTATTCAGGACTTAAGTATATATTTTAGAATGTATCAAATCAGAAAATGAAGTTTAAAAATTAATATAAAGGTATAGCAGCTGAATGGACATGACAGAGTAGAGGATTAGTGAACTGGACCACAGATGAGAATTATACAGACTAAAGAAATGTGTGAAAAAACTAATAAAAATATTTTTTAAAGTATAATAGACATTTGGGTACATTGAACATTTTTACAATATGTGTACTTGGAATCCTCCCAAAAAAGAGAATAAAAGTAAAGGATTATCTGAAGAGAGAAACTGTAATAATATCCCCAAAGTGATGAAAGACATCAACTACATATTCAAAGTGTTCTAAACACAAGGGAAGATAAATACAAAGAAACCACACCTGTGCATCTTATAGTTAAATTACTGTAAACTAAAGACAGAGAAAATCTCGTCAACCAAAAGAACAGAGATACATTCCATTTAAAAAAGTAAATAAGATTGAACATTGATGCTGTGGTTTGAATGCATACCTTCTCCAGAATTTATGTTGATGTTTAGTAGTATTAACAGGTGAGGCCTTTTGGGAAGTTATTAGGTCATGCGAGATATGCCCTCATAAATGAATTAGTATCCTATAAAAGGGCTAATAGGAAACTAGCTTAGGCCCTTTCTTTGCCCTTTATCCTTTTCATCATGTGGGGACACTGTGTTCCTTCCCTCCTGAGAACACAGCATTCATGTTGCTATTTTGTAAGAAGAGAGAGCAGCCTTCACCAGACACTGAATCCACCAGCAACTCGATCTTGGACTTCCTGACCTCCAGAACTGTGATAAATGAATTTCTATTCTTTATAAATTGCTCAGTCTTAGGTATTTTGTTCAATCAGCACAAATGGACTAAGACAGTTGATCTTATTAGAAATTATGGACAGTAGAAGACAATGCAATGTCTTTACAGCACTGAAAGATAACTGGAAAATTAGAATTCTATTCCGAGGGGAAAAAAATGATAACAAGAACAAAGGTAAAATAATTATAATTTCAGTCAAAACTGAAATAGTGTTTTGCTATGAAACCTACTCCAAAAGAAATACCAAAAATAGTGTTAATGTACTATTTGAAAATCATGCAAGAAAGAATAAAAGACTTGGTAAATAGGTGGGACAGGTTAATATTGTCTGGGAAAACAACAACAACAACAACAATTTTAACATAATTGTCTCAATAATTTATGAAATAAAAAAGCAAAAATAACTGAGGATATAGGCTATCTTAAAATACAATCTTAAAATTACCCATCCTTAATCCTCTTTTAGGAGATTACATCTTGGGATGAGAAAATATGCATGATTTTCTAAAGCATATGCAATAATTTCAGTATTTTTATATAAAATTAATTTTATTTCTTCTGTTTTTCATTATAGGAAATTTTATTTTTTAAAAAAATTTTCATCCAAATTTTTAATTGGCACAAATCATTTATATTATTTTATTCTTATCTGTCTGAATATTTGCATGCTCTCTAGTTCTGTCTTTATTTTATTTCTGATATAGCTAGAATTATACTTGTTTTGTTTTTTCTTCTAATCAAACTTATTAAAAGATTATATATTCAATTTATCTTTCGAAAGAAGCAATTGTATGCTTCAGTGATTTTTCTATTTTATACTAATTTATTATTTTATAGGTTTCTGCTTTTATGAATATTTTCATCCTCTTTCATCCCAGGAATTTTTGCCTTTTTCTCTAGTCTCTTAAGACAAAAGATGAAAGCATTTATTTCTAGCTTTTTTTTGTCAAGCATATAATTTATAGTATTTCCTGTAGGATCTGATTTTGCTATATCAAAAGCAACATACCATCATTAATTAATTCAAAACATCTGCTAATGTCTTTCACTTTTCATTGTTGATAAACTGCTGATAGGCAAAAGGCTTCATATTAAAACCTAAGAAACAGAAATAGAAACTGTAAAGGGCAAAATAATAAACTAAACATAATCAAAATTAAAACATCTTGCCTACATTAGTCATTGTTATGAAAATAAAAAAGAAAAGTCACCGACTGGGAGAAAATATTTACAATACATGTATCTTACAGGGAGTTTGTGTGTATGTGTGTGTGTGTGTGTGTATTTGAAAAACATTTGTAAAAAATTTAGACACACACTTACCATTTATTCTCACTCCCTGTACTATTTACGTTCTGTAAAATCTCCACAAAGGTAGATTTAGCAAATAATGAACAATTGACAGCACACAAAATTTAACGTTAGATTTCTGTAAGCCTCTGGTCACAATATTTTGATAAACTGATTAAGATATAACCTTGTTTTATGAGTGTTTATATTTAAATATGATTGTTTAATATATATTGTTGATTCATTAACACTGAACTCACAAGCAACAGCACCTACCCTTGTGTGTAAATGAAGCTTATCTAACATGTATTTTCTCTGTAAATGAGATGATCACAGTCTTTTTGTTCCTAGTAACACTAGATGGTACTTCTGTACTATGCCTGGGGATTATTTTAAACAGAAAAATCATCAACAGAGAACACAATAAGGAAAAAACATGGCATTAGATAGGTCATGAAATGGACATTTACAGTATGAGAGCTGAAACAAGATGGTAGAGTTTTGCCTTGTTCTCCTTTAGCTGGGAACATGCATACCAGGGGCTCGAATTTTTCATTGCTCTATGAATAGCTATGAGTATTGATTGTGAAGTTACAAATACGTTTACTATGTAGGCAAATTCACAAATATGAATTATTGAATAATGAGGGTCAAATGTATATATATATGTATGTACAGCGATATGCTGCATAATATTTAGTCAATGATAGAATGAATGTATAATGGTGGTCTCTTAAGATCATAATAAAGATGAAAAATTTGTATTGCCTGGTTACATCATAACCATTGCTAACATCATAGCCCAAAGCATTATTCATGTGTTTCTGTTGATGCTGGTGTAACAAGGCTACTCCACTGCCAGTTATAGAAAAGTAGAGCACATATATTTATGTATAGTATATTGCAATACTTGATAATAATAATAAACTATGTCATTGATGTATGTATTTATCATACTCTATTTTTAGCTTTATTTCAGTGTAAAATTCTACTTATTTATATAAAAAAAGAAAATGTTAACTCTAGAGCAGCTTCAGGCAGGTCTTTGCCAAGGCCTTCCAAAAGAAGGTAGTCTTTTCACAGGAGATGACAGCCCCATATGTCTTATTTCCCTTGAAGACTTCTCAGTGGGACAGGATGTGGAACAGTGATATTGATGCTCCTGACCCTGTGTAGGCCTACCCTAATGTGTATGTTTGTGTCTTTGTTTTTAACAACAAATTTTCAAAGAATTAAAGATTTAAAAATAGAAGAAAGAGAATTAGGATATAAAGAATGTTTTTATACAGTTACGTGATGTGTTTGTGTTTTAAGCTACACGTTATTACAAAAGTCAAAAAGTTAAAAATCTTATTAAGTAAAAAATTCCATTCTAACTGGTGTGAGATGGTATCTCATTGTGGTTTTGAGTCAGGAAACAACAGGTGCTGGAGAGGATGTGGAGAAATAGGAACACTTTTACACTGTTGGTGGGACTGTAAACTAGTTCAACCATTGTGGAAGTCAGTGTGGCGATTCCTCAGGAATCTAGAACTAGAAATACCATTTGACCCAGCCATCCCATTACTGGGTATATACCCAAAGGATTATAAATCATGCTGCTATAAAGATACACATACACGTATGTTTATTGAGGCACTATTCACAATAGCAAAGACTTGGAACTAACCCAAATGTCCAAAAATGATAGACTGGATTAAGAAAATGTGGCACATATACACCATGGAATATATGCAGCCATAAAAAATGATGAGTTCATGTCCTTTGTAGGGACATGGGTGAAACTGGAAATCATCAGTCTCAGCAAACTATCGCAAGGACAAAAAACCAAACACCGCATGTTCTCACTCATAGGTGGGAATTGAACAACGAGAACACATGGACACAGGAAGGGGAACATCACACCCCGAGGACTGTTGTGGGGTGGCGGAAGCGGGGAGGGATAGCATTAGGAGATATAACTAATGCTGAATGACGAGTTAATGGGTGCAGTACACCAACATTGCACATGTATACATATGTAACAAACCTGCACATTGTGCACATATACCCTAAAACTTAAAGTATAATAATAATAAAAAAAATCCATTAAACTAAAGTTATTATTTAAGACAGAATTTTTAAAATAAATATATTGTAACCTAGGTGTACAGCATTTATAAAGCCTACAGTTGTGTATAATAATGTTCTAGGCCTTCACATTCACTCTCCATTCACTCAGTGACTCATCCAGACTAACTTCCAAGCGTGCACGTTCTATTTATGGTAAGGACATAGCATGCCATTTTGCATCTTTTATATTGCATTTGCACTGTACTTTTTCTGTGTTTAGATATTTAGATATTCAAATACCATTGTGCTACAATTGCCTAATCTACTAAGAACAGTAACACGCTGTACAAGTTTGCAGCCAAAGAGCAATAGATTATACCATATAATCTATGTGTGTAGTAGGCTATCCCATTTGTTTTGTGTAAGTACCCTCTATGATAGTCCCACCACAAAATCACCTAACAATGCATATCTCAGAATGTATTCCCATCGTTAAGTAAGATAGGACTGTATTTATATGTGAGAATCACTGTACGTGTGTGTATATGTGTATTAGAAATATGTACATAAGTGTTTGTTATATATAATATATAGATAAATATGCATATGAATAGATTTCATATATATTATGCCTACATAAGTATATGTATACATATTCACTGTATGAGTATATTTATTACATATGCCCATAAGGATATGTTATATACAATACCCATAGTATGTATGCATATTTAACTGTATATATTTGTGTAAGTAAAATATGTATACATAATATACAAATATATATGTAAGGTCATAAAAATGTACTAGTTATAACTGTTCATTTAAAAAATACATATGAAGATAACAATGAAATTCTTCTATACAGCCACTAGGATGGCTAAAAGTATATAACACTTGTAATACCAGATGCATGTGAGGACACAGTATATTTTATATCACTAGTAGAAATGTGAAATATTAAGATAATTTTTAGGGTACAGACATACGCAATAATATTATAAAACATCAAGGGTTTGTTACCAAATTTGAATTAGGGCTTCATTCCAAGAGGAAGTAGAGAGATGTGATATTTTGAATCACAAAGATTATTGACAATAGACAGTTTCTAGCCAATGGTGTTATATAGAGGTATAGTTGCTTTAAACTTTATGCTACAGTTTTAATGTATGCCACATACATCCGCATACACAATACATAATAGTAAAATAAATCCCTACCAGATACACTATGTGCATTTTTCTACTTCCCTGAAGATCATAAAGTTAAAGGATGAAAAGTGAGTCACTGCATGTAGAATAAGCAAGATTTTTTTGGTTCTAAAGGGAGTTCCAACATTCCTAAAATTTGGCACCCATAAGGAATTAGAACCTGCTTAGGTATACATATCTATTCATTAGTATGCAGATCAGATTTCACAGCTTTCTTTTGAAGCAGTGGATCCCAGTTATGAGTTGGATTCTTATGTGGATCCTACATCCATGCCTCAAAATTCTCCTTTGATTACACTCCAACTAGAAAATAATCCAGTTTTGTTTGTTTTGTTTTTTTTTGTTTTGTTTTGAGTCTCTCTCTGTCACCCAGGCTTGAGTGCAATAGCACTATCTTGACTCACTGCAACCTCTGCCTCCTGGGTTAAGCGATTCTTCTGCCTCAGCCTACTGAGTGGCTGGGATTATAGATGCCCACCATCACACCTGACAAATTTCTGTATTTTCAGTAGAGATAGGGTTTTGCCATGTTGACCAGGCTTGTCTTCAACTCCCAACTTCAAGATATCTGCCTGTTTCAGCCTTTCAAAGTGCTGGGATTACAGGCTTGAGCCATCATGCCTGACCAATAATCTAGTTTTTGTGTATAAAGGTATTCACAGTAGTTTCTGATGGTTGCTTTTATTTGTATTTCTGTGGGGTCCATAGTGACATTCCCTTCATCATTTCTAACTGTGTTTATTTGAATTTTTTCCTGTCTTATTTATTAATCTAACTAGTGGCCCATCTATTTTATTAATTTCTTCAAAAAAATCCTGAATTTGTTGATCTTTTGAATATCTGTATCTCAATTTCCTTTAGTTCAGCTCTGATTTTGGTTATTTCTCATCTGCTAGCTTTGGGGTTGATTTGTTCTTGCTTCTCTGATTCTTTCAGTTGTGAAGTCAGGTTGTTAATTTAAGATCTTCCTAATTTTTGAATCTGAGCATTTAGTGCTATGAATTTCCCTCTCAACACTGCCTTAGCTGTGTCACAGAGAATCTGGGGTGTTGTATCTTTGTCTTATTATTTTCAAAGACCGTTTTTTAATTTCTGCCTTAATTTTATTAATTACCCAAAAGTCATTCAGGGACATGCTTAATTTTCATGTAATTGCATGGTTTTGAGTGTTTTTCATAGTCTTCTATTTTTATTGTGCTTTGTTCCAAGAGTGTTTTGGTATGATTTCAATTCTTTCACATTTGTCAAGGATTGTTTTATGTCTATTTATGTGGTTAATTTTAGACTATGTGCCATATAGCAATGAGAAGAATGAATATTCTGTTGTTTTTGAGTGGAGAGTTCTGCAATGGTCTATCAGATCAATTTGGTCAAATGTTGAGTTTAGGTCCATAATATCTTTTTAAATTGTCTGCCTTGATAATCTGTCTAATACTGTCAGTGGCATGTGGAAGTCTCCCACTATTATTGTGTGGGAGCCTATGTCTCTTTGTAAGTCTCTAAGAAGTTGCTTTATGAATCTGGGTGCCCCTGGATTGGATGCATATATATTTAAAATAGTTAGGTATTTTTGTTGAATTGAACATTGTATCATTAGGTAACACATTACTTTGTATTTTTTTTTGTATTTGTTGGTTTGAAATCTGTTTGTCTGAAATTAGGATTGCAACTTCTGCTTTTTCCTGTTTTCCATTTGCTTGGTAGATTTTCCTTCATCCTTTATTTGAGCCTATGAATATCATGCATGTGATGAGTCTGTTGAAGACAGCATACCATTGGGCCTTGTTTTTTTTATCCAGCTTGCCACTCTGTACCTTTCAATTTGGGCATTTAGCCCATTTACATTCAAGGTTAGTATTGATATGTGTGGATTTGATCCTGTCATTGTGCTGTTAGCTGGTTATTATGTTGGTTTGTTTGTGTGGTTGCTTTACAGTGACACTGGTCTGTGTGTTTAAGTGTGTTTTTGTTTTAGCTGGTAGTGATCTTTCTATTCTATATTTAGTGTTCTTTTCTATCCACATAAACTAGAAAATCTAGAAGAGATGGATAAATTCCTGGACACATACTCCCTCTGAAGACTGAGCCAGGAAGAAATGGATTCCCTGAACAAACAAATAACAAGCTCAAAAAGTGAATTAGTAATAAATAATCTACCAATCAAAAAATATCTACGACCTGATGGATTCACAGACAAATTCTATCAGATGTACAAAAAGAGCTGATATCATTCCTACCAAAAATATTCCAAAAACTTGAGAAGTGAAGAAGTGATTCCTCCCCAATCATTCTTTGAAGCCACCATTATCTTGATACAAAAACCTGGCATGCACACACACACACACACACACCACACACACACACACACACACACACAAATTCAGACCAATATATTTGATTAACACAAATGCAAAAATTCCTAATAAAATACTTACAAACTGAATCTAGCAGGACATCAAAAAGCTAATCCACCACAAGCAAGTAGGCTTCATCTTTGACATGCAAGGCTGGTTCAACATACACAAATGAATAAATGTGATTCATCACATAAACAGAACGTAAGACAAATAATACATGATTATCTCAATAGATACATAAAATGCAATAAAATTCAACACCCCTTCATATTAAAAACTCTCAATAAACTAGGTTTTGAATGATCATACTTCAAAAGAATAAGAGCCATCTATGACAATCCCATAGCCAACATTATATGGAATGAGGAAAAGCTGGACGCATTCCCCTTGAAAACCAACACAAGACAAGGATGACCTCTATCACCACTTTTATTCAATGTAGTATTGGAATTCCATGCTAAAGCCATCAGGTAAAAGAAAGAACTTAAGGCATTCAGATAGAAAGAGAGGAAGTCAACTATCTCTGTTTGCAGATGACATGATTCTACATCTATAAAACCCCACTTTCTTGGCCCCAAAGCACCTCTTGCTGAAATACAACTTCAGCAATTTTTTTTGCAGGATGCAAAAATTGCTAGCATTCCTATACGTCAAAAACAGCCAAACCAAGAGCCAAATGAGACAGACAATCTCATTCACAATTGTCACAAAAAGAATAAAATACCTAAGGATACAGCTCACCAGGAAGGTAAAAGATCTCTACAATGAGAGTTATAAAACACTCCTCATAGAGATCAGAGAAGACACAAACAAGTGGAAAAACACTCCATGCTCATGGATAGGAAGAATCAATATTATTAAAATGGCCATACTACCTGCAGCAATTTATAGATTCAATGTTATTACTATCAAACTACCAATGACATTCTTCACAGAACTAGAAAATCTATTTTGAAATTCATATGGAACCAAAAAAGGAGCCCTAACAGCCAAAGTAATCCTAAGCAAAATGAACAATGCTGGAGGCATCATGTTACCTGACTTCAAACTAAACTACAATGCTACAGTAACCAAAGCAGCATGGTACTGGTACAAAAACAGGCACACAGGCCAATGGAATTGTATTAGTCCATTTTCACACTGCTATAAAGAACTACCAGAGACTGTGTAATTTACAAAGAGAAGAGGTTTAAATGATCCACAGTTCTTCATGGCTGGGGAGGCCTCAGGAAACTTATAATCATCCCAGAAGACAAAGAGGAAGCAAGCGCTTTATTCACAAGGTAGTGAGAGAGAGAGAGAGAGGGAGAGAGAGACTAAGGTGAAGGGGAAATGCCACACTTTTAAACCATCAGATCACATGAGAACTCACTCACTATCATGAAAACAGCATGAGAGACACTGCCCCCCATAATCCAATCACCTTCCACCAGGTCCTTCCTTCTACACGTGGAAGGTTACAATTTTAGATGAGATTTGGGTAGGGACACACAGCTAAACCACATTGGGAACACAGTAGAGAGACCAGAAATAAGGTCCCACATTGGGAACACAGTAGAGAGACCAGAAATAAGGACACACATCTACGATCACCTGATCTTTAACATAGCTGACAAAAACGGGCAATGAGGAAAAGACTCCCTATTCAATAAATGGTGCCAGCATTTACTGGGATAACTGGTTAGCCATATGCAGAAGATTGAATCTGGACACCTTCCTTACACCATATAAAAAAATCAACACAAGATGGATTAAAGACTTAAATGAAAAACCCAAAACTACAAAAACGCTGGGAGGCAATATCATCCTGGAAACAGGAATGAACAAAGATTTCATGACTAAGACACCAAAAGCAATCACAACAAAAGCACAAATTGACAAGTGGAATGTAATTAAACTTAAGAGATTCTGCATGGTCAAATAAACTATTAATAGAGTAAACAACCTACAAAATGGGAAAAATATTTGCAAACTATGCATCTGAGAAATGTCTAATATCCAACATCTATAAGGAACTTAAATTTACAAGAGAAAAACAACCCATTAAAAAGTGGGCAAATAACATGAATAGACACTGCTCAAAAGAAGACACAAATGTGGCCAACATGCATGTGAAGAAAAGCTCAATATCAGTGATCATTAGAGAAATGCAAATCAAAACCACAGTGAGGTACCATCTCACACCAGTCAGAATGGCTATTATTAAAAAGCAAAAAAGTACCAGATGCTGGTGAGGTTGCAGAGAAAAGGAAACACTTGTACACCATTGATGGGAACCTAAATTATTTCAACCATTGTGGAAAGCAGTGTGGCAATTTCTCAAAAAGCTAAAAGAAGAAATACAATTAGACACAGTACATATTACTGGGTACATAACCAGATAAATATACATTATCCTACCATAAAGACATGTGCATGTGAATGTTCATTGCAGCACTCTTCACAATAGCAAAGACATGGAATTAATCTAAATGCCCATCAAAGGCAGATTGGTTAAAGAGAATGTGGTACATATACACCATGGAATACTCTGCAGCCACACAAAATAATGAGATCATGTCTTTTGCAAGAACATGGATGGAGCTGGAGGCTATTATCCTTAGCAAACTATCACAGGAAGAGAAAACCAAATACTGCATGTTCTCACTTATAAGTGGGAGCTAAATAATAAGAACTTATGAACACAAAAAAGAAAACAACAGACACAAAAAAGAAAACAACAGACACTAAGGTCTTCTCAATGGGGGGTGGTTGAGAGGAGACAGAAATACAGAAAAGATAATGCTTGGATACTGTGCTTAATAAGTGGGTGATAAAGTAATATTTACAAGAAACCTCATGACACATGTTTATCTATGTAACAAACCTCCACATGCAGCCCCAAAGCTAAAATAAAAGTTAAAATAATTAAAATTAAAAAAAGAAAATAATCTGCTCCTGATATATCACACATGCTCAGGAGCTTATCAAACTGCTCTGCTTTTACCAGTTTATTAACATCTTGTTAGTTAAAAGTGAGTCAGAGTAGTATCTTCTGTCCTGACAGAGAGTGAAAAGGAGTAAATATTTGCTAAATAGTAACACAATTTCTCAAAGATGGAGATGACCTAAAGTGGAAGTTAGGCAATACTTTTTAAACATATGTTGCAGGAAGTCAGAGACCCTGAATGGAGAGGCCAGCTGGAGCCACGTCAGAGGAACATAAATTGTAAAGATTTCATGGACATTTATGAGTTCCCAAATAACACATTTTTAATTTCTTATGCCTGTCTTTACTTTAATCTCTTAATCCTGTTATCTTCATAAGCTGAGGATGTACATCACCTCAGGACCACTGTGATAATTGTGTTAACTGTACAAATTGATTGTAAAACATGTGTGTTTGAACAATATGAAATCAGTGCACCTCGAAAAAGAACAGAATAACAGCAATTTTTAGGGAACAAGGGAAGACAACCATAAGGTCTGACTGCTTGCAGGGTTGGGCAAAAAGAGCCATATTTTTCTCCTTGCACAGAGCCTATAAACGGATGTGCAAGTAGGGAAGATACCACTCAATTCTTTTCCTAGCAAGGAATATTAATATGAATACCCTGGGAAAGGAATGCATTCCTGTGGGGAGGTCTATAAACGGCCACTCTGGGAATGTCTATTTATGCAGTTGAGATAAGGACTGAGATACGCCCTGGTCTCCTGCAGAACCCTCAGGCTTACTAGGCTGGGGAAAAACTCCGCCCTGGTAAATTTGTGGTCAGACAGGTTCTCTACTCTGGAACCCTGTTTTCTATTGTTTAAGATGTTTATCAAGACAATATGTGCACCGCTGAACATAGACCCTTATCAGTGGTTCTGCTTTTGCCCTTTGCCTTGTGATCTTTGTTGGACCCTTATCAGTAGTTCTGCTTTTGCCCTTTGTCCTGTTCCCTCAGAACCATGTGATCTTTGTTAGACCCTTACTAGTAGTTCTGCTTTTTGCCCTTTGAAGCATGTGATCTTTGTACCTATTCCCTGTTCTTACACCCCTTCCCCTTTTTGAACTCTTAGTAAAAACTTGCTGGTCTGAGACTCAGGTAGGCCTCACTGTCCTACCAATATGTGATGTCACCCCTGGCGGTCCAGCTATAAAATTTCTCTCTTTGTACTGTCTCTCTTTATTTCTCAGCTGGCCTACACGTACGGAAAATTGAGAGAACCTATGTTGAAGTATTGGGGGTGGGGTTCCCCCAATAAACATAAGATCATCTTTCACTTTTATAATCATCTTTTATTATATGTCAAACTAAACTGTAAGGAAAACTATAGTGACACACACATAGACATATATATTCACTTTAAAAGAATATAATAGATGTATATATTTCTGGTAAATATAGTACTATATTTTTGAGTTATAATTCCTACACATTTTAAAATTGGGAACGTGTTGTTAAGGCATAAAGTAACAAAATTTGAATAATTGTATAAGTGTTCACATATCTCTGTTAAAAACTTTTGGTGAAAGGAGAAAAATCAGAAAGCATTTATTCTTTCATGCATTTCATGTACAGGTATTTATTATGTTATACCTATATTCTATATATATGTTTAGGCATAGAGACTGATATTTTGCAATTGATTTATGATTTCTTGGCTTCAGAAATTAATTTTTAATCCCATGGATCATTTTATATTTTTTATTAAGCTTTTTCTGTGAAATGTGTCAAATATTCTTTGAAAATAATATAATTTTACTTTTAGACTATAAGTTTACTTAGGCTTATAGTTGTTCAATGCCAATATGCAAAATATTTAAGGAATAGCATCATTCTAATAAATAAAGAACTCAAATGGAATAATTTCTAAATTTGCGTACCAGTCAGGAGAGTCTGAATTAGCCTGCTTCACTGTTTGGAAATGAAAATGCATCACTAAAATAAAAAGTAAATTCAAGAAAATAAACTTTATTTAGTCAGGATAATCTAACCTGTAATATATAGCCTATTTACACATCTACATAACAATTATTTTCAATTAAAAATCTGATTTGGTAATAACGTACAAAAATGATAAATAGGGTAATCATGTAAGATATCATGATTATATTTACTTCTAATGTTTTCCTAAGTATCACCCAGGTAAATTTTACTACCCCAATCTTGGATATAAGGAAATTTAAGGTAAAAATTTAAGAAGATGCTGTTGCAATGGCTTATTAGTTCTCTAGTTAATAGCAGGCATTACATAACTCTGCTGTTAAGGAGATTAAAATATACAGAACTGACTGCTTTGTCACGTGAATCAGATTCATAGTAGCCACTGGTGAGAGACAAATTAATCTTGTCTCCTTACAATGCCTATTCATCTTTCAATGGTCCATTTCAATAATACCTGCTTGAAGAAATCTTATTGTTTTTGGAAACAGAACTATTTATCTTCTAGTCTTAAACACTGTAATATATAGTATATTACATTATACTCATATAATGTATTTAATTTACTGCATATGTCTACTAAGATTAAATATTGAGTTTGGCAAGATAGGGACTATGTCTTATTGTCTTTTACACACCATTATCTGCATGGATAAATCTTAATAAATGTTAACTGAGACAACTGTATATAAACTCCTATATATAAATTATATATAAACTCCTCTATGTGGACAATACATAAAGTACATGAGGTAGAAATAATATCATATAGGGAAATTTTAAAAAGAAAGAAAAATAAGATGGAAGGAAATTATATTCCATTTCTTTTTTCCAATGCATGATTTCGTATTAGGAAGTTAAGAAGCATAAATATGTTTCTAACTCTACATTAGTTTACCTCAAATTTGATAAAAATAGTATCCAATAAATAAGGAGTAAAATGAATTTAAAATGAGTGGCAATTAAATGGTGAATTGATGCTTTTGAAGTAGAAATGGAAGGAGGGAAACATGAGGAAATATAAATGTTAGGAGGTATTGGGGAGAGAAAACTTCTAATATCTTAGGCTTAGTGATTGTGGCTGCCAACTACAACGACAAAAGATTAACAGGAAAAATATTGGTACGTGTACAGGAGTTTAGAAAAGCAGTAGCTTGATACGTGGTTGAAGTTAGTGGCTTATATAGCCAACTTAGTAGGGAGAGCCAACTTAGACAAGGGAGACAGCAGACCAGGCCTTCGTGTGGAGAACTAACAGATTTCTTTAGCAAAGACAAAGCGGTTTCTAGAACAATTGGGAGATAAGTAAGTTTTTGATAATGCTTGTTTATGCAAGTGTGAGCGTCTTTCCCTTTTCTCCAAGGCCATAGAACTACCCTTGAAAGGGATTTTATGTTACATTTACTGTGTTCTCTTTCCTGAGAGTAAAAGCCCTCACAAAAAGAAAATTGATGGCAGCCTCATTTCCCAGAAGTTTCTGCATTTAGTCAGATAAGGGAAGCTCTGAGAAGGCTTCTTTCTCCATCTGTTGAATCCCAAATGTGTTCAGCTTAAAATAATCTTTATACCAATTCTGCAGTTCAAAGCAGGTCCCCACAGAGACAACTTTAAAAGCAGGCTTAAAATTTAGTTAGGAAATTTGACAAGTTAGAGACTAGTATTGAATTACTGAATGGTTGTAAACAATGATGAAGTCTAAATAATAAGCAATACGAATAGATGCATTTTTCAGGGTCTCCGAGAGAATTCTGGACAGCATCCATTGTGTAAGAGGGAAGGTCTGTATCATTTTAAGGAGATTTCAATGGATCAGCTTTGAACATCTGTTCACATCTTTTATAATTAATATGTGTTTGTTTGTTTGTTTCCAAAAGCAACACTGATTGGTGACTAAAGCCCAATTCAAACATTTCCTCCCTTTTGTTACTATCGTTAAAATTCTATTGTAATATTCTGGCTTTTTTTTTTTTTTTTTGGCACATGTAAGCTACCTGTGACAACAAAAACTGAGGAAAACAACTAACTACTAAAAACAAACAAATACAAACTGGAAAGAGTTGATGCTGTCAGTGCTAGAATTTGATAACAATTTGCACTTAAACAAAAACAGTGTGTTGTGTTTTAAATTAGGCTATAATAAAGCGTCATGATTAAGATTATGGGACTTCTGGTCAAAAATATGTTGATTCTGTTGCTTTCAAGCATTACAAATCTATGCACTGTATTATAACAAAGTCACATTGACTTTGAATGAAGGCCAAAAGAATGATGGTTTTAGTAGATAATATACAGGAATTATCACATTTTATAATTTATGGAAGCTTTTATTATTTGAAGATTTTTAAAAGTAAGTATAATTCATGCCATATATATAATTTTGTTTATTTTATTGGCCAGGTTTAGAATTTTTAATAAATAGTGTTGTGAAGGAATATAAAAAGTATAGTTAGGCTATTAAAATTGAGAGTATCTTCTGTTTTCCAATTATATCAGTTTTTTACAATCACACAGATTATATAAACCTGAAATTGGCCGGGCGAGGTGGTTCACACCTGTAATCTCAGCACTTTGGGAGGCTGAGGCAGGTAGATCACTTGAGGTTAGGAGTTCGAGACCAGTGTGGCCAATGTGATGAAATCCTGTCTCTACTAAAAATGTAAAAATTAGGCAGATGTGGTGGTGTGCTCCCAGATACTCAGGAGACTGAGACAGGAGAATCATTTGAACCTGAGAGACAGAGGTTGCAGTGAACCAAGATCACCCCACTGCACTCCAGCCTGGGAGACAGTGAGACCGTGTCAAAAAAAAAAAAAAAAAACCTGAAATTTCTTTGCTTTAATTGCAACCTGTCCAATCCCAGAATGTATCTATGTACAGCTTATGTGATAATGATACCTTTTTTAAAAAATTGACATTTGATATTTGGTACATAAAAATAATAAATAGGACATAGAAACAGTAAGGCATTGAAATAAGACAATAATCGCCAAACTACTATCCAACGTAATTATAATCTTACCTACCCATCCCAATAACCTCAGCCTAACAATGTATGTGCTTAAATCTCTTTCCACCTCCCTGCCTCACTCCTTTTCTTTCCTTTGTAAACACATTTTTGCTACATGAGTATGTATGTCTTAAATCCTGTATTATTTAGTTTTGCTTGTTTTTCAGTTTGTCAAATAATATAATGCACTAATAATCTTTAAAAATATAGTTTGCTGAACCTTATTTTTTAGGAATTCAGCCATGTCACTGGTGTACTTGCAGTTCTTTTACTTCTAATGCTGTGCTCTATTTCCTTGTGGTAATCTATTATAGTTTGTTGATAATCTTCCATTTGTTTGAAGAGTTTTCACTGCAAAAAATTCTGCAATGAATATGTTTAATAGATAAATGAGTTTCTCCAAAAAAAACTCATTAAAGTTTGGTGTTGGCTGGGCTCAGTGGCTCACGCCTGTAATCCCAGCACTATGGGAGGTGGAGGCAGGTGGATCAGGAGCTCAGGAGATCGAGACCATCCTGGCTAACACAGTGAAACCCCGTCTCTACTGAAAATATATAAAAAAATAGCCGGGCATGGTGGGGGGCACCTGTAGTCCCAGCTACTCGGGAGGCTGAGGCAGGAGAATGGAGTGAACCCAGGAGGCGGAGCTTGCAGTGAGCCGTGATCACGCCACTGCACTCCAGCCTGGAAGACAAAGCAAGACACCGTCTCCAAAAAAAAAAAAAAGTTTGTGGTTTACTTCTAACTTTAGACGATGTCAACTAGTTTCCTAAAATATTATCCAAGTTAGACTTCAGTAGTGTGTAAAATTTCTATATCCTTTCCATTATATTATGTTTACAAACTTCTTTATTTGGGGCCGTCTACTGTTTGTGATGTAGTAGTATCTCAATGTATAAATTTGAGTACCCCATGTTGGAAATACTTAGAACCTGAAGTGTTTCGGATTTCAATTTTTTTTCAAATTCTGTAATATTTGCATTATACCAGTTAAGCATCCTTCATCTAAAAGCCCGAAAGTTGAAACGACTCAACGAGAACTTCCTTTGAGCATCATATCAGTGCTCAAAAAATTACGATTTTGGAAAATTTTGGATTTTGGATTTTCAGATTAGGGATATTTAAGGTTTACTCTTAATTTTCATACTTCTGCTCCCTACTTAGGTTTATGCATTTTCATATATTTCTCATCATTTGTGGTTCACTTTCTGAACTATCTGTTCATCAGATTTTTTTGTAGTTGTGTTATTTTTAATTTTTTTCTTATGTTCAGAAACATATATATATATATGCCTAATAAAGGATTACTACCTAAAGTGCAGAAATTAATATTTAGTCATTGGCATTTCTAAAAACTAAAGTTGTACTTTTAAAACATTTAAATTAAATGCCACCTTAACCTTCTATAAAAAGTTAATGACTAATTATTTTGTTAGGCAATAATATAATGTCTGCAGCACTTACATTATTGTTATTATTTTCTTTGAAAGCCTGGATCAATCATATTTGATATTGCAACACTCTCCAGCAATGCATAAATTTCCTATGTGGTTTTCCTCTTAAAGTATATAAAGTAATTTATACACTTTAGGTAGTAATCCTTTATTAGGCATAAAAATTGCAAAGTTTCCAATTTCAGCTTAAATATCTCTTGGGTATATCTTTTCATAAACAAAATATTTTCACATTTATGTGGTAAAATTTATCAATTATTTACTGCAATATGCATACTTTCTGTATCTTGAGAAATCCTATTTATTATAACCTAAAGACAAACATAATTACTACTATAGCTAAAATTTGTGCAGCTTTACAAAAAACATTTACATTTAATCTATCAGAAATTAACTTATGTATATAGCATAAGAGATTATTTCATTCTTTTTCTTTTCCTCCAATAAAAATAATACACTATCCCACCATCATTTTTAGCATAGCCTTTTCTTCCCCAGAAATGTTTAAAGCTGCTTTCTCTGTATCTAGGATGTAAGAGATTTATTTCTAAGATATAAATTTTCTTTTTTTTAAATTATACTTTAAGTTTTAGGGTACATGTGCACAACGTGCAGGTTAGTTACACATGTATATATGTGCCATGTTGGTGTGCTGCACTCATTAACTCATCATTTAACATTAGGTATATCTTCTAATGCTATCCCTCCCCCCTCACCCCACCCCACAACAGGCCCCGTTGTGTGATGTTCCCCTTCCTGTGTCCATGTGTTCTCATTGTTCAATTCCCACCTATGAGTGAGAACATGCAGTGTTTAATTTTTTGTCCTTGCGATAGTTTGCTGAGAATGTTTCTTTAGATCTAAATTCTCTTGAGAAATTTTTTTTATCTCTTCCTTAATACCACACTCTGTCTCTAAGAATAGTTTTATTATAATATCAAGTAGGTATATCAGATCTCTCTCTCATGGTAGGATCTCAGTTTATGTTTTTTATTCCAGAATATGTTGGTTTTTCATTTCCATTTCCTCTATCACAAAAATATGTTAGCATCAATATCCTCATAAAATACTTTAAAAAGCTAATTCAAATTGCAATTATTTTACTGACAAATTTGAGGATAATTACATATTTACAATACTAAGCCTATTCAATCATGAACATAGTTTATCAGAAAATTTATTTAGGAAACCTTAATGGGCTTCAATAATGTTTTATGTTTTCTCTATAAAATCCTATATACATTATAGTATCTTTTTTCTAGATAGCTTAGTGTTTCATTACTGTAAAATTATATTGAATTTGAGTTTCTGAATATTTACTGGTGCTGTGTTAAATTGCTGTTTTTTGTACTTTGGACTTACAGCAAACATTATTGGTAGATTCTGTCAATTCTAATAAATGTTCTGAGATAAGTTGAAAGTATTAAAGTATGATCGCTTGCGAATTTTGATTATTTCTTTTTCCTCCTTATATTATTTTATATATTTTCTGGCATTATTTTCACTGGCTAAAAATAGAAAATCCACTATATTGTTAAGTATAATTAAAAAAGGTGTATCATCATCTTGCTATGATTTTTAAGAAAATATTTCTACCATTTCCACATTAAGAATAATAATTGCTTAATTGTTGGCATATATGATTGTGACTCCTCATGTTTAAAACTGGAAAGGCAGACATTTGGCACTCAATAAATATCTTTGGAATGGATAAATTAAAGGGGCAAATGACGCAAGGAATTCAAATAATGCAGAGGCCACATTGCTAGAGTAAGGTATTATATCTTTTTCATATAAATTTCATACTTGTTCATAGGCAGGAGATAACATTAAGCACATTTTAATTATACTTGAATTTACTCCCATAAAATAATTCTCATGAAAAATGACCTCAACATGTCTTAATTACTTATTTTATTTGTGCATATATGATAGTGTATGTATCTGAGCACCAGTTACCTGATCTAGAGGGAAGCTGGTAATGCCTCTGAAGATTATTCAAAGCATGGTTTAAGGTGACTACCACAATTACAAGCTTCATTTTCTCATAAAGCTTTTCTGAGAACTGTGAAAGCTTAACTAAATGTTAGCAACTTGACAGGCTGCTCCTGGAAAAGGAATTTTTATTTCTAAATTACTATTCTGTAGACCCCATAATACTTAATCTTTTTAAGTGCCATAGTGATTCAGAGTAGATAAAATTGAAATGCATGTTTTCCAGAAGACAGGGACTGAAACCTATTAAGCCAGAAAACCTAGGCCATTAATTTTCCTGTACCATTTGTAATGGGAGTTTTGTGATAGACTTGTGACTGATCCCTTTCCTCAGAGATCATTTCCTGGCTCTGTCTGTGTTCAAGATATAGTATCATCCCCCTGATAATAGGTATTTGTTACTTGGCAACAAGTTCTACTTGTATACACTACAATTCGTAGTTGATATATCTACACATTCTCTCCAAAAATGAATAGTTATGATGTTTTTCATTGAAATAACGTATAAATTGAACTGAATGCTTTAAAAATTCAAACAAATTCTTCCATCAGCTATGAAAAGTAATATTAAACAGCACAATAACTTAGACCTAAAATAAACATATTCAGCTAGAATAAGTATCAATATCTCATCTCATTATTACTTTGGCTTTAAAAAGTTTACAGTGAATAAAAGTCGAAGTAATAAAAATATAATATGTTTTCTTTAAGAAATGAATGGGGAGACAACTTCAATTGAATAAATTTCCTCAATTTCAATGGAGAGATTTTAGTTGAACTTTAAATTCAGAACAAGTAAACACTGATGAAGCTGTTTGAAAGCTGAATTTGATCTAAGATTATCTCAATAATATAAAAATATTTATTGGAAAAGTAGAATTTTCTAGTTGCTGCGATTTGTGTAGCATTATATACATCTTGGCTCAAAAATAAAATAAAATAACATACCATAAGATAAAACAGAACTTTCTACAATTTTGCCTGTCATAAAGAGAACTGAGGGTGATTCAGGATAACTTAAGTTCCCAATAGTATGAAAATTTAAGTGAAAATTGAATTATGTTTTAAGAGGAAAACCACATAGGAAATTTATGCATTGATGGAGAGTGTTGCAATATCAAATATGATCGATCCAGGCTTTCAAAGAAAATAATAACAATAATGTAAGTGCGGCAGACATTATATTATTGCCTAACAAAATAATTAGTCATTAACTTTTTATAGAAGGTTAAGGTGACATTTAATTTAAATGTTTTGAAAGTACAACTTTAGTCTTTAGAAATGCCAATGACTAAATATTAATTTCTGCATTTTGCTAATTATATAAGATAATACTAAACATTTATATGTGAAATATTATCTTGTCAACATACCCGTCTGATGTTTAAATTAGAAATTCAAAATATGTATGACAATGATTCTCAAGCTTCTGGATTGTCATAACCACTCTGAAGAACCTAAGTCAAGCTCAAACAGCCAACCTAGACAATTAGAGATATACAAAACTGGTTTTAAATAGTGTTTCAGCATTTACATTGTAAATGTATAACAAATTACAGTAGTTAATCAAAATGTTCTACAGTACAGGTGACATAAAAAGCAACAATTTGCTCTTCTGATGTAATGATGCGATTCCTCAATATGATTTTATTTTCCCAATAATAGACTTTTAAAATGGCATAAGGCAAAGAAGGGTTTTCTTTGTTCTTATTATAAACATTCTTCATCATCGTTCATATGAGGTTTATATTAGGCAGAAATAAGTAAAATTATTTTACTTTATGTTATTTCAAAGTGAAACTCTCTGTGCTCATAGTGCTTCTTTTGGATCACTGTTAAAAGTGTAAAGAGGTGAGTGTGAGGAATAAAAATCTGAAATGTGTAATATTTGGCATATGAAGCTTAGAAGAAAATCTCATCAATTTATTTCCATTTGAAAAGTTAAAAAACACAAAAACTACTATTCCGTTTCTAATTTTATAATCCTGGTCTTGACACTAGTTTTACTTCCAGTACTAATCACTCTGATATTTATTTCACTTTTAGTGTTTCCTAATGTAAATTACCACTTTAAATTCTGCTCCTAGATTCAGTTTATTTGTTACTTATTTACATATTAATTGCAACATGGTAGCCATTTAATTATATTTATTTTTATTTTAGAGTAAAAGGAAAAATATGTGTTAACGAATACGTTTTTACTATTACAAGCCAGCCTATTGAAAAAAAACAAAGTAAAAAAAAAATTGTTTTTTAAAAACTATTATACTTCATACTTTTCTTCTTCATTTAGTTTCTCTTGTTTATACAAGTTTCTCTTGTTTATACATATATACTTTTATGTATATAAGTATATGTATATATGTATACATATATATGCTTATATGTATATAAGATATGTTACAAGCCAGCCTATTGAAAAAAAACAAAGTAAAAAAAAATTGGTTTTTTTTTTTTTTTTTTTTTTTTTTGAGACGGAGTCTCGCTCTGTCGCCCAGGCTGGAGTGCAGTGGCGGGATCTCGGCTCACTGCAAGCTCCGCCTCCCGGGTTCACGCCATTCTCCTGCCTCAGCCTCCCAAGTAGCTGGGACTACAGGCGCCCGCCACTACGCCCGGCTAATTTTTTGTATTTTTAGTAGAGACGGGGTTTCACCATTTTAGCCGGGATGGTCTCGATCTCCTGACCTCGTGATCCGCCCGCCTCGGCCTCCCAAAGTGCTGGGATTACAGGCGTGAGACACCGCGCCCGGCCAAAAAAATTGTTTTTTAAAAACTTTTATACTTCATACTTTTCTTCTTCATTTAGTTTCTCTTGTTTATACAAGTTTCTCTTGTTTATACATATATGCTTTTATGTATATAAGTATATGTATATATGTATACATATATGCTTATATGTATATAAGATATGTATATATGTATATACATATGCTTATATGTATGTAAGTATATATGTATGTGTATATGACTTATCAAATTATAGCACTTTGTTATACAGTATTTATATAAATATTCTAGTTAAGACTTAATTTGTTATAATTTATATATGAATATTCATAATTGTAATAACTTAAATGACACATATTATAATTAACCCCATTATATAGTTTGAATATTTGTCTTCTCCAAATTTCAGTGTTAAAATGTGATCCCCAGTGTTGGAGGTGGAGCCTAGTGGGAGGTGAAGGATGTGGATCCCTCAGGAATGGCTTGGTGTTATTATTATGGTAATGAGTGCATTCTCACTCTGTTAGTTCATTCAAGAGCTGGTTGTTTAAAGGAGACTGGCATCTCCCTTGCTTCCTCTCTTGCTATGTAACATGCCAGCTCCCCGTCCCATGAGTCATGACTAAAAGCTTCCTGAGGCCTCACCAGAAGCCAAGCAGGTGCTGACACCATGCTTCTTGTACAGCTTGCAGAACCCTGAGACAAAATAAATCTCTTTTCTTTATAAGTTATCCAGACTTGGTAATTCCTTTATAGAAATGCAGAATGGACTAGTATATCCTATATATGCAGAAGCTTTATTGCTGAGGTATAAAATTATTCAAATAAAAAATAGACGGTCTATGAGAATATTCTATATAATTACCATATTGACAATCTGTCAAGCTCATTTTCTCTAGATGCCGGGATAGATCAGACAGTGCATAGTCTTGGCTGTTTAGCCAGCCTGCTAAGATAATATCCTTTGCTATTTATTCATAATTAAATTTTGGGACAAAATTCCACTGTCCTTTAAAACATCAATAATTGTTTTATTCTCCAAAATACTGTTATAAATAAAAATTTTTATGAACTCTTTTAAAAGTGAAACATACATTGTTTTCTTATTTATATCAATGAATTCTGGGAAATGTGCATTCACTCTTTTCTTCATTAGAACACTTTTTATTATGAATTCTTCTGTCTTATACAATGGCATGAAGCATTGTCTTTTGAATAAAAAAGATGTTGCTCTGATTTAGGTTCTGCTCAATTTATGCAAAGTAGTCGTCAATAGGTTTGAGTTGTGCACATCATCTGTTCTCTTTTGTCTGAGGATATGAATTAATCCACCCAGTCTTTTACTGATCCACATGACACTGGACAGTCACCATGTGTCCACACAATATAGGTGCTAGAGACCTAATGGTAAATAAGGTAGAAATTGCCCTTTTCTCATGTAACAGATGCATTCATAGTCACAAAACAAAGTGAAGCCAACTACCACTGTTGGTGGTATGCATACTGAATTTTAAACTGACTGGTATGCTATTCTAATTCAGCTAACCAGCCAGAGATTCCATATCAAAGAATAGGCCTTCATTTTAAATTTTATTTTACTATTTCTCTTTTTAACTTGTTGGTGTTCTGCTAACATTCAAGGACTTGAAGATTTGACCACTACTTGTATTTACATTGAAAGAGTCATTAAAGTAACATTTCAATGGCCATATGTTCCTAAACCCTATGTTAATTTCACTGTCAGTAACATAATTGTCATGAATTGAACTATAATACATTCCCCCAAAATTCAGAACTCACACTCTATAGCACATCGTATACTTCATTGTTTGGTATTTGCACCGCACATAGCCTTTCCGTAATTGCTCTCCTTCTATCCCTCAAATATGAAATTTAAAGATGGGTGCTAAACAGTTTCAAATGTTTTGCAAGTGTAGTGACTTTCGCTGTCTGTTACTCCATACATAAACTGTTTCTGATTATTGAGTAAACATGTTTAGTTTTCTACCAGTGTTTATATACATAATCATCTGATCTAATTCATTTTTAAGTATGGATTTTACTTGACTGAAAATATTATTTCTATAATATATTCAGTTATATGTGATTTTTTTCTAATAATAAATATATTTATTTTGACGAACTTGCTTCAATGCCTAAACTACAGATATTTAGTTTGTGTAATATAGTAATTTTTTTTTTAAGAATAATGAAATACTGGCAGCTGTGTTAATTCTGGAGACCATCACCACACAGCATGACACAATTCTTAGTTCAGCACTCAGAAGCTTGTTAAGACCATTAGAAATTGAAACTGAAATAATTTATTTTATTTGACATTGATAGATTAAAATTAAAATATAAATGAATTAGATATGTTATAGATAGTTTTTAAAACTCCACCTCGCAGGTTTCACACTTGGAGTGCAAATTTTATTTTGAATATTATTTTCTGACTTTCTGTGGCAAACATGTGGTCCTCACTCAGAAAGAAAGAAAAAGACCAACAAAACTAAAATACAATCTTATTTTTTGCAAATTTTTAAAACAATATATAGAGCAAATTTAAAATATTTTTAAACCTATTTTAAATAAACAATAGGCCAATGTCAATTAAACATGTCTAGCTCCCAAACACAGTGCTACAGGGTCTCTCATAAGCTTGAACTCCCAAATGAGTTATAGGATCTCAAACATACTTTAAATGAAATAACCACTTCAATTATTTTTGCCAATGATTCAAGATACTATACTTACCTAATAATCTTCTACAAAGTATTCATAGAGCAAACCAGCAAATTTAAAACGATCAATTTATATTGTAAACTTTTAAAATTATATGAAATATATTTTGAAGTAGAAGGAGTGGTATATTAATTCAGCATCAAGATTTCTACAGATCAACTATATTGCTCATAGCAATGTGATGAAAAATTAGGTAAGAAATTCTCAATAATTGCATTTTTACTTTATTTGATTAAATACCCTCAAAGGAAGAAAACAAGAAACAAAGAAACTGGCAATACAGTTTTTCACAAAGATTCAGGAATTGATAACATCAGTTACCTCTGAAGGCTAAAGTTTTGGTGAAGCTGAAAACAGAAATCTACAAAATGCCTAGTGAGACTCCTTGAATCTTTTCCTCTATCTGCAGAGCCAGCAACTGACTAACACCTCAGCAGGAGACACAGGTCTTACTATTTGGAAATGTTAATACAGAATATCTCTAAAATCAGCTGCATGCTGATATGACCCTTGCTCACTGAGAAATGCAGTGGATACCTGGATATTATAGGATGAGATGGTAAGCTACTATATTTATCCTCACTTTTCCCTATCAGCTCATACCTTGCCCTAGGGAGATATTGGATAATTTTCTCTGGGTAGGTTCCTGATTCAAATAAATTCCTTTTGATTCCTGGAAGTCCTTAAAGAAGCAGCCTGATTCTTGCCTAAATATCATTTCAAAGTTCTAATAATTTCCTAGGTCTATCAATTTATACAGAAAATCTTTCCAGCATTAAATTCATTTATTATTAACTACGGGGAATAACCAAAAAATCATGTATTTAACCATTAAAAGGGGGTTCCATTATAAAAGAGAAAAAAGTATATAAGAAAGAAAAATAAAGATTTTGGGAAAAAGACAAATAAATTCAAGAAGCAGAAGAACATTTAAAAAATATAATTACCACAGTTAACATACAGAGATAAATACAAATTTACATTTTTGAATCAAAGATAAGATACACCTCAAAAAAGTGAACATTCCAACCCACAGAAAGAACTATTGGAAATTAAGAATACTATTAGTCCATACAAATTTGAAAGAAATATTTCAAAATAAAGCCTACGACTTTTTGGAGAAAGTAGATAGAAAAGCTGTGTTATAAAATAGTAGAGGTTAGTGAGTAAAATGAGAAGAGCAGTCCAGGACACTTACGTGTGACTTGTCTTATAAACAAATAAATCACACCAAGGGCATCTTTGTGATATTATAGAAAACTTGGAAATAATTGACAATCAAAAAATTTATATGAGAAGAAACAAGTATCACATACAAAACATCAGTAATCAGAAGAGCACTATATATGAATAGCAAAAATAAAGCACTGAAACAACGTTATTCAAATAATAAGAGTAAATGATTTCTGTACTGGAATTCTATACTCCGAAGAACCATCACACTAGCTGTTTATATGCTCCTGCCTATGACATTATTCATTATTCTCTGTTGAAAACACAAAATTTAAGAAACTGTGAATGTGTTTATTAATTGCATATTACTTTTTTCCTTTGCCTCTACGAAAAGTGCACAATGTACTATTTTTTTTGCCTTCCTATGGAGCTTAAGACTAAACTCTGTCTCATCTCACATTCTTTGAGATTAATCTCTTTCTAGCCACCTTCTCTGAAATAAGGCTTAATGTCTCTTATTTGTTCTCACATAATTTATTCTTCATATTTATGTCACTATATATTCACAGTACTATATAATGGTTGCTTAAAAATATTAATCTCTCTATCTGACATGATTCTTTTAAAGTAAATCATTTGTATTTTCTTAACCATTGCCAGAATCTAACACAATGTTTAATACATAGATTATAGTCTAACAAGTATGAAGGCAAGTGTACAAAGGCTTAAAGATTTAAACAAAGTTACATGAAAGTACTTAAATATCCTCAGTAGGCTAAGGAAGAAATTCACAGATGAGTAGATGCATGTATTTTTCATATGGACAGAACTATTAGGTGTTCTAGAACTTGTGCAGACTCACAGATTTGTTGACTATCATGACGCTTTTTGAAAAGTGCTAGTGGGTTGATCGTGAGTGACTAAACACTATGCGTGGAGGAATCAGAGAAAATGAGTTTTAAAGTTAAAAAAATGTTTCTATAACATAAAGAGTAGTTAGAATTTAATGATCAGGGATAAGCATATATTGAATAGTTGCAAATAACAAAGAATTCTGAACAGATACCGTGGCCATCTGTTTTATATCCCTACCCAACACTCTCAAATGAGAAACTTCTTTTACCCTCTTCCATGTGATTAAATTGGAAGCTTTAATTACATTGTCATGCCAACTGTATGCTCGAAAGAATGAAGGGTGCAAAGAATAGCCAAACATATTGCCCAACTCCCTGTGACTTAGAGAAAATTAGTTTTTTTGTCCTATGAGGTTTGTGTGGTAGATAGACGTATGTAGTACTGTCATTCTTTCTGGGTCAAAAGCTTTAAGGCTAGAAGTACCATAGTTGTATTTAACTAGTAAGAAGGACAATAAACTATCTAGGAAATGCAGTACTATTTCATAATAGTTAAATATGGAATCAGACTAAGCGTCAAATAGCAGATAAATGGGTAAAGAAAATGTGGGATATATATACAATGAGACACTATTCAGACATAAAAAAAGAATAAAATTCTGTAATTTACAGAGAGATGAATGAAACTGGAGGATATTCTGTTAAGTGAAATAACCCAGAAACAATGTTAAAAAGGGCATATTCTCACTCATATGTGAAAGCTAAAAAAGTTGATCTTATAACAGTAAAAAGTAGAAGAGAGGATATTAGAGACTAGAAGAATAGGTAAAGAGTGGGATAGGGAGAGCTTTTTTAAAGCATACAAATTACAGCTAGATTGGAAGAATAAGTTCCAGTGTTCTATACCCCAGTAGCATGACTCTAGTTAACAATAATATATAGTTTCAAATAACTAGAAAGAGGATATTGACGGTTCCCAACACAAAGCAATGATAAATGTTTGAGGTAATGGATATGCTAATTATTCTGATCTGATCATTATACATTTTATGTATCCAAACATCACTATGTACCCCATGAATATGGAAAATTATTGTCAATTAAAAGAATAAAACCAACTTACTTTTATAAGCCAGCTGAAGTAAAAAAATAAATAAATAACATGATGTTAGCACTGAAAGAGAAAAACAGTGAACAAAGTCCAGAGGTGGACGGAGAAATACAGAATCTTTTCAACCATGTATTGCCTGGCCCTAGCCAGGCAATAAACAGATAACCTCTTTCACCGTATATATAGAAGAGCTAACATATTCCTGGTTTGCATAAGCCATTTTAATTTGACCATTTTCACTTGCAAGAGCATTTGAATTCAAGTCTATCTGTGATAATATTCATCCATAGAGAAAAAAAATCAGAGAAAACTAATTTATATTATTGCAAATGATCTTCATTGCTAATTGATGACAGTGGAAAACATATTTTGTCTTATACTTTTGTATTAAAATTGTTATCAGACAATATTTTTAAAGTATGTATATTTTTGTTACATAAAAACGAATCCTGGAAAGAGGATGTTGATTTTTAATTCTGATGGATAGGCCATCTTAGAACTACTTAAAAAGCCATACGATTTAAGAACAATCCTACGATGATATTGAAGCATCAAGCTTTGGAACCTAAGATTCTGGAGAGCGGGTAATTGCAGGCACATGAGCAGACTGCAGCTGTGTTTTCCCTAAGTATATTTGACAGTTATGGGGATGGAACCATAGTACAGCTTTAGTCTGGGAAAGGGCTGCTTCTGGAAGACAAAAAAAAAAAAAAAAAAAAAAAACAGCAAACTGCTTCTGAAGAGCAGAGCATTATTGTTGGCAGGCTCACATGCCACAGAGGCAAGGATTATAGATCAGTACTTGCCAAACGAATGGCCAATGTCCACAAATTAGGCTTTCAGCTTTTAATCACTGGAGAGCTACAATTTAGGTAGGCAGAGATTTAGTAAATTTGCAAACCAGTCTCAATTCACCTCAGTCCCTAACTGAATGAAAGTTAATATCCCCTCCTCTAGCTGCCTGGCTGGGTAAACCTCTCTAGAAAAAGACAGCATGGCAATCTCTACAATTTGTTAGCTAATTAGAATTCCAAAGAAAATTACTAGGTATATCAAGAGACAAGAAAGTATTATTTAAAACCAGGATTTAAAAAATTAAATGAAAATAATAATAGAGCCATGGGTGATCTAGACATTAGATTTAGTAATGAGAGACATTAAAATAACTATGATTTATTTGTTTTAAAAAGTAGAGAAAAAGTAGAGAAAAGAAAAAGTAGGATTGGGGAAATTCAATACCAGAGAAAGTACCTTTTAAGTGGCAATATTAGAGATAATTAGTGGTAAAGTAATAAAATAATCAATTAAATGGGGAAATAAAGCTATTTTAAATGTGTACATAGCTGTCAGTATAGCCTTGAAAGGTACGAATCAAACTCTGACAAAACAAATAAAGCAGTCAAACCAACAATTATAGTAAAAATTTTAACATACCTCTTTAATAATTAAAAAATAAGCCAATAAAAATTAGCAAGTGAATGGATGATCTGAAAAGAATGATTAACAAGTTTGTCCTCCTTTTGCATATAGAACACTGAAGCCACAGACTATATATTATCTGAAAATGCACATGGTATATTTTCCAAATTTAATTGCCTCAAAAAATGTCAAAGTATTGAAATAATTTAGATGAATTTCAATAGCCAAAATTGAATTAAGCTTAAAAATTTAAAACAAACAACCTAGAAAGTCACAATGTTTTAGAAATTAAGAAATAAAAATGATCAAAGTCAGTAAATACTAACTTGATGTTAATATAAAAACTAAATGTCAAAACATCAGGGCTAGGCCTGATAGCTCAGGCTTGTAATTCCAGCACTTTGGGAGGCCGATGAGGGCAGATCACTCGAGCGCAGGAGTTTGAGACCAGCCTGGGCAACATGGTGAAATCCTGTCTTTACACACACACACACACACACACACACACACACACACACACACACACACACACACACATTAGCCAGGAGTGGTTGAGGTAAGAGGATTTCCTGAGCCCAGGAGGTCAAGGATACAGTGAGCTGTGATCCCACCAATTCACTCCAGTCTGGGCATCAGAGGGAGATTTTATGTCAAAAATAAATAAATAAATGACAAAACATCAGGGAATAAAACTAAAGTCATGCTTGGAGATACAATTACACTTTGTAATATGAATTATATAAAACTCTAAGTTAGAAAATTAGAAAATAAATCAAGGACACTTTAATATCTCAAAAACTTGGAAAAAATAAAAGCGAATGCAGTAAAAAGAGGCCATAAAATTTCAAAAATTAAAATATAACTAGAAAAATCACATATAAGAATCCATAAAGCTAAATTTTTTAAAAATAATAATTTATATTTAAACAATCTATTTTCTTTGTTCCCACTATCTTATGTATTTTTGTTGTGTTTTGCAGTTACTATCTTCGTGTATTAGCCCATTCTTACACTGCTACAACAACTACCTGAGACTGGGTAATTTATAAAGAAAGAGGTTTAATTGACTGTCACTTCTGCATGGCTTGGGAGGCTACAGGAAACTTAACAATCATGGCGGAAGTTTAAGAAGCGGCAAGCACCTTCTTTGCAATGCTGCAGTGAAGGGGGAATGTTGGGGGAAGTGCCACACTTTTAAACCATCAAATCTCATGAGAACTCACTCACTATCATGAGAACAGCCTGGAGGAAACTGCTCCCACTATCCAATCACCGCCTACCAGGTCCCTCCCTCAACATGTGGGTATTACAATTTGAAATGAGATTTGGGTGGGGACGCAGAGCCAAACTGTATCATCTAGTATCTCTAGAGTCTTCTGACTTCCCATATTTATTTAAGTAAAAACCTATAATCAATTTTTTTAAATAAGAGATGTGGTCTCCATTTTCATGAATAGACTGGTAAACAGAGAAGAAAATCTAAAAGAATTTATGAACAAAATATTAGCATTATTACATGTGTATAAAGGCCAACAGACGCAAGGTGAATACGCAAAAATTTATTACACTTCAATACATTAGCCAAATGGAAAAACATAACATTATAAAGGTAATATCATTTACAATTAAATAAAAATACCAAAAAGCTGTGAATGTTATTACTGATTCTTCTACACTAAAACCGAAAAGCATCTTCAAGAAAAAATAAACGGGGATAAGTAAAAGGAGAACTATATATAGCATGTTGAGAAGACTCAATATTATAAATATTCAATTATCTTCAAATTTATTCATAGGTTCAATAAAACAACAATTAAAATCCCAGAAGGATAGTTTTATGTAAGTTGAAAAGGTGATTTTACTACTAAAGCTAAAATAACCAGGGGCTAAGATATTCCAGCCAATATATAATAAGAATAACAAGTTTAGAGAATTCGCTCTATCAGAGATCAAAACTTTTATGAAACTCTATCAATTAATATAGAGAATAAATGATGCAATAACACAAGAATAAATTATTGGAAAAACTATAAGGTCTAAAAATAGACCAAAGCATATGGTCTCCTAAGTTATGACAAAACTATTACTATAGTGCAGTAAAGAAAAGATCTTTTTCCAACAAGTGCTTATGGATCAAATGTATATCAACAGAGGGGGAAAATTAATCTTCCTTTCTCCCTTCACAAAATACCAACAAACATTGATACTAGAAGAATCAATTGTTGAAGATTATGAATTTTGGAGGAGAATAAAAGGTAAAAATATATTAGACTGAGACATGACACTCTAAATATGTATCCGAATTGTACATAAACATATGATTTTTTTACCTTCATTAGTCCTCAGGAAAATGCAATGTCAGTCACAAAAAATACTACTAGAAACACACCAGAATGACCAATAATAAAGTGACCAACAAAACCAAATGTTGGCAAAGATCTGAAGCATCCTTGTAAAACTTTATAACAATACTAAACTGTTAAGGTAAATTGGTAAAAGCACTAGAAACCTCTCTGGTGGTATTATTAATTATTAAATTCAATTATTTATATATTCTATGACTCAGTAATTCTACCACTAAGTGGAATATAACCAAGAAAATTATATACTTATACTCATCAAAAGACACATATAATAATTTTTATAGCAACATTATACAAAATAGTCAAAATATACGAAAAACCACCCAGCTGTCCACCAACAGGGGAATGAAAAACAAATTGTGCTACATTTAAATAATAAAAGAGACTACAACACTGAGAATTATCTAGAATCACATATAAAAATATGAACGAATGACAAATATAATATTGAGTAAATACATCAACCTCAGCCATTTTAATATATGGTTGCATATGACCTCAATTAAAAAACAGACAAAATAACTACGTAATTTACAAGCCAGTATACAGATGACTCTTTGGTGGTAGCTCCATGGGAGGGGGCATAAGAGTATTTTTATTTGTTGAAAATGATTTTTTGTTGTTGTTGTTGTTGTATTTTTTATGTGGGTTGGTTATATGGCATGAATTTAGCAAGTAGAAATTTAGCTTTAGACTTTAATGGTTTAAACCAATCTTCCCACTAAGTATAACCAAAAAAAATGGATACAATTATTTGAGAGCATTTTGGGCAAAAAGCAAAATACCATCATCTCAAATAAAAAAAAGAAAGAGAAGTTTACATACCTGTACTGATATTTCTTTCAAGTTATTTGGCAACTTGTAAACTTCACAAAGCTGTTATGTAAATAATCCAAACAGAAAATACAAGAAACCACCAAAGAGAACATGAGATAAAGTTAAAAAAAAATTAAAGTACCCTCATTTTTGAAGGAGGAGAAGAAATAGGAAGGAGAACAGAAAACTTGAAGAGATATGCATGTTTTCCAAAACTGACTTAAAACATGCCACAGATTCAAAAAGTGATATAAATATGGGGCAAAATAAAACAGAGCAAAAAAAAAACCCAAAAAATTTAGACAAATTATGTAAAAATCTTGATTGTCAAAAACAAATACAAAATCTTTAAAAATCAACCAAAGAAAAAAGGAGCACTGCTTATAAAGTGCTATCTATAATACTAATAGCAAATTCAAACACACACATACACACACACAGAGAGAGACAGAGAGAGGAGAGAGAGAAGAAAGCCCAATGTCAATTGTAAAAATGCTTTACAGAGCAATAAAAAAACTCCTAACAATTATTTTACTATAACAAACCAAAAATAATGTGCTTCAAAAAAAATAAGTTGAAATGAAGATATTTTTAGACAGATACAAAAGACCTCAAATAGGATCTTTAGGAAAAAGAAAAACGATCTAAGATAGAGGTAAACAAAGGAAAGAATAAGGATCAAGAAAAAAGAAAAAAATACTTGGATAAATATAATTGGATATTAACTGTTGTGACGATAACGATGATGTTGCATGGTGTTTAAATATAAGTAGATTTAAATGACAACAATAACAATATGTAAAAAGATATTAGAGAAATAAAGTGTCTGCAAAGTGCTAACAGTCCTGATTTACATGACAATTTAATAATTTGAAGTATAATGTAAACTATGGTAAACAATAAAGAAATAGTAAAATAATCAACATCTAAAAAATTAGTAGGGTTTAACCCAAAGGAGGCAAGAAAAAGTACAGACAATGATAAAATGTAAAACAAATAGAATAGTGGATGAAACATGAAATAAATAGATATACTAGCTACATAAAAAAGAAATTACACTAAATGTAATATAATTAAATATCAAAATTAATACCAGCAACTGACTAAATTTTTAAAAAATTATATGCTGATAACCAGAAAAACATCTTAAATATAACTGTGGGAAAAACTTGAAAGCAAAAGATAAAAGAAAAGGTAGCATGCAGAGTAACTGAAAACAAGCTCAGCTGGGTGTGGTGGCATGCTTCAGTAATCCAGGCTATTAGGAGACTGAGGCAGAAGGATCACTTTAGCATGGGAGTTTGAGATTGCAGTGAGCTATGATCATATGATCATGTGCCACAGCACTCCAGATTGCCTGGGTGACTGAGACAGAACAAAACCTATCCCAAGAAAAGAAAAAAAAAAGCTAAATCATTACTCTAAAATCTGAAAGGAGGAAAAACGGATTTTAAGACAAGAAGCATATAGCATACACTAAGTAGAATATTTTACTATGGCAAAGGATTAATCTATGAGAATAAAATAACATAAAAAACTTAACTATACCTTATAATATAGATTTAAAATATATAAAACAAAGAAAATATTGATATAATTCATGAGTAAATATCTCTGTATATTTACGTACATATATAATATAATATATTTATATCCTATAATTATATATAAAATATAATATATAATTATATATTTATATAATTATAATATATAATTATATATTTATATAATTATAATATATAATTATATATTTATATAATTATAATATATAATTATATATTTATATATGTGTATATAATTTATATATAAATATATGTATGTATAATTTATATATATTTATATTATATATTATATATACCATATATCACATATAAGATATATTATATGTTATATAAAATTATAACACATATAATTATGATTATAATACAACTTAATCATATTATATATAATTTTATAATATAAAATATTCAAAACATAAGTTGTAATAAAGATATTTTTAGACAGATACAAAAGATCTCAAGTGGGATCTTTAAGAAAAAGAAAAACGATCTAAGATAGAGGTAAACAAAGGAAAAAATAAGGAGCAAGAAAAAAGAAAAAATACACGGATAAATATAATTGGATATTAACTGTTGTGATCATAACATAATTTATATAATATAATTTGTAATATATATTATAATTATAGTATATATTTTATTATATATTATATATTATACTATAATATATTCATATATTATATTACATATGTATAAATGTGTTTGTATGCATATGCATGCCCACAATATTTACAATAGCATTAAAATCAAACAAAATACATAAGAATACATTTGACTGGCCAGGCACGGTGGCTCATGCCTTTAACCCCAGCACTTTGGGAAGCCGAGGCAGGTGGATCACGAGGTCAGGAGATCGAGACCATCCTGGCTAACACAGTGAAAACCCATCTCTACTAAAAATACAAAAATTAGCCAGGCATGGTGGTGGGCGCCTGTAGTCCCAGCTACTCAGGAGGCTGAGGCAGGAGAATGGCGTGAACCCGGGAGGCAGAGCTTGCAGTGAGTCAAGATCCTGCCACTGCACTCCAGCCTGGGCAACAGAGTGAGACTCTGTCTCGAAAAAAAAAAAAAAAGTATACATTTGACTACAGAGGCAAAAGACATGCACTGAAAACTACAATATGTTGCTGAGAAAATTAAAGAAGATGCAGATAAATAGAAAGATAGTCTGTCTTCTGGGGTTTGAAAATTTGATATTTTTGAGATGTCAGTACTACCCAAAGCATTCTATTTGCAGAAATAGAAAAATCTATTCTAAAATTAATGTAGAATACTAAAGGACACCAAACAGCCTAAATATTCTTGTAAAATAAATATTATAAATGAAAAACAAAGTCAGATGTCTCAAATTTTCTGATTTCAAAATATACTACAAAGCTAAAATACTCAAAACAGTGTGTTACTGGTATACCACACAGTGAGGTACAATAGAATAGGATAGAGAGCCCAGAAATAAACTGTCTCATGTATGACCAAATTACTTTTGATAATCACGCTAAAACCACTGAAAGAAAAGAGGACTTTACAAGAAATAGTGTTGGGAAAACTAGATATACACATGCAAAAATATGAAGTTGGATCTTTACAGCATAGACAAAAATTAACTGAAAATTGATAAAAAGTCTAAACATAGGAGCTAAAACTACAAAATTGTTAAGAATAAACATGGAGGTCGGGCACGGTGGCTCACACCTGTAATCCCAAGGCCTTTGGGAGGCTGAGGCGGGCGGATCACGAGGTCAGGAGATCGAGACCATACTGGCTAACATGGTGAAACCCCATCTCCACTAAAAAATACAAAAAAAATTAGCCAGGCGTGGTAGCAGGGCGCCTGTAGTCCCAGCTACTCGGGAGGCTGAGGCAAAAGAACGGTGTGCACCTGGGAGGTGGAGCTTGCAGTGTGCCGAGATCACGCCACTGCACTCCAGCCTGGGCGACAGAGCAAGACTCCATCTCAAAAAAAAAAAAAAGAATAAACATGGGAGAAATTCATGATATGGCAATAATTTCTTAGATATAACAACAATAGCACAGGGAACAAAAGAAATGTAAACTGGACTACATCAAAATTAGAAACTTTTGTGCAGGTAAGGGTACTATCGACAGAGTGAAAAGGCAACCCAGAGAAAAGGAGAAAATTTTTCTAAATCATGTATTTGATAAGAAATTAGTATTAGGAAAATATAAAAACTTCTACACCACAATAACAAAAAAAAATTTAAAAATAGGCGAAGTATTGAATAGGTATTTCTCCAAAGATGACATATGTACATATATGTATATGTACACATATGTACATGTATATATGTATATGCACACAAGTGGCCAATAAGCACATGAAAAGATTGAAATGAAGCTCAATATCAATATTCATTAGAAAAATGAAATACCACAATACAATACTACTTCACATATATTAAAATGGCCATTATCAGAAAAGCAAAACATAACAAAATGTATTTTTAAAACTAGATAATGAAAAGTGTTAGTAAGGATGTAGAAAAATTAGAACCCTTGTGTATTGCTGGTTCAAAGGTAAAGTGCTGCAGCTACCTTAGAAAAGAGTTTGGCAGTTCTCCACAAAACTGAAAATAGTATTACCACAGAATCCAAAAATTCCACTTATGGGTATAAGCCAAAAATAATTGAAAGTAGAGATTCAAAAAGATATTTGTATACCCATATTCATAGGAGCATTATTCTCAATAGCCAAATGATGTAAGCAACCCGTTTCCATGGATGGATGAATGGATAAACAAAATGTGATAAAAACATACAATAAAATATTATTCAGTATTAAAATACTGGGGAATAGTGACACGTGGTACAACATGAATAAATCTTGTCAACATTATACTATGTAAAATAAACCAGACACTAAAGAACAAATATTGTGATTTCATTTATATGAAGTACTTAGTGTGTTCAAATTCATAGAGACAGAAAGTAGCATGCTGGGCGCCAGGAGCTAGGGACAGAGGAAATGAGGAATAATTATTTAATGGGTAAGAAGTTTCAATTTGAAAAGTTCTAGAGATTAATGGTGGTGATAGCTCCACAGCAATGTGAATGTATTTAATGCCACAAAGCTGTACACTTAAAATGTGTTAAAATGATACATTTTCTATTATGCATGTTACCTTATAATGGTAATAAACTTAATTCCTAATAGTAATTATAATGAAAGATATGTAAGGAAAAGAAAACAACAAAAACATTTCCAGTAAATATTAAAGAAGACCAGAATAGGTGAAGAATATACCATATTCAGGGAATTAAAGACCCAACAGTTCTGTCCAAACTGATCTACATATTTAATACAATTGGATTAAGTTGGCAAGCTGACTATATACTATATATGAAAAACACAGGGGGCCAAGAATAACCAAAATCATCCTGAAAAGAAAAATAAATATTAGGCCAGGAGCAGTGACTCACACCTGTAATCCCAGGACTTTGGGAGGCCAAGGCTGGTGGATCGCCTGAGGTCAGGAGTTCGAGACCAGCCTGGTCAACATGGTGAAACGCTGTCTCTACTAAAAATACAAAAATTAGCCAGGTGTGGTGGCATGCATCTGTAATCCCAGCTACTCAGGAGGCTGAGGCAGGAGAATCCCTTGAACCCAGGAGGCAGAGGTTGCAGTGAGCCAAGATTCTGCCACTGCACTCCAGCCTGGGCGGCAGAGTGACACTCCTTCAGAAATAAATAAATAAATAAATAAATAAATAAATAAATAAATAAATAAATAAATATTAAAGATTTATGCTAATTGATATCAAAACTTTATAAGTTACACTATTTACTTCTTCTTTTTCCTTTTCTTCAGCCTATATTTTAGGTATAGGAAATACATGCGCAGTTGTGTTTCCTGGGTATATTGTGCAATGCTGAGGTTTGAAATACAAATGATCCCATAACTCAAGTACCAAGCATAGCGTTCATGTCTTTTGTCTTTTTTTTTTTATGGGGGTTGTTTTTTGCTTGATCAGTTGTTTAAATTTCTTGTAGATTTTGGATATTAGACCTTTGTTGGATGGCTAGTTTGTGAATATTTTCTCCCATTCTATAGGTTATCTGTTTCTTCTTGATAAGTCCCACTTGTCAATTATTGTTTTGTTGCAATTGCTTCTGGGGACTTAATGGTAATTTATTTTAAGGCCAATGTCTACGGAAGTATTTTTAAGGTTTTTTTCTAAGATTCTTAAAGTTTGGTGTCTTACATTTAAATCTTTAATTCATCTTGAGTTAAATTTTGTGTAAGGTGAAGAGTAGGAGTCTGGTTTCATTCTTCTGCTTATGTCTAGCAAGCTATTCCAGGATCATTTATTGAATAGAGAGTTTTCTCTCCATTACTTAGTTTTGTTAACTTTGTCAAAGATCAGATGGCTGTAGGTGTGCAGTTTTATTTCTCTGTCTCTATTCTGTTCCATTTGTCTCTGTCTGTTTTCCTACCAGTACCATACTGTTGTAGTTACTGTAGCCTTAGGACATAGGTTGAAGTTGGGTAATGTGTTGCCTCTGGCTTTGCTCTTTTTTGTGTTCTAGAACTGCTTTGGCTATTTGGGCTCTTTCTGGGTTCCATATGAATTTTAGAATTTTTTTTCTAGTTCTGTGAAAACTATGTTGGTAAGTTGATAGGAATAACACTGAATCTGTAGATGGCTATGGATAGTGTGGTCATTTGAAAGATATTGATTCTTCCAATTCATGAGCATAGAATATTTCCCATTTGTTTGTTCATCTATGATTTCTTCTTTTTTTTTTTTTTGATACGGAGTCTTGCTCTGTTGCCCAGGCTGAAGTGCAGTGGTGCTACCTCGGCTCACTGCAAGTTCTGCCTCCCAGTTCCACGCCATTCTCCTGCCTCAGCCTCCCGAGTAGCTGGGACCACAGGCGCCTGCCACCACGCCCAACTGTTTTTTTTTGTATTTTTAGTAGAGGCGGGGTTTCACTGTGTTAGCCAGGATGGTCTCGATCTCCTGACCTCGTGATTCGCCTGCCTCGGCCTCCCAAATTGCTGGGATTACAGGTGTGAGCCACCGCACCCGGCCTCATCTGTGATTTCTTTTAATAGTGCTTTGTAGTTCTCCTCGTAGACATCTTTCACCTTCTTGTTTAGATGTATTTCTAGGTACTTTATTTGTGTGTGTGTGGCTATTGAAATGGAATTTCATTCTTGATCTGACTATCAGCTTGAATGTTATTGGTGTATAGTAATGATACTGATTTTTGTATATTGATTTTGAATACTGAGACTTTACTAAAGTCATTTATCAGTTCCAAGAGCCTTTTGATGGAGTCTTTAGGGTTTTCTAGGTATACAATCATGTTGTCAGCAAATAGATAGAGTTTGACTTCTTTTCCTATTTAGATGCCATTTATTTATTTCTCTTGTCTGATTGCTCTGGCTAGGACTTCTAGTACTATGTTGAATAGGAGTGATGTAAGTGGGCACTCTTGCCTTGTTTTGGTGTTCAAGGGAAATGCTTCCATTTTTTGCCCAATTAGTATGATGTTGGTTGTGGATTTGTCACAGATGACCCATTGTTTTGAAGTATATTCTTTCAATGCCTAGTTTCTTGAGTTTTTTTTTTTAATCATGAAGGGATATTGAGTTTTATCAATATATTGTTCTCTAGATGATTATATGGCTTTTGTCTTTAATTGTGTTTATATGGTGAATCACACTTTTGTGTTTGTTGAACCAACCTTGCATCCCAGGAATAAAGCATGCTTGAACATGGTGAATTAATTTTAATATGCAGTTGAATTTGCTTTGCTAGTATTTTGTTGAGGATTTTTGTGTCTATGCTCATCAGAAATATTGGCCTGTAGTTTTCTTTTTCCATTGTGTCTTTGCTAGGTTCTGATATCAGGGTGATGCTGGCTTCATTGAATGAGTGAGGGAGGAGTTCCTCTTCCTCGATTTTTTGGAATAGTTTCAGTAGAGTTGGTACCAGCTTTTGTTTGTACATCTGGTAGAATTTGGTTGTGAATTCATCTGGTCTGAAGATTTTTTTTTGTTCACCGATCTTTTATTAATGATTCAGTTTTGTAACTTGATACTGGTTTATTCGGTGTTTCAATTTCTTCATTCAATCTTGGGAGATTGGATGTTTTCAGGAATTTATCCATTTCCTCTAGATTTTGGAGTTATTGTACATAGTATTGTTTATAATAGTCTCTGAAGATGTCTTGTGTTACTGTGAAATTGGTTATAATGTCACGTTTGTCATTTCCGATTGTGCTTGTTTGGATCTCTTTTTTTCTCTTTGTTAATCTAGCTAGTGGTCTACTGACATGGTTTACCCTTTCAAAGAACAAACTTTTGGTTTCCATGATTTTTGGTATGGATTTTGGTGTTCTAATTTTGGTCAGTTCCTCTCTAATATTAATTTCTTTTCTTCTGCTAGCTTTGGGGTTAGGAAGTTCTTGTTTTTCTAATTTCTATTGGAATAATATTAGATTGTTATTTTGAGATATTTCTAGTAGATATTTGAGGTAGGCATTTAGCACTATAAACATTCCTCCCAATACTACATTTGCTGCAGTCAGAGATTTTGGTATGTTGTGTCTCTGTTTTCATTTATTTCAAAGAATTTTTTTAGATTTCTACTTTAATTTTGTTGTTTACCCAAAAGTCATGTAAGAACAAGTTGTTTAATTTCCATGTTCTTGTGTGGTTTTAAGAGATCTTCACCGATATTGACTTCTATTTTTATTCCACTGTGGTCTGAGAGTTTGGTTGGTATAATTTTATTTCTTTTGAATTATTACTTTTGAATTTTGAATTATTAAGACTTGCTTTAGGGCTAAGCATGTAGTCAGCCTTGGAGTATGTTTTCTGTGAAGATGAAAAGAAAGTATATTCTGTGATTGATGGGCGGAGAATTCGGTAGATTTCTATTGTGTCCAATTGATCAAGTGTTGAATTTAAATCCAGAATTTCTTTGTTAATTTTCTGCCTCAATGATTTGCTTAATGCTGTCATTGGTATAGTTGAAGTCCCCCACTATTACTGTGTGGCTGTCTAAGTCTTTTTGTAGGTCTAGGGATACATTTTTTATGAATCTGGGTGCTCTGATGTTGGATACACATATATTTAAGGTAGTTAAGTCTTCTTATTGAAGTGAAATGAATTGAATTTGTGCAGGAAGGATTTTTTTTTTTCTTTTTCTGTCTTTCCTTATAATGCTGTTATTATTTTTTCTTTCCCTTTCTTTCTCCCTCTCCATACAAACAACTTGTTCCTAAAAGACTTGTTCCTAAATCATTACGCAGTGCCCTTCTTGGTCTTTTTTTACTGTTGTTGGTTTAAAGACTGTTTCATCTGATATAAAATTAGTGACCCCTGCTTCTTTTGGTTTCCATATGTGTGGTAGATCTTCCTCCAACCATTTACTTTGAGCCTGTGAGTGTTGTATGGGGCATGGGTTGCTTGAAGACAACAGATGGATGGATCTTGCTTTTCGATGCAACTTGCCACTCAGTGCCTTTTAATTGAGGCATTTAGACCCTTTACATTCAATGTTAAAATTGATATGTGAGGTTTTGATCCTACAGTGAAGCTGTTAGCTCGTTGCTTTGTAGTTTCTATGTGTGGCTGCTTTATAGAGTTTGCAGGTTATTTACTTAAGTGTGTTTTTTCAGCAGCAGGTATCATTCTTTCTTTTCCACGTTTAGAACTCTCTTAAGAATCTCTTCTAAGACTTGCCTAGTGGTAAATAATTCCATTAGAGCTTGATTTTCTGGAAAAGTTTTCATTTCTCCTTTGCTAATAAAACTTAGTTTGGTGGAATATAAAATTCTTGGTTGGAATTCTATTCTTTAAGAATATTGAAAATAGGTTCCTGGCTTGTAAGCTTTCTGCTGAGAAGTCCACTGTTACCCTGATGGGGTTTCTTTTGTATGTGATAGGAACTTTTTCTCTAGGTCTCTGTAAAATAATTTTAGCATTGACTTTGGCCAGTCTGGTGACTATATGCCTCGGTGATGTTCATCTTGTATAACATCTCACAGATGTTCTGGATTTTTGTATCTGGATGTCTATTACTCCAGAAAAATTAGACAAGTTTTCTTAAATTATTCTCTCAAACACATGTTCCAGGTTGTTTATTTTTTTTCATTCTCTCTCAGGAGTGCCAATATGGTCATTTTACATAATCCTATATTTCTCAGAAACTTTGTTCATTTTTAAAATTTATTTTTACTTTATTTTTTTTCTGACTGGGTTAGTTTAAAAGTCTGGTCTCCAAATTCTGAAATTCTTTCTTCTGCTTGGTCCAGGCTAAGGATAAAGCTTTCAATTATATTTTAAATTTTCCTTAAGTAAATTTTTAAATTACAGAAGATGTATTTAATTTATTTTTAAGATGTTTATCTCTTCATTTATTTCCCAGATTCCTTTAATGTTTCTTTGTGTAGGTTTTTAACCTTGTTTTGAATCACACTGGGCTTCCTTGTAATCCATGCTTTGAATTCTTTATGTTTCATTTCTTAGTTTCCTTTTCAGTTATGGACCATTGTTGGAGAGCTAATGCACTCTTTTGGTGGTATCACTACATTTAGATTTTTCATGTTGCCAGAATACTTGCACTAGTTTCTTCTCATCTAGAGACACTGGCACTTCTAATTTTTGTAATTATTTTTGTGCAGGAAGGATTTTTTTTCTTTTCCTGTCTCTCCCTATATTGCTGTTAATATTTTTTTTCTTTCCCTTTTTCTTTCTCCCTCTCCATATGAAGTGCAACTCTAATGAGTGCTGGGTATGGTCTTTTGGCATTGCTTCTATACCCCTATGTACATATGTAAGCAGGTTTTTTATTGAGGTGTGCAGTTCAACCTACAAGCCAATAGACAGCGATCATAGGTAAGAGTAAGCTGTGGCCAACACAGTTGGGTACGTATTTGATTCTTGTTTACTGGAAGAAGCTCTCTGTTGCCTCAGGCAATGCGCTAATTTGTGGAATGCACAATGGTCCTATCTTCCTACTCAGCCTCAGTGGGGAAGGGGCCACAATAGGTAGAGCCAGTGCAGACATGTCCACCTATAGGTCCCCAGATGGCAGACACAAGCACCAGTACCAAGGGAGAATCCAGGGTGCAACCACCAAGCACACAAAGGTGTGCCTAGGCATGGAGCCTGGAAACCTCCTCAGCCCCAATTTCTCTACCCAGTGGTGGGCGTCAACCTAAACTCTTAATCCAAAAGAGTGGGTGATCCAGTTGCCTGGAGATCTGCCTGGGCATGGAGTAGAGAGGGCCCCCATGGACCAGGATCTATGCATAGAAGGAGTGGGGCAACTATGGCTGCTCAACCAGGCAAGCAGGTGTTCTGAATTTCTGGATATCCATCTGGGCATGGCATGCAGATGTTGCTGCACCATGATCTATGTCCAGGAAAGGTAGGGTGGCTCAGGCTGCTGAACCAGATGAGTGGTTGCTCTGAATGTCTGGTAATCTGCCCGGACGTGGAGTGGAGAGGGTTCTGCTGCACTACGCTCTATGATTCATGAAGGGTGAGGGTGGCTCAGGCTGCTGGTCCAGATAAGCGAGTGCTCCAACTGCCTGGATATCTTTGTTGTGATGGAGTAGAGAGAGCCTTGTTTCACCATGATCTCAGGGGAACAGTCTGGGGAACCCAGCAATGGCACATGCAGATTAGTTCCAGGTTGCCCAGCCAAGGTGGCTCCTGGTGCAAGTTTCACCAGTCAGGAGAAACTTTAGCTATAGCTTTCACTCCAGACTTGCAAAGGGGAAAAGCACAATTCTAGTCCCTACTGTTTTAGTGCCTTCCACAGTTCTGGCTGTGGAGGCCCCTATCCAGCTCCAGATCAGGTGCTCCAATCCGTGGCCCAAGGATAAAATGCCTGTGTGGCCACACTGTCAGCTCACCTAAAAATAGCTGACTTTGTATGCACCTGGATTAAAAATGATGCCATGCTCTCTCTCAGTTCTGAGTCCGGGAACATGTCTGCAGCTTTTCCCAGTGCCTTTTCCTAACTTTGCCTCCAAACCTCTCCCCAAGTTACCTCTAAGGCTTGGGAGAAGCCTTAGTTCTCTCTCAGCCTGGGTTGCTTTGATCCCCCAGTGGAAAGGTGAGTCACAGAGGGAGGCTCTATCTCTCTCACGTACTGGTGCTTCACTCATTTTTATCAGCCAGACACCATCACAGGGCTGTTTGCTGGCATTCTCTTCCCCTGATCTGGGGTGTCCTTCATGTTTTCAGTGAATTCCGGTTTTCCTTCTTAAATTAAGGCTCCCGAAGTTGATCTTCATGTACTATCTTGCTATTTTCAAGTGTCTAAGGCACACTAGATGCCTCTAATTGAAGGTTTTGTAAAAAATTAAAAAATAAAACAACAAAAAATTGAATGATTTTCACAGAGAATGATAACAGTAATTTTCTCTAAGGAAGAATTGTATTTAATTTAAAATTCACTAAACCTATATCTGGTTGATCTGTGAACAGGCAATACAAGTTGAGGGTGTGCCTAACTAAGATAGCCCTTAAGAGCTTTATTTTATTTTTAATTGACAAGTAATAATTGTATATATTCGTGGAGTAAAATGTGATGTTATGACACATTTATACATTATGTAATGATTAAATCAGATTAATTAAAGTTACAGATTTTCATATACTGTGGTACTGATCAGTGGCATATGAATCAATGAGTGAAACAAAATTGTGTCTAAAAACAGAAAATAACTCAAAAATTAAAATCTCTTCAAGACCCTATGCCCACTTCAATGCTTAATCAGAGAATTATTCCTCACCTCTTCCAGCATCTGACGGTTCATGGCATTCTTGGGATTTCTTGGCGTGTGGCCACATCACTCCCATCTCTGCCTCCGTCTTCACCTTGTCTTCTCTTCTGTGTCTTCTCCTCTTCTGTCTGTTTCAATTCTCCTTCTGCGTTTCTTTTACAAGAACCCTTGTCATTGGATTTAGGACACACCTGAATTATCTTAGAATTACTTCCTCATATAAAAATCCTTAATTTATCCCATCTATAAAGATCCTTTCAGTAACATTCAAATATTTCAAGAATTTGACTTGGATATCTTTTAGAGGACCATATTCAGCCTATTACAAACATCTGTGAGTCAACAAGAAAAATAAAACAATAAATACTAACATATTCTTGAACATATACATTCAAAAGACCAATTCACTTTGCCTGGGTTATCCCATCAAAAATAACAGATATGCAAGTAATTTAGGTAGGAATTAAAAATAATATGACTACCTGTGTCCTGAACAGTGTGAAACAGGAAAGAAAAAAAGTAAATATATGACTGTGTCTGTGATTGGTAATGGCCAATTTGGGGACAATTCTCAGGGGACTTTCTGAGAAGCCATGTAAATTACACCGTGACATTGTCTGTCCAAGTAAAAGAGGAGAGAAATATTTATCCACCAACTTTTATCCCCTATGACCAATTCTTAGCCCATGTATTATTTACTCTTTTGCATATCTATCAGAATGACTGATAAGCTTCTGGTAGGCATCTGCCCCAGTACTCCAGGTCCCATTGTAAAAAACAAAAGATGGAGGATAAAATTGAGGTAATGTGCTATCAGATTAATTCAGCAAACTTCTGTTTTCCACAACAATGACGGGAATAAAAAATGGGCTCATGTTATGTGAGGTGGGACAAAAAGGAGTTTAACATATAAGCAAATTATAAAAGTCTGTTCAACATCTTTTGGTCACGAAAATTTAAATTACATCTTGGATAAGATGCAGAACTGCTAAAACTTTTATAAATAATCTTCTGGTAGGAGTGTAAATGGACACAGTCACTATCTAAAATGCTTTGATGGTGTCTATTATACCCTATGACACTACAGGTCCACATGAGTGCAAGCATATGGGTACCAAAATATATGTATACACACATTCATAGCAGTGCGATTAGTTATAGGAAATCACTCAAATGCACAAATGTGCATCATTGTGGATTATTCATATAATGATTATCTATATAGTGATGAATAAGAACAAACTACAATTATATACTAAAGTATACTTAGCAAAATAAACCATACAGAAAAGAGCATAGATCACATGAATCTATCCAATGAAATTTAAAAATAGGCAAAAACTAATCTATGATGATAAAATCAACATAATGGTTTTCTTTGCAAGGCCAGTTACTGAGATAGAACACAATGAAGCTATTTTAGTAGGGTGAGATTTTATGGCCAAATCTATATTACGGTTACCCAGAATGTTCACTTTCTGCACACTTATTGAGCTATTATGTATACTTCTGTGCACACTTCTCAAAATGCACATTTTACTTCAATAAAATCTATTTCTTAAAGTGACAAAATATATATTATTTCTTTAGAAAATATGGAATATATAAAAATATAAAGAAAATAAGATAGAAATTTCATCACCCAAATAACATATATATCCCTCTGGTATTTTTTCTATGGCATATACCAGCAGCTCTCCAGTACTTGGATACACATTAGCCTGTTTATGACTAACAGTTTTCTTTATACCCTTAGTGGAGTTCTATAATTAGGCAGCGGTAGTTGCCAGCCTTTGGCATGTTATGTAAGGAGGAGAAAAGCTCCCAGCTGTGCTCATGGAAACAATCTATGAAGTTGAAGTGGCTCAGCTTGGATCTTACCTCCTCCATATAGAGTGTCAGAAATAGTTATAACCAGGTTTTTTTAACTTATTTTTCAGCTCTGTGTGGGCAATGAACATCCAATATCTATTATTTCTTAATCATTACTTTTTAAAAATATTTATTTGTTGTCATTTTTGCTTCAAGCAATAATTTAGGTTCTCTGTATCTTTCATTCTCACCATTATCCGGTTAGTATGTTATATTTAAATTCTAGACATTCCACCCCATTGCATAGTGTCCATGTATGTGTAAGTGTTAGACTGGTGTTCGGTTTTAAGAGTCTCTCTAGAGGAGAAGACCAGAAATCTGAATGCAAAATCTTTTAAAAAAAAACCACTTCCTTTCTCTACAGCCTTTCTCTCTACTACTGGAATATAGAGGCACTGAGTATAAGCCATTGAAATCATACTTTCTTAATACGAATACTTTTAACACAAATACTTACAAAATATCATTCTTGGTGAACTAAGTTAGGCTAGAGATTAGCATCAGAAATTCTATTTGCATAGGCTATTAGTTGTCAAGCATTAGTGAGTGTCAGAATCACCTGGAGAGCTTCCTAAAACAGATTGCTATGCCCTACACTCACTGATTTTTTGGGTTTGAAATGAGGCTTGAGAATTTACATTTCTACCGCATTTCCAGATTATGCTGCTGCTCCTGATGGTCAGAGATCCATGTTAGAGACTCAGGGTAGGTTAAGAGAGCCTAACATTTGTCCCTTTTACCTGTCTCCCACTGTTGTTTCCACTTTTTCTCTATGGATAGAAGCTGCTTTTGACTGTTCAGTTAACTTTACAGCCCCTCTGAGGGGCATTTTTTTTTTCTACTGATAGCAATACTTACCTCCCTCAAACTTACTGGATGTGTCCAATAAAAGTTAGTGATACAATAAAACTATAGTCCACGAACACGGATAAGCATATTAATGAAATAATCCCAGCCAAAATATTAGGACACCATAGTCATGTGCGTCCGGTAAGGTTGCTCAATACAGGATACATGCATAGATAGATACAGGCATAGTTAGATACATATAAAGACAGATAGATGGATTGTTATAAGTAGAGATATGTGAGTTATGTGTTCGAAATTCCCCAGTAGATCCCCTTTTCACTCAGAATATGAAACTGCAATGCTCTGAATCCTAACAATCCTTAAATAATCTACAGTCCACAACTCTCGACCCCTCACAGATGTCATTTCTTATCCCTGTCTGTCTTTTATTTGTTCCAGTCCCAATGGCAGCTTCCAGATTCCACCTTTTTGCCCTGCCCAGAAATATCTTCACTGTGGTTTCTTCTTTTAACTGTCTTCTTTACACAGGTGACAACTGCTCAATCTGGCCTATCCTAATGATTAAACTTAACTTTTAAATTTTTCCTGGCCCACACCTCCCCTTTATCCCCATAATACTCTCCACCTTCTAATATACTGCTAAATGCATTACATTATTCTGGTACATAGCTTTTCTCTTGTCACTTTAAACGTACCTGAGTGAAGGGAAGAATTTTTATTTGTTCTATTCAATCCCATGTCCCCAGTACCAATAAAAGTCATGGGCTCATAAAGGTGTTCAATAAATATTTGTTGAATAACTTTTAACAGCTATATATATACAAATATTTTAAATGAAATACTTTAGTTGAATTTTCTTGAAGAAAAGTCAATTTGAAATAAAAATTAGAAAGTTGCTAGCCTTTCAATAAGTTTCATTACTATAGATGTTTGTTCTAAAATCATTTCTTTAAAGTTGACATTTCTAGCTTATAAGGTTGAAGTCATTTAAAGCTCTATTGTCCACTAATAAAGGTAACAAACTTAGCATCTGTATATGGCTCTTCACCTTAACTCTCTCAGCATACTTCTCCAGGTTTTTTTCTTATACTATTTGTATATATTCAAGATTAATATTTATATTCTCATCTTTAATCATAATTCTTATTTTATAATAAAAGGAATTCATCATCAATTGTTTTACTAAAAAGTCTCTATTATTGACTGAAATTCAGTATAAGCATTTTCCTCACCCACACACCACAGAGATAGCACATGTGAGAATCCTTGAGAATGTACATTATCTAATTTGTCCCTACCTTGTTTATATGACTTCCCCTTTAGAACCACTTCCTAATCTGTGCTTTTAAACTAGATTTATAAAGACATACCCATCTTTTCTTTGGCTTTTCTAAAAACCCTGTATTAGACCACTCCAAGACACACACACACACACACACACACACACAGAGAGAGAGAGAGAGAGAGAGAGAGAGAAACAGAGAGAGACTTTTCTTTCCGTGATTATGACACTTGCTATGAGCAAATTATGTAACCTGCTGATTGTTTTTCAGAATGTCCCTGTAATGACTTTGTAAAGTTCTTTCATCTTCATGGTTAGTGGCTTAGATTTGTAATACATTGTATTCATAGAATATATTTTGTTTGTAAGCCAATTGACATTTTTCAGTTTTTATAAGATTTAGAAGACAGAGAATTGTCATTTCTGAGTATTCCTAATCACAACTGTTCTGGCTGTTTTCCTTGAGTTTATTTAAAAAATTTATTCCTAATGGACCTCTCCTTGTTACCACAAGGAGGGTCAACTTTACCCCAGCAAGAGTATCCTCCAAGATCTCTTCCACTGAGAATGTCCTTCCCTTTAATCCAATAGTGATGTTGATTTATCTTGTTCCCCTGTGTTTCTCTGAACTTTTCAATGGGTGTAGTAAAAAACCCTAGGCATAATATAACTAAAATATCCTGCACAAGAGGTAAATATTAAAAGGAGATGCAGAGAAATATTTGGGTAATTGGCTCTAAAGTAATTATTATTTCTTCTCCATCAAGTCTGCCTTTTAACAAGGTATAACACAACTCTTCGTAACTTTTTCTATATTTACAGCTTTGAAATTACATTTAACTTCCACTTATTCTGCTATTGTTTCCATTCATACTTACATATTTAACTTTTCTGTATCTTTGCAGAAATAAAGGTTGCTTTATCATGGTTTATATTGCTTAATCATGGTTAAAAGGCAAAAAATTGCTTAATCATGGTTTATATTGAATGCAATTTGGTATTTGTATTTTAATAATAAATTATTTGTGTATATTATGATTAGTTTTTAGAAGTATTCTCTATCAACTTATTATTTTGTTTTATACTTATATGTTCTCTTTGACTTTATTTTTTCTTTCTTCACTATTTTCGGATGTCTTACATTTTCTCTACTATTCATACATTTACTTTTGTTCTCCTGTTGGTTGTCACTATTTTATTACTATTATTTATATTTTTATTTTATGGTAGATTTCTAAAACTTATAAATAACTAAGTCCTTATCCCAAAAAAGGTGATGTACTTAATATGCACCAATGATTTTGACAGCTACCCTCTTAATATCGCCATTATTAATATTATTTTAAATTTTGGGGGTATATAATAAATGCATATATTTATGGGCTACATGAGATATTTTGATACCGATATGCAATACATAATAATCACATTATGGAAAATTGGGTTTCCATGCCCTCAAGCATTTATCCTTTATATTACAAACAATCCAATTATATTTTTTAAGTTATTTAAAAATGTGTAATTAAATTTTTATTGACTATAGTCCCCCTGTTTTGGTATCAAGTAATAGGTTTATTTATTCTTTCTAATTTTTTTGTATCCATTAACTATCCCCACCCTCCCATTACTCCTTCCATCACTGTTCCCAACCCCTGTTAACAATCCTTCTATTCTCTACCTCCAAGAGCTCATTTTTTTTTTTTAAATTTTTAGATCACACAAATATGTGAGAATGTGTGATGTTTGCCTTTCTGTGCCTGGCTTATTTCACTTAACATAATGACCTCCAGTTTTTTCCATGTTATTGCAAATGAAAGAATCTCATTTTTTTTATGGCTGAGTAGTACTCCATTGTGTGTAAGTACCACATTTTCTTTATCCATTCATCTGTTGATGGACACTTAGGTTGCTTCCAAATCTTAGCTATTGGGAACACGGCTGCAATAAGCATGAGAGTGCAGATACCTCTTAGATAGGCTGATACCCACAGAGGGATTGATGGAACATAGGGTAAGTCTATTTTTAGTTTTTCTGAAGAACCTCCAAACTGTTCTCCAAGGCAGTTATATTAATTTATATTTCCAGCAATAGTATGAGGGTTCCTTTTCTCTTCATCCTTGTCAGCATTTGTTATTGCCTGACATTTGGATAAAAGCCATTTTATCTGAAGTCAGATGATATCTCATTGTGGTTTTAATTTGTATTTCTTTGATTATCCATGACATTCAGCAAGTTTTTATATGCCTGTTTGCCATTCATATGTCTTCTTTTGAGAAATGTTTGTTAAGGATTTTAGCCATTTTTTTAGTTGGATTATTAGATTTTTTTCTATAATTGTTTGAGCTTCTTATATATTCCAGTTATTAATCCCTCATCAGATGGGTAGTTTGCAAATTTTTTTTTTTTTCCCATCCTGTAGGTTGTCTCTTCACTTTGTTGATTGTATTCTTTGCTCTGCAGAAGCTTTCTAACCTGATGTGATCTCATTTGTCCATTTTTGTTTTGGTTGCCTATACTTGCAGGGTATTTGTCAAGAAATTTTTTGCTCAGATCAATGTCCTGGAAAATTTTCCCAATGTTTTCTTGTAGTGGTTTCATAGTTTGAGGTCTTAAGACTTAACTATTTAGTCAATTTTGATTTTATTTGTGTATTAGGTGAGAGATAGGAATAGTTTCATTCTTTTACCATATGGATATCTAGTTTTCCTCGCATCATTTGTTGATGACACTGTCTTTTCCCCAATGTATGTTCTTGACACCTCTGTGGGAAATAAATTTACTGTAGGTGTATGAATGTGATTCTACGGTCTCTATTCTGTTCCATTGGTCTCTGTGTCTGTTTTTACGGCAGTACCATACTGTTTTGGTTACTATAGCCCTGTAGTATTGGAACAGGAATTAAAAGAAATTAAAGAATGTGTAAGCAGAAACTCAGTTGTATGTAAGAAAACCCAACTCCCCCTGAGAAAGAGAAAGAGCTGGGGTCCTTTTCAAATTAACTGCCTGTTTTTCTGTGGCTAGTGAGCCTTATCTCTCCTCCTTTCCCAGGCATTGTGAAGACCCTGTTTCTCTAGCTGTGCAGCTTCAAGGTCACTAGACAGATACCTAAACATGTTTCAAGTCGTAAAACATGTTTTTCCTTGAAAAGTAAGAAATGATGTAATGCATGTCTCAATTAAATAACTGTCTTTGTTTCTCACTTATGTAATATGCTTCCCCCTGCATAGATCTCCCCCCGCCCCACAAAATGCTTAAAAGGTAACTTAACTCTTTGTTCAGGGCTCAGTCCTTTGGATGTTAATCCCACTGGGCCAGTGCACCTAAATAATAAATATCCTCCTGAACCCCATCGGTCTCTCTGATTCTTAACAATCCCACAACAGTATAATATGACATCAGGTAATGTGATTCCTCCAGTTTTGTTATTTTTGCTCATGATATCTTTGGCTATTCTAAGCCTTTTGTTATTTTATATAAATTTTAGAATTTTTTTTTTCTATTTCTGCAAATAATGTCATTGGTATTTTGCTAGGAACTGCATTGAATCTTTAGATTGATTTGGGTAGTATGGACATTTTAACAATATAGGTTATTCCAACACATGAAAATGGAATATCTTTCCTTTTTTTGTTTTGGTGTTCTCTATTTTATGTGTGGCTATTGTACATAGGATTACTTCTTTTATTTCTTTTTCAGATTGTTCATTTTTGGCATATGGAAATGCAGTTGATTTTTGTATGTTGATTTTGTATCCTGAAGCTTTCCTGAATTTGTTTATCAGTTCTAATAGTTTTTTGGTGGAGTCTTTATGTTTTTTCAAATGTAAGATCATATCTTCTGCAAACAAAGGTAATTAGACTGTGTTTGTTCCAATTTGAACGCCTTTTATTTCTTTGTTTTGTGTAACTGCTCTACCTAATACTTCTAATATTATGTTGAATAACAGTAGTGAAAGTGGACAACTTTTCCCCCATTCAGTAGGATAGTAGCTGTGGGTCTGTTTTATATGGCTTTTGTTATGTTGAAGTATGTCCCTTCTATATCCAGTTTTTAGAGGGTTTTTATCATAAAGGGATGTTGAAATTTATCAAAGGCTTTTTCAGCATCAATTAAAATTAGCACCTTTTTTCCTTTATTTTGTTGATATTATGTATTACATAAATCAATTTGCATATGTTGAACCATCCTTCTATCCCAGAGATAAATCCCACTGGGTCATGATGAATGATCTTTTTAATGTCTTGTTTAATTCAATTGGTTAATATTTTTCTTGAGGACTTTTGCATCAATATTCAGCAGAGACATTGGCCTGTAATTTTCTTTTTTGATGTGTCTGTTTCTGGTTTGGGTACCAGGATAATACTGGTCTCATATAATTAGTTTAGTAGTATTCCTTTCTCCTCTAGTTTTTGGAACAGTTTGGGTAGAATTGGCATTTGTTATTCTGGTAGATTTCAGTAGTGATGATTGGGTCCTAGGCTTTTCCTTACTGGAAGATTTTTGTTACAGCTTAGATCTTGTTACTCGTTATGGTTCTGTTCAGGTTTTGGATTTCTTCATGGTTCAATCTTGTTAGATTGTATGTGTCTCAGAATTTATCAATTTCTTCTAGATTTTCCAGTTAATTGGCATACAGTTAATCATAGTAGCCACTAATGATCCTTTGAATTTCTGGGATATCAGTTGTAGTGTCTCATTTTTCATCTCTGATTTTTTAATTAGGTCTTCTCTTGGTATTTCTTAGTCTGGCTAAGGATTTGTCCATTTTTTTTTAACTTTTTAAAAGACCAAGGTTTGTTTCATTTATCTTTTTTTTATTTTAAATTGATTTATGTATGCTCTTATCTTTATTATTTCTATTCTTCTACTAATTTGGGGATTGCTTTGTTGTTGTTCTTTTAGTTCTATAACATGCACCATTAGGTTATTTATGTAAAGTTTTTATTATTTTTTATGCAAGCACTTATAGCTATAAACTTCCTTCTTAGTATTGCTTTCACTGTATCCCACAGGTTTTGATATATTATGTTTTCATTATCATTTGTTTCTAGAACTTTAAAATTTTCTTCTTAACTTTTTCGTTGAGCCACTGGTCATGCAGGGACTTATTGTTTAATTCCCATGTGTTTGTATAATTTCCAAAATTCCTCTTTTTATTGATTTCTAATTTTATTCCATTGTGGTCAGAGAACATGCTGATATTATCTCAATTTCTTGAAGGTTTTAAGACTTGTTTAGCAGCCTAACATGTCTTTCCTTAAGAATGATCTATGTGTGGAGGAGAAAAATATGTATTCTGCAGCCATTGAATAAAATATTCTGCGAATATCTGTTAGGTATATTTATTCTATAATGCAGATTAAGTCCAGTGGTTCATTGTTTATTTTCCTCCTGGGAGTTCCTTTCAATACTGGAAGTTGGTTGTTCTCTGGCTATTTTTTTTTGTATTGAAGTCTATCTCACTCTTTAGTATCATTAATATTTCTTTATATATCTGGTGTTCCAGTGTTGGGTGCATATAGATTTACAATTGTTATATTGTCTTGCTGAATTGACCCCTTTATTATTATGTAATGACCTTCTTTGTCTATTCTTACAGGTTTTGTCTTGAAATCAATTTTGTGTGATATAAATATAGTTACTCCTGCTCTTATTTGGTTTCCATTGGCATGAACTAAATTTTTTTTATCCCTTCATTTTAAGTCTATGTGTATGTTTATAGGTGAGGTATATTTCTTGTAGGCAACAAATCATTAGGTCTTGTTTTTTCATCCATTCAGGCACTCTGTGTTGTTTGATTGGGAAATTTAGTTCATTCACGTTCAATGTTATTATGGATAGATAGGGATTGACTTCTGTCATTTTGTTATTTGTTTTCTGGCTGTTTTGCATTGTCCTCTTTCTTCTTTTCTTCCTTCCTGTCTTCCTTTTAGTGAAAGTGATTGACTTTCTCTGGTGGTATGCTTTAATCTCTTGTTTTTATTTTTTTTGTGTGTCTGTTGCATGTTTTTCATACAATTTGAGGTTACCATGAGCCTTCTAAATTCTATCTTATAAACCAATATTTTAAACTAATGACAACTTAACACTCATCTCATTAACAAACACACACACACAAACCAATAGAAACTTTATATGTTAACTTCATCCCCCCACAGTTTTACTTCATGAGGTTTCTCTTTATGTCTCATTCTACTATGTCTTGAAAAGTTGTTGTAGTAATTACTTTTTATTGTTTAGTGTTCCTACATAAGTCAAGAATAGTTTACACACCATAATTATAGTGTTGTACTATTTTGTTTCTCTGTGTGCTTCTTATTGCCAGTGAGTGTTTTATCTTCAGATAATTTTTGTCTTATTTCTTAACATCCTTTTCTCGTAAAACAGATCTGGCATTGGTGAAATCACTTTTTTTTTTTTTTTTTTTTTTTTTTGGTCTGGGAAGGTCTTTACCTCTCTTTCATGTTTGAAAGATATTTTTGCTGGATATACTATTCTACGGTAAGAGTGTTTTTTTCTTCAGCCTTTAAATATGCTGTACCATGCTCTCCTGCCCTGTGAGTTTTCCACTAAAAAGTCTGTTGCCAGACATATTGGAGCTCCATTGTATGTCATTTGTTTCATTTCTCTTGTCCTTGACCTTGGGAGTTTTATTTTTAAATGACTTGATGTAATATTCCTTGGGATAAATCTGCTTGATATTCTATAACCTTATTGTAATTGAATGTTGGTATCAGTCTCTACGTTTGAAATGTTCTTGGATATTATCCCTTTAAATTAACTTTCTACCCCTATATCTTTCTGTACCTCCTCTTTAAGGCTGATAACTCAGATTTGCCCTTTTGAGGCTACTTTCTAGGTCTTGTATGTGTGCTTCATTGTTTTTAATTCTTTCTTTTGTCTCCTCTGACTGTGTATTGTTCCAATAGCCTATCTTCAAGCTCACTAATTATTTCTTCTGCATGAACCCTTCTGCTATTAAAGAACTCTGATGGCATTCTTCAGCAGGTCAATTGAATTTTTCAGCTCTAGAATTTCTCCTTGGTTCTTTTTAATTATTTCAATCTCCTTGTTAGATTTATCTCTGATAGAATGCTGAATTCCCTCTCTGTGTTATCTTTTGAGTTTCCTCAATACAGGTATTTTGAATTCTCATTCTGAAAGGTCATAATATCTCTGTTGTGGGATTGGTTCCTGATGCCTTGTTTAGTTCATTTGGTGGATCATGTTTCCCTGGATGGTGTTAATGCTTGCAGATGTTCTTCAATGTTTGGTATTGTAGACTTAGGAATTTACTATTGTTTTCACAGTCTGAGCTTGTTTGTGCTTTCGTTCTTGAGAAGACTTCCCTGGTAAACAAAGGACTTTGGGTCCAAGTCCAATAAGGCTATGTTTTTTGCAGACTGATAGAGGTATAGTTTTAATGGTCTTGAATAAGATTCAGAAGAATTATCTGGATTACCAGGAAGAGACTGTTGTTTTCCGCCTTACTTTTCAAACAAGATTTTTCCCTTGACACCCTTTGTGGGCAGGAGCTGAAGTGGCTCTTTTCACTCAGCCTGTCGCTGGCCACTGCTCCTGAAACAATGTGGGCAAGCAAGCAAGCATGGGAACTGGAGGGAAAGGCCTGCTGGAACTGGCTGGTCACTCCTCTCTGGCAGAAGTAGGCTCTGTGTGAGCCCCACAGCAGCATTCAAGCCCCTGCCCTCTCAGCACCCATGTTCTTGTCCAGCATCCAGGAAGCATCAGGTCACATGAATGGATTCAAGAGTAGTGCATGGGAAAGATTCCCGTGGGTGATAAAAGTGGCTCTCTGCAGAATGGGGAATTGGAAAGGGGATGGTGCAGGAAGGAGGTGATCCTTCCATGAAGCCACACTATCTGAAATTAGCTGTGTCTATCCATAGTCTGACACTCAGCTGTTTGTATCTCCAATGTTCAGCAGCTTGTATTCCTGCCAGTTAGCTATTTGTGTTGCTCTGCCAGCTGAAGTCTTTTCATGGGCAAAGAATAGGGGTGTTTCAGGTCAAAAAGCCACAGAAAAATGGGGTCAGCTACTTTCACTTAGGCCACTCCAGGCTTAAGGGTGGAGTTTAGCTGGGAACCCACCGATTCTGTATCATATTCCCCCTCTGAAGAAGCACATTTAACTGCCATTAGAATATGGATGGTGACTGACCTCAGCAACTTCCTGCTGAAAGGGAGTACTGTTTGGGAAAATAGAAGTCAGATTCCTCCTGAGGTCTACACAAATGTCCCTGGCAAAAGGGAGCCATTGTCCCAGGTTCCAGCTACCTGCCCGTTTGGAGCCTTGATGGCCTCTCGGTGAGACAAACAACAAGCTTTAAAAGGTTAAATATGCATGGATCAAACACGTGTATTATACAAGGAAAGAATCTCATGCCAGTGATTACAGAAATAAGAAGTAAAATATACTAACAACATTGTACCCCAAACTGTCTCACCCTGGTGAAAGAATTAAATCTTATATGGGAGTGGTTAAACTTTATGAGAGATATAACTGTTCTTACCATATCTGTAGCAATCAACAGGTGACCCTAAGGAAATCTCAGGTTTGTGGGCTTGCAAACTTCAGGAGATCCTCTAAAGTACTATCTGGTTCCAGGGTCTGGTTCTGAGTATAAACTGAAGGCAGTAGAATTTGTTGGTTGCCTATTCTGAAAGATAAGGAATTCAGAATCCGTCATTCTTTTTTTTTTTTTTTTTTTTCAGTGAAAAGTTGGAGTGTGAGGGAGAAAGAAAGTAGGTGTCTTCCCTTTATTTTCATCCTTATTCCTAAGTCCCAGCAACCTTGGCAGGTGCCACCCATGGGAACCAAAGTGGCTTTCACCCATGTTAACAGGGGGTCTAGGGATGGGAATATCTACTCTTGCTGAAGTACACCCTACCTGGGCCTCATTTATGCTACAGAATGTGGCCTCCTTTCGTGAAATGGGGATTTAATTGGCAGGAACTTGCTTGCCCATTTACACTATGCCTGTTGCCTGGCTTTGGATCCCTCAGATATGGTTTTCCTTTCTAGGGCCTCAACCTGAAGCTTGGAATAGAGTTTGAGACAAGAAAAAAAGATGTTTCAGGGTCTGCATAGATTTATTTAGATTAAGTCCCAGATAGGCTTTGCCAAATTTACTGTTATCAGTCAGCAAGGGTTGCCCCTCTGTTGCTTCCCTACCATAAGCAGAATGCTGAGGTACAAAGAGAACTCTGTCACTTAGAAAAGAAGAAAAACAACTTAAAGTGCATAACGTGGGGGTTTGGGGAGCTGAGGAAATAGCCATTTGCTCTGTAGGAATGGGTTCCCTTTAATCACTGTATCCTTTCCCTAGTTCAAACTGGCTAGACGCCTGTGAAGGGAAACAGAGCCAACATATTCCTATTACCTAAAGGAAAGAGAGAGGTGGCAGGGTCTTGGAAAAAAGACAGATCCAACAGTTCCTCATTTTAACTCACAATTTTTTGTATCCTGGATGAGCCCTCAGATGAGACAGGATTGTTCCCTTGACCGCCTTTGTGGGATGGAATTGGAGTAGCTCCTTTCACTCAGCCTGCCACTGGCCACTCCTCATGAAACAGAGCATGCAAGCAAGCACTGGAACCAGAAGGAATGAACACGGAAACCAGCTGGTTGCTTCTCTCTGGCAGGAGCAGGTTTTGTGAGGGCCCTGCAGCAGCATCCAAGCCCCTGGCCTCTGGGCACCTGGGTTCTTGTTCAGTGTCTAGGAAGTAAAAGGTCACAGGAACAAAGGATTGAAGAGTAGTGCATGTGGAGAATTCCACTGGGTGATAAAGGTGGCTCTCAGCAGGGTGGGGAATTGGAAAGGGGATGGTGCAGGAAGAAGGTGATCCTTTCCTGAAGGCTCACCATCTGAAGCTAGACACATCTATGTATAGTCTCTTGATGCTCAGACACTTGTATCACTGCTGGTCAGCTGCTTGTGTTGTTCTGCCAGCTGAAGTCTTTTTATGGGCACAGGACAGGGACATGGCAGCCCCAAAAAAGCAACATTTGGGCAGAAAAACAGGGTTAGCTATTTTCACTTAGGGCCTTTGCTCCAGGTTTAAAGTGAAGTTTAGCCATTCTGTATTTCTTTCTCTGAAACAGAGTCTCTCTGTGCTGAGACACCTGGAACTGAGGGTGTGGTGATGCATGTATCCCTATGGCCACCACCACTAGGACTGTGCTGTGTCAGACCTGAAGGCAGCACTGCTCTGGGCCTTGCACAAGGCCCTTCTCTTCAGGACAAGGTGTCCCCCTAGGCCTTGGGCATGTCCAGAGATACTATCTGAGAGCCAGAAATTGGAGTCAAAGACCTTAGCAATTTGTCTGATGTTCTGTTCTACTGCAGTTAAGTTGTCACTCAAACCACAATACAAAGTCCTCCCTGCTCTTCTATCTCCTTTTCAAAGGCTGAGAAGCCTCTCCCTGTGGTCATCACCAGCACCAGTTCACATGGTTTTGCCAGGCAACAGCCAATGTTCACTTAAAGCCTATCACCATTATTTTTGATACTGCTTATTTAAATAAGAAATTTACTGAGTTATTTACTCACCATCATTTTCTATATTATAGTTTTCTGCTTATAGTTATTTATATTCTTGCTGAAGCATTTCTGTGAATGTTTTGAAAAAATATCATTGGATAATAAACTTTCCTAAAACTTGTTTCGGAGAGCCTATTGAATTGGCCAAGATACTCAAATTATAATTCTACTTATATATGAAATATTATGTTCAACAATTTAAAAAACTATTAATATATTTACCTGCTTTTGAATGTCACCTAGGGAGAAATTTGAAGTTAGTATTATTCCTCTCTCATCAGTGAACTTTTTCTTATCTAGTGGATATGAAATGGTCATGTTTTCTTTGAGATTCTTCAGTTTAAAACCAATATTTATAATATGTGTGCATTTGTTTTGCCTTTATTTGCCTTGCTTGTCATTTTTATGATTGATTCCTGAACATTCTATTTATTATATCATAAAATATTTTGATCTTTTTTATATGTTCTATTTGATGACTCATCAAATTTATGCTACCATTTTGATAGCTTCCTTATGTTATCATCTAGTTTATTAACTTCATGTGTTGATCATATTCATATTTCTTTGTAAGGTATTTACTGAGATCTTTACTTGAGGGATTAAAATTTTTTACACAGTACTTAAATTGGCCATGTCTCATAATGCCTGTTCCTGACGCAAGTTTGTAATCTCATCTCTTATTTTTCTGGGCAGACTTATTATGTTTTCTAAAAATTGTAGTTTTGCCTGTATATAAATTTAATTGTTTAGTTTGTTACTTTTTTATGGTGCTGTGGTCCTCAGATATCTGTTTTCTTCTTGCAAGATTATCATGTTGGTTTACATATTACATAATTACTTAGTAACTCATATCTGAGGAAAGAGTTACTAAACCTTGCTTTGTGCTACTTTATGAGAACATTCAGTAATGGGGTGAAAATTAGGGCAGAGAACTTTCAGAATTGTATATGGTTATTGAACATATCTTACTTAGTTTATTCATTCCTCCACTATCCAATATGATGCTGATCCTTAGGGAAAGCCCCAGGTCCTCTGAGTCTTACGTTTCAATATTAAGTTTGATGTTTACTTTAGGTTTCCAGTAGATAAATTTTAAGACAATCAAATACACACAGAGTTCTGTTTTGTGAAGAGTTTTTTTTGTTTGTTTTGTTTTTATTTTTATTTATTTCTTTCTGAGACAAGGTCTTGCTCTGTCACCCAAGCTGGATTGCAGTGGTGCTATCACAGCTCACTGCAGCCTTGACCTCCTGAGCCCAAACAATCCTCCTACCTCAACCTCCCAAATAGCTAGGACCACAGACTCATGCCACCACGCCCGGCTAGGGTTATTATTATTATTGTCTTTTATTTTGTATAGATAGGGTCCTCCTATGTTACCTGGGATGGTCTTAAACTCTGGGGTTCAAGCTGTCCTCCTGCCTTGGCCTCCCAAAGTTATGGGATTACAGAAATGAGCCACCATGCTTGGCCTTGTGAAGAGTTATTATTATCATTAGTATATGCTATTTTTTATTTTATTTTTTTCTGAAACTGATGATATTATGTTCTATTTATAAGTCATGGTTGATGAAGACATGGTCTTTGACAAATGAGGACATAGAAATTCTCCTCCTATCACATTTGTAAGCCCTCATGATGAGTAGGTGAATTGAAAAAAGTAGAATTCTGCTACCAAAGTTAATAAATTCATATGAAATAATTTCTCTTCATATGGAGGAAAAAATTGAGTATTACCTATGTATAGAGGCTTTATGTGATCAAGGTAATGCCAATAATTCTTCTAGGCAAAATATTTTACCTTCTTTTATCTCACTCTGGGTTTCCAAGGAAACGTTATTTTGAAGGAAATTGTACATTCTTACCTTTCTTTTTATTTGTTTTTGTTGTTGGTTACTTCTCATCAGTCTCAGCTTGTTGGCTCTATTACTTTGCTATTTGTATACAATTCCTTTAATTATAAAAATAAAACACAATGATGACCTGATGCTAAACAGATCAATGGGATGAGTAGACATTTTAAAAATTTTCATTATTTTTTAGTTTGATAATTCTAGAAATTCTTCTCTAAAATGTGTAATGCTCTGCTAATTGCTCTAAATTTATATTAATGTATCTTTGATAGAGTGGCCTGAAAGAAGTAGGTGGAGTCAACTCTGTGGATTCTTTAATCCCCAAATGTTCCCAATTCCAGTATTTCAATTGTGGCTGATTCCTAGTAGTAAAATAGTATTCCAGTGGATTTTATGTTTACTTGTGTTATTTCAAAGGGCCTCAAATAACCTCATTTCCAGCCCTTTCTAAGTTATGGATATTATTTCATTTCTAATGGCATTTTCTTTTTTCCCATATAATGATATTACTGCTTCTAAGAGGGGATAATTACAAATCTATTACTCGTGTCTTCCATCAAACTTGTCCCATCTGCATTATATATAATGAATTCAGTCAATGTTTCTGGCTGTTGAATAATAACCTTCCCTAATTTTTAGTGATGTTGGAGGTTTCTGTCATTTGATTTGTAATAACTTTATTCATTTCCTAGGATATACAGGGCAAGCAGAGAATGAGTAGATAGAGGTGAAATTGTATGGTCTTTGTACTCAATGTACAATATTATGTGTAAATCTATAAAAATGTATTACTTTACCTTTTCAGAAAGATACAGAACACATTCAATAACTTGTTTAACTCAAGTTTTCACATGCTACCTAAAAAATTATTTAACCTGGAAATAATAAAAATAATCTAACTTTACCCACTTGTTTACAATATCAATGTGGGACTTTATCAAGATTTCATGTTTGCTTTTCTATTACTTTAGTCTAATCTAGATTCCAGGTGTTATCCAGGCAAATTAATTAATTTATGTTTTCCCAGAAAAGAATTAGCATAATGTAACCAGTGATCACTCTCCTCTGGATTGGGTAAGAATTAAACAGCTATTTTGAATGAGATATTAGTGATATAAGGTAAATACTGATTTGCTTCTTTTCAGTCTTTTCTTTTGTAAACTGTCTTATACCTTCCATGTAGAAATATTTTGAGCTGGAATAATAATAGAAAATCATAAAACAATCTGACCAATGAGATAATCTTATGAACAAAAGAAGCAACATTTTTGATGCGGTCTTGTAAATTGTAGTAAGTTGCCATTTTTAGAAAAGGAAATCTTATAAAACACAATAAAATGTAGCTCCTTAAAAAACGATGTATTTTTTGAATAGACAGGTAAAAAATAAGTACTACAGTTTAATACACATAAATGAGAGAAGGCCACCGCTGTATATAAACAGTCCCTTTTAAATTAAACAGTGTGCTTTAATTGAATTGCCTGCTGAGCCAAACAAAAATCAGGTCTCTCCCAGAATCAGACTCTGACTGTCATGCACTTTAAGTAAAAGCAAGCAAAATATCTCTCCATGCTTTCAGAGAATGCTGTAGCTTTCACAGAGTTTTGGAAAGCTTTTCAATACGGTTTTTTATAATTGCATTTTTCCCCAGGTTAAAAGAAATCTCTAATCACAGTGCCTTTTTTATTCCCTTGGGTACTTCCCTACCTGTGTTACAGGAGAGACCACCGTGACTCGCAGTAGGAGCCCTCTTTGTAAGATTCAAACTAATTTTATACAAAGTTAATTGAAGCTTTAGACTATTGAATTTTTTAAGTAATGAAACTGCCTTTTCAGAACTTTTCCACTTAATGTCTGTTCCTTCATGGAATCATTTATCATTTCTAACTGGCACAGTAAAATCTGTGCCATATACACATAAATATGTCATATTCATATGAATCCTACAATAGATTAGTGTAGTGTGTGTGCTGTATAACACATGACAAAAGTTAAATTTTTTATAGAAAATTATTTAATGATATACAAAAGAGAATGAAAATACGTGTTTAATATGTGTTTAAAACAGTTTACAATGTAGTTAAAAAGAAAGCACTTATTTTATCTCAACCTCATTAATCAATAGATCACTGTTCTTTAGAATCCTTCTTCATGTTCTCTTCTCCATCGTGTGCATCTCTCTCTACTCTAGTGCCAATCACTAATTTACTTTGATTTTTGTGATCAGCACGTTATACCTCTTAAATATAACTATTATATCATATCTGTATATATTCCAACCTAATATTAAGTTTATGCTTCCTTTCTGAATTTGTAGAAATGAAATCCTGCAAAATGTTGATGCATTTTTATGTAATTCATTATTTCATTATACAACTTTATTGCTAATGGATATGTTGGTTTGTGTTTTACAAAAATGAATAAACTGCCAAAAATATTATGGTATGTGCCTCCTTGTGCTGATTTTCTAATAGGTTATATTCAGGTTCATTTTTAGGAGAAAAATGCAAACTGTTTTCCAAAGGATTTTTAGAATTGTACTCTCTGTTAATTGGCATATCAACCAAACTGCCATTACAAAAAGTCAAAAAGTATAGTGGTTTGGATTTTTTTTCCACAAAACATTACAGAGTTGGACAGTGCTGAGCGAAAAGAATAGTTCTACTTCTGACTTTATTCGAGGCCAGGTTTCTTTACCTTTTCTCTCTCCAAACTCCAAGGGTTTTTGTCTTCATTTACATTGTGTTAGGGCTCAATTTTATATCCATATTTCTATGGAGGGAAAAAGTAAAACAAAAGTATAGGACAAGTGTATTGTTTCCAATAAAATGATCCTGAAGTTACACTCATCTTTCCGTTCAGATCTTGTTAACACCCATTTACTCACATGTCCATATGAATCTTAAAGGAAGGCTAGGAAAACCAGTCACTAATTTGGCAATAGTCTCTCTCTGGCCACTCAAGTATTCATGTGCCTGCTCCTTTTGTACATGAAACACACTCCATCCTCATCAAGGAAGACCTTTCAAAAGTCCCATACAATGCATGCATCCAGCTTAATGTCTAGCTCAATGTTTGGGAACTCTGGGGTCTGCACAATATTTTCCAATAGCTGTGGACATGGTTCATTATTAAAACAACTTATGAATATTAATAAATAGACATCAATGCAAGCCCCACATACACTCCTAATCAATACAGAGTAGTGAAAGGGAAGAGAGTAATCAAAAAACTTTCATTTAGAAAATGAAAATAAAAAACGGGAAAACTCAGTGGTGATTTGTACGTTACAATAATAAAATCTTACTGAGCCAGATTTCCAAGTGTGAGTATTCTGAAAGTGAAATAAAATACTTGTTTTAAGACTGTTTATATTATTTATAAGAAATTGACTTTAAAATATTCTCTGTGCTGTGCCATCCACACTTTCCTTATTGAAAATTATTCTCTTCCTATTAAACTATGTGGTCATATTCCAAGTGAGCACTACAGAATATTGTATCACAGAGCTTGTGTGCATGGCTTATGTAGCCCATGCTTTGCTGGAAGGTTGCTCTAGGATGGAACCAATAATAGGCCTTTGACAACTAGTCTTTTGATTTCTATTGCAGATATGCACCTATCTATAAACAAAAATATAAATATATGAAACATTAATTTAGATAGATAAATAGATAAATATAGAAATTTAAAGGTTAGGAAAAAATATTGAAAGCTAACACAGTAGGAAAAAAAAAACACAAAATTTGAAAACAAAGTTGAGAATACTTTCCAGAAAGTGTGTAAAATAAACCAAATAAAATTAATAGATCAAAATAAAAATGTGCAAATAATATAAGTACTAGGAAGGCTCAAGAAAGAAATAAAATGAGAGAATTTTAGAAGATAAAAACACTGAAATTCTACTTAACGAAAGGGTGTATATTTCCAAATTAAAATGATATGCTTTTAGACACTTTCTGATAGAAAGATCTGAAAAAAGAAAAAGAAAAAAGAAAAAAAAGAATATCTGTAAAGAAATGTAAAGCTCATACAAAATTGATTGATAACAAGAATGACTCCTGTTTTCTTTGAAACAACACTGGAAACTTTCAATATGCAAAATGAGAATCAGATATAATTTCAGACTATAACGCATTTATATAGGCAATACTCCCATAGTTCTTTTCACAGAATGCTAATAAAAGATGCTTTGCAGAAGAAATAAACAAAGTAAAAAAATAAACAGGAGGCATAAACTTTTTAAAAATGCTATATTTGAGAAGTGTTATGGTGAAGATAGTACAGGAATTAGTCTATATTTGAGGAGAAGAATGGAAGTCTCCCAAAAAAGTCCCTCCTGCAAATAAAAGAGAGATCTCTGATGTGTATGAATGTATTAATAAGAGATTTAAAATTCTAAACGATAGTTATGAATGAATACATAATGCATATATAGAAAATTAAACAGAATACATTCTGTTTAATTGAGTCAATCACTAAGTCAGTGACAAACAAAAATGATACAAAGTAACACATATGTTTATTAAGCATTATGTGGTTTAGCAGTGAGTAATATTACACAGACTTTATTGTATAAATATAATTATCTTAAAACTCAACAATGAAACGAATTTAGGTAGGTTATGAAAAAAGACATGAGTACTTGTGTTGTGGGTGGGAATGTAGGGAGACTGGGAAAGTATAAAGCAGATAAACTATTGATTCCTCCAAAAAAACCAATAGGTACATCAAATTGAAAACTTAAGAAATTGAGATATAAGTACGCTACCTAGAGATGTGGAGATAGATACCAAAAGAAACAATTAAAAAAAAAGTGAGCATTTCTGGAGACAGGAATTGGGAATGGTAAGCAATGGTAAGGAGTACAACAACATCCCATGACATTTTCTTTAAATGCATTTTAGGAGTCTGGCTTTTTAAGGTACATACATTTATTACTCTGGTAAAAATGAAAATTAAGCGGATTATATGGACTTCAGAATGTAGCACTTATTTATAACTCAGTAATAATTAACTTCATAGCATCACACCCACTTATCTATCATTAGTTTTACCATTGAGAGGTTTGATTTGTCTGTAGAATGGGATAATACTATACACTACTTAGGAGTGCTATGCAAATGAAATTATATATGTCTGTAAAATTTCTAAAGTAAAATCTAAAGGGCATATGATAAGAGTTAAACTAATGTTAATTCTGCCATTTTAATTGATGAGGGAACTAACTTCTGGAAAGTTTAAGTGATATGTTCAAATACACAGGGATGTAGAAGGAATAAAAATCTTTCACATCAAAGCTCCTACTGAAAGCATTACCTTCATTGTGCTACTTTTTACCTGGCTTATTTACATTAAGACACACATCCTAATGTACCTATCTGTGTCCAGTAAGATAATCAAGAATGAAACCAAAATATTCCAAAGTCATTTCTTCATCTAAGTCTGTCACATTGTTATCATTTAAAAAGTGGGAAAGTACATATTCAGAAGAGGATGTCTAATAAATTTTAAATTATTTATGTTTTTTTCTCTTTTCTATTTTCTTTCATTGTATTTCACATAGTTTCAGTTTCTACCTTTAAAAAATCCTCAAAGTTTAATATCTCTTACTGTGTGGTAGCTATAAAAATGGTAGGGAATAAAAATTGAGTATTTATGAATAATTTTCAGATGACTTTGATAAATGATGAAATTCATCATTAACTCAAACATGGTTTTTGCTTTTGAGTAAACAATATATTGTTACAAGTACTGTTCAGAATTCAACATGCCTACAAAGTATATAGCAATAAAAAATACATTAACATCATGAATGTCTGTACAAGAAAAAACTAGCAAAAAATGGACAATAAAGTAAAAATAAAATTATATTAGATGTTACTTTAATTTCAGTGCTTCTGTTACTGGCATGGGATTTGGAAGATTGTGGAGAGAACATTAATGCCAAGTGAGTCTTCATTGGGATTGATCAATTCACGTTGCCATAAAACATATCACAGAAATGAATATAGATTGTGGTTTAATACTTAATAAACACTTATTTCTTAAGCAGGAGCTTTCTTCAGGAAAGTGTCTTCTCAATTGCAAATAAAAAATATCACATCATGGGGGAAATTTCTGGATTTTATGTGATTAATCATGTTGTTGGTGAAAAAACATTGATATATCAACTGGTGCTTAAGAAGAATTTATGTATATATATTTCATAAATTTCAGTGTTAGAAAAAATGCAAAAACTGCATATGACTTGTATGATACTATATTTTAAAAGCTTGATATAGTCTAGGCATACATTCCTTCATTGATCCTTTTAGATGTCATTCATATTGATTCATTAAACATGTATTTATCATGAATGCACAACAACTACATTGTGTTTCTTTTTTTGCACTGAGAATAGAACGTGGAGCAAAAATAAACTGAAATGTCTTTCCTCATTTTATTAAATTAACAAAAAAATTAATTACTAAAATAGAATGTAAAACAGTGATACATACCATGGAGGAAAATGAATTAGATAAAGGAATAGAGATGTCAGCTACAATTTTAGATTGGATTGTCAGTATTAGGGGTTGAATTGTGTCCATAAAAAAAATACGAAATTTGGCTGGGCGCGGTAGCTCACACCTGTAATTTCAGCACTTTGGGAGGCCTAGGTGCGTGGGTCACCTGAGGTCAGGAGTTCAAGACCAGCCTGGCCAACATGGCGAAACCCCAGCTCTACTAAAAATACAAAAATTAGCTGGTTGTGGTGGTGCACACCTGTAATCTAGCTTCTCAAGAGGCTGAGGCAGGAGAATTGCTCCAACCCAGGAGGCAGAGGTTGCAGTGAGCCAAGATCGCACAATTGCACTCCAGCCTGGGTGACAGAGTGAGACTCCATCCAAAAAAAAAAAAAGATATGAAATTGTCTAATCCCTACAACCTCAGAATGTAACCTTATTTGGAAATAAGGTTGTTAGGTTGTTGTAGATGTTAGATGGAATTAGTTAAAATTAGGTGATATATGAGTAGGGTGAGGCCTTCATCCAATTGGACAGGTGTCCTTATAAGAAGATAAGAGAGACACAGAGGGAATACAGCTATGTAAAAGACACAGAGACACAGGGAGAATGCCATATGAAAACAGAGGTAGAGGATGGGGTGATATATCCACAAGCAAAGGAAAAGTAAGGGTTGCTGGTTGTCATCATAAGCTAAAAGAGAAACATGGAAGAGATACTCCCTCCGTGCTCTCTAAAGGAACTCACCCTGACTAGTTCCTAGAATTCAGACTTCTTGCCTCTACAACTGTGAGAAAATAAATTTCTGTTATTTTAAGCCACCCAGAAGTACCAAAAGTTTGTGGCACTTTTTAAATAGTAGCCCTGGGAAATAAATACAGCCAAGAAAACCTCACATAAAAGGTGATCTCTCAGTATAGACCCAAAAGAGACAAAGATTGTCTCTTGAAGAGATTCCATATGAAAATCAGTGGAAGAGATTCCAGGCAGAGGAAAATGCAAGTTTAGTTTCTGAGGCTAAAGGGTAACTCCTATGTGGCTGGAGCAGAGTGATTAGAGAAAGAGGTTAGAGGCCAATAAATTCCATGCATTCAGTGTGTGCGTTGGGGGTGGTTTCAGGGGAAACAAACTATTCAGGCCTTTCCACCTTAATGCTTAGATTTTGGCTTTATCATGAACAAGAGGGAAAGCCACTGGATTTTGAAAAAAGGGTGATATGATTAAACTATGTTTTAATTGCTTTACTCTATATATTACAGTGAGAATTCTCTGGAAAAAGACACAATTAAAAGCAGGGTAAATATTTAGAAAACTAAAGTATTTTAAGGAAGATCGTATGGTGTTTTTTTCCAGAGTAGTAGCAATGACTGTTGTGGAATAGAATTAATTGAAAGAAATGTGGTTGTAGTTAGAAGAGAAGAGTGGATAAGTAATTTTATTAAATGTGTTTGTAGGAGGATGTGAAAGATCCAGTCAAGAGAAAAACACTGGCTAATTCAGAGTAAGGCAAGATAATTTTTATACAGTTTTCTATGATTAGATGGTGAGGTGGAAGTGGAGTGAGGAGGTGATTGGAGCTAGTGTAGTACTGGGGAAGTTGGCTTCTGTTGCAAAAAAGTATTACCCATCTATAGTAACAAGAGTACCTACAAAGAATATGAGCATAGATGCAAGTGGTTAGGTAAACAATGCTGTAGGAGCATATTAAAGTTCTCTTTGGAGAGTTTCAATTTTCTCACTGAAATAAAAATCATGGCCAGGAGGAAGGGCCCAATGCAGTGGCTCATGCCTGTAATTCCAACCCTTTGAGAGGCATAGGCAGGTGGATCACTTGAGCCCAAAAGTTCGAGACCAGCCTGGGCAAAATGATGAGACCTGGTCTTTACAGAAAATACAAAATTAGCCAGATGTGGTTGTGTGTGCCTGTAGCCCCAGCCACTCAAGGGGCTGAGGTGGGAGGATCGATTGAGTCCAGGATGTCGAGGCCACAGCGAGCCCAGATCATGCCACTACACTCCAGCCTGGGTGACAGAGGGAGATCCTGTCTCAAAAAGAGAGAGAGAGAGAAAGAGAGAGAGAAAGAGGTGTTGGGAATTTGAGGAGATAAAAGACTATGAAAATATTGTCTAAGAAATGACAGAATGAATGGCCTAGGACAATATAGTAAGATCGACAGGTATCATTTGGAGTGCATTCTCAGTTAGTGATAATGACTTCGAAGTGAAGCAGTCAGTGTTAGTATGTTGTTTTATTCCCCAGATAACTGAAGTCGAAAGATTGTTGACATGATGAAGATAGAAAGTTGAATTTAACAAACCAATAAATGATTTAGTCTCATCTCATCTCATCTCACGTAATCTCTTGCAACTTCCTTGATATCTCGCTGTTCTTCAAATACTATTATGACCTTAGGCTTTAGCATTTGCTAATTTCTTTTTTTATTTTTTGTATCACTTGCCTATTTGGTCAATCATCAAGTCTTTAGCAACCACTTCTTAGTACACTGAAAAAAATAACTGTTTATCTCAACACATAGGGCCTATTTTCTTGTATTCTTGATATGGTTTGACTGCGTCCCAACCCAAATCTCATCTTTAATTGTAACTCCCATAATTCCCATGAGTCATGGGAGGAACCATGTGGGAGGTGACTGAATTATGGGAGCAGGTCTTTCCTGTGCTGTTTTTGTGATAGTGAGTGAGTCTCACAAAACCTGATGTTTTTAAAAATGGGAGTTTCAGTGCATATTCTCTCCTTTTGCCTGCTGCCATCCATGTAGCACGTGATTTCCTACTTTTTGCCTTCTGCCATGATTGTGAGGCCTCCTCAGCTATGTATTATTGTAAGTTTGTTAAACATGTTTTTCTTCCCAGTCTTTGGTGTGTCTTTATCAGCAGCATGAAAACAGACTAATACAGTAAACAGGTAGCAGTAGAGTGGGATGCTGCTGAAAAGATACCTGAAAATGTGGAAGTGACTCTGGAACTGGGTAACAGGCAGAGGTTGGAACAGTTCGGATGACTCAGAAGAAGAAAGAAAAATGTGGGAAAGTGTGGAACTTCCTACAGACTTGTTGAATGGGCTTGCCCAAATTGCTGATAGTGATATGGACAATAAAGTCCATGCTGAGGTGGTCTCAGATGGAAATGAGGAACTCATTGGGAACTAGAACAAAGGTGAGTCTTGTTATATTTGAGCAAAGAGTCTGGTGGCATTTTGCCCCTGCCCTAGAGATTTGTTTAAACTTGACAGAGATAATTTAGGGTATCAGGCAGAAGAAATTTCTAAGTGACAAAGTGTTCAAGGAGTGACTTAGGTGCTGTTAAAGGCATTCAGTTTTAAAAGGGAAGCAGAGCATAAAAGTTTGGAAAATCTGTAGCCTGACAATGTGATAGAAAAGAAAATCCCATTTTCTGAGGAGAAATTTAAGCCAGCTGCAGAAATTTGCATAAGCAATGAAGAGCTGAATGTTAACCATCAGGACAATGGGAAAAATGTCCAGGGCATCTCAGAGATCTTTGTGGCAGCTCTCTTATCATTCCATCACAGGTCAGGAGACCTAGAAAAAAATGGTTTCACGGTCCAGGGCCAGAGTCCCTGTGCTATGTGCAGCCTATGAATTTGGTGCCATGAGTCCCAGCAACTCCAGCTGTGACTGAAAGGGGGCAATGTAGAGTTTGGGCCGTGGCTTCATAAGGTGCAAGCCCCAAGCCTTGGCAGCTTTCACGTGGTGTTGAGCCTGCGAGTGCACAGAAGTCAAGAACTGGGGTTAGCAAATCTCTGCCTAGATTTCAGAGAATTTATGGAAACCCCTAGATGCCAAGGCAGAAGTTTGCTGAAGGGGCAGGGCCCTCATGGCAAGCCTCTCCTAGGGCAGTGCAGAAGGGAAAGGCGGGGTCAAAGTACCCACAAAGAGTCCTTACTGTAGCACCACCTAGTAAAGCTGTGAGAAGAGGGTCACCAACCTGAAGACCCCGGAATGGTAGATTCATTGACAGCTTTCACCGTATGCCTGGAAAACCTGCAGACACTCAACACCAGCCTGGGAAAGCAGCCAGGAGGAGGGCTATGTCCCACCAAGCCACAGGGGCAGAGTTGTTCAAGGCCATGGGAGCACATCTTTTGCATCAGCATTACCTGGATATGAGAAATGCAGTCAAAAGAGATTATTTTGGAGCTTTAAGATTTGAGTGCCCCGCTGGATTTTGGATTTGCATGGGGCCTTTAGCCCCTTTGTTTCAGCCAATTTCTCCCATTAGGAACAATGGTATTTCCCCAATGCCTGTGCCCCCCATTGTGTGTAGGAAGTAACTAACTTGCTTTTGATTTTACAGGCTCATAAGTGGAAGGGAATTGCCTTGTCTCAGATGAGACTTTGGACTATGGACTATTGAGTTAATGCTGAAATGCATTAAGACTTTAGGAGAATGTTGGGAAGACATCACTGATTTTGAAATGTGAGGACATAAGATTTGGGAGAGGCCAGGAGCAGAACGATATTATTTGGCTGTGTCCCCACCCAAATCTCATCTTAAATTATAATCCCACAATTTCTACATGTCGTGGGAGGGACCTGCTAGGAGGTGATTTTATTACGGGGGTGTGTCTTTTCTGTGCTGCTCCCATGATAGTGAATGACTCTTATGAGATCTGGTGGTTTTAAAAATGGGAATTTCCCTTCACAAGCTCTCTTTTTGCCTGCTGCCATCCATGTAAGGTGTGACTTGCTCCTCCTTGCTTTCTGCCATGATTGTGAGGCCTCCACAGCCATGTAGAACTGTAAGTCTATTAAACATCTGTTTTCCCTAGTCTCTGGTATGTTTTTATCTGCAACATAAAAAAAGAGTAATACAATTCTATATGTATATGACATTTCCCACTACCTGTCATTATTTTATAATATCATTTATTTATATTTTATATCTGCCTAACGTCTTTCCTTTTAGAATAGATGTAAATGAAATCCATATTACACAGAGTTTATAATTATTTCTAAGACCTTTGTCTTTTATTGTGAATGTTAAAGAGACCCATTAGATGATTTTATACATAGGTGTGATGTTTTCTGACTGATATGTTTCCAGACTGATATGTTTCCAGGTGATACTGAATACTGAGTGGAGGCACTCCTCCATGGGAGAGAAATCATGGAGGGTGGTTTGGAAGCTATTGAAATATTTCTGATAATAGATAAAGTTGTCTTGGATTAAATATATATTAGCATTGATGGTAAGACTTGGAAGTATAGCAACTAAACATAATAATGAGATATATGAAGAAAATGCGATGCAGGAAGAGTCACAGGATTGCATGCTGCTGAGAAATAGAGAAAAATGAGAAATAATTGATCAGTTTATTTAAGAAGAAGTCAGTCATTAGAAACTTAAACAGGACATCATTATGAGTCTTGTTTGAAGAGATTAAAAGAGAACTGGGTATTAAGAAATGCAGTAGTATTGACAATAATTTCTTATAAGTTGGTTATAAAAGAAAGAGGAATAGAATGGTATCTGAAATGGGTGATATTTTTAAAGGTTTCATTTTATTTCCTGATGTAACAGCAACATATTAGAAAATGTTTCTATGCTGATATCAAAAAGCAGCAGAGAAGTAAAATTGCATAATATATGAGATGTGATAGCTTCTAGAACAAAGCCTGTGATAGGAGATATTGACGTTAAGTAAACAAATGCAAAATTTGACCTTAAAAAGGAGACAAGACAGTTTATATATTTAATAGGACCAAAGGGATTATTACATATAAATAATTATACTAATAGATTTGTACTTCAAAGATTGTAAGATTAGGTAGTTATTTTACAACTGTTTTTATCGTTGTCAATAAATAATTCAGTGATGATATTATGAAACTGTTTATGTAGGAAGGGCAAATGGAGATTTGAGTGTAGTGAACAATCTGTAAAATAATCATGTCAGAGGTTGAAAGATTAAGTTTATTAAGAAAACAGAAGAGAGATTTCAGCTTTAGGGCTTCTTGAGTTTTGTTGTCATAAATGAAAATAAAACCGATTACTATGGTTTGCTTTCATTTCAAAAGAATTTATTCGAGAGAGTTTCATTTTTTTTTAAGTAAGTTTAGCTAGATTTGGAGGTTGTTTCCTAAGTAAATAAAGTAAATACACAGGAAATTGAGGATAAAGATAAGGAGGTGAAGATAACAATGAACATCTGAGAATAAAGTAGGTAGTGAGGTCATAGTAAGGGTGTTAAACAGTCAAAAAACGGTGAGATACATTTATTAGAGGATTCTATTAAGGTAAAAAAAATCTTGAGAAAGCAGTCAGGTATACCTTTTGGAAAAAATAAAGTTGGGAGAGGGTAATCATTAAGAGTTGATGTTTAAAATTGAATTCAAAGTTGTAGATGTACTACAGTTATTTTTAATTAGAAACTACAGGATCAAATCATGTGAGTGAATTGTTGAGGAGCTGTGAGTAAATTGATGAACATGAACAGTTTGAGGAATGAAAAGCTCAGAATTGTATAGTCTATGTGAAGCTGAAACTGCCAATATGGTAAATAATCCCAGAATCTGTGCATTTATCATGAATACCTGGAAAATCACCTATTAAATATTTTCTAGACTAAATCACTCTTCTGTGTTTTATAATAACCAGTGTTTCTCATTAAAATCTTCTCTATTCTTTATCAGAGTCCATATCTGAGCTTAAGCAGGAAGAATGACAGTGTCCCTGATGTTTCAGACATGTTCCTGATTTTTCTGAGCCACTTGATTGACTATATACTTGAAATAATTCATAAAGCTTGATTCTGGTTAAGATCTCAGATTCATGTGCGTCTAATTTCACCATCTGATTCATTACCTAAGCTCATAGAGAAATAATTATATTCACATTCTCAGGATTATTTTGGTTTAAAGTTTTAATGAATTTCATAGTGAATGTAAAAATTACCAATATATGAATATCAATAATTATGAGAGAATATCTTGATAGTCTGAAAGAAATATTTATATAGATACATATGATTTCTACAGTATTTTTTAGACCTGTAGAAAACAAACAGTAACAGAACACTTAAATTGTAACTTATTTTACAATCAGTTTTATTTTATAATTAATTTTTAAATTCTCTCACAACTATTCTCATTGGTATATTTTAAGTCTTATTTTTATAAAACTAATAGAATTGCAAAAATTTTGCCATAAAACTTAGATAATTTTAATTATAATGCAAAAAACATCTTCATTGAGTAAATCATGCTGTGTATACTTACGAAGTCTCTTTTTATGATAACTATGTAATCAAAAGATCATTAAAATAAGTTATCTTCAATAAATTAGAGTTACCAGTCACAAGAAACTCTTCAATTTACTAATAAGAGGTGTTCACTTTTTACTTAGTAATCACAAGTCACAAAATTCTCAAACCATGGAATATTACATTTTTTACTGTTAATATAGAAAATAATATATTTGCACAAATCCTAAAGTATTGGTCATGAATTATTTTCAAAATGTAATAAAATACAGCAATAATAACTGATGTAATGATCTACATATGAAGTAAACATTTGTTTTTACCTCATAACAAGTCTCCTTGTTTTATTCATTATTTCTAGTCTAGTCAGTGAGAATGTGAGCAATTGTATCCACAAATATATTCCTTATTTTTTCCATGCATTTTGTGCAATTTGAATGCTTTATTATATGGTTGGCTGCATCGCCACCCAAATCTCATCTTGAATTGTGACTCCCACAATTCCCACATGTTATGGGAGGAAACTAGTAGAATGTAATGAATCATGGGGGCAGGTCTTTCCCATGCTGTTCTTATGACAGTGAATAAGTCTCATGAGATCTGATGGTTTTAAAAATAGGAGTTTATCTGCACAAGCTCTCTCTCTGCCCACTGCCATCCATGTAAGACGTGACTTGCTCCTCCTTGCTTTCCACAGTGATTGTGAGACCTCCCCAGCCATGTGGGATTGTAAGTGATTAAACTTCTTTCTTTTGTAAATTGCCCAGTCTCAAGTAAGTCTTTATCAGCTGCATGAAGACAGACTAACACAGTAAATTGATACCAGTAGAGTGGGGTGTTGCTGAAAAAATACCCAAAAATGTAGAAGTGACATTGGAATTGGGTAATAGGCAGAGGTTGGAAGAGTTTGGAGGGCTTAGAAGAAGACAGAAAAATTTGGGAAAGTTTGGAACTTTCTAGAGATTGTTGAATGGCTTTGACCAAAATGTTGATAATGATATGGACAACGAAATCTAGGCAGGTGGTCTCTGATGGAGATTAGGAACTTGGGAACTGGAACAAAAGTGACTCTTCCTATGTTTTAGCAAGGAGACTGAACAGCATTTTTCCTCTGCCCTAGAGATTTGTGGAACTTTGTAATTGAGAGAGATGATTTAGGGTATCTGGCAGAAAAAAAAAATTACTAAGTAGCAAAATATTCAAAAGGTGACCTGAATGTGGTTAAAGACATTCAGTTTTAAAAGAGAAACAGAGCATAAAAGTTTTGAAAATTTGCAGCCTGACAACGTGATAGTAAAGAAAATCAATCCCATTTTCTGAGGGGAAATTCAAGCTGACTGTAGAAATTTGCATAAGTAAGGAGGACCTGAAAGTGCATCACCAAGACAATGGGGAAATTTCTCCAGAGCATGTCAGAGACCTTTGTGGCAGCCACTCCCATCACAGGCCCAGAGGTTTAGAAAGAAAAATGGTTTTATCGACAAAGACTAGGGCTGCCCTGCTCTGTGTAGCCTAGGAACTTGGTGCCCTGCATGCCAGCCACTCCTGCCGTGACTAAATGGGGCCAAGGTACAGCTCAGTCTGTTGCTTCAGAGGGTAAAAGCCCCAAGCCTTGGCAGCTTCCACATGGTGTTGAGCCTGCAGGTGCACAGAAGTCAAGAATTGACGTTTGGGAACCTCTGCCTAGATTTCAGAAGATGTATGGAAACACCTGGATACCTAGGCAGAAGTTTGCTGTAGGGGTGGGGCCCTCATGGAGAACTTCTGCTAGGGCAGTGAAGAAGAGAAATGTGGGGTCAGAGCCCCCACATAGAGTCCCTACTGGGACACCACTTAGTGAAGCTGTGAGAAGAGGGCTACCATCCTCCAGACCCCAGAATGGTAGATTAACTGACGACTTGCATCATGTGCCTGGAAAAGCCACAGACACTCAACACTAGCACATGAGAGCAGCCAAGAGGAGGGCTATACCCTGCAAAGCCACAGGGGTGGAGCTGCTCAAGGCCATGGGAGCCCACCTCTTGTATCAGTGGGACCTGGATGTGAGAAATGGAGTCAAAGGAGATAATTTTGGAGCTTTAAGATTTGACTGCTCTTCTGGATTTGGACTTGCATGGGGCCTACAGCCCCTTTGTTTTGGCCAATTTCTCACATTTGGAATGGCTGTATTAAACCAATGCCTGTACCTCCATTGTATCTAGGATGTAACTACCTTGCTTTTGATTTTACAGGCTCATAAGTGAAAGGCACTTGCCTTGTATTAGATGAGGCTTTGAACAGTGGACTTTTGAGTTAATGATGACATGAGTTAATTTGTTACGGAACTGTTAGAAAGGCAAGATTGATTTTGAAATGTTAGTACATGAGATTTGGGAGGGGTGGGGGAAGCGCAAAATGGTATTATTTGGCTATGTCCCCACCCAAGTCTCATCTTGAATTGTAACTCCCACAATTCCCAAGTGTTGTGGGAGGAACCTAGTGGGAGGTAATTGAATCATGGGGGCAGGTTATTTTCCTGGTCTTTTCATGTAAGAAGTGACTTGGTTCTCCTTGTCTTCCACCATGATTGTGAAGCCTCACCAGCTATGTGGAACTGTAAGTCCACAAGAAATGCTCTAAATCTTTCTTTTGTAAATTGCCCAGTCTTGGGTATGTCTTTATCAGCAGAGTGAAAGCAGACTAATACAATTCAACTCTTTGTTTTTATGGCAATATGTTGAGGGCTTTTAGATTATTAATTATATAGGTGATATGTCTTGTTACAAACCTAAGGTTGGTTTATTTATTGTTCTGTTATTGTCATTATTGCCGTTGTTTATGGTGGAAGGCATATCTTCATTTCACTGTCCCCCAACACCTTTTATCATTCTCCCATTTACATGTAGACAGTTTTTCATTACCCAGGACTTATAGCTTACTCTTTAAGAATGTTATGAAGAAGTCAATTTATTTTCTCATTGTATAACTTAATATTCCACGTAACTTAATATTCCACCATACCATGTTTGTAAGTGCGCAGAAATATCCTCCAGGGTTGACTGTGTCAAATTGTTCAATGATATGAACAACCTCCAAGCAGCTTGATTCTTATTGGCTATCTCAGACCATGCTAGTAATCCAGTGTCTTTTACCCTTTCTCTCTCTCTCTTTTTTTTTTTTTTTTTTTTTGCCACCTCTACATTCAAAGTGATAACTTCATTCCCAAACTATATTCTCTGAACTGTTTGTCAAATTTCTTGTGTCTCCCTATAACAATTAGGTCACATGTTTATACCAATAGCTGACTTTTAAGCAATACACATTTCAGATAATTCCTACCATTTAAGAAATGGTATAGGTAGCAAATTTCTCTCAATTGTTCTGGAATAATCCCTTGTAAATGTACATTATACAAGATGGATCTCTCTGACATATAGAAGCAATCATGACTTCAGGTGATTCCCTGTTTTAGTTAATGATTTTCATGTTACTTATAAGTACTTTTATTTAGTGTTCTAGGTCATTTCCATTAAAATAAGGCTCTTTTTTTATAAGTCCTTGCTATACAGATTTTTTACCTTTAAGTGGTGTTTATTTTCCCAAATTTTGTTTGAGGGTGATTAAAATATTTTTTCTTATGTATGTAAATTATATTCAAAGCACTTAGGACAATATCTAAAACATACTAAGAAATCAATATGATAGTCATAATGACTGTTACTTTTCTTTCTGTACATTGAGTAAGAATCAAGAATTAAAGTCAGTTTTGTAGAGAAGACATCAACAAGGTAGAAGAATAGGAGGTTTTTGCTTTTTTCTCCTCCCACTGATGCACCAAATAAACATCAACATAGGGATCAATTCCCTCTGGGAGAAATCCAGCTATGAATTGAGAGACTCTTACTCGCTAAACCACTGAGAATATAGCTGAGACAGAACAGACCACAATAACCCCAACATGGGGCAAAGTGCCTTGCAATCAGGAGAGAATCCAAAACTTCCAAGTTCTCCCTGAGATGTGAAAAATTTGACTTTTAAATCACCTATTTCTGGGAGCAGATTGAGTTCAGCATTCACGAGTCCCCTCAGACAACAGAGAACAAAAAAAATGGTTTTAAATGGGGATAAGAGTAGCTCCAACAGCTGCTTCCCCCAGTTTGGCACAGAACAAACAGACTACTCTTTCAGAGAGAAACTGAAAGCTGAGTGTTTTTGTCTAATGTTCTAATTTTCCCAGATGCTGCTTATGGTTTAGGCCATGAATTGGCCCACTTATAGGAGCTGACAGAGGAGGCAATTGGTAGTTGGCAAGGATGCTGAACAGGTTTGTGTGTATTTCCTATCACTCTTCCCTCAGGTTTACACCAGAGATAGACCTTATCCTACAGCTAACCTGCCTGTCTCTAATAAAAGCAGTTAGGAGCTAGCATTTACTATGCCCTTGGGGGTGACAAAGAACAAAGTAATGAGTTGAGTCTGCAGTCTGAATTGGAATGAAGACATTTTTCACAGATCCTCTCCCTGATTTAGAGCAAGTGGGAGGTAAACTCCAGATTCCACCTTTTCCCTGAGGATAGAAGTAATTGGAACACACATCTAACACCCAGCTTTTCCATCTACAACTTGAGGGAATGACTTCTATTTCTCCTGTCTCAGGCACAGATGGGTCTGAGCACAGCCTAGTTTCCTGGAGGCCACTAAGAACAAAGATAGTACATTTGGTAAGCACAAGTAATTAAAAGGCACCTAGAATTTCTGGCAAGGTTTATTTTGTTTATTTATTTATTTTTGAAATGGACTCTTGCTCTGCCACCCAGGCTGCAGTGCAGTGGCACAATCTCAGGTCACTGCAACCTTCGCCTCCCAGGTTCAAGCAATTCTCCTGCCTCAGCCTCCCAGGTAGCTGGGATTACAGGCATGCACCACCACGCCTGGCTAATTTTTGCATTTCTAGAATAGACAGGGTTTCATTATATTGGCCAGGCTGGTCTCAAACTCCTGACCTCAGGTGATCCGCCAGCTTCGGCCTCCCCAAGTGCTAGGATTACAGGTGTGAGCCACCGTGCCTGGCCGGTTTATTTTTTACATAAGGCCAGTCTGTTAACACTCGGAGAGAAGAGGAAACTATCTTACCTAAGGTATGGAAATCAACACAGGGAGTCCAGAAAAGTTAAGAAACAAAGGAACACATTCCAAATGAAATAACGAGATTAATCTCCAGAAATCAATTTTAATGAAATGGAGACAAATATTTACCTGAGAGAGACTATAAAATAACAATCATGAAGATATTGATGAGAGTACAGCAAAGTGTGAACAAAGGATTTTAACTATGAGATAGAAAATATTTTTAAAGTGAAAACTGAAAATTATAAAGCTGAAGAACACAATAACTGAATTGAAAAATTCAATAGAGTGGTTCGATAAGAGACTAGATCAAGGAAAAGAAAGGATTAGTAAACTTGAAGACATTATTGAAATTCATCTAGTCAGAGGAACAAACAAACAAACAAACAAGGAAAAGCAGTGAGGATAGCTTAAGGGACATATGGGATGCCATCAAGCTGTCTAATTTATGCATTTTATGGGAGTTCAAGAAAAGAAAGAGAAAGAGAAAGGGACAGAAAGTGTATTAAAAGAAATAATGGCTGGAAAATTTTCAAACACGGGGAAGTACATAGAAATACCTATACAGTAAGCCTAAAGGATACCACATATTTGGTGTTCTTTAATTTCTCATATTAGAAATCCAAAAAGATCCACACCAAGGCACATTATTATAATAGTGTTAACATGTCCATACTACCCAATGTGATATACTGATTTAATACAATTTCTATCAAAATCCCAATGGTATTTTTCACAGAAATAGAAAAAACCTAAAATGTATATGTAACAACAAAATGTCTTTAATTGCCAATAAATCATAAGAAAGAAAGACAAAGTTGGAGACATCACACTTCCTGAGTTTAATCTATATTACAATGCTCTCACAATCACAAAAGTGTAGTACAGGCACAAAACCAGACACAAAGACCAATGGAACACAACAGAGATATCAGAGAAAATAAACCCAAGCATACGAAGTCAATTAAGTTTTAACAGGGGAACCAAGAATACATAATTGGGAAAAAATGTTTTTTTTCCAATAAAGGGAATTGATAAAATGAATATCTATATGCAAAAGAATGAAATTGGGCCCTTATCTTACAGTATTGTAAAACAACCAAATAGATTAAAGATCTAAACACAAGATGCAAAATTATAAATCTCTTAGAAGGAAAACTTTTTGGAATTGACCTCGACAATGATTTTTATATATATATATATATATATCTCACACTAAAGCCTCAAGCAACAACAACAACAAATAAGCAATTGGGACTGTATCATACTGAATTGCTTCTGTACAGCAAAAGCAACAATCAACAAAACATAAAGGCAAGCTACATGTTAAGAAAAAATATTTGCAAAGCATATATCTGATAAGGGATTAATATTCAAAATATGTAAGGAAGTCACAAATCTCAATACTAAGCAAATAAATAAATAGACAACCCAATTAAAAATGAGGAAAGGTTCTAAACAGACCTTATTTCAAAGAAGATGTAAAACTGGCCAACAAGTAAGTGAAAAGGTGCTCAACATCACTAATCATCACAGGAATGTAAATCAAAATCACAATGAAATATTATCTCACACTGCTATAAGGGCCACTATCAAAAAGATGAAAGGTAATAAGTGTTGGTGAGAGTGTGAAGAAAATGGAACCCTTCTATGATGTTGATGGGAATGTAAAATGTTAGAATCATTAGGGAAAATAGTATTGTTTCCTCAAAAATTAAAAATAGAACTACTGTATGATCCAACCATCCATCCTCTGGGTAAGTACCTAAAGGAAATGAAATCACCACTGGTAAAGATACTGCATTCTCATATTCATTGCAGCATTATTCACAACAGCCAAGAAATAAAAACAACCTAAGTATCTATAGATGAATGACTGGAATAAGAAATTGTGTTGAAATATATATATATATATATATATATATATATATATAATAAATATACAAAATATATGTATATATAATATATAAAAAAATATGTGTATATATGTTACATGCAATGGAATATTTTTCAGCCTTCAAATAAAAGGAACTCCTGCCACGTGTGACAAGCTGAATAAACCTAGAAGACATTATACTAAGTGAAATAAGCCAGACACAGAAAATAGAATAGCTGTGATTTCACTTATAACATGCAATCTAAAAAAGCTGGAAACATAGAAACTGAGATTAGAATGGTGTTTACCAGGGGCAGGGGGTGAGGACACTGAGGGTGGAGGTGAAAATGAGGAAATGTAGGTAATAGTTTACAAAGTTGCAATTATGTAGAATAAATAAATGTAGAGGTGGAAAGCACTGCATGATGATTTTCGTTAATAATATTATATGTTTTATTGGAAATCTACTGAGAATAGGTTTCAAGTGCTCCCATCACACAGACAAAAAAGGCAATTAATTATGTGAGGAGATGGATGGGATTATTTATTTGACTCTAGCAGTCATTTCACTATATACATGCATATTAAAACATCATGTTATACATCTTTTATATATAATTTTTAAAAAGTCAATTTTGCCTGTGTCTAAAAGCAGAGTTTTATCTTTCACATTTTATTGACACCAAGTTATAAAATAGTGATAGTAAAAATTTTTGCCATTTTCATTGCTTTCTAAGTATTTAATGTATAGGCTAAATGATGTGAATAATTTGACATTACACTGTGATGAATCCTCTTAAGGTATGTTCCATTTTTTAATTAGTAGCATACTTTAGAGGTGATTACTTTATCTTGAGTAACTGTAGCAAACACTTCAATCTCATTAAACATTGCTATGCTTTAGCACAGTTTAATTTTCAGTTATACCAATGCACAAATTTAAATGAGCACAAATAATTTTAATGAAACTAGTTCCAGCTAGATTCTTAAAGATAAAAGAATTTGGCAATTAATTATGGCTAAAAAATTTTTCCTTAGATCACCCAGCTTTTGTGTATCTGATTCTCCAAAATCTATAACTGTTATAACTAAATGAGAATCCACACTAGTTAGTGACTATTTGGGATAATTTACATTCATTTTAATATATTAAGACTTCAAAACTAACATCTAATTTTCAGAAAGAAGCCTTATAATGTGAATGTAACATTATTGCAGCAGGCTGAATTAATTAGCTCCTGCTATATTTACCTAGAGCTTTTTCTTTTACACCTTTCTGAAGAAAGTTATGCTTTTTTGATTTTCAGTTCCATAGGGATCAGAATAATTCCCAAACACTTTCTTCTCTTTTTTACAATGAACAAATTATCAATAGGTGTTGAATTGTGAGTTGAATAAATTATAAAAAATGATATGCACACAGAGACTATTTAAAGACTTTTTAGATTTTGCTTTTTTATTTTTTAAAAAGAAGGCCATAGACAGTTTTCTTAATATTAAAAAATTAAAAAATACTGAAAACTTTGTTATTCAATTTTTAAATCTTAATTTTTTCATTAAGTTATTTGTGATCTAAAGTATCTTCTTGATAAAAAGAGAAAGCACTCTTTGTTGTCTTTTAGGATAGGTTATTAAGTAAAATCATATATGTCAAACAGTTGGCTTTATTAAATCAAGCCTTCAATGCCTTTTAACCCAAAACATTCAGTCCGCAAATGTAATACATTTTTTGTCTTTTGCAGCAGAATTGAACAATTGTGCACATATAATCTTGACCAGAACTGGTGAAAGGGGTCACTACCGCCACTAGCTTCCTTATTTGAAAGATGACATCTGACATCTCTGGGCCTCAATGTCCTTCCTTGCAAAATAGGCATAACAGTAGCACTTGTCTTATTAGAATATTGTAAGCAATAAATGTTTAAAATGTGTAAGTCTTTTGTAAAAGTGTATCAAGTGTAAATGCTTGAAAAATACTAGCTATTATTATTTGGGGGAGGAGTACACTTGTATAATGGCTGACATTCAGACATTAAGTAATGTGATATCTGTAGAATGTAGACTGTATTTTGATTAGTTTGTGCTCAAATCAAATGTAATTTTTAAATTGTTTTAAAATTATACTTTTTAAGTTCTGAGATACATGTGCAGAACATGCAGGTCTGTTACAGAGGATTTTACTCTAATATTTACATCTTAAATAGCTTTAACTATACTGAAATAGTCTCTTAATTATTCCTCTGAATGTGAACTCAAAAAAAGCAGAGATTGGATCTTTTCTATTGTTACACTCCAATGCTTACATACTATATAACATGTAACAAATATTCAATTCATATTTTATAATAAATAATTATACAAGTATATGTTTCTTAATTTTTAACCTAAAAAGATAGGGATTTATTCTGTGGTTGGTCATTAAATACAGTAAAAAAATTTAATTAAAATAATTAATTATAGAACATTTTAATATATTTTTTCATTGCACACAGATCACATAAAATGCTAAAATGAGATGTGATTCAGGAACAAATAGCTAATTAGTAAAACATTTCCATAAAAACCTGATTCTGCTTTTTTAACTATACTAATCTTGATGAGGGGAAATTTTGTTATATAGATCAAATTCATTATTGCTATTCTTCAAAAGTTATCTCTATTATCTTAAGATCATCTCAACAGAAAGGGTTGAAATTAAATAGAGACAAGCCTATAGGATAATAATTTTCAAATATGTTACAATTATTTATAGTAATCACAGTTATGCCATGAAATCAAGTAATGTTAGTATAGTAAAATTTATCTTAAACAATTATATGCTTTGCAGAGTCTAAAATATCTATCCAATTAGGGCTAACATTTGTTCTTTTGTGAATAAATATGCTGAAAATTATACTTTCAGTCAAACAAACATTGTGATGCTCTATTCCAATTAGTAGTTCAAGCTAAAGTTTAAATTAAATAATTGCATGATTTGATCAAAAGGACATTTCAAAAATTTCCCTCATTAAATATATTAATATGATAAATTTATTTGATTAGCATAGGGATGTATTTAATATTATATTTGTAAATTAAATAGAATCATAGCATGACTCATCTTTTGCGCGCTAATTGAATCTGCTAGAAACTAGCTGATAACATAGGAAAAAGCCATCTTAAAAATTTATTTATTCCTCAATGTTGTTGATAAGTCTAATACATGGCATACGTTCATTAATTCTTCATTATATTTCTATGACTATACTCATTGCTTAGTGGAAAAAAAATTCTTCAGGCAAAACATTGCCAACCAAAGAAATTAATCTTCATAAAAATAATCAACGTCATAAATTACATTTTAATTAAAAACTCAGCCATAAGCTAACACGAATATTTTATGTCATTTTAATGTAAAAAAAAAAACATAGAAAATGTTCCCAATGAGGGAACATTCATTAAAAATAAAAATAAGACAAAAACTATACACATAAAAATTAATACACTTAATAAATGTTCATACATAAGAGGCATACCTTGCTGTGACCTGCTTCTCACCTATATTGGTGTAAAATATACTTCAATAGCTATTTTTAGATCACCGTGTTCCTTTTCTAATCTATTCTCTAGAAAAACAATGGACTTGTCTTTCCAAAACAAAAATCCAAAGAATATCACTGCTTTGCTCACAGTCTCTGGATAGCTCATCATTGTCATCCTACAATTCTCTGCTCCAGAGTGGTAAGAATATCTTCATTCTCTTGATATTCTGCAGTCCTTTCATGATTGTTTTGTGTTTTGGCTACATCTCCTGTCTATTCTTGTTCTCTGATTTGGACCAAAACTTCATTGCCTTTCTCTTAACCAGAAGAGCTACATGAAAAGCCTAAGAGGCTTGTCTATCAAACTACTGTCATCTCTATGCTCAATTTGTGTCCTGCATATATTACACCATATTTTACTTGTCTGTTTATGTGTCTGTCTTAATGGATCATGAATCTCTCAAGATCAGGGCAAAACCCTTATTCATATTTAAATCGGCCAACGTTAGCACAATCCGGAACACATATAAATTATATTTTCTCCATTTTCTATTTGTACAAAATTGGGACGATTTCTAATCTTTTCTGAGGCTCTTCTTTAGGTAAAATATGAGCCTAACTTTATTTTCTTTCACAAAATGACTTGTTTTTTAAAAAATTAAACTTCATATGCAAAATAACCACTTTTCTTTCTGGAAACATGTAATAACTATTGAATAAACATTAGTTATATTATTTTACTTAACTTTCATTAAGTATTAATAATAAGAATTATACTAATGTCAGAGAATAAGGAATTATAAGAATATGATACAAATTAAAAATAAAAAAGTATAGCATATCTTTTTTTTTTTTTTTTTTTTTCAGACAGAGTCTTGCTCTGTTGCCAGGGTGGAGTGCAGTGGTGTGATCTCGGCTCACTGCAACGTCCGCCTTCTGGGTTCAAGCGATTCCACTGCCTCAGCCTCCCAAGTAGCTGGGACTACAGTCGTGCACCACCGCGCCTGGCTAATTTTTTGTATTTTAGTAGAGACGGGGTTTCACCATATTGGCCAGGCTGGTCTCGATCTCCTGACCTCGTGATCTGCGGCCATCGGACTCCCAAAGTGCTGGGATTACAGGCTTTAGCCACCGATCCTCGCCTAGCATATCTTGATCTAAGATGAAAAATACAAATCCAGACTGAGTAGATTCTGCATTAATTAAAATGGAGAACAGAGGAAACATTCTAGAAGTTTTAAGGACAGAATTTCCGTATGTAACACATGCTCCTATTCAGAGCTTTATGCTTGCTATTTCTTGTGATGGACATGTTGTCCTAAGATATCTGTGTGGCTTATTGCCTCACTTTATTCAGGTTTGGGTATACATACACACCACCACGCATAAACACATCAAAATCTAAAAGTCACAATATAAAGAATAAGAAATATTCAAACATATGATACATATCCATATGATAATATGATGACCAAGACCACTCCAAAACTGATAAAAGGTATCTTTTGTTTACAAAAAGCTCAGAAAACTAAGATAAACATTAAGAAATCTACACTAAAACAGATAGAAATTAAATTGTAAAAAATAAAATAAAAATATCTTAAAATCATACAGAAAGAAAAATTAATAATTATCTTTAAAGATTAACTATACAACAGCAGCTCTCTAAACCAAATAAATATTATCAATTTGATATTTTTCTGGCATGTTTAATGTGTTGAAATTAATAACAAAACATACCAGTGTAGAATTCTGTACCCAGTGAAAATACTCTGCAGAAATAAACATAGAAATGAATTTAGGGATATAGAAATTGAAAAAAAAAAAGTGTGTCTCGTAGAGTGACATTAAAAAATAAAAGTAAGTTTTTTAGGCTGAAAAAATATTCTAAACAAAAATATGAAGATGTATAAGGGAATAACAAGCGCTGAAAACAGTATGTGTGCATTTATAAATACATGCACACAAATTTGTGCATTTTAAAGCATATATGTAATTAAAAGCATTGCAGTAAAATATAAATGGCAGGAAAGACAGGCACAGAGTTCTTAAAATTAAAAGTCTCCAACCATCCGGTATAAATGATGCAGGACAATTGAACTACCAAATTGAGGCTTAGCCCAGAAGGGTTCTTGGCTTTACCCGGGAAAGAATTCAAGGGTGAGTCAGTGGTTTTAGAGAGCAGTCTTTTATTGGACAGTACTTCCTCTTTTGGAGCAGCCCTAACTCATAGGCAATATGCCCAAAACTGACAATGCATAGGCTCTTGCCAGTTGTATTTATACTCCCTTATACCTACTTTCAATTACATGCAAAATCAGGGCTGGGTCAGTGAAAATTGAGGGATGGGTTGTTTAGAACATTCTAAGAAAAGAGTGATAATTCATCCTGTCTGGACCAGATCGAGACCTTGTTTTGGTCAGCAGGGTTGTGACCAGAAAATGAGTCCTGTCAGTCTGCTATGTCACAAATAATACTATTTTTAATTATCCTGTTGTTAAGTGACAGATGTGCTTTTTTTCTAATCTGCCGTGTAACCATTAAAAATTGTAAAATATTTTACAACTAATATGTTAATGGAATAAAAATTAGAATACCAAATTTTTTTCTTAATTGAAAAGTAAGTAAAAATGAAGGCAGATATGTAAAAATATATTGGACAGTCATAAAATAAATATTGAAAGAATAAATACAAACACAAATATGCCAGTAACTAATTTAAATATCAATACACTGAATAATACAATTAAAAATCTAAGATTGTCAAAACTACTTTTAAAAACCCTCAAATATTTCTTATGAGACACTTTAAATATACAACACAGAAGAATTTACTCTAAAATGATTTTAAAAAACATGATTTTAAAATATTATCAAAAATTCTACCTAAGGAGTGTTTTAATATCAGACAAATTGTACTTTAAAGCAAGAAGCATTTCCAGAGGTAAATAGGAGTATTTTATAGTTAAAAGTGGGTCAATTTGATATGTAGATATTACAATCCTAATTGTACCTAGCATGGCTTCAAAATATATAAACAAAAATTAACATCACAAAGAGAAGAAATATAAAAAGTTACTATCATTTTGGGGGTTTTAATAAAAGATTTTAATATAAAAGGTACAGGAAAAATGTCTACTGAGATTGATAACATGGACAACAAAGTTAATAAACATAATCTAATTGGCATAAACAGTACATTGCACCAAACGATGAAAACTTACATGTTAAAGTGTAATGTAAGTACGGAAATGTGTTGAATAAACGAGAGCCTCAGAAAATTTCAAAATTCTTAATTCATTTGGAATATGTTCTTTGACCACAATGGAAATAATACAGGAAAAAGTAACTTAAAAAGCCTTATTCCTAAATCAACTAGAGTACTTCCATATAATTCACTGATGAAGGAAGAAACCAAAATTATAGAGGTGTTTGAAACTGAAAACTAATGACTGAACAGCACAGCAAAATTTGGTTAATGTGGCCAAATCAGTGCAGTCTTGAATTCATATACTAAAAAAGGTAAAAATATGTTATTTAATTTCAATCTTATTAAGTTTAAAAATAACTGTAAGAAACAAACAAGAAATGTAAAATAGAAAAAAATATTAAATATGAGAGCAAAGTCAATAGAATGAGAAAAACATCCTAAAATACAAAAAAAAAAACCCAACAGATTCAGCTTTGTGAAGAAATTAGTGGACCACCCTAGCAATAATTAGAAAAAAAAGGGAAAAAGCAAGCTGTCTACATTAGATAATGGAAAAGGAACATTGAAACAGAGTTAAAAATCTGTAAAGAATACTAAAAAGATGGCATAAATAAACTTACACAAATACTTGTGACAATATACTGGAATTCAAATTCAAGATTTGTCAATGTTTAAAAAATGAAAAATACACACTGATTAACTTTGATACTTGAGATACATTGGGGCATAGATTAAATACCATCAATAATAATTAATAGAATAATTCATTTTGGCCCTAGCTATATAATGTAGAAAAGAAATATGTGGATTAAAACATTTGAAGGATCACACACACACAGATAACAGTATAAAGTTAATATAGTTTAATGATCTAGGGACAGCCAAACCACACTGGGAACATTACAAACTCGTTTTTTGAAAAACTGGCTCATGAACTACAAAAAACCAAAAAGCCTGATAGTTAAAGAGGTAGATAAAGAGCAATGCAAGGCATGGGAATGGCATGTTTTGAAGTGTAAGAAAGTGCAAGTTATTAACGTGTATCTTGGTAAAATTGATGAATGTCCACCAGCTTATATATATTTCCTATGAATTAACTCATGCTTATGTCACTTCTCAGAACGCCTTTTCCTGAACAATGTCATAAATCCAAGAAACATGAATGAGTTCTCCAACTGAAAAGCATCACATATCACACTAGGTGATAAGGATGGAGGTAGAAGCAGGGTCCAAATCACTGAAGACCTAGCATACAAGAATTTTATTTAGGATAAGGTTCTGCTGACATAATCTAAACATGAGTCTAACATTATTATATTTGTAATTTAGAAGCAGCAATAAGGGATTCGTAAGAGTGACATTTTAGAAGAGGAAAATCCTGGAAGCAAAACCATTTGTGGGGCTCTTGCTTAATTTTATGAGCATAATGTTGAGAACTTGGTAAAGTTAAGAACACAGTGATGAAGATGAGTAGTTCCTCTGTTGCACTGACGTTTAGAAAATATAGAGGATAGACCCAATGATTATATATGTTAATAAGAGGATTTAAGAATAAAATATATTCTAGGTTTGTCCTTAGGAAACCACAACAACTATCACAGGATCTTAACATTTGCAAGATATTTTTCTACATGGGATAAGAGCATGGAAATACGTTTTTATATGTTCTTTGAAAAGAATTTCAGAATTCGTATTCAAATACTAATGAGGCTCTAAGTCTTCCTGAAGTAAAGCAATCAGCAAAAGATGTGCACTGCATATGACCACTCATTAATAAATATCTTTATCAAATATTCTTTCTAAATACTGCTAGAATTTGATGTTAACTCAGTAAAATGGAGATTCTATGATCCATAATTTACACCTAATTAGTGTTTAATCTTTTTTTCAGTCCTGTGATTTAATTATAAATGCTTAGTCCAGTGAAATAAATATTGTTTTTTTGTCATTATTGTTCAGTTAAAATCAACAAGCTTCTTGATAGATATAGATTACCAATACAAGCTTATTATTTTATAATTACTCTAAAGTTAGTGGAGCAAACAGAAGCCACTAGGTCTTGACTAAGTGCAATGACAAAAGGTTTCCTAAAACTTATTTTTGATAATCTGCCCACTGGAAATCAAGGTTTATTCAGGTAACATAAATGTGTTTTTCATTTCCCATGAGAAATATAAGCTTATTGAATAAAATGTTATAGTATTAATACATATACTTAATAAAATTTGAAGTATTTTAACTAAATTTGTCTCTGGTTATCCAAAGCCTTTTTGTGTTTGAGAGTACTTGTCAAAATTAAATATTTAAAATGCTAAATTCTTCCAATCTACTGCCATATCACCCTGAACTCACCCAATCTCATCTGATCTAGTGTTTAATTTATATTTATTATTTTAATTCAGATTAAAATGTCATGAGATTCAGAATATTGATGTGATCTATTAACATTTTTACATTATTTCTTCTCAACAATATAACGTGTATAAAATCATGTGAAATTGTCAAATATTAAATACATATATTTTACATATTTACCTACAAAAAGCATTCTCTTGTGGAGTTGAAAAATTAAAGATATTCAGATTAAAATTGGTATAACTGACTATTCAATTGACAGTTTAATTCAAATAATGGCAATCTTTAAAAGAAAATTGAATCAAGTGAAACATAGTATTTAAACCAGATATTGAATTTTTTCAATTAAGCTAGAATATAGTCATGTCAGAAATAATAGTAACAAATGGACAATAAGCAAAATATTTACTAACTGGATAACACACAACTAGGAGCATGTACACATATTTGTACACAGGAGCACACAACACGTACACATCAAATGCCACTTATGAACACTGATTCATACAGCTTTTTCCCAACTTTATAGCCTAAGCTTCTGTGAACCCAAACTGCTTGTTCATAAATTTGTTTTGATGTTTAAAGTAGCAGTTTAATTCAGTGTATTTATTGTAAACTGGGGATATTCTCCAAGCATCATAGACAATGCAGGATGGTTGGCCAATTTGATTCACTGGTAATTCTAGTGTTCATTATCTACCACTTTCCTCAGAGCAGGTGGCATCTTCAAACTACATAAAATAAACAATTGTAAAAGGAGTCGGGATATGTGGAATTGAGCACGTCTGGCTTATCAATTCATTTGGCATTCTCTCTTCATTTACCTATAAAAATAAATACGACATTTCTTAGTACAGAAAACACATCTGAAAAATGAATTCTTTAGTTTAGTTGCATGTCAGCTAACTAAAAAAAATAGAAAATTAATTGTTTAGATGGTAAATTTATTGAGCATACGAGATTAATAGAGCCTGAGAACAGTAGAGATCTCCCTGAGAGATTCACAGAAGCTACAGCCTAAATCACAATTTGGAGCCAGGTATTTGGTTTGTATGTATTAGATATGTGACATATTTTTATATATAAAAATTTGAATGCCAGTGTTGTAGTATTAATACTTCTGCCAAGTTTTGGTGATTAAATTAGAAAGCAGTTCTTTGGACAACTAAAACAATAAACTTAATTGACAATGCTTAATTAAAGCTTATTTTTTAATATCAAGAAGTCTATATGTAGGTGACTGCTTACAGTGTTTTAGTAAATCAACGATATCTCTGCAAATGACTTCAGTTTGTATTACTCGTGTTTGTAAAATGTTTGTTAAAATTTCGAGCCTCGTAAAATTTAAGTTGGGAGTGAAATGTATTTAGTTTTGCCACTATATCAATTTATTTGACTGGTACAGCAAAAGTTTTCCAAGATAACCCTCGTCTTTCTAGAAGACTTCCTTTTACATGTCATTGGTTAAAAATGATTGCAGATTTTATAGTTACTTTTAGCAGCAAGTAACAAAAAGAAAAAAACATCAGAATCTTAATTGGCATAGGTCAATCATGATGTGATCACTATTATGAGCCTGGTGTTGACCAAACATATCCACATTCCTTCAGCAAAAAAATTAGGAAAATGGGGCTAACACTTTTGTTCAGCAGTGATCTATTGCAGAATAAAATTCAATGCTAGGAAATATATATCCTGAACATCTATATAATAAACAGTATATTTTTAATAAGATACATTTGGGGATTGTTTTTAGTTGGGCATACAAAGGAAAAAAGTCTGAATAAAATGTAATAGGTTTCCACTATTTCTCATAATGTAAAAATCCATAGTCATTCTTCATTTTACACAATAAATAATAGAAAATTCACTTTTGGAAAATTTTACTGAAGACTAATCGAGTGAAATTTTGAATATGAGGACTTTGTGAGTGACTTTTTAAATCAACCACAGAGAAGTTACTTCTGTTGACTTTTTCATTGAAATTTTCTTCATGATTCTAGAAATAGATATCATTAGGAAAGGTTTAGGAGTAGCATGCCTTAGTTAATATCACTCTACTTTTTTATGAGATTTGCCACTATTTACTTAAATCTATGGACTGTATAGATAAATTAACACAGACAGGAATTAGAAATGAAAATAGCCTCTCTATTTCTAAATATATGACCATAGGGCATAATCTCAATTAAGAAACCAAGCTATAATGCTTAAACTAATATAATTCTTCAATCATATAAAACAAGTTGAATGAAATAATTGTGTGTCAATCTCTGGTATATATGTAGTAGAACATCACATAAAAGCTTCATTATTCATTAGGCACAGATGCATTAATACAGATACACCAAGACCATAGAACTAGCGATAATCACTTAGCAAACAGGTTAAGAAATAGTCAACCGAGGCTAACTCAGTTCTATGCATGCCAGTTTACAACAAGCATTCTTAGCTATGAACTGCCCTTAACTGATTTTCTGTTGGGTTTACTTTTCTTTTTTTCTTTACATCTTGGCACTTCAGGTCATCTTTCTCATCTAGAGTTATTGTGGTTCATTGAACCACTATGAAGAAGTATTTCCACCACCCAATGCCATTTTGATTCTCATTATAATGAATTTAATCTTCCAGATTGCTGTTAAGCTATTTTATTTGCAGGGCATATGGGGCTTTCATATTTTATTTCAAACCAGGAATTTTTCTTTCCTTTTTCTTCTATTCTAATTAATTTTTCTCTTTCTCTTACTCTATCTCCACTTACATTTTGTCTTTTTCCATTAAAAATAATTTAAGCTTGGGCATATGGTGCTGCAAGAACTGGCTCCAGGGCCCTTATGCTGGCTGCCCTCACAGCTCCCAGCCTGGTGACAGGATCTACCCTGAACTGAGAATGGCCATCTCTCAATATGAGCCAGTGGCTGAAATTGGTGTGAGTGCCCATGGGTCGGTGTACAAGGACTGTGATCCCCACAGTGGTCACTTTGTGGCCCTCAAGTTCCTAATGGAAACTCTCAAAAGAGTTCCACTCCCATAATACGATCACCTCTGCTCTCATTAGAGTTCCCATTAGAAATCACTCCCATAATACAATCACCTCCCACCAGGTCCCTCCTTCAACACATGGGGATTAAAATTTGACATGAGATTTGGGTGGGGACACAGAGCCAAATCATATCATCAGCTGAGGCCATCAAGGATCTGATGCACAAGTTTCGAAGAGGCCTAGATTTTCTTCATGCCCATTGCATTGTTCACTGATATCTGAGGCCAGAGAACATTCTAGTGACAAGTGGTGGGACAGTCAAGCTGGCTGAATTGGTCTGGCCAGCATCTATAGCTACCAGATGGCGTTGACACCTGTGGTTGTTACACTCTTGTACTGTGCTCACGAGGTTCTTCTGCAATCTACACAGGCAACATCTGTGGACATGTGAAGTGTGTCTTTGCAGAGATGTTTCCTCAAAAGCCTCTCTTCTGTGGAAGCTCTAAAGCCAACTAGTTGGGCAAAATCTTTAACCTGATTGGGCTGCCTCTATAGGATGACTGGCCCTAAGATGTGTCTCTACCCCATGTAACATTTCTCCACAGAGGGCCTCACCCAGTGCAGTCGGTGGTGCCTGAGAGGGAGCACAACTACTGCTGGAAATGTTATTTTGTCCTACATAAGCAAATCTATGCCTTCCCAGCTCTGCAGCACTTTTATTTAGATAAGACTCAGAGTGCGCAATGGAGTGGCTGCCACAGAAGGAATAGAAGCTGCCATTTCCCTTATTCTGCACACCTGAGTGGTGAGAACCCCACTGAAAAGGCAATCACTGCCATCATATCTGAGGCTCTGGAGACACCTCCTGAAACTTTTTACAGAGAATATTTTGCTGCCTTAATAGTGTTATCCTTCTACCCTTCCATTTGAGGCTTCTCCTTCTCCTGCCACCCTGTTACCTTAGACTAGAGGATATGTCCCCTCTTGTCCCCTTCTGTACCTTGATATTAGGGTCTTTTCTTATAAGGGAAAAATCAAACAAAACAAAGAAAAAATCAATTTAACCATTTTTATTTCTCCTGCTAATAGGTTTAAAGTGCTAGTAGTCCTTGCAAAAACTGCATTTTGATTCTGGTATAATTTGTGAATCCCTGGTGTTTGAATTTGCAAATTTTCAGTTTATAGTTCCTATGATTATGGTATTGCACTTTGCATATGCACATAGAAAGCAGAAGTCAACCCACAGAACTTGAGGATTAAATGAAAGTTTTTTTAATGATATTCATAAGTGATTGTGTTAAAATTATCTTCTAGGGGAAAAATGAATTATAACATTCATTTTCCGGTTATTTCTTGTACTCTCAAGCATGACAGTGTAAAATTGTTCAAATAGGATTGATTTTATATGTGATCCAGTTTAATTCCATTGGAGACATGTTGAATTTAAAATATTAGGTAGTAAAGACAGTAAAGTACTGAATTTATTTAGTTTGCTAATGCTGAAGCAGGGCTCTACTGGATAGATGTAGAGAAAAGATGAGATTCATCTACCCAAGCAGTACCAATAAAAAAGCTGCAGTGGTTCAATTATGAGAAAAAAAGGTGAATTTCTTTCTTAGTCTACATTCACATTAAATCAATTAAAAATACTTGAACATTTAAATAAATGTAATTTGATTATTGAGTTTAAGTGTGACTTTTCTGGGATATTTAATAGATGTTTCTTTTCTAATGCAAGTGATTAGACTCCCATCTCTTCATAAGCAGAACCACAAAAGCTTAGAGCTGAAAGACATATGTAAGGTCATCTAAAATGATTGTTTTTCAGAAGGAGTCATTAACATTTATAAGATTAATTGACTTTCACACAGTCTCATGCCTAAATGGTGGCAAAGCTGCAGCAATAACCTAGGTAATGTTATTTCTAGAATTTGAGATTGTATTTTCAAAGTTTTAAATTAAAATAATGTTTTTATTACAAAATAACTGTGAGATGACTTATTGTAAATTGCTTTAGATATCATAGGGCATGATAATAATTCATTTATTATCACTATAACTTACAACATTAATCTCATATCAAATGAAAAGTTTTCATGTAAGTATTAAAGAGAATATATTTGGTGTTTATTTGCAGAAAGATAATTATACCTGGAGAATACCAATTGGGCTAATTGTTACAAAGCTGAAATTGTGAGTTTAGTATAGTTACTTAACAAAAATCCTGCAAAAAGTAATAGGGCCTAACTTAAGCAGTGGGAAAAAAAAGAAGTATGTTGATAAGAATATTTTAAGAAATTAGAATTGTAGCATCTAGGAATGTTTAAATATTATGGATAAATAGAAAGTTATAGACGATTCTCAACAAGTGAATCAGAATGGAGAATGAAGGAGGATAATTTTTGAAGACACCAAAATGACGAGTTTAAACCTGTTGATTTTCAGGTACTTGTGGCATACCCCTTTAATCAGTTATTTATGATTTTTAATGTTTAGATAATACAGCAGACATATGATCTGGGTTTTATATATAAACTTTGATGTTATCATGATGGCAATAGCAGCCTATCTGGAGTGCCATGAGGCGGGCTGCAGTGGGAGAGGCATGGCTTGGGCTGTGCACTCCACAGAGAAGGCAGGAGCCAAGAACAGGTAGAAGCCCTGCCGTCTTTCAAGTTGTAAAGCCAGAAGCCACATCCTCTCGGGCACAGTGCAGCCACCAAGCCGCAGCTGCAGACCCTGGCATCTCTGCACTCTTGAGGGCCTGGGAACGCCTCTAACCCCCACAGGCTTGGAAGTGCCTCCTTCCACTGCCTGGCCTCTCCCTGTTCCCAGGGCCAGCTCCAATTTTAGAGCAAAGTTGTTACTGACCCAGAGTGCTGTCATGACCTGGCCAGGTGTGCACATGCTTGGGGCAGCACTGACACACCAGTCCCCTGCTGCCTCAGTCTCCTCTGGACTTTGGGCACCGGCAAGCATGGGAGGGAGGCCAAGGGGGCGCTAAGGGCAGCTCTGTGCAGGCCTGCAGGCACCTCTCAGCAGAAACAGCCTGGGTGCAGTGGGCACTGTGGATGGCAGGATAATGATGTCAGAAGGCAGACAGGCTCCTGGGTAGAAAGGGTCAGGTCTCCAGTGAAACTCCACCTTCAGGCCAGGAACAGCCTGAGGCCTTGGGGCTGGGCTGCCAGCTCCATGGACCAGAGTGAGAAAATATCGTGCTTTTTCTGGGTGTCCATGATCCAATCAGCATGCACTTCCTCCCCTGTGAAGCCCATAAAAGCCCAGACTCAGCCAGACTTGGGCAGAAAATGGGATGACCTGCCTGTGGATAGGAGCTACCCACTCCTTGGTCACTGGTCTCCTCTCTGCTGAGAGCTGGACACTTGTCAGAATGACCTGCATGCAGAAAGGAGCTACTCACTGCAGTTCTCCTCTGCCCGGTTCTGTTGTTGAATAAAGCACCTCTTCACCTTGTGGGTCTCCTCTGCCCTGTTCTGTCACTCAATAAAGCACCTAATTATTCCTGGACATGGGACAAGAGCTTGGAGCCTGCTGAATGACAGGGCTGAAAGAGCTGTAACACAAACAGGGCTGAAACAAGCCCCTTGCTCGCCATATTGTGGCAACAAGAAGGAGAGAAGAGAGAAAGATAGAAGAGCTATGGCCCTTCAGGGAGCCCCGACCTGGAAACTCTCTGAGCCAGGGCTGTAACACCCTCTCTGGGGCTCTGCAGTTCCTGGTACCTCCAAGTTTCCAGGTGCCACCACATTCCCTAGTGCCAGCTGTGGAAACCACTAGCAATACACCTAGTCCAGCTGAAGCCTCACAGGGAGCTGGCACCCATACTGGCACCTGGAGTTGCCCATGCCAGTGCCTTGAGCTGCCTGCTCTGCCACATCCAGTGTTCCTGACTGTGTGCAGTGGCCAGACCCCCCACTTGCTCACTTGCTCATACACCCCTCACTGCTGCTCACCTGGCTTACCCTTGGCAGGCATTGGATCCAGACTGGCAGCATGTGCAGAGCACAGCCTGCCAGGTCAAGTTGGCGAAATGAGCCCAGTGGGCCCAAGTAAAACTCAGGAAAAGGTGCCACAGAGGTTTCTGGCTGGAAAAGTGACACACCAAGGATCCTGTGACAATCACTGTTTCACAAGACTGAGTATATAGAGAGGCTTTGTTTGTGAAGAAAACACAAGGAATCCTAGGAATTATCAAATAGATGGAACCTGAGAAAACAGAAAGGAGACTGAGATTAAAAAGAAACAAAGATACAGAAGAAAATTCAGAGAGCCAAGATGGTACAAATGTTTTAAGTAGTAATGTGTTTCCCCATTATCAATAGGCAGGAAAGATGAAGAATAAGAGAAAATGAGTGACCTGGGGTGATGGCTCATGCCTGTAATCCCAGCATTTTGGGAGGCAGAGGCAGGTGGATCACATGAGGTCAGGAGTTCGAGATCAGCCTGGCCAACATGGTGAAACACCATCTCTATGAAAAATAAAAAAAACTAGCTGGGTGTGGTGGCATGTGCCTGTAGTTCCAGCTTCTCAGGAGGCTGAGGCATGAGAGTTGCTTGAATCCAGGAGGCGGAGGTTGCAGTGAGCCAAGATTGCACCACTGCACTCCAGCCTTGGCTACAGAGTGAGACTCCATCTCAAAAAAAAAAAAAAAGAAAAAAAAAGAAAATGAGTAATAGTTTCTTACTATCTCTAAAATTATATTAATAGGAGATGACAGTTTGGTGTTTTTTTTATTATTTTTTATATTTATTTAACATCACTGAAGATTTAGAGATTTTAATGTGAGTCTCTGATTCCTAATGTGATAGCAATTCCTCTGTATTCTGTATACTTGAAGCAAATACTTTTAATAGCTATCAGACTACAGAATAGATTATGGAGAAAATATTAGCTTGAGGATTTATTTTCCTGACACTACAACATTTTAACAAATGTTAAGAGAACTTCAGTTTTGATTTCATATTTTAAAACAATGGCCGTTCTATAACTAGCTTTATGTTAAATGATTTGTATAAGAGGAAATGTTTTCACTTTCAGAATATGTGTTTAATTATCTGAAGTTCTGAACTGCATGAATAACAATTTATAAATATGAGAGTAAGGGAAATTTGTTCATAAACATTGTATTTATAACAAATAATAATTTTATGTGTTTTACATGAGTCACTAAAATGTTTAATAACATTGTGTCTGTTGTAAATGTATTAACTTTTTACAATTAGAATGTAAAATAGATATTTCTTCTTGTATACAAATGTATCAGTGTATAAAATAGCCCCCTGTTTCTTAATAGTATCTGCAGCTTTCCTGAATTCTATTGATATCTACCAATACATTTTAGTAAATTAAAAAGTATTTAAGTTAACTGTGATCAAAACAAACTAGTAATAATTTATAGGTTTAAAGTTCTCACTACTTATAATGTTGTCTCAACATTTAGTACTTTTAATCATAGAAATATGTAGTGAGAAAAATTTAAGATGTTTCACAATATTGTTGGCATATGAACCACATATCTGAAGTCATTACAAAATAGCCTTTTAATTGAATACAAATAATTTACCAAAACAGTTCCCTAGAATCAGCTCTTATTTATCATATTGCCTTGCAATTATTAGCTTAAAGATTTCCAAAATAGGAGTATTTTGAAATGTCTAATTAAAAGTTGCAATCTAATCTACATTATTCACTGCAATTAACATTGTTCCAATAATTTACTATCTTCCTTACTAGCAAGAATACTAAGTAATTTATTAATCATATTCAAAACACAAAATTCCTTGGTAACTGTCAAGGATTAATATTAAACATTATGCTGAGTGTGTTTGTGAGGGTGTTTCTGGTTGAGATTAACATTTGATTTTGTAGAATGAGTAAAGCAAATTGCCCTACCCAATGTGTGTGACCCTTGTTTAATTTAATAAAGGACTAGAAAAAAAAAGTTGAGAGAGAATTCACTTTCTCTGCTAGATGGTCTTGAACTAGAATATTGGTCTTCTCCTACCTATGGACTTGGACTACAACTTACACTGTCAACTCTCCTAGTTCCCAGATCTTCAAACTCAGACTGGAGCTATAAATACTGGCTCTTCTTGGTCCCAGATTACCAAATTAGATCTTGGGAATTCTTAGACTATCACATGAGTCAATTACTTGTAATAAATTATATATATATCTATATATATCTATCTATATCAATATATCTCCTTTTAGTTTGGTTTCTTTGGAGAATCCAAACGGATATAGATTTTGGTACCAAGAGAGCTCCCAGAGGAAAAGAATTTTAAGTATGAGTTTTCCAAATTTGCTTTGGTTTCATGGAATTGGCTTCTTAATATGATTAGACTTAAATATGCTAATAATTATTTCCAGTACAAAAGAGAGCACTGATAGTCCATGGTGTAATCTGGCAATAGAGATATACAAAATAATTTTATTGGATACTCCTAGTAAACCACTTATAAAAAGCTGGGAGCTGGGTTGCTGTCAACATTTTTGGAAAACTAGTGAATATAATGAGGTTGGCTGGTTTCTCCTAATGTCACTGGAAAAAGTGGTAAAAGATAAAGATGAGCTCAGGAATTTGAATTTTTAGCTCAAGTGATGCATAAATAACTGGAAAGCTTCTATGTGTGTTGTGAAGGAAACTATTATTGCCTGTAGCTGAAGGCTAAGACGCTGAAAATAAAACACAAGTTTTCCTTCTGCAACTGGCTAAAATACATAACAAGTTGAGTTCTCAGATTCACAAGTGAGTGCATTGATTGGTAAAGAATAGTGTCCTCCAAGTTAGAAAGGAAATGTTTGGAAAGACACTGGTGAAGCTGCAGACATTGAATCCCTAATTCAATGAGTCTTGTTTGCCAGTAGAAGAGACCTCTTCACCCCCAGGGATAGTGGCTTCTCCATTCTCATTTGAGGGGATTAACCCTTCATTGCTTGGGGGAAATATAATGGTTGCTTCTGAGGGCGATTTTAACCAGACATTGCTGATTCTTCTCAGAACCCACTTCTACTTCCTCTCTTTGCTTCTAGACCAGTAACTGGACTCAAGTCCTAGCAGCCCCCTAAGGTGTGGTACAAAGTGTGACTTTTGCAGAGGTGTGCTACCCTCCAAAATAATCATTTGAGTTTTCTAACATATATAGTCAAAAATCCAGGGAACTTGTGTAGGAACAGAGATACCAAACATGTGGAATACTGAAAGAAACATTAAGTTGGATTAGATAAGCTTTTTAATATGGGCTCATGAAGCAGTGATTCTTCATTTAATGTTGCAGCTCAGGAAGTAAGAAAGGGCTCTATCAGTTTCTTTTGTTTGGTTCGCTGAATGATAGATCAAAATATGGCCCACAGTGAGTGAATTACAAAATCTGGACCCGCCTTGTTTTAATGTTGAGGAAGGAATTCAAAGGGTTAGGGAGACGAGTGTGTGAGAGTGCATTTAATGTATACAATCTATTCTCTCAGACTGGGAGGGTCCTGAAGACATACCTTTCACCTCTACTATAGAAATACATTTGTGAGAGCACTGGCATTCTTTAAAAAACTCCATGATCACTCTTCTTTCTAAGTCAGATCAACAGTTAGGACTGTAGTAACTGTATTGAGAAACCTAAGGGCCATGGGAATAACTGGATCTCAGGTGGCATGGTTGCTGCAACGGACAGCAGAGTCAAAGCAGCAAACAGTGTAGTGTGACTCATGTAGATGTATGGCTAGTTAATCATGGTGTTTTTAGAAGTAAAATAGTTAGAAAGCCTCCTGAACGCTCACTTGATCTACATAAGCAGAAAAGTTCTATGTCAAATGAACAAATTCTAACTTGAAGCATAAAATTAGAGAATCAGAGACTCTAAACCAATTCTAAGACTTATGTGAGTTTTCAGACATAGAGCCACCTAAATGAAGGAGAGTCTGCGAACTAGAAACCCATAAGGAAGGGTCCCGGTACACCACCAAAAATTTCATACTGTTAGTCTTTCTCCCAGCTTTCGCCAAAAGGGCCAATGCCCTTTTATCAGGTTAATTCTTCATTGGGTAAAAGAAAATCATCAGATCTTTCAGGGACTACTGGACAATAGCTCTAAGCTGATACTAATTCCAGGAGACACAAAACATCAGTGTAGCCCACTAGTCAGAGTAGGGTCTTAAGGAATTCAGGTCATCAACGAAGTTTTAGCTCAGATCTGTCTTACAGCAGGTCCGGTGGGTCCCTGAACCCATTCTGTGGTTATTTTCCACTTTCTGGAATGCACAATTGCATTAGATATTCTCAGTACCTGATAGGATTCAAACATTAATTCTTAACCTGTATGTGGGCTCTATAATGATGAGAAAGGCCAAATGGAATATACTTGAAAGCTTATACCTAGGAAAATAGTAACACAAAAGAAATAACACATTCCTAGGGGGATTTTAGAAATTATTGTCACCATAAAAGGACTTGAAAAATGCAGGAGGGGTGATTCTCACTTTTCCCTTCCAGAAGATATCATACTGGCCCAACACATTGATAGCATTAAGCTGATTGATCCTAATAGGCAACTACTCTAGAGTTATTGATAAGACATTTGTAGCAGAGGATGGAAAATCAATCCTATGAAAATTTAGTGGCCTTCTATCTCACTGAAATTTCCAGACCAGATGTGGGAAGCATGTCAAAATATTATTTTCTTTTATGGAGTTTGCATCTGGCCCTTCCAACAAACAAAAAATACACACAGCATCTAGTGGGCCTATTTGGATTTTGGAGTCAACAAACTCCTCATTTCAGTATGTTACTCTGGCTCATTTATTGAATGGACCGAAAAGCTGCTAATTTTGAATAGAACCCAGAACAAAAGAAGGCTCTGTAACAGGTCAGGAGGCTGTGCAAACTGCGCTGCCATTTGGGCCATATGATCCTGCAGATCCAACCATGCTTGAAGTGTTCAGTTGCAGAGAGAAATACAGTATAAAGACTTTGGCAGCCCCTATAAGTGAATCATACTGAAGGTACTCAGGATTTTGGAGTAAAGCCATGAAGTCCTCTGTGGGCAACTATTCTGCTTTTGTGAAAGAGTTCTGGGTCTGCTCCTGGGACTTAACAGAGGCTGAACACTTATCCATAGGCCACCACGTTCCTATGCAACCTGAGCTGCCCTTCTTGAACTAGGTATTATGACCCATAAAGCCATAAAATTCGGGGTGCACACTGACATTTCATCATCAGATAGAAGTGGTATATATGTAATTAGGCTCAGCAGGCCTTGAAGGTGTAAATATGTAAGCTACATAAAAAAGTGATCCAAACATCCATAGCCACACCCTCCTGCTATGTTACACTTTTCTCCCCAGTCTGCACCTATGGGCTCATGGAGAATGCTTTACAGTTGGATGACAGAAGAAAAGAAGATTTAGGCCTGGTTTACAGATGGCTCTGCATGATATTCAAGCACTACATAAAAATAATCAGTTGCACCACTGCAGCTCTTTTTTGGGATATTCCTGAAAAATAATGATGAGCTAAAATCCTCTGAGTGGGCAGAACTTTCAGCATGGCACCTGGTTGTTGACTTTGTTTGTAAAGAGCCCGGCCAAATGTAATTATATGCCAATTCATGGTCTGTGACTGGCAATAGTTGGCTGAATAGTTGGACTTGGAAGGGACATGATGGAAAAATTGTTGACAAGCAAATTCAGGGAAGAGATATAAATGGGCAAAAGCTATAATAAAAAAAATTCACATTTCATGGGAATCCCTCACCCATGTGAATTCCCACATGAATGTTCAGGAAAGAGTGACCGTAGCAGAGGGAGACTTTAATAATCAGGTAGATAGGATGACCTGTTATATGAATACCAGTCAGTCTCTTTCCCTAGGCTCTCTTGTAATTTCCCAGTGAGTTCATGAACAAACAGGCAATGTTGGCAGGTATGAAGGTTATATATGGGCTCAGCAACATGGATTTTTACTCACCAAGGTTGAGCTTGCCACAGCTACTTCTAAGTGCTCAATCTGCCAGCAGCAGAGAGCAACACTGAGCCCTGATATGATGCAATTACATGGGGTAATCAGCCAGGTGCCTAGTGGTGGGTTGCTTCCATCATACTGGACTGCTTCCATCATAGAAAGTATTTTTTTTTTACTGGAATATATACCTTGGCACAGATTTATCTGCCTTGCACACTATGTTTCTGTCAACACTATCAGTCATGGACTTAGAGAATGTCATGTCCACCATTGTGCTATTCCCCACTGCATTGCTTCTGACCAAGGAACTCATTTTACAGCAAATAGAGTGCAGCAATGGCCTCATGTTTATAGAATTCACTGGTTTTTAGAATGTTCCATAGCATCCTGAAGCATATGACAATACAATGGTAAAATGACCTTTTGAAGACACAGTTACAATATCATCTAATGTCAATATCTTACAGGACTGGAACAAGGTTCTCCAGAAGGCTGTACATGCTCTGAGGCAGCCCCTAATATAGAGTGCTGTTTCCCCCATGACTAGGATTTATGTGCATGGCACCCTCACCACACACTGTTAACTCTAGTAACATGCTAGCAACATTTTTGCTGTCTGTTCCTGTGACTTTATGCTTTGTTGGCCTAGAGATCTTTTTCCAAAGGGAGAAGTACTTCCTTAAGGAGACAACACAATTATTCCATTGAACTGAAAGTTAAGATTGCTGCCCGGTCACTTTGGACCCCTCGTATCTCTGAATCAATGGGCTAAGAAGGGAGTTACTGTAGTGGCTGGGGTAATTAATACTGACTACTAAGGCGAAATTCCACAATAAAGGTAAGGAATTCAACAATAAAGGTAAAGAAGACTGTGTTGGAATACAGAAGATCCCTTAGGGTATCACTTAGTATTACCATTCTCATGATTCAGATTAAGGAAAACTGACTATTAATTAACTAACCATTGAGAAATAAAATGGGTAATCCCATCAGGCAAAGAACCAGTACCATGCTGTTTTTGGTTACTGTAGCCTTGCAGTATAATTTGAAGTCAGGTAGCGTGATGTCTTCAGCTTTGTTCTTTTTACTTGGAATTGTCTTGGCTATAAAGGGTCGTCTTTGATTACAAATGAAATTTAAAATAGTTTTTTTCTAATTCTGTTAAAAATGTCAATGGTAGTTTTATGGAATAGCACTGAATCTATACATTACTTTGGGCCATATGGCCATTTTCGCTATATTGATTCTTCCTATCTATAAGGATGGAATGTTCTTCCGTTTGTGTCTGTCCTCTCTTATTTCCTTGAGCAGTGGTTTGTAGTTCTCCTTGAAGAGTTCTGTCATGTCTCATTAGCCATATTCCTAGGTATTTTATTCTCTTTGTAGCAATTGTGAGTGGGAGTTCATTTATAATTTGCCTCCCTTATTGTCTATTGTTGGTGTGAAGGAATGCTTGTGATTTTTGCATATTGATTTTGTATCCTGAGACTTTGCTGAAGTTGCTTATCAGTTAAAGGAGTTTTTGGGCTGAGACGATGGGGTTTCCTAAATATACAGTAACGTCTTCTGCAAACAGAGACAATTTGACTTCCTCTCCTCCTCTCTGAATACTCTTTATTTCTTTCTTTTGCCTAATTGCCCTGGCCAGAACTTCCAATACTGTGTCGATTTGAAGTGGTGAGAGAAGACATCCTCATCTTGTACTGGTTTTCAAAAGGAACGCTTCCAACTTTTGCTCATTCAATATGATATTGACTGTGAGTTTGTCATAAATAGCTCTTATTATTTTGAGATATGTTCCATCAATTGCTAGTTTATTGAGAGTTTTTAACATGAGGAATGTTGAATATTGTCAAAAGGCTTTTTTGCATCTACTGAGGTAATCATGTGGTTTTTGTCTTTCATTCTGTTTATGTGATGGATTACATTTCTTGATTTGCATATGTTGAACCAGACTTGCATCCCAGGGATGAAGCTGACTTGATCGTGGTGTATAAGTTTTTTGATGTGCTTCTGGATTCGGTTTGCCAGTATTTTACTGAAGATTTTCACATCGATGTTCATCAGGGATATTGGCCTGAAATTTTTTTCTTTGTTCTGTCTCTTCCTGGTTTTGGTGTCAAGACGATGCTGGCTTCATCACATGAGTTAGGCAGGAGTCCCTTCTTTTCAACTCTTTGGAATAGTTTCAGAGAAATAGTACCAGCTATCCTTTGTATTTCTAGTAGAATTTAGCTGTGAATCCATCCGGTCTTGGGCTTTTTTTGGTTGGTTTGCTATTAATTACTCCCTCAATTTCAGAACTTGTTATTGGTCTATTCAGAGATTCGACTTCTTCCTGGTTTAGTTTGGGAGGGTGTATATTTCCAGGAATTTATTCATTTCTTCTAGATTTTCTAGTTTATTTGCATATAGGTGTTTACAGTGTTTTCTGGTGGCAGTTTGTATTTCTGTGGGGTCAGTGGTGATATCTCCTTTATCATGTTTTATTGTGTCTATTTGATTCTTCTCTCTTTTCTTCTTTATTAATCTAGCTAGCAGTCTATATATTTGGTTGATATTTTTTCAAAAACACAGCTCTTGGATTCATTAACATTTTTGGGATTTTTTGTGTGTGTGTCTCTATCTTCTTCAGTTCTTCTCTGATCTTAGTTATTTCTTGTCTTCTGCTAGCTTTTAGATTAGTTTGTTATTGCTTCTCTAGTTCCTATAATTGTGATGTTAGGGTGTTGATTTGAGCTCTTTCAAAGTTTCCGACGTGGCCATTAGTTGCTATAAATTTCCCTCTTATCACTGCTTTAGCTATGTCCCAGAGAATCTGGTACATTGTCTCTTTGTTCTCATTGGTTTCATAGAACTTTCTTGATTCCTGCCTTAGTTTCATTATTTATCCATGAGTCATTCAGGAGCATTGTTCAATTTCCATGTAATTGTTTGGTTTTGAGTGAGTTTCTTAATCTTGATTTCTAATTTGATTGCACCATAGTCTGATAGACTATTTGTTATGATTTCAGTTCTTTTGCATTTGCTGAGGAGTGTTTTACTTCCAATTATGTGGTCGATTTTAGAATAAGTGCCATATGGCACTGAGAAGAATGTACATTCTGTTGATTTGGGGTAGTGAGTTTTGTAGACATCTACTAGGTCTACTTGATCCAGAGCTGAGTTCAAGTCCTGAATATTCTTGTTAATTTTTGGTCTCATTGATCTGCCTAATACTAACAGTGGGGTGTTAAAATCTCCCACTATTATTGTGTTGGAGCCTAAGTCTCTTCGTAGGTCTCTAAGAACTTGTTTTGTGAATCTGGGTGCTCCTGTATTGGGTGCATATATATTTAGAATAGCTAGCTCTTCTTGTTGAATTGTTCCCTTTACCATTATGTAATGCCCTTCTTTGTCTTTTTCGATATCTGTAGGTTTAAAGTCTGTATGTCAGAGACTAGAATTGCAACCCCTGCTTTTTTTTGCTTTCCATTTGATTGGTAAATTTTTCTTCATCCCTTTATTTTGAGCTTATGTGTGTCTTCGCACCTGAAATGGGTCTCCTAAATATAGCACACCAATGAGTCTTGACTCTTTATTCAATTTGCCAGTCTGTGTCTTTTAACTGGGGCATTTAGCCAATTTACATTTAAGGTTAGTATTGTTGTGTGTGAATTTAATCCTGTCATCATGTTCATCATACTGCTATTTGTTTATTTTGCACACTAGTTTATGCGGTTTCTTCACAGTGTCATTGGTCTTTATATTTTGGTGTGTTTTTGCAATGGGTGGTACCCACTTTTCCTTTCCATATTCAGTGCTTCTTTCAGGAGCTCTTGCAGAGCAGGCCTGATGGTAATAAAATCCTCAGCATTTGCTTGTCTGAAAAAGATTTTATTTCTCTTTTGCTTATGAAGCTTAGTTTGGCTGTATATGAAATTCTAGGTTGAAAAATGTTTTCTTTAAGAATGTTGAATATTGGTCCCCAATCTCTTCTGGCTTGTAGAGTTTCTGCTGAAAAGTCTGCTGTTAGCCTGATGGGCTTCCCTTTGTAGGTGACCCGGCCTTTGTCTCTGGCTGTACTTAACAGTTTTTCCTTCACTTCAACCTTGGAGAAAGTGATTTTTATTTGTCTTGGGGTTGATCTTCTTGTGGAGTATCTTCATGGTGTTCTCTGTATTTCCTGAATTTGCATGTTGGCCTGTCTTTGTAGGTTGGGGAAGTTCTTCTGGATAATATCCTGAAGCGTGTTTTCCAGCTCATTTCCATTCTCCCCATCTACTTCTGGTACTCCAATCAGTTGTAGGTTCGGTTTTTTTTACGAAGTCCCGTATTTTTTTGGAAGCTTTGTTCATTCCTTTTAATTGTTTTTTTCTTTAGTCTTGACTACACGCCTTATTTCAGCAAGGTGGTCGTCAAACTCTGATATCCTTTCTTCTGTTTGGTCGATTCGGCTATTGATACTTGTGTATGCATCAAAAGTTTTTCACATTTGGTGAAATATATAAATTTACACACTCAAGAATTTCAGAAAAATAAGGCAGGATAAATATAATGGAAACCTTACCTTGTTACAAAATTATCAAATTGCTGAACACCAAAGATGAATAAAATAGCTTGCAATCAGCCAGAGTAAATCAACATATTGAGAAAATGAAGACAATTATTTGAATGACTGAAAATTTCTAATAAAAAACATGAAGACCAGAAAAGGGTGAAGCAGGATCTTTAAAGTATTACAAGGAAAAATAAGAATCTCCAATTTCTACAGTTAGCAAAAATAATCTTAAAGAAGAAAAACAAAATCAGAACTTATTTTACATAAAAGAAATGTGTGGCCAGCAGACCAATACTAAAATAAATGTTACAAAGGGTTTCCTCAGGTTAAATGGAAATAATACCAAAGGTACAATTGGGTGTTCAGTAATGAATGAAGAACATTGAATATAACAAATATTGGGGAAAATCTAACAGAATCATTTTTTTCTCTTAAGTTCTTTACAATAGGCATATGGCGGTGTAAAGCAAACATTAAAATATTGTCTCAAGAAGGTTTCAGTGTATATAAATAAAGTTCATATGATAACTACAACAAAAAATGGGGAGTGTGTACCTATAAAGACCTATATGGTTGCAAGATTTCTATATTTTACATATAACTAGATTGTGAATGTTTAAATATGTAACTACAGTAGCACACCCATTATTTAAAAGAATATAAAGTCAAATTTATATTTTAAAAGATAAAAAGATATATAAATAAACAGCCATATACATAAAATTACTATTTGGAAATAAAACAACACACTGCTAATAGGTCATTGATTGATCAAAGAGAAAATCAAAAGTGAAATGAGAAAAAAGTTAATATTGTTAATATATCTATTCTTAAATATAACTATTCTTTTTAAATTCAACTGTTAGTATATCTATTCTTAAATATTTCTCATTTCTCTTAAAGTGAGAAAAATCTCAATATTGTTAATATGTCTATTCTTAACAAGTCAAAATTTTCACAACATATTAAAGAAAAGGTAATTTTAAATTTCATATGAAAAATGAACAATCTAGAACAACAAAACCAATGTGAAAAAAATTCCTTAAAAAGTTAGAGAATTTATAACCACCTTATTTCAACAATATAAATCTATGCTCTGTATTGTGTTATTAACATGGAGACAGATATATCACGAGTGAAATAAAATAAAGAATCTAGAAATAGTTCCAAATATATAGTCAATTGATTTTTGACAAATATGTCAATTTAACAGGAAAAGAATAATCTTTTCAAATATAGCAATGAAAAAATTGGATACAAATATTCCAAAATACACACATTCACAAACACAACAAAAAATTGGACCTACTTCACAACAAATACAAAATTAATTCAAAATTAGTCATAAGTATAAGAGCTAACATTACAAAACTCCTTTCAGAGCAAGGGTCAGCAAATTATGATATATAGTCTAGCTGCCTACTTTTCTACATATTTATTCTAACATAATCATTTCCATTCATTGGTGTATTATTTATAATTGTTCTTATTCTATCACAACAGATTTGAGTAGTTGGAGCAAAAATCATATGGCCTGCAGGCCTAACGTATTTACTATCTAGTCCTTTAATAAAATGTTTGACTATTCCTATACAAGAAGAAAGCATAAACAAAAATCTGAATGACCTCAGTATAAGAAAAGATTTCTTAAATATACACAAAAAATGCAATCTATAAAACATCAATAAGTTAAATTTTTTTTAATTTTGTATTTTCAAAGGACAGTTTTATTTCTTATATTTGTATAAAAATAAAACTCAAGCTATGTACTGGGATAAAATATATACAGCACATATGTCTTTACATGTACTTATACCTAGAATATATAACTTCTATAATTTAATAAGTAGACAAAATGTTTTAAAATTGGCCAAGTTTTTTTTTAGAGTTTCACTGTCACCCAGGCTGGAGTGCAGTGGTAAGATCTCGGCTCACTGCAACTTCTACTTCTCAGGTTCCAGCAATCCTCCCATCTCAGCCTCCTGAATAGCTGAGATGACAAGCATGTGCTTCAGTGCCCAGCTAAATTTTGTAATTTTTGTAGAGGTGAGGTTTTGCTATTTTACCCAGGCTGGTTTCGAACTCCTGAACTCAAGAGATCTGCTCTCTTCGACCTCCCAAAATGCTAGGATTACAGGCATGAGCCACTGTGCCCAGCCAAATTTGCCAAGATTTTTAACTGGCATTCTGCAAAGGCATTTACAGAGATAGAAAATAAGCACATGGGAATACATTTAACATTATTAATATTTGAGGAAATGAAATTGAAATCACAGTGAAATACCACTACTCATCCAATAGAATGGTTAAATTTTAGAGACTGGCCATACAAGTTCTGCAACTGATAAGAAACAACTGCTGTTGGAAACACATGATATAATCGTTTCTGGAAAAATATTACTTTTCAAAAAGTTAAATACGTATCTATCATATGACCCAGCCATTACACTCCTGGGCAATTACCAAAAGGAAATGAGAGTGTATGTGCATGACTTGTCCATGAATTTTCATAGTAGATTTAGTTTTAGAAGCCACAATCTGAGAGGAAAAAAGTACTCTTCAAAAGATAAAGTTTAACAAACTATACACCATTCTATGCCATGGAATATTATTCACCCTTAAATATAAATGAACTGATGATACATTCAATAACATGAATCAACTTCAACATAATTATGCTGTTTAAAATGTCAGATAATCAATCAATACCACATAAACCAATTTATACAAATTCTAGAAATAGAAAACAAATACAGAAAGAAAGGAGATCAAGAGCTCAGTGAGTTATTGGGGATGAGGGGTAGAAAATGGGAGGGATAAATTACAAAGAGTCATGAATAAATAATTAGGGATGTGAAATGTCCTTATTATCTAGAGTGTGATACCCATGTGATTTTATGGGTATATTCATATGACAAAAAATAGTGTATATTAAATATGTGTTGATTATTGTGTGGCAATTATATATCAGTAAAGCTGTTAAACAGTTTTTTTCTTCAGTGAGGCCTTCTTATATCACTATATATAAAATTTCACTTATCTTCTTGACTTTTCTATTTCCCCTTCTTTATTTTATTTATTTTTTACTTTAATTTTTTTCACTGTATAAAACATCCAATTATTTCAACTTACTTGTGAGTGGTATATATTTGTATCTGTTTTGTTTACTATTTTATCTTCACTGACTAGAAAATACCTCACACAAAGTAAATGCATACTAAATATTTGTTGATGAATAAATCATTTAATGAATGAGAATGACAGTTTGGTAGTATTAGCTAATTATATATCTCAGTGGGGTCAAGGAGTAGTTAGAACTGGGTTACTAGAAGAAGTGAGAAGAAAAGGTAAGAGGTAATGGCCACAGAGATGGATATTTGAAATAAGTTATTTGAGGGGTTATATTTACTGGCAATGTTACCATTGCCAGACCATCTAATTTCTGAATTAGGACCATAGGGGTGAATTAGCAGGAAGCATGCAGAAAGGAAATAGATCAAGAAATTAAGAGGTCAGAATTTTGAAAATCTCATCTTTATTTCAATTTATGTCAAATTTAAGAGCAAAGAAAGGTATTTTCACTGTTACGTATAAAAGCATTCTCTGAAGTTATAGTAATAAAAATATTTTGGTATTGTTTAAGAACACATGTGACATATGTCACAAAATTAAAATAGAAGACTCAGAGATATATGAATATATGAGGACATGATGTTTGGTAAATTTAGAATGCCTAATGAATGGGGAAGAGGTGAAATGTGTTTTGTGCAATACTTGGAAAAATTACTCACAGAATGTGAAAAAAAAAAGTTAACCTTGATAAACTTTCAGCTTCTGCTTAGGTTGCAGGAAGCTTAAAATAGTGTAGCTTCCACATTTACAACAAAATAAGCCAGATAATGCACAAAATACAAAGCCTTTAAAAAAAAAAAACTCAATAGAAAGCTAAGATTACTATGAAACTAAGAAACCTGAAAAAACAGATCTCTTCAAAGGAGAGATGACATGACTATCGCCTGGGGCAGATGTCAAACACCATATATTATGGAGGGCAGTGAGAAGAATGAAGCTAAAATATGTAATGAATTTCTAAAAGGTAAACTGATCTGGTACTCCTGGAATTCACAGAAACAAGAGAAATTTGTTCCCATTTATAGTCTTTTCTTCGTGAACCTCACCAGGCTTTCTTTCACAAGATAGACTAGAAGTTGGGTTGAAGTCCTCAGACAGATCTCTCTCATGGAGTAGTCCTGGGGAAGCAGATCAGCAGCTATATGAGAAAAGGCATGAAGACCCACTTGGACTCTTGTCTCCCATATTCCCTATGAAACAAAATATTTAAGCCATTTGGGAAAGGGCAACAAACTCCTCACCCATAGGGCACAAATGAAGACCCAGTAGGACGTGGGAAGGCTCTTGTCTCAGAACATCAAAAGTCTCCTACAGCAAGAGGAGGAGGGGAAATGTAAGAGACTGAAGGTAAAACAAGAGGAATATGTCCTACTCCCCCACTCAATACCAATTCCAGGCTACCACAGAGTAAAATAACAAGTAACAGCAATCTATTCTTGGGGAAGTTAGAAAGGAGAAAAATATTCTCTAAGGAAGAATGGCAAAGAAAAGACTCTAAAGCTGAGGTTGGATCAAACATTAAGAACAACTTACTTGTAAATTAGCCCCTATACGCATTACAAGATAACTCTAGAAATATTTAAAGTCTGTAGTGCTGTGAGGGTTGTAATAGCAACAAGAAAACCTAAATGCTGCTCAAATACTAACTCAGTTGGCTCAGCCTTCGGACTGGCAATAATTAAAAAGTCAGATAAGGCCAACAAGTGGGATATGACAGCACATAAATTTGTATGCATAGTTGTAAACATATAGACTTTTACAACCATGTAAACTTATGGCCTATTTCTGAGAAAAATTCTCCCCGATGTCCATTAAAAAAATGTTCATTGTTTGTGGTAACTGGCAGTTGGGGAAAACTGGTTTCCGGTAGTAGGGAAATTGATAAAAAAAAAAGTAGATAGATTTACCCAATGAAATAATATTCACTTGTTAAAAGCAATATATGAGAAGACTATACAATTGATGTTTACATCTTAAAAGTATAATGCTGTGAGGTAAAGAAAAAATATATCTATAGCATAATATCATTTCAGAACAAAAATGCATGCACCTAAAACAAATTAAAAATAAACCTTATGTATTAACATTTAACAAGGACATGTATCAGTAAAAGGGTATGGATTATCATGGAGAAATTTGGAAACAGGGTTTGAGGAATAAAGTAAATAAACAAATATGCAAATAAAATAGGAGTGGGCCTTCATGAGAGTTGATGTCAACTCACTGCTATGAATACAAAAGAATAATTAAAGCAAATGTTTGCTCCTGAGCTAAATAATCAAGTAAACAAAATAAAATATGTAGTGGCCACTAAATATATGGTTCTTTCTTTTTTAATTATAGAAAATTATTTAAATGCATGTAGGACATCTTTTTATGGATTGAAAAGGAGACATCTATCATCTACTGTTTACAAAGCTTTTTCACCTTTATTAATTGATAATAAATCTCTTTTTATTTAGTCACCTCTAAAGAAACTTAAAGAGATGGTATTTCTTAATTCTCATTATAAATTCAACTTTTGTAAGATTTACATTGACAAAATGGATATGAGACAATAAAAATAGTGTTTTTATACATTTTCTTGACTCTAGAAACTCTGGGAATGAATTACTATCTTCTAATATTATTGAAATCAGTAAAGTGATAATTCTGATAGTGTCACAATAAAAATTTAAACAATACAAATGAAATTCACGAAAAGTTCTTACTTTAGAGACACTCATAGAGAGTTTCATAAAGTCTGCCAGCTTTCTGGTAGGTACAAAATATTGACATTTAAGACTCAATTTTCATTCAGATATCAGTTTTCAAAAGCATGTTGTATACCAAATTAAAAGTCATGCTTAGAATCGTTATCCAAATATTATCCAGAGAGAAAGATATGGACTGTGACTGTCTGGATATGTCAAATAAAACTTCAAAATATTTAACTCGAATATTTGTTGAAGAAAAACATGACTCTTTCAGCCAGTTACTGAGTTCTGAGTGTCATCCCCTCATCCAAATGTCTATGTTAACATACAAGGTTAAGTCCCTGTCATTGTTTCTGCAGTAACTCTCAAAAAGCAATTTACGGCTATATCTAGAATGACTAATTTTGATAAAACATATATATTATTTGCCTTAAAATAGAACAGATGAACTTCAATGGTTATAAATAAAATGATATATATTTAATAATATATATTTAAGATGACTTTCCATATTTCTTATATTTCATAGCAAGATAAACAATGTGAAAGTGAGTTGGAGAAAGAGGACCTATATAAAGTTAGTGTGCTAGATTGAAAATAACCTATTAATCCCTTTAAACCTATGACCATTTAACAAATGAATGGTAAGGTACATGCTATATAATAGTATTAAACAATACGTCTTATGGTTGAAAATTTAAAAGTAAATGTATTAAATGTAATTAAATTTAAAATTAAAATTAAATGGCATTGGTGACGACATATTTCAAAAACAGTTTACAGCTCTGCTGTCCAACATGGTAACCAATAGCCACACATACCAATTTAAATTTAAGTAGGTAAACTTAAATAAAATGTAAAAGTCAATTCATCAATTACGCTAGCTGCATTTCAAATACTCAGTAGCCTCGTGTGGCTAATGGCTACCATATCAGACAGTGGAGTTTTAGCACATTTCAACCATCACAGAAAGGCCTATCGAACAGCATGAGTAATAAAGAATACATTACATTAGTTGTTTGCTAAGACGAGATAGAAAAACCCACTCATTTAAAGAGCATCTGTCATGCTGATAACAAATTTGCTATAAAAAGAAACAAATGTACATTACATTATATAAATCTACATGGCACTAACAACAAGTAAAGCTGCATATAAAATAAGAAGTCTTTTAAAAAATAATTTTATTAAAAATACCATTATCAAAGACTGTACACCTTGATGAAAGTTGTAAGGTTGTGTAATGTGCTTTATAATGAGTTGATCTCATTAATGTATTAGCAATAATAATAAATAGAAAAAGAAACAACACAAGCTGAAACAAGCCTGATAAGAGAGCAATATAAAGGATTATGATTAGTAGGTCACACTTGATGATGTCCTACTAAATATAAAATCACTCTATTAAAGATCAAACATAGCTTCTATTTTGGAATCCTCAAATGAAATGTTAATATCTAAAGATTTTTTTAAAAATGCAAATTTCTTCCTAGGAGATCAATTATTATTGTTATTTGGCCTTCCGAAGCATTTTGTATTCTACAACATACGTTTGCATTTGGAGCTTAGTTTTCAGGTCTAGCAGAATAGATCAAGGTAGATGTTTGGGCTTGAATTCTGGCTGTATCTGTGCTTGAGATGCAGCTTAAGAGAGGTGGTTTGAGAGCTACACATAAGACATTTTTATTGATTAAGAAAGAAGTTCATCTACTTCAGCTATGGAAATTATAGTGTTAAAATTACTAAGGATTCAAGCATTCGATCTCATCTTAGTGGTTTTTTATTCCAAAGATAAACTCTATTCAATATTCTTTATTAAGTGTAGGCAGCTACTTAATGAAGAAAAACAAATAACCAATAAATAGTGATATAATATTTGAACTCTATGCTATCCTAGATTCAGGCAACAGTCTCACAAGTGAAACAAAATAAAAAGTATATGAACAATTCAGCCATACTCTCACTGACATTAAGAAAGTAAATTTATAGTGAGCTGCCAACTAAGAGATCATATCTAATTTATAAGTGAAAATCATCAATATTTTATTAAAACAATGAAATATTGTTTTATTTATATATTGATATGGAAAATTGAATGTATACATCTTACATGAAAGACATAAAAGATAAATTTTGTGTACATGAAAAAATACCTTTCATATATCATATCATATGTATCTGCATTCTGACACTATGAAAGGAATTATGCAGTGAAAAGTTGGTGGGTATGCATGTATGACATTTCCAGTATCATTTTCTTCTCTTCTCTCACCTCTCACTAGTACCACGACCAATACAATTCATGATGAGTAGCCAGCTCCCTCATGAAGAAAAGCAAATAACTAAAAAAAACCCAGTAATTCAAAAAATGCATTGACAAATATGTTGTATAAAATATTAGCAGGTAAAAATATCACCTAAATGAAGACTAATCTCCCAATTGTTAAACTGGAAAAATTAATATTTTAAAACCAAAAATACCCTTAGGATTCTAGATATTTCTCAACCTGTCTCCAGTAAATTTTATTCTATTTCATCTTGTAGGAAGTTTGTATTTAAAAATACAATAAATTATGAAATTTCTACTTATTAATGTCATTCTTAATATTATAGAATGCATAATAACATATCAAGGATGTTTAAAAATTCTTGGTAAACATTTGGAGTAAAACTTTTAAAAATATATTTATCAGCATTTTAATTCATAACATTTTTGAACAACACATTTAGCAAAATACTTTTTTAGCTTAAATAATTTAATTTATAAATGAGAGTTTGGAATTATAAAGGTTAGGATTATTGAACTCCCCAAAGTACTACAAAATCTGTTAACAAAGCAAAGAATCCCACCTGATCAGTTTCTCAGAAAAGGTAAGTTACAAGTAAGATATTTATAGGGCTTTGGGGTCTGAGCTCACATAATTCAACGGGCCTTTCCAGGATTAAAAATGCGGTAGGCAAAATTTGTGACACAGTATCTTAGGATTAGAGGACTGAGGATCTTGATGTGCGTTAAAGAAGTAAGTCTTTATTTTACATATGAACTGCATGCTGCCATGACCAAAATACTGACTTCATTAAATTGACTTATAGGGATTTCCTCAAGCACACATTAAAATAATTTATTGTTTTACAGTCCTAACTCTGCAGCAAAATTTACCTGGAGCAAACTAAGTAATATTGACGTATGTGGTCCGTGTCATATCTAAGTTGTGGTGACAGGGTTGGTTTTAATTCTCACAGTCTTTTTATATTCATTATTTAGTACGAGTTGGAAGATAGAGCATTACCAACTGATGAAATAATAATTTCAGATCTACTGCACTCTTTGAATATTCATGACTGTAGAGTGGCAGTTATTTGAGCCATTACATATGTTGGGTTTATCTGGTCTTTTAGACGAATGATTATTTGTTGAATCATTTGATGGGAGTGTCTGAATAACAGAGTTTGGGACTCTAGAGATCACACATTTGGATACTACAACCAAGATAAATATTAAGAGGCGGTTTGTGTTCAGAGTTTTTAGTCCACTTCTAAACTAGAAGCCAATAGTGCATAAACTGAACCAAGAAAAGCAATCCTTGGTTCTCAGGGATTGAGAACTCAATACTAATATTCAATACTAGTACTTTCAGGTATGAGAGTATTAGCAAAACTCAATAATTTCTTAAGTTTTTCCTTTGTTTCCTGGACTTTGATAATAATATTAAAGACCTCAGAGGGTTCACTAGAGGTTTGCGTACACAATTCTCCTAAAATAAAACGTGTATCTTTCAAAAACATAATATCATGTCTATGTCTGCTCTTCCTTTTATTTTATTTATTTATTTATTTGTTGGTGAGAAGTCATAACACCCCAATAGCATTTTCTAGCCCTGGCCAATCTCTGAACTATTGCATGCAAAATTTTTCCAATTTCTCATGTCTTTTTTATAGCATAATATGAAGAGATTTGAAAACATAACAAATAATTCATCTTGAGTTAAAGTTTGGGATCTCAGAACTCAATTTCTCCTCTTGATTCAAGTTATGGAGCAATCCCTATTTTCTATATTTTTCTTGTTTTTATTTTTATTTTGGTAAAAACAATTGAACAAAACTGAACTGTGTATGACATTTTTGAGACTTGTGGCAGTTAACAAAGATAATAAGTTCATATCTAATTTGCTTTTAGTAGCCAATAGGCTTTTGTGCCATACATTTAATACCATATTTTAGGAGGTGATCCAATAACTTGTTGCCAGGCAAAATTTCCCCACTAAGCTAGGTATAATTTACTGTATAATTTTGGTAACATTCTGAGATAGGAGCATAATTAGATAGGCAGAATATAAAAAGAAAATAAATAAAGAATTAGGAAAAAATGAATCCAGAAAACTTTCATGCATAGTAAAACTTTTATGATTGTTATGAAATACATGTTGTCATTATCTGTTTGCTTCTTGAAACTTACCTGTATGAAAGTTTGGTTACAGAAGGTATCTCTTACAAATATTCTCTGGGTATTGTTTCATTGTTGTTCCCTTCATAGATGTGACATACAAAAGGTTTTAGCATTTCGGTTGCCTTTTTTTCTTGTTTTTTGCTATATTACATCTTTAAAAAATCAGTAGAGTACATTACTTGTAAGACCATTTTTAAAATAATTCATTGGTTCCAAAGGGAGAGGTTTGGCACTCAGAAAAAAAAGTGTCCAAATCACTACTGTTTGGCTTGATGTTTAGATTTTTGATTTGTAATTAAAAAAAAAAAAACTGAAGCCAATGGCTGGATTCTAATACCAAAGAGAGACTAAATACACAAAAGAAAAATTTAAGGATAGAGACCTTGTTAATATCAAGGCTGAGATTTTTAAAAATGCGAACAATCTGGAACTTAATTCCAGAAAGGAGAAAATACAATAGCTAGATAACAGCATGCCAATTAAAATATAAAATTTGTGCCTACAATTAGATGCTCATGTCATGCAATTATTTTGGTTCAAAAGTATTAGGGGAAGCCTTGTCTCTTTCTGTGCCAGTTATCTATTTATTGCCTCTCAGTTTCAAATTCATCTTTCACTCCCTGCTATGCAAAATGTGATCTAGGTCCTTTAACTATGTTTTACCAGCTGGCCTGATGGTAACTTTCATCAGTGGAGGTTACTAAAGAGACCTTGCAGGAGGAAGGGTATTTCTTTCTCTTTCCAGTGTGCTCACTTGGCTGGCTCCTGAAGCACACACATCTTCCTTACCAGCGAGCTCCTGCAGCGTGGGTAGCATCTACACAATCCAGTACATGCAGTATATGGTGGACAGCTTCCCCTGGAAACTACTTCTCCTCCTGACCACTCTTGCCACAGTAGTTCTATAGTACATTAACTCTGCCTTTTTCTGGAACCCTAAGGATTTATAGTAAGCTCTAGAGGGCAGATTTTCAGAAGTCCAGTCAGTGAGCACCCCAACAACTTATCTGCCACTCTGTGAGCCACTACCTTTCCCTCTCCAACAGTTTCTGGATCTTGGCTTTGTACTACATTCTTTGGAGTCTTTTTTTTTAATCATTAGCCAACATCACATTACTCCAATCCCTTGCTATAGTTAATAACTTTTCATATTGACCTTTTCTTGTTTGAATTACTATGTGGTTTTCTTTCTGTTGACTACACTGTGACTGATAGACCAACCAAAGCCATCTATTTCTGGAGGATTATTAAGACTCTTTGTGTTTTACATTTCCTGATATATTGGCAGTCCATGTCTTATATCTTTTAAACTAGAACACATTTAGCCATGGATCAATACGCTGGAGATTAACTGCTGCTTTCATGTTCAAAAGTACTTAACTGGGTCTTTTCAAAATTATTCTAAGGCATTTCTCTTTCTGGTATATTTTCCTTAAGATAGTCTTTACTTTTGGATCATTTAGTGCCTGTTGCAAGAATGTGAAGAAAGGAAGTTTTTACCTATTATTAAAAAGACTGTATACATTGCATAAATCATATGAATAATTTGTGATGTATTGATGAGATAAGCTAGAGTTTAAAATCAGTCATGACATATTCAACCTCACAGAGTCAAACTTGCTAGTGAAAGTCATGAGACCTGCAAGGTATGGGCATCGTGAGCAGGAGGGCCAGAGGTTACACTGTTGATCAAGGAAGTTCAAGAATGCCAAATATATTTGCTAATGTAGTTTTAAAATGTCATTGTTTCTCTTTACTTTTACTGAGTATTAAGGATGACAGAAGCAGTAAAATTTCTTAGTAAGTGGTAAGACTTTTCAAATTTCTCTGTTAAGAATCCAAGTAAAGTCAAGGTCTCTATCATTGGACAGATAAGCTGGAATTCCCCAGCCTGAGACACAAAATCAAATGGAAAATTATGCTACCATCAGTCATAGTTCTTTGGGAATGGAAAGCTTTAATTCATCAAAAAAAAGTCAGGAAAAAATGCAAATATATTGAGAAAAGCTGTAGCAGGTGGGTGGTTTCTTGAAATCTATTTGAAGATTTTTTTGGGAATATTGGACAATGAGGCTTGGATTATTGTCCATGTTCCATTTTGACACTTTTTGCAGAATGATGCTTGTGATAAATGAGTTCACTATAAAAATACAGACAGTAAGATTAGTAAAATCTCTTCACCAATATTGATGAGGCATAATGGCAAATATTTTGAAAGTTTCTACCTGAAGTTTCTGTCACCTCATGCAACTCTTATGAATGTACTAGAAATAATCTTCAACCAAAATTTTTCCAGTAATTTTTGCAAATTCCAGAGCTCATCAGTGACATTCTATGACAGTATCTTTTCACAAATCCAGTGAATTGACTCTTTGGAATATTACAGAGGTCATGATCTTAGGGAGGGATCCTTTTTTGGCATAATATTCAACTAACACATTTCAACAGCTTCCATATTATTTTTTCCATCTATGATTCTCTCGTTAGATAATCCTTAAAAGTTTTATTTTCATTGTAGACTATGGGTAAAAACATTTACTGTTTCCACAATGTATTGTATTCTGCAGTCATATTCCAAAATATAACGGACAGCAGGTATAGATTAAATCTTATACATTTCACAAATTAAGCAATATCTGGTAAATGTAATTTGTTCTAATATCTGAGCTGATTTTACTTTTAGTAAAATATCTCACTTTAATGTTACATTGAGAGGTCTTATTTTGCCTACTATTTACTTATTTCAGCCTTAAGTTATGATCCACCAACAAACTAAGAATGTTTGAATTTTTAAACAGAGAGTTCTAATAAATTGTTTAAAACCATGTTTAGTTCACAACAGAAAGGATAAAAAGTCATGGATTTCCCCTGCTTTAAGTAATGAAAGAACAACAGGATATAATTTATAGCAATGAATAGAAATGTTTCAGGGGCAAACATGAAATTTTGTAAGAGGTGAGCTTACTTGCTAATAAACGTTTCCTATTTTCAATAATTAACAATAATTGAAAGCATGAAATACCATCAAATATAAGGCACATTTTAAATTCAAAATTGAAAAATCTCCTTGCTTATTTGATGCTGCTATTGCTCATAGAAAATATGGGTAGATATCTGCCACTGGGTTTCTGGAACACCTTTAATAAGAAATTGGTCTGAGATCATTCAAATGAGATTGAGTCTAACCTCCAAGGTCTTGCCCAGAGCACTCACATATAAGTAGGTATTATGGGTTTATGATAACTAAGAAGATGCAGAGTAGAAATCAAAACTTTAATTAAATCACACAGTTACTGTTTCTCTTTAGTGTCACAGGGAAATTTCAGTTATGAGGTTTCATAAAAATTGGAATTCCATTGCCTAGAATTCACACTGACACTCTTAAAAACTTTTTGTCTTTATATTGCTTTATTGAACAATAAGGATTTACAGTCAACTTCACTTCTATAAAGTGTACAGTTTGTTGAGTTTTGAATGTGCATATATTTATGAAAAAAATTTAATGAAGATAATGAAGATATCCATCACCTCCAATCCTTTTGTCAAGTCCCTTTATAAATCAAACTCTCATTTTCCCTGTCACCTTCCACATTCTCCACCAGGGGTCAAGGCAACTACTAATCTTCTTTTTTGTCAATTTTATTAATAATAAATGTACACGCTTTTATATAGAGGGAATCATATAGTAGTACTCCATTTTGTTTTCTTTGTTTTTCTAAGACTTAGCATAATAATTTTGAGATTCATCCTTGAAGTTATGTCTGTTGATAGCTTGTTTTCTTGTATAGCCGAGTGGTATTCTGTTTAATCCATTGACTTTGAAAGGTACAATCTGTTAATCCATTACCTGACAGAGATATGGAAAATTAGTGCTTTACTTAAAAGTGCCCAAATTCACAATTTCTAACACTACCAGAGAGGGGGAAAAAAAAACAAAGCTGCAACTTGCCGTTTTTCTCAGTCAGTGGAACCTACTGGAGATATGTAAGGAAAACGGTCATCTTTTAGAGGCTGAATTATGATTTCTATGAATTATTTTTGTACCTGCCACATTGAACAGTTTAAGATTTCTCATTATTTCAAATATTGCCATTTCAGCTAGTTGGTATGAAAATTCCCAACCTGGATCTGATTTCTATTGAAGCCTTTCAATATGAATGCCTTCTTGGAAATTATCCTGTTTCAACTTTCTTAAAGATGGTCAATGAGAAATGTGAGCATATTCAATTATTTGAGTACATTAAGTAGTAGGTTTAGTGTGAGTCATAAAGAAGCTGGACTTTTCATAGTCATAGACTTTTTGTTTCCTTTCAGATTACTAATTTTTTTTTTTTTTTTTTTTTTGAGACAGAGTTTCGCTCTTGTTGCCCAGGCTGGAGTGCAATGGCACGATCTCTGGCTCACCACAAACTCTGCCTCCTGGGTTCAAGCTATTCTCCTGCCTCAGCCTCCTGAGCAGCTGGTATTACAGGCCACCACACCCAGCTAATTTTGTATTTTTTTAGTAGAGAGGGGTTTCTCCATGTTGGTCAGTGTGGTCTCGAACTCCCAACCTCAGGTGATCTGCCCGCCTCGGCCTCCCAAAGTGCTGGGATTACAGGCGTAAGCCACTGCGCCCAGCACAGATCACTAATATTAATTAAAATCAATACTTGAAAATGAATCAAAACTTGCAAAAATAATCTGGTTTAATCTTATTAGGTAAAGATTTCATTTATCAAGACAACAGTATAAACTCAGTAAGAACACTTCAATTTATAAATATTTTCCAATCAATTTAAATATTCAGTCTTAGATGGGTACTTTCTTTTTTTAAAAAATAAATTTTATTGTGTATATTTGAGGTTTTCAACGTGATGTTTTGTAATATATAGAGATAATAAAATATTATATTAAAAAATTAACATCTCTTTATATAATTAATTTTGCATAGCAAGAACAGCTAAAATCTACTTATTTAACAAAAATCTCAAATACGAGTTTCATTAAATATAGTCCTCATGTCGTACATTAGATCTCTGGAACTGTTCATCCTACATATCTTTTAATTGATTTGTTTTGATATACATCTCCACTTCTTCCCTCCAGGCCCTGCCCTTCCCCTGACAACCACAGTTTCATTCTCTATTTCTTTATATATGAACATGAAAAATAAATTCTACATATGAGATCATGTATTTTTTTTCTGTGCCTGATTTATTAACACTTAGGTCGTTTCCATAATGTGGCTACTGTGAATAATGCTTAATGAATATTTTGAATAGACTGTAATCTGTTGGAAGTATTTACAGTTTTTGATAAATAATGTACAAATGACCTATTTGTTCTCACAAAATTATAACTTTTCTGGAAGCTTTGTCTTTTCAAGATAAAAGAATAGGAATATTGATTGAGTCAGTCTTATTACCAATATTCTTCCTGAATACAGATGCAGAAATTCTTATAGAAATAGACAAGCTTGACTTCTGTTTTCCACTACATCATTTAATGAATCTGGAAGTTGTCACTCCTGTCTACCTGATGAGAAAAAGGTGAACAAACTAAAATTCAAAATTTTTTCTTAGGTCCATTAGAGAATTGAGGTATGAAGCAAACCATTCCCTTGAAAACTAGTGTCAGACAGATGCAGAAAATCACAACTTATCAGGAGCAGAAACAGCAGAAACCAGAAAAAAAGTAGGAACACTTAATCCACAAATTGCTGTATGTGGACAAGCTTTAGTTAAAAACTGCTGAAAGCCCTGTCTTAGAAGAGTTGAGGAGGAAATACTTTTGTGAGTTTTATCCCCAAGAGTTTCACCAGGTACCCACAATGAAGAATGGAGGAAAACATTCTCTACCTTTGGGTAGTAGGAGTTATTTCCACCTTGGAAAAAATAAGTACTCCCAGAATGTTTGTTATCCTTACTAAAGGCTTTCTATTAAGAAAAGTTACTTTATGAGGGCCTTATCGGGCCTAGAAGGAGGATCATTAGACAGTTGGAGCCTCTTATAGCATTCCCGTCTCACATAATCAGAAGACCACCGGCTCAGGGATTCTGGCACACTTACAGAGAGAGAGGGAGAGAAAGAGAGTGATTTAATCTTAAGATGAATACTTCTTCTCCCTAACACCTAATAGCATATCAACAGGGTTCCTGTATAAGAGTGGATTATAATTGAGAGAGCTACAAGACACATAATTTACATAATGAGTTTCTAGGGAAGCCCAAAGACAGTAGGGGAAACAAAAACAAGTGAGCCAAAGGAAATAAAAACTATTGATACCTACAGCTACATACGACTACAGCAAAGATTAAATGAAGCCTAAATTTTAGCCAGATAAAGGCCTGTTTGTCTCTCCTTCTACTACATGATACACGGTGTCTGGCTTTCAAAAAATTGTAAGAGGCCAGGCGCAGTGGCTCACTCCTGTAATCCCAGCACTTCAGGATGCCGAGGCGGGTGGATCACGAAGTCAGGAGTTTGAGACCAGCCAGGGTAACATAGTGAAACACCATCTCTACTAAAAACACAATAAATTACCTGGGCTTGGTGGCAGGTGCCTGTAATCCCAGCTGCTTTGGAGGCTGAGGCATGAGAATCGCTTTAACCCAGGAGGCAGAGGTTGCAGTGAGTCCAGATCGTGCCACTGCACTCCAGCCTGGGCGACAGTGGGAAACTCCATCCAAAAAAAAAAAAAAAATTGCAAGACATGCTAAAAGGCAAACACATAATCTGAAGAGACAAAGCAAACATCAAAACCAGACTCTTATGTGATACAGATTTTAGAATTATAAGACTGTCAATTGAAAATAATTACTATTAATAAATTAAGGATTCTACTGTAAAAAATGAAAAAGATGCAAAAGCAGATGGGTAATATAAGCAAGAAGATAATGAGATAAAAACCCTAGAAGTAAGCAAAAGGAAATACTATACATTCTGAAACAAAACAAAACAAAAAAACCCAGTGTAACAGAAATGAAGATGTCCTTTTAGGTACTCTATCAGTGTACTAGGCACAGCTTAGGAAAAATTCAGTGATTTTGGAAGTATATCAATAGATATCCCAAATGGACACGGTGGCTCACACCTGTAATCCCAGCACTTTGGGAGGCTGAGGTGGGTGGATCACTTGAGACCAGAAGTTCGAGAAGAGCCTGGCCAACATGGTGAAACCCCACCTCTACTAAAAATACAAAAATTAGGCGAGAGTGGTGGCACACGCCTATAATCCCACTACTCGGAAGGCTGAGGCAGGAGAATTGCTTGAACCCAGGAGGTGAAGGTTGCAGTAAGCCAGGATCGCACCACTGCACTCCAGCCTGGGTGACAGAGCAAGACCCTGTCTCAAAATAAAATAAAATAAAATAAATTCCCCTAATCTGAAATGCAAAGAGACAAATAAAATAAAATAATAGAAACAAATATTCAAAACCAGTTGGACAATTATAAAAAGTCTAAATTATGTGTCATTGGAATACTAAAGGAAGAAGCAAGAGAGAGAGAGAGAGAGAGAGAGAAAAAAAAAGGCAGAAGGATTTGAATAATAGTGGCTAAAATTGTCCAGAATTCTTAAGAAACACCAAACCACAAATCCAGAAATCTCACGGGAAGCCAAACAGTACAAATATCAAAAGTTTACACCTAGGCATATAATATTCAAATGGCAGAAAACCAGGCAGAGAGGGAGTGGAGACTTACCTATAGACAAACAAAAATAAGAATTACTTCACGCTAACCATCTCAACCATGCTAACATCCCAAACCATGCTAACTAGAAGAGAATGGAGTATTTTAAATGTTAAAAGGAAAACACACACACACACACACACACACACAAACACACACACTCTCACACACAGCAGTCTAGAATCCTGTGTATCCTGTGTCCAAAAAAATTATTCTTTAAAAGTGAATGAGAAATAGAGCGTTTCAGACAAACAAAAACTGAAGGAATCTCTCACCTGTTGGTCTGACTGGCAGGATACATAAAAAATAAATAAATTAATTAATTAAATTCACCTAAAAAGTTTTCCAAAGTAGTCACCGTAATTCTAAAGTATTTTTGGTGAAATTATGTCATTTAGAATGGTAAGTCAATGAATTACAATTATGGTGTAATTAGTCTAAGCTGTAGGGGTCCTAGAGACATGTTTAAACTTCGAGACAAAACCAAGAGAGTATGACAAAGGTCATAGCCAATAAATTTTTTCTCTAACTTTTGGCATCCTCATTCCCAGCCCTGTTTTTACATGAAGTCCCACCGTCAGCTTCTCATCTTAGAACAATTTACCGTTACCACAAATATCAAAGTTTTCATTGCTAAATTTGCCCCTCTTGCTGGCCTATTAGTTCTGTCACTGCTAATACCCATAGCTAAGGTCACCCATGTTGTTAAATGTGTCCACACCATAGAGGTCCTCATGTGACCAGAGCCTACCAGGTGGTGATTCAGGCTCTCATTCAATCCTGCAAAGAAAGAAGTACATCTTGGACCTTACAAAGCAGGGTCTTAAAATTTATTTCCTTATACATATGTTATTGTATATTGTTCTAAAGATCCACACAATGGTTGCTACTGAGCACAGTGTCAGTCACACATGAAGAATAGCTTTTGCAAATAGTCAGAAATCCTAACATTAAGTATAACATTCTTGCTTAGATTAATTCTGAGTTCTAAGATACTGATCTAAAATTAGTTCAATATAGCTACTCTCTGTGGCTGTACATTTGACAGCCAACTTTCCAAATATTTCAAGAAATGAAAGTAAAATCAATTAAAATCATACACCTAGAGATTTGCCATATCAATGTCATTACAATTGTATCAAGAAATTGCATACAGGAAAAATGATCATTTAGAATAAAATCTATTATTCATGTCAAATGGGATGACACTTTCAGTCACTCACAATACAATCCTGTATTAATTTCTGTATAAATGACAGGTACTAACCTTTTTGATAAGAAGATGAAGATGAAAATTTTCTTGTTGCACACAAAGAGAGTACAGTGTATTTTGGGAGCCAGATACATGAACTATCCATCATAATACTATCTAATAAGAACAGTTTCTATAGCATAGTAAAAATTATATAGGTTTATCAAGTAAAAAAATGAATCTTTTATTTTGGAGAGAGTTGGGAAGGTTGAAGTGAAACATAGTGTGGTTACTATTTCACAGGGTAAGTAATTTTTTCTAAAGTGTAACTTGAATGCTAGGTAAAATACATAAAAACTAGGAGAATTCTCTTTTGAAATATGCTAGGAGAAGAAAGCACAGGGAATGTTCAGGCACCAGTATGATTTAGTTGGTGGGCAGGATATTTGTAGTACACCACCTTTTAAGCAGGAAATGAAGATCTAGTTCCCCAAAAGTCCAGCATCCTAAAATAATTGACTCAATTTCTGTATGGCATTGTCATTCAGACTTAATGGTCCTAAAATTTGCCACTCTGTTTTAGACATGAACTTTCTTATGGAACGTAGAGTTTCCTGGCCTTTTTAATTTTAAAAATATTTTTATTGGTTTAAAACAAAGAACTCCACTCATGCCTTAATATTTTGTCTAAACTTTTGTGTTATTTAATTTTAATTTGTTCTGAAAGAACTGGGGTATACATAGAATTATGAAGAGTTTAAAAAAATCAGCACTCAGCTTAAGACATTAAACATAGCTAGAAGCACCCTATTACCTCCTTGCTCAAACTCTCCAAATCTAAAAGTGATAACTAACCTGAATTTGGCATTTATTATTATTGTGTTAAGAGGCTGAATCGTGTTCCCTCAAAATTTATACATTTGAGTTGTCACCCTCAGCTCCTCTCAATGTGACCTGTAACCCTCAGCTCCTCTCAATGTGACCTTATCTTTATTTGGAAATAAGGTCTTCACAGAGGTAAGCAAGTTAAAGTCATTAGGGTGGGCATCCAATATGAATGATGTCTTTTATAAAAAGAGAAAATGTGGACACAGAGGGTTTCATAGAGGGGAGACTATGTCCAGGGACACAGGGAGAAGACAGCACTCTAAAAGCCGAGAAGAAAGAGACCTGGGACACATTCTTGCCTCACAGTCCTCAGAAGAAAGAGACCTTAGTGACACCCTGATCTTGAACTTCTATCCTACAGAATTGTGGGAAAAAAAAAAAAACCCATAAATACATTTCTGTTGTTTAAGCCACTCAGTCTGCGGTACTTTGTCATGGCAGCCCTAGCAGAGTAATACATCTTATATATTTATTTTGTTATGCACACTATTATCAATAAACTATACATTTTACTGCTTTGCATATTTTAAACTCTATTAAAAGGGTATCATAATGCCACTTGATGTTCTGTTCTTATTTGATACTGTAATTGAGGAAAATACCTTCAAATATTGTTTAGGTTAATATATTTTTGATGTTGTGCAGAGTTTTAGTTCATTTTCACTGCATTTTCTCATCTCCACCACCTCTCCTTTTCGTGTGGAGAGATCGTGGGCATAACTTTGAGAGTTAGTGGTAGTTCAATTACTTCATCATCAAGCAATTTGAGCTCATGGGAGTTTACAGGAGCTCCACATGCCCTACACTGGGGAAAGTTAATATTGTATGTAACTCTTCCTACTGGAGAGAAAGGTAGCCACTCTTTCTACAGGAATTGTACATAGATACTTTCTTAGTGGGGGCTATCGTTCCTAGACAGAGGTAGCCAATTGAGAGGTAGACTTGAAAGAATCCACTGGGGATTTGCAGGTAATAATCCTACACATGCTTATAAACAGATGGATATTGTGGTCTGGATACTTATTAGAATCATTAATATTATTTAAAGTGTAAGAGGATCATTTTGTTGTTGACTGTCCTGAGTGAAGTTTTCCTGTAATACAGTGTAAACATTCATTGTTTACTTCTTTTTTTCTTTTTCTTTTTTATTTTTGAGAAGGAGTCTCCCTCTGTCGCCCAGGCTGGAGCGTAGTGGCGCGATCTCAGCTCACAGCAAGCTCCCCCTCCCGGGTTCACGCCATTCTCCTGCCTCAGCCTCCCAAGTACAGGCGCCCGCCACTGCGCCCAGCTAATTTTTTTTGTATTTTTGGTAGAGACGGGGTTTCACGGTGTTACCCAGGATGGTCTCGATCTCCTGAGCTCGTGATCCGCCGGCCTCGGCCTCCCAAAGTGCTGGGATTACAGGCGTGAGCCACTGCGCCCAGCCCATTGTTTACTTCCAAATCTGTTATAATATTAGGAAAATTATTCTATTATTTGAATTTTCTTATTCGCTAATTCCCAATGCATGTTGAACATTGTCTTTCTTCCATTACTAACTTTTATATTTATTTCATTACTCTTCTCACAAGTGTGTCTTCAGTGTCCCATATTGTTATGTTTGCTTTTTTTTTTTTTTTTTTTTTTTTTTTTTTTTTTTTTTTTTTTTTTTTTTGAGACGGAGTTTTCCTGTGTCCCAGGCTGGAGTGCAATGACGTGTTCTCAGCTCACTGCAACCTCCGCCTCCCGGGTTCTAGTAGCTATTCTCCTGCTTCAGCCTCCCTGTTGCAGGATTCAGGAAGATGAGATAGAGACCTCGGATTAAAACAGGAGAATCTTTTATTGAGTACACTCAGGCCCAGCTGACTCAATGTCCAAAAGACTGGGCCCGGAACAAAGACAGCACTTGACTTTTATACACACTTCACAAAATGGGGTGCGCCAGCTTGAAGCAAGCTTACAGTGGCGTGAAAGCACGGATACAGAGGCAGGACAAAGACAGTTAATCAAATTGTAACAGGTTCATAACTCAGGATTGCACATAACCATTGCTATGCAACCCAGATGTCCATTATCTAGGTTTGCCTAGGCACGGGCTTCTCCTATAACCTTCACTGTGGCACCCACGTGTCCGTAACTCAGGCCTACTCAGAGGCTCATGACCTTCACTCTACTGCTTAGATAAAACAGAATACTTGAGGTCACCAATTACAGAGAACAGGAAATATAAACTCATTCCGTAAAACAAAGGAAAATTTGTTTTTCTTCTCCCTATGTTGAGGGAGTGCTGGGAGAGTCTCCAGAGCACATTAAATAATATTATCAAGACTTTTCCTGGGTCTGGGCTGTGCCTGTTGCTGCCTCTGGGACAAGTTAGCCTAACACAGGAAAACTTATTTCTCTTTTTTTTAAATTTTATTTTTCTTTAATTTCCCACCTCATTCCAAGTAGCTGAGATTCCAGGCATGCACCACCACGCCTGGCTAATTTTTGTATTTTTAGTAGAGGCGGAGTTTCACATGTTGGCCAGGCTGGTCTCGAACTCCTGACTTTGTGATCCCCCCTGCCCTCGGCCTCCCAAAGTGCTGGGATTTCAGGTGGGAGCCACCATGCCCTGCCTGCTAATTTTTTTCTTGAATTTATTTCTCTATTTTCTTCTTTAATTCTATGTGTTTTCTGATTTCAACTGCCTTACATTTCACCACCTTCTATTTGTTTTCACATCCTTTATCTTTTTTTATGCTCTTGTTGTTGGTCTTTGTGCTTATTTTCACAGTGGTAAATATTCCAATACTTGTTTTGTTCATATTGTAATATTGTCACAGTTTTTATCCATTTATTCTGAGTACTCCTCAGCTGTTGTTTATTTTGCGTGTTGGTTTTGCACTTTAAAATAGTATCTTTATATAGATTCTATTTTTTTCTCTTTTTAAATTATTTATCCTTGAAGCAGGAAAGGTTTACACAGATTGTGTAATCACAGCCTACTTCAGTCAGAGTAAAGTAAAAATTGGATTTTAGAAAGGCTAGTATTTTCCTTTTGTCCTATAGTTTTGTTTCTGAGTGTGTTTATACTTTATTTCTCCCCAAATAACTGAGAAAGGAGCTAAGCATTGTACTGTGAAAAGTCTCTCTTCCTTTTCTTTTTCTCTCCCTTCTTCCCACCTTCTTTCCTTCCTTCCTTCTCTCTTCGTCTCCCATCCCCACTCCAAATGCAATGCATGAAAACTGTCTGCTTCCCCAAAATATGGATTGCCTCTGAATATTCTTATTTGGTCTACCCCAGTGCTTCTCTAATTTAATGGGAATACACATCACTCAATGATCTGCAGCAATGTAGATCTGGAATCAGCACGTATAGCTCAGAGCTTGTGACTCTGAATTTCTAACAATTTCCATAGTGATGCTGATGCTTTACTACTCAGAACACTCTTTATTGTATTTATTTACTTATTTTAATATTTACAAATAATAATTATGTATATTTATGGGATATACACTGATGTTTTAATCTATATAAACGTTGCAGAAAGTTAGATCAAGCTAATTTACATATCCAGCACCTCACTAACTTTTTTTTGTGGTAAGAGGGTTAAAGGTCTATTCTTTCAGCACTTTTGAAACTTTATCCTTAGATCAACATCTCCCTTTTCCCACGATGCCTCCTCCCCTAGCCTCTGGTAACCACCTTTCCACTCTGATTCTATGAGGCTGACTCTTGTAGATTCCAAATATAAGTGACATTATACAGTATTTGTGTTTCTGTCCCTGGCTTATTTCACTTAGCACAATGTCCTCCAGGTCCATCCATGTTGTTTTACAGGATAGAATTTCTTTCTTTTTTAAGGCACTATAGTATTTCCTTGTGAAAATATACCAAATTTTCTTTATTCACTCATCTGTCCACGAGCACTTAGGTTGTTTCTATTTCTTGGCTGTCATGAATAATGCTGAAATAAACATGGATGTTCAGATATCCCTTCAACATACCAATTTCAATTCCTTTGAATCTATACCCAGTAGTGGGATTGCTGGATAGTATCATAATTTTATTTTTAGCTTTTTGATGAATATCCATACTATTTTCCAAAATGGACATGCCAATTTACATTTCCACCAACAGTGTGAACATGTTCCCTTTCCTCTACATCCTCACCAATATGTTATCATTTGTCCTTTTAATAGACATTCTGACAAGTCTGAGGTGATGCTTCATTGTGGTTTTAATTTGCATTTCCCTGCTAATTAGAGATGTTGAGCATTTATTTCATATAACAAAAGCAAAAATAGACAAATGGGATTGTATTTAACTAAAAATCTTCTGCACAGCAAAGGAAACAACAGAGGGAAGGGAAAACCCACAGATTGGGAGAAAATATTTGCAAAGCAGATATCTGATAAAGGGCTAATATCCAAACATATAAGGAACTCAAACAACTCAATAGCAAGAAAACAAATATGCACATTAAAAAATAGACAAAAGATCTAAACAGACATTTCTCAAAAGAAGACATAATAGCCATCAGATCACACTTTAAATACCAAGAGCCTATCCTTTTCTTGTATTTGGAACCAACTGGATCCAAAGAATATGGGGCAGAAATATTTTTATACCCCATCCTTACTAGTGCAAATACATATTTTGGAAATTGTACCTCATTATAATATGTACCATATCCTTTGAAGGTTTATTTCTCCAGCTTTCTGAATGCTGCACCCATGGCATTTGCTCTTCATGTTTTTCAAGGTACCTGCCCTTTGTTTGCTTTTTGTTGTTGTTGTTGTTAAGATAGAATCTTGCTCTGTTGCACAGGCTGGAGAACAGTGGTGTGAACTGCAACCTCTGCCTCCCAGGTTCAGGTGATTCTTCTGCCTCAGCCTCCCAAGTAGCTGGGACTACAGGCACGTGCCACGAGGCACGTGCCACCATGCCCGGCTAATTTTTGTATTATTACAGGGTTTTGCCATGTTGCACAGGCTGGTCTTGAATTTTTGTCTTTAAGTGATCCGTCCACCTCAGTCTCCCAAACGGCTGGGATTAGAGGTGTGAGCCACCTTGCTGGAGCCTTTGTTTACTCTTGAATCTTGTTTGTGTTTTAAAGTACTTCCATGTCAAGATTAAATTAGGAATTTGTGGTGGTTTTATTTTTCTTTCTTGTTTTCTGTGATTTCTAGAAAGAACAAGGAAAATATCTAAATTACATACTACTTTAAATTCTGGTCTATTTCTATAGTTTCATAATTAAATTTAATTATAGTCAGAAGATGCCTTCTCCGTTGTTTTATTTTTAAAGTAATTGAAACTTACCTCATACTTGGATAATAGTCAACCATGCATTCTTTAATTATCAAATTGAACTTTTAAATTAGGTATTGAAAATTATATATTTATATTGATTTTTGCTTGCCCGATCTATTAAATCTTAAATGTGTTCTAATAAGTCAAAATAATTATGAAGTTTCCAATACCCACTTGCTGTATATATTTTAGTTTGATTTATATATTTTGAAAATGTTCATGTAATTTCACATGAATACAGAAAACTATTTCACATAAATTTATTATGATTACTGTTAAATTTGTGATGATTCGTAGCATTTTGAACTTTCTGTCATGATTCATTTACAGTTATTTCTCTTTTCTTGCTTCGTTTTGACTTAAGTATTATGTATATTTTTTGTACACAGTCGTGTAAAATATACACTGTATTTTTAGTATTTGAGTGCTCATCCTTAAAAGTTAAAGATAAATGTTAAAAGAAAGATAAAATTAATCACACATTTATAGATCTCTCATTAACTGTACAAATGCTGTATAATACTTTAATTCTGATTATCATCTGCATTTGCTAGGGCTGCAAGAACGAGGTACCACATACTGGGTGGCTTAAACAACACACATTTATTTTTCCATACTGCTGAGGGATAGAATATTAAGATCAACATGTCACCAGGGTTTGTTCCTTCTGAGAGTTATAAAAGAAAAATCTCTTCCAGGCCTCTCTCCTTGACTTACAGATAACCATCTCTCCCTGCAGCTACACATCATCTTCCCTTTGTGTCTCTGCCTTAATTTTCTCCTCTTCTAAGAATACCAGGCATATTATACTGAGGCCCACCCTAATGACCTCGTTTAACTTGATTACCATGTATAAATATAGTTGTAGAAGGTACCATTTATCCCTACCATAACTGATTTGCCTGTTTTATTTTTATTTTTACTTTTTAATTTTAATTTTTTTTTTTTTTAAGACGGAGTCTTTCTCTGTCGTCCAGACTGGAGTGCAGTGGTGCGATCTCAGCTCACTGCAACCTCTGTCTCGTGGGTTCAAGCTGTTCTCCTGCCTCAGCCTCCCTAGTAGCTGGGACACCCACCATGACACCTGGCTAATTTTTGTATTTTTAGTAGAGACGGGGTTTCACCATGTTAGCCAGGCTGGTGTCGAATTCCTGACCTCAGGTAACCTGCCCGCCTCGGCCTCCTAAAGTGCTGGGATTACAGGCGTGAGCCACCAAGCCTGGCCTTTGCCTGTCATTTTTACCTAGATAATATTACATATATTTGATAAAGTAAATTTGATATCATTCTTTTTTATCCAATCAATGTAATCACAGATTGAACTATATGTTTATATATTTTTTTAAAAACTTTGAAGAGAATGCTATCAGTGATATTGTCCTTGATTATCTTTCATTTAAAATATCTTAAATGATAAACTTTCGTTTAAGAAAGTTTTATTATATTTTGAATTCTTTGGATTAATAACTATATGTTGAATAGTATCTTGTGCAAACTGAATTATCTTTATCCTACTTTTGATCTGTGCTGTTATCTATTTCTAAGAATTGTAATTCTATTTTTCTAAAAATATCAATTATTTATTTAAATAGTATTTCCTCTCTATTATTCCATTTTCTCCTAAAAATATGAATATACATATATTAGTTCACCTCAGTTTAGCCTCTTGTATCTTTATTATTTCTCCTTTATATCTTTTAATCCTGTACATTTGTTGTTTGAATATTTTCTAAAAATCTACCTTCTACTCTACTCATTTTCTTTTAACTATCATCTCATTTAATTTTTCAAAATATTTTAAATAATCTTTATTGAAACATGATTTATGTACAAAATATGCTGGCTATTTAGATTATATACGTTGTTGACGCTTGACCCTAAGTCAGCAACACAACAAACACCACGTACAATATTTATATTATCGGCCAGGTGTGGTGGCTCACATCTGTAATCCCAGCACTTTAGGAGGCAGAGGCAGGTGGACCACCTGAGTTCAGGAGTTCGAGACCAGCCTGACCAACAGAGTGAAACCCCATTTATACTAAACAAAATACAAAATTAGCCAGGCATAGTAGCTCATGCCAGTAATCCCTGCTACTTGGGAGGCTGAGGCAGGAGAATCCCCTGGACCCGGGAGGCAGAGGTTGCAGTGAGCCAAGATTTTGCCATTGCACTCCAGCCTGGGCAACAGGAGTGAAACTCCATCACACACACACACACACACACACACACACACACACACAAAAGAAAAAAGAATATTTATATTATCGAAATTTTATTCAGAATTCTTTCCATTCAGTTTGCCATCTACTCTTCAATTCAGAAAACCATTGATCTGTCCTTTTGCTTTTTTTTTTTTTTTTTTTTGAGACAGAGTTTCACTCTTGTTGCCCAGGCTGGAGTGCAATGGCACGATCTCGGCTCACCACAACCTCCACCTCCCAGATTTAAGGGATTCTCCTGCCTCAGCCTCCCGAGTAGCTGGGATTACAGGCATGCACTATCACATCTGACAAATTTTTTGTATTTTTAGGATTACAGGCTGGAGCCACCACACCCAGCCCCTTTTGCATTTCCTAGAGTTTCATGTATGTAGAATCAAACTACATTCACTCTTTGTGTTTGTCTTCGTTCATTAATATGTTGTTTTTTTTATTTACCTATGCCACAGTAAGTATGAATAGTTTTTGACTTTTTATTGCTGATGCTTCAGAATTTATTTAGTCACTTGCTAGTAAACAATGACATATAAAAAAAAAAGTATCAAGACATACCCATGAGAATGACCAACATTAAAAAGGCTAATATTAGCAAATGATGATGCAGCTGTGCAGTACTGAAACTCATATATTAGTAGTAAGAATGCAAAATTGCACAATCATTTTGAAGAAACGTTAGCCAATTTCTTATGAAATTAAGTGTAAAACTACCACATAACCAAGGATATGCTACTTCTAGGTATTTAACCAAGCAATATAAAAACATGCACCTGTGTGTGTATATATATATATTATATATATGAGACTATATTTTACAAATCTACATATATAGATATAAGAATATTTATGGGAGTGTTTCTTATAATAGCTTAAAATGCATAAATTATGTTTTAAATGTAATTGTTTTTAAATGTTAGAAGTAATATTTTATTTAATTTTAAAGTTTTATTTTCTATGGTATCTTATTAACAGATTTTCTATGTCTTTCTTTTAATTGCAAGTCATTTTTTAACTTATTTTATCTTTCTGATCATTCTAATTTTGAAGGCCTTAGATACCTACTTGTCACATTTTATGTTTTTGTTGACTTTCTTAATGGCTAGATTTCTTGTCAGTAGCATAATTTTTGAAAGTCAGTGTTTATTTTAAGCTCTACTGAAAAGGAGGACAAAAGTGTCTTAAGGTGTTCCCCTTCTGCTGAGTACCGTATAGATATACATTGGGCCACCTTATTCTAATAGAATCAATTTATGTAAATGTCCAAATAAAGTAGGTGATATATATATATATATATATAGAGAGAGAGAGAGAGAGAGAGAGAGAGAGAGAGAGAGAGTACACAATAATTTGTGGCTAGAGCAGTGATTTTAAATTCTCAGAAGATAATTTTATTATTTTATTAGTATTATTATTATTATTATTAACCAAGAGCCCAAACTAAGATAATATATTTTCTTTCTTCTTTTCCTGGTCACTAGAATATTTTCTAGACAACTTTTCTCACTGTGTAGTACTTGAAGTACCCTACTTTTATATGGGAGTCTGAGTTGCAATTCTCTGTCCTGGCTGATTGGACCCAAGTATTTACACTATTTTTAATTTTTAGTTCTTCAGAAAAAGGATTTTTCACACTATTTATTCTGTATTTGACATAAACCTAATTCAAATTTGGTAAAGTGTGTTATTTGTTCATAACTATATTCTTCCTCATTGCCATTTCTGTAAATAGAGTATGCTGGCTTTCCAGTGGTGTTAAATCTGATCTTGGCCATACAACCTGGTTTGATTAATGGAATGTGAACAGACATGTTGTATATTACATCCAAGAAAACATTTTAAATGCATTTGAGTGGTTGTGCTACTTCTTCATCTGGAGTCCAAAATAAGATAATATATAGAAAGGTTAGAGGAGCTGTACCCGACCTCCTAAATCTAAACACTAAATAAATATTTGTTGCTATTATCCACAATCAACTTGGGATTTGATGTTGCCATAGCAAATGTTGAATAATACACAAAGCAGCATGGCTTTCATTCTATCTTGATTCTTTATTCTCTTGTTACTGATAAGACTAATACTATGCTTTTGTGACTACCTCTATATTTTCTAAAAAGTTAGTCTTTTAATTGCCTCAAATTTAAAAAATGCATGTTATATTTTCTCCATTTCCTGAGTTTCTAAATGAGGAATTACATGGCCTATCAGGGACACAATCATCAACAAGATCTCTCATTTTACGAAACAATGATCAAAGAGTATTTTATTTTATTTTTCACTATCTCAAATATTTCTTTTCTGTTTAATAAACGAGATTATAAATTCTTATATTATGCATATGGTATAGGTACAAAAAAACCTCGAAAAAATACAACTAAAGATTTTTTCTGAACTTTTGAATCCTAACAGATTTAATACTAAATAGTCCAATAGAGAAAATTGCACAGGACATCTCATACCCTCTGTGCTACCAAACTAGATAAATGATGCAGAGGACAAACATCATGGTAATTTTCACAGATGAAAAAATAGGAAAATCCTGGATCTACACATAACTTACAGTTTACAAACAACTAATAACTATCTAAGGACATATTGAATGTTTCATTATATTAAACTTTCCAAAGAGGACAGCTGTACCAGGGAAAGATGGATAAGATAGCCATAGATTTTTATTTTCACTAATTTAGTTACTGAAACTTTCATATTATTATTTACTTAACTGATATTATTTATTCATTATTTAAATGGATACATTTTTTAAGGCAAAATAAATAAGTTGGAGTAATAACTAGACTTGTGTTCTATAATATGTGATATAAGATTCAATGCATCAGAATCACCAGGGATTTGTTTTAAAAATGTGGATTCTAGGACCCTACAGTAGACTCACACAATCAGAGTTACTTTGCTGAGATACAATAATATTATTTGTAATTATTATAACTGATGCTACTAATGAAGGAGAGCAACTGTAGATAATCTAACCTTCCAGAGAGTGGAGAATCTGTTCATGATTAGCTGCTTATTTCCATTTGTCTTTTCCCCCCAACTCTCGGTCACCTTTGCTGAGAACACAGAAAGCAGCAGAAAGCAGCTTTTAGCAGACACATGTTGCTGAAGTAATAAAGTTGTATCCTGAAATACTCCAAATATGAGCATGATTTTCCCTACAGAATACTTGCCAAGTTCTGAAGCTAATGCAGGAAGCTAGGCAAAAACAAACAAACAAAAACAAAATGAAAACTTCTGAAATGTAGAATGAAATCTCTGTCTTAGAAAACATGTTGAGGGGCGGTGTTTACCCAAAACACATGACCATATTCCCCATCAGGAGGTTTACTAAAGTGTGAAGTTGGTATGAGAAAAACAAAAAAGTAAGCCACAACTACTAAAGTACAGGGCCTTACCTCCTGTAATGTTTTAGGGCTTTGGTGACCCAGACATACTAAGTTTTTAATCAATAAACTGAATGAACTATACCTGGGGATTAAGTATGGCTCAGAGGTAGACTGAGTGATACAAAAACTACAAAAAAAAGTCCTAAATCAGCTAAATCCCCGAATGATTTCAAAAATCAGCTATTCATTGTATTGGCCTGATCAAGGAAATGGATACCTCCTCTGGTTAAAGACAACATCAACTGGAGCTTCTCAGTTTATTTTATTCATAGTAAGTCATTTAAAAGATTTGATATTTGTGTAGATTAAATGTCCTATAACAAAAAAATACAGTAGAAACAGGGAATATTGCTATTCATTTTATCACAGAAAGAATTTAAGTATGACTCAAAAATTTATGGACATAAGGAAAGGATGGGAGAAACAGAAAAGACGGAGAATTTCATGTTTTAAAGTGGAACCTAAGTACATAAATTAAATGGGTATACTAAAATTAAAATTAAGAATCCAGAAAATAGGGTTAACAGCTAATTGGACATACATCAAAACACAGAATTTGTGATCTGGAAGACAGGTGAATGGAAAACAATGAAACTGAAGGACAAAGAGAAAAAAAAGAATTGATACATTAACAGAATATAAAAGAGGACATGCTCACAACTTCTATTAATAACCTGTGTATAATTGGAAACTTAGGAGGACAGGAGAAAGTGAAGGAACAGCAATGTTTTTGATAAATATCTAAAAGTGCAATTCAGAGACTGCATTCAGAGTTTCAAATATCTTAGTATACTGTGGTAGGAGTTATTAAAGTTATTTTAAGCAGATAGAGAGGAAAAGGGGTCCTTGGAGAGTTTTCATTTTTAAAACAGCTCTAGAAATGTTTCTCGTCTAGCATGAAAGCCCTGGCCCTTAGGCCAGGCCAGCAACCTTTGATATGCAAATGCACGCCATTAGAAACTGGGTCTCCCCAACATGGTGAGTCCCACCATTGTCTTCTTGCCCTTGCCCGCATATACGCCTAGCAGCATGGCTGCCCCATATATCCAACGTGTGTAGGACATCATGGTGCCCTTCATTTGCATATTAAAAGACTGGGGCGGAATGGCCAGCTATTTTGTGGGCTACATGAATGACGTGCCTGGCCAAACCAATCCCCTGAGCCCTATGCAAATCAGACACCTCTTCCTCCAGCCATCCATAAAACTGACTGGTATCCCCCAAATGTCAGGCCTTCTCTTATGGTTTTGGAGCCCCCCTCCCTCTGTCTCTGTACAGGGGAGCTTCTTCCTTCTGCCTTCTTCCTTCTTTCTTGCCAATTAAACTCTCCACTCCTTAAAACCACTCTACGTGTGTCCATGTCGTTTCTTCCAGTTCAACTTGAAACGGAGAACCTGGTGTTACTCCACTCATTGGAGGCATATCAATACTACAAACAGGATAAATAAAAATGTCATCATGAAATTGTACAAAACCAAAGATAAAAACAAAACCTTAAAAGTAGCAAGAATAGGCTGGGCGCAGTGGCTCATGCCTGTAATCCCAGCACTTTGGGAGGCCAAGGTGGATGGATCACGAGGTCAGGAGATTGAAACCATCCTGGCCAACATGGTGAAATCCTGTCTCTACTAATACAAAAATGAGCCAGGTGTGGTGGCATGTGCCTGTAGTCCCAGCTACTCAGGAGGCTGAGGCGGGAGAATCACTTGAACCTGGGAGGTGGTGGTTGTAGTGAGCAGAGATCACGCCGCTGCACTCTAGCCTGGGCGACAGAGTGAGACTCCATCTCAAAATAAAATAAATAAATTCAAAAAATTTAAAAATAAATAAATAAAAATAAAAAGTAAAAGTAGCAATAATAAATAAAACACATTACTATCAACACAGTAACATTAAGATTGACAACTGACTTCTCAACAGAAACGTTGGAAAACTGAAAACACATCATTGCATTTAAAGTGTTTAAAAAGAATAACGGCCAACTTGAGATTCTATGCCTTAAATTCAAGGCAAATAATTACATGTTTTAGTAAACAAAACCTGAGAGATTAGTCACTAGCAAAGTTTCATTACAAGAAATGGTAAAAATGAATTCTTCAGTCAGATGGAAAATAATTTTGGTTGAAAAAGTTAAGATAAAATGAAAGTATGAAAAGGGATGTATCTTTCAAATAACCAAGAAAGAAAGAAAATGTGGCAGTATTAATATCATAAGAAAAATATTAAAGCAAGTAACATTATCAAGGAAGAATTGCATGGTCAATATTATCTTTAATACTTTATTTTTTGCATGGAGTTTTTATACTTTTTAAAATTTACCTAAACATTTTGTGATAATTAGTTTAATTAACACTGTTATAAAATACACAGATATATTTAATGGAGCACAAGTAAACTACAATATTTCACACGAAACAAATAAGTGATTTTTAATTAATTAACATTTGCAACTCCCTGTGCTCCCTCAGGATATCTCAATGACACATAAACTCCTGGCATACAGACCAAGTGACTAATGAAACTTAATGATTATTAATAATCATTAAATCATATTATTAGTAATCATTAAATCATATTACCCTCAGAAACATAGCATTAAGTTTAAGAATTCAAACACATTGATTCAATTGGGACACAGTTTAAGAACTAGAAAAAATGAATCCGTATGGATTTAGAAATCAGGATAGTGATTACCCTTGGGGAGAATTATTGCAGCAGGAAATGGTTATAAAGGAGCTTTCAGGGTTCTGGTAAAATTTCTGATCTAGGAGATTGTCAAACAGATATGTTCACTTTGTAAAAACTTATGCTTTACAATTATGAGTTTTACACATTCTTGTATGTATACAATATTTTGATAAATTTTGCAGAAAACAATGCTTATAAAATATCTTGAGGGGAGAAAATATCACAAAACAATGCTTTACTAAATTTGGCATATTTTCTGTGCATTACTACTAGTAAATTAAGCAAAATTAAGTTACTTTTATTTATTGTTGGCCTTTTCATCATTTCAAAAAATTATTAGAAAAGTTTTTTTAAATGTTTCAAAATCTACCAATTTGGATGTAAGGAATTTGCATAAATTTGAAATACATAGTATCTAGGCCTCATAAAAATGAGAGCAGATATAGTTATCTGTTAATAATGTTAAATATTAAATTAAATTTTATAAGGATTTTAATAAATCTTCAGGTTGAGCAAAAACAATTTCTAACTGGAAGCTAAAAAAAAAGAGAAGAAAATAAAGAATAAATGAAATAAAAGCCAATATCTGAAGGCAATATATACATTTTAAAAATGGAAACAACAGAAATAATCATTCTCCTGCAACTCCTCCATGCTATTCATGTTAAATTAAATTTTATATGACTTTTCTTCTATTAATTTGCTTTTTGTTAGTTGATTTTCAGCAAACCATCAAAGGGAAAGCGGGTATTTTTCTTTGACCCCTGCAGTTTTGTTGCTGTGAGCAGGATAATCAAAACTGCTCTAGTCTGCTGCAAGTCAAAATTAAGGAAATCAAGGACCTGACAAATTAATAGAAGAGAAAGAATCTCTTACCAGTCAGGATCCTGGTCTGTTTCTGTGGAATCTGGTTGAGTGAATGGTAAAAAAAAATCTCTGTTTGTCTTCTTTTCCTCTCTAAAATGTTGATTAATGGGAGAAAAACATTTACACAGGCTATCTTCAGGTGCAGCAGTATAAATGTTTATAATGTCTGACCCTATTCCTCCCAGAAACAGTCTTTTTTTGTTCCTTCGTGACTGTCTTCCTGTGTCATTTTGTCATAAAAAGGGATACCATAGACCCTAATATGAAAGCTAGATGAGATTCCTCTCTAGTCTTGTTTATGTCCTGGAGAGCTTGACTTGTGACAAAGTAAGAACACTCTTGGACTCACTATCTGGGGGATATAATTTTTGGTCACTTCTGGTGACTAGTCTGAAAAGATTGGAAACTCTGAAACACCTAAGATCTTAAGCATCTCACTCTGTTTCAAATGTGCAAAGCCCTCAGGGGTATTTGTCTTAATAATTTCTCTCCATAAAGGGCTTTTGTTGTCTTAAGTCTTGTTGCCTGGTTAATCTTAGGATAACTATATCCCAGGAGGACCTATTCAGTGTTCTGGATTCATGGGTCTGTGATTGGGAGCCAGCATTCCTTTGTGGAATGCAGAACTCTTTCTATGTGCAAACACCACTCTTAACTATTTGTGGCTACAAGAGTATTTTGCTATCTTAATCTACTTGTGGAAGTGAATTTTTTGGGGTATGGGAGGCTGCATCTTTTGTGCCCATTTAAAAAATGTTCCTTTTGTCCATTGTATTCTGAATCTGGAACGTTACCTTTGGGACTTCCCATGAAAAAGTCTTATTGGCTTAGGTCACCTACATAAGGAATAAATTGTGTTTTAATAAAGAACATTTTTAAAAGAGCTCTTGTTCTAAACAGCTATCTTATTGGTACCTATGAATAGATACAAAAGGGAAATAGCCTTAGAAATTCACTTGGCAAGACTTTTGAAAGAGAAAAAAGAAATCAGATTTAAACCTAAATCTCGAACTTCTTGCTTTGGAACCCCTGAATGATTTACAAAGAATATACTCCAGCATGCAGTCTAGTGGTTAGGATTCCACAGTTTTACTACTGAAGACTATGTTTGATTTTTGGTGAAGAAACCAGTCCTTTAGAGATGCAAATCCTTTAACTCGGGGGGTGGGTGGAAGTGTATAAAAATTAGTTTGATATTTGTGTGACTTGTTTTTTTTTGTGAACCTATTTGTTATTGATCCTTTTCCCTTTCATGGACAGCTACTGTTTTTTTGTCATACTTCTTTGTGAACTGAGAACTTGGTTTGGCTTACTTCCTGTTGGGGGAATGCAAGTTATCATGTTTGCTTGTGTAGAAACACAACCAAAAGCTTGAAGACATCATTAAAAAAAAATCAAGATGGCCTGACAAAACATTAGTTGGACCTCATTTGCAGCTAGCATACTGACTATTGCCAGTCTTAAGAAGTTAATCTAAGTCTCCTTTTTCTCTTAGTTGTCTTTGGGGAGTGGGTCTAGATTTTGTGAGGACAGCTTCTTTATACCTCTTTAAGGACAACTTATGAATTGTTGGTTAAGTCAAAAAAAAGCTTATTGGTTTCTGTTTTTATTTGAGAAGCTTTTGTGGTTGCTTGTTTTTTTTAATGAGCTTTATGTGCAAAATTTGGCTTAATTAAAAGCTGATATTTAAGCTAAATATATTTTTAAAGACCTATTTGCTTTTTCTCTTTTGGATCTTATTTCTTCCCTGAGTATTTTTTTTTCAGTCAAATGAATCCCTTTTTTAAGCATTGATGTTCCATTTCTTTGTTGCTTCCTTCCTTGTTGGCATAACTTTTGTTGAGAAAAATGTAAAACCTCATTGACCTTATTGGGAAGTTTAAAATCTCCTCAAATTGTCTTCTCTAATACTTATTCTACAATTTACTTCTACTATGCCTTCCTTTTTTGCTACCTTTGATATCTCATGAAGAAATCTAAAAGGGACTTCTAGAAGCACTGAAACCCCTTGAGGAACACAAAGTAAAGGTGTCACACACTCTCTTTTGAGGGACGTTTCTGTCTTCCTCATGAAGCCCCAAGATTCAGGGGCAGGTTCTCCTGAGGCCTAAAGCTCTGATCTGTTTTGCATTGAGTTCCCTGATTTCTTGGGCTTTTGGGGGTTAACAGGAATTACTACATACTGTGAGAGAGAACTTGACCTGTTGGTGTGTAATGGTTGGTGAGTCACTGGAGAGAGGACTGTAATTTTGGAGATGACTGATAGCAGTTGCAATGAATGATTATTACCACAGGATGGTATTCATTTTTTGTACATTTAGATACTAAAAGCACAGTTTGGATATGTGGGGGCTATGAGAAAACTCACCACTGAAGTATGAGACTTCTATGGTTGATGGGCTAATCACAAAGCAGGCTGATTGAAATCAGATTGCTTCCTAGCCTTGGGAGAATGTTCGTACAGAGAAGGGCACTGTGGAAGCATTGCACAGCCTAGCTGAGCGACATTTCTCTTGAGCATTTGTTTCAACTCTGGTTAATACAGGAGTTAGTGCAAAAATTAGATTCTTGATTTCTGTGGATCTAGGTGCTCTGCCTTCCAGCTGCACCCGCTTTTCATATATATAAAGAGTAGGCCCTGGAAACTACAAATGCTTTGTTGGCATTATTCATTGATGGGCTTTGCCCTGACCTCAGTGGTCTAGTTGAAAATGAAGACTAAATTGGAAACTATTTACGTAACTAAAAATTGGTCTCTTTATGGAATCCTGTGTTTAATCTCTATTATTTCTGAATTACCTTGACATCAATTTTTAGTCTTTCTCTAACATGCTCAAATTTATCCTTGAAATAGCTTAAATATTCTCTCTGTGCTCTGAGATGTAATTTGTTACCCTCTTTTATCTGAAACTTGATAAAGGTTTTGGCCATGGGGGACAGATAGACTAACTTTTTCATTTACGGAGACACGGTTTAATCCAACTACCCTTTTAAACTTGTGAATTTTACCTGTCTCATGGAAAAAAAAATTAAATCAAAGTTATATACTATTTATGCTTGTCTTTACTTCTATGTATATATGTGTACATGTCTTTGTATTTTGTGTTTGTGGTAACAAATTAACTTATAAATAAATGAGTACTCATAAATTGAATAACTAACCCAAATGCTTTTCAAGTTCACATGACTTTAGTAATATTTGATAAATAAACTAGTTTTAAAATTGTTGGTAAAATAAATTAAAAATGTCTTCAGAATTTTAGACATTTTTGCCTAGGTATACTGGTCAGACAAAATTTATACTATCTCTACTCTATGTTTTTCTGTCATAAAACTGTTCCTTCTCTGATATTTTTGATACTTCCTTGACTTATCTTTGAGGATATGTCTTATTTTGAGCCTGTAGATTCTGATTTCTAGAATGGCCATGACAAGGCCTCCACACATACATGTGTTTATAGTATCTGCACCAAGAGATGCAGGGCAGGCCCAAGCTCAACATTTACCAATCCTCCCTGGTCCAGCTCTGCCTCCTGGCCATGCTGGGAGGTGTTGATTCTTCAGGCATTGTCTTCAAGTTCTTTCCTCTATCTTTGGCTCTGCATCTAGTATGTAACAATTAAAACTGATTACTTCCTAGGTTTTTCACCGAAAATTATGATTAAAATAGAGTTAAAATTATAATCAACAGATGTTATTAAAACTAATAGATATAAACAAACAATTTTGTATACAGGGTATATTAAAAAGGATATATTTTTTATAAGGAAGGTTATACAAAAGATATAAAGTTTTGGCTTTTGTTAAAGGAAAATTAATTTTGTCCAGATTAGAGGTTTCAAATTGCTGTTTCAGAGAAATAAAAATAATGTAGATAGAACTAAATAGGTCCAGAAAGTAAAAGGAAAAGAGTATTTCAAAGTTTAGTGTTGTTAAACTGACCAAAATTTAATAAATTTATCATATAGATTTTAAAATTGAACCTTAACATACACTAATGCAAAGTTAGAATTTGATTTTCTCTTTTGAACCAGATTTTTGTGTAAATATTAACACAATAGTAAAGATTTCTTATTTAACTTTTGAGTAAACTGCAAATAAAAAGAAAGAGAAAAAAGGAGAAAAGGAAATATAGATTTTATATTAGTAATGCTACTCTTGTTAGGTCTATAATTATTTAGGCAACTATCTCCTCCTTATCAAAGAGTAAAGTTTTTGAAATATTTTCATTATTACCTTGGCTAAAATACTATTATTTTATAATTATTTTATTTTGATCAAGTGTTTTACACCTTTGATGTATTTGACATACTGCCCAATATCAAATTTCACATTATAAATTAAGTCTATTGACATCAAACTAACTTTTGGACCTTCCAAAAGGGACCTTGGAAGTCCAGGAAAAGTATTTTAGGCTAATCTGACATGTTAAATTATACAGAAAGAATATTCAAAAAGGGAATTATGTTTAAATGTTTTTTGAGTCATATTTGTATAAATGTATTAACATATGTTACAAATTTATATGAGAGTCTTAAGTAGCTGATACGTTCAGAAATGTGACATAGGTAAAAAGTTATGGCAATTCCGTAAAATTGCTATAGACCACAGAAGATAACCAAATTCTGTTATCAATCACATCATTATTATAAACTCTTATGAGCTCTTTCACTGTGACCATCTAAGTGTTGCTGTCCACAGTTCATTGCCTTCTTTTTAAGCTTCATCTAAAGCATCTTTGCAATAAACTGTAATCCTAAATATTGTATCTTCAAAGAGATTCCTTTAAATAATAAAAAGACTGACAGTTACTCTGAAATACAGACCTCTGTTGATGATTTTGGGATTATTCAATTAGACTATGTAAGAATTTCAAAAATTCCAATGGAGAGTAAAAACTGGACTCATAAATTTGGTCACGTAACATCAAGCAGAACAAATATTAATTACATGTGAGTGAATTGGTAGAGGACTGAAATAATTTCTTATTTTACTTTGATTTGAAACATTGCTGATTTGTTTGTTTCTCAGTAAAGAAAACTGTTTCTTAAAAAGCTACTTATAGCTTACAGCAGTTGGGTAAAGTATGCTTTTGTGAGCATAATTGAAACATTTATCTTTCTCTTTACGTAATCCCCCAGAATTTAGCAATTATTCCTGAGTGTTCTTATTTTATAGCAATATAGTTATTTGCATAAGTTCAGTAAGAATCTGTACACTTTTGTGGCAAGACACAATTGAAATCACGCGTTACTTTACTGAGGCTTTGACTGAAATGACACATTTTCTGATATGACCACGTTTTTTTGAGTAATTGAAGTTGACCTTTCATGGAGCCAATACAAAGACTCTTGGAAAAACTTGTCTGGTACCTTGTTAATGTGGTTCCCTTACCAGGTTCCTGACTTTGCAGTAAGTAAACGATGTCAATTTCTCACATATCTCAAGATATTTTGGGGGCCTCGAGAAGAGAGGAACTCACCCAATATACACAAGTGTCATAGATACAGACTTTGCCTTGGCTCTTAAGCCTCAGGAGAATTTTAAAAATCGAATCTGAAATTTCTTATGAAAAAATCTCAGTAAATTCAACTTAAAAAGTACCTATATGGCCAATCACTATTTTTACTGAACTTTATGCAAATAATAAGCCCAAGTATAATAAGATTAAAATATATTTTGCAAATAAATTGCTCTCACCATGATTTATCTTCAATAGAGATAGGGAACTGAAGAGAAAAAAAAATATTTCATGAAGAAAACCTGTAGTATGACTGTTACTAGATTCTGGCACTGCCCATTTGTTTTTGAGATTTTTTTATTATCTGGACTGAATCTTAAACTTTTAATTCCCTAAAATATATGACTATGACTCTCCAGACTCACATCTCCAATTATTTTTCCCACTCTTTTCATTTAAAATTATTAGAAATTAAATGTGCTTTTCTTAAGATTCTACAAACTGAAGCTAGAAAACTTGATATAAACATGGAGAGAAATCACTATAGCAACTTCTATATGAAGAGCCTGTTGATGTATGAACTACTTAGAAAGTGCGCCAGAATACCTGATTTGAACCAGAATCCAGAAGTCTGTCAGATTACCACTTCCTGCTCACTCTAAGTGAAGATGCCTCAAAGACTCCCCCAAAAAACCGATTTATAGACTACTCCAAACATTAGCTTTGTTTTTCTTCTATTTCCATAGAAATGCTTTTTATTAAAAATCTGTTTTTCTGGGTTATATATAGGGTCCTACTTTTGAGATCTTATCTGCCATTTTATTTCCTGATGAGACACAATTGTTTAATTGGACTGGCTTATTCCCAGAAATGGGAGAGTCATTTAATCACATCCTTTGTCATTCAGATATTTACTTAATTTTTCTCCCCACGGACACTAATTCAGCTTTTAATGTATTAAAAAGTATCATTGAAATCCACAGAGGAACAAGGAGAAGCTTATTTCCTATTAAAAAAAAAATCTGCCGATTGGAAAGGCACAACTTCAGTATAAGTGAAAGTCTACTCTCTGATGAACAAAGGTAGAGTGTGGCTTAAATAAGGAAAGTTCTTGCCCAGGTTCTTAATCAGGTCTATTTATGCAAATGAAAGAAACAAACTTGTTCAGTTCTGACTGGTCAATAAATTTTGAGCCCTGATTATATGGTTTCCATACCCAAAGGAGAAGTCTCCATCAGATGTTTCTTGCAAATGGCCAGTGGGTGGTTGAGGAGGCTCGGGCCACAGTTGATCTTGGCACCAACAACAGGAACTGGTTTGATTTGGTTGTAGAAAAGGGGGTTCAATGACACTTTCACAACATTCTTCTGAGAACACAGTGTATGACCCCTCTCTCGCCCAGCCATGGATGTTTCGTTCTGTTTTAAGTTTGAGCACCACAGTGAGTATATTTTGTCTGTCACCTTGGGGCATTCTTTCACAAATGAAATTTCTAGGAAAGTTTTAGAAATGAAAAATGTTGGGGGTCAGAAAGCAACACCACAAAGACTGGCTCTTTGATATGAGTAGAGGCTTTAAAAGCTGCCGAACACTCAAGGTGCCTCTAACCTTCTCTTGCGGCCAGGGAGGCAATCACACAGAGGAGGAATCACTCTGGCATTTGCTTATCTGACCATGGAAGCTTCTTTTCAAAAACAACACAATTACTGTTCATCACCTCCCTCAAATCTCATCTTCTATCACAGAAAAAAAGACTGAGGGGCCAGGCGTGGTGGCTCATGCCTGTAACCTTATTACCCAAAAGGGGTCCAGATCCAGATCCCAAGAGAGGGTTCTTGGATTTGGCACAACAAAGAAATTGGGCCCAGTCCAAAGTATGAAGTGAGGGCAAGTTTATAAAGTAAAAACCCCAAGGAATGGCTACTACATAGAGCAGCAATGACGGCTGCTGGTTGGCTATTTTTAATGGTTGTTTCTTAATTATGTGCTGAACAAGTGGTAGATTATTTATGAGTTTTCTGGAAAAGGCGTGGGCAATTCCCAGAACTGAGGATTCTTCCCCATATTAGACCATATAGCATAACTTCTGGACATTGCCAGGGCATTTGTAAACTGTCATGTCACTGGAGGCACTGTCTTTTAGCATATTAATGTATTATAACTAGTAAACAATGAGCGGTGAGAGTGATGAGCAGAGGTCACTTTCATCACCATCTTGGTTTTGGTGGGTTTTGATTAGCTTCTTGATTGCATTCTGTTTTATCACCAGGGTCTTTATGATTATATCTTGTGCTGACCGCCTATTTATAATGTGACTAGCAATGCCTAACTTCCTAGGAATGCAGCCTAGTAGATCTCAGCCTTATTTTATCCATCCCCTATTTAAGAAAAGTTGCCCTGGTTCAAACGCCTCTGATAATCTCAGCACTTTGGGAGGATTGAGGTGAGCAGATCACTTGAGCCCAGGAGTTTCAGACTAGCCTGGGCAACACGATGAAACTCTATTTCTACAAAACAAAATAAAACAAACAAAAACACCTGGGCATGATGGTGTGCACCTGCAGTTTCAGGTACTCAGGAGGCTGAGGCAAGAGGATTGCTTGAGCCTGGAGGTAAAGGCTGGAGTGAGAAATGATTGTGCCATTGCACTCCAGTCTGGATGACAGAGTGAGACTCTGTCTCAAAAAAGAAACAAAGTATAATGACGAATGCAACCACACCTGGAAGTGCCTTTAAACAAAACAATACCTGTCTCTCATTCAAGTTCCAGTAAGAATCATTTACAAGTTAATTTCTGTCTCTTCACTTATCCTAATAATCATTTGCTGGCCCTTAAAATAATTGCCTCCATTCCCATCTCCCTCTTGCCTTTGAAAGGGGGTATATAAGCTTCTGTTTCCCATTGGGTTATTGGATAATCATTCTCCTGTGGTTTCCCCATGCTATGCACACTAAAATAAATTTTGTATGTCTTTTTTATGTGTTAAAAAAATGGAAACAAAGCATTACCATGAAAAGATTAATGTCCATAGCTTAAGTGTCAAAAATAAATATGAGAATGAATTAGCAATACATGAAACATGAATATAAACCACCTGAAACAAATGTTCAACAAGAGGATAAATGGGACATGAAACACCCTGTCCTTAGCCTCAGAAATAGAGACAATAATTGAGGAGATTATGCTTTGTGATCTACTGTGATAAATTCGATTGACAGAATCTAAAGAATTGGCATGGAGCAGAAACAAAACTTCTGCTACTACAAGGATAATGAAAACTTTAGATATGGCATTTTAAATTGAATGACCATTGTACACCTTAAAACCAGTTAGGTGTGCTTGAATTTATAGTGTATAATATTGTAAAAAATCTAAGAGCATAGTTTCAATTAATCAATACTTTACAGGAAGAGTTTTATGTAAAAACGTCTGTTGAATATGTGTGTTATAAACATTTTTCTTAAGACACAATTGATTTGTATTTAAATTTTGACTGTAAAAATGATTTTTAATATTCAATGCAATAAAATCTTATAAAGAAAAGAGACTAAAAGAGAAAATTATTTCTGCTTATTAATATTCAAATAACATACTTTTATTCACTTAACTTATTTTTTTCCTTTTTCAAAAGTGATTGCAAGATTCAATCATCTTATGCATAGGAAAAAGAATCATATTACATGTATTTCATCTGAAATGCATGCCGATCTACTGAAGCCTAGGATGAGTAGTACTTAAATGTGAGAATTGTTGAGAGAATTATGAAATTCATTTGAGTGTGGAACAATTTTAAAAAAAAGTGAATTGTAAGGCAAAGTCAAAATCTATGTTAATGCTTAAGTACATTAGTAGGTAAATGGTAAATTTAATCTAATTGACTTGTCCTAGGAGCAGAAACACAGGAATGAACAAAAGTAAAAATATGAATATTCATTCAATTTCTTCCATTCACCACATTACAGTGGACACATAAAAAGAAACACAAATTCAATTCAATTTGATAAATCCTATAATAACCATAAGATTATGTTGTGAAGGAAGCCTAGAAAAGTGAAATATTCTGTGACATAAAGTAGGAGAGTTATAAATGAGCGATATATAGTAGGAGAGGAGGGTGTACTTCAGCAGGAGTGTATTACAAGTAGAGGGCAATACAGTATGAAAAGGTGTGAGGGAATTTCCAGATTGACCAAAACATACAGGCATATTGAGTTGAGTAGCAAAATAAAAGTAAAGCCTAAACATGCACAATTACAATAAGAATCTTGCTTGTTCTGAAAATAAAATTAAAATATAGTATTTTATTCTGAAAAATGGAGAAATCCATCAAATAATTTTAATCAACAGACATAAAATAGTTTGTGCTTTAAAGGAATTATCCTTGGGGGAGCCTGAAAAATCTGGGTTGGAGCCAAGTGCAGAGACTCAGGCCTGTAATCTCAGCACTTTGGGAGGCCAAGGCGTGTGGATCACTTGAGGTCAGGAGTTCAAGCCCAGCCTAGTCAAAATGATGAAACCCCGTCTGTGCTAAAAGTACAAAAATTAGCTTCATGTGGTTGCATACCTTGTAATCCCAGCTGCTCTAGAGGCTGAGGAACAAGAATTGCTGGAACTTGGGAGGCGGAGATTGTGAGCTGAGATCACGCCACTGCACTCCCATCTGTGTGACAGAGCAAGGCCCTGTGTGAAAAGCAAAAAAAAAAAAAAAAAAAAAAAAAAAAAAATTGGGTTGGAAAGTTTTGGTAGAGCAGAAATACTATATATAATCCAAGAGACTAAGATGTTTAAGGTATACAATTAGTAGTAATTAAAGATGTATAAAATGCCTAAAAATTCTCCTATTATTCCTGGATAATAGTAAAATTAAACAAAATTGTGTAATTCTTTAAGGAAAACATTCCCAGCTGAATAGATAAAATTATAAGCATGTCTCGAATCATTTAATGCTTGTGTTTTTTTTTCTTCCATTATTAGAAAAACTTTATTGCAGAAATTATTCAAAATTATTTAACTAAGAATAATTAGAATAATTTATTTTCTATATTTTTTAAAATTAATTATTATTACTATTTTTTGAGATGGGGTCTCTCTCTGTCTCCCAGGCTGGAGTGCAATGGTGCAGTCTTGGCTCACTGCAACCTCTGCCTCCCGGGTTCAAGTGATTCTCCTGCCTCAGCCTCCCGAGTAGCTGGGACTACAGGCGCTTGCCACCACACCTGGCTAATTTTTTGTATTTTTAGTAGAGACAGGGTTTCACCGGGTTAGCCAAGATAGTATTTTCTATATTTTAAATATATAGTAACTAAATTTTGACGTATGTAATTATAATTATTTCCAGGCATTTCATACATCTTGAATTAGTATTTATCATGTACATGGAACACTCTAGACCCTTGGAATAAAATGAACAAAGAGAAAGGGTCTCTGTCCTCAAAACATTTAAAGTAATGTATTAATGATAAAGGGAACAAGTCAAAAATTGTATAGCTGAAGGCTTTGGAGGATAATAACTAATTTTTGTGTATTGGTGATGCCATCTAGGGAGATCTGCTGTAGAACTAAAGACTGGTGGATTGAAACTGGTACATCTGCTTGCACAAAAGGAGGCAAATGGTTTCTTGGATATAAGAGAACAAATAGTTACTTCAAGGCATATCTTCTGGTGAATGCTTCCTTTTTTGGTTTGAAGATTAGTTGCCTAAAAAAAAGTAACTCATGAGTTTAAATCAAAACAAAAAAATGTAAGATGTTAACAAAAGAGTAATAGAAGGTTTATAATTTATGTAGGTAATCGTTTTCAATACGACTGAATAAAAGAATCAAGCTTGTTGTCAAATAATAGATCAAAATGCTAAATTTACTTCTCAAAGGATCCACCAAAAAGAAAATGATACAATGAGAAAATAGTCAGCATTTAAACTATGTCAGTACATTTCATTCAAAACACAGTATATATGATACTGCATACAAATAGGGAAGACCCAGTGCTCCGGCCAGAGAGGAGGTAAAGTGCTTTTTAATGAATTGACTGAGAATTACAATGATTTTACAATTTAGATACAATAAAATTTCAAAAAAGAATATTACATTACATTACGTTTTGTAGTGTTTGGATTCTTGGAAAACTAACTTAGTTATCTATGCATGATATATAAGTAACTTTATGTAAATTTTCCATTTGGAATTCAAGTCCTAACATTCTTTCATTCCCTACACTAACATTCAAAACAGCAAATGAGCCAATGGTGAAAACCGTTAGTTTTACTGACTCCATATTAGAACATTTTTCCGGGAAGAAAAGTCAGTTTGTATTGTGTTTAGTCATATCCTAAGGCAAAGGTTAAAAAGGAGAGAAACAAAATCTGAGTTAGAAACTTGGATCTGTTTAGTCAGAGTGAAACAAGTTGGGAATGTTCAACTCTAATGTACCCATATGATTTGTCCATCATTATTCCTGAGTAGCATAGTTCTGTCTTCCTTCAAGCAATGTTATCTGTAAAAGGAGAGGTGTGATCTGACTGTAATTAAAAAAAAGCGGGTTTCAGTATTTAAAAATATATATATTTTAATTTTGGACTCTCATATTTAAATTAAATAATAAAGTCTAATCAGGTAAAGAGAACACTGCTAGCCTGGGCAACATAGTGAGACTCTGTCTCTAATAAACATTTAAAAAAAATTAATTTGGTGTAGCTGTGCACACCTGTAGTAGGGAGGTTGAAGTAGGAGAGTCACTTGATCTGGAAAGTCAAGGCTGGTACTCCAGCTAGGGCAACAAAATGAGACCCTGCCTCAAAAAAAACAAAAGAAAACAAAACAAAACAAAACATTTTCCACTCCAAACGCAGTTGTATTTATTAGAAAATAGCCACAATGTTGTCTCATGATTTGAAATCCTTGCTTCTTCAGTGTCCCCAGCTTGGGCAAGAATAATCAAAGGTATGTGTAATAATCAAAATGGTAATTAAATTAATTGGTGAGCTAGATCTCTATGTAGTAAAATCCAGTTTTATCGCTTCTCCAGCAAGGTCTCAGGTGGTTCACGCCTTCTAAAGCTGTAGAAGTTCAATATACCTGTCCATTTGGCTACCTACTAGTTGTAACTGGTAATTGCAATCTTTATAAGTGCCATGTTTACTAAAGCCACTGCCTGTAGTTTGAACTTGGTAATCCTACCAGAGTTTCCAGTATTGTAATAGTCGAGAAAACTTCTCTTCAGGGTTATAAATTATTTTTAATTTGAGCCAATAAAACGTTGTTTTACATTTTTATTCTTTTTTCTTATAATGAATTTTTTTTTCTTATAGTTATCCTTTAAAAACTCAAGTATTGTGATAAGTACTGCTGAGATTGAGACAAAAATATTTAAGGGACGGCATTTTAGTTTTCATTCAAAATATATGTTTTGCTAATCAATTCATATGTGTGGAATGATTTTTCTCCAGGTTTATTGAGGTATAATTGACAAATAAAAATTGTATATACATTCAAATTGTATAACTGATGGTTTGATGTCTATATTTTTCAATGATTTATTTTATCCACAGTGAATCTCAATATATAATCAACATTTTAATTGTAATTAATTAATATTATTCTTTACATTAGCCTTCTGCTAAAGTGTAACTTGTTTTCACTTGTAATACAGTAAGTCTTATTAATTATTCCCTGAGCTCTATTTTCAGTTTTATTCACAGTTTGATAATTTTAAATTATTTATATATTTTTCAGTATGTGAAGAATCAGTATGGATCTGAAAGTCAGGACTTTATAGGAAGGTTTATTCAGAAGAGCATCACTCCTCCCTAATGCTTTCTCTACTATTGACATTTACTTATTCTCACCCACACCCTGCAGATAGGCAAATGCATTAGCTTTTGCTAATTCCTTCGGATTTGTTTGTTTGCTTTTTTGTTCATTTCCTAAATGAGTAAATATATGCAGTTGCTCCTATATCCTCTTTCTTGCATGAAAGGGAATACACTTTTGGTACTCTTCTATTTGCTTTTTCTTTTCTCACTGAAACATATATTGTGGGCTTTACTTCATGTTAGTTTGTAGGGAGCTTTTTCACTGTATTTTATAGTTGCAAATAATTCTATTGTATGTTTCTATCATACTTGATTTGACTACTCTTCCACGTATGAGTATTTGTGTTGTTTCAAATATTTTTGCAATAGTACAACGCTATAATGAATAACTGGGGTAGATATATGTTCATATTGCTGAAAAACATTCCAGATAATACATAGATATGGGACTGCTCAGTCAAAATTAAGTAAAAATGTAATTTTGTAAGATTATGTCAAATTTACTTCCAGAAGGCTTGTATCAGTTTGCATACTTAGCAACAGTGTCTCATATTGTCTGCTTCTCTATAGTCTTGGCTAGAGAACATGTTGTCATGAATATATATTTAACTTATATATTTATGCATGTATATTATATATTTAATTTTCACCACTATGTTATGGGAGATACTGACAATGCCCTGGATTTTGTTATTGTCCTGAGGCCATTTTTAACTTTGAAATTATTTGGCTAGATGAACATAATCCATGTGTCTTCTATAGTTCCTCTAAAATCTATTTAGAAACAAAAATATTTGCTTTTTAGTTCACTCTTTCTGTGTATACCTTACTACAGGTGGCTAAAATAAGTAAACAACTTTTCAACTCTCAGTCTGAGAATCTCCTTAGCAACATTAACAAATTTATTGGGTACATTTTCAGTCTTCCACAAGGTAACAGTAGACTTCACAATTTCATATGATATGGCATCTTTTCTCCAGCCTCCATTAGCAATTTATTTGGCAGCCTCCTATACTTCACTCATAATTTCAGCTTCTATTCATAGTATCTTTGCTATGCTTCCAGCCTGCAAACACTGCCTGGTCCGAAAGTTAATGGACATATTTTAGATTTGTGAAACACCAGCACCTCACTCCTGAAAGGAATAACTGTATCAACCAAAATTCAATCAAGGAGGCAAAACCACCATGATTTATGAACAAGTAATTTACTACAAGAAACTAGACCTTAAACAATCATGGAGAAAGGTGAGGAGTGGTTAACTAAAAGAGGAATTTGGAAGATTAGAGAGCGAGAGATCAACAAACAATCCAAATGAGAAGTCAAATACATCCAGCCACCAAAGGGCCATGGAGAGGGGACTGCAGAAAAGTGTATACAAAAGTTTTGCTACTGTGAGGCCACAACATGTTGTTTAATGATGAGCTTAGGACTCTTACTGGTCCTCTTATTGGTCAACAGATAAAGCTGTCAGAAAGAGGAGCTAGGTGCAAAACAGAGGAGAGATGACAAGCTGGAACATCAGACATATTTGTGTCTTTATGTTACCACATTTAACTATGACAACATTTCAAATTAAATGGCTGCTGCTTCACTTCTACTCTCCTAATCTCAAATAAATTAATATTTTGGCCAACTCTAGACTGAAACTATAGAGAAAAGGAGATAGAAACATGGTTCAAAGTTTAATGTGGCTGGACATTGTATAATTCATTACTATAAAATGGAGAGGCACTTAAAAGTTTCCTTCTAAATTTGGCACTGAGAAAAGTTTGCCTTTCTTTTCAATATTACACTTGGTTTCCATGCAGGTACAACAAGTCAAGTGAAGGAAATAAAAGGTATAAAGGATGTAAAAAATAAATAAAAACTTACATTATTTGCAGATTTGGTTTTTGTGGAAATAGGAAAATTTGAAATCTTCCAGTAACTATTATTTAATTGTGAGGCATTGAAAAAAATCAATAAAATTTCAATATAATACAAATAAATTAATATAAAATTTAAATAATTCTACAATCTTGGAAGCCATCAAAGACAAAACTTACTGGGGAAAATATAACAAAACATTTTTAACACTGAAAACTATAATTAATTACTGAAACAAATTTTTAAAAGCTAAGTAAATAGAGAATGTAAATTATCCATGAATTAAAAAAAAACTAGACCATGTACATAGTTTCTCTAATTTATCTAAGAATTCAAGGTAATTCCAACACAAATTATAAGAGAGTTTCAGGTCAAAATTTTTAAGCATATTTTAAAATTTAGAGTAAAATGCAAAGCAGAAAGAAAAGCTAAGTAACCCTTAAAAAATGAACTCCAGAAGATTTTTGCTAACTATATTAACACTTAATTTAAAGGTACAATTATTTAACTATAGGAAAATATAGAATTGAAAACAATGTCCAGAAATAGTCCAACAGGTAGAGTAATTTGATTTGTGACAAGGGTGACAATCAGTGCATTAAAAAATTAATAGTTTTTTAAATAAATGATTCTGGGAAAGTGGATATCCTTTGGGGAAAAAAAGTACATTTTGACCTTTAATATGCATCATATAGAAAAATATTTCAGATGGCGACAAAGACTCTCTATAGTTGACCAAACTTCAGTAAGATTCTTCTGAAGAAACAGCCTAAACATATTCTTTGTCCTTCCTTTTACATGCCTGGCCCAGTCTTAGCAAAGAATTCTGCTAAGTCAACCTCTTCATTCTTGATATGTGAGCACTCTTAGTATCAGAACAAATTCCTCCTTTGATATCTGATCACCTTGTCCTGACTTCAATAAGAGTCCTCCTGTTCAGTCAGTTTAGCAATAATCCCCCTAACATTGATGTCACCTCTCAGCAATTTTTCATCCAACAATCTCCTCACCATGCTCCTTGACTATAAATTCCAGCTTCTCCTTATTGTATTCAGAACTGAGCTCAGTTTCATAGTGCCATAAACTCTTACAATATTTTCTGAGTCAAATCTATTGTTACTGCTTTTAACTATTGCCTGGCTCTGGTGTTCTTTGACAATGGATTGAAGATGTAAATGTGAAATTAAAAGTGTGATGATGCTAGAGGAATGCATAAACAAATTTCATGGGGTAAGCTACAGTCTTTAAATGGAAAACATAATTAACCATATAATTTTCTGATAAGTTGGACTATATTACAACAAGAAGGATTCTTTTTATTACAAAAGGCAGTAAAGAAAGTAAAAACACAGAGATAATTCAAAGGTTGATTAACAGTATAACATTGAAAAAAGGTTCCGCATTGTACAAATAGAATACTGCAAAGCCAAATAGAACTGAAAGACAGCACAGAAATAAAGTATTTGTAACCTACATCACTAATAAATTGTTAATATCTCTAATTTATTAAAAAAAACTATCACAAATAAAGTGAGAAGGATGATTAAAACTGGATAGGAAAACTGGGCAAAAACATGAGTAGATAACTCATAAGAAAAGATTTAAAATGACCCAAACACATATGCTTTCAGCAACTGTCCGATGTTGAGGAAAAATAGGTTGTATTACAAGGCGTTACAAGTTGAATTGTCTCTGAAATCATTCTAGTTTATATTCAGATCAAAGGGCTACACTCTCAAATTGAGACATATGCTCTGGGAATAAGAATTATAACCTATGGGTAAGGACAAACAGAATTAAAGACCAATAAAGCCCACCCCACCGTATTCAATGGATCAAAATGATTTGCCAGTAAACTATTTAGCATTTAAATGATCTAGCAGACTGGGCACCGTGGCTCATGCCTGTAATCCCAGCACTTTAGGAGGCCGATACAGGCGGATCATGAGGTCAGCAGATCGAGACCATCCTGGCTAACATGGTGAAACCCCGTCTCTACTAAAAATACAAAAAAATTAGCCAGGCATGGTGGCGAGCGCCTGTAGTCCCAGCTACTCAAGAGGCTGAGGCAGGAGAAAGGCGTGAATCCGGGAGGCGGAGTTGCAGTGAGCTGAGATCGCGCCACTGCACTCCAGCCTGAGCGACGGAACGAGATTCCGTCTCAGAAAAAAAAAAAAAAAAATGTCAATACACTCTTCTTGGCCTTCAATTAAAAAAAAATTAAGTATGAAAAGGAAACACCATTGATATATACAGAAATAAAAAGTAAAAAAAGCAAGAATATTGCCAGAAAACAAAAATTGATTTTAAAATATTCAAATAGAAATGTTGGTATTTAATTTTTCATTGCATTTCATTTTAATAATGAAATTAAATTTCCATAAATGGTTTTTAGATCGTAAATACGTAGAAGGAAGAAATGAGTAAACTGGAAAACTTGCCAGTAGATATATCTTCAAGGAGGCAGAGAAAGAAAGAGAAGATAAACAATGTGAGAAAAAGAATTATAGACATAGAGGCACAATGAGAATGAGCAAAAGTTTTTGTATTTTCTAAAAAGAAAGGAATTGAACATGAGCAATTCCATTTCTAACAGAAATGTGTACATATGTTTATTAAAATACAGGTAAAGTGATTTTAAAGTAGCACTATTTATAAAGATCAATTACATGAAATGTGAATTCCATTCACAATAAAAAGAAAAGATTAATAGTATACATGAAGTATTATACAACAGTGCAAATGAATGAACTATCAATACAAAAAACAATATAAATGAATCTCACAAACTATCGTGATATTAGATTCCAACAAACACTACTAGCTCTATTTTTTGCAGATGTAAAGGTGAAATTATTTTGTGAAACTTAAAAGTAGACAAAAATAGTGATCCCATCACAATCCCTTAAATTCTGTTTATCTCATTGCTTAGAATGAGCATAGTCTACATGCAATATGGCAATGGTCTCAGTAGAGGATGGCCATGGGATGATATTATTCTGTATATTTATGGGTCATGGGTTCTAGGAATATCTACAGCCATAATGTCATAATAAATATCTCTGATTAGGGAAATTACCCTGTTAGAAAACTGTATTCTCTGAAGCCCAAGATATCTTAGTCATCTACTATAACATATCTTAGCCACCTACTGTAACATAATAAAACAAATGTTATATTGAGATATATTTAATTTACAGAATTGGCAATTACATAAAAAAGAATTTGAAAAAGATCTCTTTGTAGATGTAAACTCTATAACAACTACAATAGGTAAAATTAATGTGGAAAAGAAGGGATTTTTAACAGTTTTATTGAGCTATAATTAATATACAGTAAACTGTACGTATTTAGAGTTTATAATTTAATATGTCTTGATATACATATCTACCCATGAAACAAACCATCATGTCAATTAAGAAAATGGTCATCTACCTGAACGATTTCTTGTTCCTCTTTTTAATTAACCCTTCCTTACCCAGCTCTTTCCAACCCTCATCTCCAGGAAACTGTAGATATGCTTTCTATTGCTATATATTAATTTGTATTTATTAGAATTTTTAACAAATAAAAAAGCACAGTATATATGTGTCACACAGGCTGGAGTGCAGTGGCACCATAATGACTCGTGACACCATAATGGCTTACTGCACCCTCAACCTATCAGGCTCAATGTTCCTCTCATGTCAGCCTCTAGAGTGTCTGGGACTACAGCCAAACAACACCATGCCCTGCTATTTTTTTTTTTTTTTTTTTTGTAGAGAAGGTGTTTCGCTGTGTTGCCCAGGTTGGTCTTGAACCCATGACCCCTCCCCAGTAATCTGTCCATGTGGGCCTCTCATAGTGCTGGAATTATAGGTATGAGGCACTGTTTCCGACCTGTGTGTTTTTTCTGATTATTGTCATTCAAAAAAAACAATTTTGAAATAAATCTACATTGTAACATGTATAAATAGTTCATTAATAGTTAATTTTTATTGGCGACTTGAATTCAATTATTTGGATATGCCACAGTTTGTCCATTCATCTGTCAATGGACGTTGGAGTAATTTGCAGTTTGGAACTAAACAAAACTGCTATGAACATTCATGTACAAGACTTATGTGGGCATATGCATTTATTGTTTGGATAAATACCACTGGGATGAATGGTTGTACCATATTGTAGGTATATGTTTAATGTTTTAAGAAACATGCTAAACTGTTAACCAAAGTGATTATATCATTTTACTGTTCTTGGTGGCATGTGAGAGTTCCAGTTTATCCACATCTTTGGCAACACTTCACATGGTCATTCTTTTTAACTTAAGTCATTCTAATTGGTATGTAGTGTTATCTCATTGCGATTTTAACTTTTAATTAGACAACGTAGGTCTTAAGTATTGGATTTAGTGTTTTTAATTTGACATATAATTGTGCCCATCTAATATTATACAATCAATTTTAAGTATAATTTTTATAATACAAATATTTTAAATATGATGAAAGATTAAATTATACTTACATATTCATTAAATTCATGCAGTCATAGATTTAATATGATGAAAGAACAATTAAATATACATGTTAACTTTTTAAATGGTATATAATTGATATAATCAGCAAAATTTTATTTATTCTAATCTAATAATGCTAAGAATTTAGAAATCTGTCTTATTATATGTGCTATGAACAGGATAATCCATTAATAGGCAAACTTATTAGCTATTTTGAATACTTTTAAACTTTAAGTTATTTATTTTAAAGAGTTTATTGAAATAGGGCTATTTTTATTTATTTGCCAAAAACATCATTTCTGAGATTAAAAATTTTTGGTTGGATGTTACAAAACAATAGCTTACAAAACATCTTAGCTATTTGCTCTAATACAGTTGCCTACCTAGTGAAGACTTAATATGTATTATAATGGCCTTTACTTTTTAAAAAATAGCAGAATTATCTATATTTTGTATCATCATTTCTCTAGAACTAATGTAGAGAGCTGAAAACTATAAACGACAAGGCATATTATCCTCAGGCTTTTCTTTGCTCTTTTATTTTGCAGAGCACAGAAAAATATTCATATTTATTTGCTACAGCTATATCACCTTCTATTTTGTCACTTCTGCATATAAATTGTAGGTTTTCATTATTGCATACTTAACAAAAGCTACTCAATATAAAATGCCTTTGCAGAAGATAATATGCAATAACCTCTTTTTTAATTATTATTGTTTAGCTGAATATCTTCCATAATAATGACTTACAAATTTTTATTTTTCTTTCCTTTCTTAGTTATATTTTATGCCTGTAATCTGAACTAAGAATTATTTCTATAAGATTCCTGCCTTGTCAAATTGTTATTTTCTAATACTTATAAGTAAGAGGATTTCTAAGTTCATGTTATAATTATTGACCACGCATAAATTGCAATAACTTAAGAAAATAGTAGCTGCTTGTGTTGCTAGGTTTTGTGTTTACACATGCTACATAAGACAGAATCATATTTGATGTCAGGATATTGTTGACAAGTAGTACAATTTGGTATTAATTCTGTATCTAATAAGCTAATTTTTTCTAGGTGTTTTCTTTTACTAAACAGCAAAAAACTGTTCCTAAGAAGTATATTTCCATACTAGAAATAGACTAGAAAACAATAGACAATAGAAAAGATGAATAGAATAATTGTTATTTTGGACAGATAAACAAAATCAACAAACATTTAGCTAGACTAAGAAAAAAGAGAAAAGATTCAAATAAAATCAGAAACGGAAGAAGACATATTACAACTGAGACCACAGAAATAAAAAGAATTAAAAGGAACAATGAACAACTACACAGCAACAAATTAGATAATCTAGACAAAATTTAAAAAAAAGCATTCTAGAAACAATCTGCCATTATCACATCATGAAGAAATAAAAGAATGAACACACCAATAATGAGTAAAGAAATTGAATTAATATTAAAAATATTGGCCGGGCATGGTGGCTCACGCCTGTAATCCCAGCACTTTGGGAGGCCGAGGTGGGCGGATCACAAGGTCAGGAGATCGAGACCATCCTGACTAACACAGTGAAACCCCATCTCTACTAAAAACACAAAAAAATTAGCCAGGCATGCTGGCGGGCGCCTGTAGTCCCAGCGACTTGGGAGGCTGAGGCTGGAGAATGGCGTGAACCCGGGAGGCGGAGCTTGCAGTGAGCTGAGATCGTGCCACTGCACTCCAGCCTGGGCCACAGAGCGAGACTCCGTCTCAAAAAAATAAAAATAAAAAATAATAAATAATTAATAATAATAATAATTTAAAAATTCCATCAAAGAAAAGCTTTTACAGAATGAAGTGAGGAAATAAAGCATATGATCACCACCATGGATGCAGAGAAAGCATTTTACAAAACCCAACATACTTTCATAATTAAAAACTCTCAACAAATTAGGAAGAGAAGGAATATACCTCAACAGAACAAAAGCCCACCACTAACATTATACTGAATGGTGAAAAGTTGAGAGCTTTTCTTCTAAGATGAAGAACAAAATAATCATACCCACTCTCACGACTTCTATTCGTCATAGTACTGGAAGTCCTAGTCAGAATAGTTATGCAACAGAAAGAAATAGAAGGCATCCACATTGAAAAGGAAGAAGTGGAATTGTCTCTGTTTGCAGATGGCATGATTGTACATATAGAAACCCTGAAGACCCCACCAAAAACTGTAGAACGAATAAATAAATTCAGTAAAATTTCAGGATACAATATCAACACACAGAAACCAGTAGAATACTCCAACAATGGACTATTCAAAAAATAAATCAATAATACAATCTTATTGGCAATAACTACACAATAAAATAAAATACTTCAGAATACATTTTAACCAAAGAGGTGAAAGATCTATACACTGAGATTGATGAAAGAAATTAAACACAAAAAAATGGAAAGATATCCCATATTCATGAATTGGAAGAACCAATCTTGTTGAAATATCTATACTCCCTAAAGCAATCTGCAGATTCAACACAATCCCCATCAAAATTTCAATGATATTATTAATAGAAATAGAAAAAAATTCTAAACATTTTTTGAAAACACAGAAGACCCTGAGCAGCCAAAACATTCTTGAACAAAATAAACAAAACTGGAGACATCATATTACCTGATTTAAAAATCTACCTCAAAGCTATAGTAATTCAGACAGTATGATGCTGGCATAAGAACAGATACATAGTTCAGTGGAATAGAGAAAAACCAAAAAATAAATCTAAGCATACGCATTTAATTTATTTTTGACAAGTGCCTCAATAATGCACAGTGGGAAAAGGATAGTCTCTTCAATAAATGGTGTATGGAAAACAGAATATCCACATGCAAAATAATGAAATTAGGCTGTTACATTACACTATATTCAAAAACAAACTAATGTGTTAAAGACCTAAATGTAAAATCTGAAATCATAAAACTCCAAAAGAAAATATAGAGGAAAACTCCTTGACATTCAACTTGGCAATGATTTTTTTTGATAGAACACCACAATGATAAACCACAAACACAAAAATAAACAAGTGGGAATACATAAAATTAAAATGCTCAGCACAGCACAGGAACCAACCAGCAAAACTAGAAGGCAGACTGTGGATTGGAAAAAAAAGTATTTGTGAACCACATATAAGATAAGGGATTAATATTCAAAGTCTATAAGGAACTCCCACAATTTGATAGTCAAATTTTTTTTAAATGACCCTTTTTTAAATGACCCAGTGAAAAAATAGGCTGAGGACTCAAAGAGACATAGGACCTCCCAAATATGTAAATAGCCCACAGGTATATGAACAGATGCTCACCATCACTAATCATCAGGAAAATGCAAATCAAAACCACAAGAAGATATCCCCTCACACCTGTTAGGATGGCTATTACCAAAAAGGCAAGAGAGTGTTGGCAAGGATGTGAGAAAGTAGGAACTCTTGTACCTGGTGTGTGAAAATGGAAATTGGTGCAGATACTATGGAAATTTCCAGTAATTTCTCTTTGCTTATATCCAAAGGAAATAAAATCATTACCCGGCAAAGATATCTGTACTTCTATGTTTATTGTAGCATTATTCACAATAGGCAAGATATGGAAGAAAGCTAAGTGTTCATCGTGAGAAGTATAAGGAATATTTCCTAATAAAGTATATTTCAGTTATGTTCATCAAATAAAAAAAGAAAAGAAAGAGACAGAAGGACAACTGTGAAATGATGGATATGTTAATTTGGTTGTAGTAATCACTTACTACACATAGGTATTAATATATCAAAACATCATGTTGTGCACATTAAATTTATACAATTTAAAAATTTTAAGGTTTTTATTTTATGTAACTATCAAAGGAAGAAAATTGTCCAAGTAATTTGTATGGTTTATCACATGTGAAGAAAACCTCACACATTTATATAATTATTAGTATTTTTAATCATAGTGCTTTATAGGTTAAAATCTTGCATTGATAAGTGAATTCTGCATAGTGCGCCTTTGAGAAAAAAGAAAAGCTGCTTCAGTATTTTTTAAAGGCAGACGTGGTGAAGATTGTTTAAAGGAAATCAATCTAAATAAAATGTTACGTACTCAAGATTACACGAGACTGAAATCATTATTATCAGAAGATAATTAAAGATTTGCAATTCTCACTCTTTATTTTAATTACTCCCTTTAAGCACTGCAATAGTCAATTAAACTGACTTTGAAAAAGCCATTCAAGATGATCAGTTAACATACAAATGTTCTTTAATTGTTTCCTATTTGTTTTGCTTGCAGTATTCCCACAGCTAAAGCTAGATTGAAATATCTATTTTGTGAGATTAATGGTGTTTTTAACTTGATTCACTGAATAACCACACTAAGATTACTAGAAAATGAGGCTATTGTGTTTTCATAGGTTGATGTTATTTTCTACTGGTTACTTCACAAACTACACATTCTATGACTAAGCTTCTTCTTTTTCATGGCAAAAAAATCCTAATATTTTAGGGTTTTCATGTAAATTTCTGGTTATATAATCCAAAATAGAGAAGAAACAAGAAAAAGTAACTTTCTTTCAATGTCTATTACATGTCAAGTTTTATACTAATTTCTTTATATAAATTATTTATATGTGTAAATTTATTTAAACCTCAACATGAAAGGGCATTGTGAAATCAAGAGATTCAAATTTTGATAAAATCAATGCTGAAAAGCTATTTTGAAAGACCTTATTTTATTCCATGGCCTTAAATATTTTACGTTTGGATTGGAATTTTGAAATGGTAACTATTTTATTTTAAAGAATAAACACTTATTGATAACCACCTTAGTAAATACCAAGAACTACCCATGGCCTGGTAATGCAAAGGTGGATGAAATATTTTTGAAGTTTTCAATGAAGTTGTGATCTCTCAATAAAGAATGTCTTGTTCTAAACAGATGTGTAAATCGTATTTTGGTGTCCATATGTGTTTGTGTGTTTGTGCATGATAGAGAGAGATTTACAATTCTATATACCCATCTGTACTCCACTCATACTTCTGAAAAAGCCAAAATTTAGTAAACATATGCTATGGAAGACATTCTGTATTTCACTACCTTTTCTCTCGTATAAAAGCTTCTTGTCCTTATCCTTAATTACATTAGGTCAAGACTTTGACATATAAAGTGGGTAGAGTGTTTCCTGTGTAATTATAGGAATAAAAAGCCAATTTTAGGATTGCTCATCAAATGGCAGTCAAGTAGTTTCCTACAGAGAATAGATCATTGTTTAGGTCATAGACACCAGACAATTTAAATTCTGAGATGTGGTTAACATGAGACAGCACCATAATTTCTATAGTTGCTCTCATAGACCCGTGTTTGACGTTCTTTAACAGGTAATTTTACAGTCTTCTCGAACTGATTATTTCAGATGAGTTGCAAGGGTTTTTAGAGCATATAAGGAACGGCATGGGTAAAGGGCAATTGAAAAACTTGCTGGGAGAGTGGAATAAATATCTATAACTAATAGACCAAACTTTCTATATACTGTAGCACAAGAAAATAAGAAGACTCCCATAACTTCATGCTGCTTACCACAATCAATTCAGTCTCTGTAGAAGCCAGTTACCTCAGGGTTCTTATCTCCTGCCCATTAACTCTTAACGCTTCTCGTGAATTACTGCTTTTCCAAAATTGCCATATTTGATTGAGCTGCCGACTAAAAGTGCCCTTGAAGAAGTTCTTCATTACCTCCAAGCCTACATATAATCTTGAGATGAATGACTTCAGAACTGCCTAGAATGAATATATTTTAGCTACATATAAATTTTCTATACTAGAATCTCTGGACTATAACTTTAAATCATTAGCAATCTTTCTTTAAGAGATAATCCTTCTGTGAATAAATGGGTATTTTTATAATACTCTGACTTCTGTTATCACCTACTCCAAGACTTTGTTTATGTTAGTACCCATTTTATTTTCTTTATTTCTTTCACCTTCTCCTTCTATACTGGATAATTCCCAGTGCTATAATAGCAGATTCAATTTTTCCCATAAAAGAAACTTCAATCTCAATTTTTTTAAAGTTTCTATTTTATATCATTACTATATCTCAAAATAAAAACTTGTAGAAAAAAAATTGGCTTTACTGAAAATCTAGCCTTTCTCCCTCCTTTTTCTTCTCTATGGAGAGGCTCCATCTCCATTCTTACCTAGTGAGCACCAAATGAAAACCTGTGTAAAGGACCTGATGAGTAGGCAAATCAGTGAACAGAAATAGAGGCTATGAAGTAGTAAAAGCAGAGTTTCTTACAAGCCCAGAATGACATCAAAAGCCCAAGCTCTGAGAAATTTTGGCCTCATTTTCAAAGGACCTAATAAAAATAATAGTATTTTCACTCTCTTTCACAATATCAGTTTTTAACTGGGATTTAAGTAATGTGGGGCTGAAATATATATTAAAAAACAGTCCCTAATTGGTAATACATTTTATATTTTGGAAATAAATATTTTCATGTCTCAATTTTTTTCCTGTGCTTTACAATTTTGACACAATGGAAAATTTCCTGGCCTTTCAAAGCCTGCTGCAAATATTAAAGTTACTTTGCCAAATAACAACTGAGCAGGAAAGGCATGTTACTGCCCAATGTAATCACCCTTCTTTTCAGTAGCATCAAAACATTTGGAGTGCCAGTTGAAAAAAATGATTTAGCAATTATGAAGTGAGTGTTGGATCCATGCTGTACCATTTTGAGTAGTACCAGCTCTCTAAAATTGCACCATGTCAGAAAATAGCATTATAATACTGTGGGTGAGCAAGAATATTCTGCATTCTCTAACACCTGGGCATAATGGGGAGCAGACTTAATGACCTCCCACTATGCTCACTTACCTGGTGGAAGGTATTCCTAACCACTTCTAGTGTTCTTTCTGTGTATTTTCTAGTAAATGTCTAAACTGAAGTAAAGTTTTCTGTCTAATTTGTCATGATTTTCTTACTTCATTCTAAGTAAGTCACCATGATTTTCACCACTCCATATAATTATTATTTCAGAGACATTTTCAAATAGGAACCATTATGTACATCTCCTTCAAAAGGTCAGCTTAACTTATAGAATTAGTCAACTGAGGGTCAGGCTCTAGAATAGCTGTAATTAACAAGCTTTTCTTAGCCTTTGTCCAGAGGGCAGAAACAAGGACTTATCTACCACTATTTTGATTCCAGAAAGGCTCTTAGGTCACATTTATTGCTGTGTTTATTTGAAACTAGTATGCCACTTCTGGGTCTTACTGACCTATTATATACTTGTCCTATATTTCCAGAAGTAAATAGAAAAGCAGAAGGCAAAAGCTTATTGTAAGAAAATTGTGTGAGGAGATAGGGATGTATTGTTGCTGAATTAATAATTATACTAAACAATATATATTTGTGTACTGATGTATATTTTTAGTTATTTAAAAATATCTTATTTCTCATGAAAACCCTTTACAGATAGGGTATTATTATCATAACATAATGAATATAAACACTGAGGTTCACAGAGGTTCAAGGAATTGTCCTGGGCCATCTAGTTCATAAGCCAGGTCAAAGGAAATAGAATCAAACCCCTTTATTACAGATCCATTATTAGTGTTCTACAATACTATACAAATAGAATCTAGGTGAAAGACAAACAAGTCTCCTCTTCAATGTTGTCAAATTTACAATGGAGACTAATCTCAATAATTAGAATATAGGTCAAAATATATTTTTCCTTATCCAAGGAATTATTATATATTTTGATCAGACTGGTAAATACATGGATATATACATTTGTGAAAACTCATTAAACTTTACATTTGAAGTAGATGTTTTATTATTGCATACAAATTATACTTCAATAAAGTCGATTACATATGTTACTTCTAAAAAGTGGTCATATATATGAAAACTTTAATAGTCTACATTATTAGCTTAGGTAATAAATAGTTGATATACATGCATAATTACTGGCAAATAATTTAAGCAACCAATTTTACACTGTTATACATGGTTATTGAATGAAATAATTATGCTTTTCAAATTGGTCAATTATTATTATTTTTGATGTGATGGTTGGGTTTTTATTATTTATGCTCATAAGTTCTCTGATAATAGTTTTTAAAACACAAATTACATGAAAAATTCTGAAAGCATAATTTGCCTTTAGAACTCTATATGTAAAATGTAGCTGATATTTATGAGAAGCAAAGATTTAAATTATCTGCAGATGATTTAACAAATAATTTAGTGTTTTCAGAACACGACTACCATTACATGCATATTTGCTTGTACGATAATATTGTTTATCCAAGCAACTTGACAATTAAGAAAAACAACTTTGGCGTAACTAGAAAAAACATTTTTAAAATAATAATTGTTCTGATAATAATAAAGTATGTATTTCTAAAGCTGCCAAATATCTGCCTGTTTAGCAAGGAATGACTAAAAGAGAAATTCAAATTGACCTGATGGTTATAAGAAATTTGGGTTTTGCTAGGGAGATGCCTACATTTTTATCTTTAAAAAATAACTATTTGTCTTAAATTTACCTTATGGTATTATTATATGTTTTATTTACTGTGGCTAGCAAAATAAACGGTGATTAGAAAGGATGTTGTTTATTTAATGCAAGTATTAAGAAGAGGCTTTCTCTATAACTTGTAGGCACATTTGGGATTTTTGCCCCAGTTTTAAAGAATGACAGCAAAAGCATCTTTATCTGACATTTAGACTGATTAAATTTTGAAAAGTCACTTGGCATATTCAGCAGGACTCCACAGGGTACTCCAGCTTTATAAGGCAATGGATCATGTTAGCTTAACTTATATTTAAGATTTGCTGGCCTGATATTATTGTGTTAGGCAATATTGCTGAAAAGGAAACATAAAATTTTGCTGTCATGAGATCAAGTCTCTGCCTGCCCTGCACTATAAATTAGTTCCATAAAGTTTTAAAATGCAACTTTTATTCTGGCTCAAGTGGTATTGTGAAGCAGTAAACAGCTTAAATACATAAAATTAAGCCTACTTTGTGTGAAAACAAATTTTTTAATTCACTTATCCTTGGAATGCAGGAATAAAAGTTACTTAGCCACCAAAAACATTTATATAAAGCTAAAAGAGAGAAGTCAGTTGTGTTTGAGAGTTCATTTTTAAAAGCACCATGTCCTTTTGGCCATAATGCACAATTTTTATGAGCCCACATGTATATTGGCTATTATTGCAGCTTAAGAAGAAATGTACTGAGACATGCAAAGGAGGATAGTATAATAATAAAATGTTCATAAACATGTGTAACATCTATGACACCCCTATTTTGAAAACAGTTTTGTTCTAAGGAAAATATTAAATAAAATGAAATGCATCTAACTCAATTTTGAAAACATAAAATTGATCTATTATAATTTAATTAAATTATTTGAAGGGAAAATCTGCAGAAATAAAATATAACAAAAATTTGATTATCATTGGAAAACATCTTTAAAAATATAGATGAGATGAAGTATCATTTTGCTAATGAAGACAAAAGTAGATTAAACAATATGTATTTCATTTGGTTTCCCCATCCACTCAAGATAAAAGAAGGTAACCAAACTATTTATCATTAGAAAAAGCAATGCAAAAAACTATTAAGTGTTGATCATCACCTTCTAACTAGCTAGAAAATGATCTTATTAACTACATATAGAATAATACTGAACTGACAAAATGTATCCATACTTACAACTATTCAATAATTTTCTTAACAGTTATGTATAATTCTACTGAAGACTTCTTTTTGTTTTTATTCTATATTTTCAAGCATATATTTCATTTTCTTGCCAATATAGGACAAATGACAATTATTCTATAAAAAAGTGACTGTAGCCACTTCTAAGCTCTTATGTCAGGAATAATTTATGTGAGTAAAATGATCTTTTTAATTGTATTTGTTGTAAAAGACTCATCCACTGTGTAATGCAAAATAGAACAAGGTATAGATAATTTCAAGATGGCAATGCAACAAATGTTATAGAATATCGAGTTTAATTGTTCCCAACATTTATTTGAAATAATTAATTTAGTATACCAGACAGATGAAATTTCCTGTATTTTATAATAAATACTTTGGCAAAGAAATTTGGTATTATTTATTTGGCAATTCCATAAATTTATGAACAAAAAGCATTGTAAAGGATAAGTTAATAGCTATTAATATTTCTTCATGGATTTCAAATATCATAAGTCAAATGCAAGATAATTTTCTGCAGATAATCATATGTTTATCCTACTTTTTCTCCCATGGTTTAAATTTTAATATGCAAATTTGATATGTTTTTAAGTATAAGTTATTCAAATGTTTTGTGATGTTGACTTGATTTTAAATTTTCAAGAAAAATTAGAAAATATTCTAACATGGGTCAACCAACTAAAATGGAAAAATATTCAATCCATTAATTAAGGGAAATACAAAAATATTGGCTAATTCCATATTTTTATTAGAATATCAATTAAGCATAATTAACTACTTATACCGCAAATTTTCTTGCAATTATATTTATTAGCCAATATTTGGATTGAGTACATTTAAATATGGGTAAGAAATTCAACCCATACTATTTAACCCATAATCTAATATACGGTTTGAAAATTATTCAAGGTTGTTTATTATTCTAAATATTTACTTCTGAAATTTATCACTAATGTAGAATAATCACATTCAATGTTAGTGTTTTGATGAAACAGTTCTTCCATGTACTTTTGCATAAAGTAAATGAATTTCAACATTAATCTTTCTATATTTAATTTAAACTTTATTAGTGTATTCTATAGTTAGGTACACAGTGAGTGTAAACAAGGCAATTTTTATACTTATGATAAATTACAATGATGTTCATGGCTTCTTAAAGTGTTTGCAATTTTATTTAGAGTTTCATAATAGGATGCTTTAAATGTGTCTACAAAAATGGTTTTCTGTCATCCCCATATAACACCTACTATATGGGCAATTCAGAAGAATATGTGTGCTTGTGATTTTGTGTGTCTGTGTGTACACCATTTGTAAATAAAGCAAAATGATAATTGTATTCTTTTTCCAGTGTCATAAAACGACACTGTTTAACAGACTCACTATTATTAATTATGTAAGAAAACATACTTGTGTTCATCTTTTCTATGTACTATGCGATTAGCACTCAGACACTATGGAGTCACATGCTAACTTGTGGATTTCTGTCTAGTAGAAAACATAATTTCAATGTTATGGTTTTAATACTCTGTAAGAAATTAACTTGTTTTATTAACATATTTAACTTAGAATTCCTTTTACTGAGTAATTATATATATTTACATTTCTCAAATTATTTTTTGAGCTAGCTGTAGGGTCTTATTGGTTCCTCAATTAAAGAATTTTTTGAACAAATATCTTTGACATATATTTATTATTTATTTGTATGAGGGTAATGCTCTTAAATTTTGAAAATAGTATTTGATAAATGCTGCATAGAGTGATTCGCTCATTTTGATAAATAGGAAATCTGTGTCTGGCAACTTTTATTTTAATACCAATCTTTACTAGATAATGACACAAGGCTGAGTTTGATGGGGTTTTTTTTAGATTCCTTCTGGAGGTTGATTTTATTATTACCACGGTGCTCACTTAAGTTGAACAAAATCAAAATTTTCATTGCCCAAAGATATTTATGCTGAGTGATCTACTTAGCCAATTTTCTTTAGCAAACTAATACCAAATAGTAGTTGTAACTACCTCTTGTATCTGAAATTCAGAAGTATTAAAAGTACATTTCAGATCCAGTCTTTAGCTTTTGGGAGCAGTGGTTTCATAAGTGGTTAAAGCTAACTGTTTCTTAATGTTACAGTTAATGCTTCAAAAATATCAACCAGAATAATAGATGTTATACATTTCTAAGTTTCATGCATCCATGCCCCTTGTTAGAATAAGAATATCTATAGAGATTACACTCGGGATCAGTGCCTGCCTATTGTGGACTCTTAAACCCTCAGGATAGAAAAAGTCAAGCCCACTGTGAAGAAGTGATCACTATAGTGTGGTCTGTGAAATAATAATGTAATAAGTGTAAGTTTCATTGGAATAATCATGAACTTAATGTCAGAATACATGAAATTAAACTTTGTCTAGTACCCCACAGGTTAAAGTCTCAGTCCTTTGATTTATTTTCTATTTGATGTAGGCAATTTATAAACTAGGTTTTCATCTATTTACTCAGGTCTGCTTTTATTGGGAGGCAGTTGTAGTGTAATGGAATAAAAAACTCTGCATTATATTTAAGTGACATTTTTATTTTGAACACTTCCAATGTGTGTATTATTTAACTTAAATGAGATGCACTTTTGTTTCTTCTACTGTAAATAAAGGATAACAATAAAATCAACATCAGATGAAGACCCTCTAATTAGTAAAATGTTTAGAAAATAACACGTGTGAAATATTAGCATTAGTTTTCTTTTTAAAAGAAATAAGATAGTAAGACATTTGCTTTGTGAATGTTATTGAACACTTCACAGAGTATTAAATTTTATTTTATCCCTCCAACAATTCTATGAAGTGGGGGAAGGGTATGAGGTCAGTTTATACTTTTCTCCCTAACTACAACTGCCATTCCTAATTCTAATGCATCCTTAAATGTTCACAAATCCTAACAAATTTTTATAATCACAAAGATCCCTTTGTAAATCACAAATGATGTGAATTTCCTTTAGCACTTTAATGTGTTTGATCCCCTATAAAGCCCTTCACTTATGTTTTAGAATTCTACTTTTGAAATATGTTTAGAAAGCCAAGAATTATACTAGATCTTTGCAGCTTCAAGGCAGGTATGTATATAGGCTATCAAAAGCTTAAAAGAGCTTATTTATCTTTCTGGAAACAATCTTTTCAAAACCTTTAATTTTGTTGTTACATGTATGAGAGATGGAATAGAAAAGAATTTGGCATATTTTAGAGAAAATGATATTCCCATAGAAGATTGGCTACCTAAATGTGATAATTCATTAATCTAAATGTGATTATGTTGTATAGGCCAGTACTCTCCTCCCGCTGATGTATTCCCTATCCTAGTAGCTTATTTGCATATTAAACCTCAAGATGTCAGCCATATCTGCATATCTCCTGACAAAGCATTCTCAGACTTCTGGAGTGTGTGTTTTCCATGATTATATTAAAACATGTATCTCCGTGGGAATACAAAATATTAAAAACTTTAATACATAATTATGATTCCATTTCAAATTCTCAAATGTGCTCCTTTGTTTGATAATTTATATTTATGTACCAATAATCACGAATTTTTAAATTTTAAAAATTCCCATCATGTCTTTGGTCAAGCTTCAGAGTTATTTTGCATTATATCCATAGATAATATTGTTTACTTGGGTCTCTGGTAATTATATATTGCTGAATGTTAATCAACAGGATATATTAGAATCTAAGTTATTCTATAAAGCTGTTGCATATGCTTTGCTCTGTCATTTATGAACTTTGATAGACAAAAATTGCCTCTACTTACGTATAATTTGCACCATTATCAGGATTGATTATGTCACTCATACTGTTAAAATTGATAAGTGAGGTTTCTACCTTCCTCACATCATTTACAGTAAATATGATTAAAAATATGAATTATTTTAAGCCTTTCCTTCCAGATTTTGAAGTTTTAAAAAGTATCTATTTTTTTTAATTTAGATTGACTCAATAATGTAGATAGTATTTGGGGTTTATAGCACTGATTGGTTACATTTGTGACAGCTCTAGAAGTGATGTTTTATTACACAAGCCCTGTGATCTCTAGCATATAGAAATGAGTCAGAAATAAAAATGCTCCGTTTCAAGTGATTTTTATCAAGGTAACAATTGCTACGTATACTATATTGAGAACTATGAATGTCACTAACATTCTTAGAAATGTTCTAATAATCTAACATGGATAAATAACTAAGAATTATGAATACGGATTCTAGGTATATAGGCAATACCAATTTTTTCAGGTTATTCTGTCTCTAAATTTACTTGGTAAAGATAAAAAGCAAAAATGTAATATGTATTTTAGGCATCTTCTTTGTGATATATGCAATGAAGAAATATACATTGATAAATATATCTTAATCAATAAATATATTGAAGAATGAAGAAATATATATTGCCCGAATGAGGAACTTATATTTGGTTGAAAAATAACTTTCTTCTACCTTAAAATTATTAGGGAGTAATTCTATTACTTGTCAGTTATATGATCTTGGACAAGTCTCATGTTTTTCATCTGTGAAAATGGTATAATAATTTTACTTTCCTCATAGAGTTATATGTAGAAGATAATATTTTATAAAATATTTAAAGATTGTGTTTCACGCTAGAAGTATTTAGTTAATTTTATTTATAATGATAGCTATCATTATTATTTTTGGATAACAATATTTCTAAATGAAGTATAACCTTGTATTTTCATGTTTTAAAAACCATAATTTTCACATACATTATTTTTCGGTGTGCAGTATCAGTAGAGTTTTGATTGACAGGTAAACCTTTTCCAGATTTTACAAATAAGGAAATCAAGACTAAACTTATGTTAAAATATTGTTTAATGCCCAGTCATCTGATAGAGTTATACGTAAGGAACAAGGACTCAAATCTAGATCTGATTCCAAATCCAAACTTCTTCCTATTGTACCAAAATTAGGGAATGAAACACTTTTAAGTCAGAAAAGGCAATATGTACCTCACCATTTCTCCTAAAATAGTACCTTTATTCACCATCAATTCTAGAAAGCATCTGCTAATTTTAAAACTTCATTAAATCTGAGTCAATAGGCATGTGAGTGGATACTTCAAAAAAAATAGAAATATTTAGACAAACTGAAATAATTAAAGCAGTAAATCTAAGCTATAAACTAATTAATCTACAAAATACATTAAATGACATCAGAGGGGCAAGTGGATATCAGAACTCCAAGGAAGTTAGATCTCTTCTAGAAATTATTTGAATATCTGATCTTACTAGAAAAACTTTATTCTAGGTGGAAAGCAATCTTGTTACTGTCAGCACTACTATCGGTCAGTCTTCATCAAGTTTTTAGTGTGCACTCATAAGAAATTCATAGAGAAGGGGATGGTCATAAGCCTTGATAAATTTGTTTCTTGAGACTGAGGAGTTCAGAAACTAATTTTTCACAATAGCAACTTTTGGAAAAATATTGCCTAAGCTCATTTTAAAATCCTTAGAATTTTATTCAGTTGTCTTGCTTTATCTGTAAGATTCTTTTTCTGTATGAAACCTCCTTTCCAAATTTTCCATATCCTAGGAGTTCCTGATTGTGAAGCTAGAATTGAAGGTTCGAGATACAAATTGCACAAGAAACTTTTAGAGTGACTTCTGTTCAACTTTTAAGAGTGTTCTCAATTTAGACAGAACTCTGGGCCCTCTCCAACCCAGACTATTTAAGCTAAAACTGTCATTCATTGAATTAAGAGTCTAAATGACATAATTTCACCAAAGATAATTGAGAATTACAGTGTCCACTATAAGGGATGTTAAGGGTTTGAACTTTTTTTTTTTTTTTTGAGACGGAGTCTTACTCTGTTGCCCAGGCTGGAGTGGAGTGCAGTGGCGTGATTTCGGCTCACTGCAACCTCCGCCTCCCAGGTTCCTGCCATTCTCCTGCCTCAGCCTCCTGAGCAGCTGGGACTGCAGGCACCCGCCACAACGCCCGGCTAATTTTTTATATTTTTAGTAGAGATGGGGTTTCACCGTGTTAGCCAGGATGATCTCGATCTCCTGACCTCGTGATCTGCCTGCCTCGGCCTCCCAAAGTGCTGGGATTACAGGCGTGAGCCACCGCGCCCGGCCAAGGGTTTGAACTCTAAAACAAATAAACAAGAACAAAAAACCACACAACTCCTTAGAATGTAAGCTAAGTAAATTCTGAAACATTGAGAAGATTTTTTTTATTTATAAGAGAAAGCTAAACTTTTTTCCAAAATGTTTGTAGCATTTTATACTCCCACCAGCAATATACAAGGTTTCATCACCAAGACTTATGAATCACTACATTGTTTTAATTTATAAACAATCTCATAAGCGTGAAATGGTGTCTCATTGTGGTTTAATTTGCACTTTGCTAAAGAATATTTTGATTATTTTTAATTGTGTCTGTCTAATACATAGAAATATTTTACTCATTTATTAGTTTGAGTAGCATCTTTATGTGCACTGAAATGTCAATAACTCTTGTATCTGCCGGATCATATGGCACAAGTGGTAGAGCAGCTTGCATGACTGCCTGGTTTTGTTGCAGGGCCTTCTTCTATTCTAGACCCCACATAAAACTAGCAGCTTTTGCATCACTCACCGAATGGACTAAATGGACTACAGTAGCACATCCAAATGAGGAATACGTTTCATCTAAGGAAGCCCATTAGGGGTTGTCTACTGGGGGTTGTATCTCTATTTTGGTTGTAGAAAACATCATATGTAACAACTTATCCTTCATATGCATGAGAAGTCTTGATATGTCCCACACCTCTGGCCCCAAAGAAGTTTCGCTGAGGTTGAAGTCTCCTAATTTTTTTGTCAGATTTGTGTTTCGCACTCTGTTATGCAAACGTGTTAGCAATAAATCAAGGATAGTTGCTACTGGCTGCTCACTATGTCCTATCAACGTAATCCTATTAAGATAATGAACTAACATGATGTCTTATGGAAGAGAAAGGTAATTGAGATCCCCATGAACTAAATCACGGGAAAGATCTGAATAGCTGATAAACTCCTGAAGTAGCAAAATACATGTATATTGCTGGCCTTACCAGCTAAAGAAAACTGTTCCTGGTGGTCTTTTTTAACAGGTATTGAGAAAAAAAATTATCTGCAAGATCAATAGCTGCACACTAAGTACCAAAGGATGTGTTAATTTGCTCAAGCAATAAAACCACATTTGAAGCAGTAGCTGGAATTGGAGTCATCCCCTGGTGAAGCTTAAAATAATTACTTGTCATTCGTCAAGGCCCATGTTAGATTTTTTCCCCTCACAGGCCAAATAGTTGAATCGAATGGGGTCATGCTGCGAATCCTCACCCCAGTATTTTCAAGTTCTTGATGATTTACTCATCTCTGTATTTCCTTCAGGAATGTGGGATTGACTGTGGCTTACTATTTTCTTAGGTAGAGACAGTTCTAATGGTTTCAGCTTGACCTTTCTTATTGTAGTAGCCTCAAATCCTTTAAACTCAGGGACCTATTCTGGATCCCAGTTTTTGAGTATGTCCTTAATTAATTATGCTTTCCAGAACTGGGGAAATGACTGCAGAATGTATACAGGAACCTGATAGACCCATGGTGAGACAGTTCTGAACTAAAATTCCTTTGATCTCTCTGCATATATAAGCACATCTGGCACTTCAACTTCATTTAGTATATTTCAACTTTTGGTTTAGGTTTTAGCCAAACAATCAAACAATTAGAGACCTTTCTAGTCCCTAGATCTACAACATTAAATTTATAATCTATGTTTAGTGTACCCATACAAAGACCATATCTACAAAAAGCCTTCATAGCAATATGAAGACTAGAGTTTTGCCAACAAACTCAGCACAAAGACTACCCAGGTCACCACATAAAGTTAAACATTAAAGACATTAGTAAAGTCATTGAAAATCAACAACCATAAAAGCATAAAACATATAGAAAATAAAAAAGACACTAACATATTTTAAGAAATACATGGTGCTCTCTTAGAGTGTACATTATATATTGAGTCATGTTGGAGTCCATCAAATAGAGGAAGAAGAAAATTTTAGGTGAACTTTAAGACTTAAAGTTGGAAGTTTAATACTAAAAATATTAAAAAACAGTAGCAATACTTAAGTAGTTTAACGGCAAGTAAGAAAGTAAGAGAGAAGAGAATTGAGATATGAAAGTGAACATACGTTATTATCTGTTTATCCTGTATTGTTCTTTGACTTTTGTTATCAATCTATCTCCTTAAAAATGGGAATACGTTTGTTCAAAGGCTAATGTAAAACAATCCTCTACAGAAAGAAGTTGAAGATTTGTTCTAAAGTCCTTAGTCTTCTCTATATATCATGTAAATCATATATGGGAGAGATTAAAGCTCAAATTCCTACTGTGGCAATTTTTTTAAAAGTTATGAACTTGTGAAAACCAAACAGGTTAGATGCTTCCAAAATTCAATGGGGGTACAGGCATAGCATAGAAAACCCCATTACCTCGTTTCAGAAAAGAGAAAGAAGTAAAGAGTGGCAGGTCCCAAGCAAGACTAAAATCTGGCAAAAAAAAAAAAATTGTGAAATGAGTAAGATAATAATGCTCAAGAATAATCCTCTTTGACTCCATTCTTTGCACTCCCAAGCAAGACTAAAACCTGGCAAAAAAAAAAAAAAATTTGTGAAATGAGTAAGATAATAATGCTCAAGAATAATCCTCTTTGACTCCATTCTTTGCACTCCAGGCCCACAGAGATGGTAGTCTCACCTTTAGACCGACTGAGGTTGCAGTTTTCTGCCCAAATCTTGGTAGGGTACTGCACAGTCTTTAGCTCTCTTGGGTGTCTTCAGCCATGTTCTGTCTCTGTGCCAGGGCACTGTACATGCCACATTTTTTTTTGTCAAGGTAGGGCGGGTCATGCCCCATTGCTTTGCTTGTTTGCCTTACACCCAAAGCTCCACTAGGTATTGGTTCTGCCTTTTGAAATTAAAGGGGAAGCAGCCATGCCCCAAGAGGGGGAACTCTGGGCAGGTGTTGAAAATAGTGGTTCTGAATTGTCTTTGAAGTTCCTTCTTTCCTTATCTTGAAGAATAGCATATGTTCACAGACAAATAGTTTTATGGCCTAATTTTATATGGTCTAAGAGGCCCAAAATGCTTTTCATTTTCTACTATTTTCTCTATTTCCTTTGTCCCACCTGGGGGTGTGTTTGACAGTATAGCTTCATTTCTAACTTTTGTTTAGATAGTTGATTAAGTCTATATTTTAAGTCTATACATCCATATGATCTCCTTATCAAACAATTTCTTAGCTTCACACTTAGTGCTCTCCTGCAAAAATGTTTTCTTATGTTTTGCAATATGGTTAAGATGATAATTTTCCAATCTTAAATTTTGTGTCATTTTTTGCATAACAATTACATCTTTAAGTCACTTCTCACTTCTTGAATTTAGTATAAGCAGTCAGGAGGAACCAAACCATACCTCCAACATTTTGTTTGCAAATGTCTTCAGGTAAACATGCAATTTCATGACTTACAAGTTCTACCTTTCACAAAACCCTGTGAACATAAGCATTTCAACCAAGTTATTTGTCCCTGTATTACTCAGGGTTCCCTAGAGGGACAGAACTAATCGTATATCTATATCTATATATTATATTATATTATATTATATATACAAAATATATATTATACATATAATATATATATTATATATATTTGGAAAATTTATTAAGTAGTATTAACTCACACAATTATAAGGTCCCACAATAGACCATCTGCATGCTGAGGAGTAAGGAAGCCAGTCTGAATCCCAAAGCTGAAGAACTTGGAGTCCAATGTTTGAGGGCAGGAAGCATCCAGCATGAGAGAAAGATGTAGACTGGGAGGCTAAGCCAGTCTAGCCTTTTCATGGTTTTTTTTTTTTTTTTTTCCTGCTTAATATTCTAGCCACGCTGGCAGCTGAATAAGTGGTGCCCACCCAGATTGAGGGTGAGTCTGCCTTTCCCATGCCATTGACTCAGATGTTAATCTCCTTTGGCAACACCCTCACAGACTCACCCAGGATCAATATTTTGCATCCTTCAATCCAATCAAGTTGAGACTCAGTATAAACCATCACAAGTCCATCCCTTGTCAACTTGAACCCATACACATCTCCTGAGATCATACATAATCTTCAAATAAAGCAATAATGAGGTCACGATTACATCTAACATAATAGAACTATCCTTCTTCCAACTGGAAACACACCAACCCCAACCTAAATGCTATGTAAAGTTAATAATACTTAAATGCTGATATTGATATGAAGTCAATAAATGTTATATCAAATGATAAAGGAAAAAGGAAATAAAATGCAGATGTTTTCTTAGTACAAGTGTATACATACACAAACATGTTTTTAACAAAAAAAGGAGAAAATACTCATGACAATTGCAGTCCTCGTTTCTGCAACCAGTCACGTGGTTGTAGCTGGTATTGATGACTACTACCTTCTTCTACTACCCATTCTGTATTACCTTTGCCTTCAGCAAGCATCTTTCCAGGTCGTGTTTTGTTCCTGGTAGAGTGACCCAGACCTTCATTCCTGAAGGGTCTGGGCCATTTGTAGTCCATCCTGGATTAGACTGTTGTAGTTTCCCATTTACCTTAATCACAGGGCATGGTAATACTAACAGACACCCTAATGGATCTCCTGTATTCCATGCATACTCTTCCTTACATTCTTTTTGAAGTAGTAGACTAATTTCGTCTTGCTAGTCCGGGTCAATCACCCTAGCCAACACTGTAACTCCCTTCTTAGCCTGTTGGCTTAAAGGTGGGAGGAGCCCAAAGTGTCCAGGTGGCAATCTTAACTTCCAGTTTAATGGAATTGTTGTTGTGTCTCCTGGTGGTAGCATTCCTCCCTCTAGAATTAAGACCTCTAGGCCATCAGAATGTAACGTCATGGGAACAGGAAGCAAAAATTTTGCTAGTGGACCACTAGGGGTTATGGTGAGTGGTGCCACTTCTACTTCCACCCCTCGATTCCTGGACTCATGAATTCTGGCTATGGGAAAAAAAAATACCATATATTGGATGCTAACTCAGACCATACATGGCATTCTGAAGAGCTTTGCCCCAGCCCTGTAAAGTATTGTTACCTAGGTGGCATTGTAATTGCTACTTCAAAAGGCCATTCTACCATTCTATCAATCTAGCTGCTTCAGGATAATAGGAAAAATGGTAAGACCAGTGAATTCCATGAACATAAGCCCATTGCCACACTTCTTCAGTTGTAAAATGAGTTCCTTGATCAGAGGTAATGCCATGTGGAATACCATGACGGTGGATAAGGCATTCTGTGAGTCCACAGATGGTAGGCTTGGCAGAAGCATTACGTACAGGATAGATACTCATATCTGAAGTAAGTGTCTATTCCAGTGAGGACAAATCTCTGGCCTTTCCATGGTGAAAGAGGTCCAATGGACCAATATAATCAATCTACCACCAGGTAGCTGGCTAATCACCCCAAGGAATGGTGCCGTATTGAGTGCTTAGTGTTGGTCTCTGCTACTGGAAAATTGGACACTCAGATGTGGTCGTAGCAAGGTCAGCCTTGGTGAGTGGGAATTTGTGTTGCTAACTCCATGCATAACCTCCATCCCTGCCACTATGACCACTTTGTTCTTGGGCCCATTGAACGGTGACAAGGGTGGTTGGAAAAAGAGGCTGAGTGGTGTCCACACAATGGGTCATAATATTCAATTGATTATTAAAATCCTCCTCTGCTGAGGTCACCTGTTGGTGAGTCCTCACTTGGGATACAAATATCTTCACAGTTTTTGACCACTCAGAGAAGTCCATCTGCATTCCTCTTCCCAAGATTTCTGTGTCACCAATTTTCCAATCATGCTTCTTTCAAGTCCCTGACCATCCAGCCAAAGCATTGGCTACAGCCCATAAATCAGTATATAATCACACATCTGGCCATTTCTCCTTCCATGCAAAATGCACAAAAAAGGTGCACTTCTCGAAGTTCTGCCCACTGGAAAGATTTTCTTTCACTGCTGTCTTTCAGGGATGTTCTAGAAAGGGGCTGTAGTGCTGCAGCTGTCTACTATTGGGTAGTGTCTGCATATCGTACAGAACTATCTGTGATCCAGGCCCTAGTCTTCTCTTCCTCTGTCCACTGACCATAGAGAACTCCCAGTGAGGACTTTGGTGTAGGCTGGGGGGAAAAAAGGCAGGGTGGCAGAAGTGTAGACTACATAAGCCACTTTCTCATGTAACTTACTTGTGCCTTCAGCACCTGCTTGCGACCAATCATGTATATACTACTTTCATTTGATGATGGAATGCTGCTGCGCACAACCCACTTTATGGCTAGATGGGTTAGAAAGCACCCAAGTCATGATAGGCAGTTCAGGACTCATGATGACTTAATTACCCATAGTCACACGTTCAGTTTCCTCCAAAGCCAGTAATAGGCCAAGAGTTATCTTTCAAAAAGAAAGTAGTTATCTGCAGATGATGGCAGAGCCTTGCCCCAAACCCTAGAGGCCTCCACTGTGATTCATCTATAGGGGCCTGCCAAAGGCTCCAAACAGCATTCCTATCTCCCACTGACACCTCAAGCACCATTGGATCTGCTGGGTCATATGGCCCAATGGAAGAGCAGGTTACACAGCAGCCTGAACCTGTTGTAGAGCCTTCTCCTGTTCTGGACTCCACACAAAACTGGCAGTCTTTTGGGTCACTTGATAAGTGGGCCAAAGTAGCACACCAAAATGAGAAATGCATTGTCTCCAAATTCCAAATAGGCCCACTAGGCATTGTGCTTCTTGGTTGTAGGAGGGGCCAAATGCAGCAACTTATCCTTCACCCTAGAAGGAATATCTCGACAGGTCCCACACCACTACATCCCTGGAAATTTTACTGAGATAGAATGTCCCTAAATTTTAATCAGATTTATTTCCAATTTTCTTGCATGAAAATGTCTCACCAATAAGTTCAGTGTGTTTTCTACTTCTTGCTCACTGGATGCCATCAGCATAATATCATTAATGTAATGGACCAGTGTGGTATCTTGTGGAAGCAAAATGTGATTAAGGTCTCTCTGAATAAGATTATGACACAAAACTGGAGAGTTGATATACCCCTGAGGTAGGACAGTAAAGGCATATTGCTGGCCTTGTCAGCTGAAGGTAAATTGTTTCTGGTGGGCCTTATGGAAACGAATGGAGAAAAAGTCATTTGCCAAGTCAATGGCTGCATACCAGGTACCAGGAGATGTGTTAATTTGCTCAAGCAATGAAACCACATCTGGTACAGCAGCTGCAATTGGAGTCACCACTTGGTTAAGCTTATGATAATACACTATCATTCTCCAAGATCCATCTGTCTTCTGCATGGGGCAAATAGGAAAGTTGAATGAGGATGTGGAGGGAATCACTGCCCCTGCCTCTTTCAAGTCCTTCATGGTGGAACTAATCTATTCAGTCCCTCTAGGGATGTAATATTGTATTTGGTTTACTATTTTTCTAGTTAGAGGCAGCTCTGATGGCTCCCATTTGGCCTTTAACAAAATAATAGCTCTCACCTTACCAGTCAAGGAGCCAATGCAGGGTTTCTGCCAGCTGCTAAGTATGTCTATGCCAATTATGGATCCTAACACTGGGGAAATGACCACAGGATGAGTCCAGGGACTCACTAGACCCAGTGTAAGTTGGGCCTGAGCTAAAACTCCATTAGTTGCCTGACATTCGTAAGCCCCTACTTTATCTGGAGGACAACAATGACGTTTTGGGTCCCCTGGAATCAACATCAGCTCATCACCAGTGTCCAGTAGTCCCTGAAATGTCTGATCATTTCCCTTTCCCCAGTGCACAGTTACCCTGGTAAAAGGCCAGAGGTCTCCTTGGATAGGATGGGAGAAATATTCACTGAATAAACTGTCAATAATGTAGTGGGTTCCCTCCTCAAGGGGACCTGGCATCCCCTTCGTTCAAGGGGTTCTGGGTGTGTAAACTGGCTCAAGTCAGGATATTGATTGAGTGGCCATGATTCTCTATTTCTATGATTCAAATTCGAATTTTGTCCATTCGACCTGGAAGTTTTCTGATTATACAAATTAAGTAGGAATGCAGTAGGCTTCCTATCAATTTCACTTCTAGGAACACCATAATTAATTAGCAAATGCCAGATCTCTCCATGTGTCAGACTATTCTGATTGCTGCTTTGCCTTTTCTGTCCATTATGGTAGCTATGCCCACCTTGTCTTTAATGTTTGAGTGCTGCTACTTGCCCCTGGCACCTTGGGATCCAATTATTTCCATTATATTTAAATTTTGTAGTTGAATGACTGAGCTTTCCATGGTCAGATCTGACATACAGAGAAGGGCAATTATAGGGCTCTTCAAAGGTACAGGTGCTGCCCTCACGAATCTATTTCACAAGGCATTGGTCAAGGGTATATTCTGGATGCTCCCAGCTGAGATGAGTTCGTCTAAAGTAACTAATCTACTCCACCATTCCAAAATTCCTAAGCCTTTGGATCCCCTCCTCTACATTAAACCAAGAAAGATCAGGCATTTCCAGCTTATTCACAGCAGACCATCTTTTAATCCATATTCCAGCTAACCAAGCAGATGAGTGGTTAGAACCTTTTTTAACTCCTTGAGCTGCAGCATTAAATGCAGAATCCTTACTTAGTGGGCCCAAGTCAACAAATTCGGCTGGACCAACTCTATGTTCCTCCCACCATTATCCCACACACTGAATATCCATCCCCATGCCTGTTCTCCAGATTTCTGCTCATATAAATTAGAAAGCTCAAGCAGTTCTTTTCAAGTGTAGCACACCTCCTCATGGGTCACACTCTGAATTTTACCTCTAGGAGCCTGCCATGACTTTAGCCTAGTTATAGGTCTAGAAACAAACAGGGGTGTTGGGGATGGCTCCTGGGAAGAACCAACATTATCTTGCCTCTGGCAACTGCCTCAGGGGAGGCCATCACTCTTGCCTCAGGCTGGGTAGGTTTATATCTTCAGAGGAAGGTGGAAAGGCTGATGGCAGCATGGGTCTGGGAGAGGATGTTGCCATTACTGGGGATGAAAAGCTGTTTCTTTTGGCGAAAAAGGTTCATCAGAACTTACAAGCTCAGTGTCCCCAGCTTCAACAAGGTCATCCCACACATCCCCATTCCAAGTTTCAGGCTCCCATTCTTTTTCAACCAATTCTCTCACTTTGTAACAGTAGACACCTTGTGAGGCTGTGCATGCACCTTTCATTGCAGGTCAGCCACTCTCATGGTAAGCGCTTGTGTTCATTTTCCCAGAATTTCAGCTCTTTTTCTACAGGAGATAAGACTCTGACTCAGGGCACTCTTATGTTTCTTGGTTTTCCACCTAGAGTCAAAGGTATTATGTATAGAGTCATTAAACTCATCGCCTCTCACGAGCGGTGGATCAGGAGTGTCTTATGCCTTTATTTTGCATAACTCTCTAAACAGTTCATGCCAAGGACTATCAGTGTTCTCCATACTATTACAGGTACAGTCCTTAGTATTTTTGGGTCTAATCATGTTGAGCAGACAACTCCAGAAACCCCAGAACCAATGAGAGAACTCCATTCTTAATGGAGTTCCATTAATAATAATCTGTTCCTCTAGAAACACTCCTGGTACCAAATCTGTATTAATCAGGGTTCTCTAGAGAGACAGAACTAATAGGATATATATATATATCCTATTACATATATATATATACACACACACACACACACAATACACACATATATATGTTTATATGTGTTTTTGTGTATATATATATATATGTATACACATATATGAGGAGTTTATTAGGTAGTATTAACTCACATGATCACAAGGTCTCACAATAGGCTGTCTGCAAGCCGATGAGCAAGGAAGCCAGTTTGAGTCCCAAAGCTGAAGAACTTGGAGTCTGATACTAGAGAGAAGGAAACATCCAGCATGGGAGATTGATGTAGATTGGGAGGCTAAGTTTTCTAGTCTTTTCACGCTTTTCTGCCTGCTTTATACTCTAGCTGTGCTGGCAGCTTATTAGATAGTGCCCACCCAGATTAAGGGTGGGTCTGCCTTACTGGCCCACTGACTCAAATGTTAATTTCCCATGGCAACACTCTCACAGACACACCCAGGATCACTACATTGCATCTTTCAATCCAATCAAGTTGACACTCATTATTAACCATCCCAGCTCCCCCCCCTTTTTTTTTTTAGAAGAATCACCTTTTATCCATTGCTAAATACCATCTTTCTCATTTCCACCTGAGACCTCCTCAGAATAGCCTTTACTCTGTCTGTGTTTATGCCAACATTCTGTTCATGATTACTTAGATTTCTATAAGAAGACAAAGCTTTCTTTATATCTATATTCTTTTATTTCTGAACCTTCAACAGAATTATCTTACAATTTTTTTCACTACAATCTATTATTTTTATAGCATGCACCTCAAATGTTTTGCACCTTTTTTCCATTATCTTCATTTAAAAATGCTTGCGCAATTTTGGGTATGTATTATACCAGAACTCACACTTCTCATTACCAATTTCTATATTAGTTTTTTCAGGGTGCTATAACAAATTTTTATATACTAAATAGATTAAAAAACATTTATTTCTAACAGTTGTGGAGACTGGGAATTCTAATATAAAGCCACTAGCAGATAAAATGTCTGGTGAGGGTGTGCTTCCTAGTTTACAAACATTGGTCTTCTTGCTGTCCTCAAATACTAGAAAGGAGGCTAGAGAGCTCTCTGGGGTCTTGTTTATAATGACACTAATTTCATTCATGAAGGTTTCACTTGCATGACTGACTTTCCTTTCAAAGGCCCCATGTGCAAATACCATCACACTGGGGGTTAGGATTTCAACATATGAATTTTTGGAGGACACAAATATTCAGTTCACACAATTTCCAATGTATACTATGATAGATTTGGGGACTTATCTCTATTCTAAGAACAAAACAAAAACCCTTAGAATCATTCACACCCCTTAAGAAATGTAAAAATCACATGGTACAGGAGAATATTGGGATCCATTTATACTGTCAAGGAAAGTGGAAAACGTTTTGGTAAATAATATTACCAAGTAATACTATTAAATTATTTTCTCTATGTAATTATCTTAAAGTTTTATTGAAATAATACATTTTTGAAAAATGAAAATGCCTATATTAGGAATCATTTTAATAATTATACTCCTTATTTCTTTCAATTTCAGAAAAACATTGGTTAAATATATATATATATATATATATATAAAGCATAATATTTACAATCTTAACTATTTTGTTAGTGTTAAGTACATTCATATTGTGAAACAGCCATCACAACCATCAATCTTCAGAACTCTTCTTTTGCACTATTGCAACTCTACATACATTCAATAATAATTCCCCAGTTCCCCTCCCCTAGTTCCTGAAAAACACTCTTCTTTCTGTCTCTATAATTTTGACTACTATAAGTACCTCATATAGGTGGAATCACTTATCTTTTTGTGACCAACTTGTACTTAGGATAATGTGCTCAAGCTTCATCTATGTTGTAGTGTATGTCAGAATTTCCTTTCTTTTTAAGGTTGAATAATATTTCATTGCATATTTCACTTATTCATTCATCTAGTGATGGGCATTTGGGTTACTTTCATATTTTGGCTATTAATAAGGCTGCTATAAACATGAGTATACAAATATATCTTTGAAAATCTGCTTTCAGTTGTTTTGGGTGTATACACTGAAGTAGAATTCTTGATCATATGTTAATTCTGTTTTATACTCAGAAGTAGAATTCTTGATCATATGTTAATTCAGCCATGTTGGCCAGGCTGGTCTCGAACTCCTGGCCCCAACTGATTTACCCACTTCGGCCTTCCAAATTGCTAGGATTATAGGCTTCAGCAACTGTTCCCAGCCTTTTACATGCTCTTTGGAGTCATGTCTATTCAATTACTTTGACTATTTTTTATTTGGGCTAAGTGCTTTTGATTGTTGGGTTTCAGGTTTTCTCTATATATACTAAATATTAATCCCTTGGCAAAAATCATATCAAAATCCATGATATACAAGTATTTTCTCCCATTCCACATGTTGCCTTTTTATCCAATCACACAAAAATTTTTAGTTTTTAAGTCCCATTAGTTTGTTTTTTTTTCTTTTATTGCCTGTGACTTAGGTTTCATATCTTAGATATCATTGCTAAATCCAATGTCAAGGAGCTTTGCATTATTTTTTCTATAACTTATATACTTTTAGCTCTTAAGTGGACATATTTAATTTATTTTGAGTTTGTTTCTGGACGTAACATTTGGTTAGGTTCTAACTTTTGTATGCCGATAATTAGTTTTCCCAACATCATCTGTTGAAAAGACTATTTGCTCTCCATGAAAAGGCCTTGGCTTTCTTGTTGATATTTATTTGACCATGTATGTAAGGGTTTATTTCTGAGCTGTTTCTTTATTCTATTGAGCTGTACGTCTGTCCTCGTGTTACTACTGCATTGTATTGATTACTGTAGCTTTGTAGTAAATTTTGAAATCAGAAAGTGTGAGTCTTCCGACTTTGTTATTTTTCAAGATTGTTTGAATTATTTGGGGTTTATTCAGATGCCATATAAATTTTAAGAAAAGTTTTATTATTTCTGCAAAAAAATGGAATTTTGATAAGGTTTACATTAAATCTGTAGGTTAGGTATATTGACATTTTAGTAATATTAAGTCTTTTAATCTCTAAAAATGAGATGTCTTTCCATTTATTTAGGTCTTTTTAAATTTTTTTCAACAATGTTTCATTGTACAAGTTTTTTGACTGCTTGGTTAAGTTAATCCCTAAGTATTGAATTCACTTTGATGCTATAGTAAATGAAGTTGTATTGGTAAATTCATTTCCTCATTAATAATGTATAAAAATAGAACTGATTTTTGTGTCAACTTTGTATCCACTTTGCTGAATTTGTTTATTGGTTCTAAAAGTTGTGTGTGTGTGTGTGTGTGTGTGTGTGTATGTGTATGTGTGTGCTCTTTAGAGTTTCTACGTATGAGAACAAATCATTTAAAAGCAGAGAAAATTTTCCTTTCTTTCCAATTTTGATGCCTTCTATTTCTATGTTTTTGCTTAACTGTTCTGGCGAGGACTTCCCATACTATGTCAAATAGAAGTGGAGAAGGCTGGATTTGTTGCATTGTTTTTCGTCTCGGAGAAAAATCTTTCAATCTCTCACCATCACATATGGCCTATGCTGTGGATTTCTAATATGGATTTTATTATGTAGAGATAGTTTCCTTCCTTTCCTAGTTTATTGTGTACTTTTTATTGTAAAAGATTATGCAATTTTGTCAAATGTTATTTTGCATCAACTCAGATAATCGTGTGTTTTTTTAATTTGTTATGTTAATGCAGTGTATTATATAGATTAATTTTTGTATGTTGAACCATCTGTGGATTTCGGAAATAAATCCCATTTTGTCATGGAGTATAATTCTTTTTATATGCTGCTGAATTTGGTTTTCAAGTATTTTGTTAAAATTTTTTCATCAATGTTCATACAAAATATTAGTCTTTTTTTATTTAATTGTGTATTTTTTAATATTTCTTTTTTAAATTTTTTATTTCATTTCAATACTTTTGGGAGAACAGGTGGTTTAGGTTACAAGAACAATTTCTTTAGTGGTAATCTCTGAAATTTTGTGCACCCATCACCTAAGCAGTGTGCACTGTACCCAATGTGTAGTCTTTTATCACTCATCCTTCTCTCGACCTACCCCCTGAGTCCCCAAAGTTCATTATATCATTCTTATGTTTTTGTGTCCTCATAGCTTAGCTCACACTTATAAGTGAGAACATGTGATATTTGTTTTTCCATTTCTGAGTTACATCATTTGAAATAATGGTGTCCATCCCTTACTAAAACATCAAGAGTTTGGTCTAGGTCCTGCTGCTGCCTGCACAGAAAGCCAATCACTGAGACAACAAGTATTGTCAAGGAAGAAAACTTTAATTGGGTGCTGCAGCTGAGGACATGAGAGCTCAGTCTCAAAACCATCTCCCTGATTAAACCAAAGGTTTATATAAAAGGCAAGAAATGTAACAATGTGTAAGAAAACAGAAACTTAGGGGGGCAAGGAAGCAATCATGATGAATAAGGGTTCCAGCATCTGGTGAAGTGATCTGCTTTCAATTCTTTGATACTTTTTGTAAGAGACCTAAACATTTCCCGAGGAAGAAACTCAGAAAAAATAAATACAAGTTTAAAGCTTTTCAAGACCAGAAGGGTCAATGTCTATGTTTATCAAAAAGAGCAGTCTATGGGTCAGTTGCGTTAGTTTTACAATGCCATCCAGGTTGCTTTGAATGTCATTATTTCATTCCTTTTTATGACTGAATAGTATTCCATGGTATATGTGTATATATATATATATGTGTGTATGTGTGTGTATTCCACATTTTGTTTATCCATTCATTGGTTGATGGGTTTTTAGTCTGGTTCAATATATCTTCAATTGTTAATTGTGTTGCTATAAACATGTTTGTGCAAGTGTCTTTTTCACGTAATGACTTCTTCTCCTTTGATACCCAGTAATGGGATTGTTGGATCAAATGGTTGTTCTACATTTAGTCCTTTAAGGAATACTGTTTTCTACAGTGGTTTTACTAGTTTACATTCCCACCAGCAGTGAAAAATTGCTCCCTTTTCACCTCATCCATGCCAACATATTACTTTTTGATTTCCTTATTATGATCATTCATACAGGAGTAAGGCAGTAATTTCCTGATAATTACTGATGTTGAGCATTTTTTAATATGTTTGTTTGTCACTTGTATATTTTTGAGAACTGTCTATTCATATTGTTTGCCCACTTTTTGATGAGATTATTTGTTTTTTGTTTGTTTGCTGATTAGTTTAAGTTACTTGTAGATTCTGGATATTAGTCCTTTGTCAAATGCATGGTTTGCAAGTATTTTCTTCCACTCTGTGGTTTGTCTGTTTACTCTGCTTATTTTTTTTATGAGGTCTGGAAGCTTTTAAGTTTAATGAGGTCCCATCTGTTATTTTATGTTATTTTATTTTATTTTGTTTTATTTTTGTGTTTGCTTTTGAGTTCTTGGTCATGAACTTTTTGTGTAAGCCAATGTCTGGAAAAGTTTTTCTGAAGTTACCTTCTAGAATTTTCATGGATTCATGTCTTACATTTAAGTCTTTGATTCGCCTTGAGTTGTTTTTTGTACAAGGTGAGAGATGAGGACCCAGTTTTATTCTCCTATATGTGGCTTGCCAATTATCTCAGGACCATTTATTGAATAGGATGTCCTTCCCCACTATATGTTTTTGTTTGATTTGTGAAAGATCAGTTGGCTGTAAGTATTTGGCTTTTTCTCTGGGTCCTCTAGTCTGTTTCATTGGTCTATATGCCTATTTATACCAGTACTATGTTGTTTTGTTGACTATAGACTTGTAGTATCGTTTGAAGTCAGGTAATGCGATGCCTCCAGATTGGATCTTTTTGCTTAGTCTTGCCTTGGCCATTCAGGCTCTTTTTTGGTTCTATATAAATTTTACAACTGTCTTTTTTTTGCTAGTTCGGTGAAGAATGATGATGGTATTTCAACGGAAATTGCATTAAATCTGTAGATTGCTTTTGGCAGTGTGGTTATTTTTACAAATTTGCTATGCAGATTTTAAATTTGTCAATGCATTTGCCTTTACTGAGATATTAATTGGTTTATATGGCTTTGATTTACTGTCTTGTTTTCATTTCGACATATATGACTTCCTTTAGCATTTCTTTCAAGGATGGTCTGGTGGAAACAAACTTCCTGAGCTTTCATTAATTTTGGCATGTTTTAGTTTTTCCCTCCTTTTGAAGATAAATGTTTTGCCAGATATAAGATTCTTGTTTGACAAGTTTTTTTTTATAATTACTTTAAGCTATATCAGCCTCCTTTTAGACTCCAAAGTTTCTGATGACAATTCTGCTGATAATATTACTGGTGGACCCTTGTACTTGGTCTTACTGTTTTCACAATTATTTTTGTCTTTGACTTTTGACAGTTTGAGTACAATATCTTGGTGTGGATCATTCTGAATTCATCCTGTTTGGAGTTGATTGAGCTTCTTGGCTGTTTATATTCCTGTCTTTTATCAAACTTAGACAATTTTCAGCCAAAGATCTTCAAATAATTCTTCTCCTTTCTTCTCTCTTCTCCTAGCGGAACCATCGCTGTGTATATTTTGATCTGCTTGATGTGTTCCATATGTTCCTTAGCCTCCATTCACTTTCTTCAATCATTATTCTTTCTGTTTCTCAGACTCGGTATATTCCATTGTTCTATCTTTAAATTCATGGATTCTTCCACCTTCTGTTCAAATCTGCCTTTTAAACTTTGCACATAGTTTTTCATTTTAGTTATTTTACTTTTCAGCTCTAGAATTTTTGTATTATTTCAGCTTTTCTGTCTATTTATTGATATTTTTATTTTCCTCATACTTGTTTTTTTCACTTTCTTCATGTTTCTTTAGTTTTTAAGCATTTTTCAGATGGTTGTTTTAGGACTTTGTCTAGTATGTATGTCTATCATCCAATCATTCTCAGAGAGAATTTCTGTTTTGTTTATGTTTTGTTTTGTTTTGCTTCTTTGAGTCATACTTTCTCCTTTCTTTGTACGTTTTATCAATTTTTGTTCAAAGCTGAACATTTATTTCTGGTAATCAGAATTCTTTCCTTCCCTAGAATTTTCTGTTATTTTTCTTTTATTGTTAAAGACTGTTTCTGTGCCCAAGAGAAGTGTGAAGTGTAAAACAAAAATTTTGTCTTATCTTTTCTGAGCCCATGCCATTCCCTGTGCATTTGTGGTAAATTTCTAATTCTCCTGTATATGCAGTTACTTTTGAATGCCTTAGTGTTTAAAGTATTGCTCTCAAAAAGAAAATAAAAGGAGAGAAAAATGTAAGGGAGGATAAAGGTGCTGGCTGTTTAGGATCCCCTGGAATTTGTTTCAGAACAAGAGACAGGGGCTTGCAAGAACTGAGGAGGGAGTGCAAAAATGGCTGCTTGCCACTGTGCTTGCACCTCTGTGGTCAGAAAGAGCAATCAACAATCAGAACACAGGTCAACAATATTTTGAAGACAGGCTCTTTATTGCCCACTCTGGTTCCTGCAAGCTGTGTGATAGCTGCTCCAGGAACAAATACCTTGCTGTCTGCTACAGGGCTGGAGAGTGAGAATGGTAATTGTCTCTGAGCTAAGAGATGGTATTGACAGAAATTAACTGTAATTTACTGCCCAAATTTTTTCCATAACTATGTTATGTCTGAATATTCTTCCTCTAGATTTTTGCATAAATAAACTTATCTTGTTAAGTTTCAGATCAATGGTCAACTTTCAGCAGAACTTTTCCAAAGTTACGCCATGTCTCAGTTCATTTTCTATCAGTTTACCTTGTTTTGTTTACTTTGTAAAATTTTTGACTAGAATCATTGTATTTATTCATTTATCTTCTGTCTCCTTTATTTATTTATTTATTTATTTATTTACTTACTTACTTATTTATTTTTTGAGATGGAGTCTTGCTCTGTCACCCAGGCTGTAGTGCAGTGGCGCGATCTCAGCTCACTGCAAGCTCCGCTTCCCGGGTTCACACCATTCTCCTGCTTCAGCCTCCCAAGTAGCTGGGACCACAGGTGCCCGCCACCACACCCAGCTAATTTTTTGTATTTTTCAGTAGAGACGGGGTTTCGCCGTGTTAGCCAGGATGGTCTCGATCTCCTGACTTCGTGATCTGCCCGCCTCGGCCTCCCAAAGTGCTGGGATTACAGGTGTGAGCCACCACACCCGGCCCTGTCTCCATTATTAAAATACAGACTTCATGAGACCCAGGGCCTCTTCTCCCTTGATCACCACTGTAGACTCAGCAGATAAAACTATTCCTACAATAGAGGAGCAAGTAGAGCTTCTATCTATGGGTAGTTGACTTTCTGACTATATTTATAGGCAGAACTTTTCTGTGTCTTTCATTCTTTTATGTGTGGTTGCCTTAAACTTTTAATACATTTTGCTTATCACACTTAAATGTTATAATACGGTACCATAAGGTTTAGCAAAATTTATTCATAACAATTTCTCCACATATATATTTTAACTGGATCAGGCAGGTCTTTTCCATTCCCAGAGACAGATTGTCTTTGTATTCTTTGCTACATAAAATACACTTAACTAACTTTCTGGATTTAGGCAAATTCCACTAACTTGGAGAGATATTAAATTGCATCACCTCCATGAATGACTCTTTAGTTATCATTGTAATTCACTTCTATTTTTGAAACCTCTTATAGTTTTATAATTTATTATGAACAATTTGGCAATTATATATATTTTATACATCACTGGTTGCCCTGTGAATATCCAGTTATCCCCCAAAGCCTGCACTCTAATTTCCATTTCATTCAATACTTACAGTTACATACCTCAATGCTTTTATTCATGCTATTTTATTTGTCTAAAATAGTTTATCTATTTCTCTCCGTGCGAATCACTACTCAGCTTTCAAAGTTAACCTCAAATTTTAACTGCTCCATAGTTAGAGTTAAGGTCTCCCTTTTCTCTCTCCCCATGTGTGTGTGTATATATATATATGCATATATTTAAATATTTAAAAAACAATGTATAAATATATATATATAGCATAAATAATTTATGTTACATATAAATTTATTATATATGAAATTTATAGCACTAACCTTATAGCTATTTTTAGCTTCCTTTCCAATGACAATGACAGTTCTTGATGACAGGCAATTGGCGCATACTCTGCTTAGCATAGAGACTAGTTTGTAATGGTTCTGCAAGCAGAACAACCATCTCTGAGCTGGATTCTACGTTCCAGAGAAGTTTCTAAAAGATACATATATTCATAATTCCTCTAATCTCTGTAACTATTCTATGTAATAAAAATTTATATCATGACAATTTTATATATGAAGTTACGTGAGACAAATCTATGCAGTAGAGATTACTACTATGCCAATTATATAGTAAAAATAAGTGATTTACTTGAGATGCCACAGCTAGGAAGTTATAGATTTAGGTTATTATAATTAAGAGTCTGACAACATTTGGATGCTTGACCAGTGACAGTGTTCAATCCCCAGCTGTCTTTCATTCCTTCTTGTGTCGCATCTGGACAACCAATAAGAAAACCCAGGTACTCTCTCTCTTGTCAATGGAAGGATATTCAAAGCACAATTCTCTTCCTGCCTGTTGAAACCCTCACCCAGGCCCACACCCTGAGTCCAGTATAAACCAAAGCCACTGGCCTCTTCAGCTCAAGGCATTAGACAGGCTTGGATGCCTACTTTTCTTACCTAAGAAAACCTCATGATTTCAGTTACAAAATGCCATATTCTTTTGATGTGTGTGCGGCTGTGACATAAACAGTCTTGACATCATACCCAGTTAGGGTGCAGAGATGATCCCATTTATCATGGGGAGACCACATGGCTGTTTTGCACTCAGGTTATCTGAATATCCAGCATTCAAGTTCTTAAATATCATGTTGTGCTTCCTGTCAGATATGTTAAATAACTATTTGTTACATGAACTAATTTTTGAATTCCTTAGGACAAGACTTTTTATTACAAAATTTTAATTAATTTATTCATATATTATTAAAATGAGAAATATGCATTAATAATTTTTCTTTGCAGGAGGAAATCATTGAAAATTGGAGTAGCCTGAAACAGAAGATATACAAGGGTTTCACATTGTTGTTTTGAGTGTTACATCTATATTTAATAATATCACATAATAAATCCTGCTCATTAAATATAATGACATTAAAAGTAGAATTCAGAAAAGAAAAGAAAGCGGAATGAATCTCTAAAATTTGTTTTGATGACAACTTATCAGAAACCAATTGCTTAGAAATAGTTTGCATTTCATGTATTTTATTTGAGCATTCATATTATTTTAAAAAATCATCAAAGTTTTTACATTTATTTAACATAATTATTTAATAATTGAGTAAATGTCAACAAATAATACTCTATTCAGTTTGACATGAAAAATGAGTACTTAAATTATCGGTATTAATACAAGAATTTAATAGAATGGTAAATTTGATTAAAAACAAAGAACTGCAAAAGTTCCCTTACTTTATAGTGTCATTGTACAAATAATAAAGACCTTCCATGTGATTTGCATTTTGAGAGATAATATGGGGTGCTCAATTTTTATGACTGGCTGTGGAGAACAAGTTAATCAGGCTCTGGTTGGGATGCTGGGTATTTAAATAAGTGAATGTGAAATGAAGACAGTTTGAAATGGGACTCTATTGCATATGATAACATGGGCAATAAGGGAAAAATGCAAAAGTTTTACATAAAAAGTATTCTGGTTGAAGAAAGGAAGTATCAGCTTGGTAACGTATCTTTCCTAAGCAAAGTAGAAGACTCAGTTACCAGTGTCTCTATTTATTTCAATGGACATTAGTATTGACCATGTTCAATCCTGGAAGGGTTGGAGGTAAGGTATGGTTCAGGTATTTTTCAGGTATTTTTGTCCAGATATTCTATCCAGAAATGCCAACCAAATTTCAAATTATGTGTGGTGATTATATTTTGTGAAAATATCTTGCTAGACTTTCTTTTCCGTCACAAGTAGATTATCTAATAATCTCAATATTGATCCTGTTTTATTTTTAAAAAGTTTTCATTAAAAACACTGTAGAAGAGGCTTATTGAAGTCAGATCATCTCTGCCTTGGTAGAGGACACAGCACAACAAAAGGCTGAGTGTCAGTCACTTAAATGTTTATGCGCAATTGAAAGTATGATATAAAAATCAAGTGGGGCCAGGCATGGTGGCTCACGTCTGTAATTCCAGCACTTTGGGAGGCTGAGGCGGGCAGATCACAAGGTCAGGAGTTTGAAAGCAGCTTGGCCTACATGATGAAACCCTGTCTCTACTGAAAAAACAAAAATTAGCTGGGTGTGTTAGTGAGCGCCTGTAATCTCAGCTACTCTGGAGGCTGAGGCAGAAGAATTGCTTGAACCCAGGAGGTGGAAGTTTCAGTGAGCCGAGATCACGCCACTGCACTCCAGCATGGGTGACAGAGGAAGACTCAAAAAAAAAAAAAAAAAAATCAAGTGGACTCAGGCCAGAGGCAGTAGTATATGAGGATAAACAAAAAGGCAAAATCAAATCACAAATTAAAAATTGAATGCTAACTTTGATACTCCACATCTTTCTTTAAAATGTTTTTTAGTTGGCTGCATACTTAATAAAATAGATGTTTATATTGTAATGTTTCCTCGAGAGAGTTGAAGACTAAATTTTTTGCAGGCTTTGTTATTGTAAATAGTGAAAGAGTACATATCCATGTATATATTTTACCACTCATGTTTAACCATTTATTGAAGAATTTTGTGGACATGTCTATAAGTTAGATTGGTCTGTTCTTTGCTTTTCTGGAATAATTCTGTTAAGTTTTGCTATAATGTGTTAGGAAAATAAAATATAAAAAAGTCTTCTCCCAACCCAGAAAATCTCTTCTCAAAGATAGAAAAGAGAAAAACGTTTTATTTTTGAATGAGCATAAAACCCGAATGTGATGTGCATGAAAGGCAATCTGTTAAAGGTTTGCAAAGACAGAAAAAATTTCACCCTTTCATATAGCCAAGCAGGTACAATTCATTAAATACAGGTTCTCAAAAAAGAATAGAAAAAAGATAACTTGATAACACCATTTGTCACACATAGTTCATCTTAAACTCACTTGGTAATTGGGATAACCATCTGTTTTAGCTATTTGTCATTATTTAAACGAAAAATACACTTCAGGTTTCTTTATGATAAAAGGCAGTTTTGAAATTTAAAGGGAGGCTCTTCTGCCCAAGTTAGGTTTCTATTTTCTCAAAAAAACTGGAAGGTAGAAAGCTCTCTTCTGTGGTATGTATATTTCAAAGAGATGTTTCTCAAGTCCTTGAGAAAAACATTCTCAGGTCACAAAGCTGGCAAGAGTCTTATTTAGCTTTTAAAAAGATGTATATACATTTCAAAGAAAAAATAATTAACAAGTTAATCTTCTTACAAAAGGGTGAGTTATCTTTATGTTGATCATGGAGAATTAAGCCTTTTATTTTAAATTTGAATTTGCTATTACAATCTCTTATCTGTGTTACTAAACAATAGTAATATTACTATTTTCTAATTATTTTTATTGTTGCCTCTACCTTTCTCAGCAAATTGCAGTCATCCAAATATCTAGCAAGTCCATAGTAAAATAGGAAAAAAAATCAACATCAAAATTATGATAATATAATTACTGATTTTGTAAAAAATCAGTACTTTATTTGCATTGGGGAATGTATTAGTCCATTCTCACACTGCTAATAAAGACATACCCGAGACTGAGTAATTTATAAAGGAAAGAGGTTTAATTGACTCATAGTTCCACATGGCTGGAGAGGCCTAAGGAAACTTATATTCATGGCGGATGGAACCTCTTCACAGGGTGGCAGAAGATGGAATGAATGCTGAGTAGAAGGGGGGAAAGCCCCTTATAAAACCATCAGATCTCATGAGAAGTCACTCACTATCACTAGAACAGCATGAGAGTAACCGCCCTCATGATTCAATTACCTTCCGCCAGGTCCCTCCCATGACACGTGGGTATTATGGCAACTACAATTCAAGATGAGATTTGGGTGGGGACACAGCCAAACCATCCCATTCTACCCCGGCCTCTCCCAAATCTCATGTCCTCACATTTCAAAACAGAATTATGCCTTTTCAACAGTCCCCCAAAGTGTTAACTCATTTCAGCATTCACTCAAAAGTCTACAGTTCAAAGTCACATCTGAGACGAAGCATGTCCCTTCCACCTTTGAGCCTGTAAAATCAAAAACAAGTTAATTACTTTCTAGATACAATAAGGGTACAGGCATTTGGCAAATACACCTGTCCTGAATGGGAGAAATTGGCCAAAACAAAGCAGCCACAGGCCCCAGGCAAGTCCAAAATCCAATAGGGCAGTCATCAAACCTTAAAGTTCCAAAATGATCTCCTTTGATTCCATGTCTCACCTCCAGGGCAGGCTGATGCAAGAGGTGGGCTCCCACAGCCTTGGGCAGCTCCTCCCCTGTGGCTTTGCAGGGTACAGCCTCCCTCCTGGCTGCTTTCAAGGGCTGGCATTGAGTGTCAGTGGCTTTTCCAGGCACAGGGTGCAAGCTGTTGGTGGATCCACGATTCTGGGATCTGGAGGACAGTGGCCTTCTTCTCACAGCTCCACTAGGCAGTGCTCCAGTGGCGACTCCGTGTGGGGGCTTCAGTCCCACATTTCCCTTCCACACTGCCCTAGCAGAGTTTCTCCAGTGGACTCCACCTCTGCAGCAAACTTCTGCATGAACATCCAGGAATTTCCATACATCTTCTGAAATCTAGGTGGATGTCCCCAAACCTCAATTCTTGACTTCTGCACATCTGCAGGCCCAACAACATGTGGAAGCTGCCAAGACTTGGGGCTTGCAGTCTCTGAAGCAATGATCTGAGCTGTACACTGGTTCCTTTTAGCCATGGCTGGAGAGGCTGGGATGCATGGAACCAAGTCCCAAGGCTGCACAGAGCAGGAGGGCCCTGGGGCTGGCCCAGGAAATCATTTTTCCCTTCTAGGCCTCTGGGCCTGTGATGAGAGGGACTGCCATGAAGGTCTTTGAAATGTCCTGGAGACATTTTTCACATTGTCTTGGTGGTTAACATTTGGCACCTCATTACTTATGCAAATTTCTGCAGTCCTCTCAAATTTCTCCCCAGAGAATGGGCTTTTTTGTTGTTGTTGCATCATCAGGCAGCAAATTTTCCAAACTCTTATACTCTGCTTCCATTTGAACATTTTGCTACTTAGAAATTTCTTTCACCAGATAACCTAAATTATCTCTCTCAAGTTCAATGTTCCACAGATCTCTAGGGCAGGAGTGAAATGCCACCACTCCCTTTGCTAAAACATAGCAAGGGTGACCTCTACTGCAGTTTCCAACAAGTTCCTCATCTCCATCTGATACCATCTCAACCTGAATTTAATTGTCCATATCACTATCAGCATTTTGGTCAAAACCATTTAATAAGTCTTTAGGAAGTTCCAAACTTTCCCACGTCTTCCTGTTTTCTTCTGAGCCCTCCAAACTGTTTCAACCTTTGCCTGTTACCCAGTACCAAAGTTGCTTCCACATTTTTGGTGTTCTTATAGCAGCACCCCATTCTACTTGTACCAATTTAATGTAATCATCGTTTCTCATGCTGTTAATAAGGGTAATTTATAAAGGAAAGAAGTTTAATTGACTCAGAATTCTGCATGGCTGGGGTGGCCTAAGGAACCTTACCATCATGGCTAAAGGCACCTCTTCACAGGGAGGCAGGAGAGGGAATGAGTGCCAAGCAAAAGAGGAAAAAGCTTCTTATACAACCATCAGGTCTCATGCAAACTCGCTAGCTATCACGAAAACAGCATAAGAGTAACGGCTTCCATGATTCAATTACCTCCCATCAAGTCCCTCTCACGGCAGGTGGGGATTATACAAACAACAGTTCAAGATGAGATTCATGCGGAGACACAGCAAACGATATCGGAGATAACCTTTGAATATACCATACTAATGATGAATGGTTAAATCAGATTATTGATTAGCAAGCCACAAAAATGCTTCTTTGCCATATATTAATTATACAAATTGTTATTGTCTTTAGTGTTTTTCAAATGATTAACCAAATAACCATTTAGTAGTTCTTTATAAAGTCCTGTCTCATCCAAACCCAAGGAATAGCTTGATTCTGGAGCCAGGTAATGTAACTTTTTAATGAGAAGTTTTCCTTGCAAGTGATAACAAATAACATTTGAGTTTTAGTTCATCACATAAATATCATAACAATCATATGACAATTAGGCCTTTTAACAATTTTTCCATTTTCTCCAATTTTTTTTGTCGATGTGAAATGCAAAGATATTCATGGCCATCTTTTAGTATCAAAATTTTATTATGAGACACTATTGAAAGGTACAGATTAAGTTTCTATTGTTAATGTATACAGCTGTAACTATTTTAAATCTTATGGACAAACTCTAAGAGCCTTTTTGGTCTGTTGGTTTGCTTTCATTTGGCATGAGAAAAGAATCAATAGTTATCCTGTTATAATAATTAAATAAATCTTTGTGAATAATAGGTATTCACTTTTGTTTATCTGTATATATTAAGATTGGAGAGACCCTTAATCCCAATTTATCCTAGTGACACTAGACATGTCTTTTGCAGTCTCTATCTGTAAATGCCAGATATATGTTTGTCTACTTATTACATGTTATTTGTTTCTACATTATCTTTCTAACATATTTTTTAGTATCAAATTAGAGCTTGAGTGTCTGGATGCATATTAATTAATTTTACTTTGTTGTTTTCAAACATTACTAATGAAAATGATGTCATTTTTGTTCTATCAGTAATCAGACTGTTGTATTTATGAGTCTAGACCTTGTTTTTATTGGAAGTAAAATTTAGAACTGGTAGAAATGAGATGGTGAGAATTGTTACTTGGTGTATTAGTTTGCTAGAGCTGCTGTAATAGAGTACCCCAGACTGAGTGGCTTAAACAACAGGAATTTATTGTCTTACAGTTCTAGAGGATAGAAACCCAAGATCAAGGTGTCAGCAGGGCTGGTTTCTTCTGAGGACAGTTAGAGTAGTTCTGTTCAATCCCTCTCACCTAACTTCTGGTGGTTTCCTGACAATCTTTGGTGTTCCCTGGCTTGGAAAAACATCAGCCCAACTTCTTCCTTCATCTCCTCATGGCTTTAACCTTGTTTCCTTGTGTGATATGAGTACAAATTTCTCCTTTTTTGTAACAACACCTTTCATAATGAATTGGGGTCTACCCTATTCCAGTATTATCTTAAGTAATTAAATTGATATTAGCTGTTTTTCCAAATAAAGTTATATTCTGGAGTACTAGGGGTTAAGACTTCAACATATAAATACTGGGGGACTCAATTTAACCCATAACACTTGGATTGCAGAAAAAAAGAAGTACAATAGACAACATGTTGGCTTTCCAGTAAAATATGATTTTTTTCCTTTTTCTTTTTTTCTTTTTTTTGACAGGCGTTTGCTTTGTCATCCAGGCTGCAATGCAATGACATAACCTTGACTCATGGCAACCTCTGCTTCCTGAGTTCAAGTGATCCACCCACCTCAGCCTCCCAAGTATCTGGGACTACAGGCACATGCTACCATGCCCAGTTAATTTTTGTGTTTTTTTTAGAGATAGAGTTTTGCTATATTGCCAGGGTGTTCTCAAACTCCTGGACTGAAGTGATCAGTCTACCTCAGACTCCCAAAGTGCTGGGATCACAGGCATGAGCCACCGTGCCCAGTTCAAAATGTGATTCTTAAAGAAGAAATTGAAATAACCCTACTGTGACTAAGATGGGAGGCAATCTGTAAGAATAGTAATAAATTTGCTAGAATATCTCCTTTCAGCTGTGTTCAGTACAACAATTGGCTACTTTAGAAAACGTAAAGTTTCTAGTCTTTGTAGGACCCCCAGTCCAGTTTTCCTAAGATGTTTGCTTCACATGGAAAGTATGAATCTTGTTTTTTACTTTTGTTTTATTTTTACTTAGTTTGTTTTTACTTTGATAGCTCTATAGGTAACTGGGAGCATTTAAAAATGTCTTTCTCAAGGAGATAAAAGCCTTTCGTCCCATCGGAACACCTTAATTTGTGAAATCTTTTGGTCAATAGGCTTGGCAGGCTTCTGGTGGGTCCTACCAGGTTCTTATGACTTTTTAGCTCAGACTTACCAGGGAAGAGAGAAGCCATTTGAGGTGATAAACATCATTATGAGAGGATTCAGTTAAATCAGGCACACAAAAAAAGTTGTACCAAAATTCATAAGTCTGCCAAACAGAAATTCAAAGAAAAGAGTTCATATTTGCTTGTAAAGGTTGCTCTAACTTTAAGGTGGTAGCAAAGCTCTAGGTCATCTTAATATAGGAAGTGGCAGAATTTTAGACAATTGAGTTTTTTGTTTGATTTGTTTGCTCTATTTTCCAGAGGACTCAGCCTTACAGGAATCTGTAATATTTGCATAATTCCTAGATAACCATAGAAATAAAATATTTTTTTTCTGTCTGACTTAAATACTATGGCATCCCAAGAGCAGAAATTACATTTATCAAGAGAGCGTTTACCACTGCCCAAACATTAGTTTCATGAATTGGGGAAAACATCAGACCACCCAGATATTATACACACCACAACTAGACAAAAAATCTCACCTTACCTTCTATAAGCTTTCGTTCTATGAAATCCAACTGCCATAATATTTCTAGTAAAATTGTTAAATGAAAACTTCCTATAGTTAGTTTGGGTGTGGCATGAAAATAATTCTGCTCACAAATAGCATATCTCTTTTATGTTTTGAACAATTTTATCTTATTATTAGGTGTCATTAAGATTCTAGTGCCCTTAAAATCCCTCTCTCATTCAAATTGTTTTATTGGTGGCATAACAACCCTAAGCCAATAGGAGGCTGTGATATTGGAATTATTTTGTTAGGTAATTCCCACAATCAACCACATTTATTTTAGCCCATTTTTAAATCCATATGTCCATTTATTTATCTCTACATAGTTTTAAAATGAACAACTTTTTATTGTTTTAAAAGTGGAGCGTACAAGGTTGAACTATATCATGTTTTTAACAACAGCTTTTACAGACCTATCAGCAAAATTATTACCTTTGGAAATGTCCTTTTGCCTTTAAGGAACTCTACAATGAATTACTAATATTTAAGCAGGCAGTTATAAAGTTTTATATCTCAAAAATCAGCTATCAATTTTGCATAAGGTAGTTTAGTTTTTGTTGAAGGACAAAGATTTCTATTTAAAATATTATGTATTTTTTGAAGTTAGGAAGAAGCTATGACTAGTTTAACTTATTTAAAAATTAATTCAGATTTTAGGGACCAAACCAGAAGATCTAGATAATTATTATGCAATTGTTCCATCAGAGAATTTGTTTTCTTTGCAAAAGCTGAAATCTGCTATCTACAATATTGTAGTAGTCCCCAAAATTGTCTATGTTCTTTATTTTTTACTTTTTTGTAATAGGTCATTTTATTATAAAATTAGTTGACTCCTGGATCATAGCACTGAAATATTAGAGCTTAGTTGTGCAATACTGCAATTTGCTTGGTGAACCCTTATGTTCCTGTTAAGCCAAGAACTGTAACAAAGCTAAAGTATCAATTTGCAATGCTCTGTAGTTTCTGAGGATACCAGCAAATCATCTATAGTTTGAATAATTATAAATCCCTCTGGTTGGAAACATTTCTCTAAGTTCTATAAATGACTAGAAAATATTGTAGGAAAATCCCAAAACCCTTGAGGAAACAATTGTGATAAATATTGGGTTCTTCCATAAGTGAAAGCAAATAAGAATCTAGTTCCATTCTCTAGAGGAATATAAAGTATCAAAAATTAAAACATAGACAAATTATAGATAAATACTTCCAGAAAATGATACCAAGTTCAAAAGTCAGGATACATAATTAGGAAATACAGGAATTAATGTTAAGCTTTTGTACAAATCTATATAGTGGTCAACCATCTTTATCAAATTTATATTCCTCAGATGTAAAAAAGGGCAGCATATTTATAAATAAATGTTCAACATCACTAATTATCAAGAAAATGCAAATAAAACTCACAATGAAGTATTACCTCACACTTAGTGGTTATTAAAAAGACAAGAGATAACAAATATTGCTGAGGGTATGGACAAAAGGGAACTCTTGTGCACTATTCATGGGAATGTAAATTAGAACAACAATTATGACAATCAGGTTTAGAGTTTCCTCAAAAACTTAAAAACAGAATTACCATATGATTTAGTAATTTCACTATTGAGTATCCAAAGGAAATTAAATCAGTGTCTTAAAGCGAGATATATGAGATATGCGATATATGAATCCTCATATTTGTTGTGATGTTATTTAGAATAGGCAAGATATGGAAATTAAGTGTTGCTGAATGAATAAATGGATTAAAAATATCATATTTATTATACACAATGGAATATATTCAGTAGTGAAAAATAAGAAAATCCTGTCATTTGCAATGACATGGATAAACCTAGAGGACATTATGCTAAGTGAACTAAGCTAAACACAGAAAGACAAATACTGTGTGATCCCACTTATATGTGGAATATAAAACATATGAATTTATATAAGCAGACAGAATAATAGTTGACAGGGGCTGAGGATATTGACCAAATAATACAAATTTTCAGTTACAGGATGAGTAAGTTCTGAGGATCTAATGTAAGTATAGCGACCACAGTTTTACTGTATTGTTTACTTGAAATTTGCTAAAAGAGTAGATCTTAAGTATCTTCATCACACACACACTCAGACAAACCTGCACACACACACAATGGTAACTGTGTGAGGGAATCAATGTGTTAATTTGATTGGAGTAATCATTTCACAATGTAAAGGTATAGCAAATAAACAGATTGCACACCTTGCACACATACAATTTTTATTGGTCAATTATACCTCAGTAAGTCTGGAAAAAATACCTTTTTAATTTACTAGAAGAACAATGTAATATTATAGGTGGGTGGCTTATTTACATTATTTATCTTTTCTTACCATTATATAACAGGCTTTGTTTCTTCTGATTGAGCTCTTGAAATCAGATATCATTTTGCATATGGCATGCACTTTGCTTTTGGTGAAATATTTTTATTGGCTCTATATCTCAAAGTACACCAGTATCAAGAGTCCCTAGCTCTGAAAGTGTTAGATAGATTTGTCCAGATAGGAGTGTTTTTCCAACATGGTGTGAAATTACCACTCTCTGCCATTCCCCAAAACAATGTAGCTTGGGGTGATTTTCTAGTACAGTATGAGCCTGCAACTCTCTGCTATAACCCTTTACATTCACAAGGTGCATGGTAACCAAAGGAGATGCATTTTCCCCAAGGAATTCTACAGACACTCACTGGTGTACAGAATATGGTAACCTTTAAATTGCACAGCAATTTAAAGCGGGTCTCTCCCAAACAGCTTTATAAGAGAAACAGGAGAAAGTAAGAATGTATGTTCCTCAGCAAGATAACCTATCTGTATGGGAATAGTAGAGAAAAAGGAAAAAGTAGAAGGCTTACTCAAAATATCAATAATTTGTAGTGCTCTTTCACCAAATGAAAAGCCAAAATTATCTGAGAAATTGCAGACTAAGTAGCAGCAGTAGCTTCAATTCCCGCCTCTGAGACTTCCTAAATGTGTCCATTTTTTTTCAGTGATTCAGCTGCATTTTTTTATTATACTTTAAGTTCTAGGATACATGTGCAGAACGTGCAGGTTTTTTACATAGGTATACATGTGCCATGGTGGTTTGCTGCACCCATCACCACGTCATCTACATTAGGTATTTCTCCTAATGCTATCCCTCCTCTAATCCCCTACCCCATGACAGGCCCCAGTGTGTAATGTTCCCCTCCCCATGTCCATGTGTTCTCTTTGTCTTTTTTTTTTTATACTTTAAGTTTTAGGGTATATGTGCACAACGTGCAGATTTGTTACATACGTATACATGTGCCATGTTGGTGTGCTGCACCCATTAACTCGTCATTTAGCATTAGGTATATCTCCTAATGCTATCCCTCCCCCCTCCCCATACCTCACAACAGGCCCCGGTGTGTGATGTTCCCTTTCCTGTGTCCATGTGTTCTCATTGTTCAATTCCCACATATGAGTGAGAACATGCAGTGTTTGGTTTTTTGTCCTTAGGATAGTTTGCTGAGAATGATGATTTCCAGCTCCATCCATGTCTCTACAAAGGACATGAACTCATCATTTTTTATGGCTGCATAGTATTCCATGGTGTATATGTGCCACACTAAATGTGTCCATTTTAAGACACCTGTCAGTTATTCCTTAGGCTTTTGGGCTTTCCTGATTCTCGTGTTTCTACAATTTCTTTACCCTTCAGAATGTCTTTTTACAATCCCTCTCCCAACATACTGGCTTTTTGCAACAATGACTGGTCTTTTGCAACAGTTATTATTTCTTTATTTTCTTTATAGAAAGGGTGGCTGAAGTCGGGATAATTCCCTTTAGTGAAGAGTTTTAACTGAGCAGCCAATACAGCAGTCTTTAATTCCTTTTTTGTCTTCGTCTTTCTTTAAATTATCTCAAACTGACCAGCTGGTGCTAAGATTGAATAATAATCTTTCTTTGCCATTTACCACCTTTTTTCTAACTTGAGTTTATACAGTTGGCAAGAAAGCCAAGACAAGTTTTCTAAGATGAGAGCATGAGCTTGATCTGTCTGGTGAATTTTGAAAAAGCTTCAGCAATTTGCTGATGGAAATTGACAGAGTCCTCCAATCTTTTGAGTACACAACTGCAACTTCTTCCAGCTCATCTTTAATGAAGAGGCTTTAAGTAATGCCATTAACATCCCCTCCTGAGGATCTCTAACACCTTTAGTTTTTTCATAGCTGAGGGAGGTGGTGGATAATTGGGTCCCCTTAACCAAAATACTTCACGACGTTGCGGTGTTTTGGGCCGTGATGTGCTTGGTCCACCAAATGAGCAAATTCTTCTAGTTGCAGAATTTCATACAGTAGCCAGTGCATACCCCATACATGGGCTATAAGCTAAAAACATACTGCAGAATATTTCCACAAATTTCTGTGACACAGGGATTAAAAGCCTTTAAATGAATAATATCAGCTGGCCAGAAAGACATGTAGATTACTCAGGAGGCCTAGGTAGCTTAACAGTATTAGCTTCACTCTTGATCCATACAGGAAAAGTTTGTTTTCCTTGCACTGAGACAAGAAAAATATGAATTAGATAGCACTTTGGTTTCTCTTTCTGTGTTGATCTTTTCCAAATTAATTTTTTTTTTGTCTTTTCCTGAGGGACTAATGCAGCTTCTCTCCATCCTGTTGCCTTCATATGGGGCACAGTCTTTTATCAACATTTTCAGTGATTCCCAGATCAAGTTTCTTTGTCATGTCTACCTTCCTAGCTTCATGCTGTATGGATTAGAAGGGACTCTTGGAAGTGGAATCTAGGCTGGCCAGAAAGCACAGAAATCTGTGTCATTAAATAAAGCAGGCAATTCATACTGGCTGAAAAAGTTATGACCTCATCCCCCTTTTCAGGAAAACCTAATAATGGAGGAAACTGTCTATGTAAAAAACCATCACCTCCCTCTTTCCTAGTGTTAGTTATGGACAGAAAGGCTTAAAGACAGGCAGGGAGGGTAGAAGGAGAAGTGATAGCAGATAAATTTTCCACAGACTCATGCCTCCAAATACTGAGATTATCATGTAAAAATTGAAAATATAAGCTTCAGGAAGAGAAGTAAGAATTGTATTTCTAGAAAATTAAAGTAGCACTTGAATCATTTGAAAAAATAAATACTAAAATATACTTAAAGTGAGTATTGATACCATACCTTTGCAAATGGAACTAAAATTTGGGAGTTGGTCAGACATCTTTGTCCAAGAAGAGATTAGTTGAGCTTTTGTGTTTGCCTGATTATTATTTCCCATAGAATTGTAAGAAAAAGCATGAACTCTACATTGTAAAGCAAAACAAGAGAAAGACAAATTAAAAAGCACTTCCATTCCTTCTCCTTTGAGAAAAAAATTGGTCTCATTTGCTTCTAAATAGATTCACATAGAATTCTGATTTGTGTTGGAAAAAATTGTTTTGAAATACAACTTAGGTTTTATTGGAAATTAAAAGAATGATGTTTTGGTGTAGAACATAAAGTGAAATTAAATAATGATTTTTTCCATAATTATCTTGGTTTGGGAATACTTTATAAGATAAAATTTTATAATTAGAGATAAATAGGAAATATATGTCTATTATAAAGCTTTTCTGAAGGAAAGAAAAATATGTATAAACTATGAAATGAAATTGATTTTAATTGAGGTTGTTACAAATGATACCCTGTTAGATTCATTGACAATATGAAGCTAGGGAAAAATGGTCTAAATTTTCAAATCACAGTTCAAGATTCTTTATTTCAACAGCTTCAAGGAGTAAAAATGTAAAAGTACTTCATAAAACAACATTACATTTATTTACTTCTCCACAAATCATAAGAATTCTTGAAAGGAATTCAGAACACTTGGCCCTAATACCAGGTACCCAAACGTCCTTCATGAAGTGGAGAACCTTCCCTAAGCTATACATTGCATGTTGCCTCTAAATTAGTTTGAGTGTGAATAGAGCTCTTATGTTCAAAACCAGAGATCTTCTGTCAGAGGAGGAATAATTGAACATTTGTCACTTTCAAAACCAGTATTGAGCAAATTTTCATAAATAATCTGTATATTTGGCCACTTGAAGTGTGCTCCTGAGCTAAAATCAAAAACAAAACCACCCATTATTGTGTCAAATGACTTACTTTTACCAATAGATAAATAATTAAAAATAAATTCATTATAAAACTTTTTAATGAAAACTCGAATTATAAAACTAAATATAGTTTCTATGTTTATGCAGATGACTAAGACATAAATCAAATGAGTCAGTGGAAATGAGTACGCACAAGGTACTAAGATAAAAACACCTTATTTTACAAAAAAATACCTTCCTGAATCAATGCAAAAGAGTCAACTCATTGTGGATCTACTTACTACATATCAGGCTGTGTTCTAAAGACTCTTAAAAATACTAGAAAGTCTTTAGGGAAACATGTGATTATCTTCTAACATAACAGTGGATCGTGTTAGTCTAAATCGCATTCGAGGAGAATCATGCTTTAGTAATGTATAATTTTTACTCTTGTACTTGTTTGTCATAGGACAAGTTCTACCTTTTGGTAAGTATACCAAAAAATAATTCTCCTAAAGATTATTTACTATATACATATAAAACTCTATCTCAAGGGATTGATTGCTCTACCAGTTTTCAGCATATCATAATGAATTGTATAAATTATCTAATCATAAATCGTCTCTTGTTAATAAAATACCTAAATTATTTAACAAGTTGGGTAAGATGGAAGGCAAGAAGTGGTAAACTGATTGACTTTTTTAATTATTGAAGATAGGTATCCCTATACAAAATTCAGATTTCTTTGCTCTCAATTTTTCCATTAGTAATGCATAATACTAAGGAAACCACACACAATTATTTTCCTCTCAATGAGGAGTTTGTTTCAATAAATGAGAATTGTGGTTTTATGCTAGGAATTATTGTTGGGTTATTATGTTGCTGTTTGATTGTTTCTGCTCATTATTTAAATATTTAATGAGAGGCTTTATCCAGCTTGTATTCTGAGGCTTTGAAGCAAAGGGCATAATTTAAAATAGCTAAGAAGTAAATAAATGTCATGATATTAAAAAAAATGAGATATGCAAAATATATTAAAAGCACTATTTTAATAATGGAATAATAAATTTTACTTTTCACTTGAGATGATGAAGTATAAAAAATGAGATTTGATCAGCTGTAAAATTTTAGAAACATGGCTATGCAATGCTAATTTTTGTCTGACAGTCTGTTGCAATGCCTGTGCCTAGTTGCTGCTCTAGAATGATGAGGGTGATGTAAAATGGGTTCTGCTAAAGATTCCTTCAATAAACTTCCAAATTTCTCTTTAACATCTTCCAAAATGACACACAATATTGTACACACTGCATCCGGAGGATTTTTGTTTTCTTTTTTTCTTTTTTTTTTGAGACAGAGTCTGGCTCTATCGCCCAGGCTGGAGGGCAGTGGCGCCATCTTGGCTCACTGCAACCTCCGCCTCCCGGGTTCACGCCATTCTCCTGCCTCAGCATCCCGAGTAGCTGGGACTGCAGGCGCCCGCCACCACGCTGGGCTAAATTTTTGTATTTTTAGTAGAGACGCGGTTTCACCATGTTAGCTAGGATGGTCTCGATCTCCTGACCTCGTGATCCACCAGCTTCGGCCTCCCAAAGTGCTGGGATTACAAGAGTGAGCCACTGCACCCGGCCAGGAGGAATTTTTAATGGTGGGTAGGTTGCTCAAAACTGTTTTTATTCAAAGAGATTAGTAACACTCATATGTACATATTTACAACTAAGTAAATATTATGATGACCATTCTACAAAATATAATAATATATTATGATAGAAAAATGTGGATTTAACTACTCGCTGTCTTCAAAAATATTTCAGGAATAGTTAATAGAGGATATATATATATATATATATATATATATATATATATATATATATATAAAGGTTATGCTTAAAAGGAAACATGTTTTACTTTAAAACAGAACTCTTAAGTGAGAGGGGTTTGAAGGTTGCAGCAAACTAACATGAGTATAAATCTTTGGCCTAGGTGTAAGCAGGAGGAAAAATAAAATGGAGATTAAGTACAGAAAAGCACATAATGATATGAGAGTCTCACACATACTTTGAGAATTTTAAAATGTGTTCACCAAAGAGAAAATGTAGTTGGGCTGTCACTATCTCCTTGACTATGAATTTTATATTTGATAAAAACTTGGGGAAACTCAAGATAGAGATAAATCTTTTTGCATGGCAAAGTTCCTCTGTACTCAGTGGTAATATTCTCAGTCTACAACACTCTGGCTGAGTGATGGCAGAATGAAATGTTCAGTTATAATAATGTTCAATTAATTAACATAAGATTGATTAATGTTTCAATATTTAAATACTACTCACTGAAGCCACTGAATGTTAAAATACTAGAGAAAATGCTAAAGTTAAAATTTTGGTTATTGGCATATTTTCTTTAATTTTACCTATTCCTTTAGGAAATACCCAGATAACTACTAAAACAATGAGTGCTAACTGTAAATTTTCCAGTTCATTCTCAAACCCAGAGAGCTATTTTGAGCAGTTAGCTGTTTAACAAGTTACATTCTCACTGTATGTTACTATTTAATTGTGCAGCAGAAGCAATAAATTGGTACCCAGATGCCACTGCCAAACAAAAGTACTCTGTAATAGGGGTTGCCAATTTTTGTTTACTCACAGATTATGTATTTATTTATTTTGAGGTTACACTAAAACTATAGACACTCCTTTCACAAAATTAACAAGAATATATATAGATAATTTTTAATATAATATCAGAAATCCATAAAGGCATTTATCCCATTCATAAATCTCTTCTAAGAATCCATGGATGCAGATTAAAAATTTTATTTAAAGAAGAAAAAATAAAATATTCTTATTTACATTTATGTACATAATTTCTAGATCAGTGATGTCTCTTGACACGACTAAATAAATTGGTAACAAACTCTCAACAACTATATTTATAAATGCATGTATATAATTCTGTTCTGAAATATTATATACATAAAATGTACAGAAAATCAAAATTTAAAGTGATTAGATAAACTACCTTTTCAAGTATTTTAATTCTGTAAATGAATGTTTTTTGTGATGCTCACTCTACATCAGATACTCCTGTTATAGGTTAGAAACAAACATTTCAATTTTGCCTACTTTTAAATATTTCTGTTATTTGAAAAACTGTTTTGCCATGTTTAAAACCTTTTTATGTGCAAATGATATCTGTGTATTTTTACCTTATAAACCACATGGTATTTGGCTTAAATATTAAATTTTGTTCTTTGTTTAGTTAATCAAAGTCAAAGTGTTATTTAGAAAGATATTCATTTGAGACCTTACATTTGAAAAAGTAATGGTTTCAAAACTATTGAGGAACAGCTGGCTGAATTTCTGAATTTGGGTGGATTAAAGCTTTCTAGCAGTAACTTCTTTTACAAATATAATATAAGCTACCAGTTTGCACTGAAGTGCAATTGACTTTATCAAATATTTTAAAGTATTTACTTGATTTATTTGCAGTGCTAAAGATACAGAGATAAATACAATTCGGTCCCTACAATTAAAGATCTTTCAGTCTGGTGGCATAAAAACATCTATACCAGTTTTTATTACTTTTACACACAAGTGGATCAATAGATAAAACATTATTGTTTATTTATCTCTTTCAGTGATCTCAGTAAGTTATATTTATTTTAATTCCACCAAATATCTAGCAATTGGTCAATAGTTCTTTATTTAAATAATATAAGTCCTAATTTTCTTGCCAGGGCAATACATATTAAAGGTTAGAATTTAAATTTAAATTAGTATTTAAATTCAATCTTATATTGTGTGGAAATAACAGCCATGAACATTTCCCCTTTACTTGGTCATGTCCTCTCTTACAAAATTTAGTTTAGCTCAGTCATACATGTGGCTGCTCTTTAAATAGTTGAGGACTCATTATGTTTCCATTTATTGCTTTGGTTTCTTTATGTAGCTTCAATATATTAATACCATAATCTACACACATACCTTCCAATTATATAACGTATATTGAGGTCTGAGGACTCCCCAAAAATATTTTCCTTAATCCTTCACTCCAATTCTAAAAATTCGAGCGTGAAAAAAGTAAATAGCATAGCAAAAATGACATCTTCATTACTAATACAGATAAATCAGATGATATAGCTTATCTCAAGAATCAAATTCATCTATTGGTTGAACACTGGAGAAATTACCACAGCAGACTTATGCATAGCAAAACTGGGGAAGAATTCTGAATATGGAAGTCAACACAACTCCTAATGAGACAAAAGTTATAAAGTGTTTGGAATTTAGTTGAGACTTTACTACACACATTCAGCAGATGGTATATTTTCAGCATTCATGTGAATGAATTTTGTTTACTTTTTTCACTACCTCCCTACAGCCTTTCTTCTCTCTCCAAACTGAATCTTGGGAAAACTTTGAGAGACATTAAAGTTTGAGGAACTGATTGCTAAGAATGTATTGAAAAAGTGTGCAATTCTGAACAGTGAGTAAAGCTTTTTACAGAAATAACCCTACTGGTGATGCATACTGAGAATTTTAACTATTCCATAATGCAAGATTTCTGCTTAATGGGGCAGAAAGCAGTAAAGATTGGAAAACAATGCCAGTTAAATAGACTCGAGCTGTGTTAGCTGAAAACCCTTGAGAACAGGGGATTAGAAGTAAGAATTGTGCATGCTGACGTTTCCAACTGTGTATCTAAACACATGTATTCCTCTTAAAACTAATATAGTAGCCCATTAAGTCTACTAGCTAGTGAATAGTAAAACCAAAGTTCAGGAATAGCTATGTCTTCATAACAAGTGTACTTATACACAATCACTATATTATATTGGCATGTTATATAAATAGACAATAACCTTAAAATATTATTATATTAAGAAAAAGTTGGTATACATAGACACTACTCATAACCAATGCCAGTAAAATTACAAATAACATTTACTTTAGTTAATAATTCTCTTAACATGTAATGACAATCCATGTTATTGGCAAGAAAGCTGGCCTTTGGGAATGAATCAGCCGAGAGTTATTATTCTGTAATCTATTATTCTGTAATCTTGCTCAAGAATGCTGAGTCCTCTCAGATTCAAATCTCCCATTTCATAGCTGTGTTGTGAGAGTCGACTATTATAATGTATAAAAAAAGATGTTTAACCCAGTGTCTAGTAAGCATACAGTATGTGAAAAATATTGTTGGGAAAGCTTTAGGTGATTACTATAATAGAATCAAGGTGACTACACAATAGGAATGTGACTATAAATTGCTAGGATTTTATTTTATTGACCTTTGTGTCACTGATAATATATTGTACAAGCAAAATAACCATATTTTGACTCATTGATTATAAAACAATTATGACAATTGTATTATATGATTGTAATAAAACAAATAAAATAGAAAAACTCAGTTTTTTTTTGTCTGAATATATTCAAGTATTTTTCGAAGTACACTAAATAAAATGGAGCCTAACAAAATAGTCATATTTTATTATTCTTAATACTATAACAGCTATTTCAATACAAATAAAAAACACTACAATATAACCTAAATAGATATAGTTATCATTGTTTTTATATCCTAAGAGAAATAAGTATATGATTATCAGACAGAATAAAAAAGAAAAGCCATTGAAGTTGACAGAAAATGTTTGCATATAGTTTTTAAATCTTTTATTGTCAGCACTTTGGAATCCAGTGGTTATTATATTCCATGAAAAATCAACTTTGCTTTCTCATGTAAACTAATTTCCAAAAGAGATAGCCATATATCATGCTCCTATCCCTCCAAAGAAATTAGATTATAAACCTACCAGCAGCTCAACGAAAGCTTATGAGATTCTTTTCTCTTTATCTTATGCTAAGGATGTGGAAACTACATAAAACCTATATATTCAGAGTCTATCCAAATTGAAAAGAAAGAAGTTTGAAATCCATGTTACCTACTAATATAGTTTTATTATATATATTATTATATATAAAATATTTACATTGAAAATTATATATCTTTTAAGGATAGTATATATATATGTGTGTGTGTGTGTGTGTGTGTGTGTGTGTGCGCGCGCGCACATATATGTGCCAGTTTCCAGTTCTGTATTTGGAGTGAGAAAAGATTAATAACAATGCATTGCTGCATTGCTGCCCCATTTAAGATTTCTCCCACAATTAACTAAAATAACTCAGTTATTTTCTGCACACAGACCTCTGTGTCAATCAGTCATTTTTCCAGTTTCTTGACTTCCTGCTGTGAAAAGAATACATGAACAAAATGTCTAGCATTCATATCTGACAAAACAGTGTCAAGCAGTGCTTTCAAATGTTTTCTCTCTACAAAAGAAGGCCATTTGTATCACACTACATATTAGCCACTATTATAACTGAGCAAAACATTTTTAAATTGTTTTGCTCAATTTTTTTTTTACCTCAGTACATTTATGTAACTCTTAGCTAAGTAACCTGAGGAAGTTGTAATCCTGTTCTGATTAGTCAAAGATTACAATAAGACTACTGTCATTATGTCAGTCTTAGCTGTCAAACTATGATGTCTTTGAGGAAGAAGACATTGTTTTCTTTTTCTTTCATCACCTTTTTTCCACAGGCCAAATCCAGGCTGCTTCCATTTACACAAACATTGTTTCAGGAGGGCCAACTATCTTCTTCTCACAATCCCAGGTATACACAGAATAATATATATCGAAAGTTATCAGAATATATGTATACATGTGTATATGTGTGTATATATGTGTATATACAACCTACCACAAGACATTAGCTACCTAACCACTTATAATATGCTTTCAATGTTACTTCTTTCTTTCATCAATAATGTTTTCCTTTGGGAAATCTATTTAATTTTTCTTAATGTTGTCTTTTCTTAGGCACGACTGCACAGTTGATGTTCCTGTGTTCTACTTTTAATAAAATTCATAGTTCATGTCACAGTTCATCCATCTTTTCCTTTGCTCTTTCAAACCCAGAAAGTTCTCCTTGTGTACTGCTTTGTTCTGAATTCATCACGTGGATCAATAAGTTTTGGAAGCACACAGTAAGAACAAGAATAGGTAATTATGTCTGTCCTTGAGAAATAGCCTTTACAGTATTAGACATATTAATATTTTATGAATATATTTAAATATGATTTTGTCATGTTTGTTTAAGCAGTATAAAAAAGCAAACATATTTGGCTAGGGTGGTAGAGAGATATTTCTTTAGAAAGTGACTTTTTTGTCTTGCTTTGTTTCTTCAGGGATATGAAATTACTGTGAACATATATTCATGTTGAACTTGATTTTTAAAGGCCAATATTCTGCCCAAACCTACAGCGAGGAGCATTCTATTCAACAATACCTTTTTTTTGCACACAAAATTTTTCCAAATCTGGCACTTCGACTTATGTATAAAACCTTCTCTCTAATTTGTTCTTCCTTGTCTGCTCCAAAGGAACTGCTATATGTACCGACCTTTGAACCCATAACACCCAGTTTGGCTTTTTCTCAAGCTGTGACCTCTCTAATGACTCCCCTATTTCCATTTATTGACACCACATGCCAAGACAAACGATTCCAGCCTGACTGGCTCTCTAGCCTCATAGCCAGGATCATAGTATCTTGGATTCATGCTGTTGGGTAGCGTGTGTGTGTGTGTGTGTGTGTGCATATGCAAGAGAAGATCTTCCAAGTCCATTCAGAGAACAACTAGTATTCGCAAATAAATAAATCAGCCAAGCTTACTAGCTATCATCATCATTAAGGATCAGCAGTAAGTAAAGATCAGGTTGATTTCAGGACTTCAGAAAATAACTTTTGCATACTCTTACATTTGATATCCTTCAAAATTCTAACACTTGACCATCTCTCTTAGCAATCTAAATATGCTTCCTTCGTGATCTTATCTCACCAGCTCTATAGGTTAAAAATGTTATTTTTGGTGTTGACTCTCAAATTATTTCCTTCAAACTGCACTACTCAATACTACATAATAAAAGCTAATTTTTATTAAGTAACCACTGCACACTCAATCTGCCCTAAGAACTTTTATATTTTAACTCATTTAGCCCTCAAAAGAATTGTATCTATTTTTACCTCCTTTAGAGATGAAAACTGGAGCATATACATGACATATGTGAAACCAGCTAAAATTTTCAATTCCTTTAAAACTACACTTTGTTTGAAATGTTTTAGGGACAGTGCATTAAATCAAAGAAATATATTAAAAAAACTTCTAATACAATAGAATTCTGATAAGGGATTAGTTTTTGTATAAGCCTGTTCCAATGTTTGTATCATGTAAATTATCTCTTACTCTTTCAATATATTACATGGGTAAATCAAACAATAGCAAACATTTTAAACCAAAGATATTTTCATAATCAGAGTTGTAGAACTCAAACGTATTGCAGGTTTAAATAATTTGATAAGTGTCAGAAAAACAAAATTGAGACAGTCATTGTAATACTTAATTTTTCCACCCAGATAACACTGCTATCAACTTCTTCTCTATCTTTCATTCTATTTTAATACAAGCTCTTATGCATACATAATATATATACATATAGATATGCACATTATATTTAATAGCTGCACAGTATTCAATGGTGGGGATTTACTTTAGTGTATTAACTTTTTTTAAGATTTAGGCTTGTATCAGTTAGCTTTGGTGAATAACAAACATACCACAAGTTTAGTGCCTTAAATACCCAATTTACTATTTGGTATAGATTGATAAGTGAGATGGTTTTTCTAATTTGGACCAGGGTAGGCTCACCTTGGGTGGGCTTACTCTTGTATCTGTGGTTATCTGTGTGGTTGGCTCTTGACTGGATAATCTAGAATAGCCTCAGTTTAAATATGAGTTTTTCCCCACCATGCGGTCTCTAATTCTCCGACTTACACAAGACTTGTTCTCATAATAGTAACAGATAACCAAAAGAGAGAACCATCTTAATCAAGTTTTGAAGGAGAAAGTAGAGAATCAAGAGTGACAGTATAAATATGCAGCTTCTTTTTTGGACCTCTACTTGAACCAAATTAGTTACTAGCTAATTGACAAAAGCAAGTCACAGGACCAAGCACATACTTCATAATGAAGAAGGGGACTCACCCACAAAGTGACTATGTAGGCAGGCATGGAATATTGTCTTCATTGATAAAATATATTTGCACAAAGGTTTATTATCTTGATTTTTTCTTAAGATAAAGGGCAGGAAACATTCTTTAGCTAACAATTTTCATTTTATTTTTAAATTATTTTTAATGAGAAAAATTGTATACATTTATTGTGTACAAAATAAAATTGTTAAATCAAGCTAATTAAAATATCCATTACCTGATATACTTATCATTTTTTGTTGTAAGAACACTTACAATTGACTCTCTTAGCAATCCTTACTCATATGTTACTTCATTATTAATTATAGTCACCATGTTGACAATAGTTCTCTGTATCTTGTTTCTTCATTATAACTGAAGTTTGTATCCTTTGATTAACATCTTCCCAATCCCACTCCCACCTCCAGCCACTGGAAAACACCATTCTACTCTGAGTCTATGAGTACAAATTTTTTAAGGTCCCACAAAAAAGTGAGATCATATGGTGTTTAACTGTTTGTACCTGGTTTATTTCACTTAAATTCATGTCCTCCACATTCATCTTTGTTTTCACAAATGATAGGAATTCTGATATACACAGTAATGGAATTGTTGGATCATATTGCCATTTTATTTTAATTTTTTGAGAAATTTTCATACTCTTTTACACAAATCCTGAACCAATATACACTCATAACAACAATGCACAAGTGTTCCCTGTTCTCCACACCTTCATCAACATGCTATCTTTGTCTCTTTAATGAAAGCCGTAATAATAAATGTGAGGTGATATCTCATTGTGGTTTTGATTTTGCATTTTCCTGATCATTAGTAATGTTGAACATTTCTTCATATACCTGTTGGTCATTTGTATGCCATCCTTGAAGGCATGTTGATTCAAGTCCTTAAACCATGTTTTTAAATGTTTGTCTTCTTAATATTGAGATATTTGATTTCCTTATATACTTTGAATATTAACCTCTTATCAGGAGTGTGACTTGCAAATATGTTCTTTCCTTCTGTAGGTTGTCTCTTTATTCTGTTGATTTTTTCATTTGTAGTGCAGAAGATTTTTGCACAGTCCCATTTGCCTATTTTTGCTTTTGTTGTCTCTGCTTTTGAAGTCATTTCTAAAGCATTATTGTCCAGATTAATGTCAAAATACCTTTCCCTATGTTTTCTTATAACAGTTTTACAGTTTCTATCTTAAGTTTACATTTTAATCCATTTTAGATTTATTTTTGTATAGGATGTGAGTCAAGAGTCTAATTTTCTTCTGCATGTATATATTCCATTTTCTCCACACAATTTATCAAAGAGACTCTTTCCTCCATTGTGTATTTTTCACACATTTTTTTAAAAAAATCAATTAACCAAATAAATCAGGCATAGTAAGACAAATAGTGCATTATCTTGCTTATATAAGGAATATAAAAAAGTTGAACTCACAGATGCAGAGTAGAATGGTGGTTGCCAGGAGCTGGATGTGGGAGTAAAATTGGGAAGGTTTTGGTCAAGGACACAAAATTTTAGTTAGACAAGAGAAGAAGTTCTGGGATGATTAATAATAATGTATTGTTTCTTGAAAACTACTAAGAGAGTGGATTTTGTGTTATTGACACACAAAAAAAGATGTTTGTGAAGTAATACAAATGTTAATTAGTTTAATTTAGCCATTCCACAACTTATTCATACTTCATGATAAATAGGCATGATTTTTACCAATTAAAAATATAAATAGGCCGACCACAGACTAAAAATAAAATTAGCCAGTCATGCCTGTAGCCCCAGCTTCCTGGGAGACTGATTCAGGAAGCTCAATTGAGCTCAGAGTTTGAGGATGCAGTGAGTTATGATAATGCCACAGCATCCTAGCCTGAGTGACACAGTGAGACCTTGTTGCATATATATATATATATATATATATATATATATATATATATATATGAGTTATATCTCCTATATATAGTTATCTCCTATATATAATCTCCTATATTGATATGTAAGACAGAGAGATATAGATATATATGTGTATATATATCTATAGGTACACCTACAATATATATTATTGATATACATATATATTCCTAGCACATTAAAAATAATATATATATGTGTGTGTGTAAATATATATTTAATATGTATAAATGAGGAAAACTTAAAAAGAACAATTGACTGTAAATGTGTGGATTTATTTCTGGGCTCCCTATTCTCTTCCACTGGTTTGTGTATCTGTTTTTATGCTGGTACCAAGCTGTTTTCATTACTATAGCTTTGTAATATATTTTAGTCCAGGTACAAGTGGTGTGATGCCTCTGACTTCATTTTTGTTCAAGCTTGCTTTCACTATTCAGGATTTTCAGTGGTTTTGTAAAAACATGATTTATTTCCTATTTTTACAAAACATTTTAATGGAAATTTGATAAGGATTGCATAAAATCTGTAGATTGCTTTGGTCAATATAAACATTTCAACAATATTAATTTTTACAATTCAGGAACACAGAGGATCTTTTAATTTTTCTGTGCCTTTTTTGATTTCTTTCTGAATGTTTTCTTTTTTCAGTATATACATCTTTCATCTCATTTGTTAGCTTTATTCATAAGTATTTTTTTTGGAAACTACAGTGAATAAGATCAGTTTCATAATTTCTTTTTTGCACAATTTATTGTTAGTGTATAGAAATGCTACTGAGTTTTATGTGTTGTTTTTATCCTGCAGCTTTACTGAATTTATTAGTCCTATTTTTGGTGGAGTCTTTATAGTTTTCTATATATAATATGATATCACCAGCAAACAGAGACAATTTAACTTTTTCATTCTGATTCAGATGGCTTTTATTTTATTTTCTTACTTAATTGCTCTGGCTAAGACTTCCAGTAGTATAGTAAATAGAAGTATAAATTCCTAGGATGATATAACCTACTAAGACTAAATAATGAAATAGATAATCTGAACAGACTCATAATGAGTAAGAAAATTGAATCAGTAATAAAAAATCTCCCATCAGAGAAAAGGCCAGGATTTGGTAGCTTTAGTGTGGAACACTACCAAATATTTAAAGAGCTAATTCCAATTCTTCCCAAACTACCAAAAAATTGAGAAGAGGAGACTACTTCCAAACTCACTCTATGAGGAAAGAATTATCCTGATAAGTAAAGCCAGACAAAGAAATCACAAGAAAAGAAAATTACAGCTCAGTATACCTGATGATCATAGATTCAAAAATCCTCAGCAGTCTATCACTTTAAGCCAGTGAGATTTATCCCTAGGATGCAAGGATGGCTCAAGATATACTAAGCACTAAATAAGATATCACATTAGTGATGAGGAACAAAAACCATACAATAATATCAATAGATGCAGAATAAACATTTGACAAAATTCAACATCATTTATGATAAAAACTCAAAAATTATGTATAAAAAGGACACACTGCAACACAATAAAGACTATATATAAACAAGCCCACAGCAAACATCATACACAATGATGAAAAGTTAAAACCTTTTCCTCTAAGATGAGGAAGAAATAATTTTATATTTATAATTTGACAGAGAATTTTACTTTAAGCTCTAGAAGATTCAGTGTTAAACATCTTTTGTATATGGAGCTTGTCAAAACACAAGTGACAAATTCTAACAGGTATGGAATGAAATTTATAACAAAATAAAAAAATAACACAAAGATAACACAACATTGCTAGCTCTGATTCAAAAGATGTTAAGAAATTGAAAAGTACTACAAAAAAGATGTCAATTTTTTTAACAGTGGCCACAGGACACTAAAAAACAGCTTCAGAAACATTAAGAATCAATGATGTGTGAAATGTTGACATTTTCAGTATTTTGGTTTACACTGTTACACTGTTCGGAAGATGATTGCCTTTAGGATAAAATTCCCATCATTTCATGTCAAACTTGAAAAATTGAAGTACAACAATATATATTGTCGTTACAAAATATACACAACTGCCTAGTCAGGCTCTTAACTTCTCTGGACTTAATAATATTTTTACTCTACTTTACCAAGAAGTCTAACAGCTATATATTCATATTATATTGAAACCTTATAAGAAAATTAATCCTCATAAGCATGAGTGAGTAAAATGATCCAAGAAAGGCCAGCTCACTGTGCATAATCTTGGCTCTTTTTCGTTAAAATTGCCTGTCAAGTACTGATAGAAATTTGAGATGCAGATAACCTGTAGATGGAGATGCTTTGTCATGCTACAATCTAAGCCATGTATGTATGCTAAATACACATTCATGTGTGACATTTATGAAGTGAAGATTTCAAACCTACCACTAGTTAAATAAATACAAAATGGCTCATGAGTGTCAAAATAAGACCGTATATATATACATGAAATTACTTTCTTATCTATAAAATAATAACTAAGACAAATGATAAGAAATTGTTTCCCAAGAAAATTTTAGTGAAGTTTGTTCTACATGTATGCATTAATAAAAATCTCAACAATGACATCCAATCGATACAGTTCACTATGTTTCCATTTCATAATCTTATGGTGCTTGTTCCACTCATGCTTGCAGGATGCATTAACTAGATTTCTAACGTCTGGTCGTTCCCATTCCTCAACTATGTTGTCATATTTTTTTCCATCTCATACCACTAAGTATCAATATAAATTATAAAAAGAGCATCAACTTAGCTTATGTCACATATTAATTTAGTACCTTATCAGGAAATTTTGTTTTGAGTGCAGAAGTGGAAGAGGTCTGTCTCTATCCTTTTCTACTTTTATTTTTCAATCTTAATAGACTTGGAAGTATTTTACTCATGCCTTGATAGAGCATCCAAGTACCTTATAATTTCCTTGCATTAACCTAAATTCTCGGCTTCTACTTACTATCATAGGAGATTGGTTGTTGTCCCACACAATCAGTATCCTCCCACACACCACTATGTATAAAACATTTTGAAACGTTTAAGAGATATCAAGAGAAAGTACTATATGCATGATCTATGCCATATAGTATTTGATCTATTACTACTCTATAGGCATGATCTATGCCATTACACAGTTATTAATTTGATAGCCTCCTATATTATAATACCATAACCCAGATCTGTTGGTTAATATGGCAAAGTAATGTGGAAGTTATTTGTAGTTACAGGTTTTAATAAACTATGCATGACAATAAATTAAAATTTTAATTAAGTAAACAAATTATTTTGTATATAATTAAAATATATTAAATACACCTAATATATTATTTAAAATAATTAAAATGAAAATAGATGATTCTTTATCTTTATTTATCTTACAAAAAGATCACTGGCCAATATATCAGCAGCTTGCATGTGGTATGTCTCATTAAGCATGAAGATCACCATGTATACTGTATCATAGATTTCATGTTTTTCTCAAATGTAAGGCACCCCTTTAACTTTTCATAAATATTAACATATTCAGCATAACAACATATTTGTTTACAACATACTCAATTTAATAGTATGTGTCTGTATAAAACAAATAGATAATATATGTTTTAAATACCATTTTGGCTGTATGAAACACCAGCCTCTTTATGTGAACCTTTCTCAACAAGAATCAATATGGGAACATTCATTCACATGTTTAAATTCTATTACTGAAAGCTGCTTCCTTTATCAGGATAAAACAGAATCATTGGTGGAAATATATTTTACTATTAAATAAAATCAAAACTATGTTTCTACAGGAAGAACAAACAAATTCAACTACAGGACAGAGTAAATTTAGGAGAAATTTCCTAAGTTATGACTCTGAAAAAGAACAGAAGCATATTATGTGAGAGAATACACATAAAAATTTGATACTATTGTATCTATTACAAGAAATCTAAAAATGTCAAAATGGAAATGTCATTTATATTGTTACTATGATATAAAATAGAATTGTCTAAAATTAATGAATATAGAAGGTATTATAAGTCTATTTAAAAATTCCTTAATTGAAAACCTATGTCTGTTAAAAACACTGTGTGATAAAATGACAAAATATTAGAAATAATTTTTGTTAGTGACAGTGTATATCTTAGAATTTTAAATACATTTTATAATAGCTTATGGTTTTTCATTATATTTTATAGTATTAAGGAATTATATTTGTTCCCTATTAATGTTGTTACAAATTTGATGGCTTAAAACACCACAGATTTAATCTATTGTAGTTCTGGAGGTTAGAAGTCTTGTCCTGAATGTAGCTGGGCTAAGGTTAGGTGTTGACATGGTTGTGCTCCTTTTGGAAGCTCTAGAAGATAATTAATTTCCTGTTTTTCCCAATTTCTAGAAACCACCCACTTTCTTTGACTGAAGTCCCTTTCATTCATCTTCAAAGCCAGTCACTTCAAAGTGAGTCCTTTCCACACCATCATGTCTCTGAATCTCTACCTGGTTTTCTCTTCCACTTTTAAAGGACTCTTGTGATTACATTAGGGCTGCTCAGGTAATCCAGGATTACCTTTCATTATAATATCCTTAACCTAATCACATCAAGAAAGTTCTTCCCCCCAGGTAAGGTAACAAATTCACAGGTATTTGTTACATATTCTTATTTTTATTTATTTATTTATTGAGATGCAGTCTTGCTCTGTCACCCAGGCTGGAGTGCAATGGCAGGATCTTGGCTCACTGCAATCTCCGCCTCCCAGGTTCAAGCGATTCTCCTGCCTCAGCTTCCTGAGTCACTGGGACTACAGATGCACAACACCACTCCCAGCTAATTTTTGTATTTTTAGTAGAGATGGGGTTTCACCATGTCTGCCAGGCTGGTCTTGAACTCCTGACCTCAAGTGATCTGCCTGCCTTGGCTTCCCAGAGTGCTAGGTTTACAGGTGTGAGCCACTGTGCCCTGCCACATATTGTTACATATTTATAGGTAATTGCTTCAGCAACACTTTGTTTCCTGGTACAAAAGCTATATTACTTTCCAATTGCTGCTATAAAAACTTACCAGACAATTAGTATTGCTGAATTAGAATCAAAGTATCACATGATTACTTCCTTTTTGAGGAATCTAATGGTGTGCATTCATCAGGGTTCTCTAGTAAAGCAGAACCAATAGAAGATTGTGTACACACACACACACACACATGGGGACATCAAAAAGTTTGTGGAAAAATGGAATTAAACCAGAAAAAAATAAAATATAAACATGATTTCTCAACATAATCTCCATCAATTTCATGACACCTTTGTAAGTAATGACACCAGCCATTTAGTCCATCCCTAAAGAACCGAGGTTCTTGGGAATTTAACCATGTCAATGTAGTCTTTTTTATACTATTAACTGGAAAAAAATATTTAAATATGTTTTTAAGATTAAAAAACAAAAATAACTCAGAAGGAGCCAAATCAGGACTATATGGTAGATGCCTAATAGTTCTCAAAACTCATAAAATTGCCGTTATTTGATGAAAGGAATGAGCACAAGACTATCATAATGGAAAAGGGCTCTTAGGTGAAGATTTCCCAGGCAATTTTTTTTTCTGCTAAAGCTTCAACCAACTTTCTCAAAACACTTTCATAATAGTCAAATGTTATTGTTCTTTGGCCTTCCAGAAAGTCAACAAGCAAATTGCCTTAAGCATCTCCAAGGGAGTTTTGCCATGATTTTACTCCTGGCCAGTCCACTTTTGCTTTGACTGGACCACTACCATCTCTTGGTAGCTATTGCTTTGATTATGCTTTGTCACCAGGATATTACTGGTAAAGCCATGTTTCATCCACCATTATCATTCTTCAAAGAAATACTTCAGGATCTTTATCTCATTGTTTAGGATTTCCATTGAAAGCTCTGCTCTTGTCTGCAGCTGACCTGGGAGCAATAGTTTTGGCACCCGTTAAGTGGAAAATTTGTTCAACTTTAATTTTTCAGTCAGAATTACGTAAGCTGAACCAATCGAGATCATCTATGGTGTAGGTTATTGTTTCTGCTGTTAATCATTGGTGCTTTTCAATTAGAACATGTACAAAATAAAATTTTTCTTTGAAAATTGATGTGAATGGTTTGCCACTGCAGACCCCATCTTTAACATTATCTTGTTTCTTCTTAAAACGAGGTTGGTATTTGTAAACTGATGATTTCTTTGGGGCATTTCCCACATAAACTTTTGGTAAAGCATTGATGATTTCACCATTCTTCCACCCAAAGTTCACTGTAAATTTAAGATTTGTTCTTACTTCAATTTTAGCAGAATTCATAATTCATTTGCAATCAATTAATATTTGTCAAAGTTGCCAAGAAAGCATAATAGAGGAAGGGAAGTCTTTTCAACAAATGGTATTGAATAAACTGGATATTTACATGCAGAAGATTGAAATGAGACCCATCTCTTACACCATATCTAAAAGTCAACTCAAAATGCATTAAAAACTTAAATAGAAGACCTGAAACTGCAGAGCTACTAGAAGAAAACAAAGGGAAACCTTTTGGACATTGTTTTTGGCAATGAATTCTTTTTTGGTTATAACCCCAAAAGCACAGGCAACAAAAGCAAAAAAAGACAAATAGAACTATGTCAGACTAAAAATCTCCCACTCAGCAAAGGGACAAATTAACAGAGTAAAAAGGCAACCTACAAAGATGAGGAAAATCTTCGTAACCATGCATGTAATCAGAAGTTAATATGCAAACTGTACAAGAAACTCAAATAAATCAATATAAAAAAAGAACCAGTTATAAAATGGGTGGAAGAACTGAATAGACATTTCTCAAAAAAAGACATACAAATGACCAACAGGTATAGGGTATAATATACAATGTCACTAATCAACAGGAAAATTAAAATTATAATGAATTATCACCTCTTATATGTCAGAGTACTTATAAAAAGTCAAAAGATAAACATTGTTGGTAACACTGTGAAGAAAATGGAACTTTTGTATACTGTTTTGATCATAGTGTAAATTGGTACAGGCATTACAGAAATTTATGGAAGTTCCTCAAAAATTAAAAATAAAGTTATATAATCTAAGAGTTCCATTTTTTGGTGTATATCCAAAAGAACTGCAGTCAGTATCTCAAAGAGATATCTGGAGTTTCAAACACATTGAAGCATTATTTGTCACAGCAAAGATACAAAGTTAACATAAATGTCCATGTAGAGGTAAATTAAGAAAATGTGGCTGGGTGTGGTGGCTCACGCCTTTAATCACAGCACTTTGGGAGGCCAAGGAGGGTGGATCATGTGTCAGGAGTTCAAGACCAGCCTGGCCAAGATGGTGAAACTCCGTTTCTACTAAAAACACAAAAATTAGGCCAGGCGCGGTGGCTCCCGCCTGTAATCCCAGTACATTGGGAGGCCGAGACTGGCGGATCACAAGGTCAGGAGATTGAAACCATCCTGGCTAACACGGTGAAACACTGTCTCTACTAAAAATACAAAAAAAAAATTAGCCGGGCATGGTGGCAGGCGCCTGCAGTCCCAGCTACTCAGGAGGCTGGGGCTTGAGAATGGTGTGAACCCAGGAGGCGGTGGTTGCAGTGAGCCGAGATCGCACCACGGCACTCCAGCCTGGGCGACAGAGAGAGACTCTGTCTCAAAAAAAAAAGAAAAGAAAATTAGCCAGGCGTGGTAGTGGGCACCTGTAATCCCAGTTACCTGGGAGGCGAGGCAGGAGAATCGCTTGAACCCAGGAGGCGGAGGTTGCAGTGAACTGAGATCGCACCACTGCACGCCAGACTGCGAAACAGCAAGACTCCGTCAAAAAAAAAAAAAAAAAGGAAAAAAGAAAAGAAAATATGTATGTGTTTGTATATCACACATATTTAACGGACTATTTCATGGAATACTATTTAACCTTAAAAAAGAAGGAAATCCTGTTATTTGTTACAAATTGGATGAATGGAGAACAGTATACTAAGTGAAATAAGCCAGGCACAGATACCAAACACTGCGTAATCTCACTGTGTGTGGAATCATCTAAAAAAATCTTTCTCACAGAAGCAAAGAGTTGAACGATCATTGTCAGGGTCTGGGATGTAGTGGAAATAGGGAGATGTTGGTCAAATGATACAAAGTTTCAGTTAGGCAGAATGAATAGTTCTAAAGATCTAATGTACAGCTTGGTGACTAAATTGCATGCTTGTACTTTGCTAAGAAAGTAAAAATCTTAAATGTTTTCACCACACACAGGCAAAATGGTAATTATGTGAGAGATGGACATATTAATTAGCTCGATTGTGGTAATCATCTTAGAACATATACATATACCAAAATATCATAGAATATATCATAAACATATACAATTTCAATTTGTTAATTACATCTCAATAAATTGGAGAAAAATGAAAATATAAGGAGATAGAAGCATCTAGTTTAGTATGTGTGAAATCCTTTCTCTCATAACTAACTTACCTACCTCATTGTTATATTCAACAACGAAAACAAAATCCATAGGGCTCTACCTGCCACATTTCTATAATTACTAAATAACTTTATGTATCCATTTGGTGATTAGAATTTCTAATTTTACAGCAAGAAAGCAATATAAAGTAGATAAAATATGCAACATTGCATTTAGGCCTAGAATGTTAGTAATAGAAATAAATTAGAAAATATGTAGGTATGTGAACACAAAACATTGTGTTTTTTTGTGTGTGCGTTGGAATAGAAATTTCTCCACAAACTAATCAGAGGTAAATTTATTTCCACCTCATCAAATGACCTGGAAGGAGAGTCATTATTCCTTCTTTACCCTGCAGAACGATATATACTGGACGTCAGAAAGATGAGAGATATTTCTATAGGTGTTCTTACTTTTAAATAGCTTGTTGAATAAAACTTCACCAAAGACAAATCTTATACACTTTTAATAAAAATAATTTATTTAGTTATTACATCAGTTATTCCATTTTGTTTATAATACTAAATATGTTTATTTTATACATATAGAACTAGTTTATTCAATAAATATTTCATAAGTGTATACATTATCTTTTCATCTGATGGTAAACCAGTACAGTATATCAGTATTCACAGTCCATTTAATGTGCTGAGTGTTTTTGTTTTTTGTTTTGAGATGGAGTTTTGCTCTTGTTGCCCAGGCTGAAGTGAAGTGGAGCGATCTCAGCTCACTGCAACCTCCGCCTCTCGGGTTCAAGCTATTCTCCTGCCACAGCCTCCCAAGTAGCTGGGATTACAGGAGTGCACCCTCATGCCCGGCTAATTTTTGTATTTTTAGCAGAGACGAGGTTTCATCATATTGGTCAAGCTGGTCTCGAACTCCTGACCTCAGGTGATCTGCCCACCTCAGCTTCCCAAAGTGCTGGGGTTACAGGCGTGAGCCACCACGCCCGGCCCAGTGTATTTGTTAAACAATGTTAACTTCTTTGATTTTTAACCTAGCAATGTGAATGGCAGTGCCTAAAGCAAGAAGAAAAGACATTGTCACTGTCACTGGATAGTTTAGTGATTTTTAATAGTGCAAACCAGTATAGCTAAATGATAGATTTCTTTACATAATGAGTCTCTGATTAACAATACGAGTTGGTCTTGGTTTGCTTTAAAATGAAACTTACCCATGCAAAAAGCATTCATTTGCATACTTGTACACACACTTTTAAGTAACACTTACACTGTATAAAGTGATGTAGATATGGGCCTATTTTCAGATTCAGTCATTTGTGTAAAGAGATGACTACTGTATCTAGATAATGGCAAAGTTTCTTCAATTAGAGGCATGGGAAGAATGGAACACAGAGTTCAATCATAATTATTGTAGACATTTCAATGGACTGTCACTATATACACATTTAAAGTTCATTAGGTTCAAGTGGCAGTAGCAATCTAAAATTGTATATAATTCCAAACAATAATCTAACAATGCTGAATAATGTCACTTGACATCAAACATTGACTAAAATTTATCCTAAAATTATAAGCTTAGTATAGAATATTTCCACCTAAATACTGCCTTGCAGCAACAGTAAATTTATATAGTGCTACCACATGTCATCTTGTACTTAAATTAGGTGCATCATGCCCCTAAACAGCCTGTTCTTACAACAATCTTCAAAAGTGATTTTAAGCTCAAACTCCTGTGCACAGTATCAACAAATTTATCACCTACTCTGCTGGTGCATCGTGTTGGAAATTGTTTATTTTGTTTCATTGAGCTTTGAAAGTGATCATAAATTCTGTTCAATAAAAGGAGAATGTTAAGAATGTCGATTCACATGCCAGGTGGATATAGTAATAAATATGACAGCTAGGATGACTATAATAAAATGAATAGAATTTACTGGCAGGGCAAGACTCTTGTACTAACATGTAAAAGACAAATGCCATTAAATATCTTGTATTTCATGATATGGTATGTAAATTTTTTGAAACGTGTCATATTCTTTCAGAATCTTGCAATAATTGCTAATCATGAATGTTAACATAAAGTAATTGCATCTTAAGACAAAATTATATGAAAATTACAAAGTTATGTAGTCTCGTTGAAGAATATAGAGCCTCTGAGTAAACAATTCATTCACCTGAAATTCCTGATATTAAAATAGTCTAAATAAAGGAAAAGTCTATTTTTTGTCAACAATTGTAAGTTACTGAGAGCCTGAGTATTCTCTCTTGGCCTTTGTTTAACATGTTTTCCCTAGGAAATGAGTTAGATCTAGAGAATAAGACCTTAGATAATATCTTCCTTTGTTGGGTGAAAGGCTTATCTTGGGCTTTCAGTTCATTTCTGGCATGTACAAAACTTCCAAATAAGCACACAGTATCATACCACCAGAAAAGTTTGGACAACTTTAAAATTAATTAATTTTATTGTACCCATCAGAGAACTGCGGTTTCAGAGTAAATTGTAATTCAGAAATTTGGAGCGACAGGTTCATATGAGTTCTAGCTGAACTTTGCTTACTTGCAGCCCAGGCCACCAAGTCATAAACTGATATGAACACTTAAATACTAATTTTGATGAGTAGCTAAAGGCTAAGGAAACAGCTGGAATTCATAATATTATAGGGGTCCCTTCACTTTTGTGACTTACCTTCAAGAATCCTATCAGGTTCTCATGGTGAAGATTCAAGAATAACCTTGTCTTACTCTGTTTTCTGTTGCTTAGTATAGAATATTTCCACCTAAATACTGCCTTGCAGCAACAATAAATTTATATAGTGCTACCACAAATCATCTTGTACTTAAATAAGGTGCATCATGCCCCTAAACAGCCTATTCTTACAACAATCTTCAAAAGAGTACCCAAAACTGGATAATTTATACAGAAAATGAATTTATTTGCTATAATTATGTAGACTGGGAAGTCTAAGTACAAGGGGATGCATCTTATGAGGGCCTTCTTGGTAGCAGGGAATCTTCACAGAGTCCTGAGTCGACACAGGGCATCACATGGTAACAAGGCTGTCTGCTAGGTCTGGTCTCTCTTACTCTTCTTGTAAAGCCACCTGTTTAGTTCCCTTGATAAGCTATTAATCCAATAACCCATTAATCCATGAGTGGGAGTATGAAAATTTAATTTCTATAGTTTTCTTTGAATTAAAACTTTATGAATAGGTTGTGACCATTTTTATCTCTAATAATATATATCATACATTTTAATCTATTAATGTGGTTTAATTAGAATTCTAATGGAAACCATGTGTGTGGCACATTGCTAGTGTTTAGCAAGTTTTTTATGTTATGTTATTGTGATTAGTTATAATTGGAATTATTTTAATTTACTTTTTAAACATTTTGTTTTGTTATATATTCTTTTCAACAATTTCTCTTTCTCTTGCCTTACTTAATGTAATGATTTTTTAAACCTTAATCTGTGATTATTCTCATCAGATTTGGGAGTTATACACCTTGTTACAAATACTTTTAATGGCGAGCATGGAATATAATTCATATAACCCAAGCTTCATGTCTTACACAAAAATTAACTCAAAATGGTTCATGGGCTTAAATGTAAGACATAAAACTATAAAACCTTTAAGAAGATAGAAAATTAGCAACTCCAAAACAAATAATTGTCAGATTCACCAAAGTTGAAATGAAGGAAAAAATGTTAAGGGCAGCCAGAGAGAAAGGTCGGATTACCCACAAAGGGAAGCCCATCAGACTAACAGCGGATCTCTTGGCAGAAACTCTACAAGCCAAAAGAGAGTGGGGGCCAATATTCAACATTCTTAAAGAAAAGAATTTTCAACCCAGAATTTCATATCCAGCCAAACTAAGCTTCATAAGTGAAGGAGAAATAAAATACTTTTCAGAAAAGCAAATGCGGAGAGATTTTGTCACCACCAGGTCCACCCTAAAAGAGCTCCTGAAGGAAGCACTAAACATGGAAAGGAACAACCAGTACCAACCACTGCAAAATCATGCCAAAATGTAAAGACCATCGAGACTAGGAAGAAACTGCATCAACTAACAAGCAAAATAACCAGCTAACATCATAATGACAGGATCAAATTCACACATAACAATATTAACTTTAAATGTAAATGGACTAAATGCTCCAATTAAAAGACACAGACTGGCAAATTGGATAAAGAGTCAAGACCCATCAGTGTGCTGTATTCAGGAAACCCATCTCACGTGCAGAGACACACATAGGCTCAAAATAAAAGGATGGAGGAAGATCTACCAAGCCAATGGAAAACAAAAAAAGGCAGGGGTTGCAATCCTAGTCTCTGATAAAACAGACTTTAAACCAACAAAGATCAAAAGAGACAAAGAAGGCCATTACATAATGGTAAAGGGATCAATTCAACAAGAAGAGCTAACTATCCTAAATATATACGCACCCAATACAGGAGCACCCAGATTCATAAAGCAAGTCCTGAGTGACCTACAAAGAGACTTAGACTCCCACACATTAATAATGGGAGACTTTAACACCCCACTGTCAACATTAGACAGATCAACGAGACAGAAAGTTAACAAGGATACCCAGGAATTGAACTCTGCTCTGCACCAAGCGGACCTAATAGACATCTACAGAATTCTCCACCCCAAATCAACAGAATATACATTTTTTTCAGCACCGCACCACACCTATTCCAAAATTGACCACGTACTTGGAAGTAAAACACTCCTCAGCAAATGTAAAAGAACACAAATTATAACAAACTGTTTATCAGACCACAGTGCAATCAAACTAGAACTCAGGATTAAGAAACTCACTCAATACTGCTCAACTACATGGAAACTGGACAACCTGCTCCTGAATGACTACTGGGTACATAATGAAATGAAGGCAGAAATGAAGATGTTCTTTGAAACCAATGAGAACAAAGACACAACATACCAGAATCTCTGGGACACATTCAAAGCAGTGTGTAGAGGGAAATTTATAGCACTAAATGCCCACAAGAGAAAGCAGGAAAGATCCAAAATTGACACCCCAACATCACAATTAAAAGAACTGGAAAAGCAAGAGCAAACACATTCAAAAGCTAGCAGAAGGCAAGAAATAACTAAAATCAGAGCAGAACTGAAGGAAATAGAGACACAAAAAACCCTTCAAAAAATTAATGAATCCAGGAGCTGGTTTTTTGAAAGGATCAACAAAATTGATAAACCGCTAGCAAGACTAATAAAGAAAAAAAGAGAGAAGAATCAAATAGACGCAATAAAAAATGATAAAGGGGAGATCACCACCAATTCCACAGAAATACAAACTACCATCACAGAATACTACAAATACTTCTACGCAAATAAACTAGAAAATCTAGAAAAAATGGATAAATTCCTGGACACATACACCCTCCCAAGACTAAACCAGGAAGAAGTTGAATCTCTGAATAGACCAATAACAGGCTCTGAAATTCTGGCAATAATCAATAGCTTACCAACCAAAAAGAGTCCAGGCCCAGATGGATTCACAGCCGAATTCTACCAAAGGTACAAGGAGGAACTGGTACCATTCCTTCTGAAACTATTCCAATCAATAGAAAAAGAGGGAATCCTCCCCAACTCATTTTATGAGGCCAGCATCATCCTGATACCAAAGCCTGGCAGAGACACAACCAAAAAAGAGAATTTTAGACCAATATCCTTGATGACCATTGATGCAAAAATCCTCAATAAAATACTGGCAAACCAAATCCAGCAGCACATCAAAAAGCTTATCCACCATGATCAAGTGGGCTTCATCCCTGGGATGCAAGGCTGGTTCAATATATGCAAATCAATAAATGTAATCCAGCATATAAACAGAACCAAAGACAAAAACCACATGATCATCTCAATAGATGCAGAAAAGGCCTTTGACAAAATTAACAACCCTTCATGCTAAATACTCTCAATAAATTAGGTATTGATGGGATGTATCTCAAAATAATAAGAGCTATATTTGACAAACCCACAGCCAATATCATACTGAATGGGCAAAAACTGGAAGCATTCCCTTTGAAAACTGGCACAAGACATGGATGCCCTCTCTCACCACTCGTATTCAACATAGTGTTGGAAGTTCTGGCCAGGGAAATTAGGCAGGAGAAGGAAATAAAGGGTATTCAATTAGGAAAAGAGGAAGTCAAATTGTCCCTGTTTGCAGATGACATGATTGTATATCTAGAAAACTCCGTTGTCTCAGCCCAAAATCTCCTTAAGCTGATAAGCAACTTCAGCAAAGTCTCAGGATACAAAATCAATGTACAAAAATCACAAGCATTCTTATACACCAATAACAGACAAACAGAGAGCCAAATCATGAGTGAACTCCCATTCACAATTGCTTCGAAGAGAATAAAATACCTAGGAATCCAACTTACAAGGGATATGAAGGACCTGTTCAAGGAGAACTACAAACCACTGCTCAAGGAAATAAAAGAGGATACAAACAAATGGAGGAACATTCCATGCTCATGGGTAGGAAGAATCAATACCATGAAAATGGCCATACTGCCCATGGTAATTTATAGATTCAATGCCATTCCCATCAAACTACCAATGACTTTCTTCACAGAATTGGAAAAAACTGCTTTAAAGTTAATATGGCACCAAAAAAGAGCCCGCATCGCCAAGTCAATCTTAAGCCAAAAGAACAAAGCTGGAGGCATCACGCTACCTGACTTCAAACTATACTACAAGGCTACAGTAACCAAAACAGCATGGTACTGGTACCAAAACAGAGATATAGATCAATGGAACAGAACAGAGCCCTCAGAAGTAATGCCGCATATCTACAACTATCTGATCTTTGACAAACCTGAGAAAAACAAGCAATGGGGAAAGGATTCCCTATTTAATAAATGGTGCTGGGAAAACTGGCTAGCCATATGTAGAAAGCTGAAACTGGATCCCTTCCTTGCACCTTATACAAAAATTAATTCAAGATGGATTAAAGACTTAAACGTTAGACCTAAAACCATAAAAACCCTAGAAGAAAACCTAGGCATTACCATTCAGGACATAGGCATGGGCAAGGACTTCATGTCTAAAACACCAAAAGCACCAAAAGCAATGGCAACAAAAGCCAAAATTGACAAATGGGATCTAATTAAACTAAAGAGCTTCTGCACAGCAAAAGAAACTACCATCAGAGTGAACAGGCAACCTACAAAATGGGAGAAAATTTTCGCAACCTACTCATCCGACAAAGGGCTAATATCCAGAATCTACAATGAACTCAAACAAATTTACAAGAAAAAAACAAACAACCCTATCAAAAAGTGGGTGAAGGACATGAACAGATGCTTCTCAAAAGAAGACATTTATGCAGCCAAAAAACACATGAAAAAATGCTCACCATCACTGGCCATCAGAGAAATGCAAATCAAAACCACAATGAGATACCATCTCACACCAGTTAGAATGGCAATCATTAAAAAGTCAGGAAACAACAGGTGCTGGAGAGGATGGGGAGAAATAGGAACACTTTTACACTGTTGGTGGGACTGTAAACTAGTTCAACCATTGTGGAAGTCAGTGTGGCGATTCCTCAGGGATCTAGAACTAGAAATACCATTTGACCCAGCCATCCCATTACTGGGTATATACCCAAAGGACTATAAATCATGCTGCTCTAAAGACACATGCACATGTATGTTTATTTTGGCGCTATTCACAATAGCAAAGAGTTGGAACCAACCCAAATGTCCATCAATGATAGACTGGATTAAGAAAATGTGGCACATATACACCATGGAATACTATGCAGCCATAAAAAATGATGAGTTCATGTCCTTTGTAGGGACATTGATGAAATTGGAAATCATCATTCTCAGTAAACTATCGCAAGAACAAAAAACCAAACACCGCATATTCTCACTCATAGGTGGGAATTGAACAATGAGAACACATGGACACAGGAAGGGGAATATCACACTCTGGGGACTGTTGTGGGTTGGGGGGAGGGGGGAGGGATAACTTTAGGAGATATACCTAATGCTAAATGAGGAGTTAATGCGTGCAGCACACCAGCATGGCACATGTATACATATGTAACTAACCTACACATTGTGCACATGTACCCTAAAACTTAAAGTATAATAATAATAAAATAAAATAAAAAAGAAAAAGAAAATTTGGGGGATCTATGGTTAGGCAAAGTTTGGACTCTACAGTTTGGCAGAGAGTTCTTACACTAAACAACGAAGCACAACAAAGAAATGTTTACAGTGAAATTCATCAAAATTTTAAAAATTTGTTCCACCAAGGACATTTTTAAGAGAGAATGAAAAGACAAGCTAAAGAGAGAAAGTATTTTAAAAGTATTCAGTAAAGAACCAATGTCTAGAATATATAAAGAATACTGATAACAGTAAGAAAACAGTCTCATCAGAAAATAGGCAAAAATAAAAAAATAGCTATTTCACCAGATAATCTATAGTTAGCAAATAAGCTCACAAAAATATGTTCTTTATTATTAGTCCTTAGGGAAATGCAAATTAAAATCACAATGGCATGTCATTACCTACGTATCACACTGGCTAAAATGAGAACAAGTGCCAATATCAAATGCTAGGAAAGATGTGGAGAAACCGGATCACTCATATATTGCTAATAGGAATGTAAAATGCTACAACTTTTATTGAAAACAGTTTGGATGGCAGAGTCTTAAAAGTAAACCACTTTTAAGTGTATGTTAAGTGTATATGCAACCACTATACAACCCAGCAACTGTACTCCTGAACATTAATATCAGAAGTAATAAGTAATGTTCATGAAAAACTTGTGTATGAATAATTATAACAGCATTACTCATTATTGCCAAAATCTGGATAAGTCCAGATGTTCCTTAATAGGTCTGTGGTCAAACATAAAACAAAATACTACTAGGGCCGGGCGCGATGGCTCACCCCTGTAAATCCCAGCACTTCAGGAGGCCGAGGTGGGCAGATCACGAGGTCAGGAGATCGAGACCATCCTGGCTAACATGGTGAAACCCCGTCTCTACTAAAAATACAAAAAATTAGCCGGGCACGGTGGCGGGAGCCTGTAGTCCCAGCTACTCGGGAGGCTGAGGCAGGAGAATGGCGTGAACCCGGGAGGTGGAGCTTGCAGTGAGCCAAGATCGCACCACTGCACTCCAGCCTGGGAGACAGAGCAATACTCTGTCTCAAACAAACACAAAACTACTCAGCAATTTAAAAAGAAAAGAAAATAATAATCTATTGACACACACAACAATCTGGATGAATCTTGGGGAATTATACAGAATCATAAAAGTTAATTCTGAAAAGTTACATACTACATAAATCCATTCACAAGTTGAAATGGCAAAATTACAGAAATAAAGAACAAATCAGTGGTTTCTAGCATTTTAGAGTGGAGGAATAGATGTTACTATAAAAAGACATCATGAGGGATCCTGTGGTGCTGGCTCAGCTCTTGACAGTATCAATGTCATTATCTTGTTTATGATGTTGTATTATACATTTCAAGAGGTAACCATTGGGGAAATATAAGTATTGAGTATATGACAATTCTTTTTTTATTTTTTTTATTTTTTTTTTATTTTTAAAACTGCATGTGAATCTCTGTTTTTATGTTAAAAAGTTTAACTTTTGGAGGAATCTGTTTATTTCTTGTATTTATTTATTTTGTATTTTCTTCAACTTTTATTTTGGATTCAGGCACTACATATGCAGGTTTCTTACCTGTGTATATTACATTACAGGTTTGGAATATGAATGATCCCGTCACCCAGATAGATAGTTTTTCTACCCTTGCCCCCCTCCCTCCCTTCTCATTCTAGTAGTGTCCAGTTTCTATTGTTGCTATCTTTATGTTCAGGAGTACCCAATGTTTAACTCCCACTTATAAGTGAGAACATGTAATATATGGTTCGCTATGTTAATTTATACTTAGTTTTCTGTGTTAAATTGTTTAGGATTATGTCATCCAGATGCAACCATGTTGCTACAAATGAACATGAGTTTGTTCTTTTTCATGTCTGCATATTAGTCCATGGTGCATACGTACCAAATTTTCTTTATCCAATCCATCACTGATGGACATCTAGGTTGATTCCCTGTATTATTTTTTATATATTTATTATTATTTTTTTTTTGAGACGGCATCTCACTGTGTCACCCAGGCTGGAATACAGTGGTGAGATCTCTGTTCACTGCAACCTCTAAACCAGGCTCTAAACCCTGGGTTTAAGCAATTTTCCTTCCTCAGCCTCCTGAGTAGCTGGGAATACAGGTGTGTGCCACCATGCCCAGCTACGTTTTTGTATTTTCAGTAGAGACAGGGTTTTGACATGTTGGCCAGGCTGGTCTTGAACTCCTGACCTCAGGTGATCTGCTTGCATCGGCCTTCCAAAGTGCTGGGATTACAGGTGTGAGCCACCGCGCCTGGCCAATTCTTTGTCTTTACTATTGAGAATACTGCTGTGATGAACATGCCAGTGCACGTTGTGGACATTAATCCTAGAGAGGTAAGTAATATTCATGCAAAAACTTGCGTATGAATAATTATATCAGCATTGCTCATTATTGCCAAAATCTGGATAAATCCATAATAATAAATTATAAATTATCAATCCATGATAATAAATCCATAGTCCATAAATTCAACTATTGACCCATTAATGAGTCTATTGTTGAACACCCATAAAACAAAATATTCAACAATTTAAAAAGAAAAGAACAATCTTTCGGTATGATATATATATATATTTTGGGTGGAGTATATACCTGGTAATGGATTGCTGAGTCATATAGTAATACTAAGTTCTTTGAACAATCTCCGAATTTCTTTCCTCAGTGGCTGAACTTATTTTCATTCCCACCAATAACATGCCAGCATCTGTTATTTTTTGACATTTAATAATAGCCATTTAGTATCTCATTGTGGTTTCTATTTGCATTTCTCTGATGAATAGAGATGTGGAGCACTTATTGATAGATTTGTTGGCAGCGCGTATGCATTCTTTTAAGAAGTGTTTGTTCATGTCTCTTTCCCATTATTTAATGGAGTTATTTGGTTTTTTTTACCTGTTCAATTGTTTAATTTCCTCATCGATTCTGAATATTAAATCTTTCCTGAAGGCCTAGTTTGCAAATAGTTTCCCTATACTGTAGGCTGTATGTTTTCTCTTTTGATAGTTTGCGTTGCTGTGCCGAAGATTTTTGGTTTAACTAGGTCCTACTTGTCAATTTTTGTTTTCCTTCGAATTGCTTTTGAGGCCTTAGTCATATATGCTTTCCCATGGCCAATGTATATAATGATGTTTCCTAGGTTTTCTTCTAGGATTTTTATAGTTTGGAGTCTTACATTTAAATCTTTAATCCATCTTGAGTTGATTTTTGTATGTAATGAAAAGTGGGGGTCTATTTTTATTCTCCATGTGGCTAGCTGCTATCTCAGCCTCAATTATTGAATAGGTAGTCATTTCTCCATTCCCTACTTTTGTTGACTTGGTCAAAGATCAGATGGCTATAGGTGTGTAGCTTTATTTATGGGTTCTCTATTCTGTTCCATTGGTCTATGTATCTGTTCTCGTACCACAAGTACCATGGTGTTTTTTGCTACTGTAGCCTTATAGTAGAGTTTGAAGTTGTGTAATGTGATGCTTCAATTTTTTTTGTAGCTATTCTGGCTATTTTGGACTTTGATATGAATTTTACTATAGTTTTTTCTAATTCTGTGGAAAGTGATAAAAATAGTGTTGATTCTACAGATTGCTTTGGGATATATGGCCATTTTAACATTATTGATTCTTCCAATCCATGAGCATGAAATATTTTTCCATTTGTTTCTATCATCTATGATTTCCTTTAGTAGAGTTTTGTCATACCTGTAGAGATCTTTCACCACCTTGGTTAGATGTATTCCTAGGTATTTTAGTGTTTTGTTGATATCATAAATGGGATTATGTTTTTAATTTTGTTCTCAGCATGAATATTTATGTATATCTACTTTGTATTCTGAAACATTACTGAAATCATTTATCGATTGCAAGAGCCTTTTGGCTTATTAAATTTATACCTAAGGATTTCATCTTTGGGGTGCTAATATAAAGGGTATTGTGCTTCTACTTGTAAATTCCAATTGGTCATCACTAGTACATAAGAGAGAGTGATGTCGTGTAAGAAAGCGACAAACTTTGCATCCTGCAATCTCACTATAATCATTTTATAATTTTTTGAGTTTTTTGTTGATTCTTTTATATTCTACATAGATGATCATGTCATCTATGAATGAAGGCAGCTTTATTTCTTCATTCCCAATGTATGGCTTTTGTTTATTTTTCTTGCATTGCATTAGGTATTTCTTTAAGTACAGTGTTGAAAAGGAGTGGTGAGAGAGGGCATTCTTGCCTTTTTTCTGGTCTTAGTGCAAAAACTTCTAGTTTCTCACAATTAAGTATGAGGTTAATATTAGTTTAATGTTTGAATTTTTCTATTTTATTGACAGATTTCTTTATCAAGTTAAGGAACTTCCTTTTAGTTCCTAGTTCATTAAGAGTTTTTTTTTTTTCTTTTTTAAACCATGAGTAGATGTGGTCTTTCACATTTGAAAGAGATTTATTCTTAAGTATTTTATATTGTTGATGGTAATTTAATTAGTATTACTTTTAAGTTTCAATTTCTAGTCTTTTTGGTAGTATATACAATATGTAAAGATACAATTGATTATTGTCTATTGTTCTTGAATATTGTAACCTTGATAAACACAGTTGTTAGTTTTCTTGGTTTTTGATGCTATATCACATTTTTTCAATCCACAAATAAAAACAATGTTATTTCTATCTTTTACACTTGATGCCTGCTACTTATTTTCTTGATTATTACACTAGCTAGTACTCTACTACAAAGCTGAATAGAAATGCTGAGAAGCTAGAATCCTTGTCTTAATTCTGATGTTAGGAAGAAAATATTTTATTTTTTATTCTTAAGCATATTTTTATCTGTAGGCCTTTCTTACATGTTCATCATCAGATCAAGACATGCTCTTCTACTATTAATTTGCCAAGATTTTTATTAGAAATGTGTTCTGGATACTATGTAATAATTATATACATTAAGATAAATAGGGTTTTTTTTTAGATTTTTATATAATGAAGCACATCGTAATTTTGTAATGATAAACCAATCTCACACTGTTCAGATAAACCCATGTATCACCTGATATATCATTCTTTTAAAATATTCTGGCATTTTCCAGCTAGTAAATACTAGCAGTCTTGGTCTACCTGGATGCTCAGCTCTCTCTCTTTAACTCAGGCAGTTTGGCAGACTTGCCTGAATCTACCATCATGGCTTGGAAACTGGGTCAATGTAGTGAGTTGATAAGGCTCAAGTCCTTTGCTCCCATACTTTAAAGATTTCTCTCCTTTGTTGTCTCAAATTCTATTTCTTGAGAACTGACATTTATTTTCTTTTTTCCATATTTGGTTGTTTCAAATGGGAGGCCAAATATTGTCCCCGTTATCTCATTGTAACCAGAAACATATTTTTCACAATCCATTCTTTAATCTCAAAACTATACCTTTTAAAAATTCCCCTAGTGACTCTCAGTTGGAAAGTAATATAATTTTTTGTCTCCCCCTTGAATTGATAGTTTTGATGGATATAGAATTCAATGTTAACATGTATTTCTCAAAGCATGTTGAGAATATTCCTTCCCTTTTTTAAACTTTCATTGCTGCTTTTGTGAAGTATTCTGTAAGTCTATTTATTATTCTTTAAGTGATCTATCTCATCTTTTTGATGCTTTTAAGTTGTTCTCATTTTTAGATAACATGATTTTAATTTTATTGGTCTAATTTGTAGTCCTTTATGTTTATACTGTTCAGAATATAATCATTTTCTTAACTATATGTATGTTTTAGATCTCTAAGTTTTTTCAATGTTTCAATTTTTCTCTTCTTCACTTTTGAAAAAGGACATATTTCTAATTAACTGCTCATAGAAAAAGCAAATATATGTTTCAGTCTTGTATCATTGCCCTTCATCTTCCCTTATGTTGATATTACCTAGAATATTAGTTCCAAGTTATTTTATCTATTGTTTCTATTTTACAAATTTACATTATGTTGAATGAGTGTTTTTCTTTTCACATGTAAAATACTTTATCAAGATGTGTGATCACATTGATCTCACATGCTCCCTACAGAATTTACAAATTTCTCTTATTTATTGATTTGAATTTTCAATCGAATCTACCCTATAGCCTCATTTTTATATTTTATACCCTAATTTTTTCCTATCATATTTTTCAATTCCTACTTTATTTCTTTATTTCTATTAAATATTGTGTGATATTTAATTTTATGTGTAAATTGGACTGGGACATGGGGTGCCCAGAGATGTGATGAGACATTATTCTGGCTGTATCTGTGAAGGTGTTTCTTAGTGAGAATAATATTTGAATCAAAAGACAGTAAAGCAGATTGCCTTCCCAACATGGGTAGGCCTCATTTAATCTACTGATGGCCTCAACAATAGGTTGAGTAAGGAAGAATTCGCTCCTTTGCCTGACTGTCCTTGAGATAAGAGTCTTCTCTTGCCTTTGGACTAAGACTCAGACTGGAACTTAAGCCTTCAGTGCTCCTTAATCTCAGGGCATCAGACCCAGATAAAACTATGCTGTTTGTTTTTTTTGGCTCTGCAGCTTTCTGACTCCACATCTTGAGACTTCTCAGCCTCCATAACTACATGAGCTAATTTCCTACAATACATTTCTTTCTGTATATATGTGTGTATAAATATAGATCCATTTCTCCTGGGAACCTGAAGACATGTTGCTTTTATTTTATTTTTGTATCTGATGTTCGTGTGGGTCTGATTCTGCTATGTTCATTTTTACTATCATTCATGGTACTTTGTTTCTTTATGCTTCAGAGACTGATGTTTAGGAAATTTAATTCTAAATAAAATTATTAAATTTTTAAAAATAATTTTCTCTAAAACATTTTTAAATTTTTTGTTTGCTAGTTTTCTGAATGATGACAAAGCAGTAATTTTAAATTTTAAATTATATAGCCATTGTGGAGCTGTTTAGAACATGGTGATAGTGTAAATTAGGTTCTCAAATTCACATGAAGGTAAGATTGCTATTAGAATTTTGTGTGTGTGAGTGTGTGTGTGTATGACACACACACTTAGAATTTAAAGAAAAAATGAGTAGAAATTTTATTTTCTTCTGTAGAAGAAGTATATTTTCCTTATATTTGTTAATCCTGGTTTTATACATACTCTCTGATAAGATCTACTATTCTGCATGGTCTCAAATTTTGTCTTCTATTTGTAAGCTGTAGGTAATTTAGAGACCGACAGATGACCCGGAGGCAGCATCAAGTCTAATGTTTGAAAATCATTTTTAATTTATGATTTCCCATAGTTTCTGGACTCTGACTTTTCTTCGTACTTTTCTGTTTATGAATTCATATAAAAAGTTGTTATTGTTATTTTAATTGTCAAGCGTTTTCAGATATGTTGTACCAGGAGGTTGCTAATGAATATACTAGAAAACAAGTTACCAGAAAAGTAAGGCCAATGACATAGAGTTCTTAAGAAGTATGAAAAAGCCCTGTACTATCCTATTCATTTGCTAAATGTTGCAAAAAAACAATAGCCTAAGAAAACATAATACGTCTACACATCTTGAGCTCATTTTAACGTTTACATAAAGTTTAGAATTAACTGAAGTCTTAATAGTTATTAAGAAGTTCCTTTTATGTGTTAAATATGTATTTTTTTGTATTACATTTTGTATAAGAAATTGTTACGGAAATACTAACATAATCTGTGTTTCAGAATAGCTAGAAACAAACAAATGAATAAATGTGATAGGTTTAAATAAAATATTTGGGAGGTTGCAGATAATTGATTTATCTTTGAAAAAGGTTGAAAAAAATCTTAGTGAGATTTGAGAAGACAAATAAAAGTTACTGCAACAATAACATTATCTGACTGTGGAGGAAAAAAATAATGCCTCTAATCTCTCTCCTACCAGTAGGGGAAGGGTGGTAAATGAAGAAAGGCCTGGAAAAGAAAGAATCAACTATGAAAGACTATAATGCATCTGGACAGTCCCTAAGGAGGTTTAAGAATCTTCCTTTTTTTCAATGACGTGTCTGTATTGCCTTTGATAGTAAATCACAGTTGCTGTTTAATAAAAGTTTATATTAAATTCTCTACTGAGCACTTCTTAAATGACAAAAGCAAATGGCAGCATATACTCTCTAGAAAAGTGATGTCTTTATTTGTGGAAAAATGTAATTTTTGTAATAATGGCTGTGTAACCACTCTTCACCAAGCTAAAAGCAGAAGTTTTACACATGTGCCTCATCTTATTGCCTAGTAGCTGCCTAGTTTATTTTATGGTAGCAGCTCTTGGGTGTTAATCAAATCTGAAGTTCTCAATGCCCCTAGTACCAACAGTAGCCCATATTAAGTGCTTAAATGTATTTGTTGCAAGATTGGATAACTGAAGTGTCCTTTGGCTTAGACCTGAGAAATGAAAGATAAATATGTAAAATAAAAACATTACTATTTTCAATTCTTCAAAGATAAATCAGTAAATAAATTATAAGACCACTAAAATGTATTCCTATTATATGAAACCTAATAGTTATTTAAAATTGCTCCTCCATTTTACATTTACTATTTCTTAAGCATAAGAAAAGTCAATAATATCCTTTGAGAATTAGTCACAAATGCTTAATATTAAGTGTATAGAAAACTTTCTTTCTGTGTAAACATAATCTTATAATACTTAAAAAATAAAGTCAAACAGTGTGTTATATATGAAAAACACTATATGCGTTTGCTTTTTTGGGTCCACACTTTAAAAGATACTGGAAAAACACTTAGAAGGTCACTGCATTAAATGTTTTCTTTTTTTTTTTTTTTTAAGGCAGAGTCTCGCTCTGTCACCCAGGCTGGAGTGCAGTGGTGCGATCTCAGCTCACTGCAAGCTCCGCCTCCCAGGTTCACACCATTTTCCTGCCTCAGCCTCCCAAGTAGCTGGGACTACAGGTACCTGCCACCACGCCCGGCTAATTTTTTGTGTTTTTAGTAGAGACGGGGTTTCACCATGTTAGCCAAGATGGTCTCTATCTCCTGACCTCGTGATCTGCCCACCTCGGCCTCCCAGAGGGCTGGGATTACAGGTGTGAGTCACAGCGCCCAGCCTAATGTTTTCTTACTTATTAGAAATGTGGACTTGGAAATAATCCAAAATGTTAATTAAATTTATTTTAATTTCTAGGCAAAAAATGTTTAAATTTTTGTGTATCTCCTCATTTTCAATTGTCACTGGAGATTGACTTAAAACAAGCTTAGTAACAACTTTGTAATAAATGATCCCAAATTTAGAAAATATCTACCCATGTGTGTCTAATGTGAATGGCCCCTTTATGCCATAATTTAAACAATTTTTTATCTCTAAGAACTGTTACACTCATAACTGTAGCATATAAAGAAAAGGCCAATTTGTGTCATTTGATGAAAGCAAAACAAATATTTAAATTATGGATATAATATTTTTCACATAAGAATTTTAACATACCATAGTTCAATTGTTACTACTTCTCACTCAACATTCTACATGCTTGAAATTTGTTTAATCTTCACATATGGCACTATAAAATGTGCATAGCTGCACATGTACCTTATCTTACTGCTTAGTAGCTGCTTTAGTAGTAATTATCAGTATTTGCCTTATTTTACCGCCTAGTAGTTGCCTTAAAAGTTATTACTATTTTTCACATGAAGAATCTCAGCGCCCATAAGCACTGTGTAGACATAATCAGAATAATGTGAATTTGAGGTGCCTTTCACATGTTTAACACAAAGGGACAATATTGCTTAATACGTCGATATTGAACAACACCTTTTTTCAGGATAAGTTGATATAATATGTTCGCTATATGTTCCATGAGAAGCAATTTATAGTCCCAACTATTCTCTTAAAACCAAACTAGAGATACCATAATTAGTAGCTGCATTCAATGTCATCTACGAAGGTGGAGTTTCTTCTCCAGTTCTAGAATACGTGTTTGGATATCCAATGACCTGTTACATAAACTTTATAACTAAATATAAGTCAAATTTGTCGGCTGTGGCTCAACCCTTGGGATTCAAGTCAATTGTCTCTTATGACACATGGAGGCAAAAAGCAGTGTAATTGTTTTTCAGTTTTTAAAATGTGCTATAAATGTAGTGAACAAACACTTCAGTTTCCCCGGAAAAGTCTCAATTTATGCCTGCTGCAATGAAGTACCATAAGTGTCCCAGTTTGGATGATAAACAAGGTGGTTAACGCTACCCATAAACTCACTTCTGATAGTGTAGTTGTTATCATACTGACTTTTATTTGGAGGAGAAAAGTACTGCAAGATCAATGCATATTTCCTCAGATGTAGGAGGTGTCCTGAAATGGCAATCTGCAGAAAATGGAAGGGTAAAAACACAGAAGTTTGAAAATGGTGACCAAAATTAATAAAGGGATGTATGATCTCCTAAATACCCCATAAAATGTTCTTGAAGTAAAATTTCACAGAACCAACTAACTATATAGGCAGGCACTATTGTTTACAAATTGATTCACAAACTGTAAATGTCAATGGGTGAATGAGCTCTCAGAGCATTTCACAGTGCTAAGATTAAAATACATGCTACTTCTCTGATTGCTGTAAACAGTAGTTTTTTATTTTATTGCAGATCTTTAACTCTACTATTCCAGAAATGACAGTTTTAAAAGTGTCATAAAAATGAAATTTCAATACACTGTCAATCATCCTGATTCCATATTGACTGAAGAAGAATAAAATCCACTTCTCAAGAATTGGCTTATTGTATGCTCGTGTCTTATAATTATTGTCTCATTGATTCTGCCAAAAGAGAGTTAATTGAATTTTAAGCATATTGAAATGATGTTTTTATTCTGACAATATCTTTATTCCTTACAAATAAATTTAGAGCATAAACAAGAATATATAAAACAATAGTTATTATTCATACTTCCCATGAAATATGAATATTTGATTACCTCTGTGACTTAGATGATTTATACAACATATGTATTGATTGAGATTAAAAATTAGACTGCTTAAATCTATTACCTGTTTTCTTATTCCTTATCAACATTCCTGATCATAATTTCTGGTGTTGAAATACTACTTAGAAAATTTTTAAAATGCAGTCATTTTAAAATCCTGTGCTTGAGGATAGGAATATGTTCTAAGAAATTCATTGTTAAGAGATTTTTGTCACTGTATGAACATCATAGGATGTACTTACACAAACCTAGGTGGTGTAGCCTACTGCACTCCTAAGGTATATGAATAGCCTACTTCTCCTAGTTTGTAACCCTGTACATTACATTACTGTACTGACTACTGTGGGCAGTTGTAGTAAGACAGTGGTACTTACCATTGTGTATATAAGCATAGAAAACGTCCAATAAAAACATAATATTATAACTTTATGAAACCACAGTCATATATGCAGTCCATCATTGACTGAAACATTCTTATATAGTGCACGGTTGTACCATATTTATAATAAAAATATTGTGATTAATATTAACTTAATTTTTTAAATGTTTTTGGCTTTAATTACTACAATGTCACTTGACTTATTTTTCTATATACTCTTGTGTCAAGGCTAGCCTGTTAATTAAACTGTTTTAAGTTCCAAAAAAACTGCAAATGCAAATTCTATCATTTTATTCACTAAATTATCAAATAATTTATTCCAATAACACATTTACTTGATCTTCTCTTTAGATGACATTATAGTTATTAAGGTTAAGGTGTGCATTATGTTTCTATTTTATAATTACAAATATATTTAATCTACCAATGTATTTTAAACAATATAAATTATACTAACATTAGTTGCTTCTGAAAGACTCTAATAACATATTCTCATCACTAAATTTACAAGATACTTTGCTAAATTTATTTTTTTATAATACATATACATACACACACACTGTGAAATTTTGTAAATGTAAAAGTATAAAGAGAGAAATTAAACTGTCCTATAATGCCATTTATTTATAAATAACTAACATAAATATTTGCATGTTTTCTGTCATTGTTTTTTCGTAACTGTTGATGTATTTTATACTGTAGACCTTTTATGTGATAGCTTTTCTGTGATCATATCTTCCTTTTTTTAAGTAGATGTCAATGTCTCTAGTGTCTTATAATTAGAAGCCTATGTCATAGACAATAAGGGTGGTATTTCTACACAGTTTTTCCTCTGCTATCAGTAAGCCTGCCACTTATTGAACTTGAACCTGAGCTCATTTTCCATTTTGATATGCCAATTACGAGCCTAAAACAAGTAACTGTAAATAATACCATTTAACATTTAGAACAGTACAGAGTACAGCTCTCCAAATGAGTTTAGCAATACTTAGAGCCAGATTTGTTTGTGACAATGTAAGTTGATACTATTGACATTTAGGATGTGAACTCAAAGGAGCTACACATCCTGCAATGTTCTGGTTATTTCCTACCAAAAAGACATACTGCTAACATTGAGACACAGATGGGCATTTAAGAACAAATGTTTTTACTTAAAAACAAAAAAAAAAAATTTGCCTTGCTCAAGATACAAGAATGTATTCCCAGGAAAATATATGTTGGCTCTAAGTATCTTTCCTCTTTTGCATGGTGTTTCAAATTATTTCTCAGCTATGCTTCATTGATCATGATTGGAGTTATGACATTTTTCCTAACTGCAAAGAAGGAGAAACATTTCTCCTCCATTTTCTTTTTGGCTTTGATGTTGTCAGTGGATTCAAGGAACAGACGTAAAACAACTGATTTTTTTTTTTTTTAACCAGAAGCTTTAATCTCTACCAGAGAAATCCTTTTAATACATGAGAAAAAGTAAGTGGAAAAAATGGCGCAATAATTATTCTGAAGATTGGGGATAGAATGCTGGGTATATTCTGGGGAAAGAATGTAATTTCACATATGTCAATAGAGATGTATGTGTGGGAATACTTACCATATAATTATATTAAAATGCATAAGATTATTTTTAAAAAGCATCCAGAATAATTGTGGAGCATGTTCAGTAATAAGAAGTGAAGTTCTTCAACATTTTAAACTCAAGAAACATAGGTGGATCACCTGAGGTCGGGAGTTCGAGGCTACCCTGACCAATATGGAGAAACTCCATCTCTACTAAAAATACAAAAATTAGCCGGGCGTGGTTGCTTATGCCTGCAATCCCAGCTACTTGGTAGGCTGAGGCAGGAGAATCGCTCGAACCCAGGAGGTAGAGGAAATGCTGGGGAAAGAATAGGCTATATTCAGGGAAGGGTCATGCCATTCATTACAGAAGAAAAGAAAAGGATGGATGTTACTGCCAGTAAATGATGACAACATGGAATTATATTATTCCTGCTTATTCATGCTATTTTCTAAAACTCAAATCTCTCTACCAAAATCTAGACTGTTATATTCAACTACATTATTAACTTTGCTATTTGAATGGCTGTTTTATTACCTAAATATTAATAAATCAAAAGCTGACTTTTTGACCATCACCCCCAAACCTGCTCCATCCACAGCCCCCACTTCAGTTTACTAAAACTGCCTTTACAGTTGTATAGATTAAGAACAATGGAGTCATTCTTGACTCCCTTTGCAATCCATGTTCAGTCCATCAGGAAATTGTATTGAGTCTGTTTTTAAGAATATAAACAAAATATGACCCTTCTTTATCTCTTCCACTGCTATAATCCTGGAACAACCCACCATGAGTTATTACTTGGATTACTGTAATAAGCTGCCAATTAATTAATGCTCTTTGTTTTAATTCTTACCCCAGAAAAATTGATTCTATTGCAGATAGTCTTTGAAAAATAAATGTGATACTGTCATTCCGCTCAAAATGTTGCAATGTTTTTTCGTGTCATGCAGAGTAAATACCAGATCTTGTAATTGTCTTCTCTGAGACCTATCTTGGTAATTTCCCCTTTCACTCTGTTCTGAGCACATTGGTATCCTTACTCCTCCTGCAATACTCTAGGCACACTTTCACCTTATGATGCATGCACTAGAAATATTCCTGGAACACACTTAGATTTTATATTGTCATGAATAACTTCTTCATCTCTTTCAAGTCTTTACTCACATGTTACTCTTTCATTGAAGGTTATAACTAATCACACTAGGGATATTACTCTTTACTTATACTTCTGATTTATATTACTCTTTCTTTCTTTTATTCATGTAGTTGTACTTCTTTCTTTTACTTATATAGTTATCTTTTATAACAAGATACTTTATTCAGTGATATAGCCTAAGTGCCTAGAACAGGGTTCTACACAGGACAGGAGCTCAGGAAATAATCGTTGAATAGGTGAATGAATATGAACCTGAGAGGGAAGGTTATCCGCAGAGAGTGATTTAATGGCTGCTTTTCAATCTTCGACATGTTTTTCACCACAGAGCTTTTGACACAGTTAGCCTTGCCTTCTACTTGGAAATATTTCTCCATATAATCAAGGTTTCTTTCCTACCACTTTGGAAACTCCACTTAAATATGTTTCTTGCCTTTAAAATGTTGAAGAACTTCACTTCTTATTACTGAACATGCTCCACAATTATTCTGGATGCTTTTTAAAAATAATCTTATGCATTTTAATATAATTATATGGTAAGTATTCCCACATATACATCTCTATTGACATATGTGAAATTACAGAGTCTTGCAAGTTGTAGCTGTAACTGTAGCTGGATATCTTCACTTAAATTTTGTTGTCTTTTTAATCTCCATACTGCTAACCAGTTCTCTTATTTTATCCTATACAGAGAAGCCATAATCATATATTTAACATGTAAATTAACTTTTGTTACTTTCATCATACATATAAAACAAAGAATGGCTTTTATACTCAGCTAAGTCCTCCATGATTGGCCTACACCTACCTCTCTAAACATATTTTCTACAAATCTGATTCTTACTAAATCTGCTTAAGCCACAATGGCTTTTTCAATATCCTCATCTCAGAGTTGTTTCAGTTATTGTTCTTACGTCCTACTGTCCCCATAATTTATCCTAGTACCTGTTCACATGATACTTTCCTAAATGTTTCCTCCCTACCTAAAATTGCATCAACTTCTATTTTTCTCAGCCAGCACTAACCCAGTTGAAAATAATACCACATTTTTGTTAATGTGATTGTTTACTCCAATTTTCTATTTTCTCATCAGGCTTCATGTGGGTAAGGATCATGACTGTTGCATTTTTCTATAAAAAAATTTTGGTAGAGGCCGGGCATGGTGGCTTATGCCTGTAATCCCAGCACTTTGGGAGGCCGAGGCGGGCGGATCACCTGAGGTCGGGAGTTCGAGGCCACCGTGACCAATATGGAGAAACTCGGTCTCTACTAAAAATACAAAAATTAGTCGGGTGTGGTTGCTCATGCCTGCAATCCCAGCTACTCGGTAGGCTGAGGCAGGAGAATCGCTCAAACCCAGGAGGCAGAGGTTGTGGTGAGCCGAGATTGCACCATTGCACTCCTGCCTGGGCAACAAGAACAAAACTCCGTCTCAAAAAAAAAAAAAAGAAAAAAAGAATTGGTGGCCATTATCCTAATTCACTTACAAGAGAGAACATGCAGTATTTGGTTTTCTTTTCTTATAAGTGACAGCTAAACTTGTATATGTTTGGACACAAAGAGAAAGAGAAGAACAATAGATGCCAGAACCTACTTGAGTTTGCAGGGTAGGAAGAGAGTGAGAGTTAAAAACTCTCCTATCAGGTACAATGCTCACTACATGGGTGATGAAGTCATTTGTGCACCAAAGCCCAGAGAAATGCAATTTACCCATGTAACAAACGTGCATACCTGCGTATATACCCTTAGAACCTACAATAAAAGTTGAAAAAGAAAACATATATATATATATTTTATGTATGTATATATATACATACAATATATATTTAGTCTTCTTAAGTCATATATATATTTATATATACATAAAATATATATGACTATATATAGTCTTGTCTTATGTATATATATTTATATATACATAAAATATATATGACTACATATATAGTCTTAAGTCTTATGTATATATATTTTATGTCTTAAGTCTTATGTATATATAAGTCTTATGTATATATATATTCTATGTATATATGTATATATGTGTATTTATGTATATATTTATGTATATATATTTCTTAAGTCTTATGTGTATATATATATTTTATGTATATATATGTGTATATGTGTATTTATGTATATATTTATGTATATATATGTCTTAAGTCTTATATATATATTTTATTATATATACATATATACTTTTATATATATACATAAAGTGTGTATATATATATTTATTCTCATATAAAATAAAGAATGCTTAAGAAGAGGATGGAATGCCATAAGACAGAAGATAAACAGGTATTTCAAGGGTCTCCAAGATCACCTTCAGGCTCAGTGATTCACTAGAGGCACTCAGGAAAGTTGTTATACTCATGCTTACATTTTTTTTTTTTTTTTTTTTTTTTTTTTTTGAGACGGAGTCTCGCTCTGTCGCCCAGGCTGGAGTGCAGTGGCGGGATCTCGGCTCACTGCAAGCTCTGCCTCCCGGGTTCACGCCATTCTCCTGCCTCAGCCTCCCAAGTAGCTGGGACTACAGGTGCCCGCCACTACGCCCGGCTAATTTTTTGTATTTTTAGTAGAGACGGGGTTTCACCGTTTTAGCCGGGATGGTCTCGATCTCCTGACCTCGTGATCCGCCCGCCTCGGCCTCCCAAAGTGCTGGGATTACAGGCGTGAGCCACCGCGCCTGGCCTCATGCTTACATTTTTAAGAGTGAAAGAATACAGATTACAATCAGCAAAAGGAAGAGGTCTGTGGGACAAGGTCCAAGTAAAACCAGACTCAAGCTTCTAGGTGTCTTCTGTTGGTAGAGTTTCAATGACCTGTTTAGATCTCCCAGCAACAACTTGTGACAACACATGGAAAGCTAAAGTGTTATCAATCAAAGAAACTCATGAAGCTTTGGGTGTCCAAAGTCTAAATTGGAGGCTGACATGTTTTGACTGTGTTCCCACCCAAATCTCATCTTGAATTGTAATTCCCATAATCCCCACATATCGTGGGAGGGATCCAGTCTGAGGTAATTGAATCGTGGGGGCAGTTACCTCCATGCTGCTCTTCTTGTGATAGAGAGTGGGGTGCTTTTATAAGGTTACCCCAAAATTTGGAAGCAACTTTGGACTTGGGTAACAGGCAGAGGTTGGAAGAGTTTAGAGGGCTCAGAAGAAGACAGAAAAATGTGGAAAAGTTTGGAAATTCCTAGAAGCTTAGTGAATAGCTTGGACCACAATGCTGATACTGATATGGACAATGAAGTCCAAGCTGAGGTGGTCTCAGACAGATAGGAGGAATTTGTTGGGAATTGAAGTAAAGGTCATTTTTACTGTGTGAAGAGACTGGTGGCATTGTATTCCTGCCCTAGCTATCTGTGGCACTTTGAACTTGAGATAATTTAGGGGACTTGGCAGAAGAAATTTCTAAGTGGCAAAGCATTCAAGGGTAGCATAAAAGTTTGAAAAATTTGCAGCCTGACAATGGGATAGAAAAGAAAACCCACTTCCTGGGGAGAAATTCAAGGCTGCTGCAGAAATTTGCATAAGTAACAAGGAGCTGAATGTTAATCACCAAGACAATGGGAAAAATGTCCCCAGGGCATATCAGATACCTTCACAGTAGCCCCTTCCATCATAGGCTCAGAGGCCTATGAGGAAAAAATGGTTTCCTGGGCTGGGCCCAGGGACCATCTGCTGTGTGCAACCTAGAGACTTGGTGCCCCATGTCCCAGCCACTCCAGCCATGGCTAAAAGGGGTAGAGGTACAACTCAGGCTGTGGCTTTAGAGGGTTCAAAAACCAAGCCTTGGCAGCTTCCACATGATGTTGAGCATGCAGATACACAGAAGTCAAGAATTGATGTTTGGGAACGTCTACCTAGATTTCAGAGGATGTATGGAAATGCCTGGAAGCCAATGCAGATGTTTGCTACAGGATGAAGCCCTCATGGAGAACCTCTGTGACAGCAGTGGAGAAAGAAAATGTGGGGTCATAACCCCAGACAGAGTTAGGTGATAAACCCTGACAGACTCCCTGCTTGCATGGCCTTGTGGAGCTGTGAGAAGAGAGACATCATCCTCCAGAACCCAGAACAGTAGATCCATCAACAGCTGGAACTGTGCACCTGGAAAATCCTCAGGTACTCAATGCCAGCTTGTGAAAGTAACTGGGAGTGGGGCTGTACCCTGCAAAGCCACAAGGGAGCCAAAGCTCAAGGCCATGGGAGCCCACCTCTAGCATTCACCAGACCTGGGTATGAGATGTGGAATCAAAGAAGATTATTTTGGAACTTTAAGGTTTAATGACTGCCCTATTGGATTTCAAACTTGCTTGGGCCCTGTAGCCTCTTTGTTTTGGCCAATTTCTTCCATTTGAAATGGGTACATTCACCCAATGCCTGTAACTCATTGTATCTAAGAAGTGATGAACTTGCTTTGGTTTTACAGTCTCATAGTTCGAAGAGACTTGCCATGTCTCAGATGACATTTTGGACTTGGACTTTTGAGTTAATGCTGGAATGAGTTATTACTTTGGGGGACTGTTGGGAAGGCACAATTGTGTTTTAAATTATGAGGATATGAGATTTGGGAGGAGCCAGGGATAAAATGGTATGGCTTGGCTGTATCCTCACCCACATCTCATCTTAAATTGTAGTCCCATAATCCCATGTGTGGAGGGAGGGACACAGTGAGAGGTAATTGAATCATGGGGATGGTTACCCTCATGCTTCTGTTCTTCTGATAGTGAGTGAGTTCTCATGAGATCTAATGGTTTTATAAGGGCTTTTTTCTCTTTGCTCTTTACTTCTCCTTGCTGTTGCTATGTGAAGAAGGATGTGTTTGCTTCTCCTTTTGCCATGATTGTAAGTTTCCTGAGGCTTCTCAAGCCATGCTAAACTGTGAGTCAATTAAAGCTCCTTTCTTTACAAATTACCCAGTTTTGGGTATGTCTTTATTAGCAGCATAAGAGTGGACTAATATAGGGGCCTACCACATAGGCATCTAGTCGCTGCATGACTGACTTCAGCTACTCAGGTTCCAGTCCCTTAGGATGAATACATTCAGACACCATAAATCACAGTGTAAGCATAAATTACCTGATCACACTGGTCCTTCAGGACCAAAGCTTTAGGGATACATAAACTCACTTATCAAACAAACAAAATATTCTAAGGTCTCAGAGATTATCTTTTTCCTAAACTGTCAAACTACTCTGTTTTTCTGAATATGTAGAGTTTGAGCAACCTGCACATGCTGATTTAACCATTTCCTCCAGAAAATTAAGTTTAAATAGAAGGAGCTACTATTTTTTTTAGGCTTTGATGTTCTCAAAGTACAGGTTTTAAATAAATAAAACCTCACTCTTCATGGAACTGATATGTGCAAATTTCAGTTTCCATGATTTAGAGAAAATAACACCATTCCCCAAACAACAAAGTGCAATTTTTAACTACCACAAAATGTAAACTGTAATTGCACAAAGTATAAACTTTGCTGCTGGTTCTGCAGCCCACAAATTACCATGTATGCAACAGAGTCATGTCCTGATCAATGACTAATCACGGCTTTTCTTGTGATTCAGTTTACACACAGATAACAAATGTGTAGTGTTGTTCCCTTTTCTCCGAGTGATAAGCTTACATGACATCTTATAAAAATGAAACCATATATTATATCCATAATACCATTATATATTAATATAATATAGTATTTTAATAGAGTATAGTGTATATTAGTTGTATAATACCATTATTGTATTATATACACTATTGCCTATGTAAACAAAAAAGTATCTGAGAAAAGTCTCAATCAATTTAGAACGTTTATTTAATATTTTGCCAAGGTTAAGGACATGCCTGTGACACAGCTGCAGGAGGTCCTGATGACATGTGCCCAAGGTGGGGGGATACAGCTTGCTTTTATACATTTTAGGGAAACAAGAGACATTAATCAATATGTGTAAGATATACATTCTTTTGGTCCAGTAATGTGGGACAACTCTAACTGGGGGCTTCCAAGTTAGAAGTAGATGAGAGTCAAAAGGTTGCATTATTTTCAGTCCTTGATTAGCCTTCCACTGAATACATAATTTGAGCTCTTGATCAGCCTTCCAATGAACACACAATTTAGTCTGGCTCAGTGAATCTGCATTTTTACATAAACAATAGGGCAGAGGAAGTAATCAGATATGCATTTGTCTCAGGTGAGCCTCAGAGGGATGACTTCGAGTTCCGTCTGTCCTTTGCCCAAAAGGAATTTCCTTGTGGGCAAATTGTGAGAAAGATATGTAGCTTTTTATATTTTAGCAATCATATTTAGAAATATAATGGAAAGTGTGTTTGTCTGACATAGTTCCCAGCTTGACTTTTCCTTTGGCTTAGTGATTTGCGGGTCCTGAGGTTTATTTTCCTTTCACATATATAATATATTATAATATTATATGTAATATCTATATAATATATAATATTTGTATAACACTATATAGATTTTACAGGTGAAATGACAGATTGTGGCAATGATGACACTGCCACTGCTTGAAAGGCTCTAAATAAGCAGCCAGAGTAATTTAGTGAAGGTGAACTTATCAATGTAAATAAAGAAGCTGATTACGGTAAAAGGCTAGAGATGACACACAGAAAGTAAAAACAACACAAAACTTCACATTCCTATAACTCTCAGAGATATTTCTTAATGTTGAAAGTGTAAAGAATAAAATATTGGGGGCTGATCCAAATTTAGAAAGGAATATAACAATTCTCCAAGACATACAAAAAGATGCTTGCTTAGTGGTGTAAGTTATACAACCACAAGGCAATCAATGTTCAAAATATTCTTGATGAGATTTTTTTTACAAAGAAAACAATTTTTTAATTTTAAAAATTACAGTGTACTAAATAAATATTAGTTTTACTATTTTTTTATTTCCCTATATATTTTATCACCCACACTAAGAGCATTTTAAAATTTTTAACAAATATTTTATAGGTCATGGAACAATCATAATTTTCCCCATTGATTATTAAGGTTTATTGCCACAGTTTCAGCTTTCATAGTAAATTTTTATGGTCTCACACTCTCATGCAAAGCAAAGTCTGTTTGTATCTTAAATTATCATAAAATTCTACTCGTTTTTGTCTTTCTTCTCCTTTACCTTATTGATTGCTGAAGGACAGGACTTCGATTTGCATATTCCATATAATAAGTACCAGATAACAAAATTTGAATAAAAGTAAAATAATCCAATGAGCATAATTAATTTGCCATAGATGGGTAGTTAACACTGAAATAAAATATGAGATAATTGAATAAAAAATATAAATGTCTCTGCCATCCTGGACTTTTAAAATGTATTTATCTCATTAAAGCAAATATGTACCTAAAAGACTCAAACAGTTTAACTATATTCACAGGCCCCAATTCCCTAATTACTTTCCACCTGTGCATGCCATTCTGCACTTTCTCACTGTATCTCTATAAAATAGCATTTTTTTCCCTTAAGCTCCATATATCCTAAAAATGCGTAGAAGATTATATCAGTTATCTGTTGCTACATAACAATTTACTCCAAATTGATCACCTTAAAACAAAAGTTTCTAATGACAGAATGCTGAATGTGGCTCAGCTGAATATCTCTGGCTAAAGTTTCTTGTTTTTTCAATCACACTGTTGTCCAGGGCTGGAGTTTTATCTGAAGGGCAACCTGGGGAGGGTGGAATGTCAAGTTCATTTATTTGGTTCGTGGCAATATTTAGTTCCTCAAAGATGTTGGATGAACAGCCTCAGTTTCTACCTGGCTATTGTCTGGAGCCTCTCACTTCTTGCAATTTTAGACTTTTCGTAGGGTATCTCACTGTATGACAAATGTCTTCCCAGAAAGTGAGCAAGCCAGAGAGTGAGGAAGAGCACCTTAGATGAAAGTCAACAGTCAATTTTGTAAAGTAGTCTTCCAAGTAATGTCTCATTATATATGCAGTATTTTATTACTTATTAGCATCTCAAAGAGTCCAGGACACACTCAAAAAGAGAACATTTCACGAGGTACAAATACCAGAAATAGAGATATGTAGGAGCCAATTTAGAGACATCTTATCACAAAGGCTTTTCAGATTTCAATTTCAACCTATTGATATTTGGGACAGCATCTGTGTATTTATGGGATTTGGAATCTGAGGGATAAGATCTGATTTTTTTTTTTGGCAAGCCTCTTGCCTATCCATTACCAACAGTCAAAGGGGAAAATATTGGCCTCTATATCATCTTCCATTGCACACAGGCCCATGAAGAGTTTATGGGGAGACTTTGAGCTTGCCAGTGGTGGTATAGCCAATTGAAAAATACAATTTACTTGAAAATATAAATTCTATAAATTATCCAGAGAAAAATTAGTTTGTAATATCTAGAGGTTATCAGAGAATATTGTTTTTCAACTTATTTTGATTTACTACACACACATGCATACACACAAACACATACATATATGAAGAGATAATCTACGATTAATTTTATAATTAAAGTAAAAGTATTAAGGACTTCCCCAAATCAGAGGTTATTCAGTCTAGGTGAGGAAAAAAACATGATAAACTTTCAGGATATCAAAACTAGTCGAAGATATTTTTCTTTATTCTCTGATCAAAACAATATTAAAGAATCATGAAATGTAATGCATAGAAGATTCAGTATTATGCTATCTTATTCTTTTATATTAAAATACTAAGTATAATTTCAAAATGAATATGGATGAGGAGGATTAAGTCATTTATTAAACTAGCAAAAATTACTGAAAAAAATCACACCTCCATTATCTTATGTGATGCTAGGTAGAAAAGTATTAACATAAAAGAGTGAATTAATTATCTCAATTAGACATTCCTGTAAAATTATAATGACCTCCTACTAATACCAAATATAAATACCATTAATAAAATGTTAATGGTATAAACTAGGGAAAGGCTGTTGTCTGGAGCAGACGATAATATCATGGTCTTGATTTGTTATAATTTAAAATAAAACATATGAATTTAGGATAGCTGGCTGGCTTGAAAATAGGGAGAAGCCCATAAATAATTTTTTTCTCAATGCAATCAACAGTATATAAAAGAAAAAGTCTCCAAAACCATAATAGTTTCCTTTTGTGAATTGTGTTTCTGCACACATTGTCAAAACTTCTTAATCCAAAATTGAAATACATGTTAATATAGGAGGAAAATGAGTTTTTGTTGCTCCGTCTGTTGGTTTTGGGATCCTCCGGGAAAAGAATGCTTTATCTGTGCCCAATGCTTGCTTATGCCCTTTAAATATGTAAATTTTGATGCTGGGTAAAAATTATTATTTGCTTGAAGCTGCTTTTATAATTCAAAACTTTGCATTTGATATTTTTCAATTGAAAGATATCTTTTTGTTTTATAGTAACAAAATTAATCAATATACAGCAAAGTTTTTGACAGAGCCTATTCTCACTGGAAACTTGTAAGCTTCTGTATTTGTAGCAATTCGAGTACTTTATCTATTAAGAAATGTATACATGCATTAATACAACTTGTTTGGATAGGGTGGAACCATTTCAGAATTCACCAAAATTCTATTTTTTTTCATTCTAACTGTACATTCACCAACTATAGGTGAATATTGGTGCTTTAAAATGTAAACCCTTAATTTGGTTGTTTTGTTTTATAGATTATTTTTTATAAAATCATATACATCTTCAAGCTGTTTTAGCATATGATGAAAGATAATAGATGTTGGATGAAATTTTAGGTGCACTGAAAGCTTTGAACAGAACTATAACTGATTGACTCACTTAAGAATTAAACTTGAGGCCAGGAGCGGTGGCTCATGCCTGCAATCCCAGCACTTTGGGAGGCCGAGGTGGACCGATGGACTGAGGTCAGGAGTTTGAGACCAGCCTGGTCAAAATGGTGAAACCCCGTCTCTACTAAAAATACAAAAATAGCTTGGCCTGGTGTCAGGCACTTGTAATCCCAGCTACTAAGGAAGCTGAGGTGGGAGAATTGCTTGAACTGGGAGGTGGAAGTTGCAGTGAGCCGAGGTCGCGCCATTGTACTCCAGCCTGGGAGGGAAACTGTCTCAAAAAAAAAAAAAAAAAAAATTAAACTTGAGGCTTTAATGGTGCCCCACCCTGCTGCAATAGACTATTTAATATATTTTTCACCAAATAAATTTATTATTTAATATTTTGTTCTCACTTAAACCTTAAAAAATTACAAAAACTGCCTCTTGTGGCTATTATTTTTGTCATATTTAATATAATTTCAATGTTTTAGAATAAATATATAAACACGTTTATTTTTGATAGTAGAAAACAATGAACTGTTTTCTACATTTATTTAGGTATATTCTTTAGTATGCTTCCATTATAATTTTAAAAAATTAATTTTTAAATATTTAGTTTCAAGCAACAATTATTAGAAAATGTTTTGTACACTCTATTTGAAGATATAGTTTCTAAAAATTCTTCATGTTCTAAAAATTCTTCATGAATTTAATATGCTGATTATTCTTACAATATTTTTTTTACTTATGGCTGCTTTGCAAAATATAAGATAATTTATCTTAGATTATCTTAATATATGATTAAGGACAGAGAAAATTTAACTTGATCAAAAACATAGGAACTGATTTATACATTTTTAAAAATCGACTTTATTGGATCTTTGGAAACTTACCTTTTTCCTCTGAGTGGTTCAGTTATGCAGACTTCTGCATTGCATAGGTATTTTGTTCCCATATATTTTCTCATTGCAACTCTTTTCTTCAGCATGTTCTATCCTTATTTTAAAAGGGGATTTTAGAATGTTAGCAGTTTGAATTTCAATAATGCGGTTGCTCGGAGAGGGGAAGGTATTCTAAGACACAGGGTCTCTCTTTTTTTGAATTTAAACTTTGAGTACAAAGGCTGAATAGGAAACCTACATGTCTTCATTATTACCTCTTTGGTAGGGTAAAAAATCCATACCTTGAATATGGATTCACTATTTCACTAAGCAAAATTTGAGTTTTATTTCTGTATTCTATTGGCAGGAAAATAAAATTTTTATAAATAAATAACTTTTTAAATGGAGAGAGATTTCTGAACTTATTACCTTTAAGTTTTTCATTATCCTCTTACTGAGGTGCTTTGTGGTGCTAACATTTTAAAGTCAAAGGATTTTGCTGAACCCAAATAAAAACATATAAAGATTTCAAGAACCTATTTTGGATTTTTAAATAGTTATATTTAGTTGAAGAAATTTAAATTACCTATTTCTACGTAATCTTTTTATGTAGCCACCATGTACTATGTTTGTGTATGTTTGCAAATGTGTACATATATGTAAAGTTTATGAAAAGTATTCCATATTACTTTAGTATTTCTCTTCTTTCTATTACTTGCTTTTATTTAATTCAGGTGAATAATGTGTGTGTATGATATGGTTTGTCTGTGTCCCCACCCAAATCTCATCTTGAATTGTAGCTCCCATAATTCCCACGTGTTGTGGGAGGGACCTGGTGGGAAGTAATTGAATCCTGCGGGCAGGTCTTTCCCATTCAGTTCTTGTGATAGTGAATAAGTCTCACAACATCTGATGGTTTTACAAAGGGGGTTCCCCTACACAAGCTTTCTTGCCTGCTGCTGTACAAGATGTGTCTTTCTTCCCGTTTACCTTCTGCCATGATTGTGAAGCTTCCCTAGCCATGTGGAACTGTGAGTCAATTAAACCTGTTTCCTTTATAAATTACTCAGTCTTGGGTATGTCTTTATTAGCAGCGTGAGAACAGACTAATACAGTATATTTGCATGTCTATACACACACACACATATATATATATATAACTATTTAAACTTATGTCTATAATTTTATATACAATTACATTTTACAGCCAGGTGCGGTGGTTCACGCCTGTAATTCCAGCACTTTGGGAGGCTAAGATGGGCAGGTTACGAGGTCAGGAGCTCGAGACCAGCCTGGCCAACATGGTGAAACCTCATCTTTACTAAAAATACAAAAATTAGCCAGTTGTGGTGGTGGGCGCCTGTAATCCAAGCTACTCGGGAGGTTGAGGCAGGAGAATTGCTTGAACTCCAGAGGTGGAGGTTGCAGTGAACCAAGATCGTGTCACTGCACTCCAGCCTGGGCAACAGAGCAAGACTCCCTCTTGAAATAAAAAGAAAAATTACATTTTATTATGCATTTGGAAAGATAGACTAATTCATAAATAAAAAGACTAAAATTATTAGTACATGCCAAATTACAACCTGTCTTTCTTTTGTCACACACAATATGTACTGAACAATTGAGAAGATGATTTTATTCAGGCTATTGCAATACAGCAAACATTCATAAATGGCAAACATCTTAAAAAAAGAAAGGAGGCTTAGAGTAGTATAGCTTCAGGTACAAGGGAGTCATCCCCAAGATGTGGGGGAGTCATGGGGCAGAGTGACAGTAAGTCTTACCTGAAGAGTGGAGGTGGGTAGTTCTTGTCACATGTAAAAAGTAGGTGGTCCTTGGACACACAAAGTGGTGAACAGATATCTCAATTTTTGTTGTTTTCCAGAAGCACGATGATCAGCTAAAGTCCAGCATTGCCATATATTTGATAATTATTAACCTAAAAAGGAAAAGAAGGTGAAATTACATTAAAAGTTTCATTAATTAAATGAATCTTGGTTATGGCACTTGGAAAAAATAGCAAACTTTTTACCCAAAGTGTTTTATTGGACAAATGTTTCGCTGAAGGTATTACAGTTTAGCTGGAGTATACCTTATTTACTTGACTTTTAACATATATAAATAAAAGAGTATTTGGTTATTGTTGTGTCTATATAATGTCTTCTTTGAAAAAATATTAATTTAAGAGCTAATCAAGCTTACCATTTCAATGAAATGAGCCAAAAGACACAACTTAGGACCAAACTATCTCTTTAAAAATAATTTTTCTTTTTACAAACAAAAAGTGAGTTACTTCTCATGTATTAATCTATGTAAATTTCCAGACTTTGTATTAATATCTTTTAAAAATACATTAATGCTATTTTTATTGAATGTTTTATGAAACATTGAATACATCTAAAATCAACTAGTTTGCACTTAAGGACTTCATTATATTCTTTCAACTATATTGCTTCTAGAAATGTTAGTAACTTGTTCTAAAGAAGTATATAAAATGTTTATTCTGTATGTAAAATGTTAGTGTAAAGTACAATGTATTTTGTAGCCTACTTAGTATTAATCAGAGGAGTAAAATGTAACAATATTAGAATGCTAAAAGAGTCATACTAATACAATAAGCATGTTTTAAATTCATACAAGAAAGTTGAAGATTAAAAGTATATTTCAGGCAGTAAGATCAACACGCTAGGTTAATATAATAAGATATTCAGAATTATGAGAATCACTCCCCATTTCATCAATGACTATATTAGACAAAATGGAGTGCAGAAGTTATTGGCTACGATGTTTAAAAGGATGAAAGCCGAGAAAGTATAGATTTATGATAAATTCTGAAAACAGGAATCTACTGGAAGATGGGAAATGTATTTACTTTTATATTTTTATTTATTTATTTTGAGACAGTCTTTCTGTCGCGCAGGCTGGAGTGCAGTGGCCTGATCTTATCTCACTGTAAACTTCGCCTCCTGTGTTCAAACGATTCTCCTGTCTCAGCCTCCTGAGTAGGTGGGATTACAGGTGTGTGCCACCACGCCGACTAATTTTGTATTTTTATTAAAGACAAAGTCTCACCATGTTGGCCAGGCTGGTCTCAAACACCTGACCTCAAATGATCTGCCTGCCTTGGCCTCCCAAAGTGCTGGGATTATAGGCATGACCCACTGATCCAGGCCAGAAGATGGGAAAAGAACATTTAGTGAGTAAGAATTCAACGAATTGCTTAAATATATTAATGTATAATCGGTGTAAGGCAGTATACAGCATTTCCAGTATAGGATTCCTAGTTCCGGACCTGTTTGTCTATGACACCTGTGATGTTGTGCAAAAGGAATATTAATAACTGCTAAACATAAAATTAGAATTAATACACTTACTGGATAAACACACAAAATATCTAAATGTGTATATATTAGTATTTTTATTAGAAGAGAAATTTTATAGATATTTGCGTATATGCATAGACTTAAAAATATATAAATACAGCTTATTTGGTACAATAACATCTGAATAATAATTTTAAAAGTACAAAAATAAAATTTCAAAAATGTATACACCTGAAAAACACTAGTCTTCTAAACTCTAGGGAACATTATTGCTTCATTTTGAATTTCTTCAAGATTTTTTAAATTCTTACCTCACTGGCTGTGGGCCCTGGCTCACCTGCACTAGATTTAATTTCAGAATAATAAAATATAATGCATTTTTTGCTTTTAAGGTTTAGTAAATTTTTAAATTAAATGTGGCCTCTGTGTTTTTTCTTTATTGAAATACTTTTAATTATTCTCTTTATATAGAGGTTTCTGATTTATTCATTTTTATTCAAATATCTTTTTGTTTAATGCCTACAATTTATCAAGCTCTATACTTAGACTATAATGATGAACAAGACTAACACAAGTGCTGTGCTAATGGAAAGCTTCAATATCATATCAAACATATATTTATTATCATGTAATTTATCACATAAATTATCACATGTAAATTATCACATAATTTATTATCATGTAATAAATTTCAATTATAATAAAGAATTGAATTTCAGCATTCTATGTGAAGAATTAACAGAAGAATCTATATAGGTTTGTGTTCTCACGCAAATACCCATATAAAGGAATAGTAAGAGTTAAATGTCTTTTCAGGTACAGAAAAACTGACTTAGAGCTTGAAGTAACCATGACAAATAAGGGAACCAAATGAAAGTCAATATAGCTAAGGTATGGAGAGTTACAGGAATAGATACGTGAAAAGATCCTAGAAAGTTAGACAGAAAGAAACCCCTGGATGGTATTATTGGCTAGATTTTGGGTCTGTTCAAATATCACTAGGAAGGCCTTGAATTGTTCTATACATCAGATGACCATCAGTTTTACATTTACAAAAGGAGATCTTAAAGAATGAAGAACAAATAACAAAGTAGGAAGAGTTAATTTTGAAACATCACTTAAGAGAATATTACAATAATCCAGAGGAGAAATGATGGCCACTTGACAATGAGGAACAAAATGGTGGGTGGGTTTCAGAGGTATGTATGATATAGAATAAATTGGATTTGTAATATAATTGATGTCAAATAAGAGAATCAAGAATAATTCCAGATTTGGGGCTGAGGGAAAACCATTATGTAAACCATGGTGTAATTTTCTGATTTAGGGAACACAGAAAATATATAAGTTTGGAGAGGAGATTTGTGTTAAATAGGTAGTGCTGTTGAGACAGTTCAAAGTGGATGTCAATAAGAAGCTCCATATTTAGGCCCTAGAGCAACCCCTACTGGATATATGAATATGAGAGCCTCACAAAGAGATTGCAACTGAAATAATGAGAGTAGATGCACACTAAAATTTTTTAAACGTCCACTATAAATTTCAGAAAAACTTTAATCATTAATGAATGTATACATGAAGAGAAGCTGACAAGAGACTACAAAAGAATGTCCAGAAAAATAGCAGGAAAACGTTAAAATGGCATTTTACGGAAATAGAAATAGAAAATTCAAGATAATATTTTTAGAGAAAAACAACGCCAACCTTATAGGGTACTAAAGTCAGGGCAAGGCAAATTAGGATTAAGGTATGTTCATTGCATTCATGATATGAGGTCTTTAATAAACTTGCTCCAGGTAAGTTCTGGAAGAATTATTTAGGCAGCCCCTTGAAGTGTGTTAAGGAATGGGTGGCTGATGAAGATTTGCAAATAGCATTTGTAAAAAACTTCATAGAAAAGTTTGCTTATGTTAACCCCATAATAGCAGTGTCTACTTTAATCCTGAGAAGAGTTATCAGATATTTACTAACACTATTTTATTTTTCTTTTACTAAATATATTAAGAATATATATGATGATGAAAGCTCTGACATTTCATAGTGGTTCCTTTTCTGAGTTTAAAAACTTATTTTTTCCTTTTGTTCGGTTTTTAGGCTTGCTTAATATTTACCAGTACTGATTTATATTAAATTTGATGAAGTCTTATAAAAATGACCCTTCACAAATTTTTCACAAAATGATCTTCAAGTCTAGACAAAAAGAAGGATGGAGAAAAAAAAATCACCAGAATCAATCTGCAGTTCAGAAATTCAGTAGCTTTGGGATGCTGGGAATCTCTAATGATTATTGTAAAAACTGGAGATATGAATAAGCAACCAAGTAAAGCAGCCATTGCACATCTTATTCCTATTTCCCACTTCTCAACTTTGTCTGGAAAACTCTTCCAGTAATAAACTGGTAATTACATCCAACATGATCTTTTTCTTATTCCTACCTCTCCTCCCTACTCCTATAAAATCTTTTCTGCAATAGCAACACTTCTTTGAGGGACAGAAAATGTGTAAGACTGAATATCAAGTAAACTGTCAAAGAGTGAATACGCCTTATCTAAATTGCTCTATTATAATCTTGAAGTATAAAGCAGATCAAGAATAAAAGTCCAAGAAGCAGAATAAACAAATAACTTAAGTCTCCCTTAATCCAGTGGGAATTGATTGATTGCCAATATTAAATTTACAATTCATACTAATATATAAATTAGCTATTTATTTCATTGGTAAACTTGTTTACTAATTTATCTAAATTCACAAGCACAAATGTTTTATCTAAAAATCTAACCTCCGTACAAGTGACTATAATTAGAAATATAATATATAAGATTTTAATTCAAATATCTCATAGTTATAATTACTTTTTTATTTTTCCTCACCACAAACAACTGCTACATATATCTGTAAATTTTGCTTTCTTTCTACCTTTCCCTTTGAGATCCTAAGTGTTCTATTACTAAAATTTACATTTCCCACATTGATAGATATTTGATAGGTTTCTAAGTTTTTGCTGTTATAAACATTGTTAATATGAGCAACTTTAAACATTTTTGGCATGCATATATGAGTATCTCTAATGAATATACATAAAACTGGAATAAGGAGTTACTGAGTAGGCATATCCAACTTTCCAAGATAAAGCATAATTATTTTCCAATGTGGCTAAGAAATTTAAACTCTTAAATATTAATATTTCACAACTTCCCACTATATTTTACTTGCTAATTTTTGGTACTTTCAAACTATAAGTTTCATTAACATAGTGGCTATAAAATTATATTTATGTAGTAATTTTTTGCATTTTCTTTATCACAATTAAGGTTCAACATTTTCATATTGTTATTTAATAGTAATCTACTCCCTGAATTTAATTTATTTTTTAAACCTGGGTCTTGCTAGATTTCAAAAGTAACGTTGTTTAATTAATTGTTGTAATTCTATCTTATACCACTTGTTTAGGTTGCAAGTCAGTCCAATGAAATGAATCCATGTTTACTCTGTATAATTGATTTCTAAGTCTTCATGAATAAGAAACACAAGTTATGTGCTATTTTTATGCTAGCATTATACACTTTTTCTCTGTGTGTTTGTATACATATGAAATGATATATTTGGGTTCAAAAATTAGGATTATAAAGGGCTTCCAAGGATGCAATTAAGCATTTTGTGTGCTGAGCATCTTTGTTGATGCTAGTGGTTTCTGTAGCAGTGTTCTTCCAAGTTAAGGAAACATTTTTTTAAAAGGCAATGATTTGTTTACAAGATACACAGAGCTGGGGGCTTTGTGGAAATAAATGAGGTCAGGAATTTGAGACCGGCCTGACCAACATGGTGAAACCCCATCTCTACTAAAAACACAAAAATTAGCTGGGCGTGGTGGCGGGCGCCTGTAATCCCAGCTGCTCGGGAGGCTGAGGCAGGAGAATAGCTTGAACTCGGGAGGCGGAGATTGCAGTGAGCTGAGATTTTGCCATTGCACTTCAGCCTAGGTGACAGAATGAGACTCCATCTTAAAAAAAAAAATCAAATTAATGTAGTTCTGTATGACAAAGTGCAGTCTATACACAGATAAATATAGATGCTGTGCTCTCTAGACAAAATGGAAAATAAAAAAAAAGGACAGTATGTAATCCATCAATGAAGAAGCTGGAAAAATAACCACACATGTCTAAAACACATGGAAAAGAAGAATTAAAAGGCTTATTCCAGACCTGCAAGGTGGCGTCAGGAAAATAGGGATCAAAAGGCCCAGAAACGTAGAAATACTTAAAAGAACTGTTCATTTTCTGTTGTTCAAGGTTGTTCTCTCAACTAAGGTAGCATTTTATATGCTCGTTTTATATACTGTGGATTATCCCTATGACGTGTTTGAAGCACTTTAAATCTTGGTAGATTCACGGATGTTTACTACTTTAATGTGTGTAACTCTGTGTTGTCTTATCACTTATCTTAGTCTTCTGCATTCATATAAGAAGATAAAATTACGCTTATATGAAATTGTAATGTTACCTAATTAAATGTTTCCTTCATGGGATCAGGGCCAATGTCTGCTTGCTTACTAGTCTATGTTCAATGTCTTTCTGGATAATTACCACGTTAGAAAACTTAATAAATGTTCATTGAGAAAATAAAAACTAAAATAATTGTTGCCCATTATTTATTATCAAATTATATTTATATATAAATAAGAATAAAAATTAAATTGTATTAAAATTAAATAATCTATAGCCCCTGTAGGGTAAATCCCATGTGATTTTCTGGCTGTAAACAAAATAGGTATAATCCCTAAGGAATAAATAATTGTGAAAGCAAATGTGAATGAATATATTTTACCAATGGAAACAATGTCTTTGAAATATCAATTATATCTGGAAATAATTGGTTTAATTTAGTTTTAAATTATCAATTATGTAACACAGGGTGCAAGCAAGTCTCTGTGTCTCTGTCGATATTTCCGAGAGAGAAAAAAAAGAGAAACACCTATTCTAACTTAAATCTGATCTTTACTTTTGTTCTTCAAATTAAGTCCTTCCAAGAAAAAATAAATATAAAAGTCCCTTAGGGTTAATAGAATAACTCAAAACATAATCCCAACAACACAGCACTTTTAAAGCTATTATTTACTGAAAACTTGTACTAGTTGCTATGAAAATAATCCTTATTAAGTTCATGTGTAGAGATAACATTTAGTGTAATTTAACCAGAAATGGTGTAGAATAACACAGAAGAAAAATAAAAATTGAATTTTGATGTGAAAATTTAACTAAGTTGTATTAATTCTAATAATATGTATTATCCATTGTCAGTGTATGGTAATCAGATTATTTCTTTATTAGAAAGAGCTCATAAAATTGAAGGAAGCTTAGAGTAATTTTGTAAGTTCACTATGTTCTTGAAAACAACAGACTTACAGGGGAAAATATTCAACAACTTACTTAAGACTATCAGTTATCCTTCCATAATAACTGTGTCACCAGCTCCTGCAGAATGTCATAGAATTTTATTTAGAATGTTTCATTTTATAATTTGTTTTATCCCATATATTGCAAGACATTAAAATATTAACAAATGTACATGGTTTCGATGAATACCAGCATACATTTTCAATTTGCAAATTATAGCTCACTTAGAAGTTGTAAGGGATTATTTTCTATGGATAAATAATATCATTTATAATAAAGTTTCAAATTATTTTCCTCAGAAAGGTTGAAGTAACTTTTTGTTAATTAACTGCTATATCAGAAATGATTTAGCTAAAAAAGCATGAATAATTTATTGTCACAAATAATTATAATTTATATGATTTACAATTATGAATGTCTTATGATTTATTCTACATTTTCAATTTATGTCATTCTTAGGTACTTTCTTAAATAACTATGAATCAAAACATATTGAGAAAGCACTAAAAATATTTTTATTACATTCGTAGGCATTAACTATCTTCCTTATATATTCCTTGACATACTTTATTACTTAAATAAAACATATAACTCTATTTAAATAAAAAATGTAAAATTATATTTTAAAACATGGATATTGTTTTGAAATTATGTATATATCATTTTAAATATAATATTTAATTGTATTCATTTCAATAAATTATTTGATTTTGATTTTCTCTACAGTCTTTTGTGGTCACACATTTAATCACAAAACACCTGTGAATTACATAATCTTATTCGTAAAAATTATAGACAGGAACCTAAGCAGAAGATGTTATCGCCAGTTGAACTATGGATGCTTTGTTGTATGACTGCATTTACAAATTATTTGACCTCCTTTAGATTTGGTCTTATGTTGAGTATAGGCAACCTATTTTAAAATAGCCTTCTTCACATTTGTTTTCTAATCAGCACAAAACCATCAACCTCTACCTGGAGAATTGCTGTGAATTTAGAATTTGCAATAAGTGTTGAGTTCTTCATAGTGTGCGAAACAATTTGTATTCATTTTGCCTATTTATATAGAAAAATGTTTGGTCTTGATCATACTCTTGATGATTCAGTAATATTATTCAGAATGATTTATAAAATATTTTCAATTTTTAGCCCTTTAGTTTGTCTTGGATGAAATTTGAAAACATACTTTAACTTTGTTCAAAATTATTTTATTCCACTGTCTAGGAATGTAAAATAATTACAATTTTTGTGTGAATCTTGATGATTACACATGGCTTAAAAATTATTAGCACAATTATTCTTTGAAGGAATGTTACTAACTTTAAATTATTAGACAACATTATACTATGATAATCAGTTTAAAGCTTTTTTCTGAAAAAAAAGGGGCATGTTATCAACTCTAATTTTGGAAATTGTGACAATGTTTAAATGTATATTATTTAAACACAAAGTTTTGTAGCTTTCTCAACCTTCTATGAATGAATGCACGCAATTTTAACCTCTCATTCTATAACTATATATATATATATTTTGAAAGAGTAAGTATAATTTATTTTTTCTTAATCCCTATATTTTTAATAATTTTTTTTTTTTGAGACGGAGTCTCGCTCTGTTGCCCAGGCTGGAGTGCAGTGGCATAATCTCGGCTGACAGCAAGCTCCGCCTCCCGGGTTCATACCATTCTTCTGCCTCAGCCTCCCGAGCAGCTGGGACCACAGGCGCCCGCCACCACGCCCAGCTAATTTTTGTATTTTTAGTAGACACGGGGTTTCACCCTGTTAGCCAGGATAGTCTCGATCTCCTGACCTCGTAATCTGCCCGCCTCAGCCTCCCAAAGTGCTGGGATTAATAAATCTTTATATCACTAATTTAACATTGTTATTAGTTGTCCTAGCATATCTAAAACAATTTTTGTATAAACATTATCTAGCTCTCATAGATATTTGATTTTTAAACATTTTATTTTATAAAAGCAGTCTTATGGGACAAATGTTCACTTTATAGTAGTGTTTCATTGATGTTGATTCTATTTGATAAGTAAAGTTCATCTCCCATGTAAAGCAGAATATTCGTATACCATTTTAGTTATTGACATTTTTTTCTATGCTTCTGATTTTATGAAAAAGAAGTCCAAATTTGAATTATACAAGTAAAATAACACAAACTAACATCAACACAGGAATACCTATTAAATGCACTTTTAAATATATGCATAAATTGCTAACTAGTTTTTAATTTAAGACTATAAACTTGAATGATGGCAGAGTATGAATATATAGCCTGACAATTGTCAACTTACGAGACACAATATTATATTTATTTAAGTGAACAAAATTTTCCATATTCTTATTTTCTATTATTTGTAATCGTCTGAATAAGTACTTAATGCTGAAACTATGTTTTCCCAATGTAATTAAGACAGGGAAATCCTAGAAAAAACTCTAGGAAGGAATTCATGACTAAGTCTTCAAAAACACTTCTAACAAAAACAAAACTTGAAAAGTTTTAATCTAGTTAAACTAAAGAGCTCCTGCAAGGCAGGAGAAACTATGAACAGAGCAAACACACCAGTTACAAAATGAGAGAAAATATTCACAAACTATACATCTGACAAAGGCCTAATAGTCAAAATCTACAAGGAATTTAAACAAATCAATCAATAAACAAACAATGCCATTAAAAAGTAGGCAAAGGCCATGAACAGACACTTCTCAAAAGAAGACATATAAGCGACCAAGAAACATATGGAAAAATGCTCAGTATCACTAATCATCAGAGAAATGAAAATCAAAACACGAGATACCATTTCACACCAGTCAGAATGGCTTTTGTTAAAAAGTCAAAAAATAACAGATGTTGGCTGGATTGCAGAAAAAAAGGGGATTGCAGAAAAAAGGGGAGGCTTATACACGTTGGTAGGAATGTAAATTAGTTCAGCCACTGTGAAGTGCAGTTTGGAGATTTCTCAAAGAACTGAGGGTTGAACTACCATTTAACCCAGCAATCACACTACTGAATACATATGAGAAGAAAAATGAATATTCTACCAAAAGAAAGATGCACCTGTATGTATATCACATCAGTATTCACACAGCAAAGACATGGAATCAACCTATATGCCCATCAACTGTGGAATGGATAAAGCAAATGTGGTCCATATACACTATGGAATACTATGCAGCCATAGTGAGAGAAAAAATCATGTCCTTTGCAGCAGTGTGGATGCAGCTGGAGGCCATTAGCCTAAGCAAATTAATGCCGAAACAGAAAACCAAACATTACATGTTCTCACTTATAAGTGGGAGCTAATCCCTGAATACACATGGACACAAAGAGGGGAACAATGGATGCAGGGGAGTACTTGACGGTGGACGGTGAGAGGAGGAAGAGGATAGAAAAACTAACTATAGGGTACTATGGTTATTATCTGGGTGACAAAATAATCTGTACACCAAACCCCTGCGACACACAATTTATAACAAACTTGTACATATACCCCTGAAACTAAAATCAAAGTTAAAAAAATGAAGAAAAATATAGTGTTTCAGATCCCATCCTGGAACTACTGAAACAGACTCTGGAGGCATGGTCCAGTAATTTACATTTGAAGTAATAATTGATGGTATATTTTTTCCATCCTTTAAATCTATGCATGTTGTAGAATTTGAAGTAAATTTTCCAGTAAACAGCATATGGGTAGGCTGTGTATTTTATCCTCTCTGTCAATTGCTTCTTTAAATTGACATGTTTAACCATGTGCAATTAAAAAAATAATTCTATATCAGAGAAACATTTCCCATTTTATTATTTATCTTCTGCTTGCTTCCTCTGCTTCTTATTCCATTGTTTCTCTTTTTTTTTCGTCTTCTTCTAGGATACTTGAACATGTTTTTAGAATTCTATCTTAATTTTTTTCATAATGCTTTGAGTGTATGTCTTTGTATATTTTTCTTAGTGGTTGCTCTGTGTATTACATTATTCGTATGTGTCTTAGAACAGTCTAATGGTATCAACATTTTAACATTTCAAGTGCAGTGTAGAAGACTGACTTTCATTCAAATATTTTACTTTCTGACTTTTAATTATGATTTTCTTTTTTATCTGATGGTGTCATTATTTTCAATCATCAATATGAATTATACAACTCATGAAGATAGTCTATTGCATGAATTATACAGTGAATGAATTGTCCAACTTGTGAAGGTAGTAAATTGTATGTGTCCACATATCTATTCTTTCAGTTGTATTTCCTTCCCGGTGATCCATGAGTTGTTCTTTTATAATTTCTTTGCTTTATGAAGAACTTCCTTCTGCCATTTTTCAATGATGTCCTCAAGATCTGCTACCCAAATTCTTTTACTACTTCTTTGATATAGAATGTCTTTGCATCCCAAATTCTTTTACTACTTCTTTGATATAGAATGTCTTTGCATCCCCTTCATTCATGATAAAAATTTAACTGGATATAGATTTCATAGTTAATAGTTATCTTATTTCTGCACTTAAAAACATCGTGCAATGTTTTTCTAGACACCATCATGTCAGTTGAGAAGTATGCTGTCATTTGTATTGGTAGGCAATGCATCATTTCTCTCTGGCTATTTTCAAGGTTTTGCTTTGTCTTCAATGTTCAGAAATTTCACTGTGACATGACTTGTTGGGTTTTGGGGGTCTTTATTATATGTAGGGTTTCTTTGAATTTATCCTATTTACAGTTCACTCAGTTTCCTAACTCTGTATATTTATGTATTTTACCACATTTAGAACATTTCTAGTCATTATTTCATTGAATGATTTTGCAGCTCTATTCTCACTTCCCTATTCTTTGATTTTAATGATACAAAAGTTGGATCTGTTTTTCTGCCCCATTTATGTAAATACTGCAAGATATATAGATGGACCCTGACGTCAATGATGGTTTAATTTAACATATTTTTGACTTTATAACTGTGCAAAAAATATATGCATTCATTTAAAATCAAACTTTGAAAACCTATACAACTATTGTGTTTTTCATTCTCACTACAGTGTTTAATAAATTACATGAGATATTTAACACTTTAGTACAAAATAGAATATGTGTTACTTGCTTTTGCCCAACTGTAGGCTAATGTAAGTGTTCTGAGCACATTTAAGCTAGGCTAGGCTAAGCTATGATGTTCTGTAGGTTAGGTGTATTATATGCCTTTTTTACTTATAATATTTTCAATTTATAACAGATTTATTGAGTTGTAACTCCATTGTAAGTCAAGCTGCATCTGAATTTATAATTTTAATGGAGCTTAATAAATGTTGTAAAAATTAACAAAATTGATGGGGGAAAACATTTGAGTTGTGATTCAAAGTCTATTTTTAAATAAAAGTTGTTAATTTAGTAAACTATATATATATATCTTAAAATTAACCAAGAATACATTACTTGTGGTTTATTAGTAGGGTCATAAATGGCATAATAACATATAAATATAAAATATTTACTATAAAATAATGTTAAAACTAACATTAGCTTAAAATGTGTCTAACATATTTTGAGAACATGTATAATTGGAAATATATTTATTATATTATATTTGAGGTATTTTGTTTAGAGACTATATATCAATAGAATACTTCCACTTATGATTCTTTATATCATTACCCCAATCTTGCCAAATAATTTATAATATTCATAATAAAATATATTTCAGATAATGATTCTTGGGGAACTCTTAAGGAACTCTAATGATACTGCTAAAACTATCCATTACAATAAAAAACTCAAAATTATCATAAAATAATCAATGTTCCCTTTATACTTTTAGAGTATAAACTAAAATAATGGAGTTATTATAAAATTTAGCAAATGAATTCTCATTATTTCTCTGTTTGTACTATTTACATTCCCTACTATACAGAGAATGATACTTACAGTAGGAAATTTAGATCATATATCCTTTTTATTAAAAAGCTTCTAAAGCTATCCCGTTTCACTGAGAATATAATACAAATCTACCTCATGTCTTGCTCCTCTTGCTGTCAATCACTCAGCTACTGAATGTGTCTCAACCCAACCATAAACACTCCTGTATTAGGATTCTTGTTAGCTGCTCCTAGAAGATTTTTTCACCAGATTCTGAATGCCTATGATGTCACATTCAGTGTAATAATAAAATGGCCCTATATCAAAGATGCCTGCCCTGGATCTCTTGTCTGAAACAGCCCATCTTTTAATCTTATTCTGCTTTCTTTTTCAAAAGATTATAAATGGGTAAAAAAAGACATAAATCCTATGACACAGCACTAAATGTGGGGAACCAGGAAGTATTATGACAATAAAATTTGTAATTAAGATATTTTATGGGCAAAGTCCTCAATTTTATGATTAACATTAACTAGTATATACATATATATATATGTACCTAGGGCCTACCTTCATGCAGGCAGTTGACTACTAGAGTATAACTTGAAAAATGCTAAAACATTTTCCATTTTTACTACAATGTTTGCCAAGTGCATTGTTTTGTTTTAAAGATATGCTTTTTACTTTTTCTGACTTCATTCAGTTCACATAAAGAGTATAGTCTAGTCAATATTATCTCTTATCGCCCTTGAGAGATACTGCAAATGGGGAAAGGGGCATTTCTTCATTATTGTGTAGAATTGTGTCTAGAGTGGACTAAATTAATTATGTATAGGCTGGAAAAGGATTATGAATATTTTAAAACCTTCTTTATTGTTGTGACATATTTAGAACATTGAGCTGAATGAAAGTCATTGTTAAACACATTTGTTGAGCTAGTAACTGCCAGAAACAATGTAATATGAATAAATATGTACATAAATTTATAAGAGAAAAGTCAATTTTGGGATTTTGGGAATGGATTAAGCAAATATATTTGTATAGAGTAGAGATGTTTGAGAGGAGACTGCTAGATATATAGACTGGAGTAGTAGAGGAAGTCAAAAAGGATTGAACATAAAGAAAGAAATATACCAGTACCAGCTTTCAAATGTTCTACATAGAGGACTAAGTCCCAAATAAAGTAATTTAAAATAAATTTATGAGCATATATAAATGCTTGGACTAACATCATTCATTTTTGTTTCCCAAAAGCTGATTCCTTTATTCTCAGCTTTATTGGGGTTATACTGATAAATATAAATTTTATACAGTTAAAGTGTATAATTTGATTTTTTGATACACTATATATTGTGAGTCACCACAATCATCCTAGTTAACATGTTTGTCACCTCACATGTTAAACTTTTGGTGAGAAGACTTAAGATCTACACTTAACCAATTTCAAATATACAACACAGAATGATTACCTATAGTCAACATTCTGTATATTAGATCTCCAGAACTTATTCATAGTGCATAACTGGAGAAATTCTACAGCATCAATCATAAAAAATATAGCCATACATATTTATTTTCTAGGTTTGTGTGAGCAAAGATCAAAGATAAAAGAGTAGAATAATTAAAAATCTCTATCATTAGTAATCTTAGGACATAGTTACACTAGTTAAGTATTCTTATTAATACCTAGTTGAATACTACCTCAGTGAAGGAAACATTAAGTGAATATGACACATCACCATAGAAAAGACCTCACAGAGACTAAATTATTTCTTTCTTATATAATTATTTTTTCCCAGATTTATTGAAGTATGATTGACAAATGAAAAGCTGAATATATTCAATTTGTGGTATATTTGACATTGAGTATACATGTATTTATCATTGCTATATCTGCCTATTCAAGTGACAATTTATCATCATATAATGACCTGCTTTGTTTCTTGAGACAAGTTATCACTTAAAGTCTATTTTGTATGATATAAGAATAACTATCCCTCTTCTCTTTTTGTGATTATTTTTTATGAAATATCTTTATCCTTTCTCTTTCAGCCTATGTGTGTCCCATAAATCTAGAAAATATATTGTAGATAACATACATATATATGTAATATTTATATATAAAAATTTATTCAGCCACTCTGTTTCATTTGGTTGGTAAGTTTAATTCATTTACATTTAAAATTTATTAAATTGATTTGATTTATAATAGATTAAATGGATCACATTAAGTGTAACCCATTTAATACATATACATTTAAAATAATTATTGATAGGTAAGGAATTACTTTTGCCATTTCATTAATTGTTTCCTGTCTCTTTGTAATTTTTTAATCTTCTCTTGTGTTTCTTTTTGTAGTTTGGTAATTTTTTTGTATGATGTGCTTTGATTCTTTCCCTTTTAGCTTTTGTGTATCTACTGTGTACACGTTGAACATTTTCTAGATAAAGAAGTCTGCTTTAAGCTGATAACATAACTTCATTGCATACAGATACTCTACACTTTATGTTTTTTCTTGTATATGCAGTTTATGTAAATGATGTTACATTTTCTTTCTACAATGTATTGATATTAAAAAAATCCCGTGGTTATGGTTATTCTGACTACTTTTGTCTTCTAGTTTATATACTGCTTTTAATAATGATTTATGTTCTACTATTACAGTATTAAAATATTCTGTTTGTTTATCTTTTAAATTATATTTTTACTTTTATACACTTTTATGTTGTTGTTTAACATCTGTACTTTAAAACTTGAAAATCTTCCTTTAGCACTTCTTGTAAGACAGGTTTAGTGGTTAAATAACTTTCTTATGTTTTGTTTGTCTTGGAAAGTCTTATCTTTTCTTTATTCTTAATGTACAGTCTCACCCTGTAAAGTATTTTTTGTTGGCAAGTGTTTTTCCTTTTGTTCTTCTAGTACTTTGGATGTATCATTTCATTCCTGGCCTGCAAAATTTCTGCTGACAAATACACTGATAATCTTTTTACTCTTGCTGCTTATAAAATTATCTCATTGTCTTTGACTTTTGTCAGTTTAATTATATCTATTTGGAAATTTGGGCTTTATGAATCAAGATGTTCATTTCTCCTTCTAGATTTGGAAAGTTTTCACCTGTCGTTTCTTTAAATATACTTTCTGCTGTTTCTCTCCCTTTTTTCCTTCACAGATTCTTGTAATGAATACATTGTTATTCTTGATGGTGTCCCATAAGTCCTTTATACTTTTTTTGCTACTTTTTTTTTCTTTTTTTTCCCTCTCTAATTGGATAATTTCAAATGATCTATTTTATAGTTAGCTGATTCTTACTTCTGAATTATTGAGTCTGTTGTTGAAGCTACCTGTTAAAATTTTAAGTCCAGTCATTGTATTATTTAGTTCCAGGATTTCTTTCTTTTGTATGGTTTCATTTATTTGTTACACATTTAATATTACTTGTGTATTGATTTTCTGATTTTTGTTCCATTATCTACATGGTTTTTTTTTTGTAGCTCATTGAGTTTCCTTAAGATGATTATTTTGAATTCTCTGTCAAGCAGTTTATGAAACTCCATTTTTTTAGAGTCAATTACTGGGCCTTTATTAGTTTCTTTTGATGGTGTCATGTTTTTCTGATTCTTGGTGATCATTGTAGACTTGCATTAGTGTCCGTACATTTGAAGGAGCAAATAATTTTATCATTGTTTACAGACTGATTCTGGCAGATATAGACCTTCTTCTGCTGGATACCCAGACTGGTGGGACTAACTCTGTGACTGTAGGTGAGCAGGAATAGAGTTGGGTTGTGGGGTAACTTTTGGGTCTACAGTTGAGTCTGAATATGACAGTCCTTTTAATCAGAGTCTTATATAGGTACAGCTCCTGCCAAAAAGACTCTCATTGATAAGGTCCCCCGTGGACCCCTGGGTGGGCAGGACTGCCTTCAGGAACCCAGTAGAGCAAGACTGTATCCAGAGCATTAAGCTATTTCAGGGTCTACAGGCAAGTCTGAGGTCAGCAGGCTTCTACTGGGAATGACAATTTGCATGGCTCCTGCCAGGTTTTTGAGTGGGTAACACTGCCTCTAGACCATGATAGCATGGGGCTAGAGTGGGCCATTGAGCTTCTTCAAGGGGCTACTGTCCAGTCCAATGTCAGTGGGCCTGTTAACATGGGCATAAAGAGGCATATCTCTCATTAGGTACCAGAGCAGGCAAGACTGTCCCTGGACTGTGGTAGTGTGGGGCTGGAGCCAAATTACAGGGCTGCTGCAGGATCTGTAGTCAGGTTCAATGTCAGAGGGCGTTTTACCCGGGGTAGATATGGGCATGAGTCCTCCCAGGTTCCTGAGCTAATGAGGCTGGTGTGAAAACCACGGCAAAGCAGGACAAGAGCTGATCTTCCAGAAGTATATGGCTGCCTCTAGTCTAAAGCTAGGTCTGTGGTTGGTAAGCCTGCCACTGAGGCACAAGACTGCCCTCTTATAGTGGATGTTTTGGTTTTAAACTCCACTGGAGATTCACAATCTCCTATCCGGACTCCAATGCTCCTGCAAAGGCACTTTTGACTGTGAATGGCTGCTAAATCTTTCTTGCCATTGGGGAATGTGAACTGGGAAATTTCTGTTCTGACATCTTGCTGACCTAGGCTAACATGATTTGTATCTTTCTGGATTTCATTTTTTCAGATATTAAATTCTATTTTTCATATTTACATATCTTTATAATTAAGAATTAACAGCACTATTAATAATTGATAAAATCAGACTTAACTTTAGTAATTTATGTTTCCAATGAATGTAAAACAGGTACTTTAAAAATTTTTATTAATATAGTTGGGGGTTGTAAAAAATGAGTTAGACAATGAGAGAGTGTAAGACTTTTACTAAAGAGCCTTTATTAAATCAAGTGCTTCTACATTGATAGAATTGGCAGTTATCATAATAAATCCTCCTATACTTTTATGCTGTTTTGAAAATATATAATGTAAAACTAACTTTTTATAAAAATGTTTTTTATTTTTTTATTTTTTCATTTTTTTAATGTTTTAATTTTTATTTTTTATTATTATACTTTAAGTTTTAGGGTACATGTGCACATTGTGCAGGTTAGTTACATATGTATACATGTGCCATGCTGGTGCGCTGCACCCACTAACTCGTCATCTAGCATTAGGTATATCTCCCAATGCTATCCCTCCCCCCTCCCCCCACCCCACAACAGTCCCCAGAGTGTGATGTTCCCCTTCCTGTGTCCATGTGTTCTCATCGTTCAATTCCCACCTATGATAAAAATGTTTTTTAACAAAAACTATGCATTTTTAATTCAGTTTTTTTTTTTAATTTTTTCCAGTGAATGTTAATATATGTTGTTTGAATAAATATTCATTGTGTTCATAGTTCTATCTGAATGAGGGTTTTTTTCTAGCCATGACAGAAGAATCTCTTGGTATCATTATAGGTTTTGATATACATTGATATGCTGAAAATTACTTTACATAAAAAAAGAACCATTATGTTATGAAAGAAAAAAAACAGAAGAATTTAGACTCCAAAATTGTTTTAGCTCAAATATAGGTTATCTCTGTTCAAAGAGACGAGAGTCTAACATCTACAAATCCCAAAATCACCTTTGTCATTGGCATCCAGTTAGTGAAAGAGGAGAAAATACAAATTATCACTTTGTTGGATATACTTATGAATTAGGCCAGAGAGAGACAAATATTACTTCTGCCCACATCCCATCGACTATAACATTATTATTATGGTCACCTAGCCCCAAGGGATACTTGGAATATAATCTATCTCCATCTGCACAATATATTGCAGATCTATATTCTGCAGATATATATTTGCAGATCTATATTCTGCAGATATATATTTGCAGATCTATATATCTGCAAAAGGGAAAATAAACTGTGATAATCAGGTATCAACATCTTACACATCCGTTTTTTTATTCTTACCTCACACTCATGCTTTACACTACATAAATACTGTAACTACTCTTGTTATCACTACTAGCACTAAATAATAGCAATAATGATGATAAGAACTACTGACATTAAGCATTATGTGCTAAACACTGTTTTGTATAACATTATCTATTCCTCCCAACAATCCTATTTTTAGATCATATTATCATCATTAACTTGCAAATGTAAAAACAGAGGCACAGAAAAGGAGATAAATTGCCCATTTTTACACAAATACTAACAGAGTCTATATCTACATGGAGGAAATATATGGCAAGATCATCTATTCTTAGGTATACACAATGGGAGATTATTTAACACTGCTTTGCGGAAACACCTTAAACTCTCCAAATCTGGTTTTCTCATCTAAAAAATGTGGGTAATACGTATATTCTAGGGTTGGTGGAAAATATAAATTATACCATGTCTAAAAATGGCCTCAGCTACTCGGGAGGCTGAGGCAGGAGAATCGCTTGAACCCAGGAGGCAGAGGTTGCAGTGAGCCAAGATCGCGCCACTGCACTCCAGCCTGGGTGACAGAGCGAGACTCCACTGCAAAAAAAAAAAAAAAAAAAAAAAAAAAAAACAGGCAAAGTCGGTTATTGATACAGATTTTCAAGCTAAAAACTAAAATTTTAACCACAATGTCATCATTTTTTAAATTCATCATGCAAGAGAAGATATGCCCATACTGGATTGACCTCCACTTTTACTTTTGTGAAAAATAACTGACTGTGAAATTCTTTCCTACCATAATTACCACCATCAAAATTTTGATACTATAAACTCATTTATAAGCATGAAATGTTGATTTTAATATTTAATGTTTTAACATGTGGAATTTGAAATAACATGATAAATTTTAGATTATCATTTAATCATGTTTTGTTGTAAATACAGTTAAAAGATTAGCTCTCCTTCTCCTAGTTAGCTGTGACTCTCATTCTGAAAATATAAAAACTTTAATTGATACAGAATAAGAAATTATCTTAGCAGATATGGACCTTGCTCAGGATGAGTGAATATACATAAACTAAAATGTCACACGAGAAATAAGAAAAAGTGGCATATTAGGAAACTGATGAAGTGTCCAGAAAGATTGGTCTTTTTAAACTTTATTCAACCCTCTGTTAAAAAATTCAATTGGTTACCATTACTCTTCAGGTAATTATCTAAATCTTGAATTCGATTGTATGTCCTACTTCAGTTCTACTCTACCTCTAGAGTGATATGATGTTATTACAATTTTATTTGTTCCCTATGCTACATTCATGTGAACTTTCATTTCTTATTGTTCCAAGCTCATTTCAGTATAAACAATTTATGGAATGTTTGTCAAAAGCGACCCCATATGCATGTTTCCATTAACTGATTTATTCAATTTTCAGCTCAATTGCCACTTTATAAAAAGAAGCTTCCATTTATTTATCATTTTTTAAATGTCCATTATACATACATTTTCTGTAATTCTTCTCTTTAGAAATTATTAGAGCAGAAAGTTGTATATGTTTAAGATTATTTAATTAACTCTTTAATTCTATAACTTAATTCCATAAAGGTCCATGAAAGTAAGAATCATGTATGATTTTCTCAAAATTAATTTCTAGCCCATACCACAAATGTTATGTGGTAGAGTTTTGTAAATAATTGCTGAATAGATAAATGGTTCTCAAAAATATTTATGATATAAATTGAATTAGATTTCATTTTTACATAGTTTTTCCCATTGTATTATAATGCCCTTTTCCAACAATATTCACAAAAACAAAGACACTATTATTGTAGTTACACTGTATTTTTATTTATTTATTTATTTATTTATTTATTTATTTATTTATTTATTTATTTATGTAGACACAGTCTGTCTCTGTCACCCAGGCTGGAGTGCAGTGGAGCAATCTTGTCTCACTGGCAACCTCCACCTTCTGTGTTCAAGCGATTCTCCAGCCTCAGCCTCTGAAGTAGCTGGGATTACAGGCGCATGACCACCATGCCCAGCTAATTTTGGTACTTTTAGTAAAGCCAGGGTTTCACCAGGTTGGCCGGGTTGGTCAGGAACTCCTGATGTCAGGTGATCCGCCGCCTCAACCTCCCAAAGTGCTGGGATTACAGGTGTGAGGCACCACGCCAGGCTCCTTTATTGTAGTTACACTTTATGATGCTATTGACATTAGATCATAGACTAATGTTGCTCCTGAGAGTTGGGCAGCATAATGCAACTGAGTGAACAGTATGTAAACTACCAAGAATATTAAATTATAATTTGTATTGACATAAAAAAGTAGTAATTTGAGATGTAAGGAAAGCTGGAATAATTCTGTAGTTTTAAAACATAAGGATTCTAACAGACCAAAACAAATTACGTATAAAACAGAAATATTTACTGGCTAACTCTAATTTCCAAAGTGATGGTGAAGAAAAAAAACAAAAACAAATCTCATAAACCAACTCTTCCTTGGGCTAATGATTTCTAAAATGTAATGCAAGTTACATAAAACTTCTGAAATATTTCCATAGTCATAAAATGCTTCTGTGGGTTAATTTAAAATCAATTCTCTAGCTAATTGGTACAAAAGCCAGTGAAAGCTGCTACTGATTTTTGAGAAGACTCAAATAGAAAACAGTCATTTGCCAAATCCTCTGATAGTGAGATTCACAAGCATAATTATGTGCCAGGTTTTCATCTCTAATCTAAACCCCAGTGAACATTTACTTTGAAGGAATCAATAATAAATTCAAAGAGAGGACAGAATCCATAGGGTGAGAATAAAAGATCAACATCTGGCTTCAAGTCTTCTAGTGTGCATGTATCCAAGCAATTACACAGACTGAGCAACTGAGAATTGAGTTTACAATCTTATTGCAAATTTTTAAAGAACTTCAAACTTTAGTCTTTTCATTTTCTTGTGACTTAATCTATGTTCACGTTCCAGCCTGTCCTCTGAATTCTTCAGAACGGATTTATTTTTCTAATGTCATATGTGCCTTAGGCAGCATCCAGCTATCAGGTCTCTGCACACCTAGGAGCTAATTGGTGGAACTGCTTTCCATAAAATATTCATACCAGTAACTATTTTTAAAGTTAATTTAAAAACTACTTCTCTTTCATTTTAATCTCAAATATTGCTAGTGAAATTTTATGTGATATCTTTACTTACAATCCCAAAAGGTATTGAAAGTTATGAACTTTCCTTAGAGGAAAAGATGGTATAACTTCATAGTCACTGCCTCATTATCCTATACTGCAGTTTGGCTTTGAACCACCAATCCCAGAAGACATTACAATAAGTTATATACGCATTTTCTTGAAAGAAATATGATATATTCAAGTAAAATATATTTAATTTTCTGTAAGTTCCTTGGCTCTGAAAACGATAAAACAAAATGTAATACCGTTATACAAAAATTAGCACACCTCTATTCCTTAATTTTGTTTCATTTTGTGTTTTTAAGTAATTAGACCTGTTTATACTTCTAAGAATTATTACACAAAGATAACACTGCATTTCAGAGGGCCCTGAAATTTACTGTAAATAATTTCTTTTACTTGAGAATGAGTGTAAGCACACACCCAAATTCTAGCTCGAACAGAATTTACTTAATATTTTAAGGTTCAATTTTCATCAACAGAATTAGAATAATAATACTAACATCATAATATTAATAGAATGATTAAATTTGGTAATATATTTAAAATTCCTCCAAAACTTGAAAATTAAATAAGTGCTACCAATCGCAACATTAGTTTCTTTTGATTATGAGCCTCAGTGATTATATGTGTGCCTATATTAGAATTATTTTTACTGCAATAAAGAAATATATTATGAAAGAACTGTTCAAGTCTTATGTGTTTATTGGCACCTATTAAAAAAGTAATTAATAAAATTTAATATAAATGTATTGCAAACATTTGATTTTCTAAATATTGTTTAAAGCCCTCTTTCGCAGAAAAACCATAAAGCATGTTGTTTTTACAAAAATTAAAGAAAGTAGAAACTGAGAGGAAATATATGTATGATCAAATATAACTTGTAAAGCTAAATATTGGCTCTAAATGGCAGCGATTTAAGTCCTGAAAGTAGATATTTCATGCCATACTGATGAGCATAATATCAAAAAATAATGTTTCCTGGATAGTTTTTTACTGTGTTTATGTCCTACGCCTTGTATGAAAAGAACTTATGAACTATAAACAGAATTATGTTGTCTCCAAAGAGATCAGGGAACACACATTAGACACCACTCTCCGTAAACCTACTTAAAATGAACTAAAAATATTTAGCCTGTGAGGCTATTGACTTTGACTAATAATTCTAATAATAATTAGAATCACTCTTTTTTTAGATATATAAATTTCACAACTGAAATGGATTTGGTAATGATAATATTGTCTTTATACTACAGTTATCATTTGCAGCAATAATAAATGTAGACGGTTTCTTACAATACATTAGATAGATAATATTAACACACACATATATATACACACACACACACGGACATATATACACATACATGAAATTATGAAATTCTGGAATTGAGCTCAGAAATTTGCATTTTAACAAGCCCTATTTTAACAAGATGTTTCTGATGCATGTCAAAATTTGAGATGTACCAGTTTAAACAGGTGTCTTTTACATTTACTCATTTATTTACCTTTTTGAAGATCTTAATTCTTCTTATACCTTCTTTAGACTACCTGAGATAGTTTTTATTCAGCCTGAAGAATTTCCTACAGTATTTTGGTAGCGTTGCTCTACAGAGACTAATACTATTAGCTGTTGTTTGTCTAAGAACATCTTTATTATGACTTTTATTTTGAAGGTTATTTTTAGTTGGGTATAAAATTCTAGATTTGCATATTTGGGGTGGGAAGGCTTCAAGCCAGTTCCCAAACTGAATCAGCAAATTCTGTAGATAAGAAGGCAATCAGTAATGAAATTATCAATGAAACCACTCTCATATATATATATGTATATATATATACACACACACACATATGTACATAATTTTGTTCCCACAAATGTTATTCTTGAGATTTTTTATTTTTTAAAAAAATTATTGCAACAGTTTTAGAACAAGTATTGTTTCTTAACCATTCCAATCAACAAATTAAATTTCATTTATAGTGATAATAACAACTGAGGTAAATTCTCTTCTATTATAAGCCAGTTATTTTGAGAATGAAAGTAACAGTTTGGAAACAAGACTTTTAAGCCTCCTATAGTTCCTACTATGGAAGGATGCAACTATCATGCCTCATTCATTGCACTAAAGATTATTTAAGAAAATGCAAAATCTATAAAATAAAGACATTTTAACTACTAAACCAAGTAAACAATGAAAAATAATAATTCAGAAAATGATTAAGAAAACTTATTTGATAGAAGACAAACGAGTCTACACATCAAAATGCTTCTTCAAGAGCCAGAATAATTTACTTTTAATATATATAAAAACATTAGTTTGTGTTATCGTTGTGTCCGGAATTGGTGGGTTCTTGGTCTCACTGACTTCAAGAATGAAACCGCGGACCCTCGCGGTGAGTGTTACAGCTCTTAAGGTGGCGCGTCTGGAGTTTGTTCCTTCTTGTGTTCCGATGTGTTCAGAGTTTCTTCCTTCTGGTGAGTTCGTGGTCTCGCTGGCTCAGGAGTGAAGCTGCAGACCTTCACGGTGTTACAGCTCTTAAGGCGGCACGTCTGGAGTTGTGTGTTCCTCCCGGTGGGCTCGTGGTCTCGCTGGCTTCAGGAGTGAAGCTGCAGACTTTTGCCATGACCGTTACAACTCATAAAAGCAGTGTGGACCCAAAGAGTGAGCAGCAGCAAAATTTATTGCAAAGAGTGAAAGAACAAAGCTTCCACAGTGTGGAAGGGGACCCGAGGGGGTTGCCACTGCTGGCTCGGGCAGCCTGCTTTTATTCTCTTATCTGGCCCCACCCACATCCTGCTGATTGGTAGAGCCGAGTGGTCTGTTTTGACAGGGTGCTGATTGGTGCGTTTACAATACCTGAGCTAGATACAAAGGTTCTCCTGGTCCCCATCAGATTAGTTAGATACGGAGTATGGACACAAAGGTTCTCCAAGGCCCCACCAGAGCAGCTAGATACAGAGTGTCGATTGGTGCATTCACAAATCCTGAGCTAGACACAGGGTGCTGATTGGTGTGTTTACAAACCTTGAGCTAGATACAGAGTGCTGATTGGTGTATTTACAATCCCTGAGCTAGACATAAAGGTTCTCCAAGGCCCCACCAGAGCAGCTAGATACAGAGTGTCCATTGATGCACTCACAAACCTTGAGCTAAACACAAGGTGCTGATTGGTGTGTTTACAATCCCTGAGCTAGACACAAAGGTTCTCCAAGGCCCCACCAGAGCAGCTAGATACAGAGTGTCCATTGGTGCACTCACAAACCTTGAGCTAAACACAAGGTGCTGATTGGTGTGTTTACAATCCCTGAGCTAGACATAAAGACTCTCCACGTCCCCACCAGACTCAGGAGCCCAGCTGGCTTCACCTAGTGGATCCCGCACCAAGGCTGCAAGTGGAGCTTCCTGTCAGTCCTGCGCCGTGCGCTCGCACTCCTCAGTCCTTGGGTGGTCGGTGGGACTGGGCGCCCTGGAGCAGGGGGTGGTGCTAGTAGGGGAGGCTTGGGCCGCACAGGAGCCCATGGAGTGGGTGGGAGGCTCAGGCATGGCGGGCTGCAGGTCTGGAGCCCTGCCCCGCAGGAAGGAAGCTAAGGCTCCGTGAGAAATCGAGCGCAGCGCCGGTGGGCCGGCACTGCCGGGGGACCCAGTACACCTTCCGCAGCCGCTGGCCCGGGTGCTAAGTCCCTCATTGCCCGGGGCCAGCAGGGCTGGCCGGCTGCTCCGAGTGCGGGGCCCGCCAAGCCCATACCCACCCGGAACCCCAGCTGGCCCGCAAGCGCCGCACGCAGCCCCGGTTCCCGCTAGCGCTTCTCCCTCCATACCTCCCTGCAAGCTGAGGGAGTGGGCTCCGGCCTTGGCCAGCCCAGAAAGGGGCTCCCATAGTGCAGCGGTGGGCTGAAGGGCTCCTCAAGTGCCGCCAAAGTGGGAGCCCAGGCAGAGGAGGCGCCCAGAGCGAGCGAGGGCTGTGTGGACTGCGAGCACGCTGTCACCTCTCATCATTACAAAACAACAAAACAGAAACCATCAAAAGCACGCATTAGCTAAGTTTGCAAAAAATATGAAAATATCGAATTGCCATTATAACTATTTGTAATACAAAGAAGTAAAGAAAGGGCCAGAAGAAAAGAAAGGAATGGAAGGGAGAAAAGAAGTCAGGCTTTACAGAAAAGAAGAGGAAAATGAAGGACAGGACGGGAGACATGGGAGCCTTCCAGCCATTGCACCTTGTAGGGTTAATTCCCTCACCACTCTCATTTTTCTCCTGCCAGGGAGAGCCTCAGCACTCCAGACCTGCTACACCTTGTGTGGGACAAATCTCTCCCACCTCTGCAAGTCACCTGTCAAGGTGAACTGTTTTCAGGCAGAGGGAGCTTTTGGCTAAGTTGGAAAAGGGGGAAAGAGAGAGATACAGAGAGAGACAGAATGAATTAAGGTCCACATACAAAAGGCACATATTCACAGTCACATGTACAAATAAATGACGTACCTCCATAGAAACTCCCGTTTAAGAGGCTGGGTAGAGTGTCAAATCCCTCACCTCAGATTCAAACGCCTTCCCTCCCCACCTTACCCACGGGCGACTAAGTCCAAACCGAGAAAAGCCCCACAGGTGCCACAAATACAAACGCATAAAATGCTCAAATGGTTTCACTAGCGGCCAAGTCTAAATAGAGCAGAGCCCCAGCAACAGTTCAAAGGGGGCAGAGGGTGTTCGGGTGCACTCCAACTGAGTCACTCAGTTCTGAAGTTCAAAGTTCCAAAATTCTAGTTTCAAAGTTTGTCCACTTCTCTAAAGATCACTTTGTTTGAACCAACGAAGCACTGAAGGCAACAGACACTGCAACAGGAAAAGAAAGAGAGGATCCCCCTAAGACAGCCTCAAGGAAACTCCCCACCGTTCCAGCTAAGGGGTCAGCTAGCCACAAGCAGCTGTATTTCACAGGCAGCAGGCAGCCCCATGGTTTGTCTGATGGAAACCAGACCCTCCGGCTCAGCCCCCGGAGCACACAGGGCATGTCACCAACTGAACAAATCAGTTCCGGATGCTCATTGCTTGCAGAGTCCAATTAACAAGAGTGAGGTCTGGGAGAAAGTAACTTATTAACCAAACCTAGCAAAGGGGAAGCAGTTGGATTGCCATCCAAAGTAACTACTTTGACTTTTTAGGGGCGTGGGAGGAAAGGCAGGGGTTTAAAAAGGAAAACTTGATAAGGAAGGCGTGTAAGAATGGGGATGAGTATAATGGCTGTGTGTCTTCTTCAGCTGCTTATCTTGAGTTGCAGTCCACCTGGACCTCAGGCTGACAGCATGTCAACAATGGCTGGGTTGTTAATTAGCCAGCTTGAAGCAATCTCTGGAACTTTGCAGCTGGGTCTGCAGAATTGGTCTACCTGTCTCCAGATTAGTCCCTGGAACATTTAAGAAGACATGTAATTAGATACTAGCACACAGTTAGATAAATGTAAAGGGAGTATATATGTTGAAAAGGGGAGGGATATGGAGTCTATTTTAAGGTTCATTAAAAAAAAGGTTCTGTATTTTGCCTCAAGGTTGTATCTTTAAATGCAAGAGAAGGAAAAAAAAATGCATTTTGAAGTCAAGTGGCTGGGCTACAAGCAAAGAGCCCCGTTTTTAGTTCCATACTTTAGTTGCAAAGAGCCACTTAAAATGGCATATGATAACCAAGGCAGCCCATATTCAATGACTAATTGAGGTGGAGGCACAAAGATCCTTATATTTTGGCCAATGTGGGATTATTCTAACTGGATTTTTGTGTTCCAGTTCTCACAATATAAGGTTGACCAAGGCTTTGTTGAGCTTGCATCATAGTTTAACTTCTTTCTCTGCCCAACCACATACCTTCATCCCCATCTTTTTCACAAATACTTATCACTTATAAACATTATGCATGCTAAATTCCATCTCAGTGTCTACTTGTGAAAAACACAACCTGTGGCATATACAGCCCACTGTGACACTAAAGAAATGAAAAGACAAAAAGGAAGAGTCCAGGTAGAGATGCATGCTAGGTATTGAAACTTCCTGTATATAATACTTACATAGAAAACAATGTGATATTTTATCTACTTACATTATTACAAAACTTGATACAGAATTTCTCACACAACAAAAAATCCTGGAGAGTGTTTATAAATACCTACAGTTGTCTTATTTATATGCTTGCTAATTTACTTGTTACAAATTGTATGCTCTATGAGAGCAGGGAAACTTTAAATTATACACATGACTGTATCTTCAAATAGCAATGAATGAAAAAGTGTCAAGCACACACTAGATTGCAGATCCTTCAGTATACTAAAGATAGAGAAAATATTAAAAGACAAACAGAAGACTGAAGGAAAGACACAAATGACTGTACACATATCAAAAGACACCCAATTTTATTAATAATGAAGAACATTTAATTGTAAATGTTAAACTTTACTGTTAAGGAAAAGAATGCATCAGTGGGAATGCTCAGACTTTGATGATGTGAGTATACGTCATCAGATGTGTAATGACACACTTCATTAGAAGGCAGTTTGGCATTATCAGAACAATTGAATTTGTGCTTACTTCGTGATCCTGGGATCTCCCTTTTAGGCCTAAACCCTAAATACATTCTTGCATATTTGCTCAAGGAGACATGTAAAATTATATCCATAAAAACAATGTATGTAAGTTTAATAATGTAAGCAACTCAAATAACCATCAACAGGATAATGGACAATTTTTGTACACTCATTCATGCAATAACTGACAGAAGTAAAAATCAATGACAAGTAATTTTATTAATAAGCAAGTATTATTCTGACAAATATAACACTGAGTGAAAAAAATGTCAGAGAAGGATATATATACTATATTATTAAAAATATATATTGTTGGCCAGGCGTGGTGGCTCACTCCTATAATCCCAGCACTTTGGGAGGCCGAGGGGGATGGATCACGAGGCAGGAAGATAGAGACCATCCTGGCTGACACTGTGAAACCCTGTCTCCCTAAAAATACAAAAAATTAGCCAGGCGTGGTGGTGGGCACCTGTAGTCCCAGTTACTCGGGAGGCTGAGGCAGGAGAATGGTGTGAACCCAGTAGGTGGAGCTTGCAGTGAGCCGAGATTGCGCCACCGCACTCCAGGCTGTGTGATGGAGCGAGACTCCATCTCAAAAAATATGTATATATATACATATATATAGTTTAAAATTGTGAAAAGTATCTTAAGCTTTCACTGATAAGCAGATCTCCAAAGAGAAGTGTCTGGGCACGTAGGCATAGGAGCATGGCCAGGTAGGAGAACACTAGTTTTTGACGGCAACTCACTTCAGAGACTGAAATGCACTGGCCGTGCACTAAGTCTGATGTAGGGTAGACAACCTCTACCCTCCCACCTGCCAGGAAAGCAGGTGGTCAGACCTGAAAAATTAATTGCCTGTGGTCAGACCTGAAAAACTAATCATAGAGTTTGGACTAAAATTGAAGTTCTCAACGTTAATTTTCACAAATTCTCAGCCATTATTTTTTCAAATATGTATTCTCCCTCTTTCTCTCTTTCTGCTCCTCCAATTACAATTACACATGTTAGAACATTTGCTATTGTTTCACAGCTGTTGGATATCCTCCTTTTGTTCCCTAACTAGATTTTTTTTTCTTTATGTTTCAGCTTGGGTATTTCCCATTGAATAAGCATTAAGTTCACTGATACTTTCTTTTGCTGTGTTGATTATATTGAGGAGCTTAGAGAAGGGGTTCTTTCCCATTATGTATTTTAATTTCTATAAATTTCATTTAATTATTCTTATGATTTCCAATGGCTTGCTAAAATAACCAATTGGATCATGCACACTATCCTTCTATTTTTGAAGGTTTTAGAATTTTACATGTGTTAATTATTATTTTAAATTTCCTGCTTGATAGTCACATAGTTTCAACATTTGTGTCACATCTGAATCTGGTTATAATAATTGTTCTTTCTCTTGAAGATGTTTTTTGTTTGTTTGTTTTTATTTTGCTGTGGATTTTTCTTTGCCTTTTTAAGCTCCCTTGTAAATTTTTGTTAAAAACTGACATGTTGTGTAGAGCAATAAATAATAGTAAAACTGAGGTAATAATTACATGCTGCAAAATCATCACAACTTTTCTTTTGCTTAAGCCTTTAGTTCAGGAATTTTTAACCTTGTATCTAGGGTGGTTGGTACTTTATAGGGGCACAATTTATTAACATAAGATTCAGAATTTTAGGTTTTACTTTCTGCTGTAACTCAGAGACAGTATTGTTTTATGTTCTTTCCCTTTTGGCCATCTCCTAACAGTGTGCTGCTGTCATTGTAACTCAAGTAATCTGGTTTGGTTGTAGTGTGAGGGTAATGGAGTATCTGTTCTTCTCTTTAAGACTCAGCCTCAGGCATGCACAATGTCTCTGGCCTTGTGCATGTGTATAGCTTTCTCAGTTCTCCTTTCTTCTACTGCTTTAAGTTCTGAGCTCAGCGCCTAATCCTTACCCTCTTCCAGATGTAAGCTTTATCTCTCCCTCCTCCTTGCTGTCCCTCAGCTGAAATGAGGGTTCACCAATGCATTTGGTCTAGCTGCTAGCAGCATTAGTCTTCCTTCTACGCATTGTTTTTTGTGTAGTTAGAAAGGTAGGTTCTTGGAGGAGTTGTTTGTCCCTTCTATGTGGCCACTGTTCCTCTCCTCCAGGTCTGCACCACAATCGACACAGCTCAGGGCTTTTTGGTTCTGTTCTGTGAGGTGTGGTAGGGTTTGTGGAGAAATGACAGATAAGAGGGTACAAACTTAGCCACATTTCTACAGCCCAAAAAAGTTCCACAATGTCTCTACAATTTCTTACTGGTGTGTGATTGCATCTAACACTGTTGACTGCGTGAGCACCTCCTCTTTCCTGCAGGCAGTGTCTTTCTTTAGAATTTGGATCAGTTCACTTGGTGACCATAGCTTTTTAATGAGCTCACAAAGTCATGAAGTTAATTCAGCTTTTTTATTGCTGTTGTAAAAGCAGGAATTCCTTCTAGCTTTCTACATTCTGGAGAGGAACCTAGATGTGCAATAGTAAATTTTAGGTCAATAAAAGTTATTGTGTTTCTGTGAATGTGTAGGATTGCATATTACATATAATGCAGATGGAAATTGAATTCAGTTATTAGAGGCATTTTCTAAAATCTTTCATAAAATGGTTAACATTGTTTATTTTCCTTTGGGAAAAAGCAATTCTTAGTGCCATTTGTAGGACCAATTATTGATTTGACAGGTTAAATAATTAAGGGCTCAGAAAGTGTCTGAAATGCAAAGCTAATGCAAATCACTTACTGATAACAATTTAGAAAATATCAGTGGTTTTCCATCAACAATTAAATAGATTATACCGCATTCTGAGGCCACTGTGAAATAATTTGAGAAATGTTAATTTGATCCAGGATGTAATCAACGTTAATTGGTTAGAAATAGCAATGTAAATTTAATCAATAATAATATTTCAATTTTGTGATTCCTTTCCTTTTAATGAGTACAACTCTGTCATTAGTAAGTGAAACCTTCGGTATACAAATTACAGGACAATACAAATTGACTCAAAAGAGTTCAAATATATTGCAGGATAATGACATTTACTCAAAAAAGGTTCAAATTCATTAACCCTACAACTCAAATGATATTAACCTATGTCAGGTGGGTGAAAATAGCAGGCAGGTGTCACAGAGAATTTCCTTAGGAAGCTATATAGAAATCAGAGAACAACTCATGCTAAGAGCTCTCTTTCATATTCTCAATTACTTTAAAATATTTTACCTATTTTCAAAGAACCCCGGTAAACACAGTAAGCACATACACATCAATTTAACCAATATTTAATATTCTATTTTTCATATATCTCAATTTGAAGTACTGCTTTTGTGTTGACTATTAAGTAATTATATATAGAAACTGATTCCTTTGCAGAAGCTATGCCATTGCTAACTTCACACTGTGATATTAGGCTATATGACAAGAAGGATGAATCATCATTCTAGAGATCAAAGAACTAATTAATAGGAGAAATATAGGGGATAAAATAGGATTCAGTGGATTAATGCCATAATAGAAGAATGGGCAATTTAATTTGGGTATGTCTTATAAGAATTATTGATCTCTGCCTAATAATGACTAAAGAAAGACCAAGGTGGAGAGGTAAAGGAGTCAGACTCTATAATCCTCATAGTTTAATAGCAAATGCAAGAGGTTAAGGAAGGCCCTTGACTCAGATTTGGGGAGCATAAATTAAATTACCCCACATTTGGGGTAATATTTCTTTAAAACAAATAGCAATTCAGCCACATGAAATATTCATGGAGGTATTCCATATGTAATAAAACATAACAGCCCCAAGTGAGTTATGGTTTTGACATAAAAACGGGGTGTCAGTCTAAGATTTGTCTGCTACTAGCCCAGACCATGTACCCACCTTAGAAATTCTCTGCTACCCATTACATTTTTTTCAATAATTTTTTCTTTGTATTTCTTCAACACGTATTGTTTAATGCTTTGATACTCTTCACAAATATACTCATCTGGCTAAAAATACATATTGTTATGTAATTATTTAATAGTGGGTAAGTGTTTGATTAACACTATTGTGGGAGGCAGAATAATAATCTCAAGAAAGATGGCCATGTCTTAATCCCTGGAAACTGTGACTACATTAAGTTACATGACAAAGGAGAATTAATGTAGCAAATGAAAATAAGGCAGCTACTAAAATAACCTTAAATCAAGGAGATTATCCTGAATTATTCAGGTAGGACCAGTGTAAACACTAAGGCCCTTAGTGAGAAAGTGTGAGACAAAAAAAGTCAGAGTAAGACAAGGAGATGCGATGATGGGAAACAAGGTCAGAAGGAAAACAACTTCTGGGTTTGAAGATGAACATGAGGGCCATGAGCCTCAGCTTATAGACTTTGTAAAAGACAGTGGAATAGATTCTCCCCCAAGAGCATCCCGAAAGAAACGCAGCACTGCAGATACCTTGATTTTAGCCTAGTGAGACCCATCTTTGATGCTAAAATACAGAACTGTAAGATAATAAATTTGTGGTGTTTTAAGCTATTAGGTTTTTGGTAATTAGATTTCAAGCACAAAACTGATACAAACAATTTTAAAAATGAATACAACTGCTCAACATATTTAAGACATAAAATAACATAATCTCATTTTAAAACAAACTTTCCTGGTGGGGTACCATGACATGGAAATGTTCATTGAGTATGGAAGTATCTCGTAAGAATAGAAGTCAACAAAAGCCACATAACTGAGAGACAAAATAGTTGACTACATGATAGACAAAACTGTCTGATTCCCAGGATCTTTGGCAGTATTTAATTAATCATGGGATCCTTGGGACAAAAATAAACAAAAATCTATAATGTCATGCTTAATTTTCGTAGTATGAACACCCCAATTCCGATATGTTGACTTGATCTCTAAAGAATAGGGCTTGATTTGATCCCTGTAGAATAAATAATTTAATACCCGTACTTGGCTTATTTTATATCCCCAGAGTCCTTTGAATAAAGTGAAGCCTGGATGATCTTAAATAAATGTAATTCAATACTTACTATGCATTTGTCCATTTAGCATTCCCCATACAGACTAGTTACTAATTACCAAGGTAATGGTGGACTAAAAAAAGAAAGCTATCCATACCTTGCAGGAATTACTCAACAATAGCCCTGAGCTACAACTTTTTCATGAAGACAGTATTTAACATTGACTACCTTACAGAGTATCAGTTTTAAGGATCAGGTGGTACAGTTTTTAATCCAGACATGCTTGTATATGGATTCTAACATCTGTCTACGATTTTTCCTGTTTTTCAGTGGATAGTGGAAATATATATCCTTTGCATTGAAAGAAATTCCACATTTTTCCCTTGAAAATATTATAAGAACCATCAAACAGTAGTCATTAGAGCTTGGCTAACAAAATAATAAATGAAATGAATGCTATATTCCTCAGGATACTTCCAATAGTAACCTCATCACAAAAGCCTTGAAAGATGCATGAGTGAAACCACTGTCATTCTCTTGTTGGACAATGCCATGGATAGGTGGGTCCAGTAGAACAGCAAAGGATTACTATGCACTGCACCAAATGTAATCTTCTTGTTAGAATAAATAAATACAGACCCTAGCCCCTGTTGTGCACATATTATTCTACCAGATGCTGTTTATATGCATATATGTAAAAAGAAACACACATACACATCTCCATCACTAAGGCCTACAGTTTCTTTGTACCCAATATTCTTGGAATATCAATAGCATATTTGTATAATGTCTTAATCTTGTCCCATTTCTTAGTGAGAGTCATAGTAGTGGCTCCTAGGATATTGTGAACATTGCAATTCCTTCCTCAGGAAGTAAAATTTTCTTTTGAGAAGAAACTACAATTATGCTCTTTGTAATGATAAAAACTAACTGCCTGGCTGTTAGACACAATAAAACCTATGTTACCCTTTATTAACTTATCTCTGTCCATATACTTGGGCATGCTCATCAAAATTTCACCATCTAAAATAAGTGATATTTCTCGGGCTAGATTTACTCATGTCCTGAAAGCCTACATAAGTCTCATTAGCATGCCATCCTCCTTCCTAGTATATCTCCTGCTGCTGCATTACATGCCCTCTCTTAAACCAGATGTATAGCCCCATGGACTTTTTTTTATTAGTAGTAGCCGAGAAAAATGTATGTGGATATTAGATGACGGTGAGCATTTTGCTATTGCTGACCAAAATCAAAATACTTGAGCCTAATAGTCCCAGTAAGGGGAGACATGGAAAGAAAATAATCATCTAAGATTTTTTCCCAAATGACCACATTGACATCTACTTTTAGTAATAGAGATGTAGGAAATTATGGGTTGTGAATATAGAGAGCAAGGAGAATTGGTTTTCTAAGTCAATTGCAAAGTAATTTTCTTAGATGAAGGAGTTATAGCATCCTGAGATAAGGCAGCATGCTGTTTCTAAGTTCAAGAAATGCTCAGTGAGACTTGCTGTTTTGCATGGAATTAGTTTTTTATATTTATTAATTTATTATGGGTCTTTGAATCTCTCTTTCCTATACAATTCCCAAACTTTTACATATAAGGTCTGTAGAAAATATGAATTTATGATATTTTAATTCAGTGATCAGAATGAAAAACTTTGAGTTTTACTGTCAGCTACTTCATTCCTGTTGCTCTGGAGGTAAATAGTATTTTTCTATATGTTTAGAAATTGTTATACTTGAGTCCATGCTTTCAACCAGTAAATTGGCATTTGAGCTTGTGACACTTTTAAAAGCCAGTTCAGAAATCTTAGAAGGAGCCACCTTATCATGCATCAAAATATATAATTGGCATAGAAGAAAAATAAGCAAAAAATACATACTTTAGGAAACATAAACAACATATGTAAATGCTGAGAGGTAGAGCAAGGTGGCAGAATAGAAACTCCACTGATTGTCCCCCATCCCCTGGAAGGACACCAAGTTAACAAATATCTATACAGATAAAACACTTTCATAAGAACTAAAAATCAGGTACCTGCACAGCCATGGGAGATAGTTGGGGAGTGGGGAAAAGAATCAAGTGGGCTCTTCTGGTTCTAGATTCTAGGACTTGACTCTTGGACAGCATTCCTAGACCTGCTCTGGGCCAGAGGGGAGCCCACTGCCCTGAAGGATGAGTCTCAGGCCAGGCAGCATTCATCACAGCTGACTTAAGAGCCCTTGGGCCTTAAGACAACATTGGTGCGTAGTCTGGCAGTACTCTTCATGGCCTGGGGTGGCAGTGGCTAAAGGATGAGGCTCCTCTGCCTTTGAAAATGGGAAGGAAGAGTGAAAAGGACTACATCTTGTGGCTTGAATGTCAGCTCAGTCACAATACAATAGAACACCAGATAGACTTCTAAGGTTTTTGACTCTAGACCTGACTCCCAGACAGCAATTCTGTAGTCACCTGGGGCTTGAGGGAACTCATTGCCCTGAAGGAATGTCTCCAGGCCTAGCTGACTTTGACAGCTGCTGACTGTAGAGCCCCACGACCTTGAGAAAACATAGGCGTTAGCCGGGTAGTGGTTACAGCAAGCCTTGGGCAAGACCCAACACTGTGCTTGCTTCAGGTGTGACCCCAGAGCAGTCACAGTGGAGGTGGCTACGGGGGCTTTTGTGTAATTCCACCCCCAGCTTTAGGTGGCTCGGAACAGAGCAAGAGAGACTCTGTATGTTTGGGAGAAAGAAAGGGAAGAGAACAAGAGTATCTGCCTGGTAATCCAGATAATTCTTCTGAATCTTGTCCATGGCCATCAAACTGGTACGAACACAAGTCCACAAGAACCACAGTATTACTAGGCGTGGGGTGCCCCCTAAAGTAGATATAGCTTAGATCACAATACCCGAGTCTGTTCATACATATGCAGTCTTCACAAGAAGAGCAGCTACAAATAATACCAGACAGCAAAGTCTACAACAGATACCTAACTCTTCAATGCCTCAAACCTGAAAAACATATACTAGCATCAACATTCTCCTGGAAAATACGACCTCACCAAATGAACTAAATAAGCCACTGAGGATTAATCCTAGAGAAACAGAGGTATATGATCTTGCAGACAGACAATTCAAAATGGCTTTGTTGAAGAAACTCAAAGAAATTCAAAATAACACAGAGAAGAAATTCAGAATTCTATCAGATAAATTTAACAAAGAGATTGAAATAATTAAAAAGTATCAAGCATAAATTCTGGAGCTGAAAAATACGAATGCATTGGAGTCCTTTAATAGCAGAATTTATCAAGCAGAAGAAAGATGTAGTGAGCTGGAAGGCAGGCTATTTTAAAATACACAGTCAGAGGAAACAAAAGAAAAAACAGTAAAGCAAACCTACAGAATCTAGAAAATAGCCTCAAAAGGGAAAATCTAAGAGTTATTGGCCTTAAAGAGGACACAAAGAGTTAGAAGTACAAAATTTATACAAAGAGATAATACATGAGAACATCTCAAACCTGTAGAAAGATATCAATATCCATGTATGAAAAGGTTATAGAACACCAAGAAGATTTAACTCAAAGAAGACTACCTCATGACATTTAATAGTCAAACTCTCAAAGGTCAAAGATAGAGAAAGGATCCTAAAAGCAGCAACAAAAAAGAAAAAAATAACATATAATGGAACTCCAGTACATTTGGCAAGATACTCTTCAGTGGAAACTGTGTAGGCCAGGAGAGAGTGGAATTACATATTTAAAGTGCAGAAGGAAAAAAAAATACCCAAAAAAATACCCTCGGATATCCAGGGAAAGTATCCTTTAAAAATGAGAAAGAAGTAAAGTTTTTTCCAGACAAACAAAAACTGAGAAATTTTATCAACACCAGACCTGTCCTACAAAAAACGCTAAAAGTTGCACTTCAAATAGAAAGAAAAGGACATTGATGTGTAATAAATAATTATCTGAAGATACAAAACTCACTGGTAATACTAAGTACACAGTAAAACACAAAATATTATATAAAACTGTAACTCTGGAGTGTAAACTACTTTTATCCTAAGTAGAAAGACTAAACAATGAACCAATCAAAATAATAAATACAACAAAATTTCAAGACATAGTCAGTACAATAAGATATAAAAAGAAGCAACAAAAATTAAAAACAGGCAGACAAATTTAAGGCATAGAGTTTTTATTAGTTTTCTTTTTGCTTGTTTGTCTATTTGTTTATGTAAATAAAGTTATATTGTTATCAGGTAAAAATAATGGTTTATAAGATAGTATTTACAATCCTCATGGTAACTTCAAACATAAGACATACAATGGACACACAGAAAATAAAAAGCAAGAAACTAAATCATATTACCAGAAAAAAAAGGAAAAAAAACATCTGCACTAGAGGAAGATAGGAAGGGAACAAAGAAGGAAGAGAAAATCACAAAACAATCTGAAAACAAGTAACAAAATGACAGCAGTAAGTTATTGCTCATCAATAACAACAGTGAACACAAATGGACTAAACTCTCCAATCAAAAGACATACATTGGCTAAATGGATAAAAACAACAGACCTATTGATCTGTTTTCTACAAGTAACACACTTCACTTGTAAAGACACACGTAGGCTGAAAATAAAGGGATGAAAAAAGATATTTCATGTACATAGAAACCAAAAATGATCAGAAGTTGCCATACTAATATTAGTCAAAACAGTTTTCAAGACAAAAATCACCAAAAATGGCAAAGAAGGTCACTATATAATGATAAAGGGTCAACTCACCAAGAGGATATAACATTTTGAATATATATGCATCTAACACTGGAGCACCCAGATTTATAAAGGAAATATTATTACAGCTAAAAAGAGAGATAGGCCGTAATACAAAAATAGCTGGAGACTGCACCCCACTTTCAGCATTGGGCAGATATTCCAGACAACAAAATCACCAAAGAAATAGTGGATGTAATCTGCACTCTAGACCAAATGAATCTAATAGATATTTATAGAGCATTTCATCCAATGGCAGCAAAATGCAATCATTTTCCTCAGTACGTTGATTATTCTTTAAAGATAGAACACATGCTAGGTCACAAAACAAGTCTTAAACCATTAAGAAAAATGGAAATAATATCAAGCATCTTCTCTGACAACAACGCAATAAAACTAGAAATTAATAACAAGAGGAATTTTGAAAACTATACAGATACATGGAAATTAAACAGTATCTACCTCAATGACCAGTGGATCAATGAAGAAATTAAAAAGAAAATTGAAAAATATCTTGAAACAAATGATAATGGAAGCATAACATACCAAAACTTATGGGGTACAGAAAAAGCAGTACTAAGAGGGCAATTGTATAGCTATACTTGCTGCATCAAAAAAGAGGAAAACCTTTAAATGAACGATCTAAAGATGTATTATAAAGAACTGGAGAACCAAGAGCAAACCAAACCCATCATTAATGTTAAATAGAAGAAAAAAACTAAGATCAGAAGACATCAAAAAGAAGATCAGAATAGAAATAAGTCAATTTGAAATGAAAAAATATAATGATCAATTAAACAAAAAGTTGGTTTCTGGAAAAGTTAGATAAAATTCACAAACCTTTAATCATACTAAGAAAAAAACATAAGATCCAAATAAACAAAATCGAAAATGAAAACGGGGTCATTACAACTGATATTGCAGAAATTCAAAGGATCATTAGTGGCCACTATATGCAACTATATGCTGATAAATTGGAAAATCTAGAAAACAAATGGACAAATACCTAGACACATAAAACCTACACAGATTGAACCAGGAAGAAATCCAACAACTCAACAGACCAATAACAAGTGATGACATTGAAGCCATAATAAAAAGTCTCCCAGTAAAGAAAAGCTCAATACTTGATAGCTTCCCTGCTGAATTCTACCAAATGTTTAAAGAATTGATACTACTTCTATTTAAACTATTCCAAAAAAATAGAGGAAGAAGGAATGCTTCCAGACTAATTCTACATGGCCGGCATTACCCTGATACCCAACTAGACAAACATGCATCAAAACAAGAAAACTATAGGTAAATATCTCTGATATACACTTATGCAAAAATTCTCAATAAAATACTAGCAAACCAAATTCTACAATACATTAGAAAGATTATTCATTATGACTAAGTAGGATTTATCCCCGAGGTGCAAGAATGGTTCAATATTTGTTAATCAATTAATTTGATACATCATATTAACAACATGTAAAATAACCATATAATCATTTCAATTGATGCTGAAGAAGCATTTGATAAAATTCAACATTCTTTCATGATTAAAAAAATTCCAAAATTCATGCAGAAAGAATATATCTCAATATATTAAAACCCATAGATGACAGAGCTACAGTTACTATCATACTGTATGGGGAAAAACTGAAAGCCTTTCCTCTGAGATCTGGAACATGACAAGGATGCCCACCGTCACCACTGTTACTCAACACAGTACTGCAAGTTGTAGATAGAGCAATCAAAAAAGAGAAAGATATAATGGGCATCTGAATTGGAAAGGAAGAAGTCAAATTATTTTTGTTTGCAGATAATATGATTCTGTATTTGGAAAAATGTAAAGAGTCCATCACAAGAAAACTATTAGAATTGATAAATTCAGTAAAGTTGCAGGAGACAAAATCAGCATACAAAAATCAGCAGCATTTCTATATGCCAACAGTGAGCAATTTGAAAAAGAAATTTCAAAATTGGTCCCATTTACAATAGCCACACATAAAATCAACTTCCTAGGAAATAACCCAAATAAGTCAAAGATTTCTATAATAAAAACTATAAGACATCAATGAAAGAAATCACCTAAAAATGAAAAATTATTTCACGTTCATGGATTGGAAGAATCAATATTCTTAAAATGTCCATACTACCCCAAACACTTTACAGATTTAATGCCATCCCTATCAAAATGCTCATGATGTTCCTCACAAAAATATTTTTGAAATCCTAAAATTTATATGGAACCACAAAAGACTCAGAATACCCAAAACTATCCTAAACAAAATGAACAAAACTGGAGGAATCATTTTACCTGACTGCAAATTATACTACAGAGCTATAGTAACCCAAACATCATGATACTGGCATGAAAACAGACCCACAGACTAATGGAACAGAATAGAGTACCCAGAAACAAATCTACACACCTACAGTAATATTGGTTTTGACAAAGCTAACAAGAATATACAGTGGGGAAAAAAGACAGCCTCTTTAATAAATAGTGCTGGGAAAACTGGATATCCATATGCAGAAGAATGAAACTAGACCCCTGTCTCTCGCTATATACAAAAATCAAATCAAAATGAATTAAAGACTTGAAGACCTCAAGCTATGAAACTACTGCAAGAAACCATTTGGAAGTCTCCAGAACATTTGTTTGGGCAAAATTTTCTTTAGCAATTTTGCCACAAGCACAAGCAACCAAAGCAAAAATGGACATATGGGATCACATGAAGTAAACAACTTCTGCATATCACAGGACACAATCAACAACATGAAGAGAAAACCCAGAGAATGGGTTCAAAATTTTTGCAAACTATCTATCTGACAAGTAATTAGTAACCAGAATATTCAAGGGCTCAAACAACTTTATAGAAAAAAAATCTAATAATCTGATAAAAAAGGGTGAAATATTTGAATAGACATTCCTCAAAAGAAGATCTACAAATGGCAAGCACGCATATGAAAAGGTGCTCAACATCATTGAGATCAGAGAAATGCAAATCAAAACTACAATGAGAGATCAACTCACCCAATTAAAATGGCTTATACCCAAAAGACAGGAAGTAATAAGTGCTGGCGAGGCTATGAAGACAAGGGAATTGTTCTATACTGTCGGTGAGAAAGTAAATTAGAACAATCACTATGGAGAACAGTTTAGGCATTCCAAAAAGAAAAAAAAAAGAAACAAAAAATGAAACTAAAATTTGAGCTACCATAGGATCCAGCAATCTCACTGCTGGTTATAGACCCAAAAGAAAGGTAATCAGTGTATTGAAGAGATATCTGCACTCCTAGGTTTGTTGCAGCTGTGTTTACAATAGCTAAGATTTGGAACATAACTGTCTATCAGGAGATGAATGAATAAAGAAAATGTGGTACATATACACAATGGAAAACTACTCAGTGATAAAGAATGAGATTCAGTCATTTGCAACAACATGGATGCAACTGAAGATTATTATGTTAAATAAAATAAGCCAGGCACAGAAAGACAAAAATTCCATGTTCTCACTTATTTGTGGGATCTAAAAATCAAAACAATTTAACTTATGGACATGGAAAATAGAAGTATGGTCACCAGAATCTGGGAAGAGTGGTGTGAGGGTTAGGGAATGTGGTGTTGGTTAATGGGTACAAAATAATAGAAAGAATGAATAAGACTTACTATTTCGTAGCACAACAGGGTGACTATAGTCAATGATAACTTAATTGTATATTTTAAAATAAATTAAATAGTATAATTGTTTGTAATTCAAAGGAGAAATGCTTGAGGTGATGGGATACCTCATTCTCCATTGTGTGCTTATTACACATTGTATGCTTGTATCAGAACATCTCATGTACCTCATAAATATATATACCTACTAAGTACCTACAAAAATAAAAAAATAAAATATAAGAAAGAATCTTCCCAAAAATATGTAAATGCCAATAAACATGTGAAAATGCTTAATTTCATTAGTAATCATAAACATCCAAATTAAAACTTATACAATATTTTAAAAGTCTCACATTACAAGAAGTTAGAAGTATGTTATATCCAGCCTCCAAGACGGTTCTTGGTGAGCCTTGCTTCCTGGAATTAATACTTTAGTTTAATGCCCTCTGAATTGCATCATGCTAGCCTGTATATCAATATAATACAGCAGAAGTAATTTATGCCCTTTGAGACTAGGTTTTAAGTGACATTTCAGTTTCTGCTTTGCTTTCTGGGATTGTTCAGTCTGGGGAAAGCCAGCTGCCTGTCCTGCCATTCATGAGGACACTGAAGAGGCCCATGTGGACAGGAACTTGGCCACCAAGTTAACAGCCACCACCAATTTGCCTGCCATTGGCAAATGCACTGCTTGCCATTTTTCATTTTTCATCTTCCATGTGAATTAATCAACTTTGAAGCAGATCTTCTAAACCCTGTGAGGCTTTCATATGACTATAGTGCCAGGTGATGTTTGCTTGTGACTTAATGAGCAACTCTGAGCCAGAACTGGCCAGATGAGAAGCTCCTTAATTCCTGACCCACAGAAAATGTGAGGGATGATAAATCACTATGGTTGTTTTAAGTCACCAAGTTTTAGAGAAATTTTTCTCTAGTAATATGTGAAACAATAACCACTTTTACATATCTGCTTTGAAAGTATAAATTGGTAAAGATACTTTAGAAAAACCTGCTATTATTTAGTAAAGTTGAAAATATGCATACCATATTGCTTAGCAAATTCACTTATTCTCACATACTACAGTTTCATGTGAAAAAAAAATCTGCACCAGCCTTGGTTATAACAGCAAAATCAGTTATAATTCAAATGTCTAATAACAATAGAAAAATTGAAAAAACAAAATGATATATAATTTTATAATAGATACTACATATCAATATGACTCTACCTATCATTAAAAATAAGCAATGCACACCTGAAATAAAATTTCCAGACCTCAGGAAGATATAATATAGTTTTATTTTATGTATCTCTCAGAAAGAGTGACAATGGACTATATTGTTTAGGATTGCACACATAAGTTGCAAAAATGTAAAGGAAAGTGAGAAAATGATTCTGTAAGAGTACATGATGATGATAATAATAATAATAGCTACATTTCTTTGTCAAGAAATACACAAGGAGGAAAAAGGAATTTATCGTTGAGAAGATGTGTGGTAGGGGTGGGGTTGTATCTGTTGTCGTGACAATTTTCTATCTGTTGAATTTGTTTGTGGTTACATAGATACATGGATGTTTATTTTATACTTGTTTACTAAATTATATGTGTCTATTCTATGCACGTTTTTATATTATGTTTTACAATATAAATTTACTTAATAAACACCATATAGCACTTACAATGAACTAAAAAATATTCTGAAAAGTTTTATGATTATTAAGCTTTAATTTTCATAGCATTAATTTGTACTATAAAAAAGTACTTTTATTAGCCTAGTTTACAGATTATGAAACTGAGACACAATTTATCAAAAGTCATAAAGTCTTTCAGTGGCAGTTTGGCTCCATAGCCTGTGTACTTAGGAACTAGACTATTATGTGTGTTTTATTCTTTGTTATTATTTAGCTAGTTGGTAGGTTTTTGGTGCTTGGTATGGTCTAAACAGAGAAGAGAGGAAAGGGACATTCTTTTGTGTGTGTGAGAACTGAACTGTGTCATTCAATCCTCCTATGCTTCAGTGGCAAAATGAAAGGTTTGGACAAAATAAGTAATTTCAAAATTCCACTATGTTGAGGGTCATGGAAGGCTGTAAGGAAGGCAGAAAAAGATGTAAATGCATGGTAGTACACAAGTTTAATAGAAGTACCACCTTTGTCTGTTTCATAGACGATACTGTTTTGTAAAATAATGAATGAACAAAGTCCATTAAACTTTGAAATATTAGAAAATGCAGGCATTTCTAAACGATACACAGTGACAAAGTTACTGTTTCACTGCTGCCTGGATAGCTTCCCTAAAACGTCTATCCACATGCATTTTGCCACCAGTCATCTTTAGGTCCTGATAACTTCTGATACAATTCTTATTTTTATCTTAATAAGATACATCTAGATACTGACCTTGTCTCTACAATTTGAGGGCAAATATCTTTAAAGGGGCAAGATCACCATAACACAGAGTAATTTTTATGCCAAAATGTAACAAGGAGTAGAATTATAATATGTCTCCAAGTAAGTTTCAGAACGTTTGAAAAACCCAAGAAATAACAGCACATATAAAAATATAAACACAAATAGAATTTTATTTGTTTAGGAGAAACAAAGCCTTTTTGTTTATAAGCAATATTTTAATGCATGGCCAATTCAGGGGAAAGTAAAATTATGACTTGATAAAATAACTCACAGTCTTAATACAAGCCAACTGCACTGAAGGCTTTATGTTTTACATAGATTTAATTGTAAAATAAATAAAAAATATTCAACCCCTATCACCGCTAAACCAAGAACAAATAAATGAAAGGAGATTCAAGTAAAAATCTCTGACAGCATAGAAAAAAGTGTTTTCTAGTAAAAATGGAACAATAGATACACGAATAAAATCATTTTTGTGTTTTTAAAATGTAGAGAGATATGGAATCCAGAGACTTTCCAATAATTGACAATTAAATATATATATTATATATATAAATATATACATATATAAAATATCTATAAATATATATACATATATATGCTTATTTAAACCCTTATTATTGCCATATTCACAGTTCTTTGTACAGCTGAATTTTTTTTTTTTTTTTGAGATGGAGTCTCACTCTGTCGCCCAGGCTGGAGTGCAGTGGCACAATCTCGGCTCACTGCAAGCTCCACCTCCCAGGTTCAAGCAATTCTCCTGTCTCAGCCTCCTGAGTTGCTGGGATTACAGGCTCCCACCACCATGCCCGGCTAATTTTTTGTATTTTTAGTTCAGATGGGGCTTCACTATGTTGGCCAGGCTGCAGCTGAAAATTTTTTAATCCAACTAGAGACAAGACTGGGAGACTGAAAGCAAGGAAAGTAGTAAATAAAAATTTTTATATGTAATAATTAAAGAGAGATATGATATACTCCCTTTGGCATTATATCCACTTTCTGAATAAAGGAAACTATTTGTAGTTTAAAAGAGGCTACTCTTACAGAAAAAATTGTCAGGAGTTCATATAGCAGAAATGTGCCTCGAAATGTCTTTTTATTGTGAACAGACCTAGTGATTAGTTGGTTTTAGGTAGCCAGCCCCTACGCATCTATCTGACCCACAAATGTGTCAGGAAAACAAAAGTGGGCTTCCAGTTGGCCTCAACAAAACTATGGGAAAACTTCATCATGATATGCTTTTCTTAAAATATCTTGAACATATGTTTCTAGAAGAAAGGGATTATTGACAGTCATCTGCCCCAGAATACATACAGATATGGGCATACATACATTGCCTTTCATTTAAATGATTTGAGATTATTTATTTTTATAAATCTGTAAGTTGTAGATAGAAAAGATGAATTAGATATGGACTAGAGTATATATTATTTGAAATCAAAAATAGTTTTCTCAATGAATGTAGAAATTTTCATTAACGTTATTGACCTGCAGTTTTCATAAATATTTTTCCAAGAAAGGGATGACCGATAACATCACTGTGTGTATGTATGTTATTATAAATTTATAAAACTGGTGAGTCTGTAAATCACTGTGGAGTGGGGTCACTCAGGTAAAGTAATTCTACAAAACACTAAAAAAAAAGACTTTAACATCAGCATTCTTACCAATGAAATATAGTGATTTCTGAGTTTTCCAAATAAAAATAAGGAAAAGGTTTCTGTCGCAGACTTAATCAGCTGTTGTCAGCATTTTAAAGTGTCCTTTAAAAAATCATTTATTTTTAAATTTTGAATCAAGCAGCTTTTACTTTAACAAAATGAAAAAATATTTTTTGTCTAGATGCATGCATAATCACATTTTTATTAAGGTTAATAAATTCAAAGAATAGATTATAGAATTCATTACTTGATTGAAAATGTTTCATGATTTTAGAGATTTCTGTAGACCTGTATAGTTCAGGAACTTGACATTAAATGGTAAATAGAGTATTTGGAAATGTTATTTATTGCTCATGCTGATATTTGAATATCAATTCCTCATTCCTCTGATATTTAAGAGTCCTAGGTGTCTCTTTATGGGCCACAGACCAGGAAAATGAAGCAAGATAGATCTGTTATTTACAACCTTCTTAGTATAAACTCTGGTGAATTTCCCCTTGAATGACTCATTTCAATTGCCTAATTCAGTCACTTATTAATGTGGGCAACTCAGTTTACTGAGTTTGTATGTGCGTCAAATTCAGAAGACACAAATGTGATGATTTCAGTTCTTGAGGTAAACACTATAGGGTAGTAAAATATTCATGTAAAATATTTTAACAGCATATGATAAGACTAAAAGAGACATATGTTAAAAGCTTTATAGTATCACACAGGAGAGAAATACAAATTTTATGTAAAACATTTAGGGGAAATCCTCAAAAGTAGTCTCTTTAAAATTTTAATGGAAGAGTTAGATTTTACTAGAGGCAAAATAAAGGACATTCCAGTTGGGTGGGATAAAAGTAAACAAATGCAAAAACACAAGTGGGAAGAAATAGGCCTGATAAATAAATTTATAGAAATTTGGTGTATCTGTGAGTCGGTTGTAAGAATTAGGTCTGAAAAGATCAGTTAGAGTCACATAATAAAGGGCCCTTTATATCAAAAATTAATAATTTTAACAGGCTATTTTGAAATAGACATTATTGAAATATTGCATTTGTTGCAATAACACAACAGATTTACACTTTAAGAAGCTAAATCTGGCTACATAAAGACTTTGGGTTAACAGAGTTAAGAAACAAAGCCTGGAAGACCAAGTCTTTAGATAGAATATTATGAGAGTTTATGTCAGAGGTTGTGAGGGTGAAAAAAGAATGTAGAAACAAAATATTTTGCAGATATTGTTAAATGATTTGGTGATGGTATAAGAATGGGGAAAGAAAGCTAAAGAGTGTCTAATTTTGATCCTGGGTGACCAGGGATAAGGTAGTTGCATAGTAGATCTGAGAATTGAGACCGAGGACATCAGGATAGCTAAAAGAAGATGAATTCTGGCTTAAGTAGATTAATTTTGCTATGCTTGTATGACTTCTTTGTGGCAAACATAATAAGAATACAAAACTTGATAAAAGGTAAATATATTACTTTATCAAGGGACAGTAAATAATTGAGAAGAGATGCAATGAATCTGTAGTTCTGAGGAGCATCAAAATATAGTGATTAAAAAAGAGGGGCAAATATTATTTTTATTCATAAATACTAAAATTTGGAAGCAAGCAAGATGACCTTCAATAAGTAAATGGATAAAGTGTGATACAGACACACAATGAATTATAATTCAGAAACAAAAATAAATGAACTATGAAGCTATGAAAAATACCTGGAAGAGGCCAGGCACAGTGGCTCATGCCTTTGTGAAGCCTAAGTGGGAGGATCTTTTGAGGTCAGGAGCTCGAGACCAGCCTGACCAACATGGTGAAACCCCATCTCCACTAAAAATACAAAAATTAGCCAGATGTGGTGGTGGGTCCCTGTAATCCCAGCTACTCGGGAGGCTGAGGCAGGAGAATCACTTGAACCCAGGAGGCGGAAGTTGCAGTGAGCCGAGATGGCACACTGGACTCCAGCCTGGGTGACAGAGTGAGAGACTCTGTCTCAAAAAAAATAAAAATAAAAATACCTGGGGGAAACTTAGATGCATATTTACTAAGTAAAAGGAGCCAATCTGAACAGGCTTCATACTGTAAGATTCCAACTACATTACATTATAGAAATGCAAAACTACAGACACAGTAAAAAATCAATGGTTTCCAGGGCTTTAGGGGCAGGAAGAGATAAGTAGGTAGAGCACAGGAGATTTTTAGGGCAATGAAATATTCTGTATGGACTACAGTGATGTGTACATGTCATTACACATTTTTTCAAACTCATGGAATATATGAAGTAGAGTGGCCCTTAATGTAAACTATCAATTTTGTTTAATGATAGTGTATCAATTTTGGTTCATCACTTGTAATAAATATACCACATTACTTCAAGATTTTGATAATAGTACACACTAGGGGGAAGGGAAGTCATATGGAAACTGTAAATTTAAAACTTCTCTAAAACATAAAGTCAAATTAAAAAATTAAGGGTACAAAATGATGGCAAATATTTAAACAACTGTGAGAGAAAGGGGAAAATAAAAAGACACAGGAAATGAAACAAAAATACATGATCAAATGAATACTGGTAGAGGGAAAAATCACATGGAAGGCAAACACTATACTTGTATCAAATGGGATGAAAACTGAAGAAAATACATTTTATTTTGCTGTTATGAACTCACTGACAACCTTAACAACAATTCATTCTGTAAAGGGAAGATTAGAAACTGGAATTCTGTTGGCTAGGGACTGAATTGAAGATGAAGAATTAAGACCACTATCTAGAGATTAATTTCTCTTCTGCAGTTTCTACTTTAAATTCAACTCTGGCAATGAAAACTGTGTAATCTTTGTATTCTAGCCATTCCACTGCTCATGGACCATCAGGGACTATTCATTACCTACACAATGAAGTCCAACATTTTTAAATATACACTTTGCCAACCTTAAATGTATGTAACTCTGCCACAATTCCAGGTCTTTCCTGATATTGAAACAATATTTGTTTTTTAATAAATGGGTGAAAGGAGAGATATATTTTAAGTTCTTCTTTCATATATAGGTTCAAAATAGTGCAATTAAAAAATTCTGGACCAATTCAAATGCCTTGAGAAATAAAGGAATGAGAATAAAAATTTAAGTAGTAACCAAAGGCAATAATGTGTTTTGTTAACCCTATTAAGAAAGGCACGACCTTGATATGAGTGTCATGAGAGAATAAATGAAAAATCTTTTCAAGATCTGAATAATTTACGAGTGAGCATTTGAGGGTAGTTATTTCTGCAGTGCCTAGATAGATACTGAAACCCAAGCCTGTCACATGCAGAAGAAATATCAAAGCGAGATCAAGTCGTTCCCTGGGTTCTGAAGCTTAAACTGATGAAACGTTAACAAGATCTATGGTTATGAGGCCAGGCTGGAGCTCAGCATTCTTACATGTTTTGACTACAGGATAACTGTGCTTAGAGGGAGCAGCAGGTCTTGGTAAGGCCAGATTTGCTTCTCTCACACCAGGGGCTATGGAGGTATCACTATCCTGCATCTCCCAGGTCATTATTTACTACCAGTCACAAATTGACTCTTTGAGCCAGATGACATTGTCTCTTTCAGGAGGACTTACATATTTGCATTCTGAATCATTTTGTGATGAACTTACAATTTACCTCTCCAGGAAAAATCGAAGATTAATTTCAAATCATTGAAAGCAGCTCTAATTCTGCCCATACTCCCTTCACAACACATAAAAAGAGATCTGGTGAGCAGGGGTCTTTTCTCTTGCTTTCAATTTAAATGAACACTCTACCAATTTTAAAATAATTTAAATGAGTATCATGCCTATCGTTGAATATCATTACTTTTTAAATTTTTTAAATAAATTCTTTTTATGATGATTATTTTAGCTGAACCTGGGAATATGATTTACACTGTCAGAGCATGTATAAAACATGATAGTTACACCTTATTTTAAATACATGCTTTATTTTAAATGTTGGCTATTCATTTTAAATGCACAATACAAAGAAATCAAGCAAAAGATAAACAATTGTATTCATAGTAGTCTATGTTTTGTTTCAACTTTTTAATCCATCTAGTTTGGAGCTCTCAATTCTGGAATATGAAGCTTCATCCTTAACTGGATACTGTCCCAGAACATCTTGGAACATATTCTTGATATGAAGAAGCTGACACTATCCAGATAAGTTTCCTGTACCCAAGAATTACACAACTATGCAACTTTTATATCCTTCGTTCATTAAATTGGCTAATATTCACCATACTATTTACAAAAGCAAATATAACACATTGACATTCCAGCTTACCTCAAAGAAATACAGATATCCACAAAAATATATTTATTTATGTGGTCTTCACACTAGATTTTAAAACAAATAAAGAAGGATTTTTAAAGACATAGATTTTATAGAACTTACAATAAGCAGCTGAATTCAGTATCAATTTTCTTAATCTCCTCATTTGATTTAATGTTCTTGTAAACAGATAATTGCACAAAACAGTTTCCCTTTATTCTCCTGCCCTAACCTTTACTCTGTCAATAATGAGGGCCAGAAAAAAGTGACTATTAAAAATTCTAAACACAAGCTCCCTAGATATAAGGTAAGCTCTACAATGCAAAAAAAATCAATCTTTATCAACTAAATAATAGCTCCTACTATTTGAATCTCAGTGAAAAGTATTATTAACGGATGGTCACTATCTATTAAATACTACAGGGAAAAAAAAACAGCATTTATTTGCTGAGCACCGTCGTAGTTTTTTTGCTTCAAACTTTCTCCCAGTTGTTCACTAGTACAAACTTTCCCCTCATATTTTGTTTTCATAAAAAATACATTGTTTGAAACTAAATATGCTACAACAGTTTTATCCTACGAAATGAAAAGAAGGACTTAAAATTGACAACAAAATAAAGAGTTTGCAAATACTTAGTAATTAAAGTGATACTGTTGACTTTTTCCTTTTCATAGCCTGTATACTATCTCTGCTAGGATGTTCCAATTATTTACCATCTACCACAGACCCTTCTAAGTAAATTGCAGACATTAATTTATGTTATTCTCACAACAACTCTAAGATTAAGTGCCATTGTTTTCTCTAGTTTTATGCATATAGAAACTGATGCAGAGAGACTGGGTAATGGGATATGGTCACAGAATTAGTCAGCAATACAGAGAGATATCAAAACAGGTACATTTGGATACAAAGTTCCCATGTTTAGCCAATACGATATTCTAAAATTTAGTATTGATATTCATTAGATCAATTTCATACATATAGAATAAACCAGTAACCAGGCTACAAATGTATGCTTTGATGTTATGGCAAAAGAAAACAACAACAGCTGCAATAAAGTTTTATTAAAAGGTGTTACCAATCTACATTGTTTCTGGTAAATAAAGATAAGTACCCCTTTAGTTAACCAGTAGCAATCAAGTAGCTGCAGACACTAATTACCCAAATGTCCAGAAGAGGCCTGAAGAAGCCTGAAGTAAGCGTCCAATATGGGTCTGAGTGCTTAGGTGATATGAAAACCCAGATGGATTTGTAGAATGCAGTGTTCATTTATACAATGTAATGTAAGCACTCCTCTAGCACCCTGAGACTTAGTTGGAGAACTACAGGGCTCTGTGGCCTGCTGTATGAGCGTTCAGATATTATTTTCAACTCATATGCAAATATTCAGATTTCAAATAGAAAGATACTCTCCCAAGGTCTGAAAAATCTAGGAAAACCTAAACAAAGGAAAAATTAAAAAGTAACAATTAAGTGTAAATGCCAAAATATTTGTGCTTAACAGTTAAAAAATGTGAGCAACTATTAAACATTAAAGAAAATTGAAAATTTAAAACAGAAAAAATTGATAAATAATTCATAATTATATATATATATGAATTATTTTTTGTTTGTGAACATATGCTTATAAACCAACATCAGGTAAACAGAGAAACAATCAAAGAAGAGGAGAGCTCAGGAAGGGGAGGTAGTTTGGGAGTGGGGAGCAGGGAAACACAGTGGTGCCACTGGGAAAACTTCAAATGAAGGAGAGGGGCACATAGCAGCAAAGGACTGTGAAAATTCACAGATCAGGCCAAGCTTATCCACCATGATCAAGTGGGCTTCATCTCTGGGATGCAAGGCTGGTTCAATATATGCAAATCAATAAATGTAATCCAGCATATAAACAGAGCCAAAGACAAAAATGAAAATTAGTAAAATAAAATATTAGTAACAAAATTTCCTCATTTTATCTTATTTTTACTTCATCTTTGATTCTTTATTTCATGTTTTATTTTTGTATTTACTTTTACACATTTGTATAATTTATAATGTTCTAATTACTTATAAATAATTTTCTTTTAAAAAAGTTTCATTTTGGAAACAACTTCCAATTAAACCTATATTTCACTTTTAGTTATAATTAAATGGGACATATTTCAGAGTACAGGCTACCATGCATTCTCACAAATTCCAAAGTATTGCCTTTTCGGAACATGAATTTTATGGCAGATTTTCACAACAGATGGAGGAGACAGGAGGGATCAGGGCTGTGAACGTAAGGCTCTCAGGGTTCCTGATAGGCAGGATAGAAGTAGAGACAAAAGGAGTCTTGCCCATTAAATGACTGATTAATGATTCATGGATTTTTAAAAATTAGAAGATTTGAAGAGTATGTGGCAAGGTCACCAAGGACATGGACCTGACCTTCCCATCCTACTTTGTACCATAATGGCTTTAGCATCTAGGATGATGGCTTGGAAAACTTTCTTACTGAATTTTTAGATGACATCAAGGCTATAGAAGAGACAGTTATTACATTAGAAAATTAGACTAACCTTATTTTTAAAGACCTTGATAATCCTGTGATATGAGGAGAAACATAGACAAAATTTAATAGAGGTAAACACAGATTCTTGTGTTTTTAAAATAGTTGTGAAATGGAGACCAAAAAAGGTATATTAGGTATTGATGGGACGTATTTCAAAATAATAAGAGCTATCTATGACAAACCCACAGCCAATATCATACTGAATGGGCAAAAACTGGAAGCATTCCCTTTGAAAACTGGCACAAGACAGGGATGCCCTCTCTCACCACTCCTATTCAACATAGTGTTGGAAGTTCTGGCCAGGGCAATTAGGCAGGAGAAGGAAATAAAGGGTATTCAATTAGGAAAAGAGGAAGTCAAATTGTCCCTGTTTGCAGATGACATGATTGTATATCTAGAAAACTCCATTGTCTCAGCCCAAAATCTCCTTAAGCTGATAAGCAACTTCAGCAAAGTCTCAGGATACAAAATCAATGTACAAAAATCACAAGCATTCTTATACACCAACAACAGACAAACAAAGAGCCAAATTATGAGTGAACTCCCATTCACAATTGCTTCAAAGAGAATAAAATACCTAGGAATCCAACTTACAAGGGATGTGAAGGACCTCTTCAAGGAGAACTACAAACCACTGCTCAAGGAAATAAAAGAGGATACAAACAAATGGAAGAACATTCCATGCTCATGGGTAGGAAGAATCAATATCGTGAAAATGGCCATACTGCCCAAGGTAATTTACAGATTCAATGCCATCCCCATCAAGCTACCAATGACTTTCTTCACAGAATTGGAAAAAACTACTTTAAAGTTCATATGGAACCAAAAAAGAGCCCGCATTGCCAAGTCAATCCTAAGCCAAAAGAACAAAGCTGGAGGCATCACACTACCTGACTTCAAACTATACTACAAGGCTACAGTAACCAAAACAGCATGGTACTGTTACCAAAACAGAGATATAGATCAATGGAACAGAACAGAGCCCTCAGAAATAACGCCACATAACTACAACTATCTGATCTTTGACAAACCTGAGAAAAACAAGCAATGGGGAAAGGATTCCCTATTTAATAAATGGTGCTGGGAAAACTGGCTAGCCATATGTAGGAAGCTGAAACTGGATCCCTCCCTTACACCTTATACAAAAATCAATTCAAGGTGGATTAAAGATTTAAACGTTAGACCTAAAACCATAAAAACCCTAGAAGAAAACCTAGGCATTACCATTCAGGACATAGGCATGGGCAAGGACTTCATGTCTAAAACACCAAAAGCAATGGCAACAAAAGCCAAAATTGACAAATGGGATCTAATTAAACTAAAGAGCTTCTGCACAGCAAAAGAAACTACCATCAGAGTGAACAGGCAACCTACAAAATGGGAGAAAATTTTCGCAACCTACTCATCTGACAAAGGGCTAATATCCAGAATCTACAATGAACTCAAACAAATTTACAAGAAAAAAACAAACAACCCCATCAAAAAGTGGGCGAAGGACATGAACAGACACTTCTCAAAAGAAGACATTTATGCAGCCAAAAAACACATGAAAAAATGCTCACCATCACTGGCCATCAGAGAAATGCAAATCAAAACCACTATGAGATACCATCTCACACCAGTTAGAATGGCAATCATTAAAAAGTCAGGAAACAACAGGTGCTGGAGAGGATGTGGAGAAATAGGAACACTTTTACACTGTTGGTGGGACTGTAAACTAGTTCAACCATTGTGGAAGTCAGTGTGGCGATTCCTCAGGGATCTAGAACTAGAAATACCATTTGACCCAGCCATCCCATTACTGGGTATATACCCAAAGGACTATAAATCATGCTGCTATAAAGACACATGCACACGTATGTTTATTGTGGGATTATTCACAATAGCAAAGAGTTGGAACCAACCCAAATGTCCAACAATGATAGACTGGATTAAGAAAATGTGGCACATATACACCATGGAATACTATGCAGCCATAAAAAATGATGAGTTCATGTCCTTTGTAGGGACATGGATGAAATTGGAAATCATCATTCTCAGTAAACTATCGCAAGAACAAAAAACCAAACACCACATATTCTCACTCATAGGTGGGAATTGAACAATGAGATCACATGGACACAGGAAGGGGAATATCACACTCTGGGGACTGTGGTGGAGTCGGGGGAGGGGGGAGGGATAGCATTGGGAGATATACCTAATGCTAGATGACGAGTTAGTGGGTGCAGTGCACCAGCATGGCACATGTATACATATGTAACTAACCTGCACAATGTGCACATGTACCCTAAAACTTAAAGTATAATAAAAACAAACAAACAAACAAACAAACAAAAAAAGAGTTTAGAAAAAGAAAAAAAAAAGAAGAGGTAATGAAACAAAATTTGCCTTTATTTGAATAAGTATTAACCAAAATCTTGTTTTAACTTCAAAAATTATAAAATAAAAAGTGAACTTAGGATCAACACTAAAGAGACATTGTTAAAATTCATTCATTAATATATTCTTTCAAATAATAATTTAATGCCTTATATAAACAAAATAGTGGGTATGCAATTCTGTAAAGAAATAATACCTGTCATCAAGAAGCATGCAACCAATTTGGGTAGAACCCCATAAAAAGGGCTAATTACAACATACAATTAAAAATGCATTGACAGGTATAATTACAGATTCTCAGGAATTTGTGAAGTAGAAGAACATGTTAATGAAGATGCAGAAAAATTATTTTAAATGAAATTTCATTTAAAAAACTTTGAGAAAAGAATTTTGATGTGGGGAGGAAAATACAGGAAAAAATTTAAAATTGCGAAATTAGCTTACTAAAAAAATTGGCAGTATAGTCAGTGATTAAATAAAGATGGAATATTAAGTAGAGGCAAGATATTAAAAGATCTTTTAATATAGGTTTAAAATTTAGATCAAACTATTTAAAAATCTATAAAATTACAAGTTTTGCATATGCGTATAGAAGATTTTATTGGTGATTTTGTTTGCAGGTCAGTAACCCAGTACTCTTGTCCCCGTCTATGTTCTCTCTTGCTTTGCAGGAACTGAACTTTGAATACCTCTTCCCAAATCTTTTGTGTGCAAAAGTCATTTTTTGCTAAATTTGGTAGATGGAAGAACATATGAAGTCACATTACAGCTCATCCAGCAGTAGGGAGCAGAACTGGGGGCTTTGAGAAAAGTTATGTTTTGTAACATCTCTTGGGCATTTAATTGCACTCACTCACTTTTATGTCCCCAGAAAGGTATGATCACTCTGTGTATTATCTTGTGCTCCTAAAACTTCTCTGAATTAGGCAAGTTATATAAAACCCTATATCTAGCAAAATATTTTCCCAATATTTTTCCTCCAGCCGTTGCAAACATTTTGTTAAGCACTACATTAAACACTAAATTTGATTAAGCAACTTTCTATTGAAATGCCTACAGCAATTTGTAGTTTCTATTATCCTGAACAAAAACCCTGACCAATACGATATATGGCATGGACAAATTGAATTTAAGCAAGATATTTCAAAAGGTGGGGTGAGAAGACATTAGAATGTGTTAAGATTGGAATCAACGAGATAAAAATTTAATTAAGATATAATAGTGAACAGAGAAAAAATACAGTTTTTATTTTGTTTTTAAGAGACATAAAGCAGTGTCAAAGCTTACTCATGTATCTAACTGAGATAGCTGAATGAATGGATATTACATTTGCTGAAACTGTAAAACCCAGAAGAAACTAGCGTTTTGGTGGGAAGAAAGTAAGGGGACAGAAGGAAGTTAATGTTATCCTTGGGACAACCAAATGCAATGGTGGGGGTTGGGGGTAATTGGAATCTAAAGCTCAAGATAAAATCCTGGGCAACAAGTAAGAAAAAAAAATCATACATATTTAAGTTTAAGAGAGACCATGAGCATAAATGAAATAACAAAAGTATGCAGAGCAAGTATAAAAGTGAAATCAGAATTTGGGAGAATGCCAACAAAAGAAAGAAGAGTTTACCAAATAATCTTAAATAAAATTGAAAAATAAAAAAAAATCAGGCAAATATGCTTTCATAGAAAATAAGGGAATAAACAATTTAAAAGAAGAGGCAATTCACAAAGTATAGAATCATATTAAGAGATCAGGTAAATGATGGAATACTATGCAGCCATAAAAATGATGAGTTCATGTCCTTTGTAGGGACATGGATGAAACTGGAAACCATCATTCTCAGCAAACTATCGCAAGGACAAAAAACCAGACACTGCATGTTCTCACTCACAGGTGGGAGTTGAACAATGAGAACACATGGACACAGGAAGGGGAACATCACACACCGGGGCCTGTTGTGGGGTGGGGGGAGGGGGGAGGGATAGCATTAGGAGATATACCTAATGCTAAATGACGAGTTAATGGGTGCAGCACACCAACATGGCACATGTATACATATGTAACAAACCTGCACATTGTGCACATGTACCCTAAAACTTAAAGTATAATAATAATAAAATTAAAAAAAAAGAGATCAGGTAAATGAAGCATTCTCCATTGAATACTTAATGTCAAGAGGTTAGTAGTATACATGTTTAGAAAAATTTCAGAGACTTCATGTAAACACAGGACAGATTTCTGTGGGGTTGAGAGTGCCTAAAAGGTAAAGTGGAAGCAGTGAGTATGTAAAATACTTTAAAGAAGTTTAGCAATGAACCAGAAGGGAAAGAGGCAAGAAATGAAGGGGGATACTGGATTGATGAACTAGTTGTTGTTTATATTTCACATTTTTAATTACAAAATTAATATTCATAGAAATGTCAGAAAATATTCATGTAAAATAATTGATAAATCATACTTGATATATATGAAGACATACAAAAATACTTTTTAATATTAATCAATATTTATGTATAAAATGTTTTTAATTGTGGTATAGTAAGCCTTTATATGAGAATGGAATCATTTAGTTACTCAAAGTTCTGTTTATAGAGACTTATAAATTTTTGACATTTTTTCATTTGATATGTATCACTGGTTGTTCGCTTTGCTTTGAAGGAGAAATGGCCAAACAGGTGATGAGGTACTAATTCACTGTCTGTGGCCAGTGGTTGGCTGGATGGCTAGTGATTTGGAAGGAACATTATTCAAAAACTGGTAACAAGGAAATATGGGGAAGAGGGGCAGATAAACCTCTATGAATATACAAAAGTAAAAAAAAAATGAAGTTATTTATGTCCCTTGTGAATGCTTTTCAAAAGTTGACCTCTGCAGGAGAGGATTTTAATAATAAACTGAATAGCATCATTCATTCGGTGTATATCATTTAGCTTTCTTCCTCAACCAACCCTGTCATCCATAATGGGTTCATGAAAAATGTAGCCATGTTGGCAGATAGGAAGGTTACACAGGCGTCCAGCAACGTGGACTTCCATACGCATAGGCTGACCTGGAAATAACCACAGCTGAGTGCATCATCTGCCAGCAGCAAAAGCCAAATTCGAGTCTCTGATGGCACACCATTCCTTTGGGTGATTACCGTGAAAGGATGATTGCTTCCGCCATGGAAAGGACAGCATTTTGTTCTTACTGGCAAAAACGCTTTGCATATGGATTTGCCTTCTCTGCACACAATGCTTCTGCCAAAAACTACCATCTGTGGACTTACAGAATGCCACATCTACCATCTTTGTATTTCACACAGCAAGGAACTCACTACACAGCAAATGAAGTGTGGCAAAGAGCCCATGCTCATGGAATTCACTGGCCTTACCATGTAGTCCACTGTTCTGAAACAACTGGCTCAACAGAACAGTGCAAAGGCTGGCCTTTTGAATATTTAGTTACAATGCCAATGAGGTGGCAATAACATGCAGGGCAAGGGCAAGAGTCCCCACAAGGTTGTATATGCTCAGAATCAGCATCCGATACATGGTTTTGTTTCTCCTGTAGCCAGGACTCACAGGTTCAAGAATCAAAGTGTGCAAAGGGAATTGGCACCACTCACTCTTATCCCTGGTGACTCACTAGAAAAATGTTTGATTTCTGTTCCTGCGCCTTTATGGTCTACTGACCAAGAGATCTTATTTCCAAAGTAAAGAATGCTTCCATCAGGAGACGCAACAGTGCTTCTATTGATATGAAGGTTAATAGTACTGCCCGTCTACTCAGGGCTCCTTATGCCTCTGAATCACCAGGCAAAAAAGGAAGTTACTGTGCTGGCTGAGGTCAGTGATCCTGAATAACAAGGAGAAACTGAACAACGACTCCACAGTACAGGTGAGGAAGATTATATTTGGAATACAGAGAATTTCTTAGAGGGTATCTTAGTTTTACTATGCTCTATTATTAAGTACCACGTGCCTAGAATTGCATTCATTCATGGATAACACCATATTTGATTCTTTTTCACCAACTTGCTATTGGATATCTTCAGTCTTAACATTTTTCTTTTCTCCTTTTATATTATATAATGGACATTTGCATCTATATTCCATATGTTTTCACCATCACTGATGCATCCAGTCTATTGGAACAATATACAGATGCTCCTTGATTTACAATGGGGTTACATTCTAATAAGCCAATTGGAAATAGTGTCTATCATAGTCAAAAATGCATTCACTATGCCTGACCTACTGAGGCAACATAGCTTAGCCTTGCCTAACTTATGCATTCTGAGAACATTTTCATTAGAATACAGTTGTACACAGTCATCTCACACAGGGACTATTTTATAACAAAGTGTTGGATATCTTATGGAATTTACTGAATACTGTACTAAAAATGAGAAACAGATTGGGTATATGAGCACCATCGTAAAGTAAAAAAATATGTAACTTGGACCATCGTAAGTTAGGAACTGTCTGTATTTCATCTTGTTTACAAACTGTTAGATCCAATTGACGGTTTAGTCCAACTGTTAGATCCAATTGATGGTTTAGTCCTCTTCTCCTTAGCATTTTAGACCACTTACACATACTTTATGTCCTCAGAAATTCTTTATCACTTTTATTACATAATTTTTCCTGGTTCTAATCCTACCTTAACCTACAGCTTTTAATAATCCAGATAAATTTATTGTTTAAATACATATTACCTGAATGGCACTGATTTTATCTGCTAAGTGCTTACTTGGAGTCTCAATCTACAAAATCAAAGTTTCTTAAAGAATCTGCTTCTCAAACAATTTTTAGAAATAACTTTATAATATGTCTTACCTGCCCCAATAAATATTCAGTGGATATGGGAGTAAGTAAAACTACAATTTTGAGGCTACTGTATCTGATATTTACACCGAAAAATAATAATGAACTCTCATTTGCTATAGCCAGAATTATCAACACACCTATCGAAGACTACTCAGACTTCCGTCATTGCCTAAATAAAATACTGGTTATTTTAGCTATCTCTTTTAATATTGGAACGAGAACAATCTTTATTCTTGCTTACCATACCAAGTAGTTTGATTTTTGGTTCTAATCCTACCCTAAACTACAGGTCTGAGGCTTTCGGTTTGTTCATCCTTATATAATTTTTTTAACCTGGGTACATACATTTGCCAAGGTAAGATGAGAGAAGATAGGTGAATGTGGTTGCTCCCACACTATAAGTTAGAACCACCAGTCTTTTTGGATCTTGAATCCTGTTTCCATGTCTAAATAACATTGATAAGTTCTTTTTTTATGTGATAACATTTGTCATAAGAGTTTTATTAACCTTCCCTGCCAGCTGGCTAATTCAGTTGTGGTGTGCTCCCCTTCCTGAAACGTATCTGACATTTCTGTAAATACCTTCATTTATACAGAAAACGGGATTATGCTAGCAGCAACAGTGATCACTGTTTACATATCGGTATTTTGAAAACACGTAAATGGACTTACTAGTGACTTATTTAATATAACTGTGACTTCTACTGGAAACAAACTTTCTAAAAGTCAAGCATAAAGGAGAAAAGACAATATATTTATTTACATAAAAGTAGAAATATTGTTTAGAATTTTTTTTTCAGAACTCAAAGGCAAACAGTGAATTGGGAATGAACGTCTGGAAATCAGAAAGAAGATAGTAAACATATTTAAGTACTTCACATAAATTTAAAATACAAATAAAAATAATTTTGTGATAATTAATTAATAATGAAGAAATAGTTTATATCACTAACATCCAAAGCTATGCAAATTAAAAGAGCGATTTTACTGAAAGATAAAATCTCAATAATATAGCAATATTAGTTTCTTTGTGTGTGTATGTATGTCTTTTATAATTTCTAATTTCTGGAAAGAAATTAGCAATATTGCACAGCGCTGCTGGGTGTACAAAAAGAACTTACAGTTTGAGAGGGTAATTTAGTATAATATGATAAACACTTTTCAGTAGTTTCTAGGAAAATAATTGACAACCTGTCCTCAAATTTATTTAAGAATATACCTATAATTCCCAGGTTTATAATTCTGAAGCATCTAAAAATGAAAAAAATTTCTAATAAAAAGTGTTTGATTAAATAAATTATAGGTATAATTATAGAATATATTTGAAAATAAGTTCTAAAGAATGGTTAAAATTATAAAATGGTGAGATGTTTTAAAAATCTCCTAAAGAGCTCTAAGACACTTTTTCATGTTTGAAAGATAGAAACATTTTAAATACAAAAAGTTTAAACATAAAAATGTTAACAAAAGCTATCAGAAACTAGAATTTCATTATGTTCTCTATGTGTATAGACAGATGATATATATATATTTATACCTGCATGCATAGTTACAGAGATAGATATAATGTGTGCATACTCATTAAAATAAAAACTAATTTGAAAAATTGATTAACTAGATAAGTTAACTAAAATATAGGGTGCTTTTCTAGAAAACTCAGGTCAAAATTTTAGCCAGTGTCTTACACACACTTGAGTAACTGCCCCTATAAATGCATACATACATACATACATACATATATACATATATAAAGGAATACATAAAGCTTTTAAAACCTTGAATAGTTCAAAGAAAGGATAAAAATCTTCTCTCTGTGATTGAGAATTGATATGGATCTTAGAAATTATTCACAGACGTTCTCACAACTATTTCCTTATGCTTATTTAAAGGAAAGGTCACGTAAAATACAATCATTTTATTTTTCTCTTTCAGATTCCTTCTAGAGTCACTCTGATTGCATTAATATGCTAATATTAATGACTGGCCAATATTCTCTATAGTTTGTTGAGCTTTATTCCCCAAGAATATTATGGCCTGCGAATTGCAGTAATTTCAGCAACTGTGAACATCCCACGGAGAATATGAACTGGAACATTTTTTAGATCAGCATAAAGCGTGGAAAATAAACACCACTCAGAGGATTTCCTCTCAGGTATTCATCATCTGGTTCCAAGCATGAGTCAGTTCAATTTTCCCTCCATGCTCAGGAGGTCACCACTGTGGAAGGAAGCTCTACCTTGCTTCCCATCCCATTACTCCCTTCACTCTCATCTGTAGTTTAAGGGACTGATAGAATACAGTAGCATATTATTTGAGCCTAAAGCACAATGATCTATCTGCCTTCAGAAAATTCACTACTCACCTGCTCTAACTTTCCATTCAAGAAAGAAGAGAATTAAACATTGCAATGAATTTGTGATTATGCTATGTTAAAATGCGGACCTGGCTTAGGGAAATGACCAGAGAAAATTAGCAGACGGCTTTTAAATACTAGCCTTTAGAAACTATGAGGGTTGAAGAGAAGTGCCTTCTTGAATAGCCACTTAATTTTGTTTATGTTCCTTCTCTCCAAGGTCAATTTTGTATGTATGCACAAAAGACTGCTGCCTGCGATGTGAATCAAGAAAGGACAGGAAAAAAATTCTACTTTTAATATTTTTAGTTTGTAGACTTTCAGAAAAATTTACATCCACTTTATTAGTGTGAAAAATACTGTTAATTATTAAAATTCAAATATAATGTAAAGAATTATTAGCTCATTAAACTATAAATTAAAGTATCAGAATTCAAGTAAGCTAACCAGGTATCCTAGAAAAACCTAAAGAAATACAAATCCAACAAAATGATTTAGACTGTGGGGAAGGAATCAGGATATTTCAGCTAACCTAAGAGTTTTCTATACCATAATGTCTGCGTGTGTGTGTGTGTGTGTGTGTGTGTGTGTGTGTGCGCGCGCATGTGTGTGTGTATCTGAAAATAGAAAAATGAAGCAGAGAACTCATAGAACACAGTATTCTTAATACTGTACAGTTGCTCCTATTCACTATTTCTTCTCCTCTGAGTCATTATTCCATTTCCTTTTCTCCTGATTTTCTTGACTCTACTCTTTATATTTCTGCTTCATTCTTTGGAATTCCCTACAGTCTTTAATAACTTTATCTCTAAATGTTTTCTCCAAATGTTTACAACATCTTCACCTTTTGTTTAAGGTACAATTTCTTTTCAAACACTCTCAGTGGAAGCTAATTCATTCTCCAGTACTCATATCATAATCTCTGAAAATGTGATCAGCATCCTGTTTAGGTTCATACCCACTTTCTTCTCCCTTTCATTAGAAAAGAAACATATATTAGGGTTCGGCAACTGTACTAGCTATAGGGATTTCCTGAAAAAAAAGGCAGTATGATTTTTACCTCCAGAGCATTTATAGTTTGCAAAAATGTTCATTATAAAAGTCATAACAATAAAGTATAATTAAAGCTATTAGAGAGAAAAGATAGACATCATTAAAAACAGAGCAAAAACTTTATTTTAATAATTAAGGAAAAAAATGCCCTTTGGATGTAATTTTTAACTTACATGTACAAAAGAGGAGCAGTAGCTACCAGTAGGCACTTTTGTTCTAGAAGAGAAAAAGGAAGAGTGTGTCATAATGGAAATAAGATGCATTGTATTTGGGAAGCACTGGAAATATTTATTATAGCTAATGCATAGTAAGCATATGGTAAAGGAGAAGAAGCTAAGGCTAGATAAGTCTACAAAACAGATCTTGTAGAACCTTGCTTATTGTGTTTAAGGGTTGAATTCCATTGTAAGGAAAACAAGAAGTGAATGAACCATTAAAAGGAGATGTGCTAATATATTTGCATTACTGGAAGTCCACTCTGATTGCTTTGATTATAGTCACGTGCCACATAAAGACATTTTGGTGATGAAAGATTACATGTAACACAGTGGTCCCATAAAACTACAATGAAGATGAAAATTTTCTATTGCTTAGCTATGTTGTAGACATCATAATAGTGCAATTTTTATTTTTATAATAAATTTAGGATAGCACAGGTGTACAGCATTTATAAAGTCTAGAGTAGTGTACAGTAATGTTCTAGGTCCCCAGATTCACTCACTACTCACGCACTGAGTCAGCAAGAGCAACCTCTAGTGCTGAAACCTCCATTCATGGTAAGTGCCCTATAGAGGTGTACCATTTTTATCCTTTATACCACGTTTGTACTGTATTTTTCTATGTTTAGATAAGTTTAGATATACAATGGTAAAAAACTGCCATATTGCCTGTGCTATTCAGTACATAGTATACATGTTTATAGCCCAAGTGTAGTAGGCTCTACATAAAACCTAGGAATGTAGTAGGCTATATCATCCAGGTTTGTGTAAGTATACTCTATGATGCTTGAAGCATAATTACATTTCCTAATGATGTGTTTGACTTACACAAACCTCAATTGTATAGCATGTATCCCCGTTCTTAAGTGATATGGCTGTAGTTTGAAAGTGAGTTAGCTTAAAGATTCAACTAAGGTAATTTTCTTTAAAAAAGTTGTAGCCCAGATGAATATATTTTCGGTGAAAACGGCAAAATTAGATTGAATTTAGAAGTATTTATGACATAGCATTAAAACTGCTTAGTGGTTTATTGGATTAAGAGACATAGTAGATTTAATAAAAGCTAAAAGTTTAGACAACTGTTTAAGAAACTTTTACTCTATGCATGGAGATAGAGTGGCTCCTGGCAGGAGTAATAAAAGAGAGGATTATGCATTTAAAGTTGAATTAATTATTGAAGTATTTTAATACTGATTCAATAAAGTTATTAAAATTAGAGGATGAGATGAAGATACAAACGAGAAAGATACATTTGGATTCAGGTTCCTTGAAGAGTTAAAAAGGCATGAACTCCAGGGTGTAGGTGAAAAAAGAGACCCTAATCAAAGAAACAGCTCTTCTATTGGTATAAAGAATACAGGAGGAAAGCATGTTGTACATGCTGGTAACTTAGTTGCAAAGAAGTTAAAGGTGTTCTCTCCTGATGGCTGTCATTATTTTCTGTGAAATAGGAGGCAGGACCATCTTCTAAGATGTGGGAATTAAGGGTCTTAAGTTTAAAAAGGGTAGTGAATATGTAGTCATTGTGGTAAACGAAAAAAAAAATTGACTTTTGACATATTTATAAATAGATTATGCAATTTTAAGGACTTTTTTTTTAGTGACTATGAGTGTGACACAGCAAGAGTATGTCCAGTAGCTAATATTTCTGGTGGCTTTACATTGAATGAAATGACTCCTAGACTGGCAGCCATTTTCTATGGAAGGTGAAAGGGGAATGTAGATGAGCAGAAAAAATCTCTAATATTTTTCTAATTACTCTTAATATGGAAAAAAGAAGACTGAGTGAGAGAGTGTGTAGCCAACATGGGAAAAATATAATGTAAAACTCCTGAGGATAAACAACTCAATTTATTATCCCTCTCCATCGCAGGATTTAGCAGAGGAAGGAAAAACAAAATTTGTCAATGTCAAAAACAAATTATTTGAAACCTGGTGTCCCCAGAATAGAATAGACCACTCATTCTCAGGATGTATGCTCATGCAGGTGATTAAAAAAAAAGTTTTTGAAGAAATAGCAGAGTTCAGATTTCAAGAAAAATATTGGACATAGATGTATCAGAAGTCTCTTTGTACCCCTGACTGGTTATCCTAGGCTACTAAAATGAGAGGGAATTCAAACCAAAGATTTCAAAATCTCACTCAAAAAAGAACAAGTATAATGGTCAGATTTGGTGCAATGGGAGACAAGAATGTACTCACACTTGATTAAAGCCAAGAGAAGGTTTGAACAGAGCCACTCAATTTGAATGTAAACAGCAACAGCAATATTAACAACAGCAAATAATGTAAAATAGGCAAATATATTACAATAAAAAATAAAAGTAGAAATTAGAGTTTAAGAATCTGAAGATACTAAGGGAAAAATTAAGGGGAAGACACCCATTTCATGCTTTAAAGAACATAATAACCATAATGATTCTGTAAAGTAAGAGCACCAAGACAAGGCAATAATATAATGAAATCAGATTTTAAATAGTGAGTTCACAAGGACAGAAAACAAAATAAAAATCAAAATAATACAGTCACAACTAATGTAAAAGAAAATGATTTCAAAATTAGAGAAATTAAAGAAAATGTTAATTGATAAGGAGGACAGAGAAAAGCTATTACTCTTTCTAATGAAGAAAATGTAAGTGAAAAAAAATACTCAGATATATTCCAGACTTCTGGGAAATACGGCTATCTGAGGAAATTTAGGTAATGACTTAGATTGTTCCTAAAATTAAGTAAATTCAGTTATATCTGTGTATAAGAGAGACGCTAGAAAATTTAATGACACTACAATGCCAAGGGGGTAAAATGCACATTTTTAGGTGTTATTTATGTATTTTTATTCTACATAGGTATGTATTGGAATAATTCAGAAATGTTAAAAAATAGAATTCATCAGAGTAGCTAGCCATGGTAACCAAGAGTGAAGTACAGCCATCAGTTAAATAAATGTTATTGTTTCTTCCCAACGTTTTCTCTCCAATATACTGGAGAAGAAGGAAAGACAGTATAGAGAAGTAGGGAAGAAAATACATCACTTACTTTGGGTTTAGGGAACATCATGAAAGGTAGCCCATTTAAATAAGCATTTCCTCATTCTTAAGGAAAATATACTACCTTAATAAACTAGCACAAGTAGATTTAAAATCAAAATTTCCAAAATTTTAGCTTTCTGTTAAAATTATTTCCCTTGTTCAGATTTGATGGGTCAAATAAGGTAAGAGTCAAAATCCCTGTATCTTGTCTCCTCACTCCAGGAAGGCATTTTAAACATAAAATAGTGAACAGAAATACTATATTCTGGAATGAAGTGTCATACCTTTAGTTAAACTATTATGTCACCACTTCTTACAATCCTATGAACTCTACCCCATGTTTGTTTCCTTGTATCTAATTATAACCCTTAAATCTGGCTTGATATTACCCTCTTCTTCAACACTCTTTTTGAACATTCTGCTAAATTCTAATTCTAGTTATTATACTTTGAGTTTTCTTACCATCTCTTCCACCCCGTCTCAGTTTCACAAATGGTCACAAATATCTCCAGCCTGCTTAACACTAACTTATACTTCCTCCACTTTTCCAATGTGTAGTTCCCAACTTTGACTTACTATCAAAATGCTGAACCTGCCTCATGCCTTTTAATATATATTGAACACCCAAAGGTACCATATTTGGCCCTTGGTTCAAAATTTGTCATTCTATCAACCCAAATATCCTTTCTATTCAATGAAAAAGACACTTACCTTATTTCTTCACAGCAGATTCTTACTTCAGTCATATTCTTTCAGTGAGTTTCTCTCTTTATCTGAGACGATGTCGGCACGTTCTGGTTCATAAGTACATCCATTTCGTCCCGCTCAACTATTGTAATATAGACATACATACACATAATGAATACATTTCTTCAACACTTTTGATTAATCTGTGCTATATTTTGTTATTGAAATATGGTTTTACTATGAAATATGGTTTCTACATTAGAAGCCTTACAGGGATGCTATTCTCAATAGCCTTTCTTTGGTAGTTTGCAATCACCAATAACTCAGCAGTGTAAACACTGATTTAATGTAATACTGAGTGTTATTAATGCTGATTTGACTTAATTGGATTTATTTTTTAAAAGATGCAATATCCATCCACAGCAAAATTAATAAATACATTGTGATAATTCATACAATGGAATACTAAACAGCAATGAGAATGGAAAACCTTCAATTGCAGCAAAAAATTATGATGACCCTCACAAACTTGATGTACAGCAAGAAAAGTAAGACACAGAATAATACATATGATACAATATGATTTCTTTCTTCCTTTTTAAAATTTAGTTTTAATTAAAAAATGGCAATACATATTTATGATATGCAACATTATGTTTTTAATAATTTCAATATTTATTCCAGATTCAAGGATACATGCACAGGTTTGTTACATGGATATATTGTGTGATGTTGAGGTTTAGGATATGGTTGATCTCATCACCCAAGCAGTGAGCATAGTACCCAATGGGTAGTTTTTCAGCCCATTCCTCCCTGATTCCCTTCCCCCTTTAGTAGTCTATTGCTCTCATTTTTATGTCCATGTGTACTTGTGTATGTAAGTAAGAACAGGTAGTAGTTGGTTTTCTGTTCCTGAATTAATTTGCTTAGTACAATGGCCTCCAGCTGCATCCATGTTGCCACAAGGGACATGATTTCATTCTTTGTATGGCTGTGTATTATTCCATGGCCTACAGGAACCACATTTTTCAATCCAATTCACCAGTGATGGGCATCTAAGTTGCCTTTCCTATTGTGAATAGCACTGCAATGAACATACAGGTGCATGTGTCTTTTTAGGAGAAATATTAATTTTCATTTGGGTATATGCCCAAGAATGGGATTTCCCAGTTGAAAGGTAGCTCTGTTTTAAGTTCATTAAGAGATCTCCAAACTGCTTTCCATAGTGGTTGAACTAATTTATATTTTAACCAATAGTGTATAAGCATTCTCTTTTCTCCATACTCTTGCCAGCATCTGTTATTTTTTGACTTTTTAATAACAGACATTCTTACTGGTGTGAGAAGATATCTCATTGTGATTTGGATTTGTTTGATGGTTAATGATTATAAAATTTTTTTCTTGTTTGTTGCACTTGTATTTTTTTTTTTTTAGACGGAGTCTCACTCTGTTGACAGGCTGCAGTGCAGTGGCATGATCTTGGCTCACTGCAATCTCCGCCTCCCAGGTTTAAGAGATTCTCCTGCCTCTGCCTCCTGAGTAGCTGGGACTACAGGTGTGCACCACCACACCCAGCTGAGATGGGGTTTCACCATGTTGGCCAGGATGGTCTCGATCTCTTGACCTCGTGATCTGCCCACCTTGGCCTCCCAAAGTGCTGGGATTACAGGTGTGAGCCACTGAGCCCGGCCATATGTCTTCTTTTGAAAAGTGTCTGTTCATGTCCTTTGCTGATTTTCATTGGAATTGTATTTTGCTTATTGAATTGTTTAATTCATTAATTAGTAAATAATAATGAAATGGATTGTTAAATAATTCTGGACATCAGACCTTTGTTAGATGCTGTGTTAGTTCTGTCTCACATTGCTAAAAGGAAATACCCAAGACTGGGAAATTTATACAACAAAGAAGTTTAATTGACTCACAGTTATGCACAGCTAGGAAAGCCTTAGGGAACTTACGATCATGGCAGAAGGCAAAGGGGAAAAAGGCACCTTATTTACAGGTCAGCAAGAAAGAGAAGGGCAAACAGGGGAAATGGCAGGCGCTTAGACAACCATCAGATCTTGTGTGACTCATTCACTATCATGAGAATGGCACTGGGGAATGATCCCCATGATAGAGTTACCTTCATCTGTGGTCCCACCCGTGACACGTGGGAAATGTGGGGATTATAATTCAAAATGAGATTTTGGATAGGGAAACAGCCAAACCATATAAGATGCATGACTTACAAATATTTTCTCTCATTCTGTAGATTGTTTACTCTGTTGGTAGTTTCTTTTGCTGTGCAGGAGCTCTTCAGTCTAATCAGTCAATTTGTCAATTTTTGTTTTTGTTGCAATTACTTTTGAGGAGTAGCCAAAAACTCTTTGCCAGAGCTGATATCAAGAAGTATATCTCCTAGGTTTTCTTCTAGTATTTTTGTAATGTGAGGTCTTACATTTAAATCCATTCTGAGTTACTTTTTGTTTATGGTGAAAGGAAGGGGTCCAGTTTTATTCTTCTGCATATGGCTAACTAGTTATCCCAGCTCAATTTGTTGAATAGGGAATCCTTTACCCATTGCTTGTTACCATCAGGTTTATCAAAGATCAACTGGTTGCAGGTGTATCACTTTATCGGTTCTCTATTCTGTTTGATTTATCTATGTATCTGTATTTTACCAGTGTCATACTGTTTTGGTTACTGTGGCCTTATAGTATAGTTTAAAATCAGCTAGTATTATGCCTTTGGCTTTGTTCTTTTTTCTTAGGATTGCTTTGGCTATGTGGGCTCTTTTTTTGTTCCATATGAATTTCTATAACATGCAAAAATCAGACAAACCTACCTATCCTTTTAAAAGATAGTAAAATGGCTACTCCTGAGAATTATGGGGTAGAAGACAAGAGATAATTAAAACAAGGCATATTCAGAAATTCTGGGTTGAAAGTTATGTGGTGTCATTGATTTGGATGCTGTTTAGATGGGCTTATTTAGTTTTTTAAAAAATATATATTTAGCTATACACTTTTAGGATTTTTGTCATTTTCGTTAGGTATATTATAATTAAGCTTTACAATGTGGAAAATAATTATATTTCTGGAATAAAATGACATTTCAGTCATTATCTGCTGGGAGAATATAGAGACTGATAGTAGATAGATAGATAGATAGATAGATAGATAGATAGATAGACAGATTGATAGTAGAGAGATTCTGTTGCTACTAACCAATAAATAACTTGTTTGTAATTAACAAGTTTTTCCTGGAATTTACATTCATCATATTTTGGTCTGTGACCCAATATTTATAATAGCAAATATAGATTATATTCATAGAAAAGTGTCCTTTGTAAAGCTATCATCAGTGAGGTCGACCTATGAACCACAGCTCTGAACTTAATAAGTTTCACAAGCTACTCGTAATCTTGTCCTAAAATGCTGACATACAAATCAACAGAAATATTTAAATGTGCAACTGAAAGCAGTATTTGAACAACAAAGTTGTAAAATTAAAATAATAATGTATAAGTTTAAATAAATTACATACACACTCAGTAAATATTACTCTAAATATTTTGTTTCTGAAATAGTTTCTTTATTGACTTTGAAATAATTTTTCTAAGGATTTCCTCTTATAAATAGGAACATAGAACACATGGAATGGATTAGTTGGTTGGCATTTCAGCTTTGTTCTTCCATTGAAAGGTCAACTTGAAGTATTTTAAATATTACATGTCTGTGAAGCCCAGTTAAAGCAACAACAGTTATTCTTTAATCTTTTGAAGAAATCTACTGCATACCTATTGTAATCCATACTCACTACCAACCTTTTCAATAGTTATGAGAATTAAATAAAGTTGGCTTTTCTAGCAGTGCTGTTGAGAGTTGCTTAGTGTTACTGACCTTTTCTTCATAATTGCTTCTACTTTTCCCATCAATCTTCTGGAGAGGATGATTCCAGCTTTCTGTATCCATGTTACCAGGACTGTAATTATGGAAATTTATTTATATTCCCATACCCTCCATTAAGAAAATATTGAGGTTGTCTCTTCCAGCATGTAGATCCTCCCAATAACTTGGGCAAGCACTTGCGTGATTTGCTCTTATAAAAAAAGGAATATCCTAGAATTCTTACCATGTTTACTCTAATTTAACCATTTCATATAATATTGTCCTGGATGAACATTTTAATAATAGAAGTAAATATACTATTTTTTTAAAAAAGCAAAAATTCAAGGAAAAACCACTAAATGATGATGCACTGATTCCACCATTTCCCATTTTCTTATTTAATTAATCCATAATAGTGTCATAGTATTCTTTTTAAGGCAGCCCAAGTGATTTAATATAAAGTCAAGACTAAGGACCACAATACAATGGCAGGGACTTTCAAACCATGTTTGTAGGCAGGGCTATGAGATGAAATTAGAATGCCAAATTTAGAAGGTAAATTCTAGAGTGGTGCCCAGATTATTTTACCACAACTTAAAACTGAGGCACTCTATATTTTCAGCATTGAGAAGTTATGCTTGCAGGAAATGTGAAGTTTCTAAAAATTATTGAGATTTATCTAATTAAGTAATTGCTTCTGATTTTCTAGAACTGTGGTTAGAATGGTAGTGTCACATTTAATTTAAAGGTTCACATATACATACACATGCACAAATAAATGCATTCATAATAGTAGAGTAGATGAGCAAATAACTGTTTTGCTGTATTTCCTATGATTCACATAAATACTCATTGTAAACTGGTCCTTCCCTCCTCCCAATACATTTTTCAAAGCATCCATTTGGATCACTGAAATATTTTTTCTTTCATGTATTAAATGCACATGGTGAGAGATTTGAGTAAAATTGCTACTTGAAATCAGGCACCAAAGGTTATATAAGTATAAGCATAGGAATGCAAAAATAAACAAAAAAATAGTATTTTGGAGATATTTTTTGATGGGTCACACTCTGCTATTTGAGAAAGAAAGAAACACCATGTGTATTAGATTAGACCTGCTCTGCTGAGCTTTTTGAAGATTAAATTGAACAGTGCAATATTTTCTTTCATAGTCTAAAAAAATAGAAACTATGTACAAAATTTGGATAAAGAAACTCTGACAATAAAGAGCAAATGGAAAGAGAAATAATTACCCTATCTAAAATCAAATATTAAAATAAGATATCCATCAAGAGTCTTTTATACGTGATGCAAAGTGGTTGTTCTCAATGTAGGCTGAAAATCACCTGAGGAGATACAGAACATATTTTCTGGAACGAATTCACGGAGTTTCTGACTTAATTGACCTGTGGTATAGTCTGGCAATCTGTGGATGATTTCATTTGCTTTGCTTGTTTGCTTACTTTTTTTTTTTTTTGATTCATTACAGCTTCCTAGGCAATTCCAACTTGCAGATAGTGACAGTGCTATGAATCACTAGAGGATTTTAGAATGCAGTGATAGTCCTCCCAGGAAATGGGTTGTAATGGCTAAATATATGCAGATACTTAAAGGCAAGAAATAAAGGACTATTCAAGAAATAGGACACAACAATTAACTCAAGAGGAAGGTGACTATGACTATTGGGAGAAGGTAACTGGGAGCATAAATAATACTTTCTATTAATGGGCTGTGGAGGAGTGCTAAAGCTGAGAGTTATTGTTAGATCACCTCTTGGTAGTTGATGAGGTGGCTCCCTTTGGCATAGGGGATAAGATACAAGTACCATTTAATGTGTTTTATTTTATACACTTTTAGGTTTTCAGTAGGTCTAGTTTCTGATTGCTAAGATTTAATTTGTATTTTCGGTTTTAAATTATATACACCTATACTTGCATAAACTTATACAAAAATTTATATGGTTTAACATTTTAACATACCTTCAACAATTTCGTGATGCCAAATTATTATTGGTATTTACAATCCACTTCTCCTTCTCCAGGGCTCATTTTCTAGAATAGCTTGTTCTACTATAAAAATAACAATCCTTTGTTAACAATTTACTATGTGCTAAGATCCATGTTACATTCATGAAGTGCATTATCTTACCCCTAACAATCTCTAAGTTAAAAAGTGAAAAATTATTCTATTTTACATGTGAGAATTCAAGGCTTAGAAAATTAAATCTATTTCTTGAAGACTTAAAATTCTGAATTTTTACTCAATCTTATTGACCCTAATGCCAAAGCTATTTGATTTAAATAATTTCCTTTTTACTTTGACTTATTTAATTGTAATTGTTTTTAAGTCTTTATTTTTACTAAAATTAACTATTTTAGTGTTCTTTATTTGTATGCACTTTAAAACTAGTAGTACATAGTCTCTTATTTGTTAATATTTAGCTTCTATTTTCAGATTTTAAGTTTATCTTTTATATAATCATGTGTTTATTTTTCATTCCATTAGTTACATTCTTTTATATATTTTGTATTGAATATTAAAGTCATCATACGTTAAGTATGAACTTTTATTGCAATATAAAATATGAACTTTCTACACATTATATTTATTTTATTATCTCACAATACTTCTAATTATTTGATTCTGTTTTTTCTGATAGTTCTCTATTACTGTTGATTGCCTCTCTTTTTATTATTATTTTTAATTTTTCTTTAGAAAAATCACATTACATAACTTCAAATTACACCACAGAGTTATAGTAACCAAAACAGCATATCACTGGAATAAATACAAACACATAGACCAGTGGAACAGAATAGAGAACGCAGAAACAAATCCACACACCTACAGGGAATTCATTTTCAGCAAAGGTGTCAAGAACATACACTGGGGAAAGGATTGCCTTTTCTTCAATAAATGGTGTTAGAAAAACTGTAAATCCATATGCAGAAAAATGAAATTAGATCCTTATCTCTTGCCGTATATAAAAGTCAAATAAAAATAGATTAAAGACTTAAATCTAAGGCTTCAAACTATGAAACTACTATAAGAAAACATCGGAGAAAATCTCCAAGACATTGATCTGGGCAATTGCTTGAACAATACCCCACAGCACAGGCATCCAAAGCAAAATGGGTAAATGAGATCACATCAAGTTAAAAAACTTCTGCATAGCACAAGATACAATCAACAAAGTGAAGAGACAACTCAGAAAACGGGAGAAAATATTTGCAAACTACCCATGTGACAAAGAATTAATAAACAGAATATATAAAGAGCTCAAATGACTCTATAGAAAAATATTTAATAATGTGGGTTTTATATTTAAGTCTTTAATCCATCTTGAGTTTATTTTTATATAAGGTGTAAGGAAGAGGTCCGGTTTCAGTCTTCTGATTAAAAAACAGGCAAAATATTTGATTAGACATTTCTCAAAGGAAGACATACAAATCGCAGACAGGCATATGGAAAGGTGTTCAATGTCTTTGAACATAAGAGAAATGCAAATCAAAACTACAAGGTGATTACATCTCACCCCAGTTAAAAGGGCTTATATACAAAAGTCAGGCAAAAACAAATGCTGATGAGGATATAGAGAAAAAGGAAACCCTTATACACTGCTGATGGAAATGTGAATTAGTACAACCCCTATGGAGAACACTTTAGAGATTTCTCCAAAAACTAAAAATTGAGTTATCCTAGGATCTGGCAATCCCACTACTGAGTATATACCCCAAAGAAAGGAAATCAGTATATCAAAGAGATATCTGCAGTCTTATGCTTGTTGCAGCACTGTTTACAATAGCTAAGATTTGAAACCAACCTAAGTGTCTATCAACAGATAAATGGATAAAGAAAATATAGTACATATGCGTAATGGAGTACTATTCAGCCACAGAAAAGAATGAGATCCAGTCATCTGCAACAACATGGTTGGAAGCAGAGATCATTATGTTGAGTGAAAAAAGCCAGCGCAGAAAGACAAACATTGACTTTTCTCGCTTATTTGTGAGATCTAAAAAATCAAAACAATTGAAACTCATGGATATAGAGCATAGAAGGATGGTTACCAGAGGCTGAGAAGGGTAGTAAGGGGCTGGGGAGGAGATGTCGATAGTTAATAGGTACAGAAAAAAGAATAGAAAGAATAAATAAGACCTACTATAGTCTGTAATAACTTCATTGTACATTTTAAAATTACTAAAGAGTGTAATTAGATTATTTGTAATTCAAAAGATAAATGTTTGAGGGGATAGATATCTCATTCTCCATGATGTGCTTATTTCACATTACATGCCTGTATCAAAACATCTCATGTTTCCTATAAATATATATACCCACTATGTAACCACAAAAATAAAAAATTAAAATTAAAGTAAAAAATAAAAAATATCAGTGAACAAAACCAAAATCGTCTTCTTGGTAAATGAATTTATAAATTATATAGTATGATAGAAAGCTACATATTTTATAGAAAATCAAAGTATAAAAATAATTTTAAATAGGCTAGTAGGTAGTCTATTGAAAAGAAAACATTTGGATAAGAATTATATTAGTGATACAGGGGATCTATATTTTAGACAGAGGAAATACTGGAGTCAGGTATTCTAGGAGCACATATTCTATGAGAACTGAGTCAGGTATTCTAGGAGCAGATATTCTATGAGAATGGAAAATTAGATCCATGGCCTGGCTAATAGGCCAGTGTAAGAATATTGGATTTTACACTAAATAAATTGGATGTTGGTAAGGAAATTGTAATATTTGGCTTAGAATTTGTAAATGATTTGTGTAGCTGCTATGCTTAGAAGAGACTAACTGAAGCAAGAGCAGAAGCAGAGAGATAATGTATGGAGTTAGAGTATTTCCTAATAAAAGTTAATGGGTGACTTGGCTCAGAATGGTAGGCCTAGAGGTATTAAGTGGTTGGAATCTGGTTATATTTAAGCCATGGTCAAAATAATTTCTGGATGAATTGAATCAGGTGTGTGAAAAAACAAAAGAGTTAAGTATATCATAAAATCTTTCACACATTTTCATCCTCCTATCCAGACTGCACTTCAGGTTTTCTGCTTAAAAATTGCTTCCCATCAAGTCCTAGAATTCTTTCTGAGTGCCTTGAGTTAATTATGGTTTTGACATACATTTTTAAATGGTTTCCATTGTTAACAAAATATTTCAAATTTGGCATAACCAAAGCTAGTTTATTTTTCTAATTTATTATAGTGTACACTTCAAGACTACATTCAACCACCCTTCTGTCTTCAAGTCAATCAGGAAATATAGTCTTTAACTACTCCATGGTACACTTCTCGCCAAACCCACCAAATTCTTAGTTAAGACTTGATAATATCCTAAAATGTCTAGTTTTTATAGAAAGAACAGCATATTTTTAAAATAATATAACTCTAAATATTACAAATTGGATAATAACTATAAACTCAAGACTTGTAGAAATTCAAACTTCAAACACAAGAGAAATATCAAGAAAACTAAATGAATATATATCATAATAAATCATTCAAAACCTATAATCAGGTGATAGTAAAAGCATCCAAAGAAAAAAATATAGAGAAACAAAAATAGAGGGGATGACAAAATTTTTACTAAAAGCATGCAAGTAAAAAGAGAATAGAACAAACTCTTTAATGTATGAAAACAACTTCTTTAAAGTATTGGAAGAAAAAACTTTATGTGAACATAGAGTTTTATACTGAGAAAATATCTTTCAAAAATTAAGGCATCATAAGGACTTTCAGACGTTCAACAGTTGAAATAATCTGTGATGAGCAGACCCAACTTTAAGATGTTAAAGGAATTCCTTTAAGAAAATGCAAAATGATTCAAGATGGGAATATGGATCTACTCCAAGGACAGAATAAGAAATGACAGCTTCCTTGGTAAATATATGAGATCCAGATAAAATGAATACATTATCTTGCTATATAAATATTTTTCAAATATAATCAACAATTTAAACAATAAAAATAACAATGTATTGTGTAGAGTGCACATCAATATTACCGCAAAAGTCTAATGGAGAGAAATGAAACTTTTTTACTTATAGTATTAAACTATAGGCTAAGTGTTATAATATTACCTAAAGATTTCTTATAATAATAAGAAATCTATACTATAAATAGAAAAGCAACCACTAAAATAAAACAAAAGGTTATAGTTGCTAAACCAGCAAAGAAGATAAAGTAGAAGCATTCAATTTATTGAATTAATCACTAAAACACAAAAATAAAAGGGAAAAAAGAAGTGAAGAAGATAAATGTAAAACAAATGGCAAGATGATAAATTTCTACCTAATCAAATCAATAACCACATTAAATGTAAATTGTCTAAATACACCAATTAAAAGGCAGAGAATTTTCCATTGGAAATGCATATGTAAAAACTAAAATTAAACAAACTCAGACATGTTTCACTCTATATAAAAAATTAACTCAAACTGGAACACATACCTTAATAAGAGCTAAAGTTCTAAACTTTTGAAAGAACATAGGAGAAACCTTTGTGACCTTGGATTAGACTAGGAAATTAGCACATTACAAAAATGAACCTCATTAAAATAAGAAAAAAATGTTTAAACTGTTTTAGTAAAATGCCAATCAAGTATCTAATAATATACATAAGTGGAGTATATAAAAAACAGTCAATAAAGGGAAAATAATTCAATTAAAAAATCAAATTGTTCAATGATAAAAACACGTATTTTACCAAAGATGATATTCAGATGCCAAGTAAGCACCTGAAAAAAGGCTCAACATTATTAGTCATTAGGTAAATGCATATTAAAACTGCAATGTGATATTACTGTACAACTACTTCAATGGCTAAAAATTAAAAGACAGTTTATATTAATTTTTGGAATGGAGGAACTCAAACACTGCTGTTGCTTATGTGAAATCTAATTATGCTGAATGATACAATCCAAAGAAAGGTACATACCCTGTGACCTCATTTGTATAAAATTCTAGGAAATGCAAACTGTTGCATAGCCAAAGAAAGATCTGTGGTTTCCTGGACATTTGATGACAGGGATAGTTGTGGCAGAGAAGGAATAATTACACAGGACATGAGGAAACACATGTAGTAATACACACATTGAGTATCTGTATTTTGGTAATAGTTTCATGGTGTATATGTATGCCATAATGTCAAATTGTACAATTTAAACATATGCAGCTCATTAAATGTCAATTATACCACAATAATGTTGACTAAAAAACTTTTAAGAAATACATGTGATTCAAATAATTTTACTTATTTATCTATGTAAACATCTTATTCTACTTCCCATTTCAACGAGGCAAAATGATGTATGTTTTAAAATATATACGTTTGAGGGGATTTTTTTCTGATTTTCATTGAGGACATGTTTCTAATTGAATTTTTATATTCCATGGCATAAAATTTCATACATATTTATATTTGCTGTACATTTTAATTATATATCTAGCATTTTTTCTTTTTAAATGTAGACAATGCTAAAACTTGCATATTGATTTAGACATTCTCAAGAAGGTGACATTTGTTACCATCAGCTGTTAAAATATTAATTATTTTATGATATTGCATTGTTTTTGTTAATTTTGAATAAACCAGTATGTCATAGTATATACAGATGTGGTGATATTAACAAAATATTGAAACATTAAGAATGAAAATATGGAAGGGTTAAGAATCCTAAATGTCTTTATGATAAATCTCCATCAATTATAAGGAACTCAGGGCAGTCACTAATACTCCTTTTCATTTTAAAACCTGGTCCTATAATTTTTTGGTAGATTTTAAAATGTAATCTTACAATCTAAAGCAGCATGTGCTGGCATCTACCTAAGGAACTCATTTACTGAGCCCTGCCATTTGAACAGCAGGGAGCTAAGTTCCCTGAAGTGTCTCTAAGCATTTCAGGCTCAATGAGTCAAAACTAAATAAAACTCAGCTTCTGTGAAAACAAACTCCTGCCAGATAAAACTACTAATGGTGGTTAACCATTAGCAATCCTGCCCCATATCTCTGATATTTCCAGATTGTTACTTTTAAATATCAGCTGATGCAAGCTGAAGTGGGGTACTACACCTCAAAGAGTAGGACATCCCTTGATTATTTCATGTCATTGTGTAAGAAGACAAGATAAGGGAATCCAATCAGAGTACCAATGAGGGGAAAGATAGGAAGTCACAGTAATAGGAAATCATATTCTGATAAATCTACAATTCTCAACAATATTCAGGGGAACTCATGCTGTCATTTTACCTCACTAATAGATTATAGATTATTATTCAAAGTCAGAAGTTACTTTCACTAAGTATTAATTGAACCAGGCCACATTATTATCTTTTTTTTGGAACACATTAGTATGAAATGTAAAATGGGAATTCATGACACATGAAAGTTTCATTATTTAGCCAAGATAGAGTGCTGGATAGGGAATGGGAGGATTTCCTACTAAGTGATTTTATATCTAAGGAAAAAGAAGGATCTGCTACTTTTCCTTTCCTGAGTAGAAATCAGTGATAGGCAGTCTCTTTGAATGAAAGGGAAATACTCTATAAGATGAAGGGAAAGAGGAGACACAATAACGAGAGAGAAATGGTAGAGGTTGTGGCCATGTGGAAGAGGAAGGATTGCAGTCACCACTTTTCCCCTAATTTTCTTATGTATGTCCTCAAATAATGTGAAACAGGATAGTAACAATTTCTCTGGACAATGAAAGCACAGAAGTTACATGAGAGTGGGTCTGTCTGCTTGCCAGAGAATATCAACATGAGACAAAAAAAACAGAGCCATCGAAGGAATGAGAGCATGATTCTGCCTGACAGTCTCAAAAAGAAGGGGTAGCTGAGTCTCCCAGGGGTATCATCAACACAGAGGGATTTCTGCCAAACATAATCTATATCAGACTGTGCAGCTCTTTTAAGGAAACGTTTGGAGGTCTTTCACAAAACAGAATGCAACAAGATAAGCCAATGATGGCAATCAGCAGAGAGAAAATAGGGACCAAAACACACTGACCATTACCTTATGTTGTAATGTCACAGGATCCTTAAGAGTGTAGATTTGCCTGAGAGAAGCCTCTGTGGCTGGCAGCACCTTTTGCTCGAGTCCAGGTGCAGAGTGGCAAAGGGTGTGTGGGCGAGTGAGTGAGGTGTTCAGCCACTGTCACAGCCAGGCATGCTGGCTGCTGAGTTGGGGCAGGCAGTTCCAGGCACTGTGACAGGTTCCAGCTCCATGCGAGGCTGCAGCTACACTAGGTATATTGCACATGGGCTGTGGGCACCTGCACCTGGACAAGGGGAAGGGGTGACACCAGAAGCTTGGAGATGCCAGGAACTGCAGAACCTCAAAGAGGGTGTCACAGGCCTGGCTTGGGGAGCCCCTACATCTGAGCTCCCCAAAGAGCCACAGCTCTTCTCTCCTTGTCACCCATAATGTGGCAAGTGTGTATGGGGGGTTGTGTTTCAGCCCTGTTTGTGTTATAGCTCTTTTAGTCCTGCTGTTCACTGGGTCTTGAGCTCTTCTCCCATGTCCAGGAAGAATGAGGTAAGCAGACAACTGGAGGGCGAGCAAGGTGAAGAGGAGCTTCATTGAGAGGTAGAACAGCTCTCAGGAGACCCAAAGTGGGTAGCTCCTATTCAAAGAGTTCTCAAGAGACTCAAGGTGGGGAGCTACTATCTGCAGGCAGGTTATCCCCACATCTGTGCAGCCCTCAGCAAAAAGGAGACCTGGAGTTCATAGCTCCTATTCTCAGACAGGTTATCCCATCATCTATGCAGCCCTCAGGGAAGTGGAGACCTGAAGTGGGAAGCTCCTATCCACAGGCAGGTCGTACAATTGTCTACCCAAGTCTAGTGGAGATTGGGGCTATTACGGGCTTCAGAGGGGAAAAAGTACATGCTGATTGGTCCATGGGCGGCCATGGTGGGACCAGACAAAACACTATAAGTTCTCACTCTGGTCCCTGGAACTGGCAGCCTGGTCCCCAGGATTCAGGTCATCCCTGGCTTGAAGGTGGAGCTTCACCTGGACCCGCCCCTTTCCACCCAGGAGCCTATCTGCGTCTTGCCACCATCAAACTGCCGTCCACAATGCCCACAGCTCCCTGGCTGTTGGTGCCAAGGGGCACCTGCAGGCCCACGTGGAGCTGCCCTCAGTGCCCCCATGGCCTTCCCATGCTCTTCGACAACCAATCAATGTCTAGGGAGGGCCAGTGAGGCAGGGGGATGGTGTGTTAGCACTTTCCCAAGTGCGCACACAGCCGGCTGGGTTGTGACAGCACCTGGGCTTAGCCTCAACTTTGTTCCGAAATCGGAGGGGTGTTGAGAGCTGGGAGAGGCCAGGTTAGTGGAATCAGGCACTTCTGATCCTATAGGGGGAGGTGAGCTTCACAGGTCCCCATGAGGCAGAATTGCCCAGGTCTGCAGCCGCCTATTGCTGCAGTTGTGCCCAAGAGGGTGGGAATCCTGCTCCTCAAACTCAGAAGCAGGTGGGGCTACCCCCTGTTCCCAGGTCCGGGATCCAGCCCCAGCCACGCCTCCCCTACTGCACCTGGCCTCATGGCAGTGGCCTGTGCAGACAGGCCGCCTCTGCCATCAGTAATGTCTCAATTTTGCTCAGACTTGGATGCCAATCCAAGGTAAAGGAGGGAGAGGGAAGAACCTTCAAGAAGCAAGACAATCCTCATATGAAGATTAAATTTACATTGACTAAGTTGTGAACTGGATATAGATTTTTTAACACCCTAAATTTTAACAAACAAAAATAGCAAAAAGTCACAAAATTTGACTGAAATATCAGCAGTGGGATGGGACAAATTGCTCTAAATAGATTGGGGGTGAAGAGCAAACTGTTTTATTTCTTTTATTCTAGGGAAAACATGGTTTTCTGAAATATTGCACCCTAAATATTCCTCTTATTGGTCCAGTGTGTGCATCTTAAGAGCAGTTGCTTTCATTCAGGCCTCCAAAACCTCATGTCATCCACAAGTTTGCACCATTTAACCTCAGAGTTTACAATTTGTTTTATGGGTAATGAAGAATATAAATAAAATATGTTTGTTTTATTAGCCTTTTAAAAAGGCTCATGATTTGTTATTCATTATTTTTTATTTATTTATTTTTTTTTGAGATGGAGTTTTGCTCTGTCGCCCAGGCTGGAGTGCAGTGGAGCGATCTCGGCTCACTGCAAGCTCCACCTCCCGGGTTCACGCCAATTCTCCTGCCTCAGCCTCCCGAGTAGCTGGGACTACAGGCGCCCACCACCGTGCCTGGCTAATTTTTTGTATTTTTAGTAGAGACAGGGTTTCACCGTGTTAGCCAGGATGGTCTCGATCTCCTGACCTCGTGATCCGCCCGCCTCGACCTCCCAAAGTGCTGGGATTACAGGCGTGAGCCACTGAGCCCAGCCTGTTATTCATTATTTTATGTCGTTAAGAAAATAAAAGTATAAATTAAAAATCTTTATTTATCTCAATTTCGTGTTGAATGTACTTTAAACTGTCTGTGTACAGAACACCCATTAAATGCATCTACTTGTTTTGGAATTCTGTGAATATTTGAGACACCAAGAATAAGGTTTATATCAATACACAGAGTGTTTAAGTAAAGTCTAATTCCAGATATATTTAACCCAGTTAGAAAAAAAACTGTCTATAGAGGTGCATGATTTCAATTATATTTATTCTGCTTGTTCATTTATTTAATTTATAAAATTTGACTTATTTAACTTAATTTTTAAACAGTTTTAATTTTAATTTGCAATTATAAAATGTTGCAAAATCAGGACAAAGAATTCTCACATGCCATATGCTCAGCTCCCCCATATGTTAACATCTTACATAGCAAGAGTACAATTTTCAAAACTGGGAAGTTAGAACTGATGTGAAGCTGTAAGTGATTAATCCACACATGGGATGCTCATTTTGTCATTGTCTCTTTCTACTGTCTTGTCTTCTGTGTCTGAATTCATTTAATTGTTATATCTTCTTAGCTTCATTTATTCTGGAATATTCCACAGTCCTTTTATTCTTTCATGATGTTGACACTTCTGAACAGCACTGGCCAGTTATTTTGTACAATGTCCCTCTGTTTTTATTTAATTATTCCTCATGATAAACTTCAGGTTATACATTTTTGTGCCTTTTATTTTTAGATATTTTATGATGTGTTATTTCATTATTTCATATTTAACTACCTTGAAGCTCACTTACAAGACTAATAATTTATTGCATTTTGCCATTTCATTTAAATTTGCTTGAGTGAAAAAATAGTATAAAGGAAAAGTTCTTTTTTTCAAATTGTGAACAATTGTTTCACTTTTTTCTTTTTTTATATTCATTGTGTACATGTGCTGGTTTGTTACATAGGTATATTGTGTGATGCTGAGGTTTGGGATGTGATTGATCCAATTCCTGTGCTCAAGCAATCCTCCCACCTCAGCCTCCTGAGTTGCTACAACTACAGGTGTGCACCACAACATCCACAAAATGATTTTATTTTGCATATTTTTAGAGATGGGGCCTCCCTTTGTTGTCCAGGCTGGTTTCAAATTCCTGGACTCAAGCAATTTTCCTGCCTAAGCATCCTAATTAACTGAGTTGATAGGTGTGAGCCACTGCACTCCGTTAAGAATAAACTTCTTAATAACTGGGATTTTAAGGGAATTCTATTTGTTCATTATTAACTTTTCCACTCTGTGGAATATTATAGCTGTATTTCTATTTTACTATATTTTCATTGTTTCTGAATTGTATGTTACTTCTTGCTGTTGTAAGTTTGAGACAGAACCTCAATGTTACTATAAAAAACACATAGGAATGTTCAGGTAATGTGATCTTTCCATTGATCTATTCATTATATTAATTGATAATTTATAAAATAAATCTATGCATTGTAATTGAATTAGTAAAGAATTTTAAATCCATTTTAGACTACCAAAATGTGTTTTCAGAAAAGAAAAATAGTTCAGTTTTTCAAAATATGTTTTTGTTTGTTTGGTCCAAGGAAAGAGGGACATCAGGAAGGATGGGAAAAGAAGAAGCCACAAAGCCCTATTTCCTTCCTATAAAGTCTTGGTAGGAAAAAAAGGGTCCACTACCACTTGTAGCTAGGAGCAGGAAACCAGACTGAATTGGGAGCCAGTGACAACCAGAAGCACGGACCACACTGCAATCATTTTCAAGGAAGATAGAGTAGCAATGAGGCAATATTATGTCCTCAGAGAGGCAGTGGCAGCACTGACAAGCAAACTTGACAATTGTCATCCAAAGCCAATGCCTGTGGGTACAGCATTGCAATCTCTATGGTCAAAAGTGTTGTGGCCCCACTGGAAAGTCCTGGAGTATGTTTGCTGTGACCGTTGATGTTTTGCCATCTCTTCTTCCTGTTTTATCATCCATGCCCATTTCTGCAGGTTTCTTTGCATTTCTGCATTGGTAAATGCTTTTTTTAATGCTTAAGTCAGATTTCTCATGTGCTCAACCATAAATGCTGGTTAATACCCCTAGTAAGTGACATGACTAGAAATTTGATGTTTTTCTCAGTTGGTTTTAAATATGTTTTATACACTGCTTAATTTGCATGGTGCTGTATATTGTCTTGACATCCATCTATACAGTTGTGAGTTTTTAATATTAGCAGATTACATTTAACATATTATCACTGTATAGTATATCTGCACACACACACATTCCAAAACAAAAGTTTTAAATATATGCATTAAAACTTACCATGTAATTAAGTTTTATAATTTAAAGCAGGAGTCCCCATTCCCTGGGCTGCAGACCAGTATTGGTTTGTAACCTGTTAAGAACCGGGCTACACAGCATGAGGTGAGTGGTAGGTGAGCTCTGCCTCCTGTCAAATCAGAGGCAGCATTAAATTCTCATAGGAGCCCAAACCCTATTGTCAACTGTGCATGTGAGAGATTGGATGGCCTGCTCCTTATGACAATCTAATGCCTGATGATTTAAGGTGGAACAGTTTCATTCTGAAACACCTCCCTCCCCTATCCCATGAAAAATTGTCTTTCATGAAACTGGTCCCTGGTGCCCAAAATGTTGGGTACTGGTGATTTAAAATACTTTGGGAGATTACACACTAATCTCAAAAAGCCAGTCAATTGCTAGAATATTTTGTATATATTAATTTAGAATAAAGTAGAAATCAGTCTCTATTTTATCATTCTGCTATTCTGCAACCTCTTTCCCCTGTTTTTTAAATGGGTATTCCTTGCATTGGTCATTTTTATATTTATCAAACCAAATCTCAGGACATTTATATTTATAAAATTAAATCATTTTTAAAGATGACCACTGGCTGTCATTGTCTATATACAAAATTCTATATGAAGACCTTTGGTGACCATGCATCTCTGCATCCTGGCTCTTGGCAAGTTTTCTTTCCCAAATGGGACTTTTACTTGGCCTGGCAGTTATCACTATCTTACTCTTGAAATGGTACCTCCTTGAAGGTTGCTTTTTGGAACCCAGCCCTTATGCTATCAGGACTCTGCAGCAACGAGAAGAAGAGGCCACTGAAAGAGAATCCAGCCTCTCTGGTCAACAGCAGTAGCTTAACCCTCCGTCAAGCCTACGGTTGGATACGATTGCCCTGAAGTCCCATCTAAGTCCACATGGAACAGAACAGTCCAGTAAGCCCACATGAGGCTGACAAACAGTAAGTCATCACTCTAAATCATCAAGAAGTGGGATGGTTGTTACACAACTGAAACAAGTCCTAAGCAAATGCTTGTTGTTTAGAAATCAACAGGAAAAAGATAACCATATAAATTGTGTTTTTATTTTCAGCTTCCCTTTTTACTTTCATGGCTACCCCCAGGTATTATAGCATCTTTTTCAATATATTTTTCCTATTTACATATATTTTCTCCAGTGACACTTTAATTTTTTCTAAAAGGGTCTACTATACTACACTTTTTAAACTAATGTCAATTACCAAAGACTTTCACTGCCTCTTTCTTCTTTTAAGATTTTAAAATTTGAAACGTTATATTCTTTAAAGCAGCACAAACTAACAAGCCAACAACTTGAGAAAATATATTATGTATATTTTAATTTTTATAATATAATCATTATATTACATGATGACAAAGTAAATCAATTTTTCTCACCCTTGTCTTCATATTCCTCTTCTGTCTATCTAATCACAAAGACAATCAAATATCAATTCAGTGTTTAATGCAGAGGAAAAAATTTATGTAAGAGGTTATAACTGACAAAATGAAACTATACAATCTTTTGAAACATAGCATAAAGTTTTAAATATTAGATTCATTAATATGAAAATTGATTCTGTCTTTTTATTATATTGACCCTTTAGGCTTAATAAGACCAACCACCACCCCCAAAATTAAAATAAAACCTGGCTCTACTTCCAGTATAAGTACCAATAGCTGAAGCTCGTGGCATTACTAAGTAATTGTACTTACGGCTATATGATCTATTATGCTTCTCATTGTGTGAAACTCTGCCTACTTAAAGCTATATTTTATTTTTCTTCCATCGTGAAGATCAGATCTAGAGATGATCCAGAGAACAGCTTTAGTTAACAAGAAGGACTCTTATTTTTTCCACCCATGACCAGGCAATTTTTTTTACTTGTTCTTTCTGTACGCTGTGTAACCTCACATCAAAGCATGTTTCCAACTCTGCTAAGTGACACTTTATTGTATCTAAATCTGAATAGGGCTTACTCTCTGCCCTTATTTGTAACCCTTACCTGACCTTTTCCATGTTAGCTTGCAGTTGCATTATCACCACCACGATGACAGCTCCATTTTGTTTTTTTAGCTGTCATTTTCCCAACATTCCATTAGTTCTTCAGATTGCCTTGTGCTTCCAACGAATCATTACAACATATTTATTGATTAGACTTCTCTCCAGATACAAGGTGTTTAAACATGAGTTATCAAGATAAAACAATACATATTTTATGTTTATTTTGATACAAAAAAATCTATTTTCCAAATTAAGTAATACTCTCACATGAATTTACTATTACCTATTCAGCCAAATATTCCAGCAAGTCAACTTATAGGTTACAGAAACTTTTGAAAGAAGTCCATTAAGTAATTTAAAGGTATTTGCTAACTGAAGTTTTCTATTTTTATTACCTAAGAATAGGGTCGGCCTGTACAATTATAAATAAATCATGCATCTTTAAGCTTACTGAATTTTTAAAAACTTTTCATAATTTAAAAGTTATATGATCCATTATATGTTTATTTTGTCATTATTTATGCTACATAATATCTGTGTACAAATCACAAAATTATATTGAACCCAACAGAACTTATGTAAGATAGGAAGGGGATATATTGCCAGGTAATTTTGGAACTCCAGAAATTGTCTTTGAGTGTGGAAACAGGAGTCCTAAAGCCACCCACATACCACCACATGTTAGTTTCTTTCAATTTCTCTGCATCATGTTTAGTACCTTGTAAATAATATTTTGTATGAACAATGCACCAAGTGAAATAGACGAATTGAGCTGCAGAGAGACTGATAAAACCAAGAGGCAAGGATTCTCAAAGGAGAGTATCTCAGAGAAGAGTGGTGGAAAAAGGTAGAAATCTGGAGATCTACATAAGATCGCCTTCAGGTACTCAACTGACTATTGATTCTTGCATGAATGTATAGACACTATCTAACATATGGAAAAAAAGATTTTTTATAGGAAAAAAGAAAGATTTTAAAGTAAGATTTTGTATAATTTAAACTTTCAATCATTGACATTTATGACAAAGATTTTAATATATTTGCAGAAAAAGTCACTCTTGAACATCTCTTTCATTTGTGCTATCAATTTGCCTCAATGTTTTGACTGCAGGTACCATAATATTTCAACATTATATCTGGAAATTTTTTTGATACTCACTTCTTTCTAAATCTAGCTATCATTATAATTATTTGAATAGTAGGAATCATAATCACCATAATTTATTGAGTTACAAAATTCAAGAATGACTGATTATAACAGGTTTAAATTTTACCACAGTTTACATCACATGTACCAGTAGAATATATATATTCTACTGTAGATATTCTACTACATATATTCTACCAGTAGAATATATATATATACATTATGTATAGAATATATATACACACGCATTATATATAATGCTTATATATCACATAATACCTACATGTATGAATAGATGACTAGAAGTGATAAGAATATATGTCCTTGTCTGATCTTAGGTTAATAACATTCACTTTTTCATCACATAGATGGCCTCTATCTTATTTAGGACACTCCCTTGCACTCCTACCTTATAGAAAATTTTGAACAGGCATAGGTGTTGGATTTAGTCAAATGATTTGTCCAAGTATATTGAAATGATATACCAGATTTATCCTTAAGTATTGCGTATTTTGAGATATTTTGATACATTTTTAAATTCACTAATTCTTACTCAATATTTAATCAGTTGTTTATCTTATCCATGGAGCACTCTCATCACACATTGAAGTTTTCATCTTTATAAGATTAATTTGGAAGATATATACATATGTGTGTGTTTATATGTATGTGTATACATATATCCCAATTATAATTTATATGATTATACTTATACAATTATAAATAGTATTACATTTATAACTAAAATCAAAATGGTTATTATAAATATTCCATGTGTTTAAAAAGTTATGAAATATTTATAATAGCTATTTTGATTTCCTTATCTGATTTTAAGATATCTATTTCAGTTCTGGTTTGATTTTGATTTATTTCTTCATGACACGTTGGTGTTTTCAACTTTTTGCATGCCTAATAAATTTTGACTGGATGTTAGATACTGTGAGTTTTACTTTGTTTGTTGTTGGACAATTTTATATTCCTTAAACGCGAAGTTTTGTTCAGGGATGCAATTAATTCACACAGAAATAGTTGGATCCTTTGTGTGTTGGCTTTAAGATATTTTTTTCTTCAGGTCTGGAGCAGAGCTTAGACTAGTTCTAATTATCTGCAACTACTAAGGTAAGAGTCTTTGTGTACTTCACTCTATGCCCCATGAATCTGGAGACTTTCCATTTTGGCTAGTGGAAATGTACACTATTTCTGACCCTGTATGAACACAAAGCATTTTTAGTTCTAATCCTTCTGACTATTTCTTTCCATATGTTAGAGAGTGTCTGTACATTCGTGCAAGAATCAATAGTCAGTTGAGTACCTGAAGGAGATCTTACACAGATCTCCAGATTTCTCTCTTTGTCCACCACTCTTCTCTGAGATACTCTCCCTTGAGAATTCTTGCCTCTTGGTTTTATCAGTCTGTCTGCAGCTCAATTCAGGCAATCTTCCAGGCTCAGTCTTGACTCTCTCTCCTTGTATCCAAGTCAAGAAACTCTTCTACCAGTAGACACTGCTGTCTGTTACCTGACATATAGTATCTTGTAACTCATTTTTTCTATATATTTTGTACAATTTTAGTTGTTTCACATAGTAAGATAAATCCAGTACAAGTTCATCTTGTCCAAAAGTGGAATTCTCTGCATTTATATAAAATAAAAGATGAGTATGATATACTATCTAAGAATATCAACTGGCACATTTTCTTTCTGAAAACATTTCTTTAAAAATATCTGTTTCTAGATAAAATTAGTTAATAACATTGGACTTCTTTCTTACTTCCTTATTTAACAAATTGCATCTGTTCATAGTAGACTTCTGTCATGTTTGGGAGTGAGAGTGTCAGAGGGTGAGCTACAGCTTCATGAAGATGAGAGCCAAACTACTCCAAGAGGGGAAAGGAAATATGAATTGGCATTAAAGAAAGCAGAATAAAACAACCTTATAAAATATTTAAAAGGCTTCTGGGTTTATAAAATTTGGAGTAGAGATGAGAATCTCTGTAAAAATGAAACACATAAAAGACAGTAGCTTTTGGAGAAGTAAAGAAAATTAAAATAGTATTTAATATTCACGCTAAAATCAAGTACAGGATTCCATATAAGTATTGAGCTACTAAACGGTAGAATGTTTAATTTTCACAGGTTTATTCCATACTGTAACAGTATAAAAAGTATTCCATTCATCTTTTCCTAGAAAAATAGGGATTTGAAAAAAATATTTTATTATAGTTAAGCAAGACATTGGAAGACATGATAGATATTTTGATAATTTTTTAAACTTTTATTTCAGGTTCGTGGATACATGTGAAAATTTGTTCCATAGGTAAACTCATGTCATGGGTGTTTGTGGTACATATTACTTCATTGCCCAGGAATACCTGGGCGATTTCATCATCCGAAATTAAGACCAGCACTCAATAGTTATCTTTTCTGTTCCTCTCCCTCCTACCACCCTCAAGCAGACCTCAGTGTCTGATGTATCCTCCTTTGTGTTCAAAAGTTCTCATCATTTAGCTCCCACTTATAAGTGAGAACATGCAACATCTGATTTTCTGTTCCTGCATTAGTTTGCCCGCTAATGGCCTCCAGCTCCATCTGTGTTCCCACAAAAGACATAATCTCATTCCTTCTTTGGCTGCATAATATTCCATGGTGTATATATACCACATTTTCTTTATCCATTCTGTCACTGATGGGCATTTTGGTTGATTCCATGTCTTTGCTATTGTGAATAGTGCTTCAGTAAACATTTGCATGCATGTATCTTTATGGTGGAATGATTTATACGCCTCTGGGTATATACCCAGTAATGAGATTGCTTTTTCATTTTTTTAAATATCTAAACAATAGTGCTTTCTTGATAAAAGGTTAGTTTAAATGGATACAAAATTGCTGTGTAAAATAAGTGCTTTCAAAATACATTTCTATAGGTAGAGACTATCTCATAGTAAAAGAGCAGTTATCTATTATCAAATGTATCTATTTAGATTTGGGTAGTAAAGCCAAAGGGGATCAGAAGTGTAGCAGTGTGGGTCCTCCCTCCCTGCATAGCTGTTACAAGGAGGCAGCGTGCCTGAAGTACTTTCACTCATGTATGTGGGGCTTTGTCACTAGCAAACTTGTTTTTCTTTTTTGCAGATTTTCCAGCAAAGTTATTAAATGTCAAACTCAAATAATGGACTCTGCATGGATGTACTCTGAAGTCATGGAACACTTTTTCTTAGTTACCTTCACACAAGAAGCCATAACATATAGCTTTTGGCTATTTACAATTAAGCAACAATGAAGGGCAAAGTTAGCAAGAACACCAGATTATTTTCTGTAGCACATCTTCATAACTATTATTATTTAACTGCCTCATTTTATGTTTTTTCTAGCCCCCACAAAAAACAAAAAACCCTGTCTCATCCTCAGATTAAGCATTTTCTCCATCTCCCTACACAACCATTGTTTCCTTTCATCTGTCACTTTCTGGGGTTGGATTTCCCAACTTCCGTAGAAATGATAAAAAAGGCAACCGCTGGAGTGCACCACAGGGAGACACAAGAGGAAAGGTGACACTAAGGCTACAGTGCACAGAAAACAGACCAGGTGTGGCTTCAACTGTGCGCACCTGCCCACTAGCCTATGCTACAGATTTGAAATGTCTTTCACTTTGACATGACACACAGTTTATATTACACAAAATGAATGAAATGACAATGGCTAAAAATAAATGAGACAGCCTGCATACAAAAAAGTGATTACTGCTACTTTCCTCCCATCAGAAAATGACTCAAAAAGAGAGTATTTAAAGGAAACCCAAATCAGGAGAACCCGGTAGGCATCAGAGGTTCAGGGCACCAAGGCCTTAGGGCAGGAACACTTTTCAACGCAATCCGGGCTTCAAGGGCACGCCCACCAACAGACCCCAATTTCCACAGGGGAGGCAGATCTTCTATACCTACAGTTACAGAAAATACACTAAAGTGCAGTATAAAATATAAAAAGTTGGATTCTGAATAGACCAACTGCTAATTTTCCTTAAAAAAATTTTTAATTTGGTTGAGTAAAAATAGTTTAGTGAATCTCATTTTGTAGGTAAGAATCCTATTTGCAATACGAAAACGAGCTCATGACTATTGTGCCTGTCATTGCAAAAGCTGACACTCTCACCCTGAAGGAACGGCAGCGGCTGAAGAAAAGGATTCTGGATGAAATTGAAGAACATAACATCAAAATCTATCACTTACCTGATGCAGAATCAGATGAAAATGAAGATTTTAAAGAGCAGACTAGACTTCTCAAGGCTAGCATCCCGTCCATCCAGAGATTGGATCCAACTGTCCAGGAAGCATCCTTGAAAATTCTGGGGATATAACTCTCATATACAAACACACTTATATACTCATCAAAACAAAGAACAAAATATTAATATACAAATAAATAATCATATACATAAATACATATTCAGATTAGTAGTAAGTGGCAAGAAGGGAAAATAATAGGGTTTGGAAGCTAATGGTTAGAGTGGACGGTGACAATAACTACAGCAACCAGATATCTGAGTCGAAAATAATGACAATGAGTCAGTATGAAAAATTCCAGCCAAACATTCTAGGCCAACAGCAACCATTGGGACTTCCAGCAATGATGAACATGTTCAATATATGTGATATCCAATATGCTAGTCATTAGGAACATGTGCCACCTGGCACTAGAATTATGGCTGTTTAACTGAGAAATGAGAGTTTAATTGTCTTTGATTGATTTAAATTCAAAATACCCCAAGTAGCTAGTGTCTAATCTATTGGAACAGCACAGCTCTAGGCCCAAGAACAATAGCTCTTCGTGTGGGAATTATTTAGCCACATTTGAGGAAAAGAAGAGAGATCAGTGTTAGTAGCTTACAGGAAGCATGGTTGAAATTGTACCAACATGGGAGTTTGGAAAGGAACAGGAAACATGCAGAGTGATCTAAGCCATGTTGAGTAGTAAGGTTTCAATCAAATTAAGGTAGCCATTGATGTTTTTAAAATTAATTTTATTAAGGTGGAAGGTACATAAAATAATGTTAATTTCTGTCTCATGATAGTATATATTTTCAAGAAGCAGAAACCACTCTGACTAGTTTAAGCAGAAATGGTAGAAATATATGGAGATGCCGACTTGCCATGAGGCTAATGAAGCTTGTTTTAGAGGCTTTCATTTGTACTGGTTTTAAGGCTTAAGAGAGGACGTTGCATTATATTCTCTTGGTTAAAAATTTCCAAATGAAGATATTTTATCTGCATATTAATACTCTTTCCCCTTTCCTCTCTTCCTTCTCCTCCATCATATTTGGAGATTTACTTATGGAAAAACTGAATTTAACATACATTTATTTAGCCTTGGTGGGATACATTTATATGGATCATTTCCAAGTAATGTTAAACTCTTGCTAACTCTTTCAGTTTGGAAACAGCATTGAGGAATAGTCCTAATCACCAACATTTGAAAATCCTAACTCACCCTATGAAAGTTCAAGGCCAGCATTTACATCAAGATATAAACAAGTACTATGGCTCCTGTCACTGGGAGAATGTCTGCAACAGAGGATTAAATAATAGTTGAAGTATATAGACACAGAAGTATTTCAATCATTGTGTGCAAAAGTCTAAGTGACGATGTGTTCCTCATCAATGTCTAAACAGAACAGAAGTTCTTCATGTCAGAAATATTAAGCATCAAATAAAATTAGATATGTTATGTGTGTGTACATGTGTGTAAACACATATGTAAATTTGTGTGTGTGATGAATATATTGTCATATATACACACACATATGGTATATATGTAATATAAATCTATTGTAGATAAAAATTGTGCCCAATAGAGTTTATCAGAATTTCAGAATCTTGTTTTGAAAGGCAGAAAATGATAACAGTGTTACAAACAATGGATGTGGCTTTATGCATATAAATCATGTTTTATGCATATAACTCTCAAAATTAAAAAGAATAGTCAAGCAATCATGCTAGAGGCAGGAATAAATTATATCTATTGTCTCTGCATAAAATGATATTACAAAGTTATTGTCATATGAAGAAGTGATCAAAGTTAGTGGTTCCAAAAAAAGAAAATGCTTAGAAGTATATAAAACACATATTTTTAAGTTATATTAATTTTTCTATACTTTCTGATATTGTTTTATAGTTTTGTTTTTTGTTTGTTTTTTAGACGAAGTTTCGCTCTTGTTGCCCAGGCTGGAGTGCAGTGGAGCGATCTTGGCTCACCGCAACCTTCACCTCCCGTGTTCAAGAAATTCTCCTGCCTCAGCCTCCTGAGTAGCTGGGATTACAGGCACCCACCACCACGCCCAGCTAGTTTTTTGTATATTTAGTAGAGATGGGTTTTCACCATGTTGACCAGGCTGGTCTTGAACTTCTGATCTCAGGTGATCCACCCGCCTCAACCTCCCTTGTTTTATGGTTTTTAAAATTTATATTTTGTCATTTTTTCTCCTTCTAATATTTACCTTCATTTCTACTTCTATATACAAACTTTTGTATTTTATCCTTTGTAGTCGACTTTCAAATAGTTCTCATGAAACCTATATCCACCCATGAATAAATATAAGTTACTTTAATATCTTTGAGACTGAGAGAACAGTCTGTATTGTCTTGGCTTTAAGGAATGACTCCCAGAAAAAAAGACCACAAGAATAACCAAAGGAAAGGTAGTTACTACATGTGCTACAATGGGGGAATAGATAATCAAGAAGCTTCTGTTGTAACTGTCATGTCACAGCACACACCATCATGGATGCAATCTAGGGATCAAAAAGCTACTGCTCTCAACCCTGAAACTGCTTCTCTAGACCCATGATACTCATCATCTGACCCTGGAACTCTACCAAAGAAAAATCCATGTCTCCGTGATCCGTCTGGGTGGTAAGAAATAGCTGAAACAGAATGACAATGTCCTCTGCCTGAACTCTGCTTTTCAAATAGCACATCTCATTGCCAGAATCCAATTCTCATGCAGAATAGTCTATAAGACAGAGTGGGAAATGTTGTTTTTAGCTTTTCAGCTTCCATGGTACAAAAGGACACTAAAAATTCACACTGCTGGCCAGTCTCATGTTAGCCTATTTCTGGAGCATCTCCTTCAATACAATGCTTCAACATCTTTTAAAATAACAACAGCCATCCTTTGACATCATGCCTTCCTCCAACTATAATCTTATTGTTCTGGTGTATTTTATAGAAAAGCGCTTTGAAAAAAGTTTTCTGGACTGTTCCACTTCCACATGCCCCAGATATTCCTCATGTTCCTCCAATTTGGCTTTGATATTTCTCACTTTATTTAAAATGATTTTGCCAGAAATGAGTCAAGTTTTGTGTTACAAATTTAGTGTCAAATTATTGCTGTGATTTTCTCAAATTTTCTGTAAGATTTCATACAGTTGATTACTCCTTTCTCTCAATTCATCTGTTTTTCTATGATATCACATGTCCTTAGTTTTTCTCCTACTGCATTATTGTCTCTAGTTTTTGTCCTATCTGTTTTAGTTCCATTTTTTGGCTTTTTAAATACACATACACAAACACACACACACGTACACACACACACCCATATTCTCTCATACAAACTTTCTGCTTTTTTGTGGTAAATCCATTTCATTGGGTATACTTTGTCTTATATCTTAGATTACATTTTTCCATTGAATATTTTATTTAATAATTTGAATATTCTTCATTTGTAGGAGAGGCTTTTTGTACTAGTCTATTTCGGCTGGGTGGCTTAAGCAATAGAAATGTATTTTCTCGCAGGTTTCTTTTTGTTTTCTACAGCAAAGTTTCATTAGCTGTGAAAATTGAGGAGATAAAGACAGGCAGTTTTATTCCTATGGCAAACTAATTTTTTGTTTCTTTTGTGATTAGTAAGTCATTACACCCTACTCACTTCTCTACCTAGCAATGAGTACCTTCAATCAAAGAACAATGTGATAGAAGATGTTTTCTCCCTCTTTAAGATTCTCATACCATATTTACCTTGAAGTGTGTTAGCATTCCACATTCCTAAATCCAGCTGTAGGGTTGATTCATATGCATATCAACTGCCCCTAAATTTATTCTATACTCTTTGTCGTCTCAGATGAATCTATGTTTGATATGTGATTCCATTGACTTGTTGCAAATGAGAACTGATATAATGCCAGGGAAAATGGGCATAATATACTTACCACCATCTTAGATATTTCATTCTTCATACTTGTTGTGACAATTAGTGGTTAGATAGGTTATGACTCCTAGTTCTATAACTGGGATGACTATCTGTCCTTGGAGCTTTCAGTAACAAGAACCTGCTTTTTTACTATTCTATTCATGTCAAATGAAGCTGTACCATTTTGAGTACATCGTAGACCCTGAAATATACATATGTTAGAACTTGGTGTTCTTCCAAATTTTTCATATAATTGAGTTTGACTTATTTCCACAATTGTTCTAAAGTTTCCCTCTGCCTTTCAGATGGTTTGGTTATTTTTGATTCTGCTAGAGATTCTATCTACTCACTTTAAGTTATTTTCTTAACATACATAAATACTGACAATTTTGATCATTATCTGAAGCGCGATTTATCTTAAGAAGAAAAAGAAAAGAGAAAAACTCAATTTATCAAAGACTCTAACCAGTGGATCTTATCATATACTATTTATACATTTGTTTAAAAATGAAAATTAAAATATTCCCCTCTCATTTATTCCTTTGTCCATTTCAATGCGAATTTTCAAAGGGAGAAGAAATCACATACATGGTTGAAATGCCGTCTTCAACGAAAATCAGAAACTTCATGTGCAATGATAACGTAAGATATATTTTGAGAGTTGATTTATGGAATTAATATGTACAATAAATATGATAAATTTTCACCTATCTGGGTGAGTTAAGCAAGACTATGCATGAAAAATCAAAAGGTGTTACTCAACTAATTACAAGTTGAAAGTAGAAATCAGAGATAACCACAGCAAAATGGGCTATAAATCAATTACAGGGCTCAATTGAGGGGGGAATCTCCATAGGAAGGGGAGATATTCCTGAATTATGCATAAGGTTGACGGTTGTTGGCTTTATTTTGCATTCTGGGTTCCTATTAGTGCACTGTTTACAGGTATATTATGATAGAATTGAAGAATCTTAGATAGAATCTCCTGAATTCATGCACCTTTTTGATGCCACGGCATGGCAATTATGACAGTGGAACTAGGAAAGATTTAGCTTGTCACCAAGAAAAAAAAAAAAAGGAATGTGATATATGCATTGAAATAAATGTCCTGAACATGCTGAGCATTTTATATTTTCCTACTCCAATTGGCCTTCTTGTAGATGTGGGCCATGTCATAAATAAGGTGGTGTTCTAATATATTTTGCATGCCTTCTGACAATCCCATGGAGACCTTATAGAAAAATGATTCTGTGACAAGAGTTTTTTTCCTCCTTACTTGAATTAGAATCATCAGCAATATTTAACTTCATAAAGTCTGTTATACTCACTAAAAATAGTTTTCACTTCATTGAGGAAAGCATTTTTCATATTGCAAAAATATAAGATAATTTTTCATCCCTCAACAAATGGAAGACTGTGATGTTTAATCACTTGAAATCACATAGATTACTTAAAGGATGCTTCTATACATATCAAAATATGGAAGCAATGTGGACTCCTTCCAAGATAAGGAATATTTAGAAAGAAACTTTCTATCTTTGCCATATATATGTGTGTGTGTGTACATATATACATACTATATATAATTCAGGAGATTGTAAATTTGCTATCAAAATTATAGATATTTTATTATTTTTAAAAGTAGTTATATATTTATCAGATGAAATAACCAAATTTTTATTTTTATTGATACCACCAGAGGGTTTATGATTCTTTTACCCCAAAAAAAATCTAATTAGTGACTGAGTCTTATCCATTATAATTATAATCATTTCCCCATTCTCTACTTTGTACTTTACTGTTATCTCTTCATGCTTGAATGTTTATTTAGCAGTTTTAAAAATGAATTATATCATTCCTGTACAGCCTAAACTCTCTTCTAGGATAACTTCTTTCTTCTTCTTCAAGAGCCATTCTCTTTCCATATTGCGATTCATTTTTCATACTGTGATAAGTCAATACTCCTAAAATAAACCTTCTATCATGCCACATCTCGGCTCAAAAATGTTTAGTTATTTCCTATTGCCTACAGGATAAATTGCACTCTGAGCCTGACACTCAAAGCTTTCAAAAATGAAGACTATATGATCTTCTCAGAGTCCCTAAACTCTAAAATGTTAATTCACTCAGGCTAAAAGTTTCAATCACTTAACTCAGAACATACTTTTTAGTCTTCCCACTTTCACATATCTACAGTTGCCACCACTTTTCTCTTAGCCAGTATAAATCTGAACCATGTTTCAGGAACCAGCTCAGATTTCTTCTCCCCACAGTACATGGTAAGGTGTTCTCTCTATCTTCCAACACTCTATAGTAATTAATTCTCATAAATTTTGAACCAAGCAATAATTTGCTGAATTGAGCTGTTTCATTGCCATTTTAAATAACATTCAGAATATCTAATTTGCTCTAAACATTTTACATAAGTTAAGTCTCATCTTTCTAATACCTTCAGTGAACTTTACAGGCACTTAGGTATTCTAAAACACCTATTTTTATGTAATACATTCAAAAGCAATGCGGCTAACAAATTATTTTACTACAGAGAAGTAAATCACATGGCCATACTATAAAACATAAAATGAGGCACCTACGCTATTATAGGCTTTGTAGTAATCATAGAATGCATATTTATCCAGCTTATGCAATATATTCAATAGTGCTGTATCACCTTGCCAAATAATCAGAATTAAGCTTACCACTGTTAAAATTCAACCTCTTATTGTCAAAGGATGAGTTTATTTTTCTATTTTCATGCTCATCATATATTTTGATGAAGCTAGATTGTTCCTGGACAATAAAGAAGCAGAAATCTTTATTGCTCTTAGGTCCTGTACCTCTGCCTCAAGTACTTGGAATCCTAAGCCAAACTCTGTGATATTTGGTTTTCCTACTTTCTTATTTTTATAGAAGGCAAGCCATAGCTCAGGGGATGAGAGTAAGACTGTGGATATAGCTGGAACTCATTATTAATCAGACATCTATATTAACCACAGCCATTAAGCTACCGTCCTAGAACTTAAATAAATAGAAGAAAAGCTCCTGCAAATGTACACTGTTATTATTGATTTTCTTGATATTTTAAGATTTTTGTTATAAAACATAAGCCTTGATGAGAACCATATGAAGAATTTATTTTCTTGAACCAGAAGCAGCTTATCCTTTCCCCAGGATATACCTAAAAAAGAACAAACCAGAATTTACTCCTTAAACCCTTGGAGCTGAGTTCATTTAAAATAGCCACCCGAGGATTTGGACTTTTCATCTTGACTTCTCCCACCTTACCAATCTTCAGCCTTGTGAGAGTAAGACAACAATTGGAGAAAAAGAGCTCAAGGGAAGATAGTAACTACTTAACCAGGGGGGTTTAGCTGCCATCCTAGATATGTTGAAAACTCTGATCCCAGGCACCAAAGCCCATTTAATGTCCTTAATTTTGTCATGTTACCATAGTTCCAACCTTATATCATATAATTATAAGTTATATTATCTATTTATGAGAGTTTTCTAGTTAGAGTCCTGAGTCTGTTTCATGCATTAGTAAAATTAATCAGAGATTATTGAATATCCACCATATACTATAAATTGATAGATTTTGAGAACACAAAGTAAAAAAAAATACTGAAGTGCATATATTTCTTATTCTAAATAAAGGGAAAATATACAACACATATTATATAATTTTTATTTTATATTCTACTGCTATGAATAAACTACCACAATAATAAGAAATATGAAAGTCCAGATAAATGAATGAGCTAATATTCTTGTGGCAGAATAATATTTGCCATCATCATTATGTAATAATAATAAGAAAAATAAGAATAAGAAGAGGAAGAAGAAGAGGAGGAAGAAGGAGGGGAGGAAAAAGAAAAGGAAGAAATAGTAATAACAAAATTCTACCAATAAAAAGTAATTATAAAAAATCAAATTGAGGACGGGTGCGGTGGCTCATGCCTGTAATCCCAGCACTTTGGGAGGCCGAGGCTGGTGGATCACCAGGTCAGGAATTTGAGACCAGCCTGACCAACATGGTGAAACCCCGTCTCTACTAAAAATACAAAAATTAGCCGGGCGAAGTGGCGCGCACCTGTAATCTCTGCTACTCAGGAGGCTGAAGCAGGAGAATCGCTTGAACCTTGGAGGCGGAGGTTGCTGTGAGCAGAGATCGTGCCACTGCACTCCAGCCTGGGCGACAGAAGGAGACGCCATCTCAAAAAATAACTAAATAAATACATAAAAATGAAAAATAAAAAAATCAGATTGAGATATTCTTTCAGTAGTTAGCACTGAGAGACAATAAAAAATAAAATAATGAAAGAGAAAATGGGGCAGAGTAATATATAAAGAAATCATAGAAACAAATTATCCCAATGGAAGAAAGACTTAAATGGTTTAAGGTCAAGATCACAACAACCAACAGACAAAAATTAACCTAATCCACATCTTGACACATAATAGTTAAATTTTAAAGTGCCAAAAGTAGGGAATATATACTGCAAAACTTTCTATAAAAACGAAAATAAAAATGTTTTAAAAGATTAGAATTCAGTTGATAGCACATTTAACAATTGTCTTTTAATTCTGAAAAACAATATCTTTTATTCCAGGGTTTGCCTTACAGCCAAAACTATCATTCATATTCGCAACTATCACAAATTGATGCTGAAATATTGGCTTTGTAATGGAGGGATTAGGTTCACAAATTAAAATCACAAATTGATCTTAGTTTCACTCTATGGATGCTACCAAATATCATTATAATTTTGTGTATGTGATGCAACAAAAAGTGCACAAATCACCCATCAGTTTGAAGGAAATGAAAGAGATAGAACTATGTTAAACAGTGCCAAAAAGAATGCAAAACTTTCCAAAAAATTATCTATTTCCATCAGTAAAAAACAGGACAGAAAGGGAAGATAAAAGGACTGTTAGATAATAGAAAAGGATTGTGCAATGGAAAACCAAAGAGAATGTTGGGTCTTGTTTGGATTTTCATTCCTTTTTTGGGACACGTAGTTTTTTCTGTTGTCCCAGGCTGGAGTGCAGTGGTGCAGTCATAACTCACTGCAGCGCTGAGATCCTTTCTCCTCAGCCTCTCAAGTAGCTGGGACTAGAGGTGCACACCACCACACGCAGGTAATTTTATTTTGTTTTTTTTAGTAGAGATTAGGTCTCACTGTGTTGCCCTGTTGTCCACGCTGTTCTCAAACTTCTGAGCTCAAGCAGTCTTCCCTTCTTGGCCTTACAAAGTGCTGAGATTACAGGCATGGGGCACCACACCTGGCCTGGATTTTAATTTTAAAAATCGGATTTCAAGGGACACTTCAAAGCCAATTTGGGAAATTTGAATGTGAACTGCATAATACATAATATTAAGTAGTTATTCCTAAAATTATTAGATGTGATAATAGCCAGGTGACCATATAATTTTCAATATTACTATCAATTAAAGTGACATAATAATAGCAGAAATTACATGACGTCCATGATTTATATTAAAATACTGTAGATAATTAAGAACTTTAAATTTGTGTAAATGGGATGGTGGGATGGGTAAGAAATGTATAAATAAAGCAAGATTACTAAACTTTTGATAATTGTTGAAGCTGGGAAATAAGTAGCTTGGCTTTATCGTATTACATCTCTATGTTTCTGTTTTTTTTTTTTTTTTTTTTTTTTTTTTTTTTTTTTTTTTTTTTTTTTTTTTGAGACAGAGTCTTGCTCTGTTGTCCAGGCTGGAGTGCAGTGGCATGATCTCGGCTCACTACATCCTCCGCCTCCCAGGTTCAAGTGATTCTTCTGCCTCAGCCTCCTGAATAGCTGGGACTACAAGCTTGTGCCACACCACACCAGGCTAATTTTTGTATTTTTAGTAGAGAGGGGGTTTCACCATGCTGGCCGGGCTGCTCTTGAGCTCCTGACCTCGTGATCCACCCACCTCGGCACTGTTTTAAAAGTGATTCTCAGCAACTACAACTTTTTTACATTTTAAGAAATTGTTAAAATCCGTCACCTTTGAAACCCCTGAAAGTAACCACTATTGTAGGATACATTGCTGAGAAAAGTTTAGTAAACTCAGGGGCAAGAAATAAGATACAAGAAATGATGAAAAAATAATTTAGTAAATTCATAATTGAAGAAAAATTGGTTTTCTGGATAAAAATGAAACAAGGTGAGTTGTGTACAATTTAAAAATTCTCACCTACAATTGTTACAATTTTGTAGAGGTGAAAATTAAGATTAGAGAAACGCTGTCTTGAAAGTGAATGTAATGATCAAAGGAATAGATGTATAATGCACAACTTTCATAAATAGAAGTGGTCATCAAATGGAATAAAAATAAAATAAATAATTGAATAACAGAAAAAAATAAAAACTGAATGGTTCAGAATGTGTACAGAGAGGAAGAATATAAAACTTAAACCATGATATGGAAAAGAAAAAATAAGAAAACACAATGAATAGAAACATTTCACAAACTACAATGAAGATCAACAGGATGAATTCACCAATTAAATATAGAGTCATCGTTAAAATCAATGTCAATTTATAGTATATGTACCTAAAATGAAACCACACAAATAATGTGTAAGTAGTGACACAAGACATGTACAAATAGCTTCTAGTTCTGCTTACCTTAGGCAATGAACATAAGAAAAAATAATCTATTTTTTATTATTTGAGAGATAGTAATTCATCGCATTTTTAAAGCCTCTGATTCACTAAGAATTTAATTCTATGCTGGTTTCCTAGGATGGAGAGGCCACTGTGTTTGTTTGATTGGCCACCTTGAACTGACAGTGCTTAAATCCTTTATGAAGGACATCTTATTTCATTCAAATAGCATTTTGAGGTTTACTGCTTTCCAGATTTCCTCTCTATTCTCTTTCTCACCTCTCCTCTCATTCTCACTATCCATACTCTTCTCTTTTCTCCACCCCAGTCCTTCTCTCTCTCATCTCTTTCATTTCTTAACATCACCAAAAATCTACAAGATACCAATCAACACAGTAGTCCAATAATTTGATCAAAATCACATAAATCTTTTTTATTTTAAAGTACAGCCTGATTCACAGCCTTAATCTTCTCCCTCTTACAGTATGCAGGGAGGATGTTCTGCAATAATAATATAAAGACAATTGTTTCTCAAGTTGGACATATCATTGCTCTTCATTTGTCATTGTAAATCCAAATTGGCAAATTGTAGTGTGTAATATAGACTACCCAGCTTCTTGGAAATCGTGAAGAACTTTTCTGTATTCAAGGTAATTCAAGGGCTTCCTCTCTTCTGAGTAGTACTAAAAAACATTTATTTAAATATACTATCCAATCACATTCTAGAATACATAATTACATGACACATTTCCTTCAAGCCTACTTATTATTCAAGGTAAAAATTTTCTTAGGAAATCATGAGACTGGGCATGTATCTTAAGCATATTTGTTTCAAGTTCTATGTCTGATTTTTTAATTATTTAAACAATATTTTCTCCTTCTGTTCTTGATTTCTCATTTAATCTTTTAGTTTAAATATCATTTGTTTTTACATCATTGTAATATACATAAAGCCTGTTTTTTTCTTTAACAAAGAAGAAATTAGCAATGCAATAAACCAAATTCTAAGAAAGACCCTTAGTTTATAATTCTTCTACAGTTAACATCACCCCAAGGATCTATAACTAACGTTAATTAATATTAAGCTATATCTAGGTCTAACTGTTCTAATAATAATAGTTAATACTTATTGGGAGCACATTTTATGCCAGGCACCTTGCCAAGCACTTTACATGTATTAATCTAATTTAATCATCATATTACTTTTAGGTATTATTAGTATCCTTCTTTCCAAGATGTGAAAATGGAGCAGAGAGATTAACTAATTTACTTCAGGTCACCTAAGAAGATTTATGTTATCTTAGTAATATAAATCAGCATACTATTTAGTATATCCAAGTGTAACAAATATAATATACACTAATGTTAGGAGGACAACTCTAACCCTTATCATATATAATTTTGGGAGATAATTTTACCATAAAAAGAAATAGAATCATGAATGTGCATTTAAAGATCAAATTAAAAGACATTTCTCAGACTAATGCTCTTTGAAGTAATTTTGTTATTCTTTAGTTAAAAATTCTAATTATAAAACTAAGACATCTAATATTAAGTTCAACAATCTAGAAAATAAAAAAGCAATTACATCAAAAATGAATATATACAATGCCTTTTTCAAAAGCAGAATAAATATATACCATAGAAATTATTTTTGTACTAAGGAAAGAATAAAATAAATTTCATGGTATGCCACAGAATCAAACAAATTGTTTCAGTCTGCTGAAGATTGTATTGCTTAAGGTGAAATATTCTATTTTTTGAGAATCTACATTAGAATTTTGTCATAAAGTACAAGAAAACAGAGTTCAGTCAAAGTCTAATTTACTAAGCTTCTATTTCCCCTAAAATTTAATGATTATTTGTTTACATCAAAATTCTAAGCAGCTACAAAAGTATTATAATATGAAATCAAGGAGAGTTTTATCCTTTCTTAATCTAAAACTAAACTCTTACCTTAGAAAAACCGATCTGTAACTGTTAATTCTGTGTTTTAAAAAAATGTGTTAAGAAAGGAAGTAACAGAGAATTATGGAATTAAAATCTTCTTTTAATATTTGGAATGTAAACAACAATTTGGCATGTTGAAATGAGCTTACAATTCCAAAATAATAAGAATGGCAATGTGTTGGTAGGTCAGAAAGCAGCAGCTACCATTTGGACTAAATTGAAAAATGAATATTGACCATTTACTAGGAAGACAATGAAAGCATAATATAATTTTAGTGTTCTCCTTTCTTTTATGAAAATCAATGGATGATTAAGTTTGTGCAGTTTCAAAATTTAGGATGGATATTAAGTTTCATAACATTTAAAATCCAAAAATTATGTAACTTGTATTTTTATCACTGAAGAGTCATTTTTAATATTGGAAGTTAATTAAATTTGCTGTTCCAAACCATTAAGTGTAATATCAATAACAATTTCTGTTCTCAGAAGTATAACGTTGAAAGTCTAGATAATGAAAGAAAATAAAAGACAGTAACCTTTTTCAAAACCAGAAAAAATATATAGTTGTCACCAGTGTCTTTACATTTGTACTTCAAAACTTTGCCAAAAGAGGGCAAACCAAGTCTATAGACCATTTAAAATAATTTTCAATGAATTATTGTCAGGTTACCAAAGAAAAAGCTTTTCATTCAGAGATGGTGCTTGATGCCCCAGATTGCCTTAGTATAATGAGGAAGAAAATAAATTACAAATGTTTGTTGACTTTGTATGCTAAAGCTGGATGTAATATCTCTATAAATATATAAACTGTGATTAATCATTCAAATTATTTGCCTTCATAATTACTGGGCAAAATAATGTTTGAAAATATTCATAAACTTGGAAGATTGAGAGAATGACATATTTTACTAACAAGCTGAAATTCAGTCTCTATCAGTGTGAGCAAAAAATTGGGAAAGTATGTGTTTTAGCCTTTTTGAATCAAGAATGGTCATATTGCTTGATTGCTCCTTGTTTGTGCTTGTTGTTATGGAAATATATTAAAATACTTTAGGAAGAGAAATATATTTATTGAATATGGATAATTCATTTCATTTAGTATTCTATTTTGCCGTATGACTCAGTGTGACAAGAATAAATTAACCCTAATAAATTAATCAATATCAATGTTTTCATCCAGGTATACAAGTAAAGTAAAGTTTTTAAATATATACAAATTTGGGGAATGAGAATCAAAGTAATAACTTGAACAATCAGAAATCTGAGATTATGAATGATGTCTTTGTATAAACCAGTATTTTCTTTACCAAACCATGAATAATTCTTATAACTCAGACTTATCTATTCACTGAGAACATTCTGAATTCAAAGGAGTATATTTTAACAATAGTTTTATTATGTAAAATTCACATATTATGTTATGCCCCCTTTAAAACGGTACAATTCAATGCTTTGTAGTGTGTCCACAGATACGTGCAGCTAACACCACAGTCAATTTTAAAACATTTTCATCACCACAATGAAAGCCTGTTACACTTTACCTATCATTCCTCTAAACCAGGGGTCCCCAACCCCCAGGCCACAGACTGGTACTGGTCCATAACCTGTTAGGAACTAGGCCACACAGCAGGAGCTGACGAACTAGCATCACCGCCTGAGTTCCAGCGCCTGTCAAATCAGCAGCGGCATTAGGTGCGCAACAGGAGCACAAACCCTACTGTAAACTGTGTGAGTAGGAAGCTAGGTTGTGTGCTACTTATGGGAATCTAGCTAATGCTGCATGATCTGAGGTGGAAGTTTCAAACAGAAACCATTCCCTCCCTCTCCACCCCGCTGTCCATGGAAAAATTGCCTTCCACGAAACCGGTCCTCTGTACCCCAAAAAGTTTGGGGATTGCTGCTCTAAACCCTCAATACTCCTAAGGAACACAGTAAGCAACCACTTATCTACTTTCTGTCTCTACGGATATCCTTCTTCTGAACTTTATTTCCAAGATGGCATATAGTATGCTATATTTTGTGACTGGCTTTTTTCATTTAGCATAATATTTTTAAGGTTTATTGATGTGGCATGTTTCAGTACTTCATTCCTTTTTGTGGTTGAGTAATATTCCATTTATGGATTTTTTTTTTTCCCTCTTGACGCCCAGGCTGGAGTGCAATGCACGATCTCGGTTCACTGAAACCTCCGCCTCCCGGGTTCAAGTGATTCTCCTGCCTCAGTCTCCTGAGTAACTGGGATTACAAGGGCCTGCCACCACACGCAGCTACTTTTTTTTGTTTGTTTTTAGTAGAGACCGGGTTTCATCATGTTGGCCAGGCTGGTCTTGAACTCCTGACCTCAGGTGATCCACTCGCCTCAGTCTCCCAAAGTGTTGGGATTACAGGCATGAACTACAGCACCCAGCCCCATTTATGGATTTACCATGTGTTTGTTTATCTTTTTCTCTGTTGATGAACATTTGAGTTGTTTCCAAATATTGTCTATTATGTATAATTCTTGTATAAATACTTGGGTACAAATTTTTTTGTGTGTATATATATTCGTTTTTTTTCAGTATATACCTAAAAGTGGAATTGCCGGGTTATATGGTAACTCTAGATTTACTCATTTAAGGAGCTGCCAGACTATTTTCCAAATTGACAGCACCATTTTACTGTCCACTGACAATGTGTGAGGGTTCTGATATCTCCATGTCCACACCAACATTTTCATCTCACTTCTTAATTTCAGCCATTCTAGTGTTTGGTAAGTGGTGACACATGTTTTTGATTTATATTTCCCTGATGACTAACAACTAGAGCATATTTTCATGAGATTATTATATTTGCATATTTTCCTTAGAGAAATGTCTATTCAGAATCTTTGCCCATTTTTTAGTTAGGAAATTGTCTTTTTATTACAGAGTTCTAAGTGTTTGTCATACATTTGAAATACAATTTGTCTGTCAGATATATGATTGGCAAATATTTTCTACCATTTTGTGGTTTGGTTTTTCACTTTCTTGATGGTGTCCTTTGAATTACAAAAATTTTTAATTTTGATGAAATCCAATTTACCTATATTGTTCTTTCTTTTGAAGCTCATGTTTTTGTTTCCATATTTAAGAATTCTTTGCCAGGTCCATGGTTATGAAAATACCATATCTTTTCTTCTACGACTCTTAGACTTTTAGTTATTACGTTTAGGTTGTTGATTTATTTTGAGTTAATTTTTTTTATATGGAGTGACTTAGGATCCAACTTTATTTTGCATTTGACTACACAGTTTCCAGTTGTCCCAACTGGAGCAACTCAACCGTTTGTTCAAAGCCTATTCTTTTTCCCATTGAATTGTCTTGGCACTCTTGTCAAAATTCACTTAACCATATATGTATTGGTTTATTTCTGCACTTTTGTTTCTATTTCATTGATCTACATGCCTATCCTTGATTATAAGCTCCAGTAGGCACTGCCAGTGTCAACAAGAAAACATGATAGCAATCCTTCTATTCTACTGATAATTCATTTATGATAGCCAAAATCTTGTTCCATCTACATGCCTACACTGATTTGATTACTGTTTCTCTGTAGCAAGTTTTGAAATTGGAAAGTGTTTTTTTCAAGATTATTTTGTTTTTTCTTCAATTTATTTTCAACTTTAGAATCAGCTTATCAGTTTCTAAAAAGAGATCATTTAAAATTCTATATAGGAATGACATTGAATCTGCAGATCAGTTTTGGGAATATTGCCTTCTTAAAAATGTTAAGCCTTTATTCCATTGACATGAGATGTTTTTTCCAATTACATAAATCTTTTAGTTTATTTCAACAATCTTTCATAGCTTTTACAGTTAAATATTGTACTTATTAAGTTAAATATATTGGTAAGAATTTCACTCTTTTGATGCTATTATGAACCAAACTGTTTTCTTAATTTCATTTTTCAGTCATCCCTGGAAAATATATGGAAATACCAATGGTTTTGCATATCAATCTTATAGTTTGCAACATTACTAAGAATTTATTAGTTCTAATATTTTTAATGGATTCTAAATATTAGTTCTAATATTGTAGTAAATTCTATGTATATTAAGCTTGTATTTTGTAATCTTTCTGAACTAAATTATTAGTTCTAATGTTTTTAATGGATTTCATATACAAGACCACACCCTGTGAGAAAAAAGACAGCTTTTCTTCTTTCTTTCCAATATGGATGCCTTTTTTTTTTCTTCTTCTTGACTGATTGCTCTGGCTAGAGCTCCCGGTATAATGTTCAATAGAAGTGGCAAGCACAGACATCCTTTACTTGTTTCTGATTTTAGGGGTAAACATCTAGTCTTTCACCATTAAATGTAATACAAACTGGGAGTTTTGTGTAAATGTCCTTTATCAGATTGAATGTATTCCTTCTATTCATTGTTTGTTGAGGGTTTTTAATCATAAAAGTATGTTGGATATTGTCAAATAATTTTTCTGCATCAATTGAAATGATGGTGTAAAGTTTATAAACCTGTTTATATGATGTTTTACAATAATACATAAATTCTACTTAGTCATGGTATATTTTTTAAATACTGCTGGATTCAGTTTGCTAGTATTTTACATACATCAAGTTTAATATTGTTTGTAGTACAACACTCAAAGAAGTACCAGTAGGTAGGCATTCTAAATTTGTAGTTATTTTATTCATTCCTAGACACCTACTAACTAAGAGTGCTCATTATCTCTCTTTTAGAATATTAATATCATCTCCCGTCTATAAATTCCCTTAGCATAAATTTTCTGTGTTAATCGTTTTTCTTTCTAAAATGTAAATCTGGTGCATGTGGTTTAAAATGGTAAAAAAGCATTCTAAGAAACACCTTTTGTAGAATACTACCAACTTTTTAATAAAAAAACTATGGCATTTCAGATATGAGATAAAATTCACTGAAAATAAAATAAAATTAGCCTCAGAGAAACCTATTAATTGGCTTAGGTAGTCATTTTCAATTCAGCAAAATGGTGCTAATTTAAATTAGGTTAATAATTTAAATTTAATGCAAATACCATCAACATGAAAAATGATGTAGTTCTGCTTGGTTCCTCTAGCATCTTTTGATTATAAGCTCCAGTAGACACTTCCAGTGTCAACAAGAAAACATGATAGCAATCCTTCTACTCTACTGATAATTCATTTATGATAGCCAAATATATTCATTTTTTGTACCTGTTAGTACTTCCTCCAAAAGCATCTGAAAACTGTAACTCATGGAAAATACTGTCAATCAATAAGACCAATATATGCCTAGTCAAGATTGCGAAGAGGTAGGCCAAATAAGTAAACTGCTGGCATCATGGATGAAAAATAGAAGAGTTCTAGTTATAATGCATGGTTTCTTGTTTCTTAATTGGTTCAGTTTCCATAGAAAGAAGAAGTACATTATACCATATTAAGTCTGAAAACTATGAGAGATACAGTAGATAAGTATCTGTTAGACAATAGAAGTTTGTATGTGAAAAAAAACAAAAACAAAAACAAAAATGGTTACTCAGCTACAGTATTCAAGTATTCAGCTGAAAATAGTTTAGGGTCATATTTTCAAAAATTGAAAAAAAAAATGTTCCTACTAGATAAACTATTTTTCCAAAATAAAAATATAAAAAAGGACCACAAAAAAAGAATAGCAGAATCAGAAATACAAATGGGTAATATAATTAACTTTAAAAATTAAAATCAAATTTGATCACTTTAAATATAAAAAAATTGCAATGTATCAAAATAAATACAAGAAAAATAAATAGAACTACCTAAATGCAACAAAATGGAAAATACATAAAACATTATAATTCTGATTTTCATTGATCATACTGTGAACCATGTACAGAGAAACATACACTCTATTGCTAGAGAGTTTATCTTTTTTAGAAAGCAATTAAAAAACAAGTTTTAAAAGGCTTTAAAACGTTCAGATATTTATTTCACTAGTATGTAAAAGATAGAAAAATGAATTAAATATTAGATGAAAAACAGATGAAAACAATGATTATATCTGGGTGGGGACATTATGGGTAATTTGATGCTGTTCTTGAAACTTTCTTGTACAATAATACTTTTTTTTTTAAGTGAGAGGATTATGTTATATTGTGGGAAAAAAATACAATAAAAAGCAATTCTTATTTAGATAAATCCTTGCAAGTTTTCGGAATAACATTGCAAATTACATTTCCTACGATAAGCTGCCAAGAAAATGTATTTATTAGTTTGACATTGTACTTCTCTGTCTCACTAAATGTGAAAGAAGTGTCAATAGAACTCTGAATATACACAGCAAATTTAAGAATTTTATCCAAATGAAGTTACTCTTTGTGTGTATATTAGACAGTATTGCCTAGAAGTTAAGCTTATGGTTAAAGGAAATTAGAATAAATCACCCAAAAATATGCTTATTTAGCATAAGGATTATTTTAAGCTGAAGGCAGTTGATAAACAGGACACTTTGTTTTCTATCCCTTTCAAAAGCCTCAAGGCAGAGTATAACCTTTTCTTTGTGAAGATGTTCCTCCTTCCCTTTTCCATACCAGGAGGAGGCAAACAACCATTATCATTGGAGAAATAAATTTGGCACCGCCTTGAGTCTACACCAGAAAATGCTACTAAGATAACACTTATCTTCTATTAGTTTCTGCATAGCCTCTTTATACTCAGTTGTCTTCTCAGAAATTGATATTATAGTAATACCACATAAGGTTATTGTGAAAATAAATAATGTTTTCAGCATATTACTTACTACACTTTGGGCATTTAATTAATTTTAAAGTTTATCATTTTATTTGAAAAAATAGAAAAAAATATTCCATATCAATAACCTGAAAAATATACTATTCTTTAAAAAAAGCTATTATTTAACATATTGAAAAGTTAATTAATGTTAGATCTTAAGAATGAGAAAAATGCATTATAACATATCAGTAATACTCCTTGAAACCAATTTTTAGGTGTTTAATAAATATGAAATATGTAAAATGTTTAAATGAATAATAAATTATTTATTAAAAGCACAGTTATAATCTACCAAGTGGAAAATGTTCTTGTAAGATCCTTCAAATATTTAAAAATAATTTTGTAGAAATCATTTGGTTGCCTGGAAAAGGCCCATTTTCTTTTTTCTCTCTTAAATGACTCTGTACATATACCCACATCTAAAGAAGGATGTTTATTAGTTAGTCAACCCATATATCTTGTACTTATTTATTAACCTTTTTTTGGATTAGAAGTAGACAGGTGACATAATGTGGCTCAATCAGAGTGCAAGATTTTTTAATTCCATGTTTGGGGAAGTGGTTTCGCCTCTCTTCCTAGGTGTAAACAAGGAAGCATCCAAGCCCAGAAGCTAACTACGGCTAGCTGTCAATACTGATGATTCAGAGCAAATAGATAAAATAATTCCTTTCCTTGTTGATATCATTGAGCTGCTATTGTATCTGGAGTCTAAAATACCTCTGAACTTCCTGGTGTATAAGATGTTTCTACTTTAAGCCAGATTAAGAAGAGGTTTTCTCTGGAAAAACATTCATAATTATAAATATTTTATGATTATAATATTTTTTACAACTGTAGGTAATCAAATATTATTAAAATGTCTGAAGAAAAAAATGTCATTTAATAGAAACTATTACTTGTATGTGATTGATGAAACAGAAAATTAAAATGTTGGTATCCTTTTTTTATTATTATTATACTTTAAGTTTTAGGGTACATGGGCACAACGTGCAGGTTTGTTACATATGTATACATGTGCCATGTTGCTGTGCTGCACCCATTAACTCGTCATTTAGCATTAGGTATATCTCCTAATGCTATCCTTCCCCTCTCTCCCCACCCCACAACAGTCCCCAGTGTGTGATGTTCCCCTTCCTGTGTCCATGTGTTCTCATTGTTCAATTCCCACCTATGAGTGAGAACATGTGGTGTTTGGTTTTCTGTCCTTGTGATAGTTTGCTGAGAATGATGGTTTCCAGTTTCATCCATGTCCCTACAAAGGACATGAACTCATCATTTTTATGGCTGCATAGTATTCCATGGTGTATATATGCCACATTTTCTTAATCCAGTCTATCATTGTTGGACACTTGGGTTGGTTCCAAGTCTTTGCTATTGTGAATAGTGCCGCAATAAACATACATGTGCATGTGTCTTTATAGCAGCATGATTTACAATCCTTTGGGTATATACCAAGTAATGGGATGGCTGGAAACTATTCCAATCAATAGAAAAAGAGGGAAGCCTCCCCAACTCATTTTATGAAGCCAGCATCATCCTGATACTAAAGCCTGGTAGAGACAAAGCCAAAAAAGAGAATTTTAGACCGATATCCTTCATGAACATTGATGCAAAAATCCTCAATAAAATACTGGCAAACTGAATCCAGCAACACATCAAAAAGCTTATCCACCATGATCAAGTGGGCTTCATCCCTGGGATGCAAGGCTGGTTCAATATACAAAAACCAATAAACTTAATCCAGCATATAAACAGAAGCAAAGACAAAAACCACATGATTATCTCAATAGATGCAGAAAAGGCCTTTGACAAAATTCAACAACACTTCATGCTAAAAACTCTCAATAAATTAGGTATTGATGGGACATATCTCAAAATAATAAGAGCTATCTATGACAAACCGACAGCCAATATCATACTGAATGGCCAAAAACTGGAAGCATTCCCTTTGAAAACTGGCACAAGACAGGGATGCCCTCTCTCACCACTCCTATTCAACATAGTGTTGGAAGTTCTGGCCAGGGCAATCAGGCAGGAGAAGGAATAAAGGGCATTCAGTTTGGAAAAGAGGAAGTCAAATTGTCCCTGTTTGCAGATGACAGGATGGTATATCTAGAAAACCCCATTGTCTCAGCCCAAAATCTCCTTAAGCTGATAAGCAACTTCAGCAAAGTCTCAGGATACAAAATATATGTGCAAAAATCACAAGCATTCTTATATGCCAATAACAGACAAACAGAGGGCCAAATCATGAGTGAACTCCCATTCACAATTGCTTCAAAGAGAATAAAATACCTAGGAATCCAACTTACAAGGGATGTGAAGGATCTCTTCAAGGAGAACTACAAATCACTGCTCAAGGAAATAAAAGAGGATACAAACAAATGGAAGAACATTCCATGCTCATGGGTAGGAAGAATCAATATCGTGAAAATGGCCATACTGCCCAAGGTAATTTATAGATTCAATGCCATCCCCATCAAGCTACCAATGACTTTCTTCACAGAATTGGAAAAAACTACTTTAAAGTTCATATGGAACCAAAAAGAGCCCGCATCACCAAATCAATCCTAATCCAAAAGAACAAAGCTGGAGGCATCACGCTACCTGTCTTCAAACTATACTACAAGGCTACAGTAACCAAAACAGAATGGTACTGGTACCAAAACAGAGATATAGACCAATGACACAGAACAGAGCCCTCAGAAATAATGCCACATATCTACAACTGTCTGGTCTTTGACAAAGCTGACAAAAACAAGTAATGGGGAAAGGATTCCCTAGTTAATAAATGGTGCTGGGAAAACTGGCTAGCCATATGTAGAAAGCTGAAACTGGATCCCTTCCTTACACCTTATACAAAAATTAATTCAAGATGGATTAAAGACTTAAATGTTAGACCTAAAGCCCTAAAAACCCTAGAAGAAAACCTAGGCATTACCATTCAGGACATAGGCTTGGGAAAGGACTTCATGTCTAAAACACCAAAAGCTATGGCAACAAAAGCCAAAATTGACAAATGGAATCTAATTAAACTAAAGAGCTTCTGCACAGCAAAATAAACCATCACCAAAGTAAACAGGCCACCTACAGAATGGGAGAAAATTTTTGCAACCTACTCATCTGACAAAGGGCTAATATCCGGAATCTACAAAGAACTCAAACAAATTTACAAGAAAAAAAACAAACAACCCCATCAAAAACTGTTGGTATTCTTAGAAAAAAAGTAAGGGAAGATTTATAGATTATTTCAAAATGCAAAGGAACAAATACTGTCCAGGTTACACAACTCTCCCAAAATTTAGTGAAAGAAATGTATTTCCCATATGATTTGTAAAACCATCACTCCCCTAAAACACAAACCTGTCAAATATAGTCTCCCTCAAAACTGGTCTAATCTCACTTATGAATAAAGAGCTAAGGGAACCAACATTAAGATAATAATATATTGAATACAGATTCACATTAAAAGTGAAAAATCAGTATATTCTAGTTATAACATTATGGATGAGTATTATTTTTCCCCTTAGTGGGGAGCTCAGGCACCTTTCCACTTCATCCTAGCTATAGGCACAAAGACCAGGAGTGCACATATAAAGGCCAATCAAATAAAAACTCCTTTTCTTTTGGATGATGGTACTAGTGCAAAAAGACATCTGGGTTATGTTTTAAAAATACAACCTCTCAAGCTATGCCCACAGAAATGCTAATTAATTATGTCTGGCAAAACGATGAGTTGAGGCATGCATATCTTAAACAATCAGCCTAGGCAATTTTCATGAAGATTCTGTGAGCTAGATAAGTTTGTAGGTATGATGAAGAAAGAAATAAAATCTCTTAAAAGCAGCATTTTCCTTTTTTCTCTGGCAAGTGTTTAGAATTTAATAAACAAATGAAAATAAATTTTATCATCTAGACTTACATTGAGCAACATCAAATGAATCTTTTACAAACCCAATTGCCAAACGGAGAGAAGAGAGAAAGAAAGAGAGAGCAATACTAAAAATAATGCCCATACTCTGACTCAAAAAGTCAAGAGTTCTTAATAGCTCAGGGAATACTGTGGTCAGCAGGACAGCGGACCTCACGCCCGGCTAATTTTTCTTTTATATTTTTAGGAGACACGGGGTGTCGTCATGTTGGCCAGGCTGGTCTTGAACTCCTGACCTCAGGTGATCCACCTGCCTCAGTCTCCCAAAGTGTTGGAATTACAGGAGTGAGCCACCACGCCCAGACTTTCCATTTATTTTTGTTATCAGTTTACCTTAGTAGAAGACAAAATCTGTGCAGCCAGGGATTTCTTTAGTATTATTAATAATAATAATAATAATAATATTGCAGTAATCTAAGCACTTCAGACAATACTTATTACATACTCTTAAAATGAATGAATAAGCGGTGTGATTAGCAGTCAAACAAAGCTTTCTATCTGTTACCACAATATAAATGTATATCTCAAAAATTTACTGTTAAAGGAGAAATAAATAAAAAGTATTTTATTATGACGTTATATAATTCCATTGTGTAAGTAATCTTGCATAATTACATTAGAAGGCCTGATGTAATATCAGATGTTTGTTCTTAAATTTAGAATCACTGTGAATATGAAAGATACAGATGAAAACTAGTTTAGCGTGTTTTATTGACAAATATGTTACCACTGTTGCTATGATATTTAGGAAGAGTAAAATACTTTTGGAAGAGTTCCAAAGCAAGCTCTGTCAATTAAGGCAGTAGTACTCCTGGAAAATTCTGTCTCTATTAAAACTGCAAAAATAGATAGCATTTGTCTATTTTAAACAGTTAAATTCTAGGCACAAATAATTTTAAACACGGTTCATATATGAAAAAGTGTTTTGGTAAATGACACACTTAATGCAGAAGTTAATCATTTTAAATTCATTTTACCAAATTATGCTTTATATGAATAAAAATGCATCTATTTTAAGTATCCATTTCATTAAATGTTGACAAATCTAGTCACCTGTATAACTGCCACAGCAATCAAAATAGAACACATTTCCATCATCTTTCAATATTTTCTCTTGCTTTTCTTGAAAACATTCCTCCATCCTGGGGCCCCAGGTAATAATGGCTTTGCTTTTTGTCACTATTTATTAGATTTGTATTTTCTATATATTCATGTCAAATAAAAATATATATTTAAAATAAAATGAAGGGTCAGGTGCAGTGGTACATGCCCATAATACCAGCTACTTGGGAGGCTGAGGCAGGACAATCACTTGAACCTAGGAGGTGGAGGGTGCAATGAGCTCAGATCGTGTCATGGCACTCTGGCCTGGGCAACAAGAACAAAACTCTATCTCAAAAATAAATTAATAAATAAATAAAATAAAATAAAATGAAGGTCTTGGAGAATACCCAAAAATCTCATGGAATAAAGAGGAATCCTTTATTCAGTGAACCATGAACCACAATGAGCATTCCTGTTCATAATATGAATGAAATAAGAATTTAGTACTGGAAACATAAACTATTAAATGTATTACAAATGGCAATGGATTTAATATGGAAAACTAGGAGTTTACAAAAGCACTGGAATGACAGAAGAAACAAGTTCTAGCCTGGTCCTGCTGAAATGCATTTCCCCCAAACATACCCAATTCCATAATTTCCTACTACAAAGTTTCTATTTCTAAGATTAGTTCTGCTGGTCTAGATCTGGGAATGATAGCACTGACATAGCAGTCTCTAGGCAAAGAATACTGCAGTGTGGACACCTAAAGCTGGTGTCAGTGAGTCTTATAAAGAAGCCAGAGCTATGTTTCTTTTTTTTTTTTATTTTTCGACAAATGTAAAGCCACTTAACAGACAATGAAATCCGATGTAGGAAAACAACAACTTTCTTAAACAACAGTGAATGACAGTAGTCACAGAAAGATGGCATTCACATTATGGCCACCTTCCAAATATGTGGCAACAGAATCTCATTGGATTAACCTAAATAAAAATATCCAAACTTATTTTCAAGGAAATCCTGAGATTTAATCCTTCAATTCTGGCTATATTGGGGAAGGGAGAGCAGTGGGAAGAGTTACGTGAGTGGTAATGACAATGGATGTTGACAGATAACAGGCATCATGGAGCAAATCTAAAGTCTATGATCCCTCATCATTAAATGTGTGTTACAGCAGCTTCATGTTATTGAGGAAACCAAGAAAATCCCTGCAAATGTATAAAATGACCTTAAGTTAGTAGTACCACCATTGCTGACTGTCACTGGTTTACAATATAACTTGCTATGGTAACCACATTTGCGTATAAATTCTGCTTGAGCTTTCTTAGTATTATGTACAGAGGCCAGTGTTATTATTTGTCTTCGTGACTCTCTGAAATGGCAAAAATGGGGCAAATGCAAGACTTGGATTTCGGAGAATTGGAACTCCAATGCAATAAATAGAGTAAATCATATTATCAGTCTTGTTGCAGTTGTTGAAAAATAAATCATGACTCCAGCTAGGAATCTAAGTGGTGTCTGACTCAAAATGAGCAAAACAAGGATAACCTTGGAGAAAATAAATATCTGTACCTATTTTAGGATCTGTATACATTCTTCAAAGAAAAATAAAAGGGAGTATTCAGTCAGCTGAGATTTAATTGGTAGGATAAAGGCAAATCCTTGATTGTTTAAAAAGGTTCATATGGCTTTATCAAAAAAAGTATTATCTTATGTTAGTTATTGGATATTAATTAAAACTTGAACATATTAGTTGTACATTAAAGAAATAAGCTTTCTTTCCTTTCCTTCTTATGATAATATTTACAGCAACTGATGTTGGTTGGGTTGCCAGAAACCTATAGAGAGAAACTGTCACATGAGAAACTGGTGCAGATGGGAAAAGTGAAATTGAGTGAAGACACAATCTACCTCACTAATATTGCCAAAAACAGTTTCCAGGACACATGCCAATTTAGACTTTTTTTTTGGTATTTTTAAAGATGGATTAACTGTTTTCTAGCAATGAATGTGCAGGGAAAAAGTTTTTAAAGTAATTGGCTTTCAATTTTGGAAGTTTTAATAAAGTCCTACATGTTCTTACAACATTAAGATAAGGTATCGTTCCTCTATATTTAATGGCCACTCTCCAAAACTGCTCTTTGGCTAGTTCTGTAATTTCAGATTAACTTGTAAATATTTACTTTAAAAACTTACTTTAACATTCCAAATGTGCTAAACCCATAATATTTACTTAACTTCTTTTAGGAATTTTTATTACAAAGCCTAAAATTTAGAGGAAGAGGTATTATGAGGGCCCCATGTAACTCAATACATTTACAGGGAAATAAATTGGACCAAAAATGATTAAATGGCTTGCAAAAGGGCATAGAGCTTAGTAGTGACAGAATTAAGCCCTAAATCTAAGTCTATTATTCTCTCTCAGTGTTGTGAAGTACATTTCATCTTTATTACTATTTGTCCAAATATTAAAACTAAGTATCTTCCTGCTGGTGACACTAGCTAATTAATTCTGAACGATTTTTTTTAATGGGGACTTATTTATCACATTTTGGTTGGTATGTACAAAGGATAACTTTGTATAGGTGTAGACACACATTATGTTAAATTTTGTTTATATAAATGTGTAAACATAAGCAATAAAAATGAAAGTTTTCTGCATTCCCATCTCTTTACATAAAAAGCAGTAATATAACAATATTTGAATTTTTGAAAAATCATATCACATATTTTATTGAATCAAAAAATTGAAATAGCAGCAAGTAACTCTGGCTAATTTAAGAAGAAATAAGCTTTACTAAAATATATTGGTTAGCACATGAATCTTACCAAAGGGGTAAAGGGCCAGAATTGGAAGCTTCATAGCTATAAAAAATTATCAAAAGTAACATGACAGAACTGTTCATATGAAGATATTGTTGATGTTCTACAGAAGATTGACATTACCACTTTTGTTGCTTGCACAATGAATACTAAACTTAGAACTCTATTGCTGGAAATGCAGCCTCTAAAATCTGGGTATTCCAACTTCTGTTGCTGCAAAAAATTACTCAAATATTCTACTTGGAATTCTTTCATCTAACTCCCAATACCAGCCCAGATATAATGTAACTGACAGGAGGGCTTTAGATGATACACCTGCACCCTCACTGCAAAACAAGCAGAGAACATGAGTATATGTCCTCTATATCAAAATACGGACTCTTGCAGAGGAGAATCCTGAAACACTGAAAGTATGTTTGGCTTTCCCATGTATATGGTAGTTTGAAATGGGGATAGCGGTTTATCCTTTACCTACAAGGCGATGGAGAAGCCTAAAACATGACAGTGGACTGGCAAAAGTCCACTTGTGTAGGAAGTTCTAGAGAGGGAACAAAATGAGTACACTATGGGCAACTGTAAGGGGCAGGTGAAAACGTGTCACTCAAAATTCATGAAAAAAAAAGTGAAGGCTTATGAAGAAGAACACAGTGGCTTGGGGATTAAAAACAAAACGAAATAAAAACTGAATATTTTCTTAGTATATCTAAGTTGCAATATTAGTAAATGTAAGAAGTGAGACTAATAAAAAAAAGCCAATTGTAAATCTGTTACAGCTTTTAAAATCTGTTGATGTAATTTAAATAATAGTAACAGGCCGGGCGGGTGCAGTGGCTCATGCCTATAATGCCAGCACTTTGGTGTCTGACTAACGTCAGAAAATCAAGACCAGCCTGGCCAACATGGTGCAACCCTGTCTGTACTAAAAGTACAAAAATTAGCCGGAGGTGGTGGTGCACAACTGTAGTCCCAGCTAGCGGGAAACCAAGACATGAGAATCCCTTGAACCCGGGAGGTGGAAGTTGCAGTGAGCAGAGATCACCGCGCTGCACTCCAGCTTGGGTGACAGAGTGAGACTCCCTCTGGAAAAAAAAAAAAAAAGAAAAGAAAGAAAAAGAAATTAAATGGGACATTCGACAAATAAGCATGTATTTGCAATCCATTTTCCACTATTAGAGAGATATTTAAAAGAGACAGAAAAGAAAAAGCCAAAGTGTGGAAGATCCAGATACTCGCATCCTGTTAATATGAAAATAAATTATCCTCCCAAAGTCGCAGATGATCATTTCTCCCAACAGACAACCACATATACCACTCATGAGACTATTGACTCCTCAGAAAATGGAGCACACATTCGAAACTGACTTGAAATTGAACTTTGGGGAGGACTGGAGTGAATTAAAATGGAGAGAGAGATATGTTTCTCCTAATACTTCTTAACTAAAACATGTATATTTAAGATGTGCAAAAACTAAGGTAATGTAATGGGAATAGCTCAGGAAGAGTGAAAGTTGCATTACCTTCCTTCAAAGTAATTATTCAATGCACAGTTAAGATAATTATGGTCTTAGAAGTATGTTACATGTATTTTATATTTTTAAGAGGCCTGAAAATGACTATCAACTAATTTATACTTTTGTGAATAATAAAATTACAATATTTGACAAAAAATAACTACAAAAATATGACTCCAAATTTAGTTACTAAATTTATGAGCTCAAAATTAAAAATATTCTCACTCATTCCAGAACAAATACTTTTAATACAACTGAAACTGCTTGGCTAAAGAATAAAGAAGATATGAATTTAAATCAATAAAAGTACACCTCTGGAGGCTGTGAGAGAAAGCTGAATGTAGAATATAAAAACATCTCTTGGAGAATAAAAACATAGTTTGCCTTGAAAAATAAAATTAGTCAAGAAAAAGTGTTTTAAAATCACTTTAGACTTTATAATTGAGCTAGATTTTTTTAAGTGACTAAATGCAAAGTTAGGAGCTTTTCTCTAATTTTCACAGATAGTCTTATACAGTTGGTAAGCAAGTAGATGTGAATACTGCACAGATTTGTCTTTATTCAAAAGACAAAAAGTAAATTCAATAATTTAATCAAAGTGTCTTCTCAAAATCTATAATAAAAGAGTTCAGTGTTTAGATTCTATTATAGCAAACATTATGTTGGATGGAAAAACAAGGAGGTGACATCATTGTAGAAGAGACCGTAACATCATTAACAAAGAAAAAAATGGGAGGTCAAAAGTATACCAAGGAAATGGGTTATAATGGGCTTAAAAATTTCAGGTAAGAAAAGATTGTTTTTATTTAGTGAAAACACTATCGAAGGGCAGGAATAATAAAAAAAATACAGATAGGGCCTTTTATTTTCTTATTTGTAAAGCTTGATAAAAATGAAATCAATACTGAGAAAAACAAAAGAAGATTCTGAATAGGAGACAATCTGAAACAAATCTTTGATTGAGCATGAAAGAATTGGAACATATTTCTCTGAATAACCAAAGAGCAAGCACCTATCAGAGTGAGTCCATCAACATGAATTACACAGAAGAGAAAATAATTTACTATGCTGTTAATTAAAACACACATTTATTTACATTGAAACAAATAAAATTACTGTGGTTAACAATTAATGTAAGATTTATGATAATGCAAAAATATATTATTCATTACAGGTAGCATTATAAATGGCTTCTTTTTTTTTTTCTTTGAATACCTGCTGCTCAGGTTTAGAGAATTCTCTCATTCTGAAGAAGGAAAGTTAAAAAATCTGTTACTGAACCTCAAATTCTACTCTAATAATCATGATGATGGACATAACAGAATGGAGATTATATTTTGTATGACTTGTCCTTATTTTCTAAAATCTAGAGTTTGTAACTTTCTTCAGATATATTCACAGACATCTTAGCCTTTGACATGTTTAAGTAGTTAAAGAGTGCAAAATTTGGGGGTACAATATCCTGTAGCTCCCGTATATTCTATAGCTTCCACGAACTATATGTTTCTGTTTCCTGTCTATATTTAACTATATAAAACACAGAACAAACTATTTCAAAGCATTTACCTATTTCTCTTCTCTAAATGGCAAGAATTTGCTCTCTTCTTGCCATATTGGTAAGTTAGTTTTACGATATTCTGGGCACTTTAGTACTGTCCTGGAAAAGAACATTAGGAAGGCAAATTCTTGAAGGTAACAACATTGGTACAAGGAAATAAAGTATAGATATAGATAACACAAAAATTCTGATTGATTACGATATCTAAATGTCAAATGATCTCTTTAGTCTAAATATACTTTTAATTATATTTAAATTCACAATCACTAGTTTATAAGAAATATGAAGACAACATACAAATTCATTTGAATATAATAGGTCATGTTCCCCCACTGAAATACCATCAGAATTGAGTTGTAGTTTAATATTATAAATACAGCATATAATTCCATTTGGAACACATAAACCAAGAGCCAGACTGAAAATTAAACTGAGAATGGTTAACACTGAACAAAAATAATAACTTTCCCTAAAAGCCATAATGTTTCTATTTACCTGTCCTAAACAAAGATCCCAACATTTCTTTCTTAACAGATAGTAATAATACTAGTGTGTTTCTCTCTGCACTTCAAGAATGAATGCTGAGAACTAACAATAGAGAAGAGATAAAATTCCTATAGCTTATTATCTTAATGTTTCAAGATGTACTTCCAAAAAATTGTTTCCCAAATAAAAATCCCAGAGAAAAGGGATTTATAATTTGATGCCTGGCACTGAAATAAAATTAAGATTAGGAAAAGTCATATGATATTATAAAATTAAGGTTTCCACAACTGTAGTATCAATGGGACTTGGTAAATGAACACTTTTAATAAAAATCATGAATAGTAACTCCTGTTTAAACCAATGTAACAGTGAAGAAAAACTGGGTTCAGACAAATCCACAGATAATTCCGAGACATAAGTATCAGTTTTTTAAGGGGGTAGGAATGAAGATTGATGTCATGGCACATTGGTGATATTTTATGTTTGATTATACATTCATGTGTAGAATAAACTTTACAGGGTATATAAATAGAAATTCAATTGAATTCATGTATGGTAATGGGGATGATCTTCCACAGCAAGATGGAAACCAGAATGCATAAAGACTGACTAGAAGAAAATAACTACAAAAGATATAAAACAAAAAACCTAATATTAATTGGAAAAGAACCAATTTATTGAAAACATGAATAAATAATATTAGCTGATTTATAGAAGTTCAATATGGGCTGCCAGTAAAAAATGAAAATGTTTACCAATTCAAAATTTATCAAGACCATGCAAATTGAGCCAACATTAAATTATAACTGTTTGCACTTTAGAAAGACAAAGATACCTAGTGGAGGAAGTTTAACTCAAAAGAACCTTTTGGGAGGGCATTTTATCTGCATTTATCAGAATACGAAAGCACATATTCTGAAGTACAGAAATGTCAGTAAGCAGTAACCACCTTTTTACTTATTACGGTAATTTAATATTTATGGCCATCCTACCCAGATAGCATTATTTCTTTAAGATTTATACATGCAGGGATGAAAACTGAGTGAGCTTTGCATGTGGAAATTCTAAAAAAAAATTCACTATTTCCTTTTTAGGGACATGGATGAAATTGGAAATCATCATTCTCAGTAAACTATCGCAAGAACAAAAAACCAAACACCGCATATTCTCACTCATAGGTGGGAATTGAACAATGAGAACACATGGACACAGGAAGGGGAACATCACACTCTGGGGACTGTTGTGGGGTGGGGGAAGGGGGAGGGATGGCATTGGGAGATATACCTAATGCTAGATGACGAGTTAGTGGGTGCAGCGCACCAGCATGGCACATGTATACATATGTAACTAACCTGCACAATGTGCACATGTACCCTAAAACTTAAAGTATAATAAAAAAAATAAATAAATAAAAAAATACCACCTTTCATTAAAAGTTGATATACTATCAGATGTTCTCACTTTAGTATGGTTTTGTTGTCTATGAGTTACTTGCCATAGTATCATATTTATATAGTTTTACCCAAGAGCATTTTCAAAGGAATAAATCGAAGATAAGTTGAGTGCCATACAGATGTTTGATGGGCTTGAACTTTACATACAAAACCAAAATAAACAGGTTTTCAAATTTAAAATAATAGATGATTGACAAATAAATAAAAATTATAAACCAACATGTTACATGCCTTGATTAATTAGAACCTTACACTTAATCAAATTAACACGTGACCTTGCCACAAAATGTTAAAATATATTAAATAATGTTAAAAATTTAAAGATTTTCTGAATTTAGGTTTGCATACAAAATTTACTAGCATTAACTTTTATGTTATGGAAAATTGGTGAAACTAAAATAGTAGGTTCACATTATTCAGCAGAAACATTTTTTAAATACATGCTTTTGTGTGCTTTCCTCAGATTTAGAAAAACAGTTGCATGCATTGTCAACTAAGTTAAGCCGAGGTGAGTTTATTGACTGTGTGTCAAAGATGTAAAATTAAAAAATCATTTTTGAATGTCAAATGGTCTTTCATTTCTCCACCTTGAGATTCATGTCTCTATTCTTTTTCTATATTTCATGTCTGCTTGTTCTTTCAACTCCGTTGGAGTGTAGCCAGACATTGCAGCCTACAGAGTGAATATGCCTGCTATATTCCTGTTTGATCCTCTTCCCTTTATGTGTCAGTTCCTTTGTGGGCTGCCTACTTGTCAAACCATTTTTATTCTTCAAAACTTTATACATAATTTTTACATAAGCTGTGCAGATCTCAGTACAATTGATGAATTTTTTACAAGTTAATCACACATAAATAGCATAAACACCGCTGCTTACGTGTTTAACGTTGTAAGGACAAGTATATATTTACTCAACTACAACCAATTAGATGCAAAATACTCAAGTTATAGATTAAACACAGCTGTTTGTGCTTCCCTTTGAATTAGTAAAATAAGCAGATTCAAAAAGCTAGCTCAAAAATGCATCTGCCATTAATAAGCATAGAAATTTAGGGAATATTTTGAATATTGAGCTAAAACAGCAAAAAAAAAACAAATTTAAAACACATTATTTAATGAATTATGATACTAAGATGTACAAATCTTGATTCTCATGGTAGCTGACAGTTAAGTTGTAATTCTTTTTGACCTAGGAGAAAATGCATGACTCTCTTATCTAAGTCTTCATTGTTTTTAGTCATTTAAAAGAAGATACTTTGTAATCAGAGATGTTTTACAAAACCTAACATTTGTCATGTGGGGAAAAAATGTTCTTTAGCTCTATGCCTAGTACAACCTGAGGCATGAAACAATTGTCAAGAAATGCAATACCTGTTGCGTCTTGGAGCTTAAATCACTAACCTAAAAGTCTCTGTAAGTCATAATGAAGATATACTAATCAATGAGAAGAAATCTATGTTTAAAAGTGTGCTCAGCAGATTATTAATAATGTTACTTTTGATAAATTATGTGGAGAATTACAAGGCCACCCTAGGATCAAAAAAAGAATTCTACAGAATAAACCAGAAAAATCCATCTTACCCAAGTCTCATAAAGGTCAGATAAAAGCTAATTTAAGTATACTATACACTTTTATAAGTTGTTGCTAAGGTTAACTCAAGTTAATATTTGTTAGTCCTACAGTAGTAATACAAAGAAAGGCCAGATATGTCCAGGAAATATAAAGAAAATAAATATTTTTATCATAAACCAGGAAACTATTTTTATTCTCAGAAAAAATCACCATTGAGAGTTTAAGCTCATAATAGCCGAAATTTTAAGGTATTAAAATTATATCAAAAAAGCAGAAATGATGCGTAATAGAGTTGCAAACTGACTTCTCTAAAACTGTGAATGATTTGTAACCCAAAACCAGCACACATGAGGAAGGGCTGTCAAAGTCACTAAAGATTAAACTGAGGTATGTGAAGATGCTGAAAAAAGGCCCATGCAATCGCAGTTTTCAGAAATAATTCTGTCAGAATAGTTGTCTAAAGTAACGATACTTCATGAGGGGCAAAACCAAAAATCAGCAGTGTGTTGTTTCTAACAGTGGGAATGGCATCTGAGGGCTGGTTGCAGAAGATACTCTGAACTCCATAGAAGAAAACAAGAGCTGAAATTTAACAAGAAAGCATGCAGAAATATCTTTCATGGAGGTGGTCATAGAGAATGCATGAAGGTGATACTTAAGTACAGGCAGAACTGAAACTGCTATGTTTGTTATTAGGATAAAACTAAACACTACAACTACCTCTCCACACAGTCGATATCCCTTCAACTACACAAACTCAGGCACACACACATGCACACGCACACACACAAACACACATGTGTAATATACGAAACTTCATAACCAATTGGTATTTTTTTTTTTTACTCTGGAGATTGTTACGTCCATTCTTGAAAATAACTAATCTATTTTATTATCTATACTTCCCCTTTACATAATTTCATCAGTCACATGTTTTAAACACTATTTCTATTGTATTCTAGATACAATTGATTCCCAATTTGTATCTAGCTCTTATCTCTCTCTGTAACTAGAATTTTTTATCCATGTGTTTGATTCACACTGGAAGTCTAAAAGGCATCTCACATTTAACCTGTTCAAAAACAGTATCAGCTTAGAAAACTCATCTTTAATGTTCTGTTCCTCTACAACCACTTTTCATAACAAAATCCTTATGAGTCAGGGATTTCTATATAGTGATTAAAGCAAGTTTGTGTTCAACTGAGCAAAAGGATGTAGCAGCTGTAAGGAAGAGAAAAAATACAAAGCAGTGTAAGAAATAGAAATGTTTATTACCTTTATTTTTGTGATGGCTTCATGTATGAACACGTGCCAAAACTTTTTTGAACAGTTTTAATGTAATTTATTTTATATAAATTTTACCTCAATAAAGCAATTTCTAAAATCTTGGGGTGCACTTTTAATATCAAAGGAAATATGTTTAAAAAGGAAGAGCATTTATAATCCCAAAAATAACACCAAATAATAAATATGTATGCACAAATATGAAATCACACCATGTCATAAGTTACAGAAAATTAACTGAGAAATGTAAATCAAAAGAATAATTTAATTTTCATTTTTCATTCAATGGTAAAGTATACCAAAACATGTAACGACATAGAACAATTAGCTCACACTTTAATCTTACCTTTAGGATACAGCTAAGATAAATGTTGAAGTAAACTATTCACTTTTTAACAGTAATAATGCAAAAGAGATAGCTACAATAACAGATAAGACATTCAACTTAGAAAGTAGTAATTCAGGTAGAAAATAGATCTAATTGGAAAAATGTAATTAATGAAATAAAATAGAATATGATGGAACATATAAATAAATCTAAGAGCTACTACGTTGGAAAAAAAGAGCAAAATGTATTAAGATAAACTTAACCTAGTAAGGAGAAACATATACAAAATAGAAATATCAATATAAAATATCCACAAGAGAATTTAAATGTAATCACGAGATTACATTTCGCATTGTAAATATATAAATTTAAATAGGAGTTAAAAATTGTTGATTATTAGGAACATATACATTTTAACATAAACAGTAGAAGAAATGGAATTATTAATAAAAATTAAGTAAAATTGTTGGACAACTACCATACCTATCCCCCAAGCCAACAATATATTACTTCCCAACATTCATACAGGAGAAACTTCCGAATTTATAAAGAATTAATAATGCAAACAAAAATTAAACCCCAACTGCATCAAAACTGAAGGAAAGATCATACATAATTATTATAAAGAATTATAATTTTTGGCCGGGTGCGGTGGCTCACGCCTGTAATCCCAGCACTTTGGGAGGCCGAGGCGGGCGGATCACGAGGTCAGGAGATCGAGACCATCCCGGCTAAAAACGGTGAAACACCATCTCTACTAAAAATACAAAAAATTAGCTGGGCGTAGTGGCGGGCGCCTGTAGTCCCAGCTACTTGGGAGGCTGAGGCAGGAGAATGGTGTGAACCCGGGAGGCGGAGCTTGCAGTGAGCCGAGATCCCGCCACTGCACTCCAGCCTGGGCGACAGAGCGAGACTCCGTCTCAAAAAAAAAAAAAAAAAAAAAAGAATTATAATTTTGGCATAAAAACTTGAAATATTTAGCATTTTTAAACACATATATACATAAAGCTAACAAAAAACATTGAGTATATAAAAACTGTAAGTGACATATTAGTAAAACCTATGTAAGTATACAATTAAAAACAAGATTAGCAGTGTTTTCCAATGTGTTTTAAACTAGGTTGATGGAATTGTCCAATGGTTTCGAGTAAATATAAAAATAATCTTTTGATGCCCTGCTTATTTCCTGAAAGAAAATATTGATATGGATTATTAAAGAAAATATTACACAGGAATATTGACATATACATATTTTTCTGTATATATTTATTTTGTGTGTGTATATATATGTTTCTCTATGTCTGTGTATGTATGTTTTAGAAAAACAGACATGCACTGCATAGTGAGACATCAGTCAGCAGAAGACTGCATATAAGACTGGTCCCATAAGATTATAATACTGTATAGTACCATATATTTACTGGAAATACATTTACAGTAAATGCCATATTGCAAATCAGTGGAGGTAGAGGTACATTATTTAATAAATGCTGTTAAGAAGGTAGGATGGTAGTTGAAAAAAACATAAACATAAAAATTCCATTTTTTCACCTCCATCAAAAGAAGATTCATATATACAGGTTTTAAAACAAAATAAATGCCTAATAATTTAAAAAATTTAAACAAGAATAATATAACCACAATAGTGTTATGAGAAAACATGAAATAATTATTTCAGAGTCACAGTTTGTTAAAGACCAATAATTGTGTAAAAATAAATGTTAAATTTGGGGATTTCATCATCATAAACAAAGGAGAAATGATAAACTAAAAATGTACACAAAATTATAATTATTTGATAAGTTAATTTCCTTAATATATAAATATAACCTATTAATCAATAGGAAAAGTATAAGAAACCAGAAAAATTAACCAAGACATGAAAAAACAGTTTCCAAAAAGTGAATTTTAAGTTTTAAATATTAACAGTCAACCATGTTTATTATAAGAGAAATGCAACTTGAAATCAAAATTGCCCATTTTTATTGATCAAATTTATGAAAATCAACAAGTTTGATAAGTTTTTGGTATAAAAAGGATGTGTTGAGGGTCAACAGTAAATTGGTATAACTTCAATTGACAAAATATGTCAAAATAATTAAAATTTAAAATGTATAGTTTCTTGATTCAATAATTTCAATTCTTTTTTTCTATGAGAACTGATGACTAGAAGACCAAGAGTCTTTGCTTTCAGTGTACATATATCATTGTCTACCTTTTAAATTCTGTGCCATATACAATCAGTTAAAAACTGACTATAGTAATTATTTGAAATTGAAGATAATAAAGACTTTAATATGCATATATAATCTCTAAAATATGTGTGGGTTTTTTTGTGTGTATATGTATATCCATGGTTGTATTTATTCTATATCAGACCATATAATCTACATTGTACCACAAACTTATAAAATGTTTAAGCCAAAAGTAATTTTAAATATCTTATGATCATTTCACTGAATTGGCTTAAAAATGTATTGGGATTTAAGGATTATTTCAATATTGTTCTAGACATATAAAAATGATATTAACCCTGTGATTTAATATATTGTTTAAAATAATAATTTTATTTCAAATAGTTATTTTGTTCCTTCAAATAGTTTTGTTTCAACCTTAGATTGATTCTAAGTTTATTAATATAGCTTCCTATATTTTCTGTTCTGTTCAAAATATTATCAAGTGAAAATTTGATAATTATATATGATTCAATCAAAGTAATTTATTTTATCTACATTTAAAGTTTAGTCATTGGTTTCTCTATGAATATCCACAATTTTCTTTCCTATAATTTATCTCTTCTAATGTTTACATTTGAACTATGTTATTTCGAGGAATATTTCCTGGTTCTTTTTTTTCTGTTGAGGTGTCCCATCTTATGCAGTAGAATTTTGTTTAAGTTTGCAGAGACAAATAAAGGCATAACAGAAGGTGAGAGAGAGAGAGAGAGGAGAGAGAGAGAAGAGAGAGAAAGAGGAAGAAGAAAAAGGAGGAGGAGGGGGAAAGGAAGGAAAGAAGGAAGGAAGGAAGGAAGGAAGGAAGGGAGGGAGGGAGGGAGGGAGGGAGGGAAGGAGGGAGGAAGGGAGGGAGGGAGGAAGTCAAGCAGCAAATGGAACAAATTTTAGAAGACATTCAGGAGCCAGATCAAGATTTGCGTTACCATAAAACATTCCACAAGATTTCTAGTGTTTAGATGTTTACACCTAGGTCAATAAATAATCCCTAAGACATAAGGTGTTAACCTTAACCATCTGGCGGAGGTAGTATTTTTCAGGTTTTTGTGTTATAAAGATTCTGCTCCCCGTCCTATTCCATACTATATTATTTGAAAAGTAGTCACTAAATGCAGCCCAAACTGAAGAAGTAGGAGCTATGCTTCCTCTTCTTAATGAAGGATTTCTTCATAAATTATTCTGAATTATTTTAAATTGCAGATTTATTGTTTCTTCCCATTTATTCATTCATTCATTTATAAATTTTATCTTGGGAATCAATATACGCACATGGTATTTATTTTACTCTTTTGATTCAAATCTAATTCTACTCTAATTATGTTCTTTCTTAAATTGCTCCTGCTTTAAGACTACTGGGAGCTCTTTGAGAGCATTTCACCATTGGGGATATTTTCTGTTTTCTCTTGCAACTCTCTGACATAGCCCCATCAGTGTGAGATTTTCTTTCTTGTTTGTTTGCTTATTTAAGCATTTCTTTAATTTCTGATACTAAGAGAGCCCCAGGATGATTTTACATATTTCCAGTCTTAGTGTTAGCCATTTCTCTAAGGAACACTGGTTTCTTTCATTATAGAATTGCATTAGAAACAAATATCTGGCAATATGTGTGCTTCTGGGCATCTTTGCTATTAGACCTTCTCAGCTGATAAAACAAGGAGTTTATATATACATGCTGTGTGTATTCCAACTAAATACTTCCGTATGTAACCATCTGTATTTATGTTAATATAAACGTGAATTCATAAATATGTCTCTGAGTTTAAACCATTACCATGTGGCTCATTTAAGACTTCTGCACTTAAATATCTGTAAATTCTCACTTCAACAGTAAGAAACTCATCTCCCACCATTAGCCATCCATTTACATAATTACACAGTGCTAGCATACATTCATGGGAGTATCAAAATTGCTAACCTATGAATCTATTGAAATAAGTTTATCAGTTAAAGTACAGTACTTATGCACAGTTAAATTTGTCTTGAGTCATAGATTCCACTCATTTTGAATATTAATTAGGTCAATATTCTTCCACCATCTTTCAGTGAGGTTGTTTCATATTTGTAATATAGTTAGATTTTCTTGTCACATTTTACATTTTTTTCCTGGGATACCCGGACCTCCAAAATTATTTTTTTAAATTTGCATACTCAAAGAATTGATTTTTGTTCTGTAAATTTGTATGGGCTCTGGCAAATGTATAATATCAGGTTTTTACCATTATAGTATCATACAGGACAGTTTCATAATCCTAAAAATTCCTCAATGCATTACCTCTTTTATACTCTGAGACCCAACTATAGTTTTCCCTTTTCTAGAATGTCACATAATTGGGAACATACATTATATAATCTTTATATACTTATCTCTTTCACTTAGCAATTTTAATTGAAGGTCCATCAGTATGTTTTCTTCCCTTGATAGATTATTTTTGTTGCTGAATAATATTCCTTTGTATGGAAATACCATAGTCTTTTTATACATTCACCTATTCAAGGACCACTTGGATTGTACCACTTCTTGGTGATTACAAAGCTTTTATAAACATCATGTGCAGCCTTTTGTGTAGACACAAGTTTTCAAATCAGTTGGCTGTTTCCTAAAAGTGCAATTAATATGTAGCATGCAATGTCTATGTTTATCTTTGTAAAAAACTAACAATTGTTTTTCACAGTGGCTCTATTCTTTTGCATTCCCACCAGAAATTAATTAAAGTTACTGTTGTTCTGGGAACTTACTACGACTTGATGTACATTTGTTGTTGTTTTGTTTTAGCAATTCAAATAAGTATGCAATGTTATCTTACTGTCATTTTAATTTGAATTCTGTAATAAAAAGCAATGTCCAACATCTTTTAATATGCTTATTCTTCTTCTGTATGTTTTCTTTGGTGAGGTGTCTGTTCAGATCTTTGGTAATTTATAAATTAGGTTGTTTGTTTTATCGCTGCGTTTTAAATGATCTTTGTGTATTTTGGATAGAAGTTCTTTATCAGATATACATATATATTTTTTTCCTCATCTGTGGCTTTCCTCACTTTCTAAATGGTAGTTTCTTTGGTAGAAAAACAATTAATTATAATATGTACAATTTGTCAATGCTCATTTTCATAAATTTTGCTCTTGGTTTTGTAGTTAAAAAGTGAACACCAAACCAAACTTCACCTAAATTTTCCTTTGTGTTTTCTTTTGGAAGCGTTATAATTTTGAATTTTATGGTTAGATCTATGATACATGTTGAGGTAACTTTTTGAAAGTTGCGAAGTCTCTGTCTAGATTGATCTATCTATCTATCTATCTATCTATCTATCTATCTATCTATCTATCTATCTATCATCTATCTATTGCATATAGATGTCTAATTGCCCCCTCTATTTGTTGAAAAGACAGTCCTCTCTACATTGAATTGCCTTTGTCCTTTTTGCGAATCTCAGTTGACAAGTCAGGTAATGCTCCAACTCTCTTCTTCAACTTTGGTATTGTAATGAGTATTCTAGGTCTTCTGCCTTTCAACTAAACATAGCATCAGTTCATCAACAGTTTTCTTGTAGTTTTCCTTCACATTAATGCCATTATAATTATGGTATTAGGATGGCCTCATAGAATGAATTATGGGGTGTTCCTGCTGCTTTTTGTTTCATGAGAGAGATTATGGAAGAATAATATCATTAATTCATTAAATATTTGGTAGAATTCACCAGTGAAATCATCTGGGCCTAGTGCTTTCTTGTTTGGAGGAGAGTTTTAAGTTATTAATTTAATTTTCTTTTATTGGTAGTTATGGGTCTGCTGAAATTATTTCAATAGATGATTATGTCTTTCAAGTAATTGGTATATTTTATCTAAACCATCAAATTTGTTGAATACAGTTTTCCATAGTATACCTTTATCATGTTCCTGTTTATAGAGTCACTAGTGATGAATCCTCTTTCACTTGCATTATTGACAATTTCTTTTTATTTCTTAGTGAATCTGGCTAGAAGTTTGTCAATATTATTGAATCTGTAATTAATGAATGATTTTTTATTATCATTTTCTCTATCCTTTTTTCATTTTTAGGTTAGCTGATTTCTGGTCTACTTTTTATAACTTATTTTACCATTTTTACTTTGATATTAAATCACTGTTGTTTCTCTAGTTTCTTCAGGTGGAAACTTAGATTATTTAATTTAGATAATTTTATTTTCTAAAAGACGCTTTCCATGTCATAAATTTCCCTCTGTTTGCTTATTTAACTGCATATCATAAATTTGGAGAAGTTTTATTTTCATTTTTACTTATTTTAAAAATTGTTTTAGTTTATCTTGAAATCTTGGACCTTTGTATCATTTCAAACTGTTCGGTTTAATCTCCAAATATTTTTGGATTTTCTAGCTATCTTTCTTCTCCTAATATCTATTTTAATTCCATTGTGGTCTCATAATATGCATTGTATAATTTGTATTTTATTATGACTCTGTGTGTGATCTATTTCAATGAATATTTCATGGTAACTTAAGAATGTTTATTAAGTAATGTCTGCTTTTGTTGAGTGAATTATTCTATAAATGTAAATTTGGTTGGTTGATTAAAAGTACTTTCAGAATATTTACATTATTATGGATTTTCTGCCTGCTTTATTGATCAACTGCCAAAAGAAGAGTTATGACATCTCTAACTATAATAGTGGGCATGTCTACTTCTCTTTTCAGTTTTATCAGTTTTTGCCTCACTTCCTCTGACCATCTGTTGTCTTGTGTTTCCAAGAAAGTATTATATGATTTCTTGGAGAATTGACTTCTATATCACTAGATGCCAAATATGCCAGTATCTAATCTTGGACTTCTCAGTATCCATAATTGTAGAAATGAATTTCTATTGTGTATAAGTTGTCAATTCTTAGGTATTTTGTTAGAGCAGCCCAAATGGACCAAGAAGAAAATTGGTACTTGAGTGGGGTGTTGCTATGAAAAAATACCTATAATTTTGAAGACCGTTTAGGAACTTTCTAATAGTTTCAGACTGAAAGAATTTTGAAGTACATGCCAGAAACAGCATGAATGAACCATAAAAGACGATTTTATTGAAGGCTTAGAATAAGAGAAGAACTGTAGAAAAAGCCTCAAACTTCTAAGAGATTACCTACTTGGTCATGAGCAGAATGTTGGTAAAAATGTGGACAGTAAAGGTAATTCCGATGAGGTCTTAGATGGAAATTAGGAACATGTTTTTGGAAACTGAAAGAAAGTTAATCTTTGTTATAAAGTGTCATAGAACTTGGATGAATTGTGTTCATGTCCTAGTGTTTCGTAGAATGTAAAACTTGAGAATGATGGGATTGTATATTTGGAAGAGAAAACATTTAAGCAGAGTATTGAAGAAACTGCTTGGCTTCTCTTGAATGCTTATACTAAAATGCAAGAAATGAGAAACAATGTAAAGACAGAATTTACAATAAAAAGGAAACAGAACTTAAAGATTTGGAAAATTCTCAGCTGATGAAAGAAATCACAGATGATACAAATAAATGGAAAAACATCCCATGTGCATGGATTTGAAGAATTAATGTTCTTAATGTGACCATGCTTCCCAAAGCAATCTACAGATTCAACAATATTCCTATCAAACTACCAATGTTATTTTTCACAAAATTAGAAGAAAAACTATTCTAAAATTCATATGCAATCAAAAAAAGAGCCAAAATAGCCAATGTAATCCTAAGCAAAAATAACAAAACTAGAGACAATATACTATCCACCTTTAAATTGTACGATACAGCTACTGTCAGCAAAACTGTATGGCACTGGTACAAAACAGACACATACATCAATTGAACATGATAGAAACCCAGAAATAAAGTGTCACACCTACAACCAACTGATCCTTGATAAATTTGATAATAACAAGGAAAGAAGAAAGCACTCTCTAGTCAATATAGTGAGCTGGGATAACTGGTTACCCGTATACAAAAGAATCAAACTGGACCCCTGTCTTTCACCATATACAACAATTAAGTGAAGATGGATTAAAGACTTAAATGTAAGCCGGGCATGGTGACTCACACTTGTAATCCCAGCACTCAGGGAGGCTGAGGCCGTCAGATTGCTTGAGTCCAGGAGCTTACGACCAGCCTGGGCAACACAGTCAAACCCCGTCTCTACTAAAAATGCCAAAAAATTAGCCAGGCACTGTGGTGTGTGCCTGTAATTATAGCTACTCGGGAGGCTGAGGTGGGAGAATAACCTGAGCTGGGAGGTTGAGGCTGCAGTGAGCTGAGATCACACTGCGGCATTCCAGCCTGGGCAACTGCAGTGATACCCTGACTCAAAAAAAAAAAAAAAAAAAACTTAAATGTAAAACCTAAAACTACAAAAATCCTGAAGAAAGCCTATAGAATACCATTCTGGACATGGGCTTTGGCAAGTAAATTATGACTAAGTCACAAAAGCATTTGCAACAAAACCAGTAATAGACAAGTGTGACCTAATTAAACTAAAGAGCATCTGTACAGCAAAAGGAATTATCAGTGGACTAAACAGACAGCCTTCAAAATGAAAGAAAATATTTGCAAACCATGCATCTAACAGAGGCCTAATATCCAGAATCTATAAGGAACTAAACAATTCAAGCATCAGAACTAGATTGAGATATAGCTGAGATTTTAGAATAATAATTGAGAAAATATAAAATGACTGTAATAAATATGTTGAATTCTAATGGAAAAAGGTGACAACATACACAACCAGATGAGTAAGATATAAACGTTTAAATAAATAACCAAATTAATAACCAATAAAAAATTAAAGCAAGGTAACAGAATCGAAGAATATTTTTGATGGGGTCATCAGTAGACTAGACATGACTAAAGAAGGAATCAATTACTGAGCTTGAAGTCATGTTAATAGACTTCTAAACTAAAATGAAAGAAAAAAGAATTTATAAAAAAGAATATCTAAGAACTGTGGAGCATAATGTGTAACATATGTGTAACTGGATTATCAGAAGGACAAGAGGAACACAAAACATAAATATTTGTATTAATAGTGACCTAAAGTTATCCAAATTGAATGACAGGCATCAAACCACAGATACAGGAAGCTCAAAGAACACCAAGCAGCATAAACACCCAACAATCTACTCCTAAGCATATTATGTTCAAACTGCAGAAAACCAGAACCAAATTCTTGAATTAATCCAGAAAGAGGGGGAAACACCTTACCTATGGAGAAACAAGGGTAAGAATTACCAGGGCCTTCTCCAGAGACCATGCAAACAAGAAGAGCATGTAGTATACAGTAAACATATCCTTCAAAAGTAAAGGTAAAATAAAACTTCCCAAACAAACAAAAACTGAGAAAATTCATATACAGCAGACCTGTCCTGCAAGAAATGTAAAAAGAAGTTCTTCAAGAAGAAGGAAAATAATACAGATCAGAAATTCAATTTTGCTTTGAGAAAGAAAGAGTGTCAGACAAGAAATAAATTAATGTAAAATAATAGCTTTAATTTTCTATTTTTACTTGACTTTCATAATTCATTTAAACTACCATAACAAAATATCTTAGTCTGAGTAGTTGATAAACAGTAGAAATTTAATTCTCACAGTTACAATGTCAGGGAGGTCCACCATCTAGGTGCAGGCAGATTCAGTGTCTGGTGAGGGCCCATTCTTATAGACAGTTCCTTCTTGCTGTGTCTTCACATGATGAAAGACACTGGCTCGCTCTCTGGGGTTTCCTTAAAAGGGAACTAGTCCCATTTATGAGGATGGAGACCTCATGAACTCCGTAGGTCCCCACCTTCTAATATCATCACCCTGACAATTAGGATTTTAATATACACATTCTGGAGGACACAAACATTCAGACAAGATGGACTGTTTTCCTAGGCTCTGACCCTCACAAATATTTCATAAATATTTTCCTCAACTTTATGTAAGATAGGAAGTCTAACAGAGTTGCTATTGACTAAACGCCTTATCCCTTTGTGGGATAAAGCTCTGAAAACATATTTTCTCTGAAAAATGGGCCTTTATCATGCAGAATGAAATCATATTTCAAAAACGTTACCCTTCCCTTGCCCAGACCATGAGTGAAACAAAAACTGGCTTGGCTCTTCACTGTGAAAATCTCCTAGGGTTCCAGTAGGTAAAACCCAGAAAGATGTGAGACTCACTAAGACTGGCTTCAGGAAGTTTCTCACTCTCATTCTAATTCAAACGCAGCCTTAGTAATTTGTGAAAATTATTTCTAAAGTGTTTCTACCAGTTGACAGTTCCATTGACTTCCACTCCCGGTAATCAACTCTCAGCTGTAATTCTTTTTTTTTTTTTTTTAATTTTTTTTTATTATTATACTTTAAGTTTTAGGGTACTTGTGCACATTGTGCAGGTTAGTTACATACGTATACATGTGCCATGCTGGTGTGCTGCACCCACTAACTCGTCATCTAGCATTAGGTATATCTCCCAAAATTCTTTGTATTTTTCCTGTCTGCTGATTTCAGGGTGGTGGTTTTCCCTGCAAGGTCAATTCTCTAATGGGTACAAAGAAAGACTTTTTTTTTTAAAAAAAAAAAAAAAAGCTTTTTCCTTGTGATAAAGATAGGATTGATGACTTCCAAAGTCTCTTTTTCTCAGAGCTGAAATGAGAAGTCATTTTTAATAAATAAATTATATAAAATAACAAAAATTTTGACTGTTTTTCTATACTTTTGCATTTCATTTGCATACATTTCAAGTGTTTTCCTATAGTTATTCCACCAGTTGTGTAATTGGTTTTTCATAACAAAATTGTAAGACAGATAGCCTTATAGTATATTTTTTCCCTTTCATCCTAAGCTTATATTTATTTTCTGCCATCCCAGATTTTAAGCTTATTCTTACTCTCACCAAATAAACAAGGAGCTTTCTATTCTTTTTATTTCCTGAAGAAAGTCTTTTAAAACGTTATTTCGTCCTAGTTTTATCGAACTGTGAAAAAAGTTACTGTATTTTTTCTGCTTCATAGAATGTATTGATGATTTCTTATGAGCTATTATATGATTTACTTTGTGAATGTTTCACACGTTCTTGGGAACAAAAGGTATATTCTCTAATGTCAAAATATGTAATGAGTATGTTTACCAGCATCGACCTCACTGATTATATTATCTAGACCTTCTAAATCTTCCTTAATGTTTGTCCACGTGTCTTATAATGGCCTAAAACATAGGGCACTAAATCTTTTATTATGAGTGTGTTTCTGTCTATTTCATCTTGCATTTCTTTAATATATATTATATGGAAGTGAATTGTGGCTTTTACAATTATAGCATGCTCTTCATTGATTATTTACTGTTTTGGGCTGAGTTCTAGTTTGTCTAATACAAGTTTTCTAACTCCTACTTTTTTTTTCTTTTTTTGGTTTACCTGTTTTACCTTTGTCATTCTTTTAAGTTTAGCTTTTAAAGCCATTGTTTTAGATATATCTATTTTAAGTTATATAAGTTTGGATGCTGCTTTGTGAAATGTACTGGAAATCTTTTTAAAAAACTATTTTCCAACTATGCATTCACCAAATGCTAATATTCAGACTCTGCAAAGAACTCAAACAATTCAAAAAGAAACAAACAAATAACTTTATTAAAAAGAGGACAAATAATATTAACACATATTTTTCAAAGAACACATATAAGTAGCCAACAAACATATGAAAAAATGTTCAACATCACTAATCATCATACAAATGCAAATTAAAACCACAATGAAACACTTTATTACACCAGTCAGAGTGGCTATTACTAAAAAATCAAAAACAACAGATGTTGGCGTGGATGCAGAGGGAAGCAAATTTTTATGCACTGCTGGTGGGAACGCAAATGAGTATAATCTCTGTAAAAAACAGTACAGAAATTTTACAAAGAACTAAAAACAGAGCTACCATTCAGTCCAGCAGTCTCACTACTGGGTGTCCACCCCGCCCCCACCCAAAAAAAGAAATTGTTATATCAAAAAGACACAAGCATTCATATGTTTGTCACAGCACTGTTCACACTAATAATGTCATGAAAACAACAAAGTCATGGAATCAACCTAAGTGTCCATCAATGGATGATTAGATATGGAAAATGTGACACACACACACACACACACACACGCACATACACATCATGAAATTCTATGCAGTCAAAACAAAAAATAAAATCATGTCTTTGCAGCAAGGCAGATGGACCTGCAGGTCATTAACCTAAGTGAAATGTCTCAGAAACAGAAAGCCAAAAACTTTGTTTTCTCACTTGTAAGTGAGAGATAATCAATGGATACACAGTGACATAGAGAGTGGAATAATAGACATTGAAGACTCCAAAAGACGGAAAGGTGGGAGGGGGGTAAGGGGTGAAATATTACCTATTGGGTACAAAGTACACTATTTGGGTAATAAACACACTAAAAGCCCAGGCTTTACCACTGTGCAACATATCTGTGTAACACAACTGCACTTGCACTCCCTTTATAAATCTATTTTAAAAAGTAAAACAAAAACAACTAGAAACTTAATAAAATAGGTGAGTTAAGCATGTTTACATTGATTATTATGCCTGATATATTTGGTTTCAACTCTCATATTTAAGAGAGTATTGGTAGGCTAGGTCCTCCACAGAGAGAAAAAATGTACACACACACACACACACACACACACACACACACACGAGGAGATTTAATGTAGGAATTGGCTAAGGTAATTATGGGAGCCAAGGATCCCCACAGTACACTGTCTGCAATCTGGAAAACCAGGAAAGCTAGGTGGTGTATTTCAGTCTGAGATTAAAGGCCTAAGAACAAGGTGATTGATGGAGTAATCCCATTCTGAGTCTAAAGGCCCAAGAATCAGCAGTGCTGAAGTCTGAGGGCAAGAATACATGAATACCTCAATTCAAAGAGAAAGAGCAAGTTCACCCTTTCTCTACCATTTTGTTCTATTTAGGCACTCAGCAGACTGAATGATGCTCACCTACATTGATGAAGGTGGTCTTCTTTACCCAGCCTATCAATTGAAATGCAAATCTCTTTCAGAGACAATTTCACAGACATATCCAACAATAATGATTTTACCAGCAGTCTGGGCAACATTTAGTCTAGTCAAGTTGACACATAAAATTAACTACAAACAGTTTAATATTATAACTACAATGAATATTATATTTTATTTATATACATACACATATTTGTATCAATGTATACATCTCTATTGGTCTGTTTTCTTATTTCCTTTTCAAAAAGTTTTACTTTAATTTCTTGGATACATGTGCAGAATGTGCAGGTTTTTTGCATAGGTATACATGTGCCATGGTGGTTCACTGGACCTATCAACCTGTCATCTGGGTTTTAAGCCCCATATGCATTAGGTATTTGTCCTAATCTTCTCCCTCTTTGGGGCCCCACTCTCTAACAGGCCCCAGTGTGTGTTGTTCCCCTCCCTGTGTCCATGTGTTCTCATTGTTCAACTCCTACTCATAAGTGAGAACATTGACTGTTTGGTTTTCTGTTCCTGTGTTAGTTTGCTGAGAATGCTGGCTTCCAGCTTTGTCCATGTCCCTGCAAAGGACGTGGTCTCATTCTTTTTTATGGCTGTATGCTATTCCATGGCATATGTGTGCCACATTTTCTTTATCCAGTCTATCTTTGATGGGCATTTGGGTTGGTTCCAAGTCTTTGCTTTTGTAAATAGTGCTGCAATAAAAATTGGTGTGCATGTGTCTTTATAGCAGAATGATTTATATTCTTTTGGGCATGTACCCAGTAATGGGATTGCTAGGTCAAATGGTATTTCTGGTTCTAGATTCTTAAGAAATCACCACACTGTCTTCCACAATGTTTGAATTAATTTACACTCTCACTAACAGTGTAAAAGCATTCCTATTTCTCCATAGCCTTGTCAGCATCTATTGTTCCCTGATGTTTTAATCATCACCATTGTGACTGCCATGAGATGGTATCTCATCGTGATTTTGATTAGCAATTCTGTAATGTTCAGTGATGATGAGCTTTTTTCGTATGTTTGTTGGTCACATAACTTTCTTCTTTTGAGAAGTATCTGTTCATATCCTTTGCCCACATTTTGATGGGGTTGTTTGTTTTTTTCTTATAAATTTGTTTATGTTCCTTGTAGATTCTGAATATTAGACCTTTGTCAGATGAGTAGATTGCAAAGATTTTCTCCCATTCTGTAGGTTGCCTGTTCACTCTGATGATAGTTTCTTTTGCTGTGCAGAAGCTCTTTAGTTTCATTAGATTCCATTTGTCAATTTTGGCTTTTGTTGCCATTGCTTTTTGCATTTTAGTTTTGTTGCCCATGCCTATATACTGAATGGTATCCCCTAGGTTTTCTTCTAGGCTTTTTATGGTTTTGAGTTTTACACTTAAGACTTTAATCCATCCTGAGTTAATTTTTGTATAAGGTGTAAGAAAGGGTTTCAGTTTCCATTTTCTGCATATGGCTAGCCAGTTTTCCCAGCACCATTTATTAAATAGGGAATCCTTTTCTCATTGCTTGTTTTTGTCAGGTTTGTTGAAGATCAGATGGTTGTAGATGTGTGGAGTTATTTCTGAGGTCTCTCTTCAGTTCCATTGGTCTATATATTTGTTTTGGTACTTAAAAAATCTCAATAAACTATGTATTGATGGAACATATCCCAAAATAAGAGCTACTTATGACAAACCCATAGCCAATATCATACTGAATGGGCAAAAGCTGGAAGCATTCCCTTTGAAAACCAGCACAAGACAGGGATGCCCTCTCTCACTACTCCTATTCAACATAGTATTGGAAGTTCTGGCCAGGGCAATCAGGCAAGAGAAAGAAATAAATGGTATTTAAATAAGAAGAGAGGAAGTCAAATGGTCTCTGTTTGCAGATGACATGATTGTGCATTTAGAAAATCATCTCAGCCCCAAAACTCCTTAAGCTGATAAGCAACTTCAGCAAAGTCTCAGGATACAAAATCAATGTGCAAAAATCACAAGCATCCCTATAACCCAACAATAGACAAGCAGAGAGCCAAATCATGAATGAACTCCCATTCACAATTGCTACAAAGAGAATAAAATACCTAGGAATACAACTTACATGGGACATGAAGGGTCTCCTCAAGGAGAACTGCAAACTACTGCTCAAAGAAATAAGAGAGGGCACAAACAAATGGAAAAACATTCCATGTTCACAGACAGGAAGAATCAATATTGTGAAAACTGCCATACTGCGCAAAGTAATTTATAAATTCAATGCTATTCCCATCAAGCTACCATTGACTTTCTTTGTAGAATTAGAAAAAAACTACTTTAAATTTCATATAGAACCAAAAAAGAGCCTGTATATCCTAGACAGTCATAAGCAAAAAGAACAAACCTGGAGGCATCAGACTACCTGATTTCAAACTACCCTACAAGACTATAGTAACCTTTTTTTTACCTTAAAAAATTTGTACTTTTTCCATAAAAAATGTTGAGTTCATGTCCTTTGTAGGATATGGATGAAGCTGGAAACCATCATTCTCAGCAAACTATCGCAAGGACAAAAAACCAAACACCGCATGTTCTCACTCATAGGTGGGAATTGAACAATAAGAACACATGGACACAGGAAGGGGAACATCACACACCGGGGACTATTGTGGGGTGGGGGGAGAGGGGAGGGATAACATTAGGAGATATACCTAATGCTAAATGATGAGTTAATAGGTGTAGCACAACAACATGGCACATGTATACATATGTAACAAACCTGCACGTTGTGCACATGTACCCTAAAACTTAAAGTATAATAATAATAAAATTTAAAAAATTGTACTTTTTAAGTGATTTATTTTATAATATATTTAAAATATACATATTTAAAATAGATTTATATTTTATTTTTATTTAACCATCTTATTGTTCTAGTTGTCAGATGAGTATATTAGTTGAATACATATGTTACCAATGTGACAAATCATATTTTGATCTAATCTTTAGCCATGTTTCCAACTTGAATAATTGTTGGATCTACAATTTAATATGTTTAATGTAGCCATGAGCCTTTTTTAAAGAAATTGCTGGTTATCAATTTGTGGAATAAAGCTCACCCTCCAGTTGACTTCTCAGAGTTCATAATTACAATACTCCATGAGGTCTTGCATATATAAAAGTATTGTTATAACCTTGATATTTAAAGGCAGCTCTCTATCTCTCTATATCTCTCTATATAGATATATACACATATATGTACACATATATGTACATATGTATGTACATGTATGTACATATATATGTGTATATATATATATATAATTTAACTCACAATTACTTTAAGCCTGTTGGAAATTGTATTCTACTATACTTTGGCTTTGTATTTTTTTCTTGCAGTGTCTGATTTTTTTTTTCATTTGGAAGTATCTTATTATGAATTCCTGGATCCCAAATAATTTCATTTTAATTCTACTGCTTTTGTAAATTTTTAAAGCATAGTAGTTTTACCACAGCATATCTTGACTTGAATGTTCTTGGTCAATTATGTAATGATACATAATGAAACCTTTCACCATGTAGAATCGGGTCTTGTTTATTTCCTGGAGAATGATCTTGAATTATTGTTTTTAATATTAATTTTATTATGTGCATTTATCTCTGTGTGTGCTTACACCTGGGCTTCAATTACATTCTTTTACATATACATTGGCTCTTGTTTTGCTTTTTCTCTATATAGATTACTTACTTTCTGAATTTTCTTTCATATTTATTTTTATTTTCATCTTGAAGTTGGTTTTTATGCAGTTCTGCGATCACACATTAAATTTTAAATTTATCCTCCCTTTGGTTAATAAATCTTTATTTCTCAGGTGATTTTATCTTTTCTATCCATATTTTTTCTGAATCTTTTCAATTCTCATTTTATATATTCTTTTGTAATCTGTTTTCATTCTAGATATTGAAATTCTGGTATCAGGTTTGTATTATTGTTGTTTATGCCTTAACATCTATAAATGCTCATTTCTATATTTAATATTTTTAATCATTAATGTTCATTCAGATTGAAGTGTATATTATAGTTGAGTCAGCTTGATTTTATTTGGAAGAGGAAGACTTATCATTTTGAATATTCCACTTATTTTTTTCTATGTTTTTCCTATGTTAGCATTGTGAAAATACAGCCTGTAGTATGTTTGTTATTTTGTAAATGTTATTCTTTTAAATAAACAGTAATCATTATATGAAGAGAAAGATGAATATTGTGGAATGCTAATTAGGTTTACTGGTTCAAGACACTCTCTCATTTCGATACAATAGACTATTACTTCTTCAATAGTAATGCTCATTTTTTTTAAGCAGGGAAAAATTGGCAATCTTGTTATTTTTTAAAAAATTTTTGACGTACTCTTATTTTTTCTTTCTTTTTTTTTCTTTTTCTTTTTCTTTTTTTTTTTTTTTTTGTTCTTTTCACCATAAAATGTCTATGGGGGAGTTTTCTTCAGTTTTCATGTTACCTGCTTCTTCCTTACAATCAGTTCCATCCTGATATTGATACCTTAAGCCCTGCACACTTTTTACTATCTTCCTTTTTAAAATTTTTCAGCTATATATGATCTGATTTACCAACGATCAATATTTTCTCAGTGAGAATGGGAACTTCTCTTTCTGAAAGCAGCATTATCAGTGTTCCCTCACCATTACAATTTTGGCACCCCTTTTGCATCTCTACACTATCTGCCTGATTCCCTTCATTTCAGGAGCTCCAGAGCCAGCTCTCCTTGATTTTTAAAATGTACTTTCTGATGTAATTTATTTCATATTTTTAGATTCTCTGCTATTATTTTTATACAGCAATCTGAATGTTTTGAGATGTATATTAAGTACTTTATATATTTAATATATTCAGTCTTAATAAGTTCTGTATTTGAATTAAATGTTTTAATATTTATAAAAATAATTATTTTCAAAAATTTACATTTATAGCATTAGTTTATATGTTTTAATATGATTATTATGCATAAAACTAATAATGGGTATGTATTCATTGATATTTATATGTAACTTTTATTATTGTAAAATGACAATATTTGTTCCATTTAATAATTTTTTCCACTGAATCCTATTTTGTCTCGTGTTAATACTAGCAGTCCTGAGTTTATATTTGTCTTTACCAGTACCTTCAATATATTCAGCACGTAATGCAGTCACCGTGAGTTCAAGCTGATGCTAACTCAAAGTATCAAATAATTGCTTTAACTGGAAAAAAGTTTTACCTGCATGAAATTTATGCTAAATGGCACACTTTCCCTCTTTGCTTTTAATGTAAATTTTTATTTTTTAAAAAATTTTCTCCTAAATAATATATAACAGATCAGTTGAGATGTTTTAGCACAATGTGGAAGTATTTGCCTCAAATAAAGAAATCTATCCCTGTTTAATGGTTTTTAAATATTTTATGAAATGTTTAAAATCGTGAATGTATTTAGGTTTCTCAGTGTTGTTACTGTTTCACCACTTTCTCCTGAATTTGTGTTCTTTGTTGTGAAATGTCTTCTGAATGGATCAGTCAGAAGTATAAGGAGCAAACAACACATAACCTTTGGATTTTGTAAGTAAGGGAGGTTTCTGATTCTCTTGCAGACACAAAATGAGGAACTCCCACAAAACAGGAAGATAATTTGGATTGTGATTACACAAATATTGATGAATGTCTCTTATATTGAAAACAAATGAACATGATTTTAACTTTTAATAATTTTTAAACTTTATATGGCATAAGGAAATAAGGTTTGAGTTTGGTCAAAATGACAGTATGAAAAATCTTTTTTTCTAGTATAATAAAAATGTTATTCAGAATAATACATCTATAAATAACAGAGAGGAAAATGCAACATTAATGATGATGTATAATTTTAGACCTTGATAGTATGATTAGGGATAATTTGCTCTCTCTTTTGAATCATTCACAATTCAGTTGTTAACAAATACTATTATAGCTATCATAAGTATCAATGTAATATAGGGAATTCAGTTATTAATAAATTGTTGGATGATTGAAGGCATAGACTCTATGCCAGTTCCCCAGAATGATAATCTCAGGACAAAATTTACTGCAGTTAGGAAGCTGGAGAATCGGGAAGCTAGCATTCCAAGTATTAGTTCCATTATTATACCTCATTGGCAATGATTTATCGAATAAGTAGCTGTTGCCACTGTTGACTCCATGTGATGGTTAATACTGAGTGTCAACTTGATTGGATTGAAGGATACAAAGTATTGATCCTGGGTGTGTCTGCCAGGATGTTGCCAAAAGAGATTAACATTTGAATCAGTAGGCTGGGGAAGGTAGATTCACGTTAATCTGGTGGGCACAGCTGCCAGCGAATGTAAAGCAGACAGGAAAACCTGAAAAAGGTGAGACGGGCCTAGCCTCTGAGCTTACATCTTTCTGTCATGCTGGATGCTTCCCTCGAACATCAGACTCCAAGTTCTTCAGTTCTGGGACTCAGCAGGGCTCTGCTTGCTCCTCAACTTGCATACAGCCTATGGTATGACCTTCTGATCCTGTAAGTTAATACTTAATACACTCATATTATATATGTATATATATGTATATATGTATATATATGTGTGTGTGTGTGTGTATATATGTATATATATATGATACATATATATATGATATCCTATTAGGATATATATATCCTATTAGTTGTGTCCCTCTAAGAGAACCCTGACTAATACAGATTTTGGTATCAGGAGTGGTTCCAGAGAAACAGCATATTAAGAATGGAGTTCTTTCATTGGTTTTGAAGTTTCTGGAGTAGGCTGCTTAATAGGATTAGAACAAAAATTGCTTAGGAATCCACTTCTGATAATATGAAGAACACTGAGAGTCTTTGGCATGAATTGTTTAAAGAGTTATGCAAAATAAATGCATTTGACACTCCTGATTTACCGCTTGTGAAAGGCAAGGAGTTTAGAAACTCTATACATAATACCTTTGACCACATGTGGAGAACCAAGTAACATAATGAAGCTGGTTGGTTGCTCCTAAGTTCACTGAACAATGTGATGAAAGGAAATGATGAACTGGGGGATTCTGTCTCCCGGTTTCAGAAGCAGACACTGAGCCTCAAATCTGCTAAGATTGCCCTGTGTGAGAGTCTTATCTCCTGTAGAGAAAGAGCTAAAATTGTGGAAAAACAGACACAAGCTCTTATCATGAGAGTGGCTGACCTGAAACAAAAGGTGCATGCACAGCCTTGCCAGGTATTTACTGTTAAAGTGAGGGCATTGACTGGAAAATATTGGGATCCTGCAACTTGGAATGGGGACATGTGGGAAGACCCTGATGAAGCTGGGGACGCTGAGTTTGTAAACCCTGATGAACTTTTTTTGCCAGATGGAACAGCATCCCCATTTCCAGTAGTGGCAACATCCTTCTCATGTCCATGCTGCCATCAGCCTTTCCATCATTGTCTGAGGAGATAAACCGTGTGCTGCCTGAGACAACAGTGATGGTCTCCCCTGAGGCAGTTGCCAGGCAAGATAATGTTAATTCTCCTCAGAAGCCACTACCAACACCTCTGTTTTCTTCTAGACCTGTAACTAGAGTCCCAGCAGGCCCCCGGAGGTGAGGTTGAGAGTGTGACCCATGAGGAGCTGTGCTACACTCCAAAAGAAGTGTTTGAGTTCTCTAATTTATATAAACACCAATCTGGAGAACAGGTATGAGAAAGGATATTAGAGGCATGGGATTATGGTGAAAGGAACATAGAATTGGATCAGGCTGAGTTTACTGATTTGGGCCAAGTAGGAAGGGAATCTGCTTTTAATGTTGCGGCTCAGGGAGTTAAAAAAGGCTCTAATAGTTTATTTGCTTGGTTAGGTGAAATATGGATTAAAAGAGAGCCACTGTGAGTGAGCTAGAAATGCCTTGGTTTCATGTAGAGGAATCATTCATAATTCAGTTGTTAACAAATACTACTATAGCTATTATAATTATCAATTTAATATAGGGAATTCAATTATTAATAAATTGTTGGAGGGTTGAAGGTGTAGACTCTATGCTAGGCCACCAGAATGGTAAACTCAGGACAAAATTTACTGCAATTAGGAAGCTGGAGAATTGAGAAGCTAGCATTACAAATATAAGTTTTATTATTAAACCTCATTGGCAATGATTTGCAGAGTAAGAGGCTGTTGCACCTGTTGACTCCATGTGATGGTTAATACTGAGTGTCAACTTGATTGGATTGTATATAATTTAGATAAAACAAACTCACCTTCATTCAATAAACTCTTGAATGTAGAGGAAGGGATCCAAAGGCTTAGGGAGATTGGGATAGTGGAGTGGATTAGTCACTTTAGAACTTTTCATCCTAGCTGTGAGGGTCCAGAAGATATACCCTTGACCAATGCCTTGTAAAATAGATTTGTGAAGGCAGCACCTGCATCTTTGTGGAGCCCTGTAATTGCATTTATCCGTATGTCAGATCTGACAGTCACTCAACTACAAAATTTAAATACAATGGGAATAATTGGACTCCGAAGTGTCAGGGGTCAAGTGGCAGCACTCATTCATAAAGGTGAGCAAGATGGGCATAGCTACTGTAATGGACAGCAGAGGCAAAGCAGCAATCAGAATAGTCTGACTCGTGTAGAGCTCTGGCATCGGTTAATTAATCAGTGTTCCTAGAAGTAAAATTGATAGGAAGCTTACTGCATTCCTACTTAAATTATACAAATGGAAAACTTCTAGGTTGAATAGACAAAAGAGCAACTTGAATTACACAAATGGAGAATCATGGCCTCTCCATCAATTTCCAGACTTGAGCCAGTTTACAGATCCAGAGTCCTTTGAATGAAGGGGAGGCTGGGTCACCCTCTTGAAGGAAGGATCCCACTATATTACAACTATTTAAGCAGTGAATCTTTCTGACATCCTTCCCCAAGGAGACCTCCAGCCATTTACCAGGGTAACTGGGAATTGGAGAAAGGGAAATAATTAAACATTTAGGGGACTACTGGCAACTAGATCTGAGTTGACGTTGATTCTAGGAGACCCAAAATTTCACTGTGGTCCTGCAGTTAAAGTAGGGGCTTATGGAGGTCAGGTAATTAATGGAATTTTAGCTCAGGCCTGACTTACAGTTGGTCTAGTGGGTCCCCAGACTCATTCTGTGGTCATTTTCCCAGTGCAAGAAAGTGTAATTGGCATAGATATACTTAGCAGCTGACAGAACCATCACATCGGCTCCCTGACTGGTAGGGTGAGGGCTATTATGGTGGTAAAGGCCAAGTGGAAGCCAGCAGAGCCGCCTCTACCTAGAAAAATACTAAATCAAAATCTATATTACATACCTGGAGGGACAGCTGAGATTAGTGTCACCAACAAGGACTTGAAAGATGCAGGAGTGGTGATACCCAACACATCCCCATTCAACTCTTTCATTTGGCCTGTGCAGAAGACAGATGGATCTTGGAGAATAACAGTGAACTATCATAAGCTTAAGCAAGTGGTGACTCCAATTACAGCTGCTTAACCAGATGTGGTCTCATTGCTTGAGCAAATTAACACATCTCCTGGTACCTGGTATGCAGCCATTGACTTGACAAATGCCTTTTTCTCCATTCCGGTCCATAAGGCCCACCAGAAGCAATTTGCCTTCAGCTCACAAGCCCAGCAATATACCTTTACTGTCCTACCTCAGGGGTATATCAACTCTCCAGCTTTGTGTCATAATCTTATTCAAGGAGACCTTTATCACTTTTCGCTTCTGCAAGATATCATACCGATCCATTAAATTGAGGACATTATGCTGATTGGATCCAGTGAACAAGAAGTAGTAAACACACTGAACTTATTGGTGAGACATTTGCATGCTACAGGATAGGAAATAAATCTGACTAATATTCAGGGACCTTCTACCTCAGTAAAATTTCTCAGGGTTCTGTGGTGTGAGGCCTGTTGAGATATTCCTTCTAAGGTAAAGGATAAGTTGCTGCATTTGGACCCTCTTACAACCAAGAAAGAGGCACAATGCCTAGTGGGGCTATTTGGATTTTGGAGGCAACACATTTCTCATTTGGATGTGTTACTCTGGTCCATTTATTGACTGACCCAAAAGGCTGCCAGTTTTAAGTGGGTTCCAGAACAGGAGAAGGCTCTGCAACAGGTCAAGGCTGCTGTGCAAGCTGCTCTGCCACTTGGGCCATATGACCCAGCAGATCCAATGGTGCTTGAGGTGTCAGTGGCAGATAGGGGTGCTCTTTGGAGCCTTTGGCAGGCTTCCATGGGTGAATCACAGAGGATGTCTCTAGGATTTTGGAGCAAGGCCCTGCCTTCTTCTGCATATAACTACTCTTCCTTTAAGAGACAGCTCTTGGCCTGTTACTGGGTTGGTACAGGTTGGTGGAAACTGAATGTTTGACTATGGGTCATCAAGTCACCATGCAACCTGAACTGCTTATCATGAACTGGATGCTTTCTGACCCATCTAGCCATAAAGTGGGTCTTACATAGCAGCATTCCATCACCAAATGGAAGTGGTATACATGTGACTGGGCTTCAGCAGGTCCTGAAGGCACAAGTAAGTTACATGAGGAAGTGGTTCAAATGCCCATGGTCTCCATTCCTGCCACCTGCCTTCTCTCCCCCAGCCTGCACTGATGGTCTCATTGGGAATTCCCTATGAACAGTTGACAGAGGAAGAGAGGACAAGAGCCTGCTTGACAGATGGTTCTGTAAAATATGCAAGCACCACCCGAAATGGGACAGCTGAAGCACTATATCCCCTTTCTAGGATAACCCTAAGGTATAACAGTGAAGGAAAATCTTTTCAGTGGGCAGAACTTCGAGCAGTGCACCTGGTTGTGTACTTTGCATGGAGGAATAAATGGCCAGATTTGCGATTGTATACTGATATGTGGGCTGTAACCAATGGTTTGACTTAAAGGTCAAGAATTTGGAAGAAGCTTGATTGGAAAATTGGTGACAAAGAAATTTGGGGAAGAAGTATGTGGTTGGACCTCTCTGTGTGGTCAAAAACTGAAGATATTTATATCCCTTGTGAGTGCTCATCAATGGGTAACTTTAGCAGAGGAGGATTTTAATAACCAAGTGGATAAGATGACTCATTCTGTGGGCAACACTCAGCCTCTTTCCCCAGCTACCCCGTCATCCCCAATGGGCCTATGAGCAAAGTGGTCATGGTGGCAGGAATGGAGGTTATGCATAGTCTCAGCAACATGGACTTCCACTCAGCAAGGCTGACTTGGCTATGGCAGCTGCTGAGTGCCCAGTTTCCCATCAGCTGAAACCAACACTGAGCCCTCAATATGGCACCATTCATCAGGGTGATCAGCCAGCTACCTGGTGGCAGGTTGATTATATTGGGACTCTTCCATTGTGGAAAGGCCAGAGATTTGTCCTCACTGGAATAGACACTTACTTCAGATATGAGTTTGCCTATCCTGTAAATAATGCTTCTGTGAAGCCTACCATCTATGGACTCACAGAATGCCTTACCTACCATCATGGTATTCCACATGGCATTGCCTCTGAACAAGGCATTCACTTTACAGCTAAAGAAGTGTGGCAGTGAACTCATGCTCATGGAATTCACTGGTCCTACCATGTTCCCCATCATCCTGAAGCAGCTGGATTGACAGAATGGTGAAATGGGCTTTCGAAGTCACAATTATACCACCAACTAAGTGACAATACTTTGCAGGGCTGGGGCAAAGTTCTCCAGAGGTAGTGTATGCATTCAATCATCATCCAATATATGATACTGTTTCTCCTATAACCAGGATTCACAGGTCCAGGAATGAAGGAGTGGAAGTGGAACTAGCATCACTCACTATGACCCCAAGTAACCCACTAGCAAAATTTTTGCTTCTTGTTCCCACAACATTACATTCTGCTGGCCTAAAGGTCTTAGTTCCAGAGTGAGGAATGTTGCCACCAGGAGACACAACAATTATTCCATTAAAATGGAAGTTAAGATTGCCACCTGGACACTTTGTGCTCCCCTTACCTTTAAGCCAACAGGGTAAGAAGGGAGTTACAGTGTTGGTTGCAGTGACTGACCTGGACTATCAAGATGAAATCAGTCTACTGCTCCACAATGGAGGTAAGGAAGAGTATGTATGGAATACAGGAGATCCATTAGGGCATCTCTTAGTATGAAGGCCAATGGGAAAATACAACAGCCCAATCCACTGCAAATGACCCACAGCCTTCATGAATAAAGGTTTGGGTTACTCCACCAGGAAAAAATACCAAGACCTGCTGAGGTGCTTGCTGCAGGCAAAGGGAATACAGAATGGGTAGTAGAAGAAGGTAGTCATCAATAACAGCTATGACCACGTGACTAACTTCAGAAACGAGGACTGTAATTGTCATGAGTATTTCTTTCTTCTTTTGTTAAAACCATGTTTGTGCATGTATACACTTGTAGTAAAAAAATCTTCATTTTATTTCCTTTTTCCTTTATCATGTGTTATAAGATTTATTGACTTCATAATAGCATTTAAGTATTATTAACTTTATGTAATAGTATTTGGGTTGGGGATTTGTTTGTTTCCAGTTGTACGAAGGAAAATTGTATCACATTATGTGTAATTATGACCTTACTGTTGTCTTTATTTGAGGATCATGTATGATCTTATTAGATGTGTATATCTTCAAGTTGACAACGGGTGGACTTGTGATGGTTAATACTGAGCGACAACTTGACTGGATGAAGGATATAGAGTATTGATCCTGGGTGTGTCTGCGAAGGATGTTGCCAAAGGAGATTAACATCTGAGTCAGTGGGCTGCGGAAAGCAGATCTACCCTTAATCTGGTGGGCACAGTCTAATCAGCAGCCACCAAATACAAAGCAGGCAGAAAAACCTGAAAAAGGCAAGACAGGCCTAGCCTATGAGCCTACATCTTTCTCTCATGCTGGATGCTTCCTGTCCTGGAACATCAGACTCCAGCTTCTTCAGTTTTGGGACTTGAACTGGCTCTCCTTGCTCCTCAGCTTGCAGACAGCCTATTGTGGGACCTTGTGATCATGTAATTTAATACTTAATAAACTCCCCTCTCTCTCTATATATATATATAAAATAGGATATATATATATATAAAATAGGATATATATAGAAAATAGTATATATATGGATATATATATTATTAGTTGTTATATTATTATATATCATATATATTATTATATATAATATATTATATCATATATATTATTATATATAATATATTATATCATATATATTATTATATATAATATATTATATCATATATATTATTATATATAATATATATTATATATATTATTATGTATAATATAATATATTATATATTATTTATATATATATAAATTATATAATAATATATAATTAATTATACATATATACATATATAAGTATACATATAATATATTTATATAGTATATATATAAATATATATACAATATATTTATATATTATATATTATATACAAATATATACAATATATTTATATCATATATTTTATATATGATATATATAATATATATTATATATGATATATATAATATATATTATATATGATATATAACATATATCATATATAACATATAAATATATAACATATAAAATATATAATATATATTATATATATTAGTTGTGTCCCTCTAATAGAACCCTATTACACTACAGTAATATGCTGCCTGCCTTAGCTGCAACATGGGAATCAGAGTTATGGCGAATCTGCTATATTCACACTGGTAAAATAGATACGTTAACTGATACCAACTTTCTCTCCTTTTCCCCTTAGATAATTGTGCCTTAGCAAGGATTTTCTTTATCGGTTTGCTAGATATTACACATGTATAATGTAATCAATAAATGGTTGATAATCATTTGTGATAACTATTATACTAATTTTAAATACGGTAATAAATTCTCTTTAAGAAGTCTGATGATAAACAGATCCTCACAATAAGTTATTGCCATCCTTGACAAAGGAATAGCTAAGATTTCTATTCACTTTGTCTATATATGTAGATTGTTAAATACATGATTGTTTTATGTCAAATTTTGCTGAGAAATACTTCCAATTGATTAATTAATATTTAGAATATAATTTACTTTGCATTAGGATTGATGTGTGTGTGGTTATCTTCATTTTTGAGTACTGTAAGAAATAAGTTTGTAAATAACAAATATTTCTCAGAAAAAAATGCATATCCACTTTCTAATATTTTGCACTCCAACCATATCCATAAACTCTTAGGAGCATTGGTTCTTCATTATGGTCAAAAATTCTATCCTGGGGTGTAGAATGTTATACTGTTTGTGGAGTAATTCTGGCAGTAAGATTCCAATTAAATGAATAGTTTATTAAGGAGAGTGCCACAGCTTGGCAGTGCTTTTTTGTGTTATTTCTATCGGCTATGATCTAGTAAGATGCCTATTGGCTCAGGATAAATATGACGGCAAAACTCTCGGGGTTACAGAAATAGAAAAATACTCAAAGCAAGCTTTCAGCTGGTGTTACTTCTCATCAAGAATCCACCGATAAAACAAGAGGCTGAGAAAAGTACAAATCCTGTTATCTCTGTGAACTTACATTGAGGTTATAACACTGACAGTGGAGGAAAGAAGGTCAAGTGGGACAGAAATATAATATTTGTCTTACCCTTTGGGGAAGAAAGAGCTATAGCACTGGTGTTACATGGCCTAGAATTGTTCTGAAGCCTGAAAAGGAAACCTTTCTGTGCAAAGACATCGTCAAGTTATATTTTATTTTCATACTGCAACAACTTCCTGGGGGTTGTTATGTGGGTTACATTCCTTGAAGGAGAGCATACAGCTGAAAGATTGCAACTACTGACTCTGCACAAATTTCGCATCATCAGTCATTGTTCATTTTTCTTAACATTTAAACTGCTGGCAAGGTCCATGAACCAGTCACCACAGGAAAGCTCCTAGGTGGCAATTTTAGAGTGATTCAAGTCACTCTAGAGGAAAATCTGAAGGAAATTTCCCTCACTGGGAGACATTGAAATTTATACTACCGTAGCATGATAACACAACATGAAAAACAGTCACCAGACAAGATTTTAGAAACTCTTTATAAGTGTAAGGAACATAAAAAGAAGGAGCATTTGTAAAAGTCAAATTCTACAGGTCAAACATCTATTATTGTTTATTTCCATTAACCTGAATTTAATGTTCGAAAGACAAATCTTACAAATTATAACAATAAGAATTAATACTTTTTTTTACAACCACATTTTCTGGCCAAATATTCTACAGTTTCTTTCTTTCTCTCTCTCTCCCCCTCTCAATCTCTCCCCCTCTCAATCTCTCTCCCTCTCTTTCTCTCTCTCTCTCTCACACACACACAAAAAAAATTGTGTTATTATTCCTGAAATTATTGGATGTGTTAGACCATTCTGATGGCCACTATAATAAAATTGACTCTAAAGATGTATGTAGGAAGCAGAAATAGTGATAAGAGACTTTCTTTCTCTTTCTTTCTGCCTGAATCGTTTACCAGGAGGAAGGATCAATGTTGTGGATTACAGGGGCCTATGGATTAGCACTGCATATGGAGACACTTTAGAACATATTAAAAATAACAAGGAAATTTCCCCTAGGAAGTCTTTTGTTTAAAAATTTAAAAAAATATATCATTAATGATTTAATTATGTTTCTGTTTATTGAACTAATAGGAAGAATATGAACTCTAGAGTCAGAAATCTAGCCAATTCATGCTCACTAAATGTTCACTTTAAATCTTTGAGTCTAAATTTCCTACCCATATAAAATTTCTTTAAAGACTCTATGAGTTAACGCCTATGCATTACTTCACTTAGTGCTCAATAAATGTGGTTTTCTTTATTTGAAGGAGCAAATCTTATCATTGTCATTAGTTCATATCATATAATTTACACAAAAGAATGTCATGAATGCTGAAAAAAGGCATTAGTATTATACTTTTCTACTGTATTAAATAAAGAATATTTATCTCTAAAGAATTCATCTTATGACTGACATTTTGAAAATAAACACATAACAAACCCTACTCCTTGAATTAAAAACTATACTTAATCTTTGCTTCCAGTTATTGGCACAGAGCTTCATAAATCCTGACTTTCCTGAATGATAGGACTGATTTGATTATCTTAATGAGATGATGCCTTGCGGGGCCCTAAGATCACTTCAGAATGGAAAAAAACAACCACTTAGTAAGGAAGCTTAAACTTTCAGCACCACCCCTGCCTCAGACCTCTACGGAGGAGAGGATGTATGGAGATCAAGTTCACGGCATGGCCAATGATTTATCAATCATGTCTACCCAGTGAAACTTTTGTAAAAACTGTCAACAATGAGGCTTTGGAAGTTTCCTAGCTAGGAACACCAGCTGTCCCTAACTCCAGGCAGACAAGAGGTACTGTGCCCTGTCCTCTCAGAATTTAACCTATTTGTCTCTTCCATTTGGTTATTGTGAAATATATCTTTGATAATAAGACCGTAAATGGAAGTGTGGTGCTTTCAGTGAGTCCTGGGAATTATTCTGATGAATATCAAACCTGAAAGATGGTCATGGGAAGCCCTGAATTTGCAGCTAAGCCAGGCAGGGGTGTGAGTATCCTGAAGACCCCTCTCCTAGTTGGTATCTCAAGTAAGGGAAGTCTTGCTGGGAACTGTGAGATCACCAACTTGTGGGTTCCGACATTTTTTCTGAGTACTTAATGTCAGAACTTAAGGACGTTTTCTTTATTTTGTGAGATCCGACACTAACTTTGGGTAATTTGTGTCAGAATTGAATTGAACTGTAGGGCATTGAGTTAATGTCAGAAAATTGGTTTTGAAACTTAATACTCATATAGCTCTTCTGTATTTTGAGGGTCATACACTAACTTCTTCCAAGATTACATTATTCATTGATGGCCTCACCACCTCTACTTGCTAACCACCTTTGTCATAACATCAGTGCTCTGCTATCACCTTTCGATGACTTTTATATATAAGTAGACATTCTTAAGTTTTTAATGTGCTCATTTATATATCTACCACAGCTACCTTGGCTATCTCAGCTATCCACTTTTTGATAACCCTAATAATATTGTCATTAAAAACTGCACTACAATCCAAACCAGATATTTTCGTGTTCAACGATCTCACCAAAACCACACAAGTGTTTACTTGTACTTGGCTATGTCCCTAACATGTAAGTATTGTTCAATCCATGAAAAGCTTCGAACCATTGATAGTCTCACCTTCTCTGAATCAATTTGCTTTCATACTCCTCCTAGTTAATTTCGTTAGAACACTGAACCAACATTAAAATCATTTTCTTGTAATTATACTTACCCAATTCAGCTCCAGTTTTATTCTAACATGTTCTCATAACAAATCCCCACATTGGATGAATAAATATATAGCTATATTTTTCCACTGTGAAGCTGAATATTGATGGAGAAAAGTCATACAACTGGGTATGCCAGTTGTATAGTTGTAAATTCATGATTACAAATAATAAATTTATGGTTGCCATTCTTTTTTGAGTGCTAATACTATTCAGTAATATGATTATATATAACTACTTAAGCCCCACTCTTCACTCTCTCAACTGACTATTCCCTGTCTTTTACATTATCCTCTAATAGTCCTTGCCAAGCACAACCAAGAAAAAAATAGCTGATGGATTTTCCTCATGATTTGCTGAGTTAATAGAAACTTTGCTATCCACAAACCTACAAATCTACTTTATATTTCTCTCCACTTCCTCTTCTTTCCGTCACAAAAAAGAAAGTTTTCTCCTTCCAGAAAAGGCTAAACTCTCCACCTGTATTATGAACCATGTCCTCTTCATCTTCTTTTGGACATTTCTCCTTTGTTTATACCCACACCCTCCTGGGGGTACAGTCACTAAATCTTTTTTTAAAATCATCATTGTTATTAACCAACAGTTGATCTTGTAACACCTTTTTTAAAAGTGAATTTTAAAAAGTCCTTAAAACAGCAAGAACAACAAAAGCAACATTTATCTGAATGTTATAGAGCTGTTTGATACGATCTCAAAATACTCATTACCTCAATGATTCACTTTTCCTTTAATTGACAAACTTATCAAACACATTGGCTTTATGTCTCACTTCCAGTTAACTTTCCAAGCTATAGCGTTCCCACCACTGCTCTCAATCCACTCTTTCAGACCTCTAGCTCTGTTAAGAAAAGGTATACTTTTAGTTTTAATCTTATTAAAATTTTAATAGTATTCAGATCAGTTAAAAAGATTGTTTTGAAACATTTTTTATCTTGGCTTTCATGGCATGGCCTTCACCTAATTTTCTTTTGATCTCACTAACAATTTTTTTCAATTTGTTTTTCAGTATCCTTTTGTTCTACTCTAATATAGGTTTCTTTTCCAAACTTCATCCTAGGCCATTTTCTCTTTTTAGCAAATATCTCCTTTATGGGTGGGCTCAGTCTTTCTAATATATATGTGTGTGTGTGTGTGTGTGTGTGTGTGTGTGTGTGTGTGTGTGTGTGTGTGTATATGTGTATATATATATGTGTGTGTATATATATATATATATATATATATATATGCTAATGGCACTCAAGTGTATATCACATAGAGCTTACTTTTGAGAAATGTGTACCTTGCATCTCACCCGAGTACTTTGAAGCATCTACACTTCATATGTACCACACGGAAATTATCATTTTCCTACATTATTGAAGCTCTACCTGATCCAGTTTTTTCCCATATCGGTGACATATTTTACCTACTTAAGGTCCAAGCTGTAAAACTGAAAATCATTTTGGTAGTTTCCTCTCTCAACTTTTACACCAAATCCACTGATACTTTCTGTCTTTTCTAGTTCCTAAATCTATAGGAAGTCTGACCATTTCTCAGGATCTCTGCAAAGTGGCTGCATTGTCTTTTCTATTGAAATGCTAATCATATTGGGGTTCTTTAATTTTCATGCACTTGTCAAGCACTATGACAACTATGAGGATGCTGTAGGGAGAATTAAATCAAATTTATTCACTCAAAAGTTTGACAGCTTGAGGTAAAATCAGTTGAATTTATTTCTCTTATAGGAAGAAATATGTGTGGAAAAATGCAAAATATTATTCAAAAATTTATACCACTAATTTATAGCTGGATCAGAGAGAGAATATCTAGAGAATAGGCTGATTTAAGCATTTTTAGAGAATATGATGTTAAAAATTCCAAACAATGTATGTGAACTATATCGTATAAATCTAGTGCAAAAAATCAGCTTGGGCGTCTCTTTAAGACTATATAGTGTATTTAGAAGATAAGAAGACTAGGATTTGTTTACAATCCCATTCAAATTTGTTAGAATCATCTATACAGCATTTTTATTATGCTAAGTGCCCACAGTGGTTTTCTTGTATATTGTTAGGAATCATAGCTTATTAAGGTATTTTTGCCTTCTTAAAAACAAAACAGAAAAACAAAAAGATCAGCATGTTGGCACACCTGTTGTCCCAGTTGCTTGCAGTGAGGCTAAGGTAGGAGGACATCTTGAGCCCAGGTGTAGAAGTATAGCCTATGCAACATAGTGAAGTCATGTCTCTGAAAAAAAAAAAGACAAAAGCAAAACTTCTCTATTATTAGATTTTAATAGATGTAAGCATATATTTTGACTATTCCTATATCTGACTAAGGGTGCTAAATATAAAGATGTTCAAATTACAGAGGGTCTAAAATAGCCCCCCAAAAATGAATTCACATTTCTCTGGACTTACCTAGTATTCAGTTGCATCAAGGATCAGAGGATTCTTCCCTCAGCCGCTTTCTCACTCTATTCCCTATGGCTGAGATCTTTCCAATTTACTACCATCTGCTCTCATTGATAACTTCCTGATAACAACCTAATAACTCTTGCTGATAACTTCAAGAAGGATAGCCGGAGTTAATTTTTCTTTTTTTATTTTGAGACTTTCACTTCTGTTTATTTTGCCTTTGCCATGAAAACCTCAGTAAAGGGTCTGGCCTAGGCGTTCTCATTCCTGCTTCTGCCCTGGCCAAAACCTGGTGCTTTACTAAGTGGCCTTGCATGATGTGACATGCCCCATCCTCTCAGGAAATGAAAATAAGAAAAATCTCTTTTCTATGGCTTTAGTTTCTCCATATTGTCAATTATAAATAAAAATGCCATGGGCACAATTGAGGCACACTCTACTAAATTATCCAATATAAACACTTGAGCATTCTCTATTTTTTCTTGATTTCTTAGCTTCCACTTTCTGCATACCCACTACAACTGCCTTAGGTCAGGCCAGAATCATCTTTTGAATGAATTATAAGAACCAAATTGTTAACTTTTATACCTTTATCCCTTTCTAATTCTTTCTTCAAACTGAAGGCAGAATGATGGCTTTAAAATTGGAAAGGCCACAGTATGTTAAGATACTCACATTTTCTCTCATATCCTAAAAGAAAAAGTCCAAATACCTAAACATAGCCAAGAAGAACATCTATCATCTGGGTATTCTTTTTCTCCAGCCTCACCACGGGCCAGGCCTCTACGTTGACTCTCATGAGCATGCTAGAAGTCATGAACTGTTCTAGAAGCGTTGAGCTTTCACTTTCATGCCTTTTTTACATGCTTAAACTGCCTAGAACAATTTACCTCCACTCACCTCGTCAATTTGTGGATATCTCTGAGACCTCATAATGTTTTGTGAAGGTTTTCTTACTCCTTATAATGTTGTTAGGTCTTATAATTCCTTAAAAGTTTTGCTATCTTAAAACTTATCTTTTTCTAATTGAAATTGCCTGCTAACTTCTCTGAATTTCCTACTAGGCAGTAAATGACTTGTGGTCAGATATTGTGTCTTAGGAGCATTATACACTAGTTGGTACATAAAACATTTATTGACACATACTTGATGTTCCAAAATGTTCCAGAGAATTACAAATTTTAATGTTTACTCCTTGAAGTTGATTAAAAGATGTCTTCAAAAAGTTAATAAAAATGCATATGCTAAATATTTCATAGATTTCAAAAATGTGTTGGACCAAAATAAATACATACTAACTTGTTATAACATGTCTAGACAAGGTTTAGTTGGAGGCACTAGGAAGAATAAGTTCTGCTAAAATTAAACTAAGAATAAACATCAAATTTATGGTGAAGCTTGAGTGGATGAAAGGTGAAATCATCAATACTTTATAAAAAGTGTATTGGTACAATCACCCAAAGAAATAAGCAGATTATAAAAGGGTAACTCATTTTAAGAAAGTATAAACTAATTTTGAAAATGAAGCCTGTAGTGACAGATCATTTGTATAAATTTGTGAGGAAAAAAATTCATCTCCTTTGTGCCCTAATGGAAGAGGACTGATGATTAACAGTACAAACCATAGCCAACAAGGTAGACCTATCAGTTGATTCAGCTTACACAATTCTGGCTGAAAAATTAAAGTTAAGCAAACATTCCACTAGGTAGGTGCCAAAATGGTTGTACCTGCAGACAAGAGCAGATCTGCAGACAAAAGCAGAGTTTCAATGAAAAATTTTAAACAATGGGCTCAAGATCTTAAAGCATTTATTTAAAAAAAAATTGTAACAAGAGATAAAACATGCTTTACTAGCACAATCCAGAAGACAAAGCACAAGCAAAGCAATGGCTACCAGGAGGCAGAAGTAGTCCAGTAAAGCAAAAGCAGACTGGTGACGATCAATGGTCACAGCAAAAGTTTTCTGAGGAGCTAAAGGCATTTTTCTTGTTGACTTTTTGGTGAGCAAAAGAACAACATCTGATTACTATGAGAGTGTTTTGAGAAAGTTAGCCAAAGCTTCACCAGAAAAATACCCAGGAAAGCTTCACCAGAGAGTCCTTCCCCACCATGACAGTGCACCTGCATATCCCTTTCATCACACAAGGCCAATTTTGTGAGACTTAAAATGGAAAATTATTATTCATTCACCTTACAGTCCTGATTTTGCGCCTTCTGACTTTTTGTTCCCTAATCTTAAAAAAATCTGTAAAGGACACCCATTATTTTCAGACAATAAAAATAAAAACTATTTTGGCACAGTTAAATTTCCAGAATTCTCAGTTCTTTAAAGGTGTGCTAAATGGCTGGTATCATACATACTTATAAAGGTGTCTTGACTTTTATGGAGCTTATGTTGCAAATAAACTTTATATATTTTATTTTTCTATTTTAATTTCATTTTCTATGAACTCTTAGATGTCTCCTTTATTATATCTAAATGACACTTTCACAAAAAGTATTTTTTTCTTTGTTAATAAAAATGCTGTCATCTATTGTAGGACATAACAGTCCATTTTTGTATGTTTTATTATATGTGAGTGGAATGGGGGTGGTTCAGGAAAGTAATGGTAATAATTTTTTTCTTTTAGTATTTGCTGTTAGCCAGTCTGATCCCAGTACAAATTGCATTACTTAAAAATTTCTTATTTTTTCTTCATGAGGGCCATATTACCATTCAACATTGTTAAGAATCTTATATATATAATCATAGATGATTATACATGATATTATATATCATATAATCATCTATGATTATACATGATATTATATATCATATAATCATATGTGATTATACATGATATTATATATCATATAATCATATGTGATTATACATGATATTATATATCATATAATCATATGTGATTATACATGATATTATATATCATATAATCATATGTGATTATACATGATATTATATATCATATAATCATATGTGATTATACATGATATTATATATCATATAATCATATGTGATTATACATGATATTATATATCATATAATCATATGATTCTTAAAAATACATATATAATATGCATCTATATATAACATTATTTAATTAGTAACTCAGTTTTGATTAAACACAACAAATGTTACTTTTGTTTACATATTAATAGTTACCATTTAACTGATTGGTAATGCTTCTTTATCCTTGATTTTTACCTATTCTTCTTGTATTCAAATTTTTGAAAGAGAAGTCGTAGCTTGTGTTCAATTAATTCAAAATGCACAATTGCATTTTATTTGTAGATAGTTTATTCTCTTAAGCATGGGCTAACTTTCACCAAATAATTCATTTCTCAAACAAAGAATCAATAAATATTTTAGATGGGATATTTTCAAGTTTAAATTTCAATAAACATGGAGGTTTGTTATCACTTGCAGTAACAGATTGTTTATTATGAGAATCTATATGAAAATTGGTATTTTTCTAAGCTTCCATGACTTGAAATAAATAAATGCCTGCACTCATTTCAAAAGTATTTTATGTATCTAAAACTTTGAGGCACAGGCACCAGGAATGCCATTTTTTGCTCTGCAAACGTTTACCATCTTTTTGGAAAACAGATGTGTAAAAGAACAATTTAAAATGCAGCACAGTGTTATATTGAAACAATAAGTACAGTGATTTCTGGAACACAAGAGAGAAGGTCTGCTTAACTCTGCCAGTGGAGGCTTTTTTGATCTATTAAACAGTATTCATTATCCCTATTTATGAATTTTTTTCAACTTGTTGCAGAGTCTGAGATAGGAAAATATCATAATCAGTAGTGTGTGTCTCTTTTTTACTAAACAGTCTCCTCAGTTTTTTGTTCTATATTCTAGCTTGAAAAAACATGTCAGTTGTTTCTAATTGACTACACTGGGATGAGTAAAACCAAATTTTTAAACTCCAATATTATCTTAAATATAAGAGATATCAAAGACACAAGGTAAAATATTTTCATTTTATAAGGTATTTGTAAGTAGTCTTTCATTTTTTAAGAATATGACAGCCTGACTAGCAAAAATAAAGTATCTTATTTATATTAAAATGCTATGAGTAGTTTTATTTAAAACATGTATTTCCAAAACTAAATTTTACTCCATTGATGGCATTTTCTAAAGTCTTTTTATGTCAGACTACTTTAAATAGTAGGAAGTTTTGGAAGCAGTATTTCTTAAAGAGCTCATCATTTTGAATTTTCCAAGATGATAGAATTTGATTTAGTTCTACTTACTATATAAACCCATAGGAAGATGGCCATAGAAATCAGTAAAATCCAAATACTTAATGGAAAGAAGATAACTATTTATTCTTATAAGTTAAGACAAGAATGCCCTTAAAATATTTTCAATAATAACTTAAGTAATTATTTTACTCCTGTTATGTGTTGAATTGTATCTCCTTATTATGTTGAAGTCCTAGCTCTCAGTAGCTCAGAGTGTAACCGTTTTTGGAAATATGGTCCTTACAGAGGTAATTATGGAAAATAATGTTAGTTGGGTGTACCTTAATCCAATGACTGGGTGCCTTATGAACAAGAGAGATTTTTGACACACACACTTATATACACATGGGGGTTAACCATGTGAATGGACACAGGGAGAATATAGGCATTTACAAACCAAGGAGAGAGGCCTAAACATGATTCTTCCCTTAATGTTTGAAGGAACCAACCCTGTGAAAACCTTAATTTTAAATTTCTAGGCTTCAGAACAGTGACACAACAAATTTCTGTGTTTAAGCTACCCAAATGGAGGTACGTTTTAATAGTAGGTCTAGAAAAATGAATAAAACCCTTAAATATGTGTAAGTGGATAAACCCCTTAAAATATGTATCTGTTTAATAGAAAATAAGGGTTGCCATTGCTTTGGGGGAATGGTAATGCGCAGAAATGACCTTTATGTCCTTCCAGGACTTTTAAACCAAAATATCAGCAGAAATAAAATTTACTTGGGAAGAATTTGAAGTAACACTATTTTGTTTACTTAGAAAATGTAAATCAAGACCATAATTTTCGACGTTTAATTTTAAAAGTAATTATCATGATTTTTTAAAGAGTGGAATTACATGTCTGCTTTCTCTAGATTATCAAAAAGATCATTTCAGAAGGCATCTGGTGAGACAGGCTTAACTACAGATTTCAGCTATTTAGTTTCACAATTTATGGAGAAAACAAGAGTTATTTTAGTAGCAGAAAGCACTGGAAAGCTGCTAACATAACCTTTTTGTAAGCATTATGCATCCTGGAATGAATTTTAAAATTTCATTTTTATGAGATATTAGACACAAATAAATGAAACACGTATATAATATTTAATGTTATAACCAAATATTTAATGTTATAATAAAATAAAATATAAACACAGTTTTGCCTTGTATTGGGAACACTTACACAAATTTTATTTTTATCAAATGGTTTTTCTAACTCAATGCAAAACTTTATCTTATTTTTTCTGGTCTGATAAACAGTAAACTTATTTTGCAGTTGCTACTACTTGGAAAATGCCAGTAGAATAAAGACAATAGGAAAAATTTAGTTGAATATTTAATAGTTTGAGATTATTTGTAGTCAAACATTATACATTTTATGTATGCTGTTATTTTCTTCAAGTCACCTCTTTGGGCTGACTGTGAGAGAGGGGACTCACCAGTGGTTGACAATTACCTGCTCCCATGTACTTGATCCTTATCTATGGCATGTGATAAATCCATCTGTAATTTTCCCATTAAAGAGAGAAGCAGTGACTCAGACTAAATTGGGATTATATTCATAGTGTGGGGTTAGGCAAAACTAATACCTTTGTATATCTTTATGAAACATAAGAATCATGCTTAGAATTATTTATAATTTAAACACTAATTCAACTATATTAAACTTTTTTATTGTATTACTTATAATCTACTGGACTTTTGCAATTAAACATTCATCTTCTAAATATTAAAATTAACTAATTTAGGAACATAGGAGAAATTACATCACAGACAAATATAACATAAACACAAACACAAACAAAAACATACTTCTTTGTGTTTAAATAATGAGGTCCAAGTGTAATTTTTCACATGCACTGACTGTGTAATGGTGAAGTCAGGGCTTTTATGGTATCCATCACCTGATTAATCTACATTGTACCCATTAAGTAATTTTGTATTATCTACTCCCTCCTACTTCCCCATTCTTCTGAGTCTCCATGTCTATCATTTCACACTCCACGTCCATGTGTACACAATATTTAGTTCCAACTTATAGATGAGAACATACAGTATTTGTCTTTTCATGTATGAGTTGTTTCACTTATGATAATAGCCTCCAGTTCCATCCATATTACTAAGAAAGACATATTTTAATCTTTGCGATGGCTGAATAGTATTTCATTTTGTATACATACCACATTTTCTCTGTCCACTTATCCACTGATGGACACCTAGGTGGATTCCATATCTTTGCTACTGTGAACAGTGCTGTGATAAACATACAACTACGGCAATCTTTTTAATGTAGCAATTTCTTTTCCTTTGGGTAGATATCCAGCAGTGGAATTACTGGATTGAATGGTTGTTCAATTGTTTTTAGTTACTTGAGGAATCCCTGTATTTAGGTCACAGTCTTTCTCAGAGGCATGGGTTTGAATCCCACTTCTGACAAAAATGTGTGCTCTTTCCAGTCTGAATAAGTATTATTAAAAAGACAAAAAATGACAGATGTTGATGAGCGTGCAGGGAAAAGCGAACTCTTATATGCTGTTGGTGATAATGTAAATTAGTGCAAACTCTGTAGAAAAACACTTCTCATATTTAATATTTAAAATGTTCATATAATGTGTGGCATCAGTTCTTGTAAAAGCTATTGTTACTAAAATGCTTTAAGCATGATGTGCTTGGGTTATTCTGACTGTTAAATTCGTAGGATTCTACCTTATATTATGTGTAATCAGTCCTTCAAATATATGTAAACCTGAGATTTAATTTTAATCAATCAAAATAAAGTATTCATGTTTTTAATGTATTTTTTGCTATTAATTTTCTTTTTCTAATTTTAGGCAGTATGTTGTATCTATATTATATCAAATAGGTGTTTCAAATAATTACTTAAAATGACTTTTTGAGTAAGAGAATTCTAAGTGCCAGAAATATGTTTCTTTACCTGGGTAAAAATTGCACTGGAAAAATCTATCTGATGTAATAATGTTTTATATCTGGAGTCTATGGAAAGTTTTAAATATATAGAAGAAAGTTTTGGCAGTAAATTGCACTGAATTTTCATTAATTTTACCTTAGTACAGAATTGGCTACCCATTCCCTACCCACAGCTTTATTGCAAGCAGCCGTGCCTGTGTTCCTGGAGAAACTTGCATGCAATTTGTAGAAACCTGAGTGAAAAACAAAATCCTGTTCTCCATATATGAGGATTTGTATTTTCATCACTGAGTTCTGCTTATGATCATGGAGCTTGAAACACAGAGGCAGGCAGCCATTATTTCACACATACATACTACCTTCCCCTCATTGCAGGCCCCTTCCTCTGAAGTTAAACAATATCCAGAGGAGTTAAAGTGCAGTATTCTACTCCCTTACTTAGTGTTATGCCTTTTCTTATTTGGGGATCCAAGCATTAAAGACTAAGACATTCAAAAGTAACTACATTTGAATTCTAAATTAGAAGGTCATTATGCATACACAGGAAAGGTACAGGAAAAGAAAAGACCTGAGAAGAGCTTAAGTTCACACTTTGGCACAGAGGCAGCCTATACCTATCAAAACTAAACCAAAACCAAACAAACTGAAAAAAAAAAAAAAAACACATCAGAAAACCCAGGAGAAGGAAGAGAATCTGATTTCCATAGTTACCACATTATTAGATCGACGTTTTTAGCTTTCAATAATAACAACAATACAAAGAAACAGAAATGTATGGCCCATTCAAAAGAAAAGAAAAACAGAAACTATCCCTGAGAAAGACCAGATGGCAGACCTATTAGCCAAAGAGTTTTACAGTAGTTACCTAAAACATAATCAAAGAAATTTTTTAAAAAAGAGAATATCGTGGGAGAAAATTGTGTACAGACAAAAGGAAATATTAATAAAGAGATAAAAAGCCTTTAAAACTGACAAAAATAGAGCTAAAAATAACAATAACTAAAATGTTAAAATTAGCTAGAAGAATTTAAAGGCAGATGTAATTGGGTACTATGCTCAGTACCTGGATAATGGGATCATTTGTACCCCCAAACCTCAACATCACACCATATACACAAGTAACAAACTTGCACATTTACTCACTGATTCTAAAATTAAATTTGGTGGAAAAAAAAGCCAGATATGAGTAGACAGAATAAAATATCAGCTAACTTGAAGACAGGACAATTAAAATGATCATATTTGAGGAATAAAAAGAAAAAAATATTGAAGAAAAGCAACAGACATGGAGACTTCATCAAGTGGACCCATTTAAACATTGTGAGAATTCCAGAACGAAAAAGCAAGAAACAGAGAGAGTATTTGGAGAAATAATGGAAGAAAATTTTTAAAACTTGATCAAAGTCAGGAATACATACATCCAAGAAGGTCAACACATTATGAGTAGGATAAACTCAAAGATGCTCGCAGCAAGACACATTTTAATCAAACTGTTGAAAGCCAAAGTCAAAGTAAGAAATGTAAGTTATCACACACCAAGGACTCCTCAAAAAGATTATCAGCAGATTTCTCATTACATTGGTTGGCCAGAAGGCAGTGGGCTGACATATATAAAGTCCTAAAGGAAAAATAAAACTGTCAACCAGGAATTCTATATGCATAAAAATTATCTTTCAAAAGTCAGAGAAAAAAATGGCACATTTCCAGATAACCAGAAGGTGAGGAAGTTTGTTACTACCAGACCTGCTCTGAAAGAAATCCTAAAGGGAGTCCTGCAGGTTGAAATGAAAAGACACTGGATAGTAACGCAAATCACATGAATAAATAAAGATCTCAGATAAGATAAATATATGAGGAATTATAAAACCAAGTATTACTGTAACAATAAATTGCATTGCTACCTTTTGCTTACATAATTTAAGAGACTCATGAATAAATAACTGTTAATTTATGTTTTTCAACACACAATGCACAAAGATGTAATTTTGTGACATCAACAACTGAAAATGTTGGGCAGAGGTGTAAACGAGTGGAACTTTTATATGTTATTGAAGTTGATACTAATTCAAATTAAAATTGTTTATCTTTAGAATATTAAATATAATTTCTATAGTAACAAAATAAAGACTATACAAAAAAGAAAATGAAAAATGAATTAAAATATTTTACTGTAAAACATTAAAAACAAGAGATAGTAATACAGGAAATGAGAAATAAAATGCTATAAGGCATATAAAAATAAATAACAAACTGACAAAAGTAATTCTATCCTTATTGATAATTACTTTAAAGTTAAATGGATTAAACTCTCCAAGTGAAAGGCAGAGATTGGCATAATGAATTAAAAAAAAAACCTGCTGTAAAGACACAAATGAGCTAAAAGTGAAAGGATGAAAAATGGTATTCCACGCAGAAGGTAACCAAAATATTGCAGGTGTGGCTGTACAAACAACAAACAAAATAAAATTTAAATTAAAAAGTTACAAAGTAGATAGTAAAAACAACTTGCTCCAGTGTATGTAAACATTAGTTTTCCATAAGAAAAATAGAGATAAAATTTCTACCTACTTCACAGAATAGTTGTGAGTTTAAATAAACTAACGTATGTATAAAATTCATATCATAGAGGTTAGAGGAAGGAAAGAGCCCATAATTCTTAGCTTTTATTTTTTTATTAATCATTGAAGATAATAGCCAAGTACTGAGTGGGAAACAACTCTCATGCAGCATATTGTCCATTTAGTAATAAAAAAAAGCGATAACAATAGAAATTTGTGTTTTTGACTTAATATTTTCTTTGTGTGAGATTCACAACATATTTTTCATAGTATTTTTTATTTTAGTTTAATCAATAAGAGAGAAGAAAAGCTCCATAAAAACAAGTCCTTCTGTCAGTTTTGTTTTGTTCACCTTAAGACTGTATAGCAATGCGTGATCTTTATTGGGCACTTAGTAAATTTTTGTTAGCTAATTGTTGATTTTCCTGCTTACTAATTGGTTTAAACTCTGTGCTAGAAAAGCTTCCTTTTCTGTCTTTTTCTTTTCTTTGATCTTCAGGAGGTATAAACTTTGTAAAAATAAAGTTCAAAATAATTGCTTTTGAAATAAGCCGAGATAGGCAGAGGAAAGTTTGCCTTTGTAATTCCCACATTAAGAAATAAATAGCCTTTGGAATGATCACTGTTAGAATAATTAAGATAATAATGCTAGTTCTACATGTCATAAAAAATACCCATGAATGGAACAGAAACTTATTTATTTATAGCTGCAATAAGGAGACTGGGAAAGACATAAGTAAATACTATAATGTAAACCCATAACTCCTCTACATGAATTGTTATTTCCATCCTTATTAGGCTGCCCTGACTAGTCTTTGACACCTTGGCTCAAAATGTAATCTAAGGAAACCATATCCAAAGGTATCTGGGAGGTTGTACACCATGCCATTTGTATTAAAAAGTTGTGCCTTCTTTACTTTTAGTTTTTATTTTTATCGAAGTCCTTTATGCACATTATTTAAACATCAAATTATTCACTGAGGCCTAGTGAATTATTATTTTTTTTGTTTTGTAATATCACCACAATTTTGATGACTCAAAGTAAAGCACATTTATTATCTTACAGTTTCTGTGGGGCAGGAGTCTCGCTCTCCCAGGCTGAAGTGCAGTGACACAATCTCGGCTCACTGAAAGCTCCGCCTCCCAAGTTCATGCCATTCTCCTGCCTCAGCCTCCCGTGTAGCTGAGACTACAGGCACCCGCCACCACGGCCAGCTAATTTTTTGTATTTTTATTAGAGACGGGGTTTCACCGTGTTAGCCAGGATGATCTCGATCTCCTGACCTTGTGATCTGCCCACCTCGGCCTCCCAAAGTGCTGGGATTACAGGCATGAGCCACCGTGCCCGGCCCAACACAGGTTTAATCTTAGGTAACATCATAAAACTGGCATTCCCATAACTTTCATTGTACTGGTCATAAGCAAGTCACACACCTTGCTCATACTCAGGGGAGGAGATTACTCAAGATCATGAATGCAAGGAGATGGGTCACCTTAGAGTACGTTCTCCACACACAGTATAAAACACCTACTGTGCCCCACATAGGTCCATTTTGATGTCTCAGAGCCAGGTACTCGCCACTTTTTTATCTGTTGTTGGTTTCCTTTTGCTTTACCTCTTGAATTTAAACAAAATGATCATACAACAGCTTCTTAAAACTATCAGCTTTACAAATGTTTTAATGTCCTGCCATGGAGGATAAGTGTTTATCTGTGTGATATATTGCACTGCATCACCACATCCATCAGACACATTCATAGTCACACATCCACATTCACACACACTTATATAGTATTAATAGCCCATAAATTAAAAGTTGTTACTTTATGTTTTTATTTGTGTATTATTTTATATTTGTTCATATTTCATTATTTTATATTGAATATTATTTATTGTTTGCATTAAGACTACATACATGTCATTTTCAACCCAGCCCCATTGTATTCAGCTATCTAAACATTTCTTGATCAACCTGTTTTCCCCTAAAATTAATAGATGCCTTATTTTGCATTTGCTTAGTCTTTAATGTAATTATTGTAAGTTCAATCACAAATACTTTTCCCATGGAATTATTAAAATCTACATTCAACATGTTGAAATGCAAAAGGCATTTGTCCATATCATTTTTTTGGACCAGGTACAATCTGAAATATACTAAAAATATATACTTTCTGTTTCATAGCTGTCATCTAACTTTTTTCTTAAACTTTATCCCAGGGAACATTTTAATACCTCTCTTATATTCTGAATCCTATGTCATCCTCTTTTCATTTACCCTCTAATTTTTGGGAGTATCTTCATGACATGGTTTGGCTATGTACCCAACCAAATCTCATCTTGAATTGCAGTTCCCACAATTTCCACATGTCATGGGAGGTACCTGGTAGGAGGTAATTGAATCCTGGTGGTGGGGACCTCCATGCTGTTCTCGTGATAGCGAGTGAGTTCTCTTGAGATCCGATGGTTTTATAAGGGTTTTTTTCCACCTTTCACTCATTCTTCTCCTTCCTGCAACCACATGAAGAAGTATGTGTTTGTTTCCCCTTCTGCCATGATTGTAAGTTTCCTGAGGCCTCCCCAGGTACGCTGAACTTTGAGTCAATTAAACCTCTTTTCTTTATGAATTACCCAGTATTGGGTATGTCTTTATTAGCAGCATGGGAATAAACTAGTACAGTAAACTGGTACTATGCAGTAGGGAGCTGCTGTAAAGATACCTGAAAATGTGGAAGCAACTTTCAGAACTGGGTAACAGACAGAAGTTGTAATAGTTTGGAGGGCTCAGAAGAAGACAGGAAAATGTAGGAAAGTTTGGAACTTTCTAGTTACTTGCAGGGCTCAGAAGACAGGAAGATGTGAGAAAGTTTGGAACTTCCTAGTGACTGGTAAATGGCTTTGACCACAATGCTGATAGTGATATAGACAATATAGTCCAGGCTGAGGTGGCCTCAGATGGAGATGAGGACTGTTTTGGGAACTGCAGTGAGGTGACTCTTGCTATGCAAAGAGACTGGTGGCATTTTGTCCCTGCCCTAGAGATCTGTTGAACTTTGAACTTGAGAGAGATGATTTAGGGTATCTGGTGAAGAAAATTTCTAAGTGGCAAAGCATTCATGAGAAAGCAGAGCATAAAAGTTTAGATAATTTGCAGCCTAATGATGTGACAGAAAATAAAACCCCATTTTCTGGGGACGAATTGAAGCCTGCTTCAGAAATTTGCCTAAGTAACAAGGAGCAGAATGTTAATCTCCAAGACTATGGGAAAAATATCTCCAGGTCATGTCAGAAACCTTCACGGCAGCCTTCCCATCAAAGGACTGGAGGCCTAAAAGGGAAAAATGATTTCCTGGGCTGGGCCCAGGGCCCTTCTTCTCTACGCAGCCTCAGCACATGGTGCCCTGCATCCAGATGTTTCACCTCCAGCCATGGCTAAAAGGGGCCAACTTACAGCTCAGGCCATTGATTCAGAGGCTATAAGCCCCAAGCCTTGGTGGCTTACACATGGTGTTGGACCTTTGCATGCGCAAAAGTCAAGAATTGAGGTTTGGGAACCTCTGCCTAGATTTCAGAGGATGTAAAGAAATGCATGGATGTCAGGCAGAAGTTTGCTGCAGGGGCAGAGCCCTCATGGAGAACCTCTACTAGGGGACCGTGGAAGGCATATGTGGGGTCGGATCCCCCACAGAGAGTCCCTCACTGGGGCACTGCCTGGTGGAGCAGTGAAAGAGGGCCATCATCTTCCAGACCCCAGAATGGTTGATCCACTGACATCTTTCACCATGTACCTGGAAAAGCCACAGGCACTCAATGCCAGTCTGTGAGAGCAGACAGGAGGGTGACTGTACCCTGCAAAGCCACAGGGGTGGCGCTGCCCTAGGCCATGAGAGCCCACCCCTTGCATCAGTGTGACCTGGATGTAAGGAACTGAGTCAAAGGAGATTAGTTTGGAGCTTTAAGATTTAAGTACTGCCTTGTTGGATTTCGGACTTGCATGGAGCCTATAGCACCTTTGTTTTGGCAGATTTCTCCCATTTGGAACAGGTGTATTTAACCAATACCTGTACCCTCATTGTATTTAGAAACTAAATAACTTACTTTTGATTTTACAAGCTCATAGGTAGAAGGCACTTGCCTCATCTCAGATAAAATTTTGCACTTGGACTTTCAGGTTAATGCAGAAATGAATTAAGACTTTGGGGACTTTTGGAAAGGTATGATTGTGTTTTGAAATTTTAGGACATTAGATTTGAGAGGAGCCAGGAGTAGAATGATATTGTTTGGCTCTGTCCTCACCCAAATACCAACTTGAACTGTATTTCCAATAACCCTCACATGTCATGGGAGGGACCCAGTGGGTGGATATTGAACCATGTGGGTGGTCATGCTGTTCTCATGATAGTGAGTGAGTTCTCATGAAATCTGATGGTTTCATATGGGGATTTCCCCTCTTCTGCTTATTCTTCTCCTTCCTGCAACCATGTGAAGAAGGATGTGTTTGTTGCCCCTTCCGCCATAAGTGTAAGTTTCCTGAGGCCTCCCCAGCCATCCTATGAGTCAAATAAACTTCTTTCCTTTATAAATTACCCAGTCACGGTATGTCTTTATTAGCAGCATGAGAACAGACTAATACGCTCCAAAATCAGCACTCTTGAAAAGGATTCATGCTGGTAAAGCTTTTGAGATGTCATATGTAAGATAGTAGTTGTATTCTACTTGAATGGAAATGATAATGCAGCTGGAAATAGAATTCTAGGTTAGAAATAACATTCTAATGTTTAAGTCTTTGTTCCATTATCTCCTTGCTTTCAGTATTATCTCTGAAAAATTCAGTGACTTGTTGATTATTGATTATTTCACATGGTCTTCTTCAATTTAATATTTTAGCATTTTTTATTCCCCAAATTCTGAAAATTGTTGCTAATATAAGTTGGTATTAGCCTACTTTTAATCACTGTGCTTGGCAATCCATTGAATGCTTTAAATCTGTAAATCTACATTTCACAATTCTATGAGATATATTTAATTATTTATTCAATGATTTTCTTTTCTCTCTTTTTCTGTTCTTTCTTCCTGGATCCCCAGGATTTTTGGGTTAGATGTCAGACCCAAATCACTAATGTTTCTACGTTTAAATTTTTTTTCATTTTTCTTTCTCTCTGTATGTGTGTGTGTTTATGAACATGTGCATGATTTAAGGGAGTTCATTCTCAGATTTATTTTTCAACTCTATAGAGATTCTCATTTTTGTTAAGAAAGTTTTAATTACCAAAATTGCTTTCTTGTTCTATGTTCATTTTTAAAATTAATTTTATAATATTTTGAATACTTATAATATCTTTTTATTTTTCTTTGGATATAAGTGTTACTAGGATATATAGTGTCATTCTCCCTGTATGGTTTTATTTCACCACAAATTGCTTATTTTTAAATAATGCTTTGATTTTTGTCTTTCTCACTAGAAGTGTTCCTCAGTATGTCATTATTATGAGCTGTCTTCTCATATTAAAGAAGGGAACACTAGAAACTGAGTAAAGCACCTGTGTATGGAGAGGATTGGTTTATTGACTATTGGTTTCACTGTGGAATGTACCAGTTGGGCTATTCTGATGGAGTATCACTGCTGCCAGTATTTTCAGATCTTTATTCTTTATTTGGCCCAATCCCCAGAGTTGAATTTTCTATACTCTTCTTAGAGAATACTATTCAGCTTGCCGAGAATAAAGATCAGCAGTCACAATATTTAGTCAATAAATTTTTCCACAAATTCTTTAATTTACTGTAGAAACTCCTCCTCCTGTAAGGCTTAGATATGTCTAGTAAAGACAATTTCTGTTTTTCTTCCTTCAGAGAATAAATCTCTAGTCTTCTGCTAGTGTGCATGCATGCATTTGAATGCAGGGACAGTTGCCATACTCTCCAGAGTAGGGAAAAGGATCTCAGGGATTGAGGAGGGGAATTCGATCATGTTTCTAAACAGACATTATACCAATCTTCTGTATTTGTGGTTCATTTTCCCTTAAGATTCAGGTTGCTTTTCAATGTCCTCACTGCTGAACTAGGATTCAATTTTCTCTTGTCTACTAATTCAATGATGCTTATTTTTATTGTGCTTTACGATTTCCAAAGTGTGTTTTCTTTTAAGTAAAATGTTATGGGTACATAATAGGCATATTATTTATGAGGAATATGATGTATTTTGATAGAGGCATATAAGGCATAATAATCACATCAGTGTAAATGGGGTATTCATCACCTCAAGCATTTGCCATTTATTTGTATTACAAACATTCCAATTATACTCTTTTAGTTATTATAAATGTATAATGTTTTAAAATGCATAGTAAATTACTGTTGACTGTAGTCGCCCTACTCTACAATCAACCACCAGATCTTATTCGTTCTATTGAACTACCCATTTGTACCCATTAACCATTCTCACTTCCACCTCACCCCATCCCACCCCACCACCACTACCCATCCTATCCTCTGGTAACCATTCTACTCCTTTTATCTATGAATTCAATTGTTTTAATTATTAGCTCCCATAAATAAGTGAGAATATGCAAAGTTTGGTTTTATGAGCCTGGGTTATTTCACTTAATGTAATGTCCTTCAGTTCCATCCATGTTGTTGCAAATGGTAGGTTTTGTCTCCCATTCTCTTGATCCTTGTGGGTAGAAATATATAAAACACTTTATTTTCATTATAGTGGGAGGTCCAAGGGACTGGAATAAAGGGTATATATTAAATCCTCTACATTTCCTCTAAATTTAAGACAATCTTTATATACAATTTTTAGTTAGTAAAATGAAACCAAATATTAGTTTTAGCAAATTGATTTTAAAAACTATAAAGTGAACAATAGTACTTAAGAATTAAAAATAATTGGCAAATGATAGCCGTATCATTATTTTTTGTGGCTGCTGTAATAAATCACCACAAACTAAATGAATTAAAACAATAGAAAATTATTGTCTTACTCTTTTGGAGATCAGGATTCCAGAATCAACTTGTTGGCAGGAATATGTTCCCTCTAGAAGCTCTGGAGAAGAATCTGCTCAAGGAATCTCTCATAGACTCTGGTGGCTAGTGGCAATACTTGGTATTTTTTAGCTTGAACATGCATAATGCAACGTATGCTTCTATTTTCACAGTATCTTCTCCTCTGTTTCTTGGTGTTTTTGTTGTTGTTGTTTTGTTTTTGTTTTTAATTGCTTTTCATTTTCTGTATGTTGTTAATTTTTTTTTCCAAATAAGTTGACTTTCACAGATTCCAAGTATTTGGTTGTATACACATCTTTAGTTTGGGGGTTGGGACATCATTCAATCCACTACAGCAGCATTAAAAAAATAATTTAGGCACAATTTTGATATTATTTTTGAAAAAGTAAAGAACACAAAATCGGTCATATTCTTAAGAATGTGCTTAGTGTGTTACATGATATTAATACAGCATCTAATACTTACACATTTCATTTGTAAAAGAGATAAATAAGAATGGGTGAACAGACTAAGCCACAAACTGAATTACCTATTCATTAATGCATAACAAAATAAGATGCTACTAGACCAATATTATCAGGACAGATAATATTAATTGTGTGTGCAATGTAGCAAAACCTAATATGAAGAATAGAACTGACATAGTACTGTACTTATCAGAAATGGTTCACAGAGCACATACTACTAGGAATTGACTTCATATCTAAAGTAAGCAAAAATGCACTTCTCTAAAAATGTGAAAAATAAGCTCAAACAATATGTGATTGGTTGATTTAATAATCTTAATTCCTCCATTAGTATTAGAAAATAATTTGGTTCAACCAACGACTATGTAACTTTGCTTCTTTTTAAAATATGAAACAATCCGCAGTGAAACATAAATGTAAAACTTTAGATTGTTGTAATCCGAGAGGATCACGCAGAAAGAACGATGTAAAGATAGCTGATGCTTTGATTAACCTAAAAGGAATATTTTTAGCTTTTATTTTAAGCTCTCAAAGATCTTTTACTTCCTTTGGTATTATCAGTGTTGTCTCATACTAGGCAATTTATTGGATATTCTACATGAAAATATAATATTTTTAAAGTGAGATATAAAATTGAGTGTATATGTGACAAATTTAAAATGCTAGTATTTCTTTATGGCAGTTAAGATTTGCTGATTCAAAAAGCAATTACAATTCTAATTAAATTTATTACCATATTGTCCTAGCAGCAAAATCTACTTTTTTATAATACTGACATTTATATTGATGTCTAACTGTTGGCTTAATTACACTTAAGCTATTAATAGAACATCAACTCTGCATTGTAGTTCTAGATAGCTCGTCCATATCTGTATAGTTTGTCAGTTCAACTGGTAAAAGTCTGTGTGCTACCGAGGAATAAGTTTACTGAATGGATAATCTAATTCAGTCATTAAAATAAAACCCATTTTGCAATCAACATAGGTCTTTCTCTTTTATAATGACCAACTCAGCTTCATTCTGATAAAGCATATTGGTTAGAAATTTTTTCAAAAAGCTATTAAGACAAGTCTAATAAAATAATAACTTAAATATTTTTCTTTTATATAAAAAGGTTCAGATGTAGACAACTTGGAGAATGAATAGTAACTTCTAGCTTTCTCTTTTGCAGCATTTATTTACCTCTTCTCAGAGGCTTAGCTTATTTGGTCATGTTTCAGAAAGCAAGATGGTGCAGAATCAAGCAGAAAGGGCATATGAAACCTTAGAGTCTATTTTTCCTGTTAAAGAACTTTCCTAGAAGTGTTACACTGTAACTCCTTTTTATATGCTGTTGACAAAAGACATACCACAAAGCTAACCTATTATCAAGAAAGGATATGTGGTAGACAGACTAAGGGCTCTCCAAAGATATATATGTTTTAATCCCAAGAACCTATGAATTTGTTACTTCTCTGGCTAAAAAATTCCTTGCAGATGTGATTAAATTAAAGACTTTGACATGGAAAGATTAATCTGTACTACTGGGGTGAGCCCTGTCTAATCACAAGTTCTTAATAGCTGAGAACCCTTCCCAGCTGGGTCAGAGAAAGAGATGTGTCCATGTAAGAGACATCAGAGACATGATGTGAAAAAGAACAGTTTGTTGTTCTTGGCATTAAAGATGAAGGAAGATGGCCATGAGCCAAGGAATGTAAGAGGTATCTAGAAGTCAAGGAAATGTATTTTCCCCTAGAGCCTCCAGAAAGGAACGCACTGTGTTGGCACTTTGAGTTTAAATTATTAAGACGTATACCAGATTTCTGACCTACAGGATGTTGGTTGTAAAGTACATGACAGTAAATCTATTAGCAAACTAACATTTATCGCACTTCTTTTCAAATAGCATGTGTATGTAGTCATCACTTCTAAAAGTCTTCTCTTGTCTCCTAGAAAAGAGTTTTCTCCTTTCCTCCTCTCCAAGGTAAGAACAATCATATGCTCATAATTAATCAGTTATTCACTTTGACCTCCCTTATCTTTCCTGAAATTTCTATTCATTTAGTTTTCTTCTATTTCTTTACTGTCAATCTAAAATGTGATCAATTTCTATCCAAAACACATACGTAGATACACACACAATTTATTTCCACTTTGTTTCTCCCGTTCCCACTCAACCTGGCATAAGAAGCATGCTGCTCGTACACTTCATTAAAATTGCTACTTCAGGAGGCCCTGATGACCTCCTCACTGCAAAATCAGTAGCTCTGCAAACAAAAATTCTGTTTGACCTTTATTCAATTAAATATTTATCATAATTCACTATTACACAATCAACCCAATTTTTATGTAGGTTTTCATAACTTAAAATTATTGACAGTGCTCAATGTATTTTGGTGGATCTTCCATATCTACTTAAATCTTAAAAGTTGGGAAAGTTTATCTTTCTGCCATTAGAACTTATTTTTTTTCTGAATACTTCCCTTGCTCATTTTATCTCCTAAAATGGAATCAGCTCCTCTCTAAATGCTGGTTTCTTCCTAATCTGGATCCCTGGTCTTAACTCTGTTTTAGCAGCAAACCTTAATTTCTAGACATTATCACTTGGATTTTGGTTTAGTGATATATTACTAAATAACAAACCAATGTAAAACTGAGGCCCTTGATTGAGTCTAGGAAACATTTTATTTGCTCATACACCTGCAGTCAGGACTGAGCTCTGTTGGGTAACTCTGCTGATCCTCCCAGTATCCACTCTTTTTCATTTAAAAAATTAGTTACCTAAAGATTGAAATCAGTTTTTATTCTAAACATTAAAATGTTTATTATTATTATTATTATACTTTAAGTTTTAGGGTACATATGCACAATGTGCAGGTTAGTTACATATGTATACATGTGCCATGCTGGTGTGCTGCACCCATTAATTCGTCTTTTAGCATTAGGTATATCTCCTAAAGCTATCCCTCCCCCCTTCCCCCATCCCAAAACAGTCCCCAGAGTGTGATGTTCCCCTTCCTGTGTCCATGCGTTCTCATTGTTCAATTCCCACCTATGAGTGAGAATATGTGGTGTTTGGTTTTTTGTTCTTGTGATAGTTTACTGAGAATGATGATTTCCAATTTCATCCATGTCCCTACAAAGGACATGAACTCATCCTTTTTTATGGCTGCATAGTATTCCATGGTGTACATGTGCCACATTTTCTTAATCCAGTCTATCATTGTCGGACATTTGGGTTGGTTCCAAGTCTTTGCTATTGTGAATAGTGCTGCAATAAACATACGTGTGCATGTGTCTTTATAGCAGCATGATTTATAGTCCTTTGGGTATATACCCAGTAATGGGATGGTGGGGTCAAATGGTATTTCTAGTTCTAGATCCCTGAGGAATCGCCACACTGTCTTCCACAATGGTTGAACTAGTTTACAGTCCCACCAACTGTGTAAAAGTCTTCCTATTTCTCCACATCCTCTCCAGCACCTGTTGTTTCCTGACTTTTTAATGATTGCCATTCTAACTGGTGTGAGATGGTATCTCATTGTGGTTTTGATTTGCATTTCTCTGATGGCCAGTGATGGTGAGCATTTTTTCATGTGTTTTTTGGCTGCATAAATGTCTTCTTTTGAGAAGTGTCTGTTCATGTTCTTTGCCCACTTTTTGATAGGGTTATTTGTTTTTTTCTTGTAAATTTGTTTGAGTTCATTGTAGATTCTGGATGTTAGCCCTTTGTCAGATGAGTAGGTTGTGAAAATTTTCTCCCATTTTGTAGGTTGCCTGTTCACTCTGATGGTAGTTTCTTTTGCCATGCAGAAGCTCTTTAGTTTAATTAGATCCCATTTGTCAATTTTGGCTTTTGTTGCCATTGCTTTTGGTGTTTTAGATCCCTATTTAATAAATGGTGCTGGGAAAACTGGCTAGCCATATGTAGAAAGCTGAAACTGGATCCCTTCCTTACACCTTATACAAAAATTAATTCAAGATGGATTAAAGACTTAAACGTTAGACCTAAAGCCATAAAATCCCTAGAAGAAAACCTAGGCATTACCATTCAGGACATAGACATGGGCAAGGACTTCATGTCTAAAACATTAAAATGTTAAACGGAGCCTTTCTCTTTCTTTGTAGTCTCAGATACCTTTTTCAAAATGACTAACTGTAGTGTTTGTTCTCAGAGAAAAATTCAACAATAACATCAAAATTATACATTTCTTATCCATTGAATTAGCCATCAATACCATTTAATGTAACTGAGAAATGTTTCTAAATTCCACCTTTAATGTTCAATGACTTTGTTATTTCAGTCTTTAATAATTCTGACTTGAAATATTTGTATATCCAATTCTTCTTCCATTTTTGTGGCTAAACTGATATTATCAGCCATGTTAGGATCACTCACTATTTAATTTCGTTTTTCCTAAATAAAATCAGTGTTTACTACTCATTCTTTTTCAAAATTATGTTAGAAAAACAGATCTCTAATATGGTTACTTCTACCAATAAATATATTGGTAGAAGTAAGGAAGATATCCCACTATGAATTGAGAAAGCCAAAGATATGTATTTCTTTCTTTTTTTTTTTTCTGGAGATAGAGTCTCACTCTTTTGCCCAGGCTGGAGTGAAATGGTGCTATCTCAGCTCACTGCAACCTCCGCCTCCCAGGTTCAAGCGATTCTCCTACCTCAGCCTCCCAAGTAGCTGGGAATACAGGTGCACTCCACCACACCCAGCTAAGTTGGTATTTTTAGTAGAGATGGGGTTTCACCACATTAGTCAGACTGATTTCAAACTCCTGACATCAAGTGATCTGCCCACCTCGGCCTCCTAAAGTGCTGGGATTTTATAGACATGAGCCACCGTGCCTGGCCCAAAGATATATATTTCTTGTAATGCAGTCATACTAATTTACATTTATTAAGTAGAGTAATTTCAAAATAATACATCATGTTTTTAATTTTAATTCAATAAAACAGCAGAATTATGCTAAAGGGAGAAAATGTAAGACATTCATTACTCCCCTGGAAATCACATAAATACTATATTTGTTGTGAAAAAGCAGATAGCAAAAAATTATTTTAAGGTAAACTAAAATCTGGGCCAATAGAAAAAAATCGCCAAATACTGAAGCAACATATAAAACCTTATAGGACACCTTAAATAAAGTTGAAGATGTACACATTCTGTAACACAATTTTTTCACTCCCAACTTGATAACACTGAGAAATGTTCATGCATATGTATAAAGAGATATGCCCATGAATGTTCACTACAGTATTGATCTCAAAAATTTTAAAAGACTAGGTTAAGTGTCAATAAACAGAAGAATAAAAAATTAAACTGGTAGAATCAGCTAAAATGAATATTTAAAAAAAACTTCACTACGTGGAACAACATGGATACACCTCAAAACGAGTCTAACTGGAAAAAATTGCAAAAGGATATATGAAATATGATATCAGATACAAAGCTTAAAACATTAAGAAATGTTGTAAAATATGTATCTATATGGAGATAGTAAAAATGTAGAAAAATGCTAATTTTATGAAGTTAAAACACTTGGCAGATGTAGAAGCAGTTGGAATAAAGGAGAAAAGAAGAGATTTAATTAAGTGAGGAGAAAATAGTACAAATTAATATTATTTGGGATGTGTGCCTTACATTGTGTGTGTATATATATATATATATATATATATATATATATATATATATATGAATATGTGATTCTATGAAGCAAATAGAGGAAATTATTGAGGCTTGAGATGCATGGTTGCTAAATGGGTATCTTATTTTTTCTATATATAATTAATGCATTTAGACTAAAAATTAAAAGTAATAATAATAAAATAATAGTAGTAATACCAATAAACAACATATAAAAGGTCACTGCAGACCTAGATACTTCTTGCATATGTAAAAACTTGAGACTTAAACAATAAATACATATTCCTGGGATATAATTTTTTCTTAAATAGTTCTATACATGAAAGTGTTTTGCCAGCTTTTATATTGAATATGCACTTGGTAGTATGTAGTAAATTGTTCCACTACAGTATTTTATATATACTCAGCCCTTAGTCTAATACTAGCTTAAAGAAAAATATCCTGATGTTACAGCCTATAAAATATTTAGTTTAATCTCATAATTTTCTTAGCAAATTTTGATACTTCAAAAAGAAAAGTGAAGGTAAAATCTCAATGAAACCTGAAGGACTGATTTTGGGAGAACAGTGAATTAAAACTCTTAGCACTTCATTCAGAAGATGTAACACTCTGGTGTGTCACAAACAATACCATATCCCCAAAGGAACCAGCTTCAAAAATTATTAGTGTCTATTTTGTGTCAACCACTCTCCTGAGAAGTCATGTTACAAAGAAAATTCACAGCCCTTACCTTTAAAGAGTTAACAGTGTAGTAGGAAATAATCCTGAAAATAAATTATAATAATGTAACAGACAAGACAATAGAAAGTATGTACAATGTGGAATAAATACAGATACAAATGTACCTATCTTGGAAGAAGCCCTGTGTTAACTGATGCAAAAAGATGTGGATTTTCAACATTGCACCATTGGGGACATTAATTGTGTAAAGAAATGGTTTTAAAATATTAGTTTATTGTAAAAATTTTTGGAAAGACAGATTATCTCAAGCTGATGCAATAAAGCACCTCTGTGAGAACAGTTCAGGAAATTATAAACACATGTAAGTATAAATTATTAATAAAACATTGAGAAAATTACAAATCACAGAATGTGGTGACTAATTTCAATGGTCAAATATACCTTCTAAAATCAATTTTTCAATGAAATTGACGTCATTTGTTTTAAAATATCAATTTTATTGTACTAATAATATAATACTAATTCAATACATTATTTAATCTTGATATTTATTAAATAAAACAATATTCGTCTGAACATATGTCTCTTGGTTTTCAGTTAACAGTTCTTGGAGAAGTGTTCCTGACTTTATAGTGTATTAGTCAGGATTCTCCTGAGAAACAGAGGTAACAGGAAATATATACATATGTTTATTTATTTTTAATTTTTGTGGGTACATAGTAGGTGTATATATTTATAGGGTATGTGAGATATTTTGATACAGGCATGTAATGTATACATTTTTATATTTTAAGAGGAGATTTATTATGGGAATTGCATTACATTATTATCTAGTTCAAGAAATCCCCTTCTATGCTGTCTGCAAGCTGGAAAACCAGGGAAACTGATGATATAATTAGTCTGAAGGCGTAAGAAAATAGGAAACTGCTGGTGTAAGTCTCAGAGTCTGAAGATCCAGGAACCAGGATCTCTTATGTCCAAGGGCAGAAGATGTCCCAGCTCAAAGAGAGAGAGAAATTTCACCTTTTCTCCATGTTTTATTCTATTCAGGCCCTACAAAGATTGGATAATGCTCACCCACATTGGTGAAAGATATCTTTTTTCACTCAGTCTACTGATTCAAATGCTAATCTCTTCTGGAAACATACTGAGAGACAGACCCAGAAATAATAATTTACCAACTATTCGGGCATCCTTTAGCTCAGTCAAGTTGACACATAAAATTAGCCATCACAGACAGCTCAGAATAATGAGTCTAATTTGAAAATCAGACACATTGAAGATGTTAAAATTTTAATCTCACCATCCTAAGGCCATTTCCCCTCCAACCTTGATAGAGATGATCTTTTCTAGATCATAAGACACAGTAAAAAGATAATTCAACAGAGGAAAAAATGTAACTTTTGTATAAATATAAAATGTGAACACAGGTCAAATACTTTATTTAACTAATTCAAGAATGAGGGAACTAGAAAGGCATCAAAAATAATCTGATTATATTAATATATAGGCAATGAAGAATGCTGAAATGAATTTAATACATACAAAACTGCCATCATTCACAGAAGAGGGTAAGAATAAATTATACTTCCTTTCGACAACATTAATTTTACTTTCTCTGAAAGTTAATTATTTATATTACTATCAAAATTCCAGAATATATCAAGTTGTAAAATAGTTTGATGACCATGAAGGATGCAGACCTTCATAGAATCAAATAACCTGATAATGTTTTGCCATGTCTAACTCTTTCACAATTTTTGTTTTTCTCAAAAGATAGAAACAACAGAAAAAAAACAGGTACAGAAGTAACTTAGAAAGGTTTACTAATTTCCTGAAAAAAAGAACAATGAAAAAAATTAAAGTTTGTTGTAACAAATTACAATACGATTCAAGACTGTAGTCTTCCTAGAAACTCTTTTTCTCATACACACCTAGAACAGAGGGCTAAAGGAGGGTTTGTGATGTCTTCTTGGATCGTGTATTCTCCCAACTCCCACTTAGCCATTTATAGTACCCACCATGTTTAGTGCTAAATTGATTCAAAGTGGCCCTTATTTTATATTTTTCAGTCAAGCTTTTATTGTACCATTGATATCTGACCCACTATAAGAAGTTGGTGAGCAGAAAAATGGAAGAGAAGTGGAATTATTACCCCTACACCAAAAATGCTGTAACAAAATAAGAAAAAAAAATAAAAACTAAAATTATTTCAGGCATTTTTTAGGCAATTTTTCTTAATGTTTGCAAATCATTCTGCCTTACAAAAATGTAACATGTTGACAAAGAATGAAATATACAGAATTCTAAATTCTGCCAATTTTGTCTGAAAAGCATACTCAATGCTCTTTTAATAGTAAGCCTCTAAAAATGTACTATCTGTTAACACTTGTTCTTTTAACAGTGTGAGAATTATGAATTAAAATTTTATTTATGTATGTATATTTATCTATATATACTTTACATATATACAATTTTACTTATAGGGTATATACATAATGAAATATATATATAGTGAGATACCTCTTTCTGTGTATCTATCTCCCCAGTCTGAAAAAGTTATTTTTATAGATAAAAGTGTAATACTGACATTTCTTTTGCTTTGTATTTCCATATTAGTGATGCAAATCCTGCAGAAGCAAAAACATTTTAATTAATAAAGGATACATACAAGGAAGTTAAAAATAAAACATACTTGTTAATATTTTGATATATTATTTCCCCATATGCTTCTCTTTACTTATGCTGTATCTAAGCACTGCTCAGAAAACCATGTATTCTATCTCACCTTTGGGTGAAAATTTCTCCTTCCTTTTTCACCTCCTCCTACTTCTTCTGTGCTGCCACTGCCATTAGCTTCTCCTTTTCCTCCTTTTTCTTTTTTATTTTACCCTCTTCTTTCTCCTCCTTCTCTTCCTCTTTTTCTCCTGCTCCTTTTCAGCCTCCTCCTACTTCTTCTGCCTCTTCTTTTTATATATTTCCCCTCTTCTCCTTCCTCTCCTCTTCCTCCCCCATTTCTTCCCTCTTCTCTTTTCTCACTCCTGTCTTTTCTACTCCTCACTTCTACATTTGCCTCTCTATAATTATCAGTTTTGTGGTTGCTATCACCTTGTCATACAAAATTTTTAATACTTAACTAGGTCTAGGTGGGTCAGAACTTGTGTTACATAATGTTGGAGTACTGCAATTTCAGTCACTGATCTACAATTCAAATCACTGGTGACTTGGGTCAGATGCTTCTGCAGGTACAACTACATTGAGTAGTAGCTTTGTACAAATTCTAATTCCAATTAGCACACTTTAAAAAGTGCCTCATCAAAGCTAAGGGAAGGCCTAGACTTTGTAAATCTTTAATATACATACATCTGTGAACATATGTAATTTAAAACTTTTTTGAAAACAATGTATTCAGAAGTTGGGGAAGTTTAAATTACTTAACAGTGCCGTTTTTACCTACAGTCATTGACTTTGTAAAAATAAACAGCATATGTATATTTATATCTTTGTTTATACTTATGCAAATATGTATTTTCTATATATCTACATAAGTATATAAAATGATACATGCATATCTATATAATGAGAAATAGAAATATAGAGTCCAGTAGTAATAAGGTATACTTGCTATCTGAATTTTTTTTGTTCCTAAATTTTGAATAACAAATAGAAGAAGCAAGGACATCAATGAATATATCCCTATATCAAACATTTTACACCAAGCTGCTACATATCTGAAATAAAGAAACAAGAGTTCACATCACCAGAGAGAAGCCTAATCTTGAATGGGTCATAGTTGCAAATTTTGTTTAGCTAATTGATGGGCTTAGGCAACTCTGCCCCCTTGTGGTGTTCAGTGGGCTCATAGGAAACCAATATCCTGCAGGTCATAAATTTGGAAACAATTCTCACATGCCATTGACTGTGCCTAAGCATTAAAATCAAGTGGCTAGACAATATTGTGATTCTTATGGGCCCCAGGAGTACTGGGAGGAAAAATATGAACCACTTTTGGTAAGAATAGAAGAACTGAGACAAACAAGCAATCTCTGTGGCTTTACATATTACATTTCTCAGTGTTGGTGTTTTGCAGGCAGCCATCCATAAGTGATATAGCAGCTCATGCTTCTCTGTATTGTGGCTCTAACTTCTTCTAGGTTCCTCCAGTCCTCTGTTATATGCCAAATCTTTCCAGCAAATAGGACATTTAAAAAACAGAAAATTATGCTTGAGGCTTTTTGTGCCCCGAACGTACAAATGTCATGTGTCATTTTCATCCACATTCAACAGTCTAGAACTCAGTCACATAGTCATACCTAAATACGATGATGACTAAAAATGTAGTCTAATTTGGTCAAAGGACAGAAATAAATTTAGTAGAAATAACCAGCTGTGGCCCTTTTGTTACAATTAGGTCTCAGATATTTGCAGATCCCACTGATTGATTCATAACCCTAAAAGAAACAACTGGGATTTTTTAATTTTAATTTTATCTAATTTAACACTTAGAGAAAATCACCATAAGTGATATAAAAAGTTAGAAAAATAGGCCAGACTAAACAGTACTATGCATATATCAGAAATAACAGTAACAGTCTTTTATTGAACACAGCCCCTTTCTCATGTTAGACATTCCTTCTCTCTCCTCCTTCAAAGCTCACTGTTCCAGAAAGGCTAATGGGTCACTAGACTCCCAAAAAGTCTCAGAAGAGATGGTCAAATAACTAAGAAGTTCTAGAAAGCAGAATGTTGATGTGTTATATTTTTCATGAAATGTAACAATAAATTCAAATGCAACCGGTATAAAAAGAAAACAAGATGTATCTTCTAAAAAAAAACAGTCTTGCTCTAAAAACAAAAGCAAAAGGGTAAGGGTGGATAGGTCTGTTTAATACTCAATGTACTGTCTTCACAAATAGTTTATTACTGAGTAAAACTCTGTTCCATACATTTTGAAATGAGAAACTCCAATTGAAGACTAAACTCTCCTACATGACTATAGTATTAGACATATAGTTGCAATTGCAGCTCCAGTAGGCTGCAGGAAGATGCTGGGGATTCTGTGGTGTTTAGCCCATAAGCATCTTCCCAAGCATTGGGGCACAGGTGACGGCAAGAGAAAATACTCCCTTTTTTTCTAGTATTAACCATAGTGATTAGCTTTCTGCTCTTCACTTTGTTTATCTTAAGTTCTTGTTAGTGAACAACGTCATATACTTGTCGCGTTTGTTCTTGCTGTCCTCCTTTTGTTGTTTCTTGCTGCTTTTTGTTTAATCCATACATGTTATCATTTTCCTCCACGTGGCAAAAATTTGAATTCTGACTCACTTGTGAGGGTATACATTTGTTAATTGCTCTGAGTGTCATGTCAAATGTTCTAACTTAGGAAATTTGTATCTGGCTTAATTTTATTTTCCCATTTCTATGTGGTCCACTCCACACACTTCGGCTTCTGGAGTTTCCACTTCAGCAAGCTGCCGTTTTGGGCTGAGATTGTGGGCAGTTATTGAGAGAGAACTTATATCCCAGTAACCAACAGGAATGACCATTCAGCTTTCAGTAAACTTTCGCAAAGTTTTCACATTAATCGCAGAAATGTACCTTAATCCACCTGCATACAACGTTTCTCAGGTTCATGCTTTTTCTTTCAGGCCACTTCTATTGTCCCAGCTCTACGCTTTCAGAGGATATACATATCTCAGACAAAAGATATCACCAGTCCCTTACAAATTTGGAGGGAGAGATTTCTTCTCAAACTTTGTAGAAAATGAGATAGAGTTACCGCAAAAAAAAAAAAAAAGTTTTACCATTACCAAGAGGAAGGCAAAGTAGAAGGGATGGAAAATCCTTCTGAGAGGTGGCAAGGCTCGCTCTGGGCGCCCCCTCGGCCTCGGCGTCCGCTCTGGCCGCGCTGGAGGAGCCCTTCAGCCCGCCACTGCGCTGTGGGGGCCCCTCTCTGGGGCTCGCGGAAGCCGGAGCCGGCTCCCTCTGCTCACGGGGAGGTGTGGAGGGAGAGGCCCCAGCGGGAGCCGGGGCTGCGCGGGGCGCTCGCTGGCCAGCGCGGGTTCCAGGTGGGCGCCGGCTCTGCGGGCCCCACACTCTGCACGGCCGGCCTGCCCCTCCTGTGCTTGATTTGGGGATGAGCTCCCTCTGGGCTGCCGGACTGCCTGGGCTAGGTGCCGCAAAGTCCTGCAGCAAGTGCCACTGAGAGGTGAAGCCGGCTGGGCTTCTCGGTTGGGTGGGGACTTGGAGAACTTTTCTGTCTACCTAAAGGTTTGTAAACGCACCAATCAGCACTCTGTGTCTAGCTAAAGGTCTGTAAACGCACCAATCAGCACTCTGTCAAAACGGACCAATTAGCTCTCTGTAAAACAGACCAATCAGCTCTCTGTAAAATGGGCCAATCAGTAGGATGTAGGTGGGGCCAGATAAGGGAATAAAAGTAGGACACCGGAGCTAGCAGTGGCAACCCACTTATGTTTCCTGGCTTTGTTTTTTTGCTCTTTGTAATAAGTCTTGCTGCTGCTGCTCATCTTTGGGTCCTGGCCGCCTTTATGGGCCGTATCACCGTGAAGGTCTGCAGCTTCACTCCTGAGGCCAGCAAGACCGTGAGCCCACCAGAAGGAGCGAACAACTCGAGACGCACCGCTTTTAAGAGCTGTAACACTCACCACAAAGGTCTGTAGCATCACTCCTGAAGTCAGCGGGACCACGAACCTACCAGGAAGAAGAAACTCCATACAGATCTGAAAATCTGAAGGAACAAACTCCGGACACACCATCTTTAAGAACTGTAACACTCACTGCGAGGGTCCACGGCTTCATTTTTGAAGTCAGCCAGACCAAGAACCCACCAATTCCGCACACACTTCTGCTGTTTCGTTCTATTCTCAAGGAAAAACTGTGATGGGTCCATTTTTAATCACATGCAAATTCATGGGCAAATCTTTGCTATGGTTATGTACTTTGATTTAGTAGAGTTGTATCACATGTTCACTCATGTGCCCACAATAGCAGGGTATACCAATAGGCTGCTTCAAAACAATCATGAAAAGTAGGAGGTGGTGTTTCCAAAGGTAGTGGTCTTGCCAGAAAAAATGGAAATACTGTGAAGATAAAAATAAACATCTATTAACACAAAAATAGAAAAATAATATAGGTACACATACACATACTTTTCTACATATTTTTTGCAGTCATATCAGAGGAACAATACAGAGGAACAAAAGTGTAAATGAAATAAGACTCAAGTTAGACTCATTTCATGTATTTTCCTAGCCTTACTGTAAATTTATTTTGTGACTTTAGGAAAACCTCTATTTCGTTATCTGATTATTTTTTATTTCCAAAGTAGTAGTTTGGCCTAGATCAGAAGTCAAAAACCAATTGCCAATGGGTGACAAGAGTATAGTATAAATGAATGACATAGGAAACACAGAAGCTTTCCAGCTAAAACTTGTTTATTTGCATTGAACCAAAGATAGACAAAATATGTTTTCTGTTTTTTTCTTGAATTATGCAGCCTTCTAGGTATATATCTCATTTTTTAAACTTTCACAGTTTGGAAAACACAAATTATCTGTCTAGCAAACATTCTTGTTCTCTTTTCCATCCCATAGAGTTAAAGGAGCATCCCAGGCCAGGACCTCATTTCCCAGGCCCCTTGCATCTAGGCGCAACATGAGATTTATTATTACCCAAGGAATGTGAGGAAAAATGGTGTGCCTCACTTCCAGAATATGGAATGACATAGTTACACAATTATGAGAGAACTGTACCACTTACACCCTTTCTTTTCCATTCCACTAACTGATCACAGATGATCTCTGAGTCCCAGGGGATCTAAATGTCACAAGATAAAAGGAAGATGAATTCCCAAATCACAATTTGGAAGAACACACACATTGAAGTATAACATAAAATAGAAATCAAAATATTGTGGGTTAAGAGCTGAATATTTTGTTGTTTATTGTAGAAATTACCTCTGCTTTAACTAATATGAAAAAAAATGGAAGAAAGTTTCACACTTTGCAAAAATACAGACATGCAAGTATATTGATCAATGACAGCAACACATTGACCAATGTGCTGAAGTTTATGGTGACTGATGGGGACAGTGTGGAAAACGGAACATACCTACATTCTGTTTTTCCCACTAGAATTTGGGTTCTAGTACTTCAGATAAATTTATCTACTTTGCTTACTTTAATTTTCTAAGCAACTAGAGTAATATAATGTGGAATAGGCCATCAATAACTATTAGTTTGAATAAATGAATGAATAAATATCTTATATGAAGGAGGAAGTTACTAACAGTTCTAGTACATTACCGTAACATAACAATGCAAATTCTCTGTTGCTAGATTTATTTTCACAGGAAGCTATAAATGTGAATATTTATATATAAATTGAAATCACGAGATAACCCTCTGTAGGCCAAAAATATCATGTTTATTTGTTGAAATCAGGCCACTGACAGCCATTTCGTGATCTCTGAAAAATATTATTGGTTCTCAAAACTGGATAGCACAGTTTTCTAAACCCCTTTGGGAGCTTTATGATCATTTTTTAAAGTCTTGGCTTTTCTTCAGACCTGTTAATTAGAACCTCTAGGAGTGGAACATGCTAATATATATTTTCATTAAGTTCCTCAGGTGATTTTCATATCACTAGTCTAGACTTCACCCATGGAATAACACTGGAAATTACTCTATTAGATAACTCCAACTGTTATGTTAGAATTTATGTTTTTGGATATAAAACATAATAAAAAATCAGACTAAATTACAATAGATTTTTAGAACACCAACTGTTTAGACAAAGTATTTATTTATTCACCTAATATTTTATCTTTTCTCACTTCATTTTTTATCATACTAAATTTAGTCAGTCCATATGTTAGTAATTTGTATTTCTCATTTCAATAATCTGCCATTTACTTATGTATTTGAACACTTGTTTATACAAACATTTGATCATTAAAGTTAACAAATGTCATCTAGTCAGGTGTTTCACTAGCATTCCTTTCATGATTGCATTGTCTATAATAGTTAAGTGTGGTGACTGAATTTATTAAATATTAATAATTTCTTTTTTATGTCCTTATTTTATCTACATAATTTTATGCACATGTACATGTGTGTTTTATTAGGTAGGTAAGAATGCCTACTTATTTTCCTCATTTAATTGGAAATAGTTACACTTTGATTAAATATTATCCACATTTCATGTTTTAACAAGTGTTATATTTTGGGCTTTTTCTGCTGCTGCCATGTTCTTATACTGTAAACCAATCGATTCAGCCCTAACTAACTAGATCTAAAGACTGCTTTACATTCATTTATTTCTGCTTTCACTGGTAAATTTTATTTTGTACATACAATGTGTCAGGCACTGCTCTAGGTGCTAAATATATAGCAGTTAAGAAAAAAATTCTGCTCATTTGAAAATTAAAATTAAGTTGGCAGAGACTAGCAAGCAAATGTGTGCCTTTGTATGTATGCGTGTATGATGTTGGGGTTTAATTGATGCAGAGGAAAATAATGAAAGCAGGATTTCTTTCTCCTTGATTCTCAGATGGGGGAGAATGTAATTTTGTATGGGATGACATGACCAGGAAGGTAATGTTTGAGCAAAGACCTACAGGAGAAGCACAGTTTGTACAGATTACATGGGTTGGGGGAGGGCAGTACTCCAGAAAAAGGGAACAGCAAAAATACTAAGTCAGAAGCATGTGAAGGGGAATCAAAGAAAAACATTGAATGAAAATGAGTGAGCAAAGAATGACAGATAGTAGTAGAAACTTAGACTAGAAAAAAATAAAAGTATAGGTCTTGGAGGACTTCAGCTAATTTTAAAGATTGTTTTTGCTCTAGTTAATATTAGACACTAGGTTGCAGGAAGTAAAGGTTAGAATTTTGAGATCAATAAAGAGGCTATTGTAATAACTCACAAGAGAAATGATACAGGTTTGGACTAAAATGATAGTTTGGGATGTAGTTAGTCATGGTCAGATTCTGGCTATATCTTGAAGAAAGTTCATTTGTTAACTGTATTAATTTGTTGTCACATTGCTATAAAGATACTACTTGAGATTGGTAATTTATAAACAAAAAAGGGTTTAATTGACTCAGTTCTGCGTGGCTGAAGAGGTCTTAGGGAACTTACAATCATGGCAAAAGGCAAAGGGGATGCAAGAACTTTCTTCACATAGTGGCAGGAAAGAGTGTGTGCAGGGGAAACTGCCTCTTTTAAGCCATCAGATCTCATGAGAACACCCTCACTATCATGAGCACAGCATGGGGGAACAAACTTCATGATCCCAACATGTCCCACCAAGTCTATTCCTTGACACATGGGGATTACAATTCCAGATGAGATTTTGGTGAGGACACAGAGCCATACCATATCATTCTGCTCCTGGCCACTCCAACATCTCATGTCCTTTTCACATTTTAAAATCAATCATGCCTTCCCAACAGTCCACCAAAGTCTTAACTTATTCTAGAATTAACTCAAAAGCCCAAGTACAAAGTCTCATCTGAGACAAGGCAAGTCCATTCTGACTATGAACCTGTAAAAACAAATCAAGTTACTTACTTTCAACATAAAATGGGGTTACAGGCATTGGGTAAATGTTTCCATTCCAAATGGGAAAATTTGGCCTAAACAAAGGGGCCACAGGCTCCATGAAAGTCAAAAACCAGGCTGGGCAGTCATTAAATCTTAAAGCTCCAAAGTATCCCTTGACTCTGTGTCTCACATCCAGGACATGCTGATGCAAGGAGTGGGCTCCTACAGCCTGGGAAGCTTCAGCCCTGTAGCTCTGCACAGTACAGTTCCTGTGGCTGTTTTCATGGGCAGGCATTGAGGGTCTGCATCTTCTTCAGGTGCGTGGTGCAAGCTGTCAGTGGATCTAACTTTCTGGGTCTGGAGGATGGTGTCCTCTTCTCACAGCTCCACTAGGCAGTGCCCTAGTAAAAACTCTGTGTGGGGGCTCCAATCCCACATTTTCTCTCTGGATTCCCCTAGTCGAGGTTCTCCATGAGGTCTCCACTCCTGCAGCTGACTTCTGCCTGGACTTTCAGGTATTTTCATACATTCTCTGAAATCTAGTCAGAGGCTCCCAAAGCTCAACTCTTGTATTCTGCACACCCACAGGCCCAACACCATGTGAAAGCCACCAAGGCTTCAGGCTTTCACCCTATAAAATCAATGGCCCAAGCTGTACCTTTTCCTTCTTTAGCAACAGCTGGAGCTGGAGTGGCTGGGGTGAAGGGTGCAATGTCACAAGACTGAACAGTTCAATGGGGCCCTGGGCCCAGCCCCAAAACCATTTTTTTCTCCTAGGCCTCTAGGCTGTGATGGTGGGGGTGGGTGCTGCTGTAAAGGTGCCTGACATGCCCTGGAGACATTTTCCCCATTGTCTTGGCTATTAACATTCGGTTACTCTTAACTTTTGCAAATTTCTGCAGCCAGCTTGAATTCCTCCCCAGAAAATTGGTTTTTCTTTTCTACCACATGGTCAGGCTGCAAATTTCCAAAGTTTTCTGCTGTACTTTCTTTTTATACATAATATCCAATTTCAGACCATCTCTTTGTTCACAATAATATGAGCATACATTTTTAGAAACAGCCAGGCTACATCTTTAATGTTTTGCTGCTTAGAAATTTCTTCCTCCAGATACCCTAAATCATCTCTCTCAAGTAAACAGTTACATAGATCTTTAGAGCATTGGCAAAATCCCATCAATCACTTTACTAAAGCATAGCCAGAGTAGCTTTTTATCCAGTTCCCAATTAGTTTCTTGTCTCCATCTGAGACCACCTCAGTCTGGACTTCATTTTCCATATCACTATCAGCATTATGGTCAAAACCATGCAACAAGTGTCTAGGAAGTTTCAAATACTTTCACATCTTCCTGTCTTCTTCTGAGCCATCCAAAATGTTCCAACCTCTACCTGTTACCCAACTGCAAAGTCACTTCTACATTTTCAGGTTACTTTTATAGCAGTGCACCACTCTTGGTACCAATTTTTCCTGTATTACCCTGTTTTCACACTGCTATAAAGATGTTACCCAATGCTGAGTAATTTATACACAGAAGAAGTTTAATTGACTCACAGTTTCCCACGACTGGAGAGGCCTCAGAAAACTTACGATAATGGCAGCAGACAAAGGGGAAGCAAGGACATTCTTCACATAGTGGCAGGAAAGAGAGAGAACACAGTGGAAACTTCCATTTTTAAACCATCAGATTTTGTGAGAACTCTCTCACTATCAGTAGAACAACATGGGAAATACCACCCACATGACCCCATCATCCTCCACCAGGTCCCTCCCTTGACACATGGGAATTACAATTCCAGATGAGATTTTAGTGGGGACACAGAACAAAGCCATATTAACTGACTGATATTGATAATTATATTTTTTGAAAGAAATCTGCTAAATTTCTAAATAAATTAGATTTCTATTTAGGGAAATATAAGCAAAATTTAATTTATAGTTTTCTGTAGTCATCTCTGGGTTATATATTCATATGCAGATAAAAATTGAGGTAAATAGACCAGAATTGTAGTGTTATTAAATTCTTAGGATCAACATAAAAATATGTCAATTAAAACAACATATATTAGTTGCTACAGTATGTATTAAGGCATTAATAGTTTCAAAACTGAAGTATCATGACAAAATATTTAAATTTTAATTTAAAAACACAGTTAAATCTTATTTTAAAGGTTTTAAACTTTCATGATCATCTTCCTGTAAGGTATTTGGATACTTTGTTTATTATGAGTATATTCCTAATCCACAAAATTTGAACAGATTAACATTTACTTAAATACATTTACTTAAATACATTTTTCTCACTATGGATAAAAAAAAATTTAAGGATACTGCTAAGTAGACTATAACCATTGTTATGCAGAAGACTTATTGTAGAGGCAAAACAATAGGTAGACAAAACTGTTGCTTCTAAAATATCTTTCATGTCATCAATAGCAAGTTCACATCTACCCTTAAGAATGTCACTATTTATACAAGAGATAAGTTGTAAAAATAACGAATACATTTGTAATATTTACCGGATTTCATGAAGGACCTACCTTTTTGACTATGAAATAATATTTATACCAACACAATTAGAGCAAATAAGTGACCAGTATATTAAATACTTGAATGTTAGAGTGAAAATGACACCCAGTATCAAGTATTTAAATCAAATATTGATTTGAAATTTTAGTCAGTAATTTTTACAAAATTCAATTAGATTTGGTAAAAGAATAATCAATTCACACTTTGTATAATATCAGGAATTTTCCAATAATAAATTATGTAATATCAAATTATTACCCTTGTGTTTATTTAAATATTGAAATTGATCACTGTGTTGATCAATATGTTGACTACATTGTGATCAATTTGTGCATATTTTATCACTGCACTGAATCTGATTCAACTATAGATGGCTGTAAATGTGAAACAATTATCATCTTAATTATTACTTACAGAACTCCTTTTTCATATAATCAGGACACAATTCAAGCATAGAAATATAAATAATGAAAAAACAATTTAATTTTTGTTCTATTTGTGTTTAACATGTATCAGAAATTATAGATACTTAGCCAATAATTACAAAAATAATAATAGAATTGCAATTGTGATGGGTGCAAGAATGTAAAAATCCAGTGGCCTGAATACCTTATTTTGAGCATGGATGTTGAATAGCTTATGAGTTCTGAGGTTAAAGAAGATTTACATAAGAAAGTGTCAGATATAAAATCAGATATAAAAGCTGATTTACCCAGGTAAAAGAGAGAAGAGTGTAGCAGGAATATGGCAAAGCACAGTAACAAAGTTAGTTTAGTAATGGGTCTTGAGATAAGGATATGAACAATCTTGATTTTCATTATGAGGGTAAAGAAATCTCTCTATTAGATTTCAAGTCAGGAGATGAAAAAATCTGCTATTCAGTAAATGGTGCTGGGAAAACTGGCTAGGCATATGCAGAAAACTGAAATTGGAGGCCTTCATTACACCTTGTACAAAAATTAACTCAAGATGGATTAAAGACTTAAATGTAAAACCCAGAACCATAAAAATGCTAGAAGAAAACGTAGGCAATACCATTCAGGACATAGGCATGGGCAAGTATTTCATGACTAAAATGCCAAAAGCAATTGCAATAAAAGCCAAAATTGACAAATGGCATCTAATTAAACTAAAGGGCTTCTGCATAGCAAAAGAAACTATCATTAGCGTGAACAGGTACCCAATAGAATCAGAGAAAATTTTATAATCTACCCATCTAACAAAGGTCTAATATCCAGAATCTACAAGGAACTTACACAAGTTTACAATAAAAAAAAAACCTCATCAAAAAGTGAGTGAAGGATATGAACAGCCACTTCTCAAAAAAAGACATTTATGTGGCCAACAAACCTACGAACACAAGCTCATTATTAATGGTCAATAGAGAAATGCAAATCAAAACCACAATGAGATACCTGTTAGAATGGCGATTATTAAAAAGTCAGGAAACAACAGATGATGGAGAGGATGTAGAGAAACAGGAAGACTTTTACACTGTTGATGGGAGTGTAAATTACTTCAACCATCGTGGAAGATAATGTGGTGATTCTTCAAGGATCTAGAACCAGAAATACCATTTGACCCAGGAATCCCATTACTGGGTATATACCCAAAGGATTATAAATCATTCTGTTATAAAGACACATGCACACATATGTTTAATGCAGCACTATTTACAATAGCAAAGACTTGGAACCAACCCAAATGCCCATCAATGATAGACTGGATAAAGAAAATGTTGCACATATACACCATGGAATAATATGCAGTCATAAAAAAGAATGAGGACATGGGTGAAGCTGGAAATCATAATTCTCAGCAAACTAACACAGGAACAGAAAACCAAACACTGAATGTTCTCACTCATAAGTGGGATCTGAACAATGAGAACACGTGGACACAGGGAGAGGAACATCACACACTGAGGCCTGTTTGTGGGGGGTGGCAAGGGGAGGGAGAGCATTTGAACAAATGCCTAATAAATGTGGGGCTTAAAACCTAGATGACAGGTTGATAGGTGCAGCAAACCACCATGGCCCATGTATACCTATGTAACAAACCTGCACGTTCTGCACATGTATCTCAGAACTTAAAGTAAAATTAAAAAAAAATTACTCAGAAGGCAAAAGTGACTGTGATTCAGACACCTGTGAAGAAATTAACTATTGAAAAAAGGTGATTCTTCTCATTAAAACGGAAGTATAAAAATGGGAAGAGGATGTTTGTATGCACTTCTTCTAGCCATTTCGGTACATTTTCAATTAGTGATATTACTTTTTTGTTTTGGATGCTGCTTTTTTCCCTGTGTTTTTGAAAAAGCCCAAAGTAACTCTATCGTAAGAATATTTCAAGTTGATAATTTCAGTTGAGAAGGTAAATGGACAATCTTTCTTATGTCATATTGTAGATAGTTTCATACACTCCTGATACTAAATTTATGCAAAACTGTCTAATTAAAAAATACATAGATATGTCTTCATTTTCCTATATGTTGATGTCAAAATGTTGGAGTGTATTAAGAAGTTAAAGACAGACAATCTTTTCTCAATAAATTTGAAAATTCTACCAACAGTTTTCACTGCTTCTCAAAAACTTTAAAAGTAAGTTTTCTAAGCTGAATTTCTGAGCTAAGAAATACAGGTCTCATAATTTTTACAGGTATATATATTTGTAATTTCTGATGCCTTTCTCATGCCTTAACATGCTCAAAAGATCATTTTGTGAGAGATAGTCAACCTGATAAGCAGCAACAATGTCCTAAATCTCCACTACAGAATAAGCCATTCAAAAATTAAAAAATAACATTTACATTTTAAAGTTTCCTTTGTTGGGAGGCAGAGCAAGATGGCAGAATAGAAAGCTCCACCCAGTGTTTCCCATGCAAGGACACAAAGTGAACAACTATCTACAGAAAAAATAAAACAGCTTCATAAGAATCAAAAATTAGGTGAGCACTCATAATAGGTGATTGTAACTGAAAGAGGCACTGAAAAAATTGTTAAAAAACAGTCTTGAATCACTGATGCATCCCCCTCCCATCCCGCAGCAGCAGTAGCAGCACAGTGCAGAGAGTCTATCTGGACTCTAGGGGAGGGAGAACACAGCAACCGTGAGACATTGAACTAACTGCTGTCCTATTAGAGCCCATAGAGGGAGCATTAAAAACCATCCTTAGCCAGAGGGGAATCACCAGTGCCAGCGGTCCAAACTTGAGTGCCTCCAAACCTTGCCACCAAGGGATACAGCAGTTTGAGTCTCCAAGCAAACTTGAAAGGCAATCTAGGCATAAGACCTGCAACTCTTAGACAAGTTCTAGAGACAGTGCACTGGGGGTGGGGACATGAAATATTGAGACACCACCTGGGCAGCAAAGGGGGTGCTGGTACCACCCTCCTCTAACCTCAGGCTGCACCACTCATGGCTCTCAAAGAGACCCCTATCTTCCACTTGAGAAGAGGACAAGGAAGAGCGGGAAGGAATTTTTCTTGCATCTAGGATACCAGCTCAGCCACAGCAGGATAGGGCACCGATCAGAGACATGAGGCCCCTGTTCCAGGGTCTATCTGCCAGATGAAATTTGTAGACACACCTGGGCCAAAAGGAAACCCACTGCCTTAAAGGAAAGGACCCAGTCCTGGCAGCATCTATCATTTGGTAACTGAAGAGCCCCTGGACCCTGAATAATGACAACAATACCCAGGTACTACATTGAGGGCATTGGATGAGCCTCTGAGATTTTCTGGCTTCAGGTTAGACTTGGCACATTACCAGCCTCAATGGCAATGGGGCAAAACTCCTTCTGCTTGAGAGAAGCAGAGAAAAATGTAAAGGAATCTTTGTCTTGCATCTTAGGTACCATCAGAGCCACAGGGTGTAGAGCACCAAGCAGGCTCTTGGGATCCACAATTCTACGACATGACTCTTAGACAGCATTTCTTAGCATGCCCTGGGGCATAGGGGATCCCACTGCCCTGAAGGGTGAGTCCTGGGGCAAGCAGCATTCAGGACAAGCTCACTTAAGAGACTTAGAGCCTTAAGCAAACATTGGTGGTAGTCTGGAAATACTTTCTATGACCTGTGGTGGTGATGGCTGTTGGGTGAGTCTCCTCTGCCTTTGGAAAGGGGAGAGAAGAGTGGAAAAGACAGAGTCTGATGCCTACAATCAGCAGGCATCAGAGCCAACTCAGTCCCAATACACAGAATATCAGGTAGACTTCTAAGGTTTTTGACTCTAGTCCCTGACTTCCAGAGGGCACTTCTGGGCCCACTGAGGACATTTGAGACCTTGCTGTTCTGAAAGCAAGGTCACAGGCCTGGCTGGCTCTAATGCCTGCTGATTGTAGAGTCCCATAGCCTTCAGCAAACATAGACAGTTGCCAGAGAGCAGTTATAAAAGGCCTTGTGGAAGTCCCAGTGCTGTGCTGGCTTCAAGTCTGACCTAGCTCAGTCACAGTAGTGGTAGCCACAGGGGTGCTATTGTCACTCCACTACCAGATTTAGGTGACAGAGAGAGAGAGAGAGAGAGAGAGAGAGAGAGAGAGACTCTGTATGTTTGGAAGGATGTAAGGGAGGAGAACAAGAATCTCTACCCAATAATCCAGATAATTATCTGAGAGAACAAGAATCTCTACCCAATAATCCAGATAATTATCTGAGATCTGGTCCAAGACCATCAAGGTGGTACTTCTACAAGTCTACAGAAATCACAGCATTACTGCACTTCAGGTGCTCATTAAAGCAGATGCAGCTTAGATCACCACACCTATGTCCTTTCAAATAGTTGAAAAGCCTTCCCAATGAGAATGAGTAGAAATAAGCTCAGACAGTGAAGACTACAATAAATATCAAACTCATTAATGTCCAGACACCAAAGAATATCTACCAGCATCAACATCATCCAGGAAAAGATGACCTCACCAAATGAACTAAATAAGCCACCAGGATGCAATCCTAGAGAAACAGAGATATTCAAAATAGCTATTCAAACAGAGAAGAGAATTCAAAATAGCTATGTTGAGGGAATCCACCCAAAATCAAAATAACACAGAGATGAACTTCAGGATTGTATCATAAATTTAACATAGAGATTAAAATAATGAAAAAATCAGGAAGAAATTCTAGAGCTGAAAAATGCATCAGAGTTCTTTAATGGCAGAATTGATCAAGCAGAATAAAGGATTAGTGAGCTTAAAGACAGGCTATTTGAAAATACAGCCAGAAGGGGGGAAAAAAAAAACAAAGAATAAGAAACAGGCATGTATACAGAATCTAGAAAATAGCCTCAATGGGGCAAATCTAAGAGTTATTGGCTTTAAAGAGGGAGCAGAGAAAGAAGTAGAGGTAGAAAGTGTATTCAAAGAGATAACAACAGAGAACTTCCAAACCTAAAAAAAGATATTATCCAAGTACAAAAAGGTTATGGAATAAGAAGCAGATTTAACACAAAGAAGACTAGATATTTAACAATCAAACTCCTAACAGGTAAGGATTTAAAAAAAAAAGACTCTAAAAGCAGTAAGAGAAAAGAAACAAATACTATACAATGGAGCTCCAATATGTCTGGCAGTAGAGTGTTCAGTGGAAATCTTACAGGTCAGGTCAGAGTGGCATGACATGTTTAAAAAAAAGAAAAAAATAGCATAGAATATTATATCTGGCAAAAAAAAATGCTTCAAGCAAGAACAAGAAACAAAGATAGTCCCAAACAAAAAAATGAGGGATTTTATCACTATCAGACCTGTCCTACAGGAAATGCTAAAGATAGTACTTTGATGAGAAAGAAAAGGATATTAATGAGCAATAAATAATCACTCAAAGGGTACAAAATTCTCTGGTAATAGTATGTACACAAAAAAACAGAATATTATAACACTGAAACTGTGTTGTGCAAATTATTCTTATCTTAAGTAGAAAGACTAAAGGATAAAACAATCAAAATAACTACAACAAGTTTCCAAGACATAGTTGGTATTAAAAGATATAAAGAGAAACAACAAAAAGTTATACAGTGGGGTGGCAAAGTTAAGGTATAGAGTTTTCATTAGTTTTCTTTTTGCTTGTTTGCCAGTCTATTTATGTAAATAAACTTGTGTTTGTTATTAGGTAAAAATAATAGATTATAAAATAGTATTTGCAATCCTCATGGTAACCTCAAACCAAAAATATACAATAGATACACGTAAAATAAGCAATAACTTAATCATATCACCCAGAGAAAATCACCTTCACCAAAGGAAGACTAGAAAGAGAGAAGAGATTGTAAAACAACCAGAAATGCCATAAAAAAAAGGCAAAAGTAAACCTTTACTTACTGATAATAACGTTGAATTAAATTCTCCAATAGAAAGACATTGGCTTGCTGAATTATTAAAAAAGACCTCTGGATCTGTTGCCTACAAGAAACACTCTTAACCTATAAAGCCATACATAGACTATAAATAAAGAGATGGAAATAGATATTGCATGCCAACCAAAACCAAAAAGAAAAGGAGTCACTATCTTTATATCTGATGAGATAGATTTCAAGACAAAAACTATAAGACAAAAAGAAAGTCATTATATAATGATAGAGGGAGTCTTTTCTGCAAGAGGATAAAACAGTTTTAAATATTTATGCAGCCAGCATTGGTACACTGAGATATATAAAGCAAATATTATTAGAGCAAAGAGAAAGATAGGCCCCAACACAATAATAGCTGCAGATTTCAACATCCCACTTTCAGCATTGGACAGATCTTCCAGACAAAAAATCAACAAAGAAACATCAAACTTCACCTCTAGGGGTCTGCCTGGCTTTAGTCTAGTTATGGGTCTAGAAGCAAAAAGGAGCCTTGGGGCTCCTGATGAGAATCAACATTATCTTGCCTGGCAACTACCCTAGAGGAGGCCATCACTCTTGCCTCAGGCAGTGCAGGGTTTTTCTCCTCAGACAAAGGTAGAAAGCCTAATGGCAGCATGGGTCAGGGAGAGGATGTTGCCACTACTGGGGATGGGGAAGCAGTTTCTTCTGGCAAAAAAGTTTCATCAGAGTTCACAAGCTCATTTTCTCCAGCTTCATCAAGGTCCTCCCACACATCTCTATTCCAAGTTGCAGGGTCTCATTCTTTTCCAATCAGTGCCCTCACATTAACAGTAGACACCTGGCAAGACTGTGCATGCACCTTTTGTTGAAGTTCAGCCACTCACATAAGAGCTTGTGCCAGTTTTTCCACAATTTTAGCTCTTTCTCTACAGGAGATAAGACTCTCACTCAGGGCAATATTAGCAGATTTGAGGCCCACTGTCTGCTCTTGAAGCCAGGTGTTAGAATCTCTGAGTTCATCATTTTCTTTCATCACTTTGTCCAGTGAACTTAGAAGCAAATACCCAACTTCGTTGTGTTCCTTGGTCTCCACATATGGTCAAAGGTATTATGTGTAGACTCACTAAACTCCTTGGCTCTCATAAGCAGTAAATCAGGAGTGTCAAATGCATTTATTTTACATAACTCTCAAAACAGTTCACATCAAGAACTATCAATGTTCTTCATACTATTAGAAGTAGAGTCCTTAGCATTTTGAGGTCTAGTCATATTAAGCAGCCAACTTCAGAAGCCCCAAGACCAATGAAAGAACTCCATCTTTAATATTCTGCTTCTCTAGAACCACTCCTGGTAATGGTACCAAAAATCCGTATTAGTCAGGTAGTCAGGATTATCTAGAGGGACAGAACTAATTTTATATATATATATATATATATATATATATATAGAGAGAGAGAGAGAGAGAGAGAGAGAGAGAGAGAGACAGAGAGAGAGAGAGAGAGAGATTGAGAGAGAGAGAAAGAGAGAGAGAGTTATTAAGTAGTATTAACTTCCACGATCACAAGATTCAATAATAGGCTGTCTGCAAGCTGAGGAGCAAGAAAGCCAAAGCCAATCCAAGTCCCAAAGCTGAAGAACTTGGAGTTCTATGTTCAAGGGTAGGAAACATCCAGCACAGGAAAAATATGTAGGCTGGTGGGGGGCTAAACCAGTCTAGCCTTCTCACATTTTTCTACCTGCTTTATATTCTGGTCATGCTGGCAGCTGATTAGATGGTGCCCACCCAGATTAAGGGTGGGTCTGTCTTTCCCAGGCCAATGACTCAAATGTTAATTTCCTTTGGCAACACCCTCACAGACACACCCAGGATCAACAGTTTGCATCCTTCAATCCAATCAGGTTGACACTCCGTATACAATCACAATATCAATCCTATTTAAACTATTAAAAATATATGCAGGAGTATGAAATACTTTCAAACTCATTTTACTAGGACAGTATTACCCAGATACCAAAACTGGACAAAGACACTTCAAAAAAAAGACTACACACTAATTTATCTGATGAATATTGATGCAAAAATACTCAACAAAATAGCTAGCAAACCGAATTCAACAATACATTAGAAAGATCATTCATCATGACCAAGTGGAATTTATGCTGGTGATATGGTTAGGTTTTTTGTCCCCTTCCAAATTTCATCTTAAATTGTAACCCCCAGATGTTGAAGGAGAGACCTGATAGGAGGTGATAGGATTAGGGAGGCTGTTTCCCCTATGCTGTTCTTTTGATAATGAGTTCTCTTGAGTTTTGATGGTTTTATAAATATTAGTTTTCCTGCACTGTTCTCTGTCTTTCCTGTCACCTTGTGAAGAATGTGCCTGCTTCTCCTTCTGCCATTATTGCAAGTTTCCTGAGACCTCTCAAGCCATGTGTAATTGTGAGTCAATTAAACCTCCTTTTTCTTATAAATTACCATGTCTCGGATAGTATTTTTATAGCATTGTGAAAATGGACTAATACACCCTGGGTTTGAAGGAGGGCTCAGCATATGTTAATCAATTATTGTGATGTATCATATTAATATAATGAAGAATAAAAGCTGTACAATCCTTTCAATTGATGCTGAAAAAACATTTGTTGAAATTCAACACCACTTTCATGATAAAAACCCTCAAGAAACTAGAGATGGAAGGAACATACCCCAGCATAATAAAAGTCATATATGACAGACCCACAGCTAGTATCATACTGAAGGGGGAAAAACTAAAAGCCTTTTCTTTAAGATCTGGAAAGCAACATAGATGCCCACTGTCACCTCTGTTATTCAACATACCACTGGAAGTCCTAGCTAGAGGAATCTGACAAAGAAAGATATAAAAGACATTCAAATTGGAAAAGAATAAGTCAAATTATACTTGTTTACAGATGATAGGATCTTATATTTGGAAATATCTAAGGATTCCATAAGAAAACTATTAGAACTGATAAACAAATTCAGTAAAGTTGCATGATACAAAATCAATATAAAAAATCAGTAGCATTTCTATATGCTAACAATAAACAATGTGAAAAAGAAATGTAAAAATAATCACATTTACAATAGCCACACCTAAAATTAAAGCCCTATGGATTAACCAAAGAAGTGAAAAATCTCTATAATAAAAACTAAAAAAACACTGATGAGATAAATTGAAGAGGACACCAAACATGGAAAATATTCCATGTTCATTGATTAAAAGAATCAATAATTTAAAACATCCTTATTGCATAAAGCAATCTATGATTCAATGCAAACCTTATCAAAATACCAAGGACATTCTTCACAGAAATAGAAAAAACAATCCTACAATTTATATGGAACCACAAAAGACCCAGATTACGCAAAGCTATTTTAACCAAGGCAAGAACATCAGGAAGAATATCGAATGGACACTAGGCTTAAAACTTAGATGAAGGGATGATCTGTGCAGCAAACCACCATTGCACACATTTGCTTATGTAACAAACTGCACTTCCTGCACATGTAACCCTGAACTTAAAATAAAAGTTAAAAAAGAAAAAAAAAGAACAAAACTACAGGAATCACAATACCTGACTTCAAATTATACTACACAGCTGTAGTAACCAAAACAGCAAGGTACTGGCATAAAAACAGACACATAGACCAAGCAATGGAATAGGGGAACCCAGAAACAAATCCACAGATATACAGTGAACTTATTTCTGATATAGTTACTAAGAACATATAGTGGAGAATAGACAGGCTCCTCAATAAATGGGTTTGTTAACTAGATATCCATATGCAGAAGAATGAAACTAGACCACTATCTCTTGCCATATACAAAAATCAAATTAAAATAGATTAAAGACTTAAATCTAAGACCTCAAACTATGAAACTACTATAAGAAAATTTTGGGGAGATGCTCCTGGACATTGGTGTGGGCAAAGAGTTCTTGAGCAATACACCACCTGCACAGTCAATCAAAGCAAAACTTGACAAATGGAATCAAATTGGGTTACAAACCTTCTGCATAGCAAAGGATACAGTCAATAAAGTGTAGAGACAACCCACAGAATGATAGAAAATGTTTGCAAACTACTCATCTGACAATGGATTAATATACAGAATATATAAGAAGCTCAAACAACTCTATAAGAAAAAATCTAATAATCTGGTCAAAGAAATGGGCAAAAGATTTGAACAGACATTCCTCAAAGAAAGACAAACAAATGGAAAACAGACATAAAAAAGTGCTTAATATCAATGATGATCAGAGAAATGCATATCGAAACAATGAGATATCATCTCACATCTCACCCCAGTTAAAATGGCTTATATCCAAAAGACAGGCAATAACAAATGCTGAAGAAGATGTGGAGCAAAGGAACCCTTATACACTGTTGGTGGTAATGCAAATTAGTACAGTCACTATGGAGAGCAGTTTGAGACTTCCTCAATAAACTAAGAATTGAACTACCATACAATCCAGCAATCCCACTGCCGGGTATATACACAAAAGAAAGAAAATCAGTGTATAGAAGAGATTTCTGCACTCCTATGTTTGTTGCACTGTTCACAATGTTTAAGATTTGAAAGCTACCTAAGTGTTCATTAGGAGATTACTGGATAAAGAAAATATGGTATATATACAAAATGGAGCACTATTCAGCCAAAAAAATAATGATAACCAGTCATTTGCAACAGCATGGATGGAACTGGAAATCATGATCTCAAGTGAAATAAGCCAGGTACGGAAAGGCAAACCTCACATTTTCACCTTTTGTTTGATCTCATGGACAGTGAGCATAGAAGGATGGTTACCAGCATCTTTGAAGGGTAGTGGGAGGCTGGGGAAAAGGTGAGGATGATTATGGGTACAAAATAAAAAGTGGAAAGAATGAATAAGACCTACTATTTGATAGCACATCAGGGTGACTATAGTCAATAATAATTGTGTATTTTAAAATAAAAAATAAGAGAAAATGGGCAAAATTTTCTTTGTGTATTTAGATAACTTGACGTCACATAGCTCCTTTTGCCTTAAGGAGATCAGCAGATTCACTATGATTGTCACCATTTGTATGCTTTGCTGATGACCTGAAAACAGTAGATACACTCAGAAACCAGAAATAGCTTTTCATTGGTAAATACTACATGTTTTTTTGTAGATTATGACTGAAGAACATGTACAAATATTTTTTTAAAAAATGGATAGAATAGATATACTGCAAATGGTTTACTTTTACTGGGATTCTGTTCCTGTCTCTGTGTCCATATGCCCTTTCTTAGTGAAGACTCACAAAATGGCAAATACCAATATAATGGTGAAGACAAATTCACCCAAGAATAGAACTGACCTTAATGCACTGACAAATTACTGATGTAGATATGTGAACAGACTCCGTTCCTAATTAAAAAGCCATGACTTTTGACTCCCAGGAACAAATACAACGTTTGGTTGGATGATACTTTCCTCCACCTTACATTCTTCTTCACTTTTTCTAGGTTCACCGTGGAATAGAAAGTCTGAGTGGCAACTTGCTTATTTGGTTTATGATCATAGCTGCATGTATGGAAACTTAAGAATTCTGGTACAGGTTAATAATTTGGCACCTTTTCTTAGTAATATTTTTAATATTTGTCCAACATTTGCTTAGCAAAGACTAGGAAAAACTCATTATATATCAATAATTACATATTGCTTTATATTAAAATAAGGATTTACTACATGCACTGAATGGAACACATAATTAAGTAAAATTGTTATATTTCTTGTCAGCTTTGTATCATTCCTAGGTGGCATTCCTAAGTAGCATTACTCTCTTGCCTAGAAAAGACATAATCTAGATAGATCTGTTTAGAGTCTGATGTTTAAAAAGTGGTTAATATTTTATTTTCTGACTTTCATGTTACTGAAATAGCACCTTTCTAAATTTACTGTTTCTGCTGACGGCAACTATCAATTTTAGTTGAATGTGAACTGATGCTTTTAGGATTATTGCCATTTCCTTTATTTCAAACCAATGAAAACTTAAAAGAAGTATCATCTCTCTCCTTCTTAGAGTATTCTGGGCCAATTGACTTATCCCCTTAGCTCTGTTCTTATAAATACATTTACTTATTAACATCCACAATTGATGTCTCCCAGATATCTCAAATTTTACATGCACAAAGTAGATACTTGATTTCAAAATTTCACCAAACCTCACTTTTACTAATTTCCATCTCTGTCAATTTTACATTTTCTACATTTTCAATCAAACAATAGATCTAGAAGACAACTCTAATTCATCTGCTTTACTATTATTTAATGCATCAAATTCATCTGTAAGCCCTGGAATTCTACATCAACAATGCTTCTTTACTGCGTTTTTTTTTTTATTTTGTATTATACTTAAGTTCTAGGATACACGTGCACAATGTGCAGGTTTGTTACATATGTATACGTGTGCCATGTTGGTGTGCTGCACCCATTAACTCTTCATTTACATTGGGTATATCTCCTAATGCTTTCCCTCTCTCCTCTCCCCACCCCACAACATGCCCCAGTGTGTGATGTTCCCCTTCCTGTGTCCAAGTGTTCTCATTGTTCAATTCCCACCTATGAGTGAGAACATGTGGTGTTTGGTTTTTTGTTCTTGCTATAGTTTGCTGAGAATGATGGTTTCCAGCTTCATCCATGTCCCTACAAAGGACATAAAATCATCCTTTCTTATGGCTGCATAGTATTCCATGGTGTATATGTGCCACATTTTCTTAATCCAGTCTATCACTGATGGACATTTTGCTGGTTCCAAGTCTTTGCTATTGTGAATAGTGCTGCAGTAAACATACGGGTGCATGTGCCTTCATAGCAGCATGATTTATAACCCTTTGGGTATATATCCAGTAATGGGATGGCTGGGTCAAATGGTATTTCTAGTTCTAGATCTCTGAGGAATTGCCACGCTGTCTTCCACAATGGTTGAACTAGTTTACAGTCCCACCAACAGTGTAAAAGTGTTCCTATTTCTCCACATCCTCTCCAGCACCTGTTGTTTCCAGACTTTTTAATGATCACCATTCTAACTGGTGTGAGATGGTTATCTCATTGTGGTTTTGATTTGCATTTCTCTGATGGCCAGTGATGATGAGCATTTTTTCATGTGTCTGTTGGCTGCACAAAGGTCTTCTTTTGAGAAATGTCTGTTCATGTCCTTTGACCACTTTTTGATGGGGTTGTTTGTTTTTTTCTTGTAAATTTGTTTGAGTTCATTGTAGATTCTGGATGTTAGCCCTTTGTCAGATGAGTAGGTTGCAAAAATTTTCTCCCATTTTGTAGGTTGCCTGTTCACTCTGATGGTAGTTTCTTTTGCTGTGCAGAAGCTCTCTAGTTTGATTAGATCCCATTTGTCAATTTTGGCTTTTGTTGCCATTGCTTTGGTATTTTAGACATGAAGTGCTTGCCCATGTCTATGTCCTGAATGTTATTGCCTAGGTTTTCTTCTAGGGTTTTTATGGGTTTAGATCTAACATTTAAGTCTTTAATCTACCTTGAATTAATTTTTGTTTAAGATGTAAAGAAGGGATCCAGTTTCAGCTTTCTACATATGGCTAGCCAGTTTTCCCAGCACCACTTATTAAATAGGGAATCCTTTCCTCATTTCTTGTTTTTGTCAGGTTTGTCAAAGATCAGATGGTTGTAGATGTGTGGTATTATTTCTGAGGGCTCTGTTCTGTGTCATTGGTCTATATCTCTGTTTTGGTACCAGTACCATGCTGTTTTGGTTACTGTAGCTTTGCAGTATAGTTTGAAGTCAGGTAGCGTGATGCCTCCAGCTTGGTTCTTTTGGCTTAGGATTCACTTGGCAATGGAAGCTCTTTTTTGGTTCCACATGAACTTTAAAGTAGTTTTTTCAATTCTGTGAAGAAAGTCATTGGTAGCTTGATGGGGATGGCATTGAATCTATAAATTACCTTGGGCAGTATGGCCATTTTCATGATATTGATTCTTCCTATCAATGAGCATGGAATGTTCTTCCATTTGTTTGCATCCTCTTTTATTTCATTGAGCAGTGGTTTGTAGTTCTCCTTGAAGAGGTCCTTCACATCCCTTGTAAGTTGGATTTATTTTCACATCCACTGCTATCCTATTTCACTCTACTATCGTCTCTGAACCAGATAAAATGATGTTTTTGTACCTTTCTTAAAATTAATATCTATTACAGAAATACTTGCTTACACCTAATCAATGGTCTTTTAGGCCTTGTATTATCATACCCTACCTATTTCCTCTACCTGGTTCCAAGGTATTTTCTCCCTTGCACATTCCACTCGAGCCATACTTTATCTAAACAAATTAAGTTCTTTTTTCCTTTAGAAAGTCCAGGAAGGAGGAATGGTGTTTATTGTGTTCACTGCTTTGCATATGGCTTAGCAAAGTTAAGTCAATTTCAAGAATATTAAGCAGAAATAATTACAGCTACTACTAGGTGTTCTAGTGTGTAATCTTGCTTTTGTTCCACTGCAAAGGCAAAGCGTGTAACCAGGAATTGTTTGTAGGTTGTTTATTTAGGAGGTCATCCCAATAAGTAGTAGTGAGAGAGTTAGATGTGTTGGAGAAGTGAATAAAAAAGCCAAAAAATAGATGTATTAAATAACTGGTTCTTTTTGTGGGCAACTGCTCAGGACTTCTGAGTAACTACAAAATGTGCTCAGAATTTTTACTATAAATGAAGACTGGCCCATTTATGTGCTAACTCTTATCCTTCTTTGTGTGCAGATAGGTCCAGAGGGCTTTATTTTTATGCATTTTTAGACCACACATGCAGGTAGGTTTAGCAAGCTTCCACGGTTTCAGAAAGAGCATCCGGCCAAAAAAAAAAAAAAAAAAAAAAAAGAAAGAAAGAAAGAAATACCAACCATGCAAACAAACAAAAGCAAAGAGCGTTGAAAGGCACTTGAGATGAGATATGCCCACTTGCTCAAATACTGCCCACCAGAGTTTGACTTAAATCAGAACAGCCCTGAGGGAATGTCACATGTGGCACCAAAAGAACGTTCTATAATGTACCCTTTGCACCAACAAAATATGTCCACTGTTTCTTCAAGTTTACTCTGGCTCTCACTCTCCAAACTGGTGTTCACCTGTTGTCTTTAAAAATGAATAATATGGAGGCTAGTGAAACAAACTACAGTGTTCACTGATTTAGCTTGTCTCAAGGTGATAATTCATTATCTCTCTCTTTTATCCATCTTTCTAAAATTTTATCACTCCTTGTAAACATGTCAGCTGGACCAGGTGACTTGCTTGGTGGTATGGCACAGATTTTTATTACAGAGTATCCCAAGTCCTTGCTCTTTGTTCTTTTTTTGCTTGTCAGGTTGTGGCTGCTGCAGTTTTCTGTTCATTGTTTTCATCAGGCATGATAACAGCAAAAGACATTCATGTGGATTTTAGGCCTATTATACCTTGACCACATTATGTAGCAACACCCCTAATTCCTCAACATGATCAGAGTCAATTATACCTACCAGCATAGTAACTCATTTCTATGTCTATAGTCTACTGTCTTGAAGACCCTAAAATGCCCTCACCGCCATGGTATTATATCGGATTTAATGCAATCCTTAACCTACCCACTGGTGGAAGTGCCCACCTGCTGGGATCTAACACCAATAATCCAGGATTCCTATAGTAATAAATACAGATAGGACAAATTCCATAGGAGAGTCACTGGGAGTGATGGTGGAATAGTTTATCTCTAACTTCTTGTTTCCTAGACCCATCTAGGCTAGCTGTTGAAGGCACAGCAATATATGTGGCCCTTTGGCTAAATAAATATATAATAACACCCTAAAGGAAAGTATTTTTAATTAAGATTTGTACATTGTTCTTTTAGACATAATGCTATTGCACACGTATTCAATTATGTCATAGTGTAAACATCATTTTTATATGCACTAGAAAATCAAAAAATTTGTGTGACTCACTTTGTTGTACTATTCACTTTAATGTGGTAGTTTGTAACTGAACCCACAATATCTCAGAGGTATGCCTGCATTATATTTTGCATATGGTTTCTTATATGATCTCCAAATACCCTCTAAAATTAGTATTAATATCACAATTTTACAGTAAACATAATTTAGGCATGTAAATATTTACCAACAAACACATTAATGAGAGGTTTGTATAGGGAAGAAGGAGTAATATTTTTTCTTCCTGTTACAAAGTTCATGGCTAATGTTCCTATGGCATAGACAGATTAACAAGAGAATATTACACTAATTTATTTAATAATACAGGTGATATGGGAGCCTTAAGAAATGAAGAAACAAATACAGGGGAAACTGTATTGTTATGGACAATGATTGAGAAGTGTTATAAAAGTAAAACAGCTATAAATTTCCCTCTACACACTGCTTTGAATGTGTCCCAGAGATTCTGGTATGTTGTGTCTTTGTTCTCATTGGTTTCAAAGAACATCTTTATTTCTGCCTTCATTTCGTTATGTACCCAGTAGTCATTCAGGAGCAGGTTGTTCAGTTTCCATGTAGTTGAGCGGTTTTGAGTGAGTTTCTTAATCCTGAGTTCTAGTTTGATTGCACTGTGGTCTGAGAGACAGTTTGTTATAATTTCTGTTCTTTTACACTTGCCGAGGAGAGCTTTACTTCCAACTATGTGGTCAATTTTGGAATAGGTGTAGTGTGGTGCTGAAAAAAATGTATATTCTGTTGATTTGGGGTGGAGGGTTCTGTAGATGTCTATTAGGTCCGCTTAGTGCAGAGCTGAGTTCAATTCCTGGGTATCCTTGTTAACTTTCTGTCTCGATCTGTCTAATGTTGACAGTGGGGTGTTAAAGTCTCCCATTATTATTGTGTGGGAGTCTAAGTCTCTTTGTAGGTCACTCAGGACTTGCTTTATGAATCTGGGTGCTCCTGTATTGGGTGCATATATATTTAGGATAGTTAGCTCTTCTTGTTGAATTGATCCCTTTACCATTATGTAATGGCCTTCTTTGTCTCTTTTGATCTTTGTTGGTTTAAAGTCTGTTTTATCAGAGACTAGGATTGCAACCCCTGCCTTTTTTTGTTTTCCATTGGCTTGGTGGATCTTCCTCCCTCCTTTTATTTTGAGCCTATGTGTGTCTCTGCATGTGAGATGGGTTTCCTGAATACAGCACACTGATGAATCTTGACTCTTTAGTCAATTTGCCAGTCTGTGTCTTTTAATTGGAGCATTTAGTCCATTTACAATTAAAGTTAATACTGTTATGTGTGAATTTGATCCTGTCATTATGATGTTAGCTGGTTATTTTGCTCATTAGTTGATGCAGTTTCTTCCCAGTCTCGATGATCTTTACATTTTGGCATGATTTTGCAGCAGCTGGTACCAGTTGTTCCTTTCCATGTTTAGTGCTTCCTTCAGGAGCTCTTTTAGGGCAGGCCTGGTGGTGACAAAATCTCTCAGCATTTGCTTGTCTGTAAAGTATTTTATTTCTCCTTCACTTATGAAGCTTAGTTTGGCTGGATATGAAATTCTGGGTTGCAAATTCTTTTCTTTAAGAATGTTGAATATTGGCCCCCACTCTCTTCTGGCTTGTAGAGTTTCTGCTGAGAGATCCACTGTTAGTCTGATGGGCTCCCCTTTGTGGGTAACCTGACCTTTCTCTCTGGCTGCCCTTAACATTTTTTCCTTCATTTTAACTTTGGTGAATCTGACAATTACGTGTCTTGGAGTTGTTCTTCTCGAGGAGTATCTTTGTGGCGTTCTCTGTAACACTGATGCAAAAATCCTCAATAAAATACTGGCAGACTGAATCCAGCAGCACATCAAAAAGCTTATCCACCATGATCAAGTGGGCTTCATACCTGGCATGCAAGGCTGGCTCAATATATGCAAATCAATAAATGTAATCCAGCATATAAACAGAACCAACGAAAGACAAAAACTACATGATTATCTCAATAGATGCAGAAAAGGCCTTTGACAAAATTCAACAACACTTCATGCTAAAAACTCTCAATAAATTAGGTATTGATGGGACATATCTCAAAATAATAAGAGCTATCTATGACAAACCCACAGCCAATATCATACTGAGTGGGCAAAAACTGGAAGCATTCCCTTTGAAAACTGGCACAAGACAGGGATGCCCTCTCTCACCACTCCTATTCAACATAGTGTTGGAAGTTCTGGCCAGGGCAATTAGGCAGGAGAAGGAAATAAAGGGTATTCAATTAGGAAAAGAGGAAGTCAAATTGTCCCTGTATGCAGATGACATGATTGTATATCTAGAAAACCCCATTGTCTCAGCCCAAAATCTCCTTAAGCTGATAAGCAACTTCAGCAAAGTCTCAGGATACAAAATCAATGTACAAAAATCACAAGCGTTCTTATACACCAATAACAGACAAACAGAGAGCCAAATCATGAGTGAACTCCCATTCACAATTGCTTCAAAGAGAATAAAATACCTAGGAATCCAACTTACAAGGGATGTGAAGGACCTCTTCAAGGAGAACTACAAACCACTGCTCAATGAAATAAAAGAGGATACAAACAAATGCAAGTACATTCCATGCTCATGGGTAGGAAAAATCAATATCATGAAAATGGCCATACTGCCTAAGGTTATTTATAGATTCAATGCCATCCCCATCAAGCTACCAATGACTTTCTTCACAGAATTGGAAAAAACTACTTTAAAGTTCATATGGAACCACAAAGGAGCCCGCATCACCAAGTCAATCCTAAGCCAAAAGAACAAAGCTGGAGGCATCAGGCTACCTGACTTCAAACTATACTACAAGACTACAGTAAACAAAACAGCATGCTACTGGTACCAAAACAGAGACAGAGATCAATGGAACAGAACAGAGCCCTCAGAAATAACGCCACATATCTACAACTATCTGATCTTTGACAAACCTGACAAAAACAAGCAATGGGGAAAGGATTCCCTATTTAATAAATGGTGCTGGGAAAACTGGCTAGCCATATGTAGAAAGCTGAAACTGGATCCCTTCTTTACACCTTATACAAAAATTAATTCAAGATGGATTAAAGACTTAAACGTTAGACCTAAAACCATAAAAACCCTAGAAGAAAACTTAGGCATTACCATTCAGGACATAGGCGTGGGCAATGACTTCATGTCTAAAACACCAAAGGCAATGGCAACAAAAGCCAAAATTGACAAATGGAATCTAATTCAACTAAAGAGCTTCTGCACAGCAAAAGAAACTACCATCAGAGTGAACAGGCAACCTACAAAATGGGAGAAAATTTTCGCAACCTACTCATCTGACAAAGGGCTAACATCCAGAATCTACAATGAACTCAAACAAATTTACAAGAAAAAAACAAACAACCCCATCAAAAAGTGGGTGAAGGACATGAACAGACACTTCTCAAAAGAAGACATTTATGCAGCCAAAAAACACATGAAAAAATGCTCACCATCACTGGCCATCAGAGAAATGCAAATCAAAACCACAATGAGATACCATCTCACACCAGTTAGAATGGCAATCATTAAAAAGTCAGGAAACAACAGGTGCTGGAAAGGATGTGGAGAAATAGGAAGACTTTTACACTGTTGGTGGGACTGTAAACTAGTTCAACCATTGTGGAAGTCAGTGTGGCGATTCCTCAGGGATCTAGAACTAGAAATACCATTTGACCCAGCCATCCCATTACTGGGTATATACCCAAAGGACTGTAAATCATGCTGCTATAAAGACACATGCACACGTATGTTTATTGCAGCACTATTCACAATAGCAAAGACTTGGGACCAACCCAAATGTCCGACAATGATAGACTGGATTAAGAAAATGTGGCACATATACACCATGGAATACTATGCAGCCATAAAAAATGATGAGTTCATGTCCTTTGTAGTGACATGGATGAAATTGGAAATCATCATTCTCAGTAAACTATCACAAGGACAAAAAACCAAACACCACATATTCTCACTCATAGGTGGGAATTGAACAATGAGAACACATGGACACAAGAAGGGGAACATCACACTCTGGGGACCGTTGTGGGGTGGGGGGAGCGGGGAGGGATTGTATTAGGAGATATACCTAATGCTAAATGATGAGTTAATGGGTGCAGCACACCAGCATGGCACATGTATACATATGTAACTAACCTGCACATTGTGCACAAGTACCCTAAAACTTAAAGTATAATTAAAAAAAAAAAAAAGAATTCATTTCAGGCCGGGCATGGTGGCTCATACCTGTAATCCCAGCACTTTGGGAGGCCGAGGCGGGTGGATCACTTGAGTTCAGCAGTTTGAGACCAGCCTGGCCTACACAGTGAAAACCCATCTCTACTAAAAAAAAAAAAAAAAAAAAAAAAAAAAAAAAAAGTACAACAGTATGCTGTGATGGTAATAAATCAAGGGAAACTTAGCACCGCCTGTTTGTTCAGATTCTACTTGTTTTCAGGGTATAAGAGTATAAGGTAGGAGCTCTCTGGAATGAAGGTCTTATGATCTACTTTCTCAGGAGGAAAGACAGAGAAGGTCAGAGAGTTAACTTCCTGCTTTGTGTTTTTCTCAATTCCTTCAGTTTTAAAAACTCAGTATGGCAAGTTGTCATATGTTGAGGTATTGTGTTCTGAGCTCTGAAACTTGGCTGTTGTTCAAACTTATGAGCATTTTACTCCAGTGCACATGTTCTTGCTGAGTGTAAGACACCATATACAAAGGACTTAAAACTGTATGATTCTCTTTATATATAGATAAATATATATTTTAATAAAATGCAAATTAATATATAAAAAAAGAAAGCAGACAGGGAGGCAGGGACATAAAGAGTGATAGACTGTGTGGAGGACCAAAAGCCTTCTGAGGTTGTTGGAAACATTTTGTACTGATTATGTTGATGGCTTCAAGGACGTTTATATCTGACAATACTCAAGAAGCTATACACTTTAAACATAATTATTTACATAGTGGTATATAAATTATGCCTCAATAAAACAAATACATTTCACTAATTATAAAAATAAGACACTCCTTGTACATATAAAATACAAAATAGTATAAATATAACAATAAAAATTTTCCATCAATAGTTTTCATTTAGTGCTGGTTTTCTTTTACATTTTTCTGCTACACACAGATATGGGTGCATATTTGTATAAATGGAAATTTTTACTACATATATACTCAATGTAATAACAGTTTTTATGTTCCAGCAAATTTTGCTTATGTATACACTCTTCTTTGTAAAGCTTCAAGTATTGTAAAATTATTGGAAATAAAAATACATGAAGAAAAACAAACCCACAAACACATATCGCAAATACAAAGCTATTCTCTTAACAGAGATGGATATTTTAAGCAATAAGGTAATATTGTGCTATCAAAATTTGAAATGGTTTTATTGATGAAGTTATACTAAGATAGACCATGCATATGCATAAAGTATGAACTATTAAAAAGAAAACAAGAAAATATGGGTAGAAGGAGCTTTTTGACAGCAATTTATCTATACTTACAAAAAGCCATAGCAAAATTCATACTTTCTACATAGTTGTTTGACTAAGAATTATTCATGAGGAAAGTAATCAGTAATTCAGTAAAAATCTAGGTACAAAGATGTTGAAGCAATACTTTTAAAACTGACAAAATTTTTACATAACTTAATTGTCTAACAGTAGAAGAATAATTATAAAGAAGAAAACAGCCTCAATAATAAACAGAACTTCATGTCATGTTAAAATCTCAACTAATACTAAAAAATTTGTGATATTTACCTCCCTGTGTTAACATCAGTCATAGATCTAAAATACATACTGGACAAATCATGTAACCTGTTATGAGTATTACATTTATGCAGCTTTAAAAAATTAATTAATGAAGATAAATTTTTCTCTCCCTTTTTTAGTTGAGGATACAATCTTACCTCCCTGACCTTTGGTCACAAAAATCTTTCTCACCTCTTGACTCAAACAATTATAAGGGAAGGTAATTTATTATATTTGTCTATGAAGAAACTTAATATATTCAGTGTGGAAAGATAGTAATGTGTGGCTCACTTATTACCTTCTCAGAATTAAGTTTTTATAGAAGGTAAGGATCTATTTTTATTGTTAATTGGTGGTATTTTTTACAACTTTTATGTAAATTATTTACAAAAACATAATATGATATGAAGGCATTTAAATCATAATTTCAAATAACAAAATAATTACAAATATTTTGATATATATCATAAAACATTATATATTATAATATATAATTCTGAGTTCAAAAGACAGCACACAATTCTGGATCCAATCTAAAAGGGGAAAATAAAGAATACCTCAAGATTGAATTAAGAATATGCAGTGTAAAAAATCTAATTGTCAAATATAAGCACAGCTGACAAAGGCAAAAATAGACAATGAGATTGCATAAAAATTTTTAAAAAGCTATGCACAGCAATAAAAAATAATTAACAGAGTCTAAAGGTAACTTATGGATTGTGAGAAAATATTTGCAAGACATACAGACAATGTGTTAATGTCCAGAATACATAAGGAACTCAAAAAGCTCTATAAACGAGAAACAGAATGGGAGAAAATATTTGCAAACTATGCATCTAATGGTTAATATCGTGAATCTACAAGAAACTCAATCAAAACAACAAAAAATCAAATACCACCAAAAAGTGGTGAAAGCACATGAACATTTTTCAAAAGAGGATATACAAGAGGCAACAAGCATATGAAAAAATGCTCAACATCACTAATCATCCTAGAAATGCAAGTTAAGACCACAATGAAATACCATCAGAATGGCCGTTACAAAAAAGTGAAAAAACAACATAAGTTGGTGAGGATGTGGAGAAAAGGGCACACTTACACTCCGTGGCAATGTAAATTAGTACAACTTTCATGCCAAACAGTATAAAAATTTCTGAAAGAACTAAAAATACAACTATCATTGATCCAGCAGTCCCACTGCTGGGCATCTACCCAAAGGAAAAGAAATTATATCAAAAAGTTACCTACACTCATATGATTATAGCAGCCCTATTCACAATAGCAAAACTACAGAATCAACCAAAGCATCAATGAATTATTGAATAAAAAAATATGGACTATATACACCATGGAATACTACTTAGCTGTAAAAAAATAAAAACACGTCTTATGCAACAGCATGGATATTGCTGGGGCTCATTGTTCTAAGTGAAATAACTCAGAACCAGAAAGTTAAAAACCACATGCTCTCACTTATAAGTGGGAAGTAAACAATGAGTACATATGGACATTCGGAGTAGAAAAAATAGATACTAGAGACTCCAAAAGGTAGGAGGGTGGGAGGGGGGTGAGAGATGAAAAACTACCTATTGGGTACAATGTACACTATTTGGGTGACGGGTACCGTAAAGGCTCCTACTCCACCATTATGCCATATATCTATGCAACACAATCTGCACTTGTATTCCATAAATGTATAAAAAATACACATTTTAAAAAATCAATTGGAAGGAAACAATCTAATTTAAAAAATGGGCAAGTCATCTGAACAGACACTTCTTAAAAGAAAATATGCAAATGGCCAATAGATATATTAAACGATGCTCAACTTCACCAACTGTTAGAAAAAATGCAAATTAAAACCATACTCTTTTTGAAATGGCTATCATGAAACAGATAAAGATAACAAGAGTGACAAGAATGTGGAGAAAATGAAACACTTATATGCTATTGTTGAGAATGTAAATTCATACAGACATTATGGAAAACAGTATGGAGGGCCCTCAAAAGAACTAAAAACACAGCTATCTTATTATCCAGCAATCCCACTTCCACATATTTACCCAAAAGATTTGAAAGTAGTGTATCAAGAGATATCTATACTCCCATTTTCATTGCCATATTATTCACAATAGTCAAGTTATGAAATCAACCTAAAAGTGTGCATCAAAAGTTGAATGTCAAGATACTGTGGTATATACAATTGTCCCTTGTTATCTTTAGGAGACTGATTCCAGGAACGCTACCCCACATCTGCACATACCAAAATCCACAGTTGCTTAAGCCCTTTAGGTAAAATGGTGTTGTATTTGCATATAACTTAAGTGCATCCTTCAACATAAATTAAATTATCTCTAAATTACTTATAATAACTAATGCCACATAAATTCTTTTAAAATAGTTGTTATACTATATTGTTTAGAAAGAAGTCTATACTTGTACATGTATATACATGTACAGGTGTAACCATCACTTTAAAAATTATTCCAAATATATTCAATTCACATTTTCTTGAATCCAAGGAAGCAGAAACTATGGATATGGAAAGCCTGCTTATACACAAGGAATACTATTCAGCCTTTATAAAGAAATAAATTTTGTCACATTGTGACAACGTGGATGGAATTGGAGAACATTACACTAAGTGAAATAAGCCATGCACAGAAAGACAATAACATGTTCTCAGTTCTGTGTGGAATCTAAAATAATCAACCCCAGAAGCAGAGAGCAGAATGGTGGTTTACCAGAGACCAATGGGAGTTAGGGGTTTGGGAGTGGGTGATGGAGAAAATAGGGAAATTATGGTCAAAGGGTAGAACGCTTTAATTAGACAGGAGCAATCAGTTTATTTATTTATTTTTTGAAGCTATGTTGAACAGCATGGTGAATGTGGTAAATAATAATGTATTGTATATTTCAAAATCACTAAGTAAATTTCAAATGTTGTCACCACAAAAAAAGATAGGTATTTGAAGTGACAAATGTGTTAATTAAATTAATTATTTCACATTGCATTCATATCACTTTGTACTCCAGAAATACATACAAACATAATTTTTCAATTTACAATTAAAAAATAAGAAAAAAGAAAAAAAGCAAATATAATAATAAGTAGGCAAGTAGTATATGGTTGTAACCGTACTTTTGAATTTCTGTGGTTTTTCTTTCTTTTCTATTTTTTAATATTTTTAAGCACACAAGGAGAGTTGGGTAGTGTATAATACCTTCGTGTCTTCTTCAAGTACTCTTCTTAAACCCCTACCCCAGAGTCTAAATTCTGTTCTTCCTTAAGGTTAATGTGTACCTTCTAGTTTAAAAAGTAAAAAGCCTTTACCAGTGGCTTTGGCTCATACCCTACATGTGTGAAGTTCTAAGAGAGTATATATTTAAAGTAATTGCATTATGTATTATTACAACAAAAATTTATCAATGACTTTTTATGTGGTAAATTCTGAAATTTTAAGATAAAATACAGAATAATTGTGAGATAGCTCATAAATTAGTTGAGAAACAAAGACACCACTTCAACCAAATGTAAAAATGCTTTAAACAAGTAAAAACACTTTTATGTTGGGGGTCCAGAATACATAAAACATAGATGGGGATAGGGAGGGTTAGAACATTTTATGAACGATTGATTTTTGAAGGATGAATTGAATTTTACTGTTAAAGAATGCAGTATAAAAGGCAGAATAAGTGTAATGTAAAAATGCATTCTTTTAGAAAAAAATAGAGTATCGAATGAGATACGAATTTTTCCATAGAACTAAAACATAAAGTTCAAGATGGCAAGTAGAAATAGATGAGGCTAACGTGACAGGAAGCTGCCAAGTCACAGAGGGATGGAAATGTAAAAATAATTGTAACTTCCTTTTAAGGAAGATGGAGAAAATTGAATAACTTTAATCTGTGGATATAACTAGCTCAAAATTTTGATATATGATATAATGGTATAACCAGCTTAGCATTTTAGCAAGGTCAAGCTGGCAACTGTGTATGAACTTGAAGTGGATGAAGAATAGAGAAAAATGCTAGATAGGAGGCTGTTGGAATAATTTAAAAGGAAGATGATAAAGGTTTGACTGAGGTGATAATGGAATGGATAAAATAGAGTAAATTATAAGGACTGTAGTAATGATACCTAATCCTGTGTGTATAATAAAGTGCTCATTGTGTGCCAGAGTTTATTCTAAGTGTGTGTGTGTTTACTTATTTAATGTTCACAAAATATATGCACTAGGTACTGTTATTCTTCACAATTTATAGATGAGAATACTAAAGCAAGGAGACAATTAAATCACTCAGGATCAAATAGCTAGAAAGAAAGATCTGGAACCAAGATTTGAAGTCCAACATTTTTGCTCCAGAGTCCTAAGAACTACTATGCCATATTGACTTGCTTAGTAGTGGAGACATCGGACAAAGGACAAATAGAAAGAGTTTATTCACTAATTAGAATGGATTGCAAAAAAAAGAGACAATTTATCACATACATTTAGCTTGTGGAAGAAATTAGGTCATTACTTTATGTTAACTACATATGTGAAGGAAAAGCCTGTTTATTTAAGGGTCATAAGGCCGTAACCAGGAGCTGAACCTTTCTGGTGGTAACTTATTCCAATTCCTGAAAGAGTATATGTGAAAAAAAAGAAAGAAATACTCAAAGAATTGCTTAGAATTACTTTACAAATTAAAGACTACAAATGACTGTAATTATAATTGCTGCCGACCAGTACACGCAAAAAAACATTATTCTTTTTCATTGATACTATGAAAATAGCTGACTCCCTTAAATCATATTTCCCTTGATTCCTAGAAAAATGACTCAAAAATGCAAACACAATGTCATTCTTGCCACCTTGTCCGTTTACTTAGTAACCAGCGAATAACTGAAGAAGGGCATGTAGTTAACCGTTTCTCTAAATTAATTCATGTGTACAAACAGGGTACAGATACACTTTAAACTGGTGCTCTGATAGTCAGTGTTCTCACAGATTTTTTATTAGAGCCTGAGGTGCTAATGTTAAACATCCCTAACACCTACAGTTGGGAAAGAGACCAGCAAATACTGTGAAATTCACAGAAATACAAAATTTCTTGTAGTAAAATAACTCTGCAAGAGAGATTTAAAAAGAATGTTCACGTCCTTAAAATAATTTGAGCACAAACTTGGCTATATCTGTGTAACTGTCATCTATGCTAGAAACAATGATATCATAACCTGTTTCCAGCGGCCCTCTGATTCTAAATTCTACCTATGAGCCGACCTAGATTTCCTGAGAACGCCCTCCGTGTGCTGGTTTGCCTGGCTGCTCCTCCCTCCAGTTTCAGAGCTCCTTGTTCATCAAACTTACCTACCTGCTTACTCTGAATTTTCTCCCCCCAGTTCAGTACTTTTCGGAGAACTAGGTTACAGGTACATGTCTTATCAACACTCTATGCAGACAGCTATAGTGAACACTACTTTTGTACTGGTTGTAACTGTTTGCCATTTAATTTTAAATCTACCTTCTGGCCTTTAGGACCTGTCTAAATCTGTCTGCCAGGAAGGACAAGGAGCATTATCACCTCTTCACAGCCTTCATCACAGTGAAGAGCTTGAGGCTATGTGGATATCGTATTCTTTCAGCTTGTCTCCTAAAAACCCAGTCTGCCTTTGCTGTTTTCATTTTTTTCTACTTTTTTAATCTATCAGAGCAGTGTTGTACAGGATGTGGTTTGTGAGAGACCCAAGTCTGGGGCTCCAATTAGAAAGAGTTGAATGAAACTATAAGCCAGGATAACTGCAATCTGTCTACCATTAACGTCTTAGACTCCCAGTGTTGTCAGTGTTGAATAGGTGAGGCGTATAGGGAAAAGTAAAAAGACTTGTTTAGTCACTCTTGGTATGTAAGTTAGGCAAATTCAACTGCTTCCCCTTCCTGCTTCACAAGTAAGCTTTGGCATAGATCCTCCCTCATAACTATCATACTACAAATATGGCATATTTTACAACACTGCTCTCTTATTACTATTTAAAAAAATTAAAACAGTTTAAATTTTTTAACTGTAATAAGTAACACAAATGAGGTCACATTGGATAATATACCACCTTTAAAACAACAGGAAAATTATATTTTATGTCTATGAATCCAAATGAAACCTATTTAGATGCTTTTCAGTTGTAATCCACAAACTACACAGTAAGAAAAACGGACTAGGGTATTTATTTTTATTTAATTTCTCATTATCCTTTGTTTGAATGACTTTGATTTTTTGTTTAGATAATGCTTTAATACGATATTTTTTTACTGCCATTACAGCCACCTGTTCCTATTTGCTAAGATTCAATGAGAAAATATTAGCACTGTTTTAGTCAGGATATTCCCAAGAAACAGGAGCAATGGGGTGTGTGTGTGTGTGTGTGTGTGTGAGAGAGAGAGAGAGAGAGATTGTGTGTGTGTGTGTATATGTGCATAGAAAGAGAGAGAGAAAGATTAAGATTTATTTTAAGGAATTGGCTCCCATGATTGTGAAAGTTTGAAAGTAAAAACTGTGGAGTAGGACAGTAGGCTGGAGACACAGGATGAGCTGCAATGGGGGTTCAAAGGCAGTTTTCTGGCAGAATTCTTTCTTGTTCCAAGGATGGGGTGGGCTCTTTGTTCTATTAAGGATTTCAACTGTTCAGATGAGGTCCACCCACATTATGAAGGCAATCTGCTATACTCAAAATTCACCAATTAAGATACTAATCTCTTCCACAACACACCTTCACAGGCACATCCAGAGTAACATTTAACAAAATATGTTGTCACCGTGATCCAGCCACACTGACATACAATTAACATTATAGTCACCATGTAGATTTCAAAAATGAATAAATAAATAATAGCATATATTCATCTGTCAGAATTCTTAATTATACTGTTTATTAAAATATATGGTACAGTTAGTTTCCCCTTACCTTCTAGAATTTTTTTCCCTTATGGAAACATTTTTGGTCACTTTATATTCTATGGCTGTTTCAGTTCAATTCAACTAAATTAAACATATGCCCACAAGCAATATAGGGTAAAGTCAGAACTAATATTTTTCTTTATTAAGAAGGGAGACGATGTCTCTCTCTCTTTTCTTATAATTTTTAACAATTTGCCAAATTGCAAAGTGCATTAAAACATTCTTAGATATTGCCAAAAATTCCTAATTTACCTAGACCTACTAACTCTGGCTGAATGATGATAAATTTAATAAGCTGTGGAACACATCGGTTTCTCTCGTGAGATGATTTTTAAACATCCTATCCTTGTTAATTTTCCTGAGAAATAACCTACATTGTCTACAGATTTTTAACATAATTTAGTAAATGTATAAAAAATGAACACAATTTCCTAAATATACTGTATTTATTTTAAATTTTAGTTTATTTTCTGAGAAAATGGAGAGGTTCAAATGATTATCTCTAAAGTCCCTTATGTTCTCAATGTTCTATCCTTCCCTATCTTCAGCATCATCAGACCACATATGAGGCCAGAGGGTGACCTGTGTTAAGTCCGAGGTGTATGGTAATAACAGCTGCCGTTTACTGAGGACGTTAGTAAGTGTTTTCCATACACATCTCTCATAATCTATTCAGCAAATCTATGGAGCAGATATTATTATGAAGCAATATAAATTATTGTTGTCATACAGCTACCATTTTAAAGGGTAAAGGGAAAACAGGCACCTTAACCAAGAAAAGTAAATTCTATCTCTAAGGTTACTAAAACTGCCGAAGACTTAGTTACTGTAACTGTGAGAAGTTACTTTTTTATATAAGCACTTCTTAATATTTTCTTCATTACTTGACTAACTTAGATATTGCCCATCAAAGTAATTGCCCATTTCTGGTACTAAATTGATCAATCACATCGTGTAAAAATTATTATTCTCAACTTTTCTCAAAGACGTTAATCTCTGCTTGATATTCAGGTCTTTTTACAAAATATAACACTTCAGTTTGTCATTTCTTCATATGCTTGCTGTGGTAAGTAAGCTGATTTATTGCTGAGGAATACTAGGATCACTATTTGTAAAATAATTGATAGTTATAAATCTCATAATAATTAACTTTTACTTGAAAGTTCAAGCCACTCAGAAGTGTGAGAAGGAATTGCTTTAAAATAATGATTAAGTCATTTAGTTTTTAACAATAAAAATAGTCCTGCAACAAGTTGAATGCTCACATATAATTAGGTCAAGATAAAACAATCTGTCTCCTCTAGGGATGACTGATTCCTCTTCAGCCTTCTTAATTAGTAGTTTTCTAAATTTTCTGCTTCCGGGCTAACATACATTGGGGAAAGGGCACCCTTTTCAATAATTGGTTCGGGAAAAAATGGAAAATCCGATGTGGAAGACTAAAACTGGACCTCTATTTCTCACCATATACAAAAATAAACTCAACATGGATTAAAGACGTACACATATGACTCAAAACCATAAAACTTCTAGAGGAAAACATACGGAAAGCACTTCAGGACGTTGGTCTAGATAAAGATTTTATAGCTTAGACCTCAGAAGCACAGGCAACAAAAACAAAAAAATAGACAAATGAGACTGTATTGAACTAAAAATCTTCTGCAAAGCCAAGAACACCATCAATACAATTAAGAGACAACTTGTTGAATGGGAGAACACATTTGCAAACTATTCATCTGACAAGAGACTAATATCCAGAATATATAAGTAATTCAAACAACTCAATAGAAAAAAACACAAGATATCCAATAAAAAGTAGCCAAAGGACATGAATAAACATTTCTCAAAAGAAGATCTACAAATGACCAACAGGTATAAGAAAAAATGTTCAACATCACTAATCATCTGAAAAATGCTGAGTCAAAACCATAATGTGATATCATCTCATCTCAGTTAGTATGGCAATTAAAAAGACACAATTAACAGATGCTCGTGAGGATCCAGATAAGAGGGAACTCTCATACTTTATTGATGGGAATGTAAATCGGTATAACCACTGTGGAAAAAATATAGAGATTTCTCAAAATACTAAAATTAGCAGTACCATATGATCCAACAATGCCACCACTGGATATTTATCCAAAAAAATAAAAATAAAACATTCCATAAAGGGATACCTGTACTCTCATGTTTATTGCAACATTAGTCACAATATGAAATATATGGAATCAACCTATATCAGTTCATGTGCCTATCAGTTGATGAATGAATAAAGAAAATCTGGTGTATATACACAATGGAATACTCTTTGACCATAAAAAAAAGAGAAATCATCTTATTTGCTACAGTATGGATGGTACTGGAACTCATCATATTAAGTAAAATAATACAAGCACAGAAGGACAAATATAGCTTGCTATCACTCCTAAGTGGCAGCTAAAAATGTTTATCTCATAGAACTAGAGAATATAACGGTAGATAACAGAAGTTGGGATGGTTGTGTGGGTGGGGATGGAGGGGATAAAGTGAAGGTGGTTAAGAGGTATAAACATACAGCTGGATAGAAGGAATAATTTCCAACGTTTGATAGCAGAGTAGAGTGACTATAGTTAGCAATAATGTATATGTATTTCAAAACTGGAAGAGAGGGCTGAAATGTTCCCAACACACAGAAATGATAGATACTTGAGGTGATGGATACCCCCAAATACCCTGACTTGATCCTTACATGATGAATGCATGTAACAAACAAAATATCACATATAGATATCATATATCACATAGATATATATGTAGAAATATGTATTGAAAGAAAGAAAAAGAAAGAAAGGAAAGAAAGAAGAAAGGAAGGAAAAAGGTGGAAGAAGTGAAGAGAAAACACGAAAACATTCTGAATACAAAAGTAAGTAATGGCATTATAAAATAAATTTGAAAATTAATTACTTAAAATAAGGAAAGAGTTCTAATGCACTGTGAAAATTATATTCTAACTTTGTACAGCAATCAAATAAATATATAATGGGAGACAAAAAAGAATTTTAAAATGAGATATGAAACTTGGAAGAGATGACAGATGAGAAAAAATCATCACCAACGTAAGTACCATTTATGTTTTTATGGGTCATTTGAATAAAATAATTACTGGAGGTAAATTACAAATAAATAAGCAGACCAACAAATCTAGGAGAAAAAGAAAGCAAAAATTTAAATCACAAAATAATACAAATTATTAATAGGCAAATGGGAATATCACAGACATTATAGAAGTTATAATGTTTTAGAAATAATTCAGTATTCATTTTTGTTTAAAATGAAATCTTTAAAAATTAATGTAAATCCCATAAATGATTTAAAGCTCTCTTTAAGTCAGTAGAGAACATTTTATTTAATGAAGAAACATTAAGGAATCTCAGTAATATCTGAATTACATCAAAAATAATCATTCTCACAATTATCACTTTTTCTGGAAATTATAGCTGAATGCAATACATGACAAAATTGTATATATAATAATATATATAGACAAAAACATACACATATATTTATACACACAGTAAAAGAAATGTGTGTCTTTATGTGTGTGCATACAGGAAATAAAAATCATCATAATTTGCAAATGATATTAGAGAAAATAAAATACAAAAAAAAAATTGAAAAACTCAAGATGGTCTCTAGTATGTAACCAAGTATTCCCAAATCAGTTATTCCAATATTACAGTAAATATCTGTTTAAATATGATATTTTTTAAAAGTATGAAACAATGAAAAAATGTAAAATAAATAGAAATAAAATTAGTAGGAAAGGCTCTGGATCAGGATAAAGAAAACTAAAATTTTACTGAAGTGCATAAATAACAATTTGATAAGTAAAGAAATACACAAATATCCCGATTTGAAAAATAAATATATTTGAAAAATAAATATATTAAAAATGTTCATTATTTTAAAATAAATTTATAAATTACAGTGCATGATTAACAGAATCTATAACAGAGTACATAATTATGAAATATTCCTAGAGCTTATATATAAAAAGGTAGCCAAGATATTGTTGAAAAAAATAGAATGATTCACATTATCAACTAAAAAAAGTACTATAAAACTTCCATAAGGAAAAGGTTTTAATAGTATCAAAATAATTGTCTTAAGATAATTTTAAAAATAGACAAAAACATGTAAATCTATCTTTTTATATTACTAAAGTAGGAAATGTTATCATTGAGGATAAAATGAATTATTGTGTAAATGATTAGACAACTGTTTAAATATTTAGAATACAAAGTTTCATTTCTTATCCTCCCATGCCTGCTCCCCCACATGTAAATCACAGAACTAAAGTGCCAAAACTTAAAAAAAAGTATGAAATGATCATAATTGAATATATATCTCATATCAGTCTTACATCCATAATATATTTTCTGAAATATCGTATCTATTATAATTCTGTTTCAGAAAAATATTTAGTTACATAGAAAGTTATTTGCAACATGTTAAAGAATAGTTTATATAAATATATCAATAACAATTATTTATCAGGGATCGAATTTTTAGACATTTTTACATTCTTTAATTTCTTCTGTATTTTGTAAAATTTTTACAATGTATATATGAAATTTTAAAAAATTGTAAATGAATATATTTGCTTCTTTAAATAGATAAAATATTTTTCTTTTGCACTACACTATGTCATAAAATGTATATATATTACAGGTATAGTGATCTATAACTAGCCTTCTATTTAATATCTGTTCCACATAATAGATGAGTAAATAAAAGCAAAAAAAGAAACAACACACTGATGAACTGAGTTTTTATTACACTATCTCTAAAGCAATCATCTCTTCTCTAGTATTTAATCTTTTAGCCCCACTTGTAAGGTCAAGTCTTTTTTGCTTAGTCTCATTTATTGTTTGATATCTGTCAAATTCTGAGAATGTGAGTAGGTTGCAAGGTGAAGCAAGATTTTTGCAGGAGAAGCAAGATTTAATGACACTAGTGTTGTACTCTAACTATTAATGAACAAATGATACCCTGGCTGAGTTAGACACATTCTGACACCCAGAAGGAGATGATGTAGTCAACAATTCAGAACATATTTAAATATAAAGAAATAAATTTGAGAATATTTATTTATTTTTATTTCAGGATTTAATACAATTACAACATTTTCATACAATATAGTATAAAAATTATTTTTCCTATAAGGTCCTTTAATGACCCTCTTCCTATATCAGAAGTATTTAGGTAAATACATATTAGGTAACTGGAACTTTTCAAATTTAAAATTCCATGAAGTATTCATTACATGAACTTTCTATGTAAGATACAGGATAAAATATTCTCTTGTATATACTTGATCACTTCTATATACCTTTTGTCCCACAATGGAATGTAAGCTTGTTGAGTTTGCCTATTTTGTTTTTGTATTCTACAACAATGCCATTAGAGACATTTAAGTATTTATTGAGTAAAATAGCTAGTTAGTAGCATAATTTAAACAGCACAAAAAGGAATTTCATGTGCAATCGATTTTTTTTGAGGGAATATCTGCAAAGGATAAAAGAAAGAAGAGTATGCAGGGAGAAACAACAGCTTATGATACTGTTCTGTTACCAGTGAAATGGACAGAAAGGGAAGCATTGGGTAAGAATATTAGACTACAACACATTTCTAAGAAAGTTTCAGCTAGGCAAACAAGCACTCCCTGAGTTAACATTGCTCAATTGAGAAGTTCTGAATCCCATCCTAATGGGCTGGCACTAGTATCTCCATTGGGCTTAGTTATTGGTTGAGAGCAAGCCAGGTTATACATGGCCTTGAAACAAAATTATGATTACTCCAAAAGAAAAGTGGCTGGGGCTATGAATCAATTATGCTCCCTGTAGCAGTTTCCCGTGAAGGAGAACTTAAATGCTAATTCTGATAGCAATAAAACAATATTTAAAAAATACATATTAACAGGTGAACATTTGATCAATGAAGAAATAAACAAAAGTCAACTTTCTATGATATATACATATATCAAAACATCACATTTACTTACCCAGTGAATATACACAACAATTGTCAATTAAAAAAATAAATACATGTATTTTTTAAAAGTTGACTTTCTGATGGCACCAAAATTCCATACACTGTGGTTAGGCTTTGTGTCTCCACTCAAATCTCATCTTGAATTTTAATCCCCATAATTACCCAAATCCCTATGTGTCAAGGGAGAGACCAGGAGGAAGTAATTAGATCATGGGGGCAGTTTCCCCCATGCTGTTCTCATGATAGTGAGTTCTCATGAGATCTGATGGTTTTATAAGTATTTGGTACTTCCTCTTGTGGTCATTCTCCTTCCTGATGCCTTGTGAAGGTTGTTTGCTTCCCCTTTGCCTTCCACCATGATTGTAAATTTCCTGATACCCCCACCCCCAGACATGCTAAACTGTGGGTCAATTAAACCTCTTTCCTTTTTATACCCAGTCTCAGGTCGTTCTTTATAGCAGTGTGTAAACAGGCTAATAGAGTAAATTGATACCACAGAAAGTGGGGTACTGCTATTAAGATACCCATAAATATGGAAGGGATATTGGAACTGTAACAGACAGAGGCTGGAACAGTTTGGAGGGCTCAGAAGAAGACAAAAAAATGTGGGAAAGTTTGAATCTTTGTAGAAACTTGGAGGGCTCAGAAGACAGGAAGATATGAAAACATTTGGAACTTCCTTGAGACTTGTTGAATGGCTTTGACCAAAATGCTGATAGTGATATGGACAATGAACAGCTGAGGTGGCCTCAGATGGGGATGAGGAACTTGTTGGGAACTGGAATAAAGGTGACTCTTGCTATGCTTTTGCAAAGACACTGGTGGCATTTTGACCCTGCCCTAGAGATCTGTGGAACTTCCACCTTGAGAGAGATAATTTAGGGTATCGGGCAGAGGAAATTTCTAAGCAGCAAAGAAATCAAGAGGTAACCTGATGCTCTTAAAAGCATTCAGTTTTATGTATTCACAAAGAGATGGTTTGAAATTGGAACTTATGTTTAAAAGGGAAGCAGAGAACAAAAGTTTGAAAAAATTGCAGCCTGAAGATGTGGTAGAAAAGAAAAATCAATTTTCTGGGGAGAAATTCAAGCCAGCTGCAGGAATTTGCAAAAATAACGAGGAACAGAATGTTAATCACCAAGACAATGGGAAAAACATCAGGGCATGTCAGAGACCTTCTCAGCAGCCCCTCCTCTCACAGGCCTGAGGCCTAGGAGGTAAAAATGGTTTCATGGGCCTGGGCCTTGCTGCTCTGTGCAGCCTAGGGACTTGGTTTTCTGTGTCCTAGCTACTCCAGCAACAGCCATGGCTAAAAAGGCCAAGGTACAGCTTGGGCCATTGCTTCAGTGGGGTGCAAGCCCCAAGCCTTGGTAGCTTCTGTGGTGTTGGTCCTGCCAGTACATGGAAGACAAGAATTGAGATTTGGATATCTACACCTAGATATCAGAAGTTGTATGGAAATTTCTGGATATCTAGGCAGAAACTATCAGAGGTGGAGATCTCATGGAGAATTTCTGCTAGAACAGTGCAAAAGGGGAATGTGGGATTGGAGCCCCCACACATAGTACTCACTGGAGCACTGCCTATTGGAGCTGTGGGAAGTGGGCCACTGTCCTCCAGAACCCGGAATAGTAGATCTACTGACAGCTTTCCACCTGGAAAAGCCACAGACACTGACCACCAGCAGTGAAAGCAGCTGGGAGGGGCATTGTACCCTGCAAAGCCACAGGGGTGGAGCTGCCCAAAGTCCTGCGGTGCTCATCTCTTGCTTCAGCATGATCTGAATGTGAGACACGGAGTCAAAGGAGATCATTTTGGATCTTTACAATTTTATGACTCCCCAGATGGATTTCAGAATCGCATGGGACCTGTAGCCCCTTTGTTTTGGCTAATTTCTCCCATTTGGAACAGGAACATTTACTCAATGCTTGTACCTGCATTGTGTCTTGAAAGTAACTAATTTGCTTTGGATTTTATAGGCTCCTAGGTGGAAGGGTCTTGTCTTGTCTCAGATGTTACTTTGGACTTGAACTTTGGGGTTAATGCTGGAATGAATTATTCCCCAAATCCCCCAAAGAGTTTGGGGGACAGTTGGGAAGGCAGGATTGGTTTTGTAATGTGAAAGAGACATGAGATTTGGGAGGGGTCGGGGCAGAATGGTATGAGGAGGCTTTGTGCCCCATGAAAGTCAAATCATGAATTATAATCCCCATAATCTCCAAGTATGAAGGAAGAGAATAAGTCGAGGTAATAGGATCATGGGGACATTTTCCCCCATATTATTCTCATGATGGTGAGTGAATTCTCATGAGATCTGATGGTTTTATAAGTATTTTGTAGTTTCTCTTGTGGTCATTCTCCTTGCTGCCTTGTGGAGAAGGTGCCTTGCTTCCCCTTCGCCTTCTGCCATAATGGTAAATTTCCTGAGGCCTCCCCAGCCAGGCTAAAATGTGAGTCAATTAATCTTTCCTTTACCAATTACCCAGACTCACGCAGTTCTTTATAGCAGTGTGAAAATGGACTAATGCACCATATTTGATAGTCTGATTTTTAAAGATTACTGTTATGTAAAACACATGTTAAGTGTTATGTGTCATCGTAACTAGACTGAGCTAAACTTTTGAGAAGTTCCTATCTTATATGTTTCTAATGTGGACACATTAGAAGATTGTTAGGAGAAGGTTCTTGGGAGATTTGGAGGGTAAATGGAAGGTAGCAACCATTTTCTCTCTCTCTCTCGTGTGTGTTCTCTGTGTAAGTCACACACACACACAGACACACACGCATGTTTGTTGATCTGATGACTCATTTCAATGCCATGAAGCAGTAGCTGGATGTGTAACTGCTCTACCTATTCTTGTGTTTTCCTTCAGCATGTTTGACTCCTTGGAAAGGTTCAGTTTTCTAACACAAGGCCCCTGCTTCTGCATGATACTCTTAATGCCAAAGTCAAAGGCAAGAAGAATGGCTGGTTTCAGTTTAGGGTTCCAGTTTATTCTGTCATTGCTGCCTGCCTTTGATATTCCTCCTTCACATCTATCAGCTGCTTACCCTGCAACTTCAAGATTACACATCAGATGTGGATACAAAAAGCATTATAAAGGCTTTTTAACAACCTCCTGTGATTGTATGAGGCTGATTTCCTGCAACAAAAATATGTAATATATAACCAAGTGGTTTTGCTCTTCTGGTTGAACAATGGCTGCCGGCTGATACAATAGGGATATTGTTTGGGCCACAATGCTTTATTATATAACAAAATATAACTTGAAACCTGGGACGAAATAGAAGACAGAGATGATTACTTATTATGTGTTTTTCAGGAAGAAAAAGCTGATATGCCTTTAATAATTTCCTATTATATTTTAAGAATATTCTTTGTCATGTTTCATTCTTGTCTTTTGGTACCTAGCCCACATTTAGTAATAAGTAATAACCCAGAAACTTCACATTGCACTGGAACATCAAAATAACAAAGTCCATGACAAGATGAAGGCCACACTTTGTTTAACATCTGTTATACTACTATTTTCTCATTCTTCACCTTTCTTTCACTTGGTGGCCCTCTCCTAAAGACACACATATTCCCCCAGCTGTCTATTCTTTTGTACCTTCTAAAACATATAGGCAAAATATTTAAATCTGTTGAATTTAGGCAGAGAGGATTTTTTTTAATTCACATCTTAAGGTCATTTTATAATACAAAGTAAGAGTAAAGAAAACACATCTAATTTTATTTCATACATCAAATACTTCAAGAATTGTGATGTTTTTCTATGAAGTGTCTTCTCAATAAAAATGATTCAACAAGTGACAAGTTACTTTTATTTTTAGAGATTCTTACAATTTATAACACATAAAAAATTTATAAATGTATTAACTTTCATCTTCAAATCAGCTGTTTTGGCTGTTCCAGGATAATGGAGGTAGGTTTCATAAATATGTTTCCTTTGCTAGCTGACATTGTGTTAAGCCATGTTAGTAGAGGGTGCTCAAGAAACACAAGAGGAGGAGGGGGATTTTTCTTCCTGATGCCACTGTGTCTCACTTTCCAGATTTCTAAGGAATGTGCTTTTTCCAGCACTTGTCTCCTTAACCTACACAGTTTTCTCTACCTCTAGGCACCTGCAATGCACACTTCCTACAAAACTTGGCTTATGCAAAGTGCATAGCTTCTTTTCTGCTAGTTTCCTGAAGGGCACAGCTTTCTCTAGCACCTGACTTCAGCACAGTGTATTTTCTCAAGCATCCAGCCCCTGAAGATATGCCCCCACTATCTGGTTTCTTCTGATAGCAGCAGAAAGAAACACTCATCAGCCTGCAAATTCTCCCTGTCATCTCTCTTGGAAGCTTTGCAGTGGAATGCCACAGATGAGGCACATTCACACGAACAGACTCCCCAGCATCCATACAAGGGACAGTAAAGTGAGGGTTTTTTTGTTTGTTTATTTTTTTGTTTTGTTTTGTTTTTTATACTTTAAGTTCTAGGGTACATGTGCACAACGTGCAGCTTTGTTACATATGTATACATGTGCCATGTTGGTGTGCTGTACCTGATAACTCATCATTTACATTAGGTATATCCCCCAGTGCTATCCCTCCCTCCTCCTCCCACCCCCTGACAGGCCCCGGTGTGTGATGTTCTCCACCCTCTGTCCAAGTGTTCTCATTGCTCGATTCCCACCTATGAGTGAGAACATGCAGTGTTTGGTTTTCTGTCCTTGCGATAGTTTGCTCAGAATGATGGTTTCCAGCTTCTTCCATGTTCTAGTAAAGTGAGTTTTAAGGCCCATCCCCTCTCCGTGGATGAGTTTCTCTTACAACCCAGAAAAAAAAAAATGTAGCAAGTTATACCACCGAGTCACCTCCGTATCTTATGTGGCATCTTGTGATTTGAGGATATGACTCCTCCAAAAAGATCTCAGTTCCAGTCTTGACATGATGAGGAAGTCTCTTTCTTAGGTCCTTTTATTCCAGCCTCATGAGCAGTAGCTAATTCCTACACCTGCTTTTTCTGTGTTCTTTAATGCTCTTTTTAACTCTTGTTAGCCAATTCACCATTCTCCAATCTCCTGTCAATTATTCTTTATATTAAAGATTTTATATTCAAATTACCTCATGGTTTCTCCCCACTACTTAACCTTAACAGATACAGAATTGATACCTAGATTAGTTTCAGTACATTGACTCACAAAGATGGAAATTCGTGATTGGCTTGTTTGCACCCATAAATGCAATGTTGGCCTTCATATCCATGGAAAATGGGATGTTAGTAATCACATCATGTAATAACATCACAGTTCATGAAGTTATCATTTGTGGTTACATGTAATAAAATACAAACTGAAGCACACGCTTTGGAAGTGCAACTGGATGCTTGCACTTGATGTTTATGGTGGTAGTATGGCCACACACCATGTGATAATAGATGGATTTTTTGCATAAATTTGAGTAATTATACAAATAGAATGACAAGAACGGGTACATTAACTCTCAACTCTATTCACAGTCTGAGGACCAGAGAGTTTTCATGACCACCCGAAAACAATCTCTTATTTTTTGTTGGCCATAGAGCTAATATTGCTGAAAATTGAAAAGAAAAATTAATGTGCATGCTACTGATATATAATATGTAAATACACAGCTTTGCCAAATTTTCACATGAAAGTTAGGCATTCCTTTCTTAATAATGTGATCCTGAAACTTGAAATAAAGGTATATATTTTAAAATACACATATACATATTTGTATACCGATTCATAGATTTTAGTAATTTTCTTAGTGCAAATAGTTCTTTCAGAGCTGATTTCAAGCCACTAATGTGAAGTCACTAAAAACAGAGTTGGAATGAGTTGTGCAAAATCAGCACTGTCTGGCTGGTATGAACATCTCCTGCACATCAAGGATTCCACTCCAACAATGCATGTTAAGAGACTCCCAGGGTTGATCTCAATGGTACGGTTATCAAATATTTGTGTAAGGACTTGCTAAACTCTAAGGTTAAATACGCATAGCCACAAGACATTTTGTAAAATAGAAGAAAATGAAGAGAAATTCTCAATATAAAGAAAGAAAAATAGTATATATATATATATATATTTGATAAAATACAAAAATTATAAACGAACTAATTGTTTGATAACTGACCATAATTCTTAGATGTTTGGACCTGCTTTAATTTACATGTTGACCACAATGTTTGATATCATTTCAAGCCACGGGTCAGACAGACATATAAATGAACACTGGCATATGTACAGACTGTTGGTATTGATATGAAATGTAGGATAATATAATTTGATGTAGAGATATAAAGATTTAGAGAGCTGAAATCACTCAACCCCCAAAAGTATATCATACGTGCTGAAATTTATATTTTTAGTTCGTACTCTGTGATTTGACTTAAGCAATCCACTTCTATTTTAATTACCACCGATTTTAATAACTTACAATTCAATCTAATTTCAATCTACATAGAACTATCATATATTTTACCTTAAATTAAAAATATTATACCCCAAACCAAATCGATCTAAATTCCCTTTGAAAATAGAAAGAAGTGTGCATTATTTAAGAATAAAGAAAAAGCCTGGAAGCTTATGGTAAGCAAATATGTAAATATATCAATAAATAAAAAATAATGTTCAACAGGCAATATAGGGGATATACAAAAGATAACAGCCATGCCACATCTTTGTGCAACTCCTGCTGTGGATAAATACAAATTATCCAACAGTCAGAAAATCAAACATGTACTTTAATCATCTTTTACAAGAATATTTGTGCATTTCTAAGAAAGATTTTCTGGAAACATACAAACTAATGCCTGCAAATTAATGTTGTATAGAGTCTTGAGCTCTCTCTCTGTCACAAGATTATAAAAGCTCGATTAAATAACAAACAAGGGGTTTTGCCGGGGATGAATTTAATCTGAGAACTACAAGAGAGAGCACTGTCTCTTCTGAGTATATCTTTACCTCAAATAATTTCAAATTTCCTCAAAGAATTATGTTGTGTTGGCATATTTTGATGTACTAGAAGAGCTCCAAATTGAATGTGCTAGGGAGTTTTAGGAAAAAGAAAAATAATCAGAAACACATGCAACAAAGGGAATTGTGAATGGAAAGCCAAGCATGACCTTTCACTGTGGCTGGTACGTCCCCTAATGCTGCACTTTGGATGGCATTCTTCAGGGCCATTTCAAGTGCTCCAGTTAAAGTAGAACAGGTCTAAATCACTGGCACATAAAGTTTCTTTTAAAAGTGAATTTTCTGGTCACTAAGCAGGCAACCTTTAAGACCAGACTAAGCAGGTTGTTTTCTTCAATATGCAGCACACATTGAAAATGTGAAATATGAGGAAGACAAAGCTAGGGTTTATTTACTCATGTGGAAAAGGACAGGAGAATTCACAATAGAATTCTTATTATTCTATTTTCTTTTTATTGTCTATGTTTCAAGTACAGAAACCATCATTTTATTCCTAAAATCACCTACTCTGATCTTTTTTCTCTATTCTATTGTAGGGCTTTCTAATTTTTTTCACTCTTAAACAATCACCATGGACACATACCCTAGTTCTGTCGGTTTTTTATCTGATCTTTGCGTTTTACTGAATGCATTTTCAGATATATTTAAGAAAAGAAAAAGATTAATTTGTCAACTAATTGATTTGATTAACTGTAAGCAAGATTGATGCCTGTGATCTGCTTAAATAATGACAAACAGAGGCATAACCTGGAAGTCACCTTAGAGTTTAGAGTCTAGTGAAAAAGATTAATATTGCTCATATAGCTATTCAAGTTAATGTAACATTGCAAAATTAGCAAGTGCCATGAATAAGAGATAATTGGCACCATACAAGCATCTGTGAGGGTATTGATGCACTCAGGGAGGACAAGGAAGTTATCCCTTTGGAAATGGGTTATTGGCCTTGGGTGTGGATATGAATATGTTAACTGGAAGAAGAAGGAAGGTAAGAAACGCAGAAGTAACCACAAGTACAAAATTTTCATAGTGAGAGGGAGCAGGAGTGAAAAGAGAAAGGAGGCTTGAGAACTTAGTGCACCCTTTTGCATAAAATTTTAAATTGTGTTTAAAGAAATATTTTTTTCTTAAAAGAAAATGGGATACCATGGAGATCTTTTAATAAGTAAATACCAAATGATCATATGTTCGTTTCAAAATTATTTATCTAGCTGCAATGAGGATGAAAAATTTAAAGAAGGGAAGAACTGATACCATTTCATCACTTAGAAATTGTCAGGTAGTCTCAGAAAAGAGTATGTTTGCATGGAGCCCATTAGATTATGGAGATGGGGAGACATGTGTGGATTTGAATAATTCTTTTCTTGTGAAACCACAAGTATTAACATTTTGTTGATATGCAGTTAAAATGTATCTACTTATTTATTATCTGCCTACTTTAATATGTGGATGTGTGCGTTCTTTTTATCTATATTATCTACACCCTCAATTAGACAACACATGACTTAATGAAAATTAAAAATATATATATTTCATTTCATTCTGTTGTAAGTAAAGAAGGAGCTACAGATCTCTGTGTGTCAGGAAGCAAGTCGATTTCCATAATATCCACACCAATACCAACCCAATCTGCCTAAAATATCATCAGGAATATCCCCCCAGGATTACCAAATAAACTGCCTTCCCTAGACTTCCACGTATGCTAATATGTCTCCAATCCTAACATCTTTCCAGACTCCCAAAGATTTCCACTATGCCCTCTGAAATTCACAGTCTGTCATCTCCTATATCCTCAACCTCTTCTATGAACTTTTTAAAACATGTCTAATTAAAACCTAGCTTTCCACTAAGCAACTCGTCCTTCAGCCATAAAGTCTTCTAACTATTGGCCCTGACTTTGGAAAAGGTGTCCTCTTTGTTCCTCCAAATCATTGTTTTTCCCTTCTCTCTACAGTCCATCAGGTTTAAAGATCATGGATTGAAATTCAATATTCAGTATTCAAACTATAAATCTTGTTATTTTAAGTATAAGTAAAATATCTTTCAAATAATCTGTCATTTTGGAAATCTGACCTCTTCTCTCTTTTGGTCTTGCCCTTTATAGTACATGTCTTTGCTTGTAACTTATGATTCCTCTTACAAATAAAAGCATTTTCTTTAATTATGATCTCTGATGAGACCATTGAAAACTCTGTCCTTTTTCTCCCCTTTGCCCACTTGCAATTTTCAACTATTGACTTAGTTTCCAGCATTGTACAGCCCCTTTATATCCTCACTTGTTTCCTCATCCAGTCTACATGAATTATTATTATATTCATCCTTATTCTCTGTTATTCTGGCCTGGAAAAACAGCAGCCTTTCAAAATCCCATTTTCTGTCTACTCTCAAACTTCTCTAGGACAGCTAAACACAGTTGGAAAAAAATGACAACCTTGATGACTGTTCTCACTTTATATTCATGACCACCAACATCAAATAGACACCAATTCTATTTGATCCATCAATTCTAAGATATTTACAGAATATATATCTATTCTTATACAAACTCCTCTCTCTCTTTAAACTTTGATTATCTACCCTCCTTTCTTAAATCACAAGAAATAAAGGTGTTATCTATTTTCAAGGAGAAAATATATTTAATCAAGAGGCATTCCACCATCTCTCTCCAAAAATATATTACTATATTTGCATCTGTAAACATGCCCTCTGATACCCATTTTCTTAGAAAAGATGGCAGCTGGGTTTGACTTTTTCATAAACCCCAACCCCATCTTCCTCTTTTCTCCTTAAGGGTATCCCAAGAGCAATCCTTGCTTCTCTTTTTTTTTTTATCATTAATGTTAATCTATCTACTGGATTATTTCTATCAGCATACACACAGTACATAACACCTTCCTTCTTTAGTTACAGTCTCTCATCTCAATATCCTTCTGTAGCTATTGCTTCACTCTATACTCCGTTATATAGTTAATTGCTTTATAATTATGTTTTAAACCTATTACAACCAACTTTACTTGTCTCATTTCCTCTTGACCTCAGTTGAATCAAGGTTTTCTCATCATTCTATCAAATTGTTCTCATCAAGCTCAGCGTAACTTGCCACAATAGCAAATTATGGCATAATAATTTAGAATTCTTTCACTGATTATTTTTTCTTAAATTCCCAACCACCTTAATAAAAATCAGCTTAGATATTTGATATTTGATATACATTCACAAAGAAAATCTACTGATCTCCCAAATTTTTACATCTAATTATATGGTTTCTTAATTCTTCCAGTTATATATGCAAAACCATACAGTCATTGATATTTCCATCAGTCTGTTGTGTTTATTTTTACAACAAAATACTTAGGATTTTCTCTATGCATGTTGCAGTATACATTGAGCAACTATTTCTTCATCATGGGGTTTATAATACTCTAATCAAGGCATATAAATTTCTATGATTTAAAGGGGAATTGCCAACTACATTGGTCATACCTAAATATCTATCTGTTTTTCTAATTTTAAGACATATTTATTAGTTAATATCTCTATATATCCTAAGTGCACAAAAGTTTTAACTGTAATTAAAACAACCATGAAGAACACAGGTTTATGGAAGTGCTATAAATATAAAGCACACAAATTAGAATGCACAGACAAATACATTATTAAGAATAAAAATACTAGGAGAATTTTTTTTTTTTTTTTTTTTTTTTTTTACAGAGTCTCACTCTGTCACCCAGGCTGGAGTGCAGTGGCACAAGGCAATCAATCTCAACTCACTGCAACACCCCTCTCCTGGGTTCAAGTGATTCTCATCCCTTAGCCTCCCAAGTAGCTGGGATTACAGGTGTGTGCCACCATGCCTGGCTACTTTTTACTTTTTAGTAGAAATGGAGTTTTGCCATGTTGTCCAAGTTGATCTTGAACTCCTGGCCTCAAGTGATCTGCCCTCCTCAACCTCCCAGAATGCTGGGATTACAGGCGTGAGCAATTTATTAACAGTTGTGTGACCGTGAGAAATTAGCTAACTTTTAGAAAACTGAAGTATCCCATATTGAACATATAAATACTTATATTTGGTGGTCACTATCAGAATCACAAATGGTAATATTTTAAATAGTGAGCCATAGCTTTTATGCCTGCTAATATAGTTTGGATATTTGTCCCTACCCAAATCTCATGTTGAGATGTAATCCTCAATGTTGGAGGTGGGGCCTGATGGAAGGTGTTTGGGTCATGGGGGCATATTCCTCATGGCTTTGTTCTGTCCTTGCAAAAGTCTTTGTGAGATCTGATTAAGAGTGTGTGGCACCTCCCCATCCCCCTCTCTTCCTACTGTTTTTCACCATGTGAAGTGCCTGCTCCTGCTTTACCTTCAACCATGAGTAAAAGCTTCCTGAAGCCTTCCTGGAAAAAGATGCCAGCAATATGCTTCCTGTACAGCCTGCCACTCAGACCTCTTTTCTTATAAATTACTGAGTATCAGGTATTTATAGCAACTGCAAGAACTATCTAATATAGAAGATTAGTACCGAACCCAGTAGGGCATTGCTATAAAGATACTTGAAAATGCGGAAGTAACTTTGGAACTAGGTAATGGACAGAGGTTGAAAGACTTTAGATGGCTCAGATGAAGAAAGAAAGTTGAGGGAAAGTTGGAACTTTTAGAGACTGGTTAAATGGCTGTAACCAAAATAGTGACAGTGATATGGACAGTGAAGTCCAGGCTTCTGAGGTCTCAGATAAAAATGAGAAATTTATTAAGAATGGAGAAAAGGTCACATATGTGATGCCTTAGCAAGGAGCTTGGCTCCATTCCATTCATGCCTTAGGGTTCTGTAAAAGTTTTTACTTGAGAAACATATTTTACAATATCTGGTGGAATAAATTTCTAAGCAGCAAAGCATTCAAATGTGCCTCACTGCTTCTAACAGCCTATGCTGAGATACAGGAGCAAATAAATGACTTAAAGTTGAAATATCTATTTAAAAGAAAAACAGAGAGTAAAAGTTGGGAAATTTCACAGACTGGACATATGGCAGAGGAGGAAAAAGCTGTTTAGGGAGAGGAATTCAATCAGGTTGTGGAACAACCACTTGATAGAAAAATTTGCATAACTAAAAGAGAAAGTGTTAATATTCAGACAATGGGAAAAAGGCCTTGAAGGAATTTCAGTGCCCTTCACGGCAGCTCCTCCCATCACAGGTCCAGAGGCTTAAGAAGGAAGAAAGATTTCATGGGCCAGGCTCAGGGCCCTACTGCACTGTGCAACCTTGGGACACTGCTTTCCACACCCTGGCCACTCTGGCTCCAGCTTCAGCTCAAAGGGGTCTAGGTACAGCTTGAGATGCTGCTCCAGCTCCAGAGAGTACAAAATGTAACCCTTGGCAGCTTCCACATTATGGTGTTAAGACTTCAGGAACACATAATGCAAAAGTGAAGGAGGCTTGGAAGCCTTCACAAAGATTTCAGAGCATGTAAGGAAAAGCCTGTATGTTCAGGCCAAAACCTGCTGCAGAGGTGGAGCCCACACAGGGAAACTCTAACAGGACAGTGTGGAAGATAAATTGGGGTTGGAGGTTCCATAAAGTCCCCAGTGGGTCACTACCTAGTGGAACTGCGGAAAGGGGGCTGCTGTCTTCCATACCCCAGAATGGTAGATCCACTGGTATCTTGCACTCTGCACCTAGAAAAGCTGCAGGCGTTCAATAACCTGTGAGACCAACCACAGGGTCTGAATGCTGCAAAACTTCAGGGGTGAAGCTGCCCAAGACCTTGGAAGTCCAGCCCTTGCACCAGTTTCCCTAGGATGTAGGACATGGAATCAAAGGAGATTATTGTGTAACTTTAAGATTTAATGATTGACTTGCTGTATTTCAAACTTGCATGGGGCCTACAGCCCCTCTTGTTTGACTTATTTCTCCCTTTTGGAATAAGAATGTTCTTTTCCAATGCCTATACTCCTGTGAAAGGAAAATAAATCTCAGGACCCCCAAATCACTAAGTCAAGAGAAAAGTCGAGGTGGGAACTATGTCAGCCAAACCTGCCTCCCATTTTATTCCTAAATAGGATAGCTACCAAGATAAGAAGCTACATACCTCTCTCACATTTTGCCCACAGGAAATTTCTTGTGGACAAATGACAGACAGAACTCAAAAGTCATCCCTCTAAGTTTCACCTGAGACAAATACATATCTGATTGCTTCCTCTGCCCTATTGTTTATGTAAAGATGCACATTTACTGAGCCAGACTAAATTTTGAATTGAGTCAAAGACTGAACAAGAACTCAAAATACTGCAACCTATTGTCTCTTATCTACTTCTAACCTGAAAGCTCCCACTTCGAGCTGTCCCACTCTACTGGATCAAACTAAGGTACATCCTACACATATTGATGGATGTGCCATATCTCCCTAAAATGTATAAAAGCACACTGTACCCATGACCACCTTGGGCACATGTTGCCAGGACTTCCTGATGCTGTGTCAGGGTGCATCTTTAGCTGTGGCAAAATAAACTTTCCAAATGGAGTGAGACCTGTTGTAGATATTTTGGGTTAACAGTTTCATTGTATCTTGGAAGTAGATAACTTGTTTTTGATTTTACAAGCTCATTAGTAGAAGTCTTGCCTTGTTTTAGATGAAACTTTGGACCTTGGACTTTTGAGTTAATGCTGAAACAAGTTAACAATTTGGGGAACTTTTGAAAAAGCATGATTGTATTTTGGAACCTAAGAAGGACATGAGATTTTGGGAAGACCAGGGGCAGAATGATATAGTTTGGATATTTGTCCCTGCCTAAATCTTATGTTGCAATGTGTCCTCAATGTTGGGGGTGTGGTCTGGTGGGAGGTGTTTGGGTCATGGGCGAAGATTGCTCGTGGCTTGGTGCGGTCCTTGTAATAGTGAGAACTGGTGATATCTGGTTAAGTGTGTAACACACTCCCACTCTCGCCCCACTCTTAGTCCTTTTTTAGCCATGTGAAGTGCCTGCTCTTACTTTGCCTTGCACCGTGAATAAAAGCTTTTTGAGTCCTCCCCAGAAGAAGATGCTGACACCACGCTTTCTGTACAGCTTCAGAACCATGAGCCAATTAAACTTCTTCTCTTATAAATTACCCCGTCTCAGGTATTTCTTCGCAGCAATGCAAGAACGGCCTGATACACCTGCCACGTAACAAAGACTAAATAAGAGTTAGTAATCATTATTATTGGTGTATTTTTTAGATAATTTGCCAGATTCTTTTCTGAACTCTGTATTATATGCATTTTCAAAGTTTTATGTGTTTTTTGAAGTGTATGATATATATGCAGTATGGCCTTTGACTGAGATTGGAACTATTGCAGCTACATGCAAGAACTTAACTACAAACTCATAAGAAAACTTGTAGTATAAACAATAGACTAAGCCATTCCTGTGTAAGGAAATAAGTGCATATTGCTTTAAATTACTAACTTTTGTGTTAATTTCTCCTGCAGCAATAAACAACTAAAATATCAGATTTAAAAGGAAAAACGGAAGTTTGGTTTTGTACACTGTGGCAGAAGCCTGTAGTCCAACTCCACTTGGCCCAATTTATTTTAGCAAAGGTATGATGAACAATTCCATAGTTTACTGGTTTCCAACCAAGAATGTATCATAGTATTGCTCTGTTTTTTGTTTGTTTGTTTGTTTGTTTGTTTTTTACCAGATGTAGGCACAACTCTGAAGTGCAAGGGAGACAAAAAGGTTTTGCTTCAGATCGTGTTTCTAAGGTATACAAATTAAAAATATTATGTTTGAAATGCTGACTAGCTGTCTAAGTTGTAATGTTGAGTAGGCAATTTAATATAATGTCTGTAATTCAATATAGAGCTCTGCGCTAAAGACAAATTTGACAGTTGTCAGAAAATATATAATATTTAAAGCTAAAAGTCTGGATGATCTTCCAAAGGAGTAAAGGCAGAAAAACATATCAAGTACAAGAAGTATGTTATGAGGCACTTCAATAATTTTTGCTTCTAAATAAAACAGAAACTCCGATACTCTTATCTATTCTGCATTGTCAGATATTTTTCTTATGCTAGTAATATAATATATACAAACATGTGTATTAGAGATCTCCAGAATATTAGGCCAATAGGATGTGCAGGTAAATACATAGATAGGTAAGTAGATAGGTAGATAGATAGATAGGAAGATTACATAGATAGGTAGACATACAGGCAGATAGATAGATGATAGATATAGATAGATAGATAGATAATCATTATTGTAAAAAAAAAGGTTCACATAATTTTTTGGAGGCTGACAACTCTCAATATCTGCAGTAGGTAAGCTCAAGGCCAAGGAGAGCTGACAGCATAATGCCAGTTTAAGTCCAAAGGCCCGAGAACAAGGAGAACCAATGATGTAGTTCCATTCCAAAAGCTGTCAGTCTCAAGACCCAGGAAGGGGTAATGTTTGAATTTGAGTCCAGAAACAAATGCCTGTCCCAACTGAAAAGCAGTCAAGCAGGAGGAATTCCCTCTTATTCTGGGGATGGTCAGTATTTTGTTCCACTGATGCCTTCCACAGTGTGAATGAGACGTACTCATATTAGGGGGAGCAATCTGCTTTATCCAGGCTATCAATGCAAAGGTTAAATTCATCCAAAAGCACCCTCACAAAAACAAAGAACATAATGTTTGACCAAATATCTGGGTACTCCATGGCCCAGTCAAATTCTCATACAAAATTAACCATCACAACCTACATATATATGCCTTTACAAAGAGTTTACTTATGTATTTCTTCCATATTTCTTCAACCCCCCAAATTCTTAATCTTGAGTGCTTAAAAAGTTTTTCATTTCGAAACTAAGTTGGACATTTGTAAATTTTATTTAAAAATAACTTCAAACATAAAAAGTTGTACAAATACAAATATTTTAAGAAATATCATTATATCTTTTATTCACACTCAGCCATTGTTAATATTTTGCCCCATTTTCTCTATCACTTATTTGCTTGTACACACTCTCTCACACTCACTGTAAATAGACTTGTATCTGCATAATGTTTGAAATATCTGATGGTTAGTTGCATATATCATGGTGCTTTACCTATAAATATTTCTATGTGCATTTCCTAACAATTTGGATATTCTCTCATATAACCACAGTCCATTTAGAAAAGTTATAACAATATTTATATAATTACTCATATAAGTTGCTACTCATAATCCAAATTTGTTGACTGATTTCATGATTTTTTTATAGCATTTCTACCCCTTTAGTACAGGATCTAATTTAGGGTCAGGTATTGCAATTCTTCCTCATGTCTTTTAGTCTTTTTAATTTGGAACACTTTCATGGCCAATTTTTGTCATTTTGACATTGACATTTTTTCTGAAAACAGTATGCTAACATTTATTTCTCAAATAGAGTATTTCTCAATTTCTGCTTTTCAGATGTTTCCTCATGATTAGGTTGAGGCTATGCATTACTGATCAAAATACTACATAGATGATTGTGTCTTCTCAGGATATAACATCTAGAAGAAAATCATATCCATCTGCCACTCACAGTTGATGCCAGTCAGACTATTGAATTATTTTTCAGTTTTTAATTACGATTTTGTTTTGATGGTTTTTTTCCTTCCAACTAAAAAGCAGTCTGTTGGGACACTGGAATATCCTCCTCTTTATTCAAACCTGCCTCTTAATTTATCATCCAGTCTTTACTGTGTTTGTTATAAAATGATAGATTTCTTGGCCGGGCACGATAGCTCATGCCTGTTATCCCAGCACTTTGAAAGGCCAAGGCAGGTGGATCATCTGAGGTCGGGAGTTTGAGACCAGCCTGGCCAACATGGTGAAAACCCAACTCTACTAAAGTAAATATAAAAATTAGTCTGGTTTGTTGGTGCACTCCTGTAATCCCAGCTACTTGGGAAGCTGAGGCAGGAGAATCACTTGAACCCAGGAGGTGGAAGTTGCAGTGAGCTGAGATCACAACATTGCACTCCAGTTTGGGTGACAAGAGCGAAACTGCATCTCAAAAAAAAAAAAAAAAAGAAAAAGAAAAAAGAAAAAGAAAAAAAAAGATACATTTTTCAATTTCAGCATTCCCTCCACGTTTACAACTCTGATATCTTACTGTGCAAAAAAGCCCTCAGTTCTGATATGTGTTTGTGTGGGTATGTGTGTGTAATATAAAAATTGGCAATATATTTACATATATTTTAATATATATAACATTAATAAATATGTAAATAATTAAATTGAGGTAATTACATGAATTCTTATTTTCAATGTTTTATAATTAATTTAATTATCTGGGTCCTCAAATGGCCCCTATTTGCATAGTGAATCCTCTTCAAGCAAGGTAGCTCCTGTTTCCTTGTGACTTGCCTCCATTCTTACTTTCTTGCATAAATGATGTTCTAGATTTATCTCATACCTAACCTGCCACAGACCTGTAATCATCCATGTGTTCAAGAATCTCTTTTGATAGAGATCAAGATCTGAGTACTAAGTGTTCTCATGTCCAGTGGGGTATGTTTGCTTTGTTGCCGTTTCTTTGAAAAGGATTAGGAAATTAATGCACTCGTACACATATACATATCCACACTTGCAAATATAAACAGACATGTACATATACAGGCATACTGTGAAAGAAAAATAAATCTGGGGGTCCCCAAATCACTAAGCTAAAAGAAGCTAAAAGAAAAAGCCAAGCTAGAAACTGCTTAGGGACAAACTGCCTCCCATTCTATTCAAAGTCACCCCTCTGCTCACTGAAATAAATGCATATCTGATTTCCTCCTTTGGACAGGCTAACCAGTAATTCAAAAGAATGCAAACATTTGTCTCTTATTAACCTATGAGTTGGAAGCCCCCGCCCCACTTTGAGTCTTCCCGCTTTTGCTTCGAGTTGTCCTGTCTTTCCAGACTGAACCAATGTTCATCTTGCGTATGTTGATTAATGTCTCATGTCTCCCTAGAATGTACGAAAGCAAACTATGCTCTGACCACCTTGGGCACATGTCGTCAGAACGCCTTGAGACTGTGTCACGGGCACGCATCCTCAATGCTGGCAAAATCAACTCTAAATTAACTGAGACATGTCTTAGATTTTTGGGGTTCACAATACACTCACATATAATATATGCATATGCTTATAAATATATGTATATGTACATTTACATATTTTAAGAATCATAAGTTTGCAAAGGTACTTCCAGTTCTAATCCATTATCATGTGCTCTTTTATTGTTTTCCCCATTTGTTTATTTTCCACACTGAGAATGGAGAATCCCACCAACAATCATCAGCACGTTTGATTCAATTAATTCTATATTTCATGGAAATTAATTTCAGAACTTAAACTTCACTTACCACTACATATCTACTAAAACTACATCAGAGTGTTTTGCACTTTATTCCTTAATCCTCACAGCCCATCCTGCTCCAGACTCGGTACACAATCAACTAGTATCTATGTGTTAATAAGTCAACAGGAGAAGTTTTTTTTTCATTATTTCTTTCTCTTCTTTCTTATTTCCTTCTTTTCTTCTTTGTCTTTCTTTCTTCCTTCCTTTCTTCCTACCTTCCTTTTTTCCTTTCTATTCCTTTCCTTTTTTTCCTTTTTTCTCCCTCTCTCCTCCTTCTTTTCTTCCTTCCTTCTTTTCTTCCTTTATCTTTCCTTCCCTCCTTTTTCTTCTTTCATTTTTCCCTTTCTTTCTCTTCCTGCAGTGCGGTTAGTGTACTCACCTGAAATATAATTAAATTTATTTGTTGTCTTTTAAAGTGGGTTTCTTCCCCCTTTCATATTCTTACCGATTTAATTTCTTTTTATAACAATGATATTAATATGTTTTTAAAAGTCAAAGTGGTTTAAAAAGATAAACTTCAAGAAGTGCCTTGTCACTCACTCCCTTCAACCCATCCTTTGTACTAACTTTATTTATTTGTACTTCTAGTGCTTCTTTTTGTAATGAGAAAAAGACACATGTCAATTTTCATTTCTTTCTTACAAGCAAGGTAGCATACTATGTATATTCCTTTACATTTTTTTCACTAAATAGTATATACTGAAAATCACTCTAAATCAGTTTCACGTAGCTCTTTCTCAATTTTTGTAAAGCTGCATTAAAAGCCACTGCAATCACCAATACACTTCCTTTTCATGTCATTTTCATTGGATATTCAGTAATTACTTCAAACTCAGTATTTAAAACGGAGATCACCATTTTGTTCCACAAAATAACCTCCAAGGAGAAATTCAGTTTTTGTTTGTGGTATCTTTGTAACTTTTTAGGCCACTAAATAATTACTCCTGTTTTTACTCATTTACCTATCATTGTTATCATAGTTATACAACTATCATCCTTAAAATCATTTTATTCTTACAATACTTTCTACCTCATCATTGCTGCTACTTCAGTTCACAACATTTCCATCTTGTAGATATTTCATTGCCTTTGGGATTCTCCTTCTATTTTAATCTCATTTACATTTACTTGTCCATCTAAGATTTCTATAATATTATTTCCTGACATTCATCTGGGTTCAAAACCTACAACAGCCCCTCATTATTTACTTCTAGATGCTAAGAACCTTTCTATCAGTGCTTTTCTGGTTTATGCCAACTATTATTTATAATATCTCATATCTTGATCATATATTATGGGTTTACTTTGGCTTGTCTGCATTTGATTAAGCTGTTCATTTAAACTGGGATACACTCCTCATTCAGCCATCTAAATTTGTCACATTTCATGATTCTCCTGCGACAACTCTGGACCACATTCCTTTGAAACTCAACCACCTTCCTCATAATTCCTGAGATATTTTATAATTACATGAAAATCATTTATGTATCTATGTTCATCTTTATAACTTTATGAGATGTATCTTATAAAACAAAGCATAAATGTTAATAATTATTAAATATTTTCTGAATATTTACAATAAAACATAATTTAAAATATTCTGTTATATTTTATCATAATATTTTATAATTTATTTTACTTGTATATTTTCTTGATTAATTTTAATTTTAATTAGTATTTTTATTAATAATAAAGTCATTTTAGCTTACTCCAAGCCAAGAATCTTAGTATTTAAGATATTCTTTTACAGATTTACACTGAGCCAGTGTTGTTAATATGAAAATATTTTCCAAGATTGATGGACTTTTCATCTTAATTTAGTCAATGGTATGTTAGATATTATTATGACAGAAATAAATTAAGAGCAACATATCTGTACATTAGCCTATTCTATTTCAGCTTCTTAAAATAGCTGATAGTCCTCCTGCACATTGTATATTGTGTATTTATGTTAATTATTGAAGTAACCGGGACTGAAGTCTTTACTGGGGATATCAATTTAATATTCATGTGTAACTATCCATACACTCTTATTTAGTAAACACTGATGATTTTGTTTGAATTAAGACCTTCTAGCTTCAATAACCATTGTCATTATGGATGGTGTTCTTGCGATAAAAATGAAAAATATATCAGTTTAAACTGGGATGTTCTCCTCATTGGATCATCTAAATTTGTTATATTTCATGATTCTCCTGCAACAACTCTGGAACACATTCCATTGAAATTCGACTACCTTCTTCATAATTCCTAAGATATTTTATAATTGCATGCAAATTTCTTATGTATATTATGTTATGTTCTTATGTATATTATGGTATATTATGTTATATAAAATTTCTTATGTATATTATATTATATTATGTTCATCTTTATAAGCCCTTCTTTGCCTAATGGAGCCCCTTCAAACAAGATGGACCCTCTTCCTTTGTGACTTTCAAAGAGTTGTAAGCACCAGCTAGACTATTGCACAGTGCATTTTTAACGTCTTGGTTTATTTTCCCCATTGCTACCATTAACAACACGTTTGGATTACTGACAAGTCTATATAGTTTTTGTTGTAGCCTAAGAATGTAAGGATGTATACAACGTATGCCAAACGTTTGATTAGGATAGTAAATACAACTGGAGTTCAGGAAAAGCTATGGCATTTCCAGTGAACCAAGTGACAGGAGAGGTCATTTTCGGGAGACTAGAGGATAAAAGTTTAGAGAAGTCTTAAGAACAGATTTTCATCCGTGAATTCCAGACTCAGGAGTATGGGTTCCAATGTAGGCTTTCAAATCTGATCTTTCAGATGTAAAATATAATACTAACTTCAAATGATTAATATGTTTATGTGACTTACAATTCATTTTAGTGGCAATAAACGCGTTAAGAATTGGTTGAAACAGGCAGAAAATGTGAACTGCCTGGAAGAAGGGTATGTATTAAATTCTCATTACAGTTGCAAATTCAGACTCCATCTTTGGGTTTTCATTTACAGTAAAAGCACACTTTTGCTGCATTTATAGAAGATTATTAATCTGAACTCTTTTTCCTTTCAGTGCAGTTATTTGTATCAGATGAACATTAAGACCTTACTTCTATTACTTTAAAAAGGTCTTGACCACCAGATAAAATCCATTAAGGAAAATTCCACTTACATTGATACCATGTTGCCTCTTCAAGACTGGTAAAGTGCAAAAAATCTAAAATTCTCAGTACAGTAATTACAACTTCAGAGAAATTCTCAGAATGGATAATGTAACAAAGTAACTTCTTATCATTTCTGGACTTCGAATAAAGGACAAAAAGTTAATTGACTAAAATGATAACGTTTAGCTTTGGAATGAAAGCACATTAACCTGTAAAGTCAATTTATTTCATTGAAAATAAATGATTTTACCTCACTACATTTTCACTGTAGAAAGCAATTGTGGGAAAGAAACATCATTAAACCATAAATTGCGAATATTAACAAAAGTTATTAGTAATGGTTAAATAAATTCACTTTTATAGCATTCATATAAACATGGCAGGCACACAAATGTGTGTGATTATCTTAGAACAGTTGAGACACCATTCGAAGCATGCACTTATATATTCTCTAGAATCTGCTTTAATCAGAGGAGCACATAAATATGAGATGATGCATGATAAGCAATAAAGAGACATGGGTTGAGAAACTATGAGTTAACAATGTTTGCAATATATTGAGAACTATATAAATAAATAGATATTTCAAACTGCATAATTAAGGATGTCTCTTTAAACAAGGAGTGGTTTTATTTAAAAGTGTATTTCCATCCACAAAAAGCATATGGCAAGTGGAATAATTGCTGTGTTATAAACCCCATGTAACTTTAACTTAAACAAAAAAAGGAATCATTAGCCACAGTACTGAGCTTTGTTACTCAAAGAATAGCCTTCATTCTAAGGCTGTAGTTGGCCAAAGGTTTGATGTAAATGTCTTGTTTTAATTATCTGAAAATTATTGTTAATTCAAAGTCATAGAATAAGAAAAATTTGTTTACTATAAACTTTGGATCAGTCCATTATTTCTATCATTGTTGAATTGTTGAGCAGAATAAGTACTGTATGAGTATCTGAGGCTCATACAAGTCATTTAATCTGTATGAGCCTCAGATAGTAGTATGATAATAGCAATAATCTACATTTTTATCGTTACTAGGATGGCTAGGAGGATGATTAAGTGTAATAATCTGGGTGTGAACATTTTTACGTAATGAAACTCAGAATTGATATTAACTAATTTGATCCATGTGTTAGGCCACTCTTTTTTCATTTCTATAAAGTAATACCTGAGGCTAGGTAATTTTTAAAGAAAAGTGATTTAATTGGCTCACAGTTCTGCAGGCTGTATAGGAAGGGTGGTGCTGACATCTGCTTTGGGTGAGGTTTCAGGTAGCTCAGAATCATGGTGGAAGTCAAATGGGAGGCAGACTTGTAACATGGCAAGAGTGGGAGCAAGAGAGAAAGAGGTGGGAGGTGCCAAAACAACCAGATCTCACATGAGCTCAGAGCAAGAATTCACTTATCACCAAGAAGATGGTGCTAAGACATTTATGAGGATATGCCTCAATCACCTCCCACCAGGCCACATTTTCAACATAGGGAATCACATTTCAACACAAGATTTTGAGGGCACAAACATCCAAAGCATAATGATCAATCACAGTCTCTGAACATTTTACTAAGGTCCTTAAGGCAGGATCAAGGAAAAGCAAAACAGCTCTTTGATTTGAATTAAAGGATCTTGTGCATTTTCCTTCATGGAACTTGATTTTAGGTTAAGGTATTGGAAACTTTTTTTCAAAATAATGCATAAATAAGGAGAAGTCATTAACCCTTGAGTTTAAGTATATATTTTTAGATTTCTAAGAGCAAATGACAGTCTGAGATAAATAGGAAATAGATGGATTTTTCTGTGAAACAAGTAAAACGAATCTTGACCGTTCATTGCAGCATTTGCACGGTACCCTGGTGATGTCCCTGAGGTAGCTGGGAGCAGGGGTGCAAAGAAACACATGGGGCTTGAATTTCTTGTTAAATATTTTTGAGAAAAGATTTACTCAGGTAAAAATCATATGAAAAATAATAAATTTAGAGGATGAGCTATGAACAAATCATGAGTCATCAGGAAGTCAGTGGGTCCACACAGAAACCGTAAGAGAGAAGGGGTTAGATACAAGTTTACTTACATCAAAATTTCCCTGGACCTAGGCTGATAGGACACCCATCTTCCATTCAGAGGAGGGACATAAATGCAGCCAAGAGTCTTATAAAAACTGAGAGTATGGAAAACAGTTCTGCCATCAGAGTTTACTCTTTTCTGTCATGTTTTCTTCACTACCTCCATCTATAGTTTGCATATTTTGTCTGCTAATTTGCCAGTCACCAAGTGGCAACCATCTTTAACATCATGACCCAAAAAAACTTGGTTACAATCCCTAACCTGGGACCACAAATCTCTGTTGTGCTTTTAATATATTCTACGAAAGACCTTAACCAAGGAGAAAAATGGGAGATGAAATCTAGTTGGCATTAAACTCACTAATGCTTACTCCCTTGCTCTGGAATGCGTCCACTGAGGAAGAGGTACCCTTTCTTAACTTATAAAAGGGCAAGCTACATTTACTTCTTTCATGGCGTAACTTCCTGTTCATTCGGTGTGTTATCTTTAGCCAAGTAATAACGTAAGCACAATGGGTTGTAGTATCTCCTGTGTCTTAGTACTATCCTTTTCACATAGTACACATTCCCTAATCACTTTTAGGATTATTATTGAATGAATGTCCCATGTGATAAAATCGATCCACATAACTGTTTATAAAGAACTTTAAGAAGCTGCTTGTGCCTATAGACTTTATGACTTTTTAAAAAATGTTAACTGCAAGATATTTTTTCCACTATATAAATTTCATGAATCATATTTAAAAATACTTAATTCATTCTAAATCCCAACTTCAAATTAGGTTGTCTTCTACTTTGATTTGCCTGTCTGGATTCTTTAATTGCTGTGATAGTCTCCATTGGAGTAGATAATAAAAGGTAAACGCCACAGGAAGGTGATTCAATCATTGTTTCTCACTAACAAAACTAAAGGTTCCCTACTTTGGAAGGGAAGAGGGAGTTTCTGTCATGTGGCAGATTCCATGTCTACTTGCAATCATTCTATTCCACTTACGAGTGAGCTAACTGAGTATGAGAGAACTTAAATGACTTGGTAAAAGTAACTCATCCTGTAAGTGCCAGAAATGAAAGTCCAGTATTCAGACGAACAACTAATTTGTCTGGATGGTATTTTAGTTACACTGACTGTGCTTTCACAATGATGAAGTATTTTGTTTACCTGGGAATTTCAGCTAATTATCTCAGTACTTTTTCAACATAATGAAAAATGACCAATTTGAGTGATTGTATTCTCCCCCAATTAGGTAACATTTTTCTCATTTAACTGAATGTGTTGACACCATTATTGCAAAGTCCAGAATTCCCAATTTCCTACTGAATACAGGTACATGAAGTAAAACACTAAGAACCATTCACATAAGCTAGGGAAAATTTACCACCAAGTATTTACATATGGCCTTTAATGAAAATAAGTGTTTGCTTGTTTTAAACTCTTTTTTAACTATTGCTGTTTTTTGAGAACTTAAAAAAATTCCAGGCCAGGTGTGGTGGCTCACACCTGTAATCCCAGCACTTTGGGAGGCCAAAGCGGGTGGATCACGAGGTCAGGAGATTGAGACCATCCTGGCTAATATGGTGAAACCCCGTCCCTACTAAAAATACAAAAAAAATTAGCCAGGCATGTTGGTGGGCACCTGTAGTCCCAGCTACTCGGGAGGCTGAGGCAGGAGAATGGCATGAACCCGGGAGGCGGAGCTTGCAGTGAGCTGAGATCGTGCCACAGCACTCCAGCCTGGGTAACAGAGCAAGACTCTGTCTCAAAAAAAAAAAAAAAATAATAATAATAATAATTCCACTGGTGATTCTCAGCAATCTTACATAATATTCACTTTCTCAAAGAAAATAAACTATTCAGTATTAAATTATGCCTGGAATATACATTTCTTTAAAAATCAAAGATATTTAAGCATGCCAGATAATAAAATTTTGGAAATAACTTACATATAGGTCTTTTATATATCTGTTAAAATATATGCAAAGAAAGCAGTGAGAATTTAGCCCTCTGTCCAGAAATGTTTATGGAAAAATATTTATATATTTATGTGTGTGTGTGTGTGTGTGTGTGTGTGTGTGTGTGTGTGTGTGTTGGTTTAGATTTTGCTTCAATAAAGGCAGTCAAATCACAACCTTGCTTAGAAATGAGACTTTTCTTCAAAAACTGTAAACAGGATTTTAGATACATATCTAGGCAATATGCAAATGTAGGCTTCTTTAAATCAAAGGTAGTTCTGGGCAGGTATTTTAACCATGAGTTATATAGTTTGGCTCTGTGTCCCCACCCAACTCTCTTCTCAAATTATAAGCCCTATGTGTTGAGCGAGGAACCTGTAATCCTCATCTGTAGAGAGTAGAGGAAGGGAGGTGACCAGATCATCGGGGCGGTTCCCTCCATGCTTTTCTTGTGATAACTAGTGAGTGCTCAAAGTATCTGATGGTTTTATAAGTGTTTGACAGTTCCTCCTATAAGCTTGCTCTCTTTTGCCTGCCACCATGTAAGATGTGCCTGCTTCCCCTTCCCCTGTGATTGTTTCTTGAGGCCTCTGTGTGAGTTCCTCCATGTGGAACTGTGAGTCAATTAAACCTCTTTCCTTTATAAATCACCTAGTCTCAGGTCTTTATAGCAGTGTGAAAATGGACTAATACAATAAGCAAATGCTTATTTCATGTAGAACTGGTAAAATAGGTTTAACTAATAATTAAATTAAACATCAAACCACCTCACTCATTTGTGCCATGTTCTTTAAACAAAAATTAGTTCTCCAATTACATAAGAACATATGAAGTAATTTTTAGTTATGCATTTCAATGTTTTTTGACATATTTCTGGTAAAAGAGTGCTATGTGCTGCTATTCTTTTTTAAAAGATGACAATTTGTAGATACATATTTAAATATAGGTATAAGTATACATATAGATAACAGGTATAGATGATATAGATAGTGATCACATGAGTATTTCAATGAACTGGAATCTTTAGTTATGACTTTATGATCTGAAGATGTTTTGATATATATATATATTTTCCATTTTAAAGAGCAATAGGAAAGGTAAATGCATTTTATTCTTTGCAGTCAAGATTATAATCTTTTAGAAGAAAACTATAAATACAGAAATACCATAATTCAAGGAATAAATGTGTAACTACAATAATATAGGTGGGAAGCACTATGATGCAGCAAAATAAAATAAATCAGCACTTGAATACGTCTCCCTGTGATGAGGTAGGCTATCTGTTGTAGCTCCAGGTAAACGGTGACCTTGCCAAATCATTGAAACATGTGGTACTCAGTTTTCATTTTCAAAAAAATCAGTGAGTTGGTCCTAGGTTCCTTTAAGCTTCTATTTTTGATAACAAAATTGCCATGGCAACTGGTTGGAACTTTCATTAAAAGAAAAAAAAAACCTGCCTTTTGATGAAAAAGGAAAAGAAATTCCAGAGAAAGCAAAGTGTATAACACACACACACACAAAGAATTTCTTGAGATAAACAAAGCCGAAACCAAACTAAATAAAACTAAGCAACAAAAAGCAACATGGGACAAAAGAAAAATGTTCTTTAGGAAAAACATAGTTTCAATTCAGTTGGAGTACAATTTTATGTCATTTCGTGATAAGCAATAGGGTGAGGGTTGGAGATAGTTGCAGAAATCCTGAATGTCAGAATGTTATTACATTTATAGTTAATTTGGTAGGGGAGAGAGATGGTCATTGAATTCATTTGAATATGACTGGATCTGTTCTGGCAGATTAGTGAGAATAAGGAAGACCCTCGAAAGGTGTATAATTAGAAATCTATGCAACGAATTCAGAACCAAATTAATGAGGATCTAAATTGACATGACAAATATGAGAATAGAATGAAGGAGAGAGGAAAGGACATTAAAAAGAACAGAATGCATAGGGTTTTTTGTGTAAGAGTGTGGATGGAGAAAATTTGAAAATTTAAATGTGAATACCTGAATAAATCATGGTGTTATTTAAAGAAGAAAATCATGAGGAGCGTGTCTTTGGGCAGAGCAGACTAAAACCAAAATAAAACTACATATAACCTAAAAGCTAGGAAAAAGATTGAAAATCAGTAAGATAATTTATTTATTCCATATATTAGAAACCCAAGGGTCAAAGAAGTGATTTGTCTAAGCCAGATGACTAATACAGAAAAAATGTTGAAACATGCTTAGTCAGAGGGGCTAGTACAGAAGCAGGTGAAAATATCCAATAAGGCAGTAGGTTACAACTGAAGCCAGCAGTAAAATTACAGTTTATTGTAAGAGTTAAATGATTATCTCACTAAAGTAATAATTTGGAAGAACCCTACAAAAGACTGCCTTCTTACTATGTCAGGGATCGCATAACTATTGCATTAAAATTTTAGGACAACTGATATTCTTACAACATCTTCAGATTACCTACTGTAAAAATACTGGAAACATAAAACATTATGAAAATATTTTCATACAGAATAAATTTTCTGTAACTGATACTGCTGGAAACAAAAAATTAAGTATTCTATCTTAAAAATATTCAGAAAATATATATTTCCTATTTAATGACTCCTAGTTTTTATAAATTTCAACACAGTGATGGGGTTCACTACATTCTACCCCAAAATATGGCATCTTGTCATTTGAGAAAATAGCAGAAGCAAGATCAGTCTTTCACTTTTCCCTGCCCTTCTTTCCTGAAGCAGGTCATAAAAACTACAAAGGATTATCTGACATTTTCCTGAAGTAGGTCATAAGACTTTCATTTAAGAGGTGCCCTCCCTATACCTAGAGGCAAAGAATATCCTTATCTCTGAACACACAGGGATACAAAGAAGAATCTGAAAAAAACGGGCCTTGCTAAGTTAGCCCTACTTCATTATCATTATATCATACCTTTTGTCCTCCAATCATATTCCTCCACAACTGTCCACTATTAATTAAATCTAAACATAAAAATACACGTTTTTCTATTTCTTGAAGTCTTCATTTCTCAAAACTCTCATGCCATTTAAAAGTTATAATCAGGAATTTGTATACTTTTCTCTTGTTAATTGGTCTTTTGGTATAGGAACATCATTCGTAATCCTAGCAATTGATAAGAAAACATATTCCCCCCCCCTTACAATTTCAAGTAGATGATCAAACATGGAGGCATCTAGATATAAATATGTTCTGTGGAGACCACCACTCAGCCATCCAGACATCTTTGAGTACTGAAGACCATTTCAAAAAGTTAAATAAAGTAAATAAACAAAAGGGGAGAGACAAGTGAAGAAGATGAAGAAGCAGGAGAATAAGGAGAAAGGAATAGGAGAAATGAAAGAAATAAGGGAACAAACTAGAAAAGAAGAGGGGAAGAGAGGGAATCAGGAAGAAGGAAGGAAGAAGTCACAAAATCTGATCCCTTTCCTCACATAGTAGATCAAGTGAGGATGTTCAACTAACCTATATTCTCAAATATATGAGAGACTGGAAGGGGTTTCTTCACCTCTGCCTACATTCTGTGCCTAGATTTAGAAACATGGCTCTCCTAAAAATAAGGGACTCTGGAGAAGGAAAGCAGAGTTGAGAAATGAATGCTTGCATTGCCTCTGCCACGTAATTTTGATTCTTCAGGTTAATGCCTCCTTTGCACAAGGTATTGCCTTCGTCTTCCAAGTAACTAACACATAGCAATCTCATTCGGGCTTCATCATGGCTAGCTCTGCAATAACATTATTTGCTAAGTGGATCATCTTTGAGAATATTTGTTTTTTATTAGACAAGAAAACATTTCTGATTTAAATAATAAATAATAAATTTATATGGAATGAGAGATGGTGAAATCTAGTAACCTCCTCCATATTATCATTAAATTAACAGCCACCCACTTTTTCTTCTAACACCAATTATGATAACAGAGAATATATTAGACAATTGTTTCAATGTACTTTGGAAAGAATACAATATGCACACACATATAATCATAACACAAAATTAATAAAAATAATTTATTATATTTAGTGTTTTTACTTAGAAAAAGTATCATGAACAGGGTATAACATTTCTTTTTCTCCACATCCTTGCCAAAATAAGTTGTTTTTGAATTTTTAATAACAGACATTTTGACTGGTGTGAGATGTCATCTCATCTTGGTTTTAATTTGTATATCTATGATGATTAGTGAAGACGAGCATTTTTACGTTTGTTGGATGCTTGTATGTTTTCTTTTGAAAAATGTCTGTTCATGGCGTTTGCCCACTTTTTAATGGGGTTATTTATTTTTTTCTTGTTGAATTGAGTTTCTTATAGATTCTGGATATTAGTGCTTTGTCAGATACATAGTTTGCAAATATTTTCTCTCCCATTCTGTAGGCTGTTTGTCGATTATTTTTTCACTGTGAAAATGCTCTTTAGTTTAAACATAATTTGTCTATTTTTATTTTTGTTTCATTTGCTTTTGATGTCTTTCTCATATATTATTTGGCAAGACCTACATCAAGAAGAGTTTTTCCTAGATTTTATTATGGGATTCTTACAGTTTGAAGTCTTACAGTTAAGCCTTTAATCAATAGTAAGTTAATTTTTGTGTATGGTGAGAGATAAAGTCCAGTTTCATCCTTCAGCATATGACTATGTAATTTTTCTAGCACTATTTATTTAATAGAGTGTCCTTTCCCCATTGTCTGGAGTCAACCTAAGTGTCCATCAACAGATGATTAGGTAAAGAAAATGTGTATATACACGCAGGCACACACACACACACACACACACCAAGGAATACTATGCAGCCATACAAATAGTATTGTGTCTTTTGCAGAAACAAGGATGGAGTTGGTGGCCATTATTCTCAGTGAAATTATTCAGAAACTAAAAATCAAGTATTGTATGTTCTCACTTACAAGTGGACCTAAATAACGGGTATACAAGAAAATACAGAGGAAAATAATAGATACTGGGGCTTCCAATAGAGGGCCAGGTAGGAAGGGGTGAGAGTTGAAAAATTACATAGTAAGTACAATAGTCACTATTCAGATGATAGGTAAATGCAAAGCCTAAACATCACCATCATACAATATATTCATGTAACAAACATGCACATGTACCCCCTGAATCTATATATATATTTTTTAATTTAAAAAAGGAAAAAGCATCATGGGTGAACATCTCTGATTTTTCCCTTTAATTCTTTAGAATTGATGACAGCTCTGTATGCTTTATGTTAATTAGTTTGCTTAAATTAAAACTCATTTTTCCTAAAATTATTATTATTATTATTATTATTTTCTGAGATGGAGTCTTGCGCCATCACTCAGACTGGAGTGCAAGAGCGCGATGGGCTCGGATCACTGCAGCCTCCGCCTCCTGGGTTCAAGTGATTCCCATGCCTCAGCCTCCCCCAAGTAGCTGAGACTACAGGTGTAAGCCACTATGGCTGGCTAGTTTTTGTATTTTTTAGCAGAGACGGGGTTTCGCTATGCTGGCCAGGTCAGTCTCAAACATCTGACCTCAAATGATCCGCACATCTCGGCATCCCAAAGTGCTAGGATTACAGGCTTGAGACACCGCGCCCTGCCTAAAATTATGGTTTTTAACAGCTTTAATGAGATATGGTCAATAAACAAAATGCTGCACATATGAAATGTGCAAAATTTGATGAGTTTGGATATACGCTTAAACCTGTCAAAGATCACCATCATTAAAGTAATAAACATATTCATTACCTCCAAAAATTTTCTTGTGCTCCACTGTTAAAATTGCCTTTAATTGTTGATAGCTCTTTTCTGTTCCTTATAACTTTTATTTAGCTAAATATAATTATAAAACTGGCTACTACTATTAGTACAACAGATTCATAAACAATTGTTATGAGAAGAGATTAATCCTGAAGACAATTCTTCTAGGAAAATATTTTAAATCAAAATACTTTTGGGTAATTTAGTGAACTGTAACTGTCAAATATGACCAGAGATACTTCTATTTATTATACATAAGTAACCCTAATTAATTTTGCATTGTGATTGTTTACATATTGTATAATATTATATTCCGAATAGGGCAAACTGTTTAGAATAAAATGTTTATTACTTAATAAATATTTATAATCTCATAAACAACTAGAAAAATTTCGAGTGAAATTAATAAGAAACAAATATGCTATGATCTCTGCTCTGTTTGCGTCATTCTAAATTTAAAAGAATAATAATAACAAATGTCTCATTTCACAAAGCTAAGGCACAACTTTTAATTATATTTTTAGGCATCTGAAATATAATATTAACAAATGGGTACTAAACAATATGAAAGTGCTTATAATCTAAAGAAAATAAGGATACTGTCTTCAATCTTTACATGAAATTTAAGTTTGTTTAGACATTAAGACCATTCTGTCCACATTTTCCTGTCATGTAGACAGGTTTATTATTAATCAAAAAAACTACTGGTTTCTGTATAACCAATTGCTTATTGATTATATTATGTATACAGGGATAATATTAATCAGCATTTAATGTCAACCACTCAAGAAAATTTAAGAGCATCTCTAATATTACATTAACAAATACTATAAGTTATTGGAAGTCTATAGTTTAAATATCGACTTCTGGTTTGAAATCTTTTCCAGTTGCTAATGCCACTTCTACGGCCCTGTAAACTTTCATATAAACATCTACAAAATACACTTATTACATACATTTGTTTGGCAATATGTACCATAATGTGCTAAGAAACACATAAGTCAAACAGAAAAGTTTTAGCTAATTGATTCAATGATATCTTTTCCCTTTTACTTTCAACTGTTATTTTAGATTCAGGTGATACAAGTGCAGGTTTGTTACATGGCATATTGCATGATGCTGAAGTTTGGGTATGATTGATCTTGTCACTGAGGGAATGAGCGTAATACCCAACAGTTAGTTTTCAGTCCATGTTCCCCTTCCATCCTACAGCCTCCAGGAGTCCCCAGCATGTATTGTTGCCATCTTTTTTTTCCATATTTACTCAAAGATTAGTTTCCACTTATATGTGAGAATGTGTGGTATTTAGTTTTCTGTTTCTGTGTCAACTAAATTAGGGCAATGGCCTCCAGCTGCATCCAAATTGCTGCAAAAGACATGATTTTGTTTGTTTTTATGATTTATATGTAGTATTCTGCGGTGTATATGCACCATATTTTTTTAATCCGGTCCACTGTTGATGGGAACCTAGGCTGCTTCCATGCCTTTGCAATCGTAAATAATACTGTAGAAAACATACAATTGCATGTGACTTTTTAGTAGAACAATTTATTTTCTCCTGGCTACATACTTAGCAATGGGGTTGCTGAGTCAAATGGTCTTCCGTTTTAAGTTCTTTGAGAAATCTCCAAACTGCTTTCCACAGTGGCTGAACTAATTCGCATTCCTACCAACAGTGTATAAGCATTCCTTTTTCTCCACAGTCTCACCAGCATATTGTTGCTTTTGACTCTAATAATAGCCATTCTGACTGGTGTGAGATGGTATCTCTTTGCAATCTTGATTTGCGTTTCTCTGATGAGTGATGTTGATAATTCCTTCACATGTTTGTTAGCCACTTGTTTGTCTTCTTTTGAGATGTGTTTATTCATGTATTTTTCCCACTTCTTAATGGGGTTGTTTCTTGGTTGTTGTGTTGTGTACGTTCTTGTTGATTCTGATGTTAGACCTTTGAGATATGCGTAGTTTGCAAATATTTTCTCCTATTCTGTAGGTTGTCTATTTACTCTGATGATAGTTTCTTTTGCTGCACAGGGGCTCTTTAGTTTAATTAGGTCCCACTTCTCATTTTGTTGTTGTTGTTGTGGCAATTGCTTTTGAGGACTTAGTCATAAATTATTTCCCAAGCCCAACATCCACAATGGTATTTCGAGATTTTCTTCTAGATTCTTAGAGTTTTAGGTCTTAAATTTAAATATTTACTCCGTCTTGAGTTAATTTTTGTGTATGGTGAAAAGTAGGGATCCAGTTTCATTTTTCTGCATATTGCTAGCCAGCTATCCTAGCACCATTTATTGAATAGGGAGTCCTTACCCCATTGCTTATTTTTGTCAACTTTGTCAAAGATCAGATAGGCATAGGTGTTCTGGTTTATTTTCTGATTATTTATTTTGTTACATTGGTTTATGTGTCTGTTTTTGTATCAGTACCATGCTGTTTTGGTTACTGTAGCCACAGCAAGTTTGAATTTGGGTAATGTGATGCCTCCAGTTTTGTTATTTTTACTTAAAATTGCTTTAACTATACGGACTCTTTTTTAGTTCCCTTTGAATTTTAGAGTTTTTTTAATTATATACAAATGGCATTGGTATTTTGATAGGCATAGCATTGAATCTACAGATTGTTTTGTGAAGTATGGCCATTTGAAAGATACTGATTCTCCCAATACATGAGCATGGAATATTTTTTCATTTGTTTGTGTGATCAATGAGTTTTTCAGCAGTGTTTCTAGTTATATTTCCAGGGATCTTTCACTTTTTTTATTAGATGTATTTCTAGTTTGTGTGTGTGTGGGGGGAGGTGGGTGGTGTGTGTGTGTGTGTGTGTGTGAGAGAGAGAGAGAGAGACTATTGTAAATGGGATGTGTTCTTGATTTGGCTCTCAGCTTGAATGTAATTGATATATAGAAATTATACTAATTTTTATACATTGATTTTGTTTCCTGAAAGTTACTAAAATCATTTATCAGGTGCAGCAGCCTTTTGGGAGAGTCTTTAGGGTTTTCTAGATATAAAATCATATTGTCAGTGAAGAGAGATAATTTAACTTCTTTTCCTCTTTTGATGCTTTTTAATTTTTTCTTTTGCTTGGTCCATTCTATTCATAAATCTATTAATTGTATTTTCAAATTTCTAAAGTGAGTTTTTCAATTCCAGTAGCTCAGATTAAATTCTTTTTAATATGTTTATAATCTTTGTTTCCTGGATTGTTTTGGAAGTTTCTTTGTGTTGATTTTCAATGTCGTCTTGGATCTTGTTGAGCTTCTTTGCAATACATATTTGGAATTCTTTACTTGTCATTTCTGAGTTTCCATTTTTGTTAGGGAACATTACTGGAGAGCTGCTATAATCCTTTCATGGTGTTACTACATTCAGATTTTCTGTGGTGCCGTGATTTTTATGTTGGTTTCTCCTCATCTCCATATAATGGCACTTCTAATTTTTGTACTTATTTTCATGTGGGTAGGATTTTTTCTATCTTTTTCTTTCCGTATAATATTATTGTGTTTTTCTTTCCCTTTCCCTTCCTCCCCTTCCCTAGTGTGTGTGACTATAAATAATATTGAGTAGAATTTTTGGCTTCCCTTCTGTGGTCCAATGCACTTCTGTCAGCAGGTTTTATATTTGATTTTGTGGTCTGACTTACAAGCCAGTAGATGGCACTTATGGATAAGAGCCAGCTGAGGCCAATGTGACTGGGTATATACTTGATCCTTGTTTCCTGAAAGAAGCTCTCTGTTGCCTCTATAAATAGGCTAATCTGTGGGAGTGCACAGTTGTCTGAACTCCTTGGTCAGCCCGATGTCTGCACAGGATGGATGGGGTGGCTCAGGCTGTTAATCCAGGCAAATGGCAGCTCTGACTGCCTGGATATCTGCCTGGGTGTGGAGCAAAGAAGGTCTGGCTGCACCACAGTGTCTGTGAAATAAGGATGAGACAGCTCATGCTGCCTATCTGGATGAGGAGACGCTCTGAAGGCCTGGAGATCTGCCTTAGTGTGAAACAGACAGGGCCCCCTGCACCTAGGTCTCTGAACAGGAAGGGTTGGTGGGTCCGACTGCCAATCTGGGTGAGTGGGCGCTTTGAATGCCTGCCTGGGTGTGGAGCAGAGAGTGGGCCTCTACACCACAATCACTGTCAAGAAAAGGTGGGGCAGCTCAGGCTGCCAAACAAGGCACATCAGTGCTTTTAGAGCACGTGTTTCAGTCTCTGGCCCAAGACTAAAATGCTTGCATTGCCACATTGACAGGTCACCAAAGAATGATTGACTTCATGTGCCCCTGGATTAAGAATGGCATCCTTCTCTTGGCCTTGGGTCTGGGAAAATGCCAGAAGCTTTTCCGAGTGTCTCTCCCTCCCAGAGTCTCCAAGCCTCTCCCCATGTTAGCTCCAGGGCTTGGGAAAATCAAAGTGCTCTCCTTTAGCCTGAGTTGCTTGGATCCCCAGTGGAAAGGTGAGTTATGGAGGGAGGGATTCTCCTCCCTCTCCTGATGTGTCTTTTTTGGCCGCCTGAGCTGCCCCACCTTCTCTTGACGGTGATTGTGGTGTAGAGGCCCACTTTCTGCTCCACACCGAGGCACGCATTCCAAGCTCTCTCACATACTCAGACTTCACTCACTTTTATTGGCTATACACTGTCACAGGGGCTGTTTGCCCACATTCTCCTCCTTGGGATCTGGTGTGACCATCATGATTTTGGTGTATTCCCATTTTCCTTTTGGAATTAAAGCTCAAAGAGTTGATTCTTGAGCTCTATTTTGCTCTTTTGTGGCATTTGGAAATAGCAAAACAGTCACAAAGATTTGATGAGAGGCTACAAACACCTAATCCACCATTTTGGGGATAAAAAAAAAAAGAAACTCAGTTTACTTTTTAATTTTTCATTCCTGGCATATTCTTGATGTTATCTGAATAAATACAGATGATTCTTTGAATGCAGATTTCATAATTAAAATTGTTAATTAAATAATAATTAAAAGTGTTTTAATAATAAAAGTCCACAATTAAAATTATTTTTATGCCATGTTTACTTATTATTTATTAAACATGCATTGAATAATTGCAATATATCAAAGAGTTTTCTGTTAGTGTGAGATATAAAACTATAATGTTCCAGTCCTCAAAAGGGGAAGAAGGGAATAATCCCATAATGTGTGTATAGTAATGCTAACATCATCATAATTATATAGTATGTTAATACTTTAATATATTACTGTTACATGAATTAAGTGTGTATATATATATATATATATATATCTTCATATCATAGGTGAAATACAGATTGATTAACTTGATCGGGGATACTTCAAGACAGGTTCCATAACAGTAATAAAAATTTCAGCTTGGTCTTGTAGTTTAGACATGGATTATCCAGTCTTAAAGGTGGCAGGATACTTTAAAAAGGAAAGAAGAACATTTCAGTGTTTCAAAGCATCTCTCAAATGGGAAAAGAACATGGAAATGACTCTGATAAGTAGAGTGAAACCAAATCATGAGGCACCATTTATGTTATGCTAATACTTTGGGCACTGAGGAGGGGTTTTAAACAAATGATTAGCATAGCCAAGTTTAATTTTAGAAAGTTCTCTTAATATTTGAATGCAGAGGATGAATAATAGGGAAGTGATACTATTATGCTTCTTCCCCTTTTGAGAACTGGAACATTATAGTTCTATATTTCACTCTAACAGAAAACTCTTTCATATATTGCAATTATTCAATGTATGTTTAACCCCCATTTATCTTAAGCCAATTCTAAATTTTCTTTTCTGCTTGGGCGTGGTGCCTCATGCCTATAATCCCCGCACTTCGGGAGACTGAGATAGGTGGATTGTTTGAGCTCAGGAGTTTTGAGACCAGCCTGGGAAACGTAACAAAACCCCATCTCTACAAAAAAAAATACAAAAATTAGCTTGGTGTGGTGGCACACACCTGTGGTCCCAGCTATTTGGGAGTCTGAGGTGGAAGGATTGCTCAAGCCTGGGAGTTCAAGGCTGCAGTGAGCTGTGATCATGCTGCTGCACTAGAGCCTGGGCTACAGAGTGAGACCCCTTCTCAATAATAATAATAAATAAATATTTTTTCCCTGTGGCATGTATCATTTTCTCAAATATGTTGTAATTTATCTGTTTATTATTTCTTTTGACTCTCTCCTCTCAAATGCTAAATTACAAGCGGGCTGGGATCTTCACTGATATTTTGCAAGTACCTAGAAAAGTACCTGGTTTAGTGTGGGCAATCTCTTATTATTTGCTCTAAAAATATGCATTGTGTTACTTTGGAATATTAGCTATGATTTTTTAAGATTTATTTTATACCCAGTCCCTTGACAAATTCTCTTAATAATAATATACTTTTTTTTTGTCTGTTGTAAGATTTTCTAGGTGTGCAAGTGTATGATCACTGAATGGACTTTTTTTTTGGTATGTGCCAATATCTGTACAAATGTCTTGTTTTTGACTTACTGCATTTAGTTGTACATCCTAAACAGAGATACACAAAATAACAATAGTCAATATTCTTGTAATTTTCTTGATTTGAAATAAAAAAGTAGATACCATAGAAAAGTTTTAAATTATGTTGAGGGACCTGGTGATTTTCAAGAAAAACAAAATATTATTGTGTCAGAAGTAGAAAAAACTATGAATATGGTTAGATATTTTTCAATGTGTCATAATTGTGTCTCACATACTTTTCTGTATTTTCTCTATATTCTTTAGTTTGAATATCTTCTATTAATTGTTTATTTATACCTGCATCTCGTTGGATCTCTAAATTTATCTCTTCATTTTCATGTTACATCCTAAATCTCTGCTTGTATCTCTGTTTTCCAGAAATGATCCTTATCTTAAACATTTTGCTCATGCCCAGGACACAGAAATGTTTCCCTCAAATAAGTGGATGTAGCTTTTTGACAGAATTTCCCCTCTCTGGAATTTTAGATTTGGTAGCCTTCCTTACTTCCAGAGATTTTGATACTCCTAAATAATGTTTGTGGTTTTTTTTTTCTTTTGTATTTTCCCTGGTTTTTTTCTAGTTGTTTATACAGGTGCATTGGTTTTCCCAAGGAGATAATTTTTAAAGCTATGAGCTTAGATGAAATCATTCAAGGAGTAAATACAGGTAGAAAAAGATAGCATTACCTGGAACTAAAAAGAAAAGTACTTTACAGTGAGAATCATGTACTGTAATGGGAAAACAGAGAAGTATGTATTGTATAGTTACACATAATTGAAAGGTTGCTGGCAAAGGATGAGAAAGTTTTCTGCTAATGTATTTTCTCTATGAAATACATAGCAAGGTTATTGATATTTGAAATGGGGGGAACTCTTGAAAGTTTTTGAAGAGAGTACAAACTAAAAAATAGTTACATATGAGAGTAGAGAGTAAATGGTTTAGTAAAATATAGTAAGATATCTTCTGACACTAAGGGTTCATATGAGGTGCTCAGTCTTGAGTGCAACATTAAATTAGTCAATATATGTTGTTTTTACTAGTTACACTTTGAGAGTGTAATTAAATATTTAAATCAAATTTGAACCACCTTTGCATTCCTGGAATAAAATCCACTCATTTTTTGTGACAAAAAATAATTTTCATTGTTATCTAGTCTCCATTTCTTTCTTTTCAGTAATGGAACCCATAGAGTTAAAACTGTGAAATTGGCCATCTGGCCAAACACTACATTTATTTAATCCTTCCTTCAGCTAACTGTGTTTTTAGGACAGAATACAGGCTAATGGACAATGAGTAGAATGGTATGTTCAATTTTTAGTTGATTTCATTAAAAAACAAGCTTCTTGTCCTAGTTTTCTCTTTTCCTGTCCCACTGGCTACAAATAATATCTGGTAAGCTCCACAAGCTATGTGTTATGGAGGGCATAGGTGTCCTGCTTGTCTATTTCACTAAAGGACCTACATGAGCTGCACAATTTAATATAAGAAAAGTACACATTTATTGCTGTTGAGCTGCTATATTTGGGGTGTCCTATTAAGAAGCGCATCTTCTTAGTTAAAACAATAGAATATTATGATTATAAATTACTTGCTAATACTTAACTAAAATATTTGTATTTATAGGCATAAGCAAAATATAGCCATTTTTCTCATTTAGTATTATTATCAGTCATTCTACTGACTATATATATTGGTTTTTCAAAATTGAAAATATTGAATGGAGAGTTATGCATATTTTGCTGTTCTGGATCATTGAAATAATGTTGAATTATCTATTCTTTACCAGATCATATGAACTCAGCTATGTAAGTATCTATTCAAAATGTCTATTTTAAAATATTGACTTTGGCTATATGCATTTCCAAATCTAATTACCAATTTAAGGATACTGGTTTGTCTTGGGTCAAATTTGGTTACTTATATTTTACTAAGGCATGAATTTCCTATAGTTTTTCAAATTTATTACCACAATATTTGATGTCTTTCTTATTAAAATTGTCTTAATATTTCTCATTATATTTTTGGTCCTCTCTCTCTTTAAGCTTGTTGATCCAATCATTCAAAAGATCAAATTTTGAATATTTTCCCCATTTTGATTTTATCCATACCAGATATTTACCTCTTTTTTCCTTTTAAAATTTATCTCATTGTCTTTTCTGGTTTCTAAATAATTCTCTTATATTTTTCTAAATTTTGAGCAAAATAAACTTTCTTACACATTTATCATGTGCCAATACTTCTGTGTCTTGAGCTAATTTTTGTCTCTCTTTTACCTGGTAATCTTTATATGTTCTGTTATCAATATTACATATATTGGTAACAACTAAGTTATCAATTTAAAGACAAAATTTAATCTAGATCTAGGACCATAATAACCAATGCCTTTGAAACTGGTAAATCTAGACATATTTTTGTAAGTGGATTTAGATATAAACTTGGTAGATTATAATCAAATATTTTTATTATTCAGTTAGATATTGTTTCCATTTGCAAGCAAGAAAACTAAAATTCAGTAATATTTACATAGCTATATTGATGAGACATGCAGATGTCTATTGATGTAATTTTACAGACGAGAAGCATGTAAATATCCATTGAAGAAAACAAAAGGTTTATAGTGTATTAACATACAATCTAATTTGAATGATTGCTTGTATCAAAGTAGCTCTCATGCCACATAAATATTTACATCTACTATGTACCCATAAAAATGAAAAATAACAGATTTTTAAAGTATGGAAATACATTTTAAAAATTAGTCAGAGCAGGCCGGGCGTGGTGGCTCACGCCTGTAATCCCAGCACTTTGGGAGGCCGAGGCAGGCAGATCACGAGGTCAGGAGATCTAGACCATTCTGGCTAGCACGGTGAAAACCCATCTCTACTAAAAATACAAAAAAATTAGCCAGGTGTGGTGGCGGGCGCCTGTAGTCCCAGCTACTCCAGAGGCTGAGGCAGGAGAATGGTGTGAATCCGTCAGGCAGAGCTTACAGTGAACCCAGATTGCGCCGCTGCACTCCAGCCTGGGCGACAGAGCAAGACTCCGTCTCAAAAACAAAAAAATGTATACAGCATACAGGCATTGGGTGCATTATTATTATTATTATTATTATTATTATTATTATTATTATTGATACTTTAAGTTCTGGGGTACATGTGCAGAATGTGCAGGTTTGTTACCTAGGTATACACATGCCATGGTGGTTTGTTGCAACCATCAACCCTTCGTCTACATTAGGTATTCCTCCTAATACTTTCCCTCTCCCAGCTCCCCACCCCTCAACAGGCCCCAGTGTGTGATGTTCCTCTCCCTGTGTCCATGTGTTCTCATTGTTCAATTCCCACTTATGAGTAAGAACATGTGGTGTTTGGTCTTCTGTTCTTGTGTTAGTTTGCTGAGAATGATGGTTTCCAGCTTCATCCATGTCCCTGCAAAGGACACAAACTCATCCTTTTTCATGGCTACATAGTATTCCATGGTGTATATGGGCCACACTTTCTTTACTCAGTCTATCATTGATGGGCATTTGGGTTGGTTCCAAGTCTTTGCTATTGTGAACAGTGCCACAACAAACATATGTTTGCATGTGTCTTTATAGTAGAACGATTTATAATCCTTCGGATATATACCCAGTAATGGGATTGCTGGGTCAAATGGTATTTTTAGCTTCAGATCCTTGAGTAATCACCACATTGCCTTCCACAATGGTTGAACTAATTTACACTCCCACCAATAGTGTAAAAGCATCCTATTTCTCCACATCCTCTCCATGATCTGTTGTTTCCTGACTTTTTAATGATCATCATTCTAACTGGCATGAGTTGGTATCTCATTCTGGTTTTGATTTGCATTTATCTAATGATCTATGATGATGGGCTTTTTTTTTTCATATGTTTGTTGACTGCATAGATGTCTTCTTTTGAGAAGTGTCTGTTCATATCCTTTGCCTACTTTTTGATGGGGTCATTTGATTTTGTCTTGTAAATTTAAGTTCTCTGTAGATTCTGAATATTAACCCTTTGTCAGATGGATAGATTGCAAAATTTTTCTCCCATTCTGCAGGTTGCGTGTCCAGTCTGGTAAGAGTTCCTTTTGCTGTGCAGAAGCTCCTTAGTTTAATTAGATCCCATTTGTCAATTTTGGCTTTCATTGTCATTGCTTTGGTGTTTTAGTCATGAAGTCTTTGCCCATGTCTATGTCCTGAATGGTATTGCTTAGGATTTCTTCTAGAGTTTTTATGGTTTTAGGTCTTACTGTTCCTGTGTTAGTCATTAATCCATCTTGAGTAAATTTTTTGTGTAAGGTGTAAGGGAGGGGTCCAGTTTCAGCCTTTTGCATATGGCTAGCCAGTTTTCCCAACACCATTATTAAATAGGGAATCCTTTCCTCATTGCTTGGTTTTGTCAGGTTTGTCAAAGATCAGATGGTTGTAGATGTGTGGTGTTATTTCTGAGGCCTCTGTTCTGTTCCATTGGTCTATATATCTGTTATGGTACAAGTAACATGCTGTTTTTGTTACTGTAGCCTTGTAGTATAGTTTGAAGTTAGGTGGTGTGATGCCTCCAGCTTTGTTCTTTGTGGTTAGGATTGTCTTGGCTATGCTGACTCTTTTTTGGTTCCTATGAAATTTAAAGTAGATTTTTTTCCAATTCTGTGAAGAAAGTCAATGGTAGCTTAATGGGGATAGCAATGAATCTATACATTACTTTGGGCAGTATGGTCATTTTCACAATATTGATTCTTCCTATCCATGAGCATGGAATGTTCTTCCATTTGTTTATGTCCACTCTTATTTCCTTGGGCAGTGGTTTGTAGTTCTCTTTTGAGAAGTCCTTCACATCTCTTATAAATTGTATTCCTAGGTATTTTATTGTCTTTGCAGCAGTTGCAAATGGGAGTTCACTTCTGATTTGGCTTTCTGTTTGTCTGTTATTGGTATATAGGAATGCTTGTGATTTTTGTCACATTGATATTGTATTCTGAGATGGCTGAAGTTGCTTATCAGCTTAAGGAGATTTGGGGCTGAGACGATGGGGTTTCTAAATATACAGTCATGTCATCTGCAAACAGAGACAATTTGACTTCCTCTTTTCCTAGTTTAATACCCTTTATTCCCTTCTCCTGCCTGATTGCCCTGGCCAGAACTTCCAACACTTTGTTGAATAGGAGTGGTGAGAGAGGGCATCCTTGTCTTGTGCTGGTTTTCCAAGTGAATGTTTCCAGTTTTTGCCCTTTCACTGTGATACTGGCTGTGGGTTTGTCATAAATAGCTCTTATTATTTTGATATAAGTCCCATCAATCCCTAGTTTATTGAGAGCTTTTAGCATGAAGGACTGTTGAATTTTGTCTAAGGCCTTTTCTGCATCTATTGAGATTATCATGTGGTTTTTGTCTTTGGTTCTGTTTACATGATGGATTACATTTATTGATTTGCGTGTGTTGAACCAGCCTTGCATGCCTGGGATGAAGCCAACTTGATCATGGTGAACAAGATTTTCGATGTGCTGCTGGATTCAGGTTGCCAGTATTTTATTGAGGATTTTAACATCAGTGTTCATCAGAGATATTGGCCTGAAATTTTCTTTTTTTGTTGTTGTGTTTCTGCCAGGTTTTGGTATTAGGATGATGCTGGCCTCATAAAATGAGTTAGAGGATTCCCTCTTTTTCTTTTGTTTGGAATAGTTTCAGAAGGAATGGTACCAGCTCCTCTTTGTATCTCTGGTAGAATTTGGCTGTGAATCCTTCTGGTTCTGGAATTTTTTTGGTCAGTAGGCTATTAATTGCTGCCTCAGCTTCAGAGCTTGTTATTGGTCTATTAAGGGATTTGGCTTCTTCCTGGTTTAGTCTTGGGAGGGTGTATGTGTCCAGGAACTTATCCATTTCTTCTAGATTTTCTAGTTTATTTGCATAGAGGTGTTTATAGTATTCTCTGATGGTAGTTTGTATTTCTGTGGGATTGGTGGTGATAACCCCTTTATCATTTTTTATTGCATCTATTTGATTCTTCTCAATTTCCTGTTTTATTTGTCTGGCTAGTGGTCTATCTATTTTGTTGATCTTTTCAAAAAACCAGCTCCGGGATTCATTGATTTTTTTTTAAGAGTTTTCCGTGTCTCTATCTCCTTCAGTTCTCCTCTAATCTTAGTTATTTCATGCCTCGGCTAGCTTTTGAATTTGTTTGCTCCTGCTTCCCTAGTTCTTTTAAATGTCATGTTAGGGTGTTGATTTTAGATCTTTCCTGTTTTCTATTCTGGGCATTTAGTGCTATACATTTCCGTCTACACACTGCTTTAAATGTTTTCCAGAGATTCTGGTATGTTGTGTCTTTTTTCTCATTGGTTTCAAAGAACATCTTTATTTCTATCTTAATTTTGTTATTTACCCAGTAGTCATTCAGGATCAGGTTGTTCAGTTTCCATATAATTGTGTGGTTTTGGGTGAGTTTCTTAATCCTGAGTTCTAATTTGATTGCGCTGTGGTCTGAGAGATGGTTTGTTATGATTTCCATTATTTTACATTTGCTGAGGAGTGTTTTACTTCCAATTATGTGGTCAATTTTAGAGTAAGTGTGATGTGGTGCTGAGAAGAATGTATATTCTGTCGATTTGGGGTGTAGAGTTCTGTAGATGTCTATTAGGTCCACTTGGTCGAGAGCTAAGTTCAAGTCCTGGATATCCTTGTTAATTTTCTGTCTCATTGATCTGTCTAATATTGACAGTGGGGTGTTAAAATCTCCCAATATTATTGTGTGTGAGTCTGAATCTCTTTGTAGGTCTCTAAGAACTTGCTTTATGAATCTGGGATTCATAAATATTTCTCTATCCCTTTATTGGTAAATATTTCTCCATCCCTTTATTTTGAGGCTATGTGTGTCTTTGCATTTGAGATGGGTTTCCTGAATACAGCACCCCCGTGGGTCTTGACCTTTATCTGATTTGCCAGTCTGTGTCTTTCAGTTGGGGCATTTAGCCAGTTTACATTTAAGGTTAATATTGTTAAGTGTGAATTTGATCCTATTATTATGATGCTAGCTGGTTATTTTGCCCATTAGTTGATGCAGTTTTTTCATAGTGTCAATGGTCTTTACAATTTGGTATGTTTTTGCAGTGGCTGGTGCCAGTTGTTCCTTTCCATGTTTAGTGCTTCCTTCAGGAGCTCTTATAAGGCAGGCTTGGTGGTGACAATTCTCTCAGCATTTGCTTTTCTATAAAGGATTTTATTTCTCCTTCACTTATGAAGCTTAGTTTGGTTGGATATGAAATTCTGGGTTGAAAATTCTTTTCTTTAAGAATGTTAAATATTGGCCTCCACTCTCCTCCGGCTTTTAGAGTTTCTGCCGAGAGATCCACTGTTAGTCTGATGGGCTTCCCTTTGTGGGTAACCCGACCTTTCTCTCTGGCTGCCCTTAACATTTTTTCCTTCATTTCAACCTTGGTGAATCTGACAATTATCTGTCTTGTGGTTGCTCTTTTCAAGGAGTATCTTTGTGGTGTTCTCGGTATTTCCTGAATTTGAATGTTGGCCTGCCTTGCTAGGTTTGGGAAGTTCTCCTGGATAATATCGTGAAGAGTGTTTTCCAACTTGGTTCCATTCTCTGCATCACTCTCAGGTACACCAATCAAACATATATTTGGTCTTTTCACATAGTCCCATATTTCTTGGGAGGCTTCGTTCATTTCTTTTCACTCTTTTTTCTCTAATCTTGTTTTCTCATTTTATTTCATTGAGTGGTCTTCAATCTCTGATATCCTTTCTTCTGCTTGATCAATTCGGCTATTGATACTTGTGTATGCTTCACGAAGTTCTCGTGCTGTGTTTTTCTGCTTCATCAGGTCATTTATGTTCTTCTCTAAATTGATTATTCTAGTTAGCAATTCGGCTAACCTATTCTCAAGGCTCTTAGCTTCCTTGCATTGGTTAGAACATGCTCCTTTAGCTTGGAGGAGTTTGTTATTACCCACCTTCTGAAGCCTACTTCTGTCAATTGGTCAAACTCATTCTCCATTCAGTTTTGTCCCCTTGCTGGTGAGGAGTTGTGATCCTTTGGAGGAGAAAAGGCATTCTGGCTTTTAGAATTTTCAGCATTTTTGCACTGGTTTCATCCCATCTTCATGGATTTATCTACTTTTGTCTTCGATGTTGGTGGCCTTTGGATGGGGTCTCTGAGTGGATGTCCTTTTTGTTTATGTTGATACTATTCCTTTCTGTTTGTTAGTTTTCGTTCTAACAGTCAGGGCCCTCTGCTGCAGGTCTGCTGGATTTCGCTGGAGATCCACTCTAGACCCTGTTTGCCTGGGTATCACCAGCAGAAGCTGCAGAACAGCAAAGAATGTTGCCTATTTCTTCCAATGGAAGCTTCATTCCAGAGGGCCACCCGCCAGATGCCAGCCAGAGCTCTCCTGTATGAGATGTCTGTCGGCCCTTACTGGGAGATGTCTCTTAGTCGGAATACATGGGGGTCATGGACCCACTTGAGGAGGCAGTCTGTCCCTTATCAGAGCTGTGCTAAGAGATCTGCTGCTCTCTTCAGAGTTGTCAGGCAGGGATGTTTAAGTCTGCTGAAGCTGGGCCGCAGCCACCCCTTCCCCCAAGTGCTGTGTCCCAGGGAGATGGGGTTTGATCTATACTTCCCTGACTGAGGCTGCTTCCTTTTTTTTTCAGAGATGCCCTGCCCAGAGAGGAGGAATCTAGAGAGGCTGTCTGGCCACAGCGGCCTTGCTCAGCTGCAGTGGGCTCCAGCCACTTCAAACTTCCTGGCAGCTTTATTTATACTGTGAGGGTAAAACCACCTACTCAAGCCTCAACAATGGTGAATCCCCCATCTCCCTACCAAGCTTTAGCGTCCCAGGTTGACCTCAGACTGATGTGCTGGCAGCAAGAATTTCAAGCCATTGTATCTTAGCTTGTTGGGCTCCATGGGGGTGGGACCTACTGAGCCAGACCACTTGGCTCCCTGGCTTCAGTCCCCTTTCCAGGGGAGTGAATGGTTCTGTCTTGCTGGCATTCCAGGTGCCACTGGGGTATGAAAACAAACAAACAAATAAACAAACTCCTGCAGCTAGCTCAGTGTCTGACCAAACGTCTGCCCAGTTTTGTGCTTGAAACCCAGGGCCCTGGTAGTGTAGGCACCGGAGGGAATCTCCTGGACTGCTGGTTGTGAAGACCATGGGAAAAGTGCAGTATCTGTGTTGGAGTGCACCGTTCCTCCCAGTACAGTCTCTCACGGCTTCCCTTGTCTAGGGGAGGGAAATCTCCCTACCCCTTGTGATTCCTGGGTGAGGTGACACCCCACCGTGCTTTGACTTCCCCTCCATAGGCTGCATCCATTATCCAGCCAGTCCCAAAGAGATGATTTGGGTACCTTAGTTGTAAATGCAGAAATCACCTGCCTTCTGCATCAGTCTCTTTGGGAGCTGCAGACCCGAGCTGTTCCTATTAGGCCAGCCCACTGGGTACATTGTTGAAGTATAACTTTTCTGATCAAACACAATCATTTGTAAATACAAGTCCTATATCATAAAACTGAATAAATAGGAGATTTAAAAATTATAGATTTCAAAAAATAATAATGAGTCTTTTAGATAGATCAAATCAAAGAGAGGAAAACAATTTGGGAAAAATCATGATAGAAGTATAGTATTTGAAATAATTTCCAAAAATCAATTCATGATAAAAATTTTAAACTATTAATTGGATATGAATATAAGTACATATAATTAAATTAACATTTTAATAAATATGAAAATTAACTTCTATAAGTTGAGTTAAAAGCTGGCTTGCCCCTTCTGTAATGTGAGGACCTAGTGAGAAGATACTCATGTGTGAACCAGGAAGCACGCCCTCACCAAACACCAAACCTGCTGAAACCTTGTTCTTGGACTCCCTAGCCTCAAGAACTATGAGATGTAAGTTTCTGTTTATAAGCCACCCAGTCTGTGGTATTTTTGCTATAGCAGTCCACATGGACGAAGACACTCTATCCAGATACAGGGTTCCAAGAATGCCTAGGAAATAGGTATGAAATTTTATTATCACAGGGGCTTATGCTAACCAGCTTCAAAACGACTCCCAGTAATTCTTGCTTGCTTTTTGGTATCCAATACATTCACACATTCCACTCCGCTCATGTGTGGGCCAGACCTAGTGACTTGCTTTTAAAAATAAAATATGACAAAAGTGTCACTTCACTTCTGAAACATGTCTATAAAAAACTGTACCTCTGTTTGCTCACACTTTCTATATCACACTGTTTGTATGGTGAGATCCACATCACAAGGAACTTAGGGTGGCCTCTGGTCAACAGCCAGTGAGGAATTGTGTCCTTAATTACAATAACCCTTGAGGAATAACAACCATATGAGCAAGCTTACTGTGCCTTTTAATGAGATCATAGCCCAGCCAATGTTATATTTGTATCCTTGTGAGAAACCTTAAAACAGAGTACCCAGCTAAATCGTGTCTGGATTCCTAACCATTGAAATTGGGAGATAATAAATGGATTTTTTAAGCCTCTATGTTTTGGGTACATTTGTTATGCCAAAGTAGATAACAAAAACAATTCTCCTTTAACTTTGGTTTCTCCATTAAACCCAGGAAAATCTATAAAAAAGCATAGGTCTGAAGCTGAGACTGAGTTTAAATCTGGAGGAACATATTTCAGTAGATCCCATTCTTCTCTTTTGCTATAATTCAGTATATATTTTTTCTTAGGCTGAAGCTTCATACAAAATTAAGTTATGTTATTTACCAGTGTCTAGTGGTCTTAGATACAGAACTAGCAAATGTCAAAGAGACTCATTCAGTACATGCTTTCTCTAAATTCTAAACAGGCTATTAGCTTTTGTCATACCATGATGATTCATTTGCTCTCTGGTTAAAACAAACAGGTTATTTCTAAAGAACCATTAACTCTTTACTATATATGGAATACAGACAGCTCTAATTGTTTCTATTTTTAAAATAATAATTTGATGGAATAAATTATGTGTTTGAATTTCTAATATTGAGAGGCTATCCCTTCTAGAAAATCTCAGTTTGACCATGAAATACTCATCTACTTAACTCAATTAAACTCAAAAATATACAATTGTTTATAAGGAGATCTGTTCTCACTATGATGAAAAGCATTTGACATGCAAAAATAGTCCAAACAACTTCAGTAAAGTAAAATATTTTTAAGTTAAGTACTTGTGTATTTTATACTCACCATAATCCTTAAATTGCTAAGAACTTTTAAGTAAAGTGGGAGTGGTGACTTACACCTTAATCCCAGCACTTTGGGAGGCCAAGGCCGGCGGATTGCTTGAGCCCAGGAGTCTCAATCTGGCTGAGATCAGATCTAGCTCAATCTCAGTCTGAGATCAGTCTGAGCTATATGGCCAAACCACATCTCCACCAAAAATCCACAAATTTAGGTGGGCATGTTATCACGTGCTTAGGAGTTGGAGGCTGCAGTGAGCCCTGATCTTGCCACCCCACTCCAGCCTGAGTTACAGAGCAAGACCCCGACTCAAAAGAAGTAATAAGTGGATTTGAGACTTACATTTTTATTGAGATTTTTGTGTACTTTTTAATACCTATTAGACTATTTATGTAGTTGAAAGTAATTCAGCAGCTGGGGGATCTGCTGATTTCTCCAATGAGTAAGGAAAGATATGAAACTGTATTTTTGAAGGTAGTCATAGGAGAAAAATACAGCATTATTGAAAGTACTCTATTGAGTTCAACATAGTGATATAGATGGAAAGGTGGATGGATGAGTGGACAGAAGGCTAGAGACAGATAAATGAAAAGATATAAAAAACAGAGGGGTGTATTTTACATAATCTCCTGTATCATTTATTCTTCCTTCCCACAGGATTTCTCTTCTGACTGAATTTTCGTTTCATGCATGTACATCTTTAATGATTTTTCTTAGAGAAAGTATGTAAATAGTTATATTCTGGGTCCTGGAATGTTCAGATTGTTTTCCTTTTATTTGGATGTTTTCATTTTTATATATCTTGATTGAGGTATAATTTACATACCATAAAATTCACTCATTGAAAATCAATGACTTTTAGCAAATTTATAGATTTACAAAATAATCTCCATAATCCAGTTTTAGAAGATTTACATCACACAAAAAAGTTCATTTCTGTGCCTTCGTAGTCAGTTCCTTTTTCTATCCTCAACCAGATGCAACCCCTAATCTGCTTTTTGTTTATATAAATCTGCCTTTCTGGACATTTTACAGAAATGTATCATATGAGAGTCCTTTGCACCTGGCCTCTTTCACTTAATGTTTCTGAGATTCATTCATATAACACAATGTATGCATAATATATTCTTTTTATTGCCTAATAATACACCATCGTTAAGTTACACCATGTTTTGTTCATCCACTTACCAGTTAATGAAAATTTGGATAATGTCTTGTTTGGAGCTGTAAGAAACAGTACTATTTTGGATACCGTGATGGTTAATACTAAGTGTCAACTTGATTGGATCAAAAGATTCAAAGTACTGTTCCTAGGTGTGTCTGTGAGATATTTCCAAAGAGATTAACATTTGAGTCAGTGGACTGAGAGAGGCAGACTCACCCTGAATTTGGATGGGCACCATCTAATCAGCTGTCAGCATGGCTAGAATAAAGCAAGCAGGAGAAGATGGAATAGCAGACTTGCTGAGTCTTCTGGCTTTCATATTTCTCCCATCAAATGCCTCCTGCCCTCAAACATCAGACCCCAAGTTCTTCAGCTTTTGGGCTCTTGTACTTACACCAACAGGGGCTCTCGGTCCTTTGGTCACAGACTGAAGGCTGCACTGTCGGCTTCAGTACTTATGAGGTTTCGGGATTCAGTCTGAGCCACTACAGGCTTCCTTGCTCCTCAACTTACAAGCAGCCTATCATGGGACTTTACCTTGTGGTCGTGTGAGTCAATCCTCCTTAATAAACTCCCTTTTATATACATATACATCTTATTAGTTCTGTCCCTCTAGAGAACCCTGACTAATACAAACACTGACATGCAAGAATGTTCTATGGACATATATTTTTATTTCTCTTGTGGAAATACCAAAAATGGAATAAAGGGGCATTTACTAAGGGTTATATGGTATATTTATGTTTAATTTTTTTGGAACAATGTGAAACTCTTTTTAAGATGATTGAATCACTGAATATTCCCAAAAGCAGAGTGAAAGTTGTAGTTTCTCCACATTATTCACACTTATTATAATTTATCTTTTGTATAAACATATGAGAACGGATATCTTGTGTCTCATTCTCATGGGTATATAATGCTAACTCATTATAGTTCGAATTTGCATTTTCTTAATGATTAATGATTTTGAGCATCTTCTCATGTACTTATTAAAACGGAGATATCTTCTCCAGTGAACTGTTCATGTCCTTTGCCTTTTTATTTATTTATTTATTTATTTATTTATTTATTCTTTTTTTTTTGAGACGGAGTCTCGCTCTTTCGTCCAGTCTGGAGTGCAGTGGCGTGATCTCGGCTCACTGCAAGCTCCGCCTCCCCGGTTCACGCCATTCTCCTGCCTCAGCCTCCCGAGTAGACGGGACTACAGGCACCCGCCACTGCACCCAGCTAATTTTTTGTATTTTTAGTAGAGACGGGGTTTCACCATGTTAGCCAGGATGGCCTCGATCTCCTGACCTCGTGATCCGCCCGCCTGGGCCTCCCAAAGTGCTGGGATTACAGGCATGAGCTACCGCTCCCGGCCATCCTTTGCCCCTTTTAAAAACTGGATTCTTTGTCTCACAGGTTTCTGAAATACTGTTAATTTTTCTTAATGTATATTATCTTTTTCTTTTTTTTTGGTTAACATTCCAAACATGTATAACCAATGAAGATGGCCTAAGGTTTTCTTTTTACTGGTATTCACTTCAGTAACTTGAATCCACAGATGTAAGCAGTATATAACCAGAAAGTTACAAGCAAACACAAATTATACATGCAAATTTCTGTTCACAAAGGTCACATGTGCAGGTACATGAAATAGAAGCATGCATCTAGGATTATGGCCAAAATGTTTTTAAAATGCAGAAATGTAAAATTACATCTTGAAAATATGAAAAGATGGTCTACACACTTCAAAAATCAAATGTTGCTTATACCAGAGATGTGTGACAATTACAGGGTTCAAGTGACAAGCAATAAGATCTCAAAAATTAATACTGGTCAAAGAGAATGGGAATATTTTTACATTTCACTGAAAATACATTGACTACTAGAATATGAAATCTAGCAGGAACTCAGGGGAAAGATTACAAATTCTAAAGCCAATTACTTAATATTTCTTATTACCTAAACAACAGAATTAACATTAACAGAAAACTGCACCTGCATTTGCATTGCCAATCTCACATTAATGAAGTTCCCCAAAAATGAAATGCAACCAAAACAGGTTCAAACTCCAAATGAAAGTCTGCAAGGCTCAGATTAAAACATGGAATGTTTCAGATGAAAGTAATGAAAATACTATTGGTTTTGTTATTTATTGAATGGAATAAAATGTTGACATTTCTTTGAAACTTGGAACTACTACATTTCATTTTTCCAAATGGTTCTACATTTTTTTCTTAGTGGTGCAAGTTGTCTTAAGTAGCTTAGGAAGTCAATCTCTACAAATTACTTATGTCTGTTGCCATTCTGATAAAACAAAAACTATTCATTAACTTAACCATATGTGTATTTTTTTTTTGCTGTAACACTGAACACATGAACAGACATCTATTATTTCTCCACTAAAACAAAAGAGTACAATAGTTTTCTTCTAACTATCAGTATTGTATTTAAGAAAGGTTAACATTAAAAACAAAGGACCATTATTTTCTTTGAAATCATTAAATCTTCTTACATATCTTAAGTTCCCTTCTGTCTGCGTTTGTCTGCAAATTTATTCAGAAATTTCTTTAATTTCTGATAATGAGGAAGGCTGATACAATGAGTATTCTTTGCAACTTCTTCATTTGTATAAGAGTGATCACAGCTTACAGTAAAACCCTGTTTTAGGTATCACATAGTCTATACCAACAGGAATATTGGGCTGATATGGTCCAATTCTATACTCTTCTGGGATTGTATAGTCCTCCTTGTTCTCATCACTTTGACCATCTGCGTTTTCAGTTGTATCTTTGTTGGGATCATCAGCATTCTCAGCAGATTCAGTACCTGGTTCTGTGTTTTCCACATTTTTAATTCCATTTTCCAATGCTGCTTCGTTTTCTTGATTAAATTCCTCCATCTTGTCCACTTTAATTTCAACCAAACCATCATCATTTCTGTCACCAGATTTAAATGCCATGCCCGATTTACGAAGTTCCTGAAGTTCCAAATCTTTCTCATCACCAACCTCATCTAGAGTGAGAAAACCTTCCATACTCCCTGGGAAACGACGCTTTTTAAGCTTTTTCTTTGCTGCTGCTGAAGCACTTGCATCGTTTTTCACAGTACCTGAAGGTTCCTTTTCTCCATCGGAAGCCATATCACCTAAATTAGCAAGATCAGTCTCGTCTCCCACTGAACTGCCACTTTCTAGCAGTGCTGCTGCTGCTGCTTCTTCATCTACAAGTAACTCATCTTCAGATTCAAGAAGCATATTCGGTTCCTGCTCTGTCTGGTCATCCTTTGTGTCTTTCTCACCATCTTCACCGGACTTCTCTTCTCGTTCTTTATCTTCGGTTGAACTTTCAGTCTTCTGGGAACCATCTTGGATTTCTTGTCACTTGGAGATTCTTTGCTGTCTGGAGTGTTCTTGGGCTGCAGCCGCTGCTGCCACCTCTCACCAGCGCCGTTGCTGCGGGGGATTGTGGGAGCTTCCGCGATCTGCTCGCTGGGAGAGAGAGTTGTCTGCTGGTTCTCAGCTTGAAGAAGATTCTGCAGTCCTTACTGATCTTTTTTCTTGGCGTTAACATTTTTTGAAGCAAAGTTTACCTGGCTTTCTAGTTTGAATTTTCTTTTTGGCCGTCTTTAAAATTTTTTTTTTTAATCTATAAAATAGACAAGAGCTAGTTCTGCAGTGTCCAAGTCATTCCAGCAGTCATCTCCCAGTAGGGACTAACAGGGTCATGGGTGTGACCTGTCTGCGGCAGGCATAGGCCTTCCTGCTGCTGTTACCCAGTCTTTAAGTATGCCAGCATCTCTTAGGAAGGATGAACCAGGGTACTGCACGCCTTGCTAGTTGAATGAATCTTGGAACGAATTCTTCATTGAATCAAAAAGGAGCTCATAGTGCACGGTCTTCTGCTAGTACTTCTTCCTATAATTTACAGTCTATATTTAACATTGGAAGTAGAGGTCCACTCCCTTTATCTTCTCAACACTGTGGAGATGCAGACCAGGCCAGTAACATTTTGGCCAGCTTTGGTCTGTCTCCTAGAGACTTAGATGAACTGAGTCGTTATCCAGAGGACAAGATGACTCCTGAGAATTTTCCCCAAATCCTTCTACAGCTTAAAAGGAGGAGAACTGAAGAAGGCCCTACTTTGAGTAATGGTAGAGATGACAGATCTGCTGCATAGGAGCCACCATACAGAGTACCTAGGGATGATTCAGAAGAAAAAAAGGCACTTTAGAAGAGATAGTTTTGATGATCATGGTCCTAGTCTCAACCTGGTGCTTGATTATGATCATGGAAGTCATTCTCGAGAATCTGGCTATTATGACAGAATGGATTATGAAGATGACAGATTACGAGATGGAAAAAAGGTGTAGGGATGATTCTTTTTTTGGTGAGACCTCGCGTAACTATCATAAATTTGACAGTGAGTATGAAAGAATGGGACTTGGTCATGGTCCTGACCCTTTACAAGAGAGATCTCTCTTTGAGAAAAAGAGGGGCGCTCCTCCAAGCAGCAATATTGAAGACTTTCATGGACTCTTACTGAAAGGTTATACCCATCTGTGCTCTATATGTGATTTGCCAGTTCATTCTAATGAGGAGTTGAGTCAACATATCAATAGAGCAAGCCACAGTCGTCGATGCCAGCTTCTTCTTGAAATCTACCCAGAATGGGATCCTGACAATGATACAAAACACACAATGGGTGATCCATTCATGTCTCAGCAGTCTACAAACCCAGCACCAGGAATTCTGGGATCTCCACCTCCCTCGTTTCATCTTGGAGGACCAGCAATTGGACCAAGAGGAAATCTGGGTGCTGGAAATGGAAACCTGCAAAGAACTAGACACATACAAAATGGCAGAGTGGAAACGAGCAGAGTTGTTCACATCATGGATTTTCAGTGAGGGAAAAACTTGAGATACCAGCTATTACAGCTGGTAGAACCATTTGGAGTCATTTCAAATCATCTGATTCTAAATAAAATTAATGAGGCATTTATTGAAAGGGCAACCACAGAGGATGCTCAGGCTGCAGTGGATTATTATACAACCACACCAGCATTAGTATTAGGCAAGCCAGTGAGAGTTCATTTATCCCAGAAGTATAAAAGAATAAAGAAACCTGAAGGAAAGCCAGATCAGAAGTTTGATCGAAGGCAAGAGCTTGGATGTGTGATACATCGCAGCAATTTGCCCCATTCTGCCTATTCTGATAGTGCTGTTCTCAAGCTTGCTGAGCCTTATGGGAAAATAAAGAATTACATATTGATGAGGATGAAAAGTCAGGCTTTTATTGAGATGGAGACAAGAGAAGATGCAATGGCAATGGTTGACCATTGTTTGAAAAAAGCCCTTTAGTTTCAGGGGAGATGTGTGAAGGTAGACCTGTCTGAGAAATATAAAAATCTAGTACTGAGGATTCCAAACAGAGGCATTGATTTACTGAAAAAAGATAATATATATTATATTCTCTATGTCCTTCAGATTTCTATCTCTGTATCTTAAAGTATATGGATGCCTTCTTCTGCCATTTCAAATCTTCCATTGAAAACTTCTAGAAAATCTTTTATTTTAGTCTTTTTACTTTTCAACTCCAGAATTTCTATTTGTTTCTCTTAGTGTTTATTTTCTTTACGGGCATTCTGTTTATGTTGAATCATTGTGATCATTTTTTTTTTAATTCTTTGAAGATGGTTTTCATTATTTTTTTGAACGTATTCATAATAGCTGCTTTAAAAGCTTTGTCTGCTAGTTTTAATATCAAACACTTTCTATTGGCTGCATTTTACTGGTGTGTGTGTCATATATTCTGTTGTCTCTTAACTTTTCATGGAAAAATTGTCATTTTAGATACTATATTTTTAGTGAATTCTAAGTTTTCTTCCAAAGGTTGTTTTGTTGCTCTTTTTTGTTGTTGTTATTGTTTAGCACCTTGCCTGGATTAAATCTGAGCAATCTCATGACATTTGTTCACAGATATTTCTAAACAATTTTTGGAATTTAAATCTAAATTTTTAAGTCTGAGTCACTAGGGATCGCTTCTGTGTTTACATAGCTTAGTTTTCATGTCATCATTAGGCAAAAGTTGTGCTTATACATCTTGAGTCTAAAGGCTACCACCCTTACTGGTGGTCATGTGTGTGTGTGTGTGTTGAAATAATGCATTCAAGGTGTTTCACAAGTATGTGTCACTCTCACTTTAGCTGGCCATCTTGTATCTTTTCTGAAGTTGGGCACATTCCCAGTTAGCCAGGAATGTATGGATAAATGAGGCCCACTGTAGTTTCTCCCACAAACATGCAGCCTTCCAGCCAACCATAGGAATATGTGGTGTGTTTATTATAACCTCTTACAGTTATTCATTTCCTGGATCTTTCTTTTAAATTTTTGGCTAATCTGTCAAAATTTAAATCTGGTCTATTGTTTCTCATACATAATCACAAGCTCTGGCTAATGGATATGCTGGCCTTTGTCATTCACTCTCTCTAAACTCGCTTATGTTACTGTCAATCTCACAAAATATATTCCTCTCTGAATCTGGAGATCCAGGGTCACAATGGGCTCTCTTTAGTGATGGGGTGTTTTGTTTTTCATGACTGGTCTCTGGTAGAATAACTGAGTCACTGAGGCTGAGTTAAGGGAATGAAGGAAGACTCAGATAAGAATGCCATAGTCTCACATTATTTTGCACAAAGGTTTAGTAGTTTTCATGTATAAACCTTTTTAAATTTGTTGTATGTCTTTGTATATCTTTACCAGAGCTCTGATATATATATTTTTATATATGTCTTATATAAAATATATATAAAAATATATATTTTATAAGCTTATATATATATATATATTAAATGTATCTAGCTTGATCATTGCTTTTAGGGAAGATGTGATGATATCCTCATCCCATCCTGCCATAAAACCCATTGAAATGTCTTTCTTTGCTCCTTTGAACAGACGTATGTTATTTCTGATGAGTGCAAGATTCTGACATTACAGTTTTGTTTTCCTCCTCTCACGTATCTATAGATTGTATTTTACAGTTTTTTACATTGTGTCATTAGTGATAGATTCAATGATTGTATGATTCTTTTTTTTTTTTTAAATCTCTAAATTTCCCCTCTGAAACTTTGTAGTATATATTCATTGTCCCTGGAGTTTAGCAGCTTCACTAAAGTTCAACTCATGGAATCTTTTTTATATATATTTGAAACTCAAGAGAATTTGCCTCTCCCTCTAATGATCACATTCAGCAAATGTTCTATTTGGGTTTCTTTTGAAGAGATCCAATGATATCTGTCTGGATTCAGTTTCAAGAAAAGAAAGACAGGTTATATATTTTGTATGGCCATTTATTTTAGCCTGCTGCTAAGAGATACAAGGGCACCCACTCTCTGACAAAAATATCTTAGAAAACTTGCTGTTTCAGAATTGCAATTGTGATTCCCTCAATATGCTGAAATTTACTTTCTCCAAGGAGAAAGTTGGAAAAAAGAGGAGTTTAAATTATATACTGAGGCCATATTTTTTGTTCATCCATAAAATGTAAAGAATCTGATCATTTTTAATATTTGATATAGTATTGTCAAAAGTCCAAATAATTTGAGACATTAGAGTTGAAAGACAGTGATAGCATATCATACTGCAAACTATACACCATATAGGAAATACATTTAAAATATTAACTTTTGAGCCCAGAATTTTCTTTGAACCTGTCTCTTTTGTGTACCATAACATTTGCAAGTTATTCTATATGCTGACATTTTTCAAAAACCTTTTATCAGAAGCAACCATATTCTGACCTAGGTGATTTATTCATTGTTTCTTATATCCCTCTCCTACCCCCAATTAGATTTGCTATCAAATTGTTGCCCACATATTTACAGAATCCTATACACACATATATCTACTAAGAATCCAAGATTATATGCCAAACACAGTGTTTTAAAGTTATTGATCAAAATATTTAATTATTTGCTTTCTGTCCCTGAAAAAGAAATTATGGCGGGCTTGTTAGTGTCTCTACTTGCAGGAGGATTTTACTTCCCTATGCTCTTGGACCTAGGAGTGGTCAGATAACTTTTTGGCCACTTCAGAGCTGATGTTTTAAGAACTCACTTGTTTTCTGTGTTTCTTTTTCCTCAACACCAACAATATTATAGATATGAGCTGCTCTGCCTATTACAGAGATGGAATTAAGGCAATGTGGTATAGAGCAAAACTGACCCACAATGACCATTTAACTTAAATGACACACATTAGTTTTTATAAGCAGATGAGAATTGGGAGTAGTTTATGATCAAAGCAAAATTTAGCTTATTCTGATCAACGTACCTTTAAAAAATACAGTTTTCTCATACTTCTTTTGAAAGGTCAAATAAAAATTCACATAGAATGTTTTCATTTTTTATTATATTCTCTGCAAAACTAATGATAAGAGAAGGCAGCTATGGTAAAGAAAACAATCTGCCTTTCTTATGTATATTGCCATTACTATTGAAATATTTCACCTCTGTGTTATTGAATTTTCTTCAGTTCTCATGAACTGCATTCCCAGACAAACTACAAATCACACACCAAGGATTTTATCTGTGTCTGCTTATTTAGTAGACTTACCATTACTCAGCTTTAATGAGACCTAGTCAGGCCCATAACCCTGCTGATTTTCACAGATATAAATAAATCCAAAGTCCCAGACACTGGGCTACCCAATTACAAACTATGAAACCCAGATATTAGAGGCACAGTGAGAATTGGTTGAGCAAATGAAAGAAAATGAAATAAATATAACAACAAGTAAATTATTTGGCCAAGCATTGCTCTAGGCCAGAACCAAAGAAAAATTTCTGTAAAGAGCCAAACAGCAAATATTTTAAGCTTTGCAAGCAATATGATAACTGCTGTTGTAGTGTGAAATCAGCTGCAGACCTACAATTGATATGAGTGAGACTGTGTTCAAATAACATTTTATTTACAAAATTAATTTAATATTTCTTAAATTGAATATTAACATTTTACTATATGAGGTATATTCCAAACTATACCATTTTTGAAACCTGTATATTTGTTGATATGAAGAAGCTTACATTTTGACTTAAGTTTAATTTGGCTAAAATAATTTATTTTATGATTATTCACAAAAATACTATAATAAATATTTTATTTATTCAGAATTAGCAATTTTCTGATAGGCAATTTGAGTTCAACAGTGAAAATTAAAGTCAACCTCAATTATATCTGTCACTACTAAAGGTCAACTATTAATCCGAGAAGTTGTTTTTATTTTAACAATGTAAATATGCATAGACATGGAAATCTGAATAATACCCAAAAATGTTTCAATTATAGAATAAGTTATTAGCCATGAGAAGTAATATTTGTTGCATGTAATAGCATATTTTCATTACAATTATAATCTAAGTAAAGTTGTATTATAATAAAAAGTATAGCAATATAAAATAAATACAACGTTAATTATTGATTACATTTAAATAGTTAATCTCTTCAGTTACATATTTTATGCTTATCATTAACTACAAACTACTTTAAATTGCATGTAATTAATATGCATTGAAGGTCTACTTAATTACTTTTCATTTTTCTTATATACCACAATTGTATATTTTAGGCCCTTATTTATCTTTTGATGTTTTATTTTCAATTTTTAAAAGTCAATAATAATTTATAATAATAATTATAGTAAGAAATTATGTGCCTGTAATTCCAGCACTTTGGGAGGCCAAGGCTAGTGATTGTTTGAGGTCAGAGATTCAAGACCCACCTGACCAACATGGTGAAAACACATTTCTACTACAAATACAACAAAATTACCCAGGCATGGTGGTGGGTGCCTATAGTCCCAGCTACTTGGGAGGCTGAGGCAGAAGAATCACTTGAACCCAGGAGGCAGAGGCTGCAGTGAGCCGAGATCATACCACTGCACTTCAGCCAGGGTGACAGAGGGAGATCTCAGTCTCAAAATAAAATAAAATAAAATAAAATAAAGAAAAAAATTATATATTAACTTGAAAGTAATATTAAATGTTCCTTTATCTTTTTTGTCTAAGTTTTGTTTTAACTTCCAGGGTACATGTGCAGGATGTGCAGGTTTATAACATAGGTAAACATGTGCCATGGTGGTTTTCTGCAAAGATAAACTCATTTCCTATGTATTAAGCCCAGCATCCATTAGCTATTCTTCCTGATGGTTTCCCTCCCTCCTCCAGCTTCCTCTAACAGGCCCCAGTGTACGTTGCTCCCCACCATGTATCCGTATGTTTTAATCGTTCAGCTCACAGTTATAAATGAGAACATGCAGTGCTTGCTTTTCTGTTCCTGCATTAGTTTGCTGAGGATAATGACTTCCAGCTCCATTCATGTCCCTGCAAAAGATATGAACTCATTCTTTTTTATGGCTGTATAGCATTCCATGGTGTATAAATACCACATTTTCTTTTTCCACTCTTTTGGGTTGTTACAGAAACACCAGAGATCAATTTATATGTTTATGCAAAAACAACTGTTTATGGGACTCTTGGGCTGGTTTCAGTACCCCCTTTCTATTTATCAATTCCTCAATCATGAGGAATCCAGTTGTCAATCCTTCTGGGTACTTCATGTTGAGGAGGGGTGTTGTCAGAAGCTCCATACCATGGTTGACCATGTAGCCACCCAGGAATCAAAGGTTAATCTAATATAGAGTTTTCTTCTGACATACAATATTTCTCTTCAGTCCACCACTTCCACCAAAGACAAATCAAAGAAGGACCAATCTACTTGAAAAATTAGCTTTAGTCCCATATACTTGGCTTGATTACCCACAAAAAATGTGACAAGAATCATTGTCCATATATACTCTCCCTAATTGGCTTTACTGAAACATCTCAAAGGTCATTTTGGTCAGAGCCCTGAGAAAATAACCAGTTCCTTCAAATGTGTCTCATTACAAAAGAAAACTTGTGGTTATTAACTGTATGCAAACAAACACAATACCATGAATTAAGACGTTTCACAAATAGTTTACAAATTCTGGAGAAATTGGGCAAAGAAAGAGAAACATGACTCAAATTATGTTTACGAAACTATACACAATACACTTAAAGTATGTTCCAAGGCTATAAATAGCCTAAAAGAAAAAGATTCTCCAGATTTTGAAAAACAAAACAAAAAGCAATATTTCAAATAAAAAAAGCCATAAAAAATTATTTCTGTCCTCCATTAGCTTAGCCCATGCAATCAACTCTTGTTCTGCTTCATATTGAGTTAGCAATCTTCACAAATACATCAGACTTTCAATTAGTGTCCTGAAAGTTTTCTCTCTAATCAAATGGAAAAGTCTCCAAGTTATCAGAAACCTGCATTCAAGAGTAATTTTCATGAACTCTTCCAAGGAAGCAGGCCTTGGACTGTAGCTGTTTATAAGCCAATTTTTTTTGAGAAAGATCAAAGCAAACCATCAATTGTGGATGACAAAAGTCTTAGGACAGCCATAGTTAAAGACACAGTTGACAAGAAAATGTGTTTTTTCTGCTGCATACAACAATTTAATATAATCATAATTATTACTGACGACATAAATATCAAAACATATCAAAATTTTAGTAATCTCATACAATCCTGGAACACACATTAACAACACATCTATAAGGAAGCTAAGCACCACCTCAGGTTTGACAATGCATCCTGCCTAATACTAACATAACAAACGAGTCTAATAAGACTAATATGTCTGTCTCTGGCTTCAGAGAAACTAATATTCAAAAAAGTTATTTAAAGGACAAAAAGACTGAAATTAGATCTTAAAAGTTTGCTGTTGGAAAGTGTCAAGTTTTAAGATACTTGATGACACAAAGTAGGATCACAGTCATTATAAAATAGTCATTCATTAGCCAAAATGATAAAACAAAAATGTTTACTCTTTAATAGAGAGCAAACACAGTTTCCCAAACAATAAGACCTAATACTTAAGCAGCATGAGGCCAACTAAATCTCTCTTCCCCCTCCATTTTCTCCCTGCAGTTTACTCAAAGGTAAACAAATAATTTTACCTGTTAATATTATACTTTGTTAAAAAGAGGAAACTAAAGCTTACCTTTGTATGATGTATTGCTAGTATTAAAGCAATTTCAATATAACCTTATAAACAAATCTAATTTTAATCAGTTTGACCACAAAGTAAGATTTCCATAAATTTTTAGAAATTTTTCCAGTTTTTTATTAAAAAGTGGATTAATGCTTCAAGAAAGCCTTGTTATCCCAACACCTGGGCCCAGAGGTTGGCCTTGCATCAGTGTGTTTTTGATTTTAATGTTTAATTTATAGAAAAACTCTGAACTAATCTTAACTCTCAAAATCAACCCTTACATTATCACTCACCCACCTCTTCCCCATCAGTCCCTGGTCCTAGAGGAATTGAATAGTTTTAATTTATGGCCCTGTGTCTCACAAAAGCAGTTCATTTTGATTGTTTCTTTCTCTCAGATCCAATGATGATGCTTCAACTGATGTCAATGCTCAAAATTTAGCAGGAGTCAGTGACTTTTTCAGACCCAGAAGTCAAAGCCCTGTAATTTAACAGCACAAAATTAGTTAATAAGGTATTTTAACTACTGAAAGTCCTATCATTTCCTCTGACATGTTACAAATCAAAACACTGTTATTTGGTGTTTAGGAGTTCGCACCTGCAGAACTTCGAGCTACTGTATAAAAGTAGTTAGGTTATTCACTGCATACATCTAATTACTAGCATTATAGTAACAGGACTGTGACCAAAAGCATAAAAAATGTCATAGATCCCATGCCAAGCATATCAAAGTAAGACAACTTACTTTTCTCTCCATCATTAAAACCTGATAAGTGAAATAAGAATAAATTATCTCCTTTCACTTAAATACTGTACAACAAAACAATAAAAAAGTAAGAAAGGAAGAGTAATTTCTTTTCAGCTATTTAAAAAGAGCATTATTGCATATTTCCAAGATTGGTTTCTAGATACAGTACTGACAATGGATTTGCTAACTTTTTCCACCAAAATCTTCAAACCAGTGCAATACTTGCACATTTTTTGTTTTTGAGTACACACATGAAGGCTCATAAGTAATAAAATGGTCGGGATCAAAATTCATTAGAAAGTCTCACATTTTTATTACTACTTAATTCAAGTGAATGTTACTTAATTTTAATAATGGTCAACACAACTAAATAAGTTTGAGAGAAACTTCAATCAATATAATTTTCTAAACGACAAGGCCAGTCTCCTGAACATTAAAACTTTGCACCCATATCACAGATTTTCTTCATTATCTACAGGAAAATATCTGAAATTTACTCAAGCTATTAATTGAATTGAATTGTCCAGGAAATAAACATCATTTAAACATTTTTGTTCTCATCTACTTTTTCAAATAATAAATAATGTACTATTTCTGTTCAGAACTTATTTTAAAAGTCTTTTATGTATTTGTAGTTGTTGCTATTGTTGTTGTTGGCCAGTAAGCTTAAAGCTCTCATAGATCTCTAGATAATCAGAAGCAAACAAAACCAGCCAAATTCCAAATGGCTGGTGTGCTCCATCAATTCCTGCAGGCCCAACAAACGTAGCCTAGGAATTTTAGATGAATAGAATAAATGGACTGGGCTTGGTGGCTCATGCCTGTAATCCCAGTACTTTGGTAGGCTGAGGCAGGTGGATCACCTGAGGTCAGGAGTTTGAGACCATCCTGGCCAACATGGTGAAAACCCATCTGTACTACGAATACAAAATTAGCTGGATGTTGTGGCAGGCACCTGTAACCCCAGCTACTCAGGAAGCTCTGGCAGACGAATCACTTCAACCCAGGAGACAGAGGTTGCAGTCACCCAAGATCGGGCTATTGTATTCCAGCCTTGGTGACAGAGTGAGATTCTGTTTCAAAAATTAAATAAATAAATAAATAAATAAATAAATAAATAAAGCAAATGATGACTTGCTAGAAATCCACAGGAAACAAAATAACTATTCACAGAACCAAATAAAATTATTCCACTAGAAAATAAAAATCATCAATGGTTTTATATTTTTGCATACACAAGCCATAAACCCAAAGAAGAAAAAAACAGCAACCAAATGAAAATCAGAAGCAAAAAAAAAAAACAGGAAACTAACCCTAAATGTTTCCAACTCAGTCTACCTTGGGGGCCACTTTTAGAGCCTAAAAGTCACATGATTAATATTTTATTCCTGATACACAATTCAGTGTCCTTAAGTCCACCAATATTACCACACATCCTATGCAATCAAGAAGTTCACTTTAGGCACATGACCAGTAATTACTCCAGTGCTAGAACTATCCATGAAAAACAGCAAACATAATATGTAGTAATGCAAGCATGTATGTGAGATTTGGCTCCACACTAAATCTGGCTTCATGCTTAGTTATATTAAAGAATAATTGCTAAACTGCCAGTACATTTCCTTACAATATTTCATATTTTAACTTAATCAAGACTAAGAGTTTTAACTACGAAAAGTTTAATTAGACAAATTTCTCCAATTGTCTGTCAGATTTTAAATAATATTTTGTTATCTAAACTTTTTCAACTTTCTATTTTCTCCATATGTGCATAAAGATAGGTACACAGAGAAACAGGAAAAACCACATATGACTTACACAGACTATCCACAACATGTCTGGGCTTTCCATTCAGTCCCAGATTTTTTCCTTCTTCTTAAATAACTAGTCATTTTATCCTAGGTCAAAAAATTAACCATACAATGTCTTTTATCATATAAAATTATCTTTTTTTATAAATTTTCTCTCCAAAAATGCATTTTCATATACATTACTTTCCTCACATCTCTCTCCCCTACTTACTAGTTCCTTACTACTATGTTTCATAAATAACCTTTTAAAGTCTATAATTTAAATTAACTTTAATATAACTTCTGAATTAGATAACATAATTCTTTGTCCCACTAATAACACATCTTTAGGTATATTTTATATATATAACTATATATTAACTATAATTCTTATCCTTGGTAACCTTAAATTTTAGTGAAAACCAAGGAAGTAAGATTTAGTGAAAACCAAGAAAGCAAGAAATCCTAAGCTGCCTATCAGGTATTAGCATTTTATGAATGTGAAGAATTCCACATTTTTTAGAACATGTTTCTAACCTTTTCTGAATTAGAAATGATGTAACCATTTGATAAAAATATTTTAAATTGCACAAAAACTTCACCTACAGCACTTATACATTCATATTTTAAGAGTTTATCTAGAATATTTATGTATTTTCTTGTTATCCAGTTTATATTCTGTGAAAATTAAGGTTTACTACCTGGACATTTTCACCAATGAAATTCTTTCACCAGAATATTCAGCTGTTTTCATTAAACCAACAATATTAAATCAGTCTTACTTATCAAAAAATTGACACAAAAATTGTTTTGTTGTGGCTAGATTTATGATTCCGTAACTTTCTGTGACAAGCCCTTATATCTCAAAATATCTAGCAAAGACAAATAGAAAACCCAGACAAAAATGTATGCTGACAATTCTGAGGGTATTTCATTTTTATTTTATCAATAATCTTAAAGCCAGGTTGCTTATTAAAGGTTTACTTAAGTCATGTGAACATGAAAAATGCTTGGACATTTTTACTTAATTTATGAGTGCTCTTTTATTTGTAAGCCGATTTGGTAGACATAACATGTGTGTTAACAAACATTGATTGGTTAAAAACCCCAATCAATATCCAAAATATATATAGATGCAAAAATATGTAACATAAATTTAGAAAATTGAATACCATAATAAAGAAATGCAAAATGCATTATAACAAAGTGAGGTTAACACCAGATATTAAGATCAGTTTAATATTAAAGAATCAATGTAATTTATTATATGTATAAATATATGACCAATCCAGAGATAGTAACCATGCAGTATTTGAGCAGTTTACTGTAAAAAAAACTGTTAACTACAACAGGAGTTGAAATTATTATAAGTTGGTTAGTAAGAAGTAAGCATATCTCCAAAAATTACTGAAGTAACAGACATCGTAGGCATTTCCCATAGGATTGAGCTATAGGAGAGCCTTTGCCTGCAGTTCAAAGATATAAGACTGAAGATATATCTTGGAGATGGCAAGACTATTGCTTACTGAATGACAGAGCAGTCACTGTGGAGATGCACTGCTGAAATTTCCTGAAAATCATTCCTCTAGAATTTGCCATATGTTGTTGAAAAGCCCTTCATGTGGAGGTTTCTAATGCAGACACTCTGCTGCAGTCTAAAAAATGAAAATGTAAAGAATAAAGAAAATAATGATTCATATATACAAATAAATACATATACGTAATGAGAAACATAGAAAACATCCAAAGTTACCAGTCTTGATTTCTGTAATTGTTCTCAAGGCCTTAATTTATATCTATAGCTTCATTCAAACTACCATTTCAGTATTTCCCTGCCCTTGAGTTCACCTCCTCTGGTCAAGATTCTTTTCTGTATTGACCTAAATCTTCATTCTCAGAAAGTCTGAAATCCTCAGTATGTGTTTTTTTGTTTGTTTGTTTGTTTGTGTTTTTTTTTTCTGATTTCTGAGATTTTCTATCAACATTTACAATTGGGCATGGATATACTTGGAAAGTGCCCCAGAGAATCTGCTGGGTTGTACATATAGTCTACTTTGACTTCATTATGTAGAAGCAATACTTTTTCACTTAAAAGTTAAGGTGAATCACTCCATCCTGTAGATTAATCCTCCTTTTTTTCCATTAGTTTAATGGCATAGGTAGTCCCAAAAGTCCAGGAGGTAGTCTCCTCTTTCAATTTAGCGAAACCATTAATTGAGTTTTCTTTCTAGATTCATACCACTTTGAGAATTACTGTCTCCAAAGAAACTGAGCTCAAACATACTATGCAGGAAACAATTATTCGGCAATTGGGTAGATTTTTAGGTATATTATGATTCCTATCATAGAGCCACTCCCATTTCCACATTTATTTTTTTCAGACTCAAGGATTCTGGCTATGTGGAAAAGCATACTATATAAAGAATTTTGATTTAAAACATATTGTATCCTGAAGTACATTTTATCCTTTTAGGCATCTCTCTCAACTGGTGTCAAAATGAGTCTTCAATATGCCAGTGTATCTTTCAATTAGGCCAGCTTCTTCAGGTGATGAAATGTGTGGTAAAACAAATGCATTACATGAGTATAAGTTTATTTTTGCACTTTACTTTCTCTGAAATGAATTCCTGATCATGCCTAATGTGAGAAATGACTCAAAGCTAAGGTATGTTGATCATCTAAGGTTCCATGGTTGGGCTTTCATTCTCTACCAAGACCCAGTAGCAAGTCAGAGTCTGTTTCTCAGAAGGAGAATAGTATCATCTGCTAAACGTGGCACAGATTTTATTAAAAATCCTGGAGATTTTCTCTGCAATTTTTCTATTTCTGCTCACCAGAGACTCATATAGCATTCCTATATGCTTCATACATTATAAATATTAATAAATCTGTTGAATTACAAGGCCCAATTATTAGAATGCCTTATACTACAGACTGAATGTGAATTTGCTGTGGAGTCGTCTTCTTTTGCTATCGTACCCACTTATAAATGGCTATCTTGTGTACAATTCTGTAGATGAACCAAAGCAGCACACTAAAAGGTAATATACAATACTTGAAAAATCCAAAATAGACTACTAAGTATTGTGCACTTTGCTCATAGTACATAATGAGAGGTATGATAACTTGTCTTTCTCTTTGGAGAAGCTATCTTGACATGCTCCAGAGCATTGAAATAACAAAACCTACACTGGGAAGGCAGGTTTATGAAATTGTGTTGGGTACATTTTCCACCTACTTTTTCATAAAATGTGCTTGTGGCTTCCTCCTTATCAGGTTTAATCAGTAGAATGTCATTAGCTTAGTAGACTACTTAGATGTTTTTTGAATTGTCAAGATGATCAGTCTCCCTATTGACTATATTATGACATGGAAAAGAATTGGCAAAGCCCTGAAACAACATTCTAGAACTACACTGTTGGACCTGCCAGGTAAAAGCAAACCACTTGCAGATTAGTATGGAGAATAAGGAATTAGTCAGATCTATAGCTTCATATCGAGTGACAGAGATTGTGATAAACTATATACAGTCTCCCTAAGATGACCATGTCTTAATGTCAGAACCTATGAATATGTTACCTTACATGGCAAAAGAGACATTGTACATTCATTAAATTAAGGACCTTCACAATGGAAGATTATCCTGAATTATCCAGAGACTCCCAATATAAACACAAAGGTATTTGTATGAGGGAGGAAGAAGGGTCAGAATCATAAAGAAAAGATGTGCTTGTCAGATGTAGAGTTCAGTTAGGAGAGAAGCTTCAACACTACTGGCTTTGAAGATGGAAAGAGACCACAAACCAAGAAGTATAGGTGACCACTAAAAGCTGAAAAACTGATGAAACAAATTCTCCACTAAAATTTACAGAAAAGACCTGAGCATTTCAAACACCTTGATTTTAGCTTACTAAGGCTTATTTTGGATTTATGATGGCCAGAACTGTAAGATGATACATGAGGTTTTCAGTCACTAAGTTTTTGGTAATTTTAAAGCACAAGAAAATTAAACAGTGGTTATGGTGATTTGTCCCAATAAAAATATCAAAACTACAAATGAAAATTGAGTAATAAATTCAGGTCAATTGCCCTACCTACTTAAGCCTTTATATCTCCTACTCTGAATTATGCCACAGATGATATGGCAATTCAGTCTCATTAACTATAGTCTACAGCTGAGTCCAAGTCTCAGTCAACCAAACAATTTGTGAATGGAGATATATCTACCTGCATAAGATAACATACCCCAGAATCTCTAATAAATTCACTAGTGACTATAGAAAAAAAAGATCAAAATAAGAATTATTACTCCATGGCTGAGATAGAATATCCAAGAAATAGCACCCCCTTCCCCAAAGACACATATGGGCCTTACAAAATATCCTTGGAGAGTACACAGCTGTGATTCACTGAAGGGCAGAGAAATGGCTATGGTGGACTTGCCAGAAAAATGTTTTCCAAGGTGTGGTGAAAGTAATTCATGGGGGTGTGTCTCACCAGGGGCAGTTTTCTACAAAACCAGCCAAAAGTGGTACCAGAAGAGAGAAGCTGGTTGCTAAATGCCGGTGGCCTCCATGCATAGCAGAAGGCAGGCAGTGGTGAAGCTGTGGGCACTACAGGAGCCTAGTGCCAGGAAAAGCCAGGTACAGTGCAGGAACATACCAAATGAACGCAAAAACAGCAGAAAACAAAGCTTTATATTCTGCAGTGTTTCTTCACCTTTCCTTATTGACAAAGCTTCAGTGTAAAATGTTAACAGAAAAATATTTAGAAGGGTTGATTTATTCTCACAGAGCAGATAAAAAGGGGAAATTTCTACATTAGAGATAATAAATCAATAAGTGGCACAGCATTGAAAACATCTAAAAATGAAAGACCATGGGACCATCTCAATATTTGCAGTTTATCCAAATTCAGTTTTAAATGTTTTTTAAATATGAACTATTGTGTGCTGAGTGAAAAGCCTTTAAAATGATATATTCTAGATTTCTATCAGTTTCATTTATTAAACATGTTCGGTCCACTCCTACTATGATCTTAAAATAAAAATATTGCCAAAGGATTGTCATTCGTTTTCTTAGCCATGCTATTGAATTCACAGCATTAAAAATTCATAATGATATTTCTTTCATTTGTTCTGCTATTTCTAGCTGTAAACTCGATTTTAAATTGGAAAATATGCTTACAATAAGTGTTACAAAATTGCACTTGCAGATATTCTGGAACATTTTTCATAAATAAAAATAAGCATATTTCAAGTAGAATTCCAAAATATAGAAAGATGATTGAATTTGATCTTGGGGGAAATCTCCTTTGACTAGAAATAAACTAATCACACATTCAGAGAAAAAATTTACATATTTTAGATACTTATGTATAAAACAGGATGGCACATCCTAAAGTAACTCAGAAGACAACAGCTGTAGAAGACATAGCATATATGTTGGCCCACAAAATATACATAGTTTTTTTGCCATATTTTATTTATTTGGGAAATAACTACACTTTGAAAAATGCAGAGTTAAGTTTTTCCTAGTGGTAGGCAGAATTTTTACAATAAATAATTTAATCCGTGTAATTTGATTATGTTAAATTTCAACAAAAAGACTTTCTGAGAAATGTATTCATGGCCCAGAGTATTATTTAAGTATTATTCTATTATTTCATATACAAGTATTAAATATGAACAACTACTGAAATGGCTACAAAAAAAGACTTTCAGAAGACTAGTTTAAGGGATGGTCTGATGTTTAAACAGACACTATGGGATTATAGTGTAAAAAACACTGAATTATTACTTTGCAAAACTATATGGTCTTTGTAAACAATTTACCAAAAAAAAAACTTGGGTGACTCAGATTATTAACATTATTTTATTAGGCCTTTCTTGCCTTGCTATAAAGAAATACCTGACAGTGAGTAATTTATTTTAAAAGAGAGATTTAATTGGCTCATGGTTCTGGCATCAGGTTGTAGGGAGGCCTCAGGAAGCTTACAATCAAGTTGGAAGACAAAGCAGGAGCAGGCACTTCATATAGAGGAAGCATGAGCAAGCAAAAGAGAGAGAAAAAGAGAGAGAATGGGTGGGGAGGTGCCACACATTTTTAAACCACCAAATCTTGTGTGAGCTAGGAGTAAGAGCTCACTTATCACCAAGGGGATGGCCCAAGCCATTCCTGAGAGATTCACCCCCATGATCCAATCACCTCGAAGTGATAAGGTCGGGGGCAAAGAAATTCTGGGCAGAAAAGAATGTGTCCCTGACAAAACCCTACCCTCAAGACAAAATACCTGATACCATGGCCCAGAGTGAAAAATTCTGTCCTTGTTTTTCTGCATGAATGTTGCCTTTTCCTAAACTACCCATGGCCCACCCCGTCCCCCATCCTGTGCCTATAAAGACCCTACCCTCAGCCAGAAGAAAGGAGAGAATCCGCAGGATGTCAGAGACTACGGCTGGATGTTGAAGAGAAGCAGTTTGACTTTAGAGGGACAGTTTGACAGTGTAACTTTGGCGAAGAGTCTGGCTGGAGATGGCTGAACTCCAAAGGAAAATTACCTACCCACCCAATCCCCTTTTTAGATCCTCTTCCTGCTGAGAGCCACTTTCATCGGCAACAACATCCTCTGCATTTACCATCCTTCAATTTGTTCGTGTGACCTCATTGTTCCTGGATGCTTGAGAACCACAAGTGTGGATACAAATTGCTGTCACACTGGCCCTTTGCTCTCACTGGCCAAGGGCAGCTGCCTCATGTGAAAGGGCGAAGGGCCCACTGAGCTGTTAACACTTAAGCCCTCTGCAGACAGCGGAGCTAAAAGAGCACTGTAACATGTGCCCTGGGGCTTCAGAAGTCTCCGGCACCCTGCCTGGATGCTACCATATGGCCTGCATGGAGTTCACTCTTGCCAGTGCCAAAAAGCACTAGCTCCAGCTACTGCACCCACTCCCCTGTGTGCTCCCTCCTGTGAGGGGTGTAATGCAGCAGGTCTGAGTGAGTGGAGTTTGATCCCACCAGCACTGAAGTGTCTGGGTGATTCCAGAGCTCACGCACTCCAGTTTCCAGCTCATTCACTCATGTACTCACTCCCATGAGGCGTTGACAGTGCGGCAGGCTGAGTAACTGAGGCACCATTGTTCCAAGTCCCATGAAGGGGTCAGGGAAATATCCTGCTTCATAAGGGAGCTCGTCTGGAATTTGTAAGAAGGGTGAGTAAATGTGGATCCGCTGGATCAGTCTCTTCACTTTTTTTCCAGACTTCTTTTCCCTCAGACTTTCCCCTGAGCTGTGCCATTTGCAGAGGACAGGTTGCAACACTGCCACCTATCTCTTTCTTTGGGTAGAAAGAATTTTGGCTCTGTTTACCTACACAGAGGTCTAGCCATTGTGTGGGACCAGAATAAAGTCCTGGGGCAACTAAAAGCATTTGGATGTGGCCAGTCCTTGGTGTTGATAGAAGGCCCCTAGACTACCCCAGTCCCTGACTGCCCATTAGAGTGTCAGCCATGACCCCCAGACTTTTCTATGATATCTTTCTCTTTCTTCTTTCACAGTTTGAAATGGCTTCTGTTTCTTGTCTTATAATGATAAGGGGTTTGCTACAAACTGAAGAAATGTTACTAATTAGAATGAGTGTTTGGCCCAGCCACCAGATATGCAATTCAGAACAATAAGATTTTCATTTGACCTTAGAGGTAGGACCACCACTCCAACCCCGATAGCTGCAAGCATGTGTGGTGCACAGCAGCTTTCCTCCTCACCTCCTCCCATTCCAGCTGGGGTGCTTGGAAGGGTCTGCAGCATGCAATTGCCATACCCAACAGCTACATGGGGCAGGAGAGAACTGCAGCTGCCACCAGGGCCCCACGGAAATACTGGCGGCCAGGGGCTCCATGCAGTTGGCCAGTGTTTCTTGCTCACTGTCCCCTCCTGCTATGGGCCCATATAGTCTTTTCTCCCCCGACCAAGGGATCCAGCTTGGTTAGAGCCAGAGGAACGATAGAGTAATTAAAGGAACCCATTTTCATAGAGCAAGAGGCTTTTTCCCCCCACTTAAGCTGTTTTTTTATTTATTTATTTTTTATTCTACGTTTTTTATGCAAACGGGCTTTTCTTCCCTACTTCAGCATTCTGCTTATAATAGGGAAGCAGTGGAGGAATGACTCCACTGGCTAATAGCTGCAAATTTGGCAAGGCCCCTCTGGGACTTAATCTAAATGAATCTATGCACTCCCTGAGAAACCTTTTTGGCCCAAACTCAATTCTAAACTTTGGGTTGAAGCCCTAAAGAGGAAAACCAGATCTGAGGGATCCAAAGCCAGGCACCAGGCATGATGTAAATGGGCAGGACTAATTCCTGGCAATGAAGGTCCCATTTCATGGAAGGAGGCCATGCTCCATGGCATAGATAAGGTCCAGGGAACCCAAACATTGTCAACAGTAGGGAACATGGAGGCGTAGGTGAGTGTGCATAATTCCTATTCTCTAGGCCCTCCCTGCTTCATAGGTGCAGGCCACAATGGCACACATGGGTGGCATCCATCTAAGAGTACCAGGACTCAGGGGAAAAAAGACAAAAGAGATAAATGGGAATGCCCATTTTCTTTCTCCTCACACCCCAAGTTTTTGCTGAAAGAGGGAAGGGACATGAGGGATGTCTATTTCCCTTTCTTTGAGAATAGGCAACCAAATATCTTCATCATCTTCAGTCTATACTCCTCTGGAGTGTATCCTGAATCACTGGGACTGCTTTGGTCCTCAGGCTGTAAAGAAAAAATGCCTTTAGCCCTTTGCACAAAGATTTGGCCAAATAATGATCTGCAGGAAGGAGTGTCTTGGCCTCAGGAAGGAACCATTCAGTTTGATACCATCCTGCAGTTGATGTTTTCTGTAAACCTGAGGGCAAATGGTCTGAGGCCCCATATTTGCAGGATTTCTTTATCTTGAAGGGTAGTCTAGACCTTTGCTGACAGTGTAGGATTGATCCAGCCCTCCTGTTTGCCATCTCAGGAGAGGCTACAAGGGGCAATTCCAAGAAACTAAAGAAATGAAACTGAGTGGCACCTCCACCTCCAGCAGAGGAGCCAACTCCCTCTGGCCCTGCCCCTCCAGGACCACCCTGTCTTCCCTATCCAGTTTCTCTCTCACTTGCCCAATCTGAGGAATCCTTACCCAAGACAAGCCCCAGTCTTACTCTTACCCCTCCAACAGGTGCCTGGTGAGCTTGGCTCCAGTAAGGTCCAGGTCCCCTTCTCTCTACAGGACTTAAGGCAAATTAAGGTGGATCTTGAGAAGTTTTCCCATGATCCTGACAGATACATAGAGGCTTTCCAGAATTTAATGCAAGTATTGAAATCTCCTGGAAAGATGTTGTATTACTTTTGAGTCAAATCCTGACTAACAATGAGAAGCAGGCCTTCCTGCAAGTGGCAGAGAGATTTGGGGGTGAGCTTTGTATTACATATAGTGTTAAGAAAGGGCCTGAATTTTATCCAGCTGGAAGAGAAACAGTACTACTGGATGACCTTAAATGGGATCCTAATGATGAGATGGGACAATGGAAGAGGAGACCCTTTCAGTGTGCATAATGGAGGGAATATGTAGGACTGGAACTAACCCTCTCAATTATACCAAGCTATCCATAATAGACCAGGGATTCGATGAGAACCCCACTGCCTTCCTGGAGAGGCTACGAGCGGCCTTGGTAAAACACACCATTCTATCTCCTGATTCAGTAGAGGGACAACTTATCCTAAAGGATAAATTTTTATGCAGATAGTCCCTGATATCAGGAGGAAGCTGCAGAAATAGGCCTTGGGACCAGACAGTATTTTAGAGTACCTCCTGAAATTGGCCACCTTGGTCTTTTATAATAGAAATAGGGAGGCCCAGGAGAGAAAAAGGCAATACAGGAAAGAGACAGAGGCTTTAATGGCCATCATGCAAGCCCACAAACTCCAGAATTCCCAAGGTGCACCTATTAACTGCTACAGATGCGGTAAGCCAGAGCATTTTAGGAAGGATTGCCCAGGCATCATCAGGAACCCACCTGAACCACACATAATGTGGCAGAACTGCTGTCTTCTTAGGGGGGTCTCTGGCTAATGGACAACTACCTCCTCAGGTATCAAGCTCTGCTATTAGAAGGATCTTCAGTCCAATCAAGAACCTGCCTTTCCTTAAATCCAGCCACAATCCTCAGGAAAGGTACAAAAGACAGATGATATTATCAAAAAGCACATCAGAAAACTGTCTTAGGAGACTCATCTCCCCTGGACAACCCTTCTCCCCATAGCCCAACTACATATTAGAAACAACCCTTAAAGATAGGTTTGAGTCCTTTTGAAATAATGTATGGAAGGCCTCTTCTCAAAAATGATTTATTGGTAGATCAAGAAAGTTCTGATTTGATTAAACATATACCTTATTTGGCTCATTTCCAACAGGAACTGAAACAACTGCCAAAGGCCCAATCCCTTGAACTAGGGCCACCTCTATTCAACTCAGGAGACCTAGTAATGGTAAAGGTACTTTCTTCCCTTTCTCCCTCTATAAGTCCAGATTGGGAGGGACCTTATACTCTACTTCCTTCTACTCTTATGGCAGTGAAAGTCACTGTAATAGATTCTTGGATTTATTGTAACTGAATAAAGGCCTGGGAAGCTGACAGTTACCTCCGTCAACCCAGAAGAACTCCCAAAGTACCAATGTGAAGAGATCAGGGACCTCAAGCTAAAAAACATAAAAGGTAAGTATTAATAATTAACCTCCCATGAGTTTCCTCTTTATAGTCTTCTCTATGCTTGCTGTTCTTACCTTTGTTCTGTTCTATGTCATTTTCAGAATGTTTATCCTATTTCATTTCTTCTTTCTGTAATCTTTGGTACTAGATTCTCTCTTTTTAACCCCTTGTTGTGCAATACACATATTTAATCCATGCATACTTAACCTTGTAAAGCTTGTTTCTTCTTGCCTAGAGGCCATCAAACTCCAAACAGTCAGACAACTGGAGCCTCAGATGATGGCTCTCTTTTGCCAGGGACCCTTAGGTAGACCTCTGGAAGAAATCTGAATGTCATTCTCTCCAAAACAATGCCCCCTGTCAGCAGAAAGTAGCTAAGATCAGTCATTATCCATATTCCAATGGCAGTTAGATGCGCCTCTTCAGAGTGGGGAAATGATAGGGACAGAGGGCAGAGAAATTTTAGGCAGAAAAGGGTGAGTCCCTGACACAACCCCACTGTCAAGCAGAAAGGCCCGAAACCGTGGCCCAAAGTGAGAAATTCTATCCCTGTTTTCCAGCTAGAATGTTGCCTTTTTCTAAACTACTCATGGCCCATCCCATCCCCATTCTGTGCCTATAAAGACCCAGAGTCAGCTGACAGAGAGGAGACAAGCAGCTGGATGTCAGAGACTACGGCTGGATGTCACAGAGAAGCTGCTTGACTTCAGAGGAGCAGCTTGACTTCAGAGGAACAGCTTGATGGCGTAACTTCAGAGACGAATCTGGCCTGAGATGGCCAGACTCCAGGCAAGATTATTTACCTACCTCATCCCTGTTTTAGCTCTTCTACCCACTGAGAGCCACTTTCAGAGGCAATAAAATATCCTGCATTTATCATTCTTTAATTCATTCTTGTGACCTCATTTTTCCTGGACACCGGACAAGAGCTCAGGAGCCATGAGTGTGAATACAAAAGGCTGTCATACTGGCTCTTTGCCCTTGATGGTGAAGGACAGCTGCCTCATGTGAAAGGGTGGTGGGCCCACTGAGCTGTAAACACTTAAGCCATCCATGGGTGGCAGAGATAAGAGAGCACTGTCACATGCACCCTGGGGCCTTGTGAGTCTCAGGCACCCCGCCTGGACACTGCCACAGGGCCTGCATGGAGTTCACTCCTGCCAGCACCCAAAAGCACTTGCTCTGGCTCCTGCATTCACTCACCTGTGTGGTCACTCCTGTGAGGGGTGGAATGCAGCAGATCTGAGTGAGTGGAGTTTGATCCCGCTGGCACCGAAGCAACCAGCTGATTCTAGCACTCCGGCACTCCAGTTTTGCCTGGCTCACATGCTGCCTCCCACAAGAAGTTGAGAGCGGTGGGCTGAGCAACAAAGGCACCCTGTTGGAGTTCCACATAGGGGTCAGGGAAAAATCCTGCTTCACAACCAGGCCCCACCTCCAGTATTGGGGATTACAATTCAACATGAGATGTCAGCAGGGACAAATATCCAGACTCTATCAATTATTAACTCAAAAATTATAATCTATTAAGATTTTGGGCAAAATAGTTTTTGACAAGTGCAAAGAGTGTAATAAGTTAAAAATTTTAAATATAAAGAATATTAAGAACATTATACATAAGAGATTCTTATATACTACATTAAATACATTCTAAGCATTAAAAATTACAATTTGCAAGTTTTCTTTTAAATACCTTTCAGGTTTGAAAAGAAAAAAAACCTATAAACATATCACTCTAAGAGAACATTTTCTGTTTCATCTACAAAAGAAAACAACCAGAAGTGAGGCAGCTAATGAATAAAACAGTCATAAAAAAATTGCTTTTTACATAGGTAACAGGTCTTTCAAATCTTCCAACTTGTTTGCAAATCACTAAAGGAACAGAGGTAAGAATATTTTTTTCTATTTGAATTATCTGCCACTGCAAACTTTTGCTAAATCAACCTCTTTCTGTATTCACCTGTCTACATTTCTATTATTGTCTTTGTAAATAGTATGGAGACCTGATATTTCATACTAGTAAGGAACAAAGCAAATACTATGAAGGCTTGTGCAATTAGAGATAATGGGAACTGTGAGTACAACTGCCTTTATTCACTCTTACAAAAAAGAAATTGTGAGTTAAGAGCACCACATAGCACGCAATGTGATGTAGAAAAGTCTCTGAGCTGAAAGTCTATTTCACATTCACAAGTCAAGAGTGAGACACTCGACAAAATCTCAGTTCTACTTGCTATTTGCTGTTCTGAACTTAGAGCAAGAGAAAGAAAACATGGGCATGTGTGAAACTGCAGAGCTTCAGCTAACTTTTTACCTAAAACTATTAGTTTCCATTTTCTGTCTTCAAGGTAAAATATAATTCAACATCTATATCATCTTCATGTAAATAGCAACAATGTTAGTAAAATGTTAAATTACACCTACTTTCTAAATTTGGAAATTAATTTTCTCCTGAGAAAAATGCCATTATTTTCTCTAATGATCACTACACAGGAAAAGTAAGTTTGCAACTGTGATGAAACAAATTAAAATTTCTCTTTTAAAAAATCTCGATTATATATAATTTACCATCCCCCGTTCCTTTTAAAACAATGCAAGCCCTTAAAAAAGAGGTTTTTAAAAACATATTTTATTTCTGAAGCAGCCTTGAACTGACGGATCCCTAAATTTTAATTTTTTTTTTTTGAGATGGAGTATCACTCTGTCACCCAGGCTGGGGTGCAGTGGCACAATCTCAGCTCACTGCAACCTCCACCTCATGTGTTCAAGTGATTCTCCTGCCTCAGCCTCCTGAATAGCTGGGACTACAGTTGCCTGCCACCAAGCCCAGCTAATTTTTGTATTTTTAAGACAGGGTTTCAACATGTTGGCCAGGCTGATCTCAAACTCCTGACCTCAGGTGATCTGCCCGCCTTGGCCCCACAAAGTGCTGGGATTACAGGCATGAGCCACCGTGCCCGGTCAATTTTAAAAGTATTTAAGTCTCAGAAAACATTCTCTGGGTATTACATATTTTGTGATAGAATTTATATGCAGAATCAAAGTTCATAGGAATCGAGAGTATACATATTTTTAAAACATCTAGAAAGTTAAGTCAAAATATGTACTTCTGTAAATAATGAAATGCAGAATTATTATTGCATTTTATCCTATTTCTTTTTGTTTATTTTCTGCATGTCAAAACAAACAAGCTGTAAACCCTAAAATAGGAAAGTTGAAAGCATAAAGCAAGGTTTTCTCTTTAATGTTCTCACAGAACTTTAAGATGTTATAAGAAACATTTAGCCAAAGAAAAATAATGGACATAATTTAATGCCATTGAAGAAGTTCTTCCACCTCCACTCCAGTGTAAATTTTAGCTACCAATAAAGTTTCAAAGAAACAAAAATGGCTAAAATTTCACCTCAAAATTAGGGGTGAGTTAGTATTAGAGAAAAAGTCACTAAGATATAAGTAAAATATGTTTCATAAAATTCTTTTCAATCTGTCAATACCTTATAGTCTATACACACCTTCATTTACGTTAATCGTTTTAAAATTTAATGTAAGAGAAGGGTGTGCTTCATATTTACATTTCAATTAAAGTATTTTTATAAAACTATATTTTATATTTTAATTGTAATAAACAAACATTTGAAAATCACTACTGAGATCCTTTGGCCACATCATACTATCTTAGTAACTATTGACATACACATACACATATACATACATATAATTTTATATACGGTGATTCGGGATGAGCTATCTGAGAAGGTGAGATTTCGGCAGAGATACATATGAACTTAGAAAGCCTCTGAATATGTGGAATGAAAGAATTCCAAGTGGAGGATTGGCAAGTGGCCTGTGGCAGGAATTTGCTTGGTGGTGGTCAAGGAAATTGAAGCAGGTCAGGGTGACTAAAGTAGAATGCCTGATACAAAAAGATATAGAAAATATGGATATAAAGATACCTAAATTTTATAGATTTTAGAGTCTTATCAGCCACAATATGGACTTTGGATTTTATTTTGAATATGATGGGAAGTCTTCTTAAGGTTTTAAACATGGGAATGATGAAATGGCTTATTTTTATAGGATCACGGTAATTATAAAATATTCTACAAGTGTTTAAAGTTGAAAGCAGGAAGAATATCAAGAAGATTATTTCAGCGGTCATTTTGACTAGAGTAGTCTCGGCAGAGGAAGTACGAAGTAGTCAGAGTCAGCCTGTATTCTTGCATTCAGATGGTAGATTCAGTATATTTTACTGATACAATATATGATAGAGTTTGAAGAGTCAAAGATGACACTGAGTTTGCTTGTCTGAACACATGAATCAATGAGGATATTTTTTCTGATTTAAGGAGAACCCAGGATGAGCAGATTTTAGGCTTGGGCCTGGTAAGCTTGAAAAACCTGTTAGATACCTGAGCAGAAATGTTAAGGAGAGAAAGGTCATCATAGGTATTATTTGTGAGATATCACCCACTTGCCCCTCCAGATTGGCTTTCCACCCTTTTCCACTTTGTTCTGTGCCCAATCTTCCTTTTTTTTCTGTTTTCCATTGTTTATTTGTACAAATGTATGGTACATGTGGAATCTTGCTACATGTATATAATGGATAGTGATCAAGGCAGAGTACTTAAGGTGTCCATCACTAAAGTACAGTACAATTTTGTCAACTATAGTCACCATACTCTGCTATCGAACATTTGATTTATTCCTTCTATTGAACTGTATGTTTGTACTCACTAAGAAACTTCTCTTCATCCTCTCACTTCTCCTTACTCTTCCCAGTCTCTGTTCTCTATTTTTCCATCCATGTGAACAATTTTTTTTTTAGCTTCCACATATGAGTGAGAACATATGATGCTTGTCTTTCTGTTCCTTGCCTATTTAATTTAAAATAATGACCTCCAATTCCATCCACGTTGCTGTAAATGGCATGATTTCATTCTTTTTTTGTGGCCAAATGGATTTTTTTAAATGTAGTATATATATATACAATGGAATTCTATTTTTCTTTTGGTTTAGCCAGTTGGAAGACCCAGAGGGAAAAGAGAGGGAAGGAGTAGAATAATTATGGGTACCTATTATTTCTACTCCCACTAGAGTCATATCCAGCTTTAGGTGCTTGTTAAACGAAGGTCACTCCTGCTCTCAGGATAACCTTTTTTTTTTTCTTTTCCTTTTTCTTTTTTTTTTTTCTTTTTTTGTTTATTTTTGTTTTTTTGAGATGGAGCCTCCCTCTGTCTCCTAGGCTGGAGTGCGCTGGTGCAATCTTGGCTCACTGTAACCTCTGCCTCCCGGGACAACACTTTTATATTTACTTTTTTTTTTTCAAGTTTTGTATAGTGCTTCTTCTCCTAAACATTTGGGTCTTAAGTGTTTGTAATTCTATAGTTCTTAATCTCAGTATGCTGCATAATTTTCTGTGGTTTCTCTATTTTCTGCTCATACTTAATTAAAACCTCAAATTATCCTAATTTGATGGAATGCATCTGATTTGTGATTTAACTCATTTAATACAGTAATTGGTACTGAAATTGTCTCTAGGAAATAAACCCTCCCAATAGAATTCTTGGATTAGGCTGTTCACCTATTAAAGGAGCTCAGAGATAACCATCAAGCTGGGGGGAAACTGAACACAAGATATCCATGGTAAGCAATACAATTATGACTAATCAAATAACCAACTGGTTGTATGGAATATGGTACAGGTTCAGATCAATATACTGCGAGTACAAGTGACTATGCCACTGTTATGTTGGAAATAGTATTCACTACATTTATAGAGTCACCTGGCTTCTTAGAAGGGTGTTGAAGTGTGTATATGAAGAAAAAAGAAATTAAAAGTGATGGACATATAATTAAGCACTTCCATGGAAATTTAAAAATGTCCCTTGTCTCCTGCAATAATTGGGAGTTTCAGACTGAATCTAAGATTAAGAGATACAGAGTTAGATTGTCAAATGTTTCACGCTTTATAACTCTTATGTTAAAGTAAGCACACTGTTAAGGAATGAATAGGACCTTAGAATATGAGGACATTTTGGCAGGTATAGATAAGGCCAAGAATTCCAAATTTCCAAGCTTCTGTAAACCTCACTTGCTACTGGAGACAGACATCCTTCCTCTTTTTGAAGAAGCCAGTTCCTCCACTGCATGGAAGTCTTTCTGTAACTTCTTCTGGAAAAATTGCCTCAAAAGTTGAAGCTTAGTTACCTCAGAACTACCACTTACATTCTTATTGCTGTAAGTCATTAAAGAGGTTCACCCCAGCACCATCTCTCATAAGATATAAAGGCCTATATGAGGAGACAACCATTGAGGAAAGATAAAGTCTCACAAATCTATTTCTGCAGGACTGTGTGGTGTATATGTGGAGAACAGAAGAATAATTGAGCAAGTTGGGCAAAATTGAAGGCTCAGCGGGACACATTTCTTGCCACAGTGTTTAAAATTTAGTGAGTTGGGTAGAACACCTTGGAGAGGAGTAATTCATGTGCTATGTTAGTTAATTAAGGCCTAGACTCAATACGGCCTATGGTTGGATGAGGTAAAATTTGGAACTTTCCTGGCACACTGTAGAAGAGTGTCCAAAGGCTCAGGAAATGGGATGTCCCTCTTCCTAAACTTTATGTGGTCTCCCTACCAGAGTGCAGAGAGGCTATTTATAAAACTATTTTTAGGGTGCAGGAAAACTATTGAAATATCCTTTGAAATACCAAAGGATATTACTATCCTGCTGGTAGTAACAAAGAGGCTGTTACCACCACTGGGGCCATGGAGAAATGTGGTTACGGGAAATAAGATTAAATAATGACATGAAAAACAACAAATGAACACTGATTATTTAAAAAGAACTGACTTAAGCAAGCTAGACAAGCTAATAATGAGAGGTTTTGAAAGGGATTTGATGGCAGAAATTATAACTCTATTGGCATGCGTCACCTCTGCACATGGTTGCCTCCTAAAACCATGGTTTCTTTTTCTCTCCAAGCCTCATCCCAACCCTGACTTTCAAAAGGTACTTGGTTTATGAGCATTAATGTTTTGTTTTCCATTTTGGTGTGAGTTTTATTTCTTAAAACTATATCTAAAATTATATCTAAAATGGGGATAGCAATAGTCCCTACCTCATAAAGTGCTTATAAGGATTAAAAGACAAAGCACCTGCAAAGCACTTAGAACAGTACTCTCAGTACATTTTAACTTGTATTAAAACTAATAGGATTATGCGTATTATGAAAACGACAGTATCAGCTAGATCAGTCCTTTAATGTTCACCTGAATATATCATTTCTATCTCCACATTTATATTGATGTTGTACTCTCTGTGTCCTGAAAAACAATTCTTTTCTCAACTGCTATAATTTCATATTTAGCTTTTTGTATCTAAACAAATTAGCTCTAATTCACCAAATTACCACTTATTTTTATATTACCCACTTGGCATTTTAATTATCTTTTTTATTGCTGAAAGGATTTCTGTATTTATGGTTGTTAACTGTTAAAGGAAACCACAGTTGGACAGTTAAAAAACAAACAAAGAAACAAACAAATGAAAAAAAAAAGATTTTATTCAGGACCTATTGCAGTGGAGGGAAAGAGATCTCAGTATAGAGCTGGGCTCAATTCCCAATATAGGATGGGCAAGTGAGGGTTTATAGCTAAGAATCAGGATGTGGATCAGTGGATGGAAAATTACTAAGAAGAAATATCAGGCATTGGGGGAGATTCTGGTTATAAAGACCTATCAGGTTTCTTGCCGAACTTAAATCAGGGTGATCAGATATCACGTGGGGAAATGTGGGGTTGTGGAACTTCATCAGATATTTAGGGGATCATATATCAAGGATGAGAGATTCTCCCTAAACTAACTTAGCAAATTCCTTACCAAAATTAAGAAATGTAGGTATTACAATGACTGACACAAAGGTCCAGGTCTAGAGGGCTTAGAGGAACCTGACTAGAGTTAGAACAAGAAAGGTATATTGTCTTATCTCTAACTCACTGATAACTATTTTTAAAAATTGTCCTCAGAAATAATTTTTTTAATTTTATTATTATTATACTTTAAGTTTTAGGGTACATGTGCACAACGTGCAGGTTTGTTACATATGTATACATGTGCCATGTTGGTGTGCTGCACCGAGAACACATGGACACAGAAATAATTATTTTGAAAAAGGAAGATTAAATGCCATATTGCTGAATCATGTGTATTATTTTTAAATGTTTTTCTAAATTGTCTAAATCCGTTGAATAATTTCTTAATTTTAACAAAAGGAATCTGCAAATACCATCAAAGAAGTTTAGAATGTTCAGTTTTTAAGACTTGAACATTGTAGCCACATAATATATATTAAATAGTCACAAAATACCAACATTTAGATAAACTGATTTACATTGGTATAAATGTCATTTCAAGAAAGCATGACAATTTAGAATCCCTTCATTTGGTAATAATTACATTCAGAGAATTGCATTTTTAGATGTGTAGATTCCATGCCAAGTTATAATGGCTACTGTGCAATTATAAATACCGTTTCACTGCAACTTTCCAGTTAACTTCTAGGAGCAAAGGTATAACTGAAGTACATATATTAACATTTCATTCATTATCCAGGTCTTGTGTATTTTACTTCTGAAAGTTAAAATATCTGTTGGTCTAAGGATAATTTCTAGCTATAAAATCTTTGAGGTGGATTTTTACCTGAAATCTTTTTTGTAGTAGCTAATTTAAAAAACATTTTATAATGTATACTTGAATCTTTTATACCTACTTAAATATGATTAGTGTCAATGTTTGTGTCATAGCATCTCCTCTGATAATATAACACTCTGGCTTAGACAATGAGAGCTCACCATCACATATTCAGTGTGCTCCTTTATATTTCACTTGCAGGTAGGTTGTTCCCTTGTCACCAGTTTTGGCTAAGAGACTGTGACTGGAAGGGATGGAAATGTATTACATTGCTTGCTAATTAATTTGTCCACTTATATGTGGCTCTATTAGGCAGGCATTACATAGGTTTCAGAAAATAATAACATTTTCAAAAACTATAATCTGTTTATATTATCATGCAGCTTTATTAGACAGACATAACACATTTTAGAAAATAATTGCATAGTTTCCAAAACTATAATTTGCTCATGTTATTAGGATAAGCTAGACTATGCTGTGTTTTTGTGATAAATTAACTTAGAAATTATAGACACACAACATAATTTAGGCTTATTTTTTTTTCCTACTCTGAAGTCAGAGGTAGCTTTATAGCTGTCCTCCCTCTGGAAGCTATTCCATCTGAAACACATGACCTTGTAGGCCCTCATAGGAAAATAAGGGAGATATGACGAGAAACCCCTCCTAGTAATGCCCTCCGTGTGGCGATATGGATCACCTCCACCCAAAGACATGCTTGATATTTAAGGCTCTTTCCTTACTATACGAATGCCAAGTATAAAAGCAAGTAATTATAGGAAATCTTGACAGTAAATATTTACACACACACAAAAAGGAATATCAGGGTCTTCTAGATTATTAGCTCAAAAACCAGATGGAATATGTTAAAATACCATCAGTCCAGTTTATTTGACTATGTTCTACTAGACAATAATTTAACTCTTTGTCTCAGTTTGTTCAGACATCTATAATTAAGTACTATAGGCTGGATGTCTTACAAACAACAAAATTTTGTATGTCTCACAGTTCTGAAAGCTTGGAAATTTAAGATTAAGTCACTGGCAGATGTGTTGTCTGCTAATCTGAATATTTTCAAATTAAGAGCATGGATTGGGAAGTATGAAAAGTTGTATAGAAACCTAAAGTTTTAAAAATAGATTTGAAGTTACTTTATGTAACCATTTATTCATTCAGCAGCTATTTACCAAGAGTACTTTTGGCCATAGTGCTTTTATAGCTGCAGGGACTCTGTGTTGTAAAATAAACAAGATCTCTCTGCCTTCAATAAGCTTAAAGCTCAAAAGTGGGGGACACAGATAAGGATCTTAGAAACAAAATTGAAATGGAAAACATTTATTTTGTTAAGAGCATAAAGAATTTTATGTAGGAGAGTAAAATAGAAAAATAGTAAAATAGAAAGTGACAAATACTTAGAATATGTGAGCTGTGTCTCTCTGGTAATTTGATATTTTATTAAGATCTTGGTTATGAAAAAGAAGAACAAGCTATAGGACGATTTGGGGGCACAGCATTGCAAGCAGAGGAAAGAATAAGTACAAAACCTAAGAAGGGAATGAGATTGGTTAACTGTATGTAGGAACCAAAAGAAGGCCTATGTGGCTGGGGTACAGTGATAGAGAGAATTGTAGAAGAAAATAACAGACAGAAAATTAGACAGGGGCCAGATTATGTAATATTTTATAGACCTCAATCAGAAATTCTGATCTTTCTTTAGGTAGTTTGGGAATCTATTGGAGGGTTCAGAGCAGGGAGGTGTGTGCTCTGAGTGGCTTGCTGCTGTATGGAATAAAGGACTGTAGGAGAATAAGTGTACAAGAAACTCATTTGTAAAGTTGGATAAAGATAGTACCTACTTCAGAAAATTGTTATAAGTATTTAATGAGTGGATATATGTTATATTCTTAAGTAGTACCTGGTATATACTTAGCACTCCAAAAATATATGTTAAATAAATAATATTGGTTTATACTGAGGTGTTTTCAGAATTACAAATATAAAAATGCTAGTGATTATTTAAAAACTATTTCAAACAGAGCACAAAAATGATAGGTTATCTCTAGGGTACAGGTGATCAGTACATTTTATCTCTGATTGTTGAACTCTTGTTCTTTCTTCTAGTCTAGTTCAGTTATTATCTGCTATAGAAAAAAATTCTGAACTCACACCTTGAGTATAACAGTTACTATACTCAAATTTGCATTAAAATAACCAATTACAAATTCCTTCAGGGTAAAGATTCTCTATCACTTTTTATAGCTCCATAATAGGTAGTAAGTTTCCTTATATGCAGAGAACCAACTAAAATTGCCCGGCATTAGAAGGAGGGCATTGAAATTCAACAGAATTAGAAAAAGTAAGCATTTGAGGATGGTGATCACTAAGTGGAAGATTAGAAAAATAATTTCACAGGAACAGAATTCATGTATGCATTAGTCAGCCATTTAGCAATTAGTCTTACAGATACGATTTTGAAGATACTCTATTTTATATTAAAATATTAAGAGTTTTGTGGTCAGGTCAATTTTTAAGCACTCTTATTAACCAATTAAGCAAAAAAGTCAATAGACATATGGAAAAAATTGAGCTATACACATATTCTGATAAATCTTCTAAAAGCTCCTAAAAACTATTTCTTCACAGAGCCTGTGTATGAATTCCATTAATTCAAATGGAAATTCCACATATATTGTACCTCAAGTGGAGATGAAATTCCTTTTATATTCAACTCTATAGTTCAGTACTGTACATTAATTGTTTTGATGTATGATTCAAAGTATGGGTTATGCTTAATGCACAAAGCCTTAAAAGATGAAAAAAGGATAGCTGAAGCTTAACACTTACATTTCCTTAAACAAAAAAGGTGAACACAATGGAGAGAAAGAAATATCTGTGTTTTACACATAGATAAGGAGAGTATGTGTGAAGTTTTGTATAGTGAATGAGTTAGGGCAATGATGAAAGGGGGAGCCTGGAGCTTTCTTCCAGGGAAATTTTTTCAGCTACTTAATACTCATTGAAAGCCTTCAGAGATATTAACTGTTATATATATATATGAATGGGAAGCTTTTTATATTTTCATTTCTCAACTCTTACAGATTGATAATGGCTTAAGAATACTTTGCAATTTAAAACTTCTAATGGTCTCCTTGCTTTTGCCCTTGCCTCCCTATTGGCAGCTAGAGTGATCCAAAGAAGCAAAAGTAAAGGCATGATACCCCCTGCTCAAAATATACAGGTCCCTTTCATCACATTCAGGGCGAAATCCAAAGGTGTCACACTGGCTTGCAAAGCCCTAAATTATTCAACTCCTATTTCCTCTCTGACCAAGATACCTGCTTCTCTACCCACCCTGAATAGCAGGAACATAACTGCCTCATGTTCATTGTTCTTTCTGTTCCTACTGCTTGGCCAGCTTTTTCCCAAGGACAAAATGTGATTCACTGATTAGTTTCTTCAGGTCTTTGAACAAAAATTACTTCAAAGGAGGCTTTCTCTAGCCATTCTACTTTACTATTTAAAATTACAGCTGCTCACTCCCCAGTGCCCTATGCTTCTCTACTCTCTTCACTGCTTTATTTTCCTGCATAGATGTATCACCTCTAGACCTCATATTTTATTGTTTTGTCTCTGTGGGTATATGCACACGTGTGTGTGTGTGTGTGTGTGTGTGTATTCTCCAGTTAGAGCTTAGAATTCATGAAAACAAGATCTTTTGTTTTGTTCTCTGAAGCATACAACCCCTATATAGTGCCTGGCACATTCTAAGTGTTCAATATAAATATGTTGCACCAATATTTGATGAATCAATAAATGAATGATTCCAAAAATAAACTAACTGAATCATTAGGTAATAAAGTTTTACTTTAAACAAATTATATCCTTATGATCTATATTTTGAGAGCTTGGCAAAAAAATACTATGTATCTTCTATTTCTATAAGTCATTTATTTTTCTGTTCTTTGCATTGTAATACAATGTCTATGATAGTCATCTACTGAGAAAGAAATCTGAAAATGCACTGACATCATAGGTTTGTAATATTTATGGTTTTCTTTATTTATTATTTATTTATTTATTTATTTGAGGTGGAGTCTCGCTCCGTCCCCCTGACTGGAGTGCAATGGCACGATCTTGGCTCATGGCAACCTCCACCTCCTGAGTTCAAGAGATTATCCTGCCTCAGCCTCCCAAGTAGCTGGGATTACAGGTGCACGCCACCACATCTGGCTAATTTTTATATTTTTAGTAGAGATGGAGTTTCACCATGGTGACCAGGCTGGTCTCAAACTCCTGACCTCAAGTGATCTGCCCGCCTCGGACTCCCAAAGTGCTGGGATTACAAGCATAAGGCACCTCACCTGGACCATTTTCTTTCTATCTTTGCAAAATATGTCCATGTAAATGTGCAAGAATGGAATATACTGTTTATTTTATTTTTATTTATTTATTTATTTATTTATTTATTTATTTATTTATTTATTTGAGATGGAGTCTCTCTCTGTCACCCTGGCTGGAGGGCAGTGGCGCAATCTCGGCTCACTGCAAGCTCTGCCTCCCGGGTTCACACCATTCTCCTGCCTCAGCCTCCGGAGTAGATGAGACTACAGGCGCCCGCTACCACACCCGGCTATTTTTTTGTATTTTTAGTACAGACGGGGTTTCACCGTGTTAGCCAGGATGGTCTGGATCTCCTGACCTCATGATCCACCCGCCTGGGCCTCCCAAAGTGCTGGGATTACAGGCGTGAGCCACCATGCCCGGCTATACTGTTAATTTTTCTGTTTATGATCTGGTGTGTGATTTCTTTTTTCTATAATTTTGTTAAATTGATTTGATTGAGCAAACACATAAAGGGTGGGGAATGTGACTTAAGAAAAAATAAACAGTAGATTCAGCTTGATTGAATGGTAATGCTCTTTTTTCCAGTAGTTTTTAAGGGTGAAGAGACTAGCTGATTATGAAAACTGACTACCTTATAAAATGGGAAAACGTTTGGATTATCTGGTGTTTAGCTTAAAAATATTTTTTTCAATTATTTCTTAAAACTGCATGTGAATCCACAACTGTCTCAAAATAAAATATTCTAAGGATTAATTTTACTTTATTTTTATTTATTCATTTAAAAATCATCATTTTTTCCTAGCAACTACTATGTTGCCCACATATGGCTCAAGTATCTAATGAGAATACGGTGTTTGAATTGTGGTTAAAATTGCGGGAAAAAAGCAAAATGTCATTTTTCAAGTATCTTACATATTAGGAGACAGAAAACAAATCAATAAAGAGGTTTTGATAACAGCTCTAGAAGAAAATAAAGTGAGATAAAGGGTCAGATATTGCCAGATGGTGCCATTTTTGATAAGATGATGATGATGCTGGAAATTATCTCTGAGGAGAAATATTTTAGGAAAGGGAGTGACCATTTCAACTATTCAAGGGAGAGTATTTCAGGAAGAGAAACTGGCAAAAGCAATCCCTGGAAGCTTCATATAGGTGTCTAAACTCTGGGGCTGAAGATAAAGTTTTTATTGACAAAATGTACAAATTTGTTCCATTCTTCTATTGCATCTGTGGTTTCGGGTCATCCAAATGATGGGTCAATCTAAAAAATTACAAAAATATACACAGAAAAAGAAGAAATATTTACTATTTCATAATATGGAATTCATTATACACAATCACAGGGTGATGGGTGCTGACCAATAAAATAGCAAATGGGTGATTTATATATATTATCACAACTTCCTCACAGTTGCCTTCTTCCTTCTTTGTAACATGTAAGTATATTTTTGTCTTCATAATTATTAGGATAAATTTTAACAAACGGTTTATGGCATAATCATTTGCCAAAAGTATTTCAGTAGTTGCACAAGAATAGAGATTATCAGTGCAAATCCAAAGAAACCTGGGTACCTCAACTTCACTCTCCACCCACTCCTCTCCCTTTCACTGCCCAGTTCATTTTCCTTTGCTTCACTTTCATATTCTATTTATTCATTCTTCCTTTTTATTGACATTTATAATTAACATGTACGCACACACGCTTATATAAATACTATTCAATAAATTTCATAATGCATTTCAACTTAGTTTGGATATTTCAAGAGCAAGAATTACATATTTTCATTTTTGTATGCTTAACAATATACAATACTCAATACACGCAAGCATATTAAATGTTCCTTACATGAAATAGTGCTGTTAGATAGAGCATAATAAAGGCATAGAGTCGGGAATATACAAAGTAACTCCCCAAAATTGAGTTGTTGTTCTATGTAGGCTAATGGTTAAAACATGTGAAAGGAAAAATAAGACTCATTGTCAATATGGATTGAAGGGCATATTATTCCCTTTAGTTCTTATACCAACCATGGGATGTTGATAGTATCATCATTCCCATTTTACATAGAAGAAAACTTTGGCATAGCAAGTTTATACCACTTACTTCATTTGTTTAATAATAGAGGTTAGAACATAAATTATCAGTATTTTCTAACCTGCTACAAAATAGTGTGGAAGATTTCACTTGCAAATGACAAAAATCCCTATTCTAACCCATTTAAAACATCTGAAAAGCAAAATTGGTTTCACATAGAGTTGGATTCAGTTAGTCAAAAAAAAAATTGCACGGCAATATCTCTCTCTGTCTTGATGCTAATTTCCTTCGTGCTCCATTCTCACGCAGGTTCTTTCTTTATATTGTATATTTAGCTTCCAGCAGCTTCAGCCTACATTCTAATCCCTTAGCAGATGCAGTTATAAAAGGGGCATGGTATTTTCCAAGGATTGCCATGCCTTTTCAGAAGTCTTTTTAGTCTTTTTAGCTCTGGATGGTGTAACTACAGCCAATTATGCATGTCTGAACTGTAGCCCCTTATATAAAAGGCTCAGGTTGGTCAACTTTCAGCACTTTTAAGTACTTTTGAGACTGTCTTCAAAATACATTCTGAATTTGATTACTTCCATTTATTAATTTTTTGCCACCTACCCACACCATCGATTGGTAGCACTACCATAATATTTAACGGATTTTCTTGCTTCCAGTTTGATACCTTTAAGCTCTATTTTCCACAAAGCAGTGCAGATTGATTTTTTTTAAAGTTTAATCACAGTAGTCCTAGTTCTAAATGCATTTATAACTTCCCACTGATTTTAGTATAAAATTAAACCTCTTATCATGGCCTAAAAAGTTTTACATAATCTATCACTGCATAACTGTGGGACCTATTCTCTTACATTCTTCCTTTTATTCACTGGTCTTTTTTTTGCTTTTTTTCTCTTTCACACAATTGTACGTCAGTGGATATTCCAGCATTCACTGAAAATTCCCTTACCAAGCTTATTTATTTTTTAAAAGTTTTATCAGTGTCTCGTTTTCTCATCTGTACATTGAACACATTGCACCTATGATAAAATGGTGATTAAATGTACTAATAACCAAAATGTGCTTATGAACTTTCTCACTACATGAAAATTTGCATTATCATTGTCATCACCAACCTCACTCCTACTGTTACCAGACAGCGTTTCCAATCCAGACCTCAAGAGAGGGTTCTTTGATCTCATGCAAGAAAGAATTCAGGATGTGTCCGAAGTGCAAAGAAAAAGCAAGTTTATTAAGAAAGTAAAGTGGTAAAAGGACAGCTACCCATAGACAGAGTAGGAGGTTCCTGAAAGTAAGAGAAAGAACACATTCACCCTAGGTGCAATGTTTGTATATATGGGAGATGTGTTCTGCTTCAAGGTTCTGTGATAAAGAATTAATTTTCTTAATTACTATGTTTTGCAAGAATCAATATTATTATCTTTAAAGCAAAATTAGGAATGACTTTGTTCTCTAGATATCAGTATATCTGAACACTCTCAGTCTGGGTCTTAGTAAACACTATTGATTTGTTCCCTTAACCATAAACATCTAGAAGCTAGGAATGCCTAATTTTCTGGAAATTTAGCCCAGCAAGTTTCAGCCTCATTTTCCTAGTGTTCACTCAAAATGGAGTCGCTCTGGTTAGAATGCCTCTGACACTACCAGAAGAGTATTTTACTTATCTATATGTATTCCTGCATATTGTCTTCCTCCTTAGTTGCATTAACTTCTGTGGGTGCAAAGGCTTTGTAATTTACCCTTTATCACCAGAGACAAATATAACACCAGGCATCTAGTAAGAAGTCAATACATATTCATCGAATGAATAATTTGTGGAATAAATGTAATCATAACTCATATTGTCCCTCTGTATTTGTGCTTTTAGTTTTCAAGGGGCACAGGTATTCTCATGTGCCTTCACTCAGGTGGTAGTGTTTATTTTTAGAGAACACAGAGAAGTCAGGGAAAGAGAAAATCAACACTCTATAAAAAGGGCAAGATATCAAAGAGCACTGGAAAATCATTTATCACCATTCAGAACATAAAAGTAGCTCCAGTGACCCATAAGCAACTCTAATGACCCAGACAATAGATACGGTATACTAGTAATTTTGCTATTGCCTTTGAATCAGATGTCTATTACATTTTGATCTAGTAACCCCCACTAATGACTCTTTCTTCCCTTGTCTGTGGCTGTTTCTACTTTTAACACTTCTTATCTAATCCTTCCAATCAATGCATTATCTATTTATTTACACATATATTTAAATTCACCAAAAAAAGATGGATCAATCACTTGCATAATGATCATCTGTGGCAAATGATGCCATTTTTGCTCTTCTACTTGATAGCTAATACGGTTTGGCTGTGTTCCCACCCAAATCTCATCTTGAATTTCCATGTGTTGTAGGAAGGACCCAGTGGGAGGTAACTGAATCATGATGGCAGGTCTTTCCTATGCTGTTCTTGTGATAGTAATTAAGTCTCATGAGATCTGATGGTTTTAAAAACAAGTTTCCCTGCACAAGCCCTCGTTTTGCCTGCTGCTATCCATATAAGATGTGACTTGCTCCTCTTTTCCTTCTGCCATGATTTTGAGGCCTCCCCAGCCAGATGGAACTGTAAGTCCATTAAACCTCTCTTTCTTTTGTAAATTGCCCAGTCTCCCAGTTTTGGGTATGTCATTATCAGCAGCATGAAAATAGACTAATACAGTAAATTGTTACCAGTAGAGTAGGGTGCTGCTATAGATACCTGAAAATGTGGTAGTGACTTTGGAACTGGATAACAGGCAAAGGTTGGAACAGTTTGGAGGAGCTCAGAAGAAGACAGGAAAATGGGAAAGTTTGAAACTTCCCAGAGATTTGTTGAATGGCTTTGCCCAAAATGCTAATAGCCAAATGGGCAATGAAATCTAAGCTAATGTAGTCTCAGATAAAGATAGGGAACTTGTTGGGAACTTCAGCAAATGTGATCGTGGTATGTTTTAGCAGAGAGACTGGCAGCATTTTGCCCCTGCCCTAGAGATTTGTGAAACTTTAAACTTGAGAGAGATGATTTAGTGTATCTGGTCAAAGAAATTTCTAAGCAGCAAAGCATTCAAAAGGTGACTTGAGTGCTGTTAAAGGCATTCAGTTTTAAAAGGGAAACAAGAGCATAAAAGTTTGAAAAATTTGTAGCCTGACAATGCAATAGAAAAGAGAATCCCATTTTCTGAGGAGAAATTCAAGCTGGCTGCAGAAATTTGAATAAGTTATGAGGGGCCAAATGTTAATCCCCAAGACAATGGGGAAAATGTCTCCAGTGCGTGTCAGAGGTCTTCACAGTAGCCCCTCTCATCACAAGCGTGTAGGCCTAGGAGAAAAAAATTGTTTTCCTGGACCAAGCCAAGGGTCCTGGTGATGTGTGCAGCCTAGGGACTTGGTGCTCTGCATCCCAGCCATTCCAGCCATGGCTAAAAAGGGCAAAGATAGAGCTTAGGCCATGCCTTTAAGTGTGCAAGCCCCAAGCCTTGGCAACTTCCATGTGGTGTTAAGCATGTAGGTGCACAGAAGTCAAGAACTGGGGTTTGGGAACCTCCAGCTAGATTTCAGAGGATGTATGGAAACACCTGGATGCCCAGTCAGAAGTTTGCCGTAGGGGTGGGACCTTCATGGAGAACCTCTGCTAGGGCTGTGCAGAAGGGAAATGTGGGCTTGGAGCCCCCACACAGAGTCCCTACTGGGATACTGTCTAGTGGAGCTGTGAGAAGACAGTCACCATTCTCCAGACTCCAAAATGGTAGATACACTGGCAGCTTTCATTGTGCACCTGGAAAAGATGCAGACACTCAACACCAGCCCACAAAGGCAGCCAGGAAGGAGGTTGTACCCTGCAAAGCCACAGGAGCAGAGCTGCCCAAGAAAATGGGAACCCACCTCTTGCATCAGTGTGACCTGGATGTGAGACATGGAGTCAAAGGAGATCCTTTTGGAGCTTTAAGATTTGACTGCTCTGCTGGATTTCAGACTTGCGTGGGGCCTGTAGCCCCTTTGTTTTGGCCAATTTCTCCCATTTGGAATGGCTGTATTTACCCAATGCCTGTACCCTCATTGTATCTAGGGAGTAATTAACATGCTCTTGATTTTATAGGCTCATGGGCGGAAGGGAGTTGCCTTTTCTTGGATGTGACTTTGGACTGTAGACTTTTGATTTAATGCAGAAATGAGTGAAGACTTAGGGGGACTGTTGGGAAGGCATGATTTGTTTTGAAATGTGAGGACATGAGATTTGGGAGGGGCCAAGGGCAGAATGATATGGTTTGGCTGTTTCTACACCCAAATCCCCTCTTGAATTCCCAAGTGTTGTGGGCGGGACCTGGTGGGAGGTTACTGAATAATGGGAGCAAGTCTTTCCCTTGCTATTCTTGTGATAGTAAATAAGTCTCATGTGATCTTATGGTTTTAAAAACAGTAGTTTCCCTGTACATGCTCTGTTTTTGCCTGCTGCTATCCATGTAAGATGTGACTTGCTCCTCCTTCCCTTCTGCCGTGATTGTGATGCTTCCCAGCCCCATGGAACTGTAAGTCCATTGAACCTCTCTTTCTTTTGTAAATTGCCCAGTCTCGGGTATGTCTTCATCAGTAGCATGAAAACAGACTAGTACAATTGCCATAAGCTATTTTTCTTGCTAACAGATGCTCTATTTTTTTTTTAGGGGACAATGATCAGCTTTGGTGAATCCTCACAATTGCTGTAGATCAGTCATGCACATACAAATCCCTTTGAAATTGATTGTCAATGAGAAATGAAGGGTTGCCTATTAGGGAGCTTCTGGGAAAGTTGTTTTTTTTCTTTTTTTCTAATAAACGGGAGAACACCTGGAGGATAAAACACTTTTTCTCTTATTTCTATTTTGCATTGCAGGATGTCTTGGGAGCTCATAATGCTTAAAACTCTGATAGTCATGTTAGAACTGAGGTTGGAGCCTAGTGTCTAAAGCCAATATGCTGAAGAAGGTGGTATGTAATGGTAGATAGAGATGCATCCTCAATACCACTCTTGAATAGAATCATCCATATCTACCAATCTGATTAAGCAAACAGTATATTCCCTCGATGTTTAAACCACTTTTTAGCCAGGTTTATATTACTTCCACGTGACCAAATTCTAACTGACGTACCACCCAATATATGATACTAAGAGACTGAGTTCTCTAGACAAGACAACAAAGATATAATAGGATGCTTTTAATGTTTCGGGGAATTTTTTCAACCAGCGTGTTTTGACCATGACAGCACTCACAAGATTCAAAACATGGTCAATAATGTATAACTGACTGTCTATATAATCTGTTCTCAGAAGGCAGATGTGGGACAAACAGGCACTTACAGATATTCCAATGCATTTGCAAGGCATTCTGACACGTTATATTTAAAAGTTGAAGACAATTTTTATGTAAGTCCCAAAATTGAGACAGCCAGGTGGGGAGGACTCCCTGGCAAAACTCCAACAAGCCTGTGCACTGGGAGGAATGCACACTGGAGTGGAGCCACAGAAGTTCACCCACTTGCTGTGGGGAGGGGCCTGGGCCCTGGAAACTGGGAGTCAAACTGCCAGGTGGGAAGTTCACCAGCAGGGACTATGGCTTTGTGGAGGGTCACTGTTTCGCTTTTTTTTCCCTTTTCACCCAATAAAACCCTGCCTTACTCACCCTTCAAATGGTCTGTGAGCCTAAATTTTTGTGTCCAGGTGACTAGGACCCCACCTTTAGCTGAACTAAGGAAAAGTTCCACATCAAAATCAATCACAAAACAAGCACAAAGTCTTAGTTACCCCCTAACTAGATATTTGTCCTGTGTTTCCTGACCTTACTGGGCTTTCAGATAAGCTTCCAGTGTGAAAAGTTGACTCAGAACATTCACCTTATGGAAGAAAGATAGACTGTTAAAAAAGCGGGAATTAAAGAGATACAGACTATTGGGTGCAAAATAAAGCTGTGCTCCCACCTGAAAGACTGCAATGCAAATATTACGGCTTAACATAGAATGATTAATTGGCAGCATGTCTAGTATATACATTTGTAAACGTACATTAAAAAACATAAATCACCAATATATGTCCAATTATCTACTCTATTTCTAAATACAAAAGTAGTTTGTTAAAAGGATTATAGAACAAATACTATGTAAAAAAAATGAATATTTTAAATTTACTTATTTTTGTGTTATCTTATGTACTGAGTTAATGAAATATTTTACCTCTCCTCCTTACAAGTAATACATGAAGCAGTCATTTAAAGAAAATTGGATTATCCTACCAGATAACTCCTTCAGGATGTACATTTTCTTGTGCCTGAATAAAGCTTTTGTAGTACTTCATTGAAAAGAAACACTCTCAGTTGAACTGAATTATTAGCATTTCCAACAACTGTTCTTTTAAAGTATGTCAGAAAGTGACATAAAAGTACCAGTCACAGTCAGTCATGAAGCCATGTTATAAAGTGGCCTATCATATTTCAAAACCGTCATTTTGTCATTCTCAGAAGCTGTCTTCCTCCCTGAGTATCAGATAGTGATGACAGACTGAACCTGTCACCTAATTCCCTGTAGAGCTGCAGGCTGAGAGGGTATGCTGAAAGATCCAGAGTGACAGTGAAAAATGTTTATGTACTAACATTTTTCTATATATTTTAAATGAATGATTCAAAGTGTTGTTGCAAAGCAGCTGTTAAATACTTGGAAGGAAGTACCATAGAGTATATACTACATGTAATAATTTATTAAAATACAACTATAAAGCCTTAGAAAAGAGACTATATGTCTAAGTCAATTCTGATTAATAATAACTTCTGAAACCATGCGGGCAAAGTAAATTCATCTTCCTTTAATCAATAATATTCTCTTTTTTGCCTCCACATCACTGCATCTACAATAGTTAAACAAATTATTATATTATTGTATTTGATTCCATCACATATCTTTCCCACATTAGATTTTAAATCTACTAATGGATCTACCTGAGTACAATTATAACACTAGAGATACTCGATGGTTTCTTGATTGAATCAATCTTATCTACCAATACTGGTATTATAAATAAATACAATTTACTCAAAATACATTTTGGGCCGGGCGCAGTGGCTCATGCCTGTAATTCCAGCACTTTGGGAGACCCAGGCAGGTGGATCACCTGAGGTCAGGAGTTTGAGACCACCTTGGCCAACATGATGAAAGCCCCTCTCTACTAAAAATAGAAAAATTGGCCAGGCTGGTGGCACATGCCTGTAATCCCAGCTATTCGGGAAGCTGAGGCAGGAGAATCGCTTGAATCTGGGAGCTGGAGGCTAAACTGAGCCAAGATCATGGCACTGCACTCCAGCCTGAGCGACAGAGTGAGACTGTCTCAAAAAAAATTTTTTTGAGCACTTTATACAATTGTAGTATATATAATGAAAAGTAAACATAGAAGTGTAAAAACAATGAATGTTCACAACTAAACACACCTATAACATACATAAAGTGCAAAATATTTACATGTATTACTCATTAATCTTACATATGTTTACAAACACATGGAATAACCACCAAGACTGAAATATAGAACATTTCCAATACAACACGAGGCCCCTTTTGTCAATCTCAGCAGTATGCCTCCAGGGCTAAGCATTATTCCATCTTCTTTCTCCATAGATTAGAATTGGTTGTTCTTTTTACACCATTTTTTCCTCTCAGTCCTTCTGTTTAACATTTTTGTGTTGAATTGCCTTTATGTTTAGTAATCCTGCAGTTAAATTCATCCAGTAAGTATTTAATTAAATTCTATAATTCTAAAATATCCATTTGGTTACTTTCATCCATTTGAATTACCTCTTGAATTTCTCTAAATTCATCAGTTTTTTCTTCTATCTCATCCTCTGTTTTATTCAGCTTATCAATCACAGATATTTTTAAAAATCCCTTTCCACTAACTCCAATTTTTGGATTATGTATAAATTTTCTTTCTTTTAAAACTTTCTTTGATTTTTGGTCATATTTTTCTAATGCTTCACATATATCACGATTTTTTTTTAAATTTCATGAGCCGACAAAGAACTATAGAGACTGCAAATGTTATCCTCTGCTAGAGATACTTCTCCTTTGTCTTGTTTGGCAAATAGTCTAAGGATCTGCTTCTTTCAAGTTAATCAGAGTAAGATCTAGTTCACCTTGCTCCTCAGGGTGGCTCTCCTGAAATTTTCAGCTGAGGCCCCAGTAGGTACCTTATACTTCCGATCTGAGAAAGAGCAGGAATGTTAAGTTCTGCAGGTAGAGATTGCATGCTTAACTTTTTACCCTCCTTCTCCATACTGTTTCAAAATGTGATAGAAGTTATTAAGGAGAAATTTACTTTTATGGCAAACCCCATGCTTCTTTTTTATTTTTTATTGTGTTAAGAGCACAATATGAGATTTACCCTCATAACATATTTTTATGTGCACAATACATTATTGCTAACTATAGGCACGATGTTATGCAGAAGATCTCTGGAACTCATTCATCTTTCATGCTGAAAGTTTACACACATTGAACAACTCCCCATTTCTCCCTCTTCCAGCCCCTGGCAGCCACCATTTTACTCTTTGCTTCTGTAAGTTTGATTGATTTAGATTATACTGATAAGTGAGATAATACATTGTTTGTCTTTCTGTGACTGGTTTATTTCACTTAGAATAACATTTTCCAGGTTCACCCATGTTGTGGAATCTGCCTGGATTTTCTTTTTCTTTTTAAGACTGAATAATAATCTATGGTCATTTAGGTTGTTTGCATACATTAGCCATTGTAAACAATGCTGTAAGTTGATGTGGGAGTGTAAATATCTCCTCAATATCCTGATTTCAGTTCTTTTGGACAAATATCCAGAAGTAAAATTGCTAGTTCATATAGTAATTCTATTTTTAATTTTTTGAAAAACCTTCATAGCTTTTTTCATAGCAGTGTCACCATTTTACCTTGCCAGAAACAGTGTATCAGGGTTCTGATTTCTTCACATCCTCACTAACACTAGTTATCTGTTTTTTCTAACATACAGCCATCCTAACATATGTATGATAGTTATAAATGTGGTCTTGATTTGTATTTCCCTGATAACTAGTGATATCGAATATATTTTTAAATACCTTTTGGCATTTGCTTTTCTTTCTTAAAGACATAGCTATTTAAGACATATGTCCCTTTTTAAATTTAGTTATTTGGTTTTTTATTGCTGTTGGGTTGTACGAGTTTTTTTATGTGTTTTAGATATTAATCCTTTATAAGATATATGGTTTTCAAATATGTTCTCTCATTCCATAGGTAGCCTTTTGTTTATTGTTTCCTTTGCTGTGCAGAGACTTTACAGTTTGATGTAGTTCCACTGCCTATTTTTGCTTTTGTTGCCTGTGCTCTTGATGTCATAGCCATGAAATTACTGCAACATCAATGTAAAGTATTTTCCTTTATTTTCTTGAAGAAATTTTACAGTTTTGGGTGTTATATTTAATGTTGTAAACCATTTTGAGTTTTTTTTTTTTGTGTATGGAATAAGGATCCAATTTCTGTGTGTGTGTGTGATAGCCAGTTTTCCCAACATCATTTATTGAAAAAAAAAACTATCATTTACCCACTGTGTATTCCTGACACACCTATTAAATATTGGTTTACTACATTTATGTATAGATTTATCTCAGGGTTCTCTAATGTGTTCCATTGGTCTATAGGTTTGCCTCTATGCCAGTACCAAACGGTTTTAATTAATGTGGTTTTGTAATATATTTTGAATTCAGGAAATGTGATGCCTCCAGCTTTATTCTTCTTACTCACATTTTTTGCCTGTTTGGGGCTTTTTTTGCAGTTTTCTATAAATTGGGGGATTTTTATTTTCAATTTCTGTAAAAACTCTAATTGGGACTTTGATAAAAATTGCATTGAATCTTTAGATAATTTTGGATAGTATGATGATATTTGATAGTATTTAGTCTTCTAATCCATGAATACAGGATGCAGGATGCCTTTCCATTTACTTGTGTCTTCTTTAATTTCTTTCAACAATGTGCTTCAAATTTCAGTGTATAAGTCTTTCACCTACTCGGTTAAGTTTGTTGCTAAATATTCCATTTCTTCTAATGGAATGGAAGACTATTTTTGATACTACTATGAATGCAGTTTTTCTCAATTTCCCTCTTGGATAGTTTGTTGTGAATGTATAGAAATGATTTACATTTTTGATTTTATATCTTGCAAATTTGCAAATTTATTTATTAATTCTTACAGTTTTTTTAATTGGGTGCTTAGTTTTCCACATATAATATTATGGCATTTACAAACATGTCATTTAACTTCTACTTTTCTGATTTAGATACCATTTATTTATTTATTTTTAATTGCTTTGGCTAGGACTTGTATTATGCTACATAGAAGTTAAAGTGGACATTCTTGCCTGTTCCTGACCTTAGGGGAAGTTTTCAGTTTTTTACTGTTAAGTATGATGTTAGCTTTAGACTTTTCATGTATGGCTGTTATTATGTGGAAGTAATTTCCTTCTGTTGTTAGTTTTTTTGTTTATTATTTATTTTTTTCCATAAGTTTTTGGGGAACAGGTGGAGTTTGATTACATGAGTAATTTCTTTAGTAGTAATATGTGAGATTTGTGTGCACCTATCCCCAGAGCAGTATACACTGTACCCAATTCATAGTCTTTTATCCCTCATCCAACTCGCACCGTTCCCCCTAAATCCTCAAAGTCCATTGTATCATTCATATGCCTTTGCATCCTCATAGCTTGTGTCTCATTTAAGAGTGAGAATATACAATGTTTGGCTTTTCTTTCCTGAGTTACTTCACTTAGAATAATGGTCTCCAATTCCATCCAGGTTGCTGATATGCCATTATTTCATTCTTTTTTTATGGCTGAATAGTAGTCCATGGTGTGTGTGTGTGTGTGTATATATATTTATGTCTATATGTATATATATATGTCTCTCTATATATGTGTGTGTGTATATATATATAGACATATATATAGACATATATATAGACATATATATAGACATATATATAGACATATATATAGACATATATATATAGACATATATATAGACATATATATATATATATATGTATGTATGTATGTATGTATTGTGTTGAATAGGAGTGATAAGAGGGGGTATCCTTGTCTTGTTCCAGTTCTCAGGGAATGGTTTCAACTTTTCTCCATTCAGTAGTATGTTGGCTGTGGGTTTGTTATAAATGGCTTTTATTACATAATGTCCCTTCTATGCTGATTTTGCTGAGGGTTTTAATCATAAAGGATCCTGGATTTTGTTAAGTGCTATATATGTATATAAATATATAGTGATATATACATATATACACACACTATATATATACACACACTATAAAATATATATAGTGATATATATATATATATCACAATTTCTCATTGATTGATGGACATTTGAGTTGGTTACACATTTTTGCAATTGCTAATTGTGCTGCTGTAAACATTCATGTGCAAGTATCTTTTTTGTATAATGACTTCTTTTCCTCTGGGTAGATACCCAGTAGTGGAATTGTTGGATCAAAAGGGAGTTCTGCTTTCACTTCTTAGTTCTTTAAGGAATATATACACTGTTTTCCACAGTCATACTGGTTTACATTTCCACCAGCACTGCCGTAGTGCTCCCTTTTCACTGCATCCCTGCCAACATCTATTTTTTTTAATTGTTTAAATTATGGCCATTCTTTCAGGAGTAAGTTGGCATCACATTGTGGTTTTGATTTTTCTAATGATTAGTGATGTTGAGCATTTTTATACATTTTTATATGTTTCATGGCAATTTATAGATCTTCTTTTGAAAATTGTCTATTCATGTCCTTAGACCATTTTTTGATGAGACTGTTTAGGCTTTTTTGCTAATCTGAGTTCCTTGTAGATTCTGGATATTAGTCCTTTGTCAGATGTACAGATTGTGAAGATTTTCTCCCACACTGTGCATTGTCTGTTTACTGTGCTGATTGTTTCTTTTGCTATGCAGAAACTTTTTAGTTTAATTAAGTCCCACCTATTTATCATTGTTTTTGCTGCATTTGTTTTTGGGTTCTTGGTCATGAAGTCTGTGTCTAAGCTAATATCATAAAGGTTTTTCCAGAATTTATCTTCTAGAATTTGTATGGTTTCAGGTCTTAGATTTAAGTCCTTGAGCCATCTGGGGTTGAATTTTGTATAAGGTGAGAGATGACGATCCAGTTTTATTCTTTTACATGTGGCTTGCCAGTTATCCCAGCACCATGTGTTGAATAGGGTGTCCTTTCCCCACTTAATGTTTTTGCTTGTTTTGTTGAGGATCAGTTGGCTGGATTTGACCCTATTTCTGAGTTCTCTATTCTGTTCCAGTGGTTTATTTGCCTATTTTTATACCAGTACCATGCTGTTTTGGTGACTACGGCCTTATAGCATAGTTTGAAGTCAGATAATGTACTGTGTCCAGATTTGTTCTTTTTGCTTAGCTTTGCTTTGGCTATGCAGGCTCTTTTTTAGTTCCATTTAAATTTTAAGATTGTCATTTCTAATTCTGTGAAGAATGATGGTGGAATTTTGATGGGAATTGCATTGAATTCATAGATTGCTTTTGGCAGTATGGTCATTTTCACAATATTGATTCTACTCATCAATGAGCATAGGATGTGTTTCTATTTGTTTGTATTGTCTGTGATTTCTTTCAGCAGTGTTTGAGTTTTCCTTGTAAAGGTCTTTCACCTCCTTGGTTAGGTATATTTCTAATAATTTTTTGGCGGCTATTATAAAAATGTTTGAGTTCTTGATTTGATTCTCAGCTTGGTCGCTGTTGGTGTATAGCAGAGCTACTGATTTGTGAACATTAAATTTTTAATCTGAAACTACTGAATCCATTTATTAGTTCTGGGAGCTTTTTGGAGGAGTATTTAGTGTTTTCTAGGTATACGATCATATCAACATGTCAAGTGACATTTTAACTTCCTCTTTACTAATTTGGATGCCCTTTATTTCTTTCTCTTGTCTGCTTGTTCTGGCTAGGACTTCCAGTATTGTGTTGAATAGAAGTGGTAAGAGTGGATATCCTTGTCTTGTTCCAATTCTCAGAGGGAAAGGTTTCAACTCTTCTCCATTCAGTAGTATTTTGGCTGTGGGTTTGTTATAAATGGCTTTTATTACATAATGTCCCTTCTATGTTGATTTTGCTGAGGGTTTTAATCATAAAGGATTCTGGATTTTGTTGAGTGCTTTTTCTGCATCTATTTAGATAATTATGTCATTTTTGCTTTTAATTCTGTTTATGTGGTGTATCACATTTATTAACTTGTGAATGTTAAACCATCCCTGCATCCATGGTATGAAACCCACTTGATCATGTTGGATTATCTTTTGTGATATGCTGTTGGATTCAGTTAGCTAGTATTTTTTTGAGTATTTTTACATCTACGTTCATCAGGGATATTGGTCTGGAGTTTTCTTTTTCTGTTATGTCCTTCCCTGGTTTTGATATTAGGGTGATGCTGACCTCATAGAATGATTTAGGTAGGATTCTCTCTTTCTCTGTCTTGTGGAATAGTGTGAATAAGATTTGTACCAATTCTTTTTTGAATGTCTGATAGAATTCAGCTGTGACTCTTTCTGGTCCTGAACTGTTTCGTGGTGACAATTTTTTTATTACAATTTAAATCTTGCCACTTTTATTGGTCTGTTCAGGATTTCTAATTCTTCCTGGTTTAAGCTAGGAGGGTTGCATATTTCCAGGAACTTATACATCTCCCCGAGGTCTTCTAGTTTATGTGTGTAAAGGTGTTCATAGTAGCCTTGAATGATCTTTTGTACTTCTGTGGTGTCAGTTAAAATATCTCCCATTTAATTTCTAATCATGCTTATTTGGATCTTCTCTCTTCTTTTCTTGGTTAATCTGGCTAACGATCTGTCAATTTTATTTACCTTTTCAGAGAACCAGCTTTTTGTTTCATTTATCTTTTGTATTTTTTTAATTTGTTTTGTTTAGTCTCGTTTAGTTCTGATTTAATCTTGGTTATTTATTTTCTTCTGCTGGGTTTGGGTTTGGTTTGTTCTTGTTTTTCTAGGTTCCTTGAGGTGTGACCTTAGATTGTCTATTTGTGCTCTTTCAGACTTTTTGATGTATGCATTTAAGGCTATGAACTTTCCCCTTGGCACTGCTTTTGCTGTGCCCCAGAAGTTTTGATAGATTGTGTCACTATTACCATTCAATAAAAATAATTTTTTAACTTCCGTCTTGATTTTAGTATTAACCCAAATATCGTTAGGAGCAGGTTATTTAATTTCCATGTATTTGCATGGTTTTGAAGGTTCCTTTTGGAGTTGATATCCAATTTTATTCCACTGTGGTCAGCAAGAGTACTTGATATAATTTCAGTTTTCTTAAATGTATTGAGACTTGTTTTGAGGCCTGTCGTATGGCCTGTGTTGGAGAATGTTCCACGCTCTGCTGAACAGAATGTATACTCTGTGGTTATTGGATAGAAAGTTCTGTAAATATCTGTTATGTTCATTTGTTCTAGGGTATAGTTTAAATCCACCATTTGTTTGTTGATTTTCTGACTTGATGACCTGTCTAGGGCTGTTACTGGAGCACTAAAGTCCCCCACTATTACTGTGTTGCTGTCTATCTCATTTCTTAGATCTAGCAGTAATTGTTTAATGAATTTGGAAGCTCCAGTATTAGTGCATATATATTTAGGATTGTGATAATTTCCTGTTGGACAGAGTCCTGTTATCATTATATAATGTCCCTCTTTGTCTTTTTTAATGACTGTTTTTTTCCTTTTATTATTATTTTTTATTATACTTTAAGTTCTACGGTACATGTACACAACATGCAGGTTTGTTACATATGTATACATGTGCCATGTTGGTGTGCTGCATCCATTAACTCGTCATTTAACATTAGGTATATCTCCTAATGCTATCCCTCCCCCCTCCCCCCACCCCACGACAGGCCCCAGTGTGTGATGTTACCCACCCTGTGTCCAAGTGTTGTCATTGTTCAATTCCCACCTATGAGTGAGAACATGGGGCTTTTGGTTTTCTATCCTTGCGATAGTTTGCTGAGAATGATGGTTTCCAGCTTCATCCATGTCCCTACGAAGGACATGAACTCATCTTTTTTTATGGCTGCATAGTATTCCATGGTGGATATGTGCCACATTTTCTTAATCCAGTCTATCATTGTTGGACATTTGGGTTGGTTCCAAGTCTTTGCTATTGTGAATAATGCTGCAATAAACATACGTGTGCATGTGTCTTTATAACAGCATGATTTATAGTCCTTTGGGTATATACCCAGTAATGGGATGGCTGGGTCAAATGGTATTTCTAGTTCTAGATCCCTGAGGAATCGCCACACTGACTTCCACAATGTTTGAACTAGTTTACAGTCCCACCAACAGTGTAAAAGTGTTCCTATTTCTCCACATCCTCTCCAGCACCTGTTGTTTCCTGACTTTTTAATGATCGCCATCCTAACTGGTGTGAGATGGTATCTCATTGTGGTTTTGATTTGCATTTCTCTGATGGCCAGTGATGATGGGCATTGTTTCATGTGTCTCTTGGCTGCATAAATATCTTCTTTTGAGAAGTGTCTGTTCGTATCCTTTGCCCACTTTCTGGTCGGGTTTTTTTATTTTTTCTTGTAAATTTGTTTAAGTTCTTTGTAGATTCTGGATATTAGCCCTTTGTCAGATGGGTAGATTGTAAAAATTTTCTCCTACTCTGTAGGTTGCCTGTTCAGTCTGATGGTAGTTTCTTTTGCCATGCAGAAGCTCTTTAGTTTAATTAGATCCCATTTGTCAATTTTGGCTTTTGTTGCCATTGCTTTTGGTGTTTTAGTAATGAAGTCCTTGCCCCTGCCTATGTCCTGAATGGTATTGCCTAGGTTTTCTTCTAGGGTTTTTATGGTTTTAGGTCTAACATTTAAGTCTTTTATCCATCTTGAATTAATTTTTGAATAAAGTGTAAGAAAGGGATCCAGTTTCAGCTTTCTACATATGGCTAGCCAGTTTTCCCAGCACCATTTATTAAATAGGGAATCCTTTCCTCATTTCTTGTTTTTGTCAGATTTGTCAAAGATCAGATGGCTGTAGATGTGTGGTGTTATTTCTGAGGGCTCTGTTCTGTTCCATTGGTCTGTATTTCTGTTTTGGTACCAGTACCATGCTGTTTTGGTTACTGTAGCCTTGTAGCATAGTTTGAAGTCAGGTAGTGTGATGCCTCCAGGTTTCTTCTTTTGGATTAGGATTGATTTGGTGATGCGGGCTCTTTTTTGGTTCCATATGAACTTTAAAGTAGTTTTTTTCCAATTTTCTGAAGAAAGTCATTGGTAGCTTGATGGGGATGGCATTGAATCTATAAATTACCTTGGGCAGTATGGCCATTTTCACAATATTGATTCTTCCTATCCATGAGCATGAAATGTTCTTCCATTTGTTTGTGTCCTCTTTTATTTCATTGAGCAGTCATTTGTAGTTCTCCTTGAAGAGGTCCTTCACATCCCTTGTAAGTTGGATTCCTAGGTATTTTATTCTCTTTGAAGCAATTGTGAATGGGAGTTCACTCATGATTTGGCTCTCTGTTATTGGTGTATAGGAATTCTTGTGATTTTTACAAATTGATTTTGTATCCTGAGATTTTGCTGAAGTTGCTTACCAGCTAAAGGACATTTTGGACTGAGAAGATGGGGTTTTCTAGATATACAATCATGTCATCTGCAAACAGGGACAATTTGACTTCCTCTTTTCTTAATTGAATACTCTTTATTTCTTTCTCCTGCCTGATTGCCCTGGCCAGAACTTCCAACCTTATGTTGAATAGGAGTAGTGAGAGAGGGCATCCCTGTCTTGTGCCAGTTTTCCAAGGGAATGCTTCCAGTTTTTGCCCATTCAGTATGACATTGGCTGTGAGTTTGTCATAAATAGCTCTTATTATTTTGAGATAAGTCCCATCAATCCCTAGTTTATTGAGTTTTTTTTAGCATGAAGGGCTGTTGAATTTTGTCAAAGGCCTTTTCTGCATCTATTGAGATTATCATGTGGTTTTTGTCTTTGGTTCTGTTTATATGATGAATTACATTTATTGATTTGTGTATGTTGAACCAGCCTTGCATCCCAGGGATGAATCCCACTTGATCATGGTGGATAAGCTGTTTGATGTGCTGCTGGATTCGGTTAGCCAGTATTTAATTGAGGATTTTAGCATCCATGTTCATCAGAGATTTTGGTCTAAAATTCTCTTTTTTTGTTGTGTCTCTGCCAGGCTTTGGTATCAGGATGATACTGGCCTCATAAAATGAGTTAGGGAGGCTTCCCTCTTTTTCTATTGATTGGAATTGTTTCAGAAGGAATGGTACCAGCTCCTCTTTGTACCTCTTGTAGAATTCGGCTGTGAATCCATCTGGTCCTAGACTTTTTTGGTTGGTAGGCTATTAATTATTGCCTTAATTTCAGAGCCTGTTATTGGTCTATTCAGGGATTCAACTTCTTCCTGGTTTAGTCTTGGGAAGGTGTATGTGTTGAGGAATTTATCCATTTCTTCTAGATTTTCTAGTTTATTTGTGTAGAGGTGTTTATAGTATTCTCTGATGGTAGTTTGTATTTCTGTGGGATTGGTGGTGATATCCCCTTTTTCATTTTTTATTTTATCTATTTGATTTTTTTCTCTTTTCTTATTAGTCTTGCTAGTGGTCTATTTATTTTGTTGATATTTTCAAAAAACCAGCTCCTGGATTTATTGATTTTTTTGAAGGGTTTTTTGTGTCTCTATCTCCTTCAGTTCTGCTCTGATCTTATTTATTTCTTTCCTTCTGCTAGCTTTTGATGTGTTTGCTCTTGCTTCTCTAGTTCTTTTAATTGTGATGTTAGGGTGTCAATTTTAGATCTTTCCTGCTTTCTCTTGTGGGCATTTAGTGATGTAAATTTCCCTCCACACTGCTTTGAATGTGTCCCAGAGATTCTGGTATGTTGTGTCTTTGTTCTCATTGGTTTCAAAGAACATCTTTATTTCTGCCTTCATTTTGTTATGTACCCAGTAGTCATTCAGGAGCAGGTTGTTCAGTTTCCATGTAGTTGGACGATTTTGTGTGTGTTTCTTAATCTTGAGTTCTAATTTGATTGCAGTGTGATCTGAGAGAGTTTGTTATAATTTCTGTTCTTTTACATTTGCTGAGGAGTGCTTTACTTCCAACTGTGTGGTCAATTTTGGAGTAAGGGTGATGTGGTTCTGAGAAGAATGTATATTCTGTTGATTTGGGATGGAGAGTTCTGTAGATGTCTATTAGGTCCGCTTGGTGCAGATCTGAGTTCAATTCCTGGATATCCTTGTTAACTTTGTGTCTTGTTGATCTGTCTAATGTTGACAGTGGGGTGTTAAAGTCTCCCATTATTATTGTGTGGGAGTCTAAGTCTCTTTGTAGGTCTCTGAGGACTTGCTTTATGAATCTGGGTGCTCCTGTATTGGGTGCATATATATTTAGGACAGTTAGCTCTTCTTGTTGAATTGATCCCTTTAACATTATATAATGGCCTTGTCTCTTTTGATCTTTGTTGGTTTAAAGTTTGTTTTATTAGAGACTAGGATTGCAACCCCTGCTTTTTTTTGTTTGTTTGTTTTCCATCCCTTTATTTTGAGCCTATGTGTCTCTGCAAGTGAGATGGGTCTCCTGAATACAGCACACTGTTGGGTCTTTACTCTTTATCCAATTTGCCAGTCTGTGTATTTTAATTGGAGCATTTAGCCCATTTACATTTAAGTTTAATATTGTTATGTGTGAATTTGATCCTGTCGTTATGATGTTAGCTGGTTATTTTGCTCATTAGTTGATGCAATTTCTTCCTAGCGTCTATGGCCAATTCAATCAAGTGGAAGAAAGGATATCAGTGATTGAAGATCAAATGAATGAAATGAAGTGAAAAGAGAAGTTTAGAAAAAGAAAGAGTAAAAAGAAACGAACAAAGCCTCCAAGAAATATGGGACTACATGAAAAGACCAAATCTACATCTGATTGGTGTACCTGAAAATGATGGGGAGAATGGAACCAAGTTGGAAAACACTCTTCAGGATATCATCCAGGAGAACTTCCCCAACCTAGCAAGGCAGGCCAACATTCAAATTCAGGAAATACAGAGAACACCACAAAGATACTCCTTGAGAAGAGCAACTCAAAGACACATAATTGTCGGATTCACCAAAGTTGAAATGAAGGAAAAAATGTTAAGGGCAGCCAGAGAGAAAGGTCAGGTTACCCACAAATGGAAGCCCATCAGACTAACAGTCGATATCTTGGCAGAAACTCTTCAAGCCAGAAGAGAGTGGGGCTAATATTCAATATTCTTTTTTTTTCTTTTTTTTTTAAGTTTTTTTTTCTTTTATTATTATACTTTAAGTTTTAGGGTACATGTGCACATTGTGCAGGTTTGTTACATATGTATACATGTGCCATGCTGGTGCACTGCACCCACTAACTTGTCATCTGGCATTAGGTATATCTCCCAATGCTATCCCTCCCCCTCTCCCCACCCCACAACAGTCCCCAGAGTGTGATGTTCCCCTTCCTGTGTCCATGTGGTCTCATTGTTCAATTCCCACCTATGAGTGAGAATATGTGGTGTTTGGTTTTTTGTTCTTGCGATAGTTTACTGAGAATGATGGTTTCCAGCTTCATCCATGTCCCTATAAAGGACATGAACTCATCATTTTTTATGGCTGCATAGTATTCCATGGTGGATATGTGCCACATTTTCTTAATCCAGTCTATCATTGTTGGACATTTGGGTTGGTTCCAAGTCTTTGCTATTGTGAATAATGCTGCAATAAACATACGTGTGCATGTGTCTTTATAACAGCATGATTTATAGTCCTTTGGGTATATACCCAGTAATGGGATGGCTGGGTCAAATGGTATTTCTAGTTCTAGATCCCTGAGGAATCGCCACACTGACTTCCACAATGTTTGAACTAGTTTACAGTCCCACCAACAGTGTAAAAGTGTTCCTATTTCTCCACATCCTCTCCAGCACCTGTTGTTTCCTGACTTTTTAATGATTGCCATTCTAACTGGTGTGAGATGGTATCTCATTGTGGTTTTGATTTGCATTTCTCTGATGGCCAGTGATGATGAGCATATACACCAATAACAGACAAACAGAGAGCCAAATCATGAGTGAAATCCCATTCACAATTGCTTCAAAGAGAATAAAATACCTAGGAATCCAACTTACAAGGGATGTGAAGGACCTCTTCAAGGAGAACTACAAACCATTGCTAAAGGAAATAAAAGAGTATACAAACAAATGGAAGAACATTCCATGCTCATGGGTAGGAAGAATCAATATCGTGAAAATGGCCATATTGCCCAAAGTAATTTACAGATTCAATGCCATCCCCATCAAGCTACCAATGCCTTTCTTCACAGAATTGGAAAAAACTACTTTAAAGTTCATATGGAACCAAAAAAGAGCCCGCATCACCAAGTCAATCCTAAGCCAAAAGAACAAAGCTGGAGGCATCACACTACCTGACTTCAAACTATACTACAAGGCTACAGTAACCAAAACAGCATGGTACTGGTACCAAAACAGAGATATAGATCAATGGAACAGAACAGAGCCCTCAGAAATAACGCCACATATCTAGAACTATCTGATCTTTGACAAACCTGAGAAAAACAAGCAATGGGGAAGGGATTCCCTATTTAATAAATGGTGCTGGGAAAATTGGCTAGCCATATGTAGAAAGCTGAAACCGGATCCCTTCCTTACACTTTATACAAAAATCAATTCAAGATGGATTAAAGACTTGAACGTTAGACCTAAAACCATAAAAACCCTAGAAGAAAACCTAGGCATTACTATTCAGGACATAGGCAGGGGCAAGGACTTCATGTCTAAAACACCAAAAGCAATGGCAACAAAAGACAAAATTGACAAATGGGATCTAATTAAACTAAAGAACTTCTGCACAGCAAAAGAAACTACCATCAGACTGAACAGGCAACCTACAAAATGGGAGAAAATTTTTGCAACCTACTCATCTGACAAAGGGCTAATATCCAGAATCTACAATGAACTCAAACAAATTTACAAGAAAAAAACAAACAACCCCATCAAAAAGTGGGCGAAGGACATGAACAGACACTTCTCAAAAGAAGACATTTATGCAGCCAAAAAACACATGAAAAAATGCTCATCAATATTCTTAAAGAAAAGAATTTTCAACCCAGAATTTCATATCCAGCCAAATTAAGCTTCATAAGTGGAGGAGAAATAAAATCTTTTACAGACAAGCAAATGCTTAGAGATTTTTGTCACCACCCAGCCTGCCTTGCAAGAGCGCCTGAAGGAAGTACTAAACGTGGAAAATTACAACCAGCAGCAGCCACTGCAAAAATTAACCACTGTTGTTTTACAGTTTGTTTTTTATGATAGAAGAATAGCTACTCCTGCTCACTTTTGGTGTCCATCTGAATGGAATGTCTTTTTTCACCCCTTTGCCTTAAGTTTATGTGAATCTTTGTTTGTTAGGTGAGTCTCTTGAAGGCAGTAGATACTTGGTTGTTGAATTATTTTCCAGTCTGCCATTCTGTATCTTTAAGTACAGCATTTAGGCTCTTTACATTCAAAGTTAGTATTGAGATGTGTGGTACTATTCTATTAAATGTGCTATTGTTGCCTGAATATCTTGTGTTTTTTTTCTTTTTTTTATTGTGTTGTTACATAGGTCCTATGAGATTTATGCTTTAAGAGGTTCTGTTTTGATATATTTTGAGGATTTGTTTCAAGATTTAGAGCTTCTTTTAGCAGTTCTTGTAGTGCTGGCTTGGTAGTGGCAAATTCAGCATTTGTTTTTTCTGAAAAAATACTGTATCTTTTCTTCATTTATGAAGCCAGTCTCACTGGATACAAAATTCCTGGCTGATAATTGTTTTGTTTAGGGAGGCTGAAGATAGGGCTTCAATTCCTTCTAGCTTGTAGGGTTTCTGCTGAGAAATCTGCTGTTAATCTAATAGGTTTTCCTTTGTAGGTTACGTTGTGCTTTTTCCTCACAGCTCTTAATATTCTTTTCATCTTGACTTTGGATAACTTGATGACTATGTGCCTAGGTAATGATCTGTTTGCAATGAATTTCCCAGGTGTTCTTTGAGCTTCTTGTATTTGACTGTCTATGTCTTCTTGTATTTGAAGTTTTGCAAGGCTGCAAAACTTTTCCTTGATTATTTCCCCCAGATATGTTTTCCAAACTTTTAGATTTCTCTTATTCCTCAGGAACACCAATTATTATCAGTTTTGGTTATTTAACATAATCCCAAACTTCTTGGACGCTTTTTAAAATTTTTTAAAATTCTTTTTCTTTGTCTTTGTTGTATTGGGTTATTACAAAAACCTTGTCTTTGTGCTCTGAAGTTCTTTCTTCTGCTTGTTTGATTCTATTGCTGAGACTTTTCGTGCACTTTGCATTTCTCTAAGTGTGTCTTTGATTCCCAGAAGCTGTGATTGTTTTCTTCTTTTTCCATTTTTGCTGCCTATTTCACTGAAGATTTCTCCCCTCATAACTTGTACCATTTTTTGGATTTATTTAAATTGGACTTCACTTTTCTCAGGTTCCTCCTTGATTAGCTTAATCTTTGACCTTCTGAATTATTTTTCTAGCAAATCGGGAATTTCTTCTTGGTTTGGATCCACTGCTAGTAAATTAGTAAGATTTTTTGAGAGTGATAAAGAATGTTGTTTTGTCATATTACTAGAATTTTCTGGTTCTTTCTCTTTTGGGTAGGCTGTGTCAAAGGGAAGATCTCAGGCTCAAGGGATGATGTTCAGATCCTTCTGTCCTATTCAGTGCTTCCTTGATATAGTACTCTCCCCCTTTTCCTAGGGACATGGCTTCCTGAGAGCCAAACTGTAGTGATCATTATTTCTCTTCTGGATCTAGCCACCCAGTGGGGCTACCAGGTTCTAGGCTGGTACTGGTGTGTGTCTGCACAGAGTCCTGTAATGTAAACCATCTTCTGGTCTCTCAGCCATGGATAGCAGCACCTGCTCCAGTAGAGGTGGCAGGGGAGTAAAATGGACTCTGTGGGTGTTCTTAGTTGTATTATTGTTGTTTATCGCACTAGTTTTGTGCTTGTTGACCTCCTGCCAGGAGGTGATGCTTTCAAGATAGTATCAGCTGTGGTAGTACAGAGAGGACCAGGCAGTGGGCAAGACTCTAGAACTCCCAAGAGTATATGGCCTGTGTCTTCAGCTACCAGGTTGGGTAAAGAAATGCTAGCAGAGTGGGTAGAGAAAGACCATCAGGTGGGAAAAATGTTAGGTGTGTCTGAGCTCAGATTCTCCTTGGGTGGGCCTTACTGTGTCTGCTGTGGAGGTTGGGGTTTGTGGTCTCTGGTCAATGAAGTTATGTTCCCAAAAGGATTATGGTTGCCTCTGCTGTGTCATGCAGTTCACCAAAAAAGTGTGGGAAAGCCAGCAGTTAACAAGCCTCACCCAGCTGCCATGCAACCCAAAAGGCTGTTCTCACTCCCACCGTACCCCACCCCTAACTGCACTGCGTTTGTTTCCAGGGAGTGGTCAAGCACAGCTTTGAGCTTCTATGTCTCCCTGCCTGCCCCTGTCTGCACACCAGATTCACTCCCTCCCCATAGTTCTGTCGAAGAAACTTCATGTTCAGTTGGAATGCTTACCAAGTTTAGCTGGAGCCTTCCTTCTGCCTGTGGCCTTTTTCCAATTCCTCTGGCACCTCTCCCTAAGGACCCCTGTGAAACAAAGTCAGAAATGCCTTCCTTGGGGATCAAGAGAGCCCACAGGACTCTTCCCACCGCTTTCTCTAATCCTATATTTTGTTTTACTCTCTAAATTATCTCAGCTCTAGGTAAGGTCAAATTCTTCTCCCATGATCTGGACCTTCAGGTTCCCAGTGAGGATGTGTATTTGGGGGTGGAAGATCCCCTTTTCCCACTTTCACACTTAGGGCACTCACAGTGTTTGGTTGTCTCCCAGGCCCTGCAGGAGCAATCTGCTTCCTTCAAAGAGTCTGTGGATTCTCTCATCTTTCCTCATATGTTCCTGCAGTAGTTCTGGGAGCAAAAGTTCACAATGTGAGTCTCCACAAGCTACTCTCTGTCTGAGTGGGAGCTGCAATTTAGTCCTGCTTCCTATCCACCATTTGCCTATTACTAATTTGTTGACAGCCATCTTCTTCTTTTTAATGGAACTTTGTTTTTCAAGTAATATGAGACTGTGGGAGACTTCCCTTCACTTTGCCAGCTATGCCTATTAGAATTCCTATCTGTCCCCAGAAATCAGCAAATGTTTAATGGTGAGAACCAACTATGAATTTGGAGTTCCGCGTAGTTCCAATCTTTCATACCAGCCCCGTCCACCTATCAGATTATTATTGTTTTGTTGTGTTTTTCTAACCATAAAGGCTCTTTGCCTGGGTAAAACCCAGCTTCTGCCAATACTAAAAAATGGCAAATGCTTCAAGATTTTAAGTTCATCTTTTCTGAATTTATCTAATAGTTCTTCAAACTTTTTCAAATATATAGTTATACAGTTTATTTATTTGTCTTTTGTAGCAGTTGCATTAAGAGTGCTGGCTTGCCATGAACTTCTACACCTTACACCATAATATGAATACTTTCCATGTAAAGTTTAGTACTGTAATAGATCATCTACTTTTAGTTTTGATTTCTCCTACTTAAGCCCTTATCTGATCAGAGCAGTTCTTAAGAAATATAAATTTTTAAAGATTACAAATGTGATGAGCTTTAAATGAAATTGTATTTGTGTGTATATGTGTGTTGTGTATGTGTAGATGCTTGGAAAATAAAGATTCAACAACTTACTGTACATCACCATCTGAAGATTTTCAAAAAGCATGTCAAATTCCATGTATCAAAACTAAAATCCTTTCTATCACTGCCAGCCACCCATGTTGCTGTTGCCTCTGTTCCTACTGTAATAAATGGAGCTCTTTATGGCTGCTAAAGCAGAAATGAAATTTACAGAACAATTCTGAGATTATATTTGGTAAACTCATCTCTCCTTTCCTTCAATATGATTTTTCTTCTTGCCTTCAAGATCATTTTTCTTCTTGCCTTCATTACAACAACATTCCAAAGGACTATACTATTCCAGTATGATTCTCTTCCTATCATTCTTCTCCACTGTTGCCAGAAATATATTTCTAAAACAAGAAAACAGTATTTCAATTTTTGACTTAAATCTTTTAAAAATAAATTTTACTTTAGTAAGTACAAATACACTGGCTTTGCACATAAGGCATTTAATCATCTCAATCCTACCTATCTCTCTAGTGTATCTCTCACTCTTGCTTTATATACCCTTCACTGGAGCACATAGTAGCCCTTGAATTTTTCCAAATGCATAATAACACTACCACCTCTACATTATTTTCTTCAACATTTATCTTAAGTTCTGGGGCACATGCGCAGGATGTACTGGTTTTTTACATAGGTAAGCATGCGCTGTCGTGGCTTGCTGCACAGATCAACCCATCACCTAGGTATTAAGCCCAGCGTCCATCAGCTATTCTTTCTGATGGTTTCCCTACTCCCACCACCCAGCAGGCCCCAGTGTGTGTTGTTCCCTACCTTGTGTCCATGTTCTCATCGTTCAGCTCCTACTTATAAGTGAGAATATGCTGTGTTTAGTTTTCTGTCCCTGTGTTAGTTTGCTAAGGATAATGGCTTCCAGCTCCATCTATGTCCCTGGAAAGGACATGATCTCATTCCTTTTTATGGCTGCATTGTTTTATGATGCAATTCTCGCTACCTGGGCTCATTTTTTCTTTTCTCATTAAACATCTACTGTTCATTGAAATCACCTCCACATGCATGTCTTGATTGCTCTTCTATCATAGCAAAAATAGAGTTTCCTCTGCTGAGTGTCCAAAATACCCTCATGCATGCCTCTACCAGGACTTTTTTTAGTCTTCTTTAATATGCATATTGTATTGCTCACCCCAACTAGAAGGTAGATTCCTTGAGAGCATTTATTTGACTCCTTTGTTTCCCAAAACCAGTCCCAGAATCTGTCACAGAGCAGGTGTTTAAATGTGTGTTGAAAAGAGTGAGATTATGTTGATTAATAATCTGTAAATTAGTTTCATGTGCCTTCATATATCCTCTACATTCTTCTTCTACAACAGTTTATGCACATTACTCTAAAAACAACACATGGAAAAATATATTTTTATCTTTGAATTTTTCATTTTGCTTATGTTCATTCTCTTTTTTCAATAAAATTTTAGAATGTTTTTGGTGTGCTATGCTTGTTCTTGTCAAAAACTTTTAAAAATCAGTATTTATTTAGTGAAACAATTATTGAATAAAATCTTTAAGTTTCAAGTTGTTTTCCTGACTTCTGTTTATATCTGTGCTTTTTATTTTTAAATAATGTTCATTTTTAGCATAGAATCATAACAAGAGTATCTTATTTCTGCAACAGTCTCTTGCAGATCAGCACATACTTTCCAAGTTGTAATCTGACTCTGGAATTGGGCAAACAGGTTTTGATTTTGGTCACAGAAATTTATGACAACAGTGTAAAATCTTCACAATTTAAATAATTTGTTAGATTGTCTTATAATTATACTTTTCATATTTTATTAAAGTAAATTAAGCTTATACTTTTCACTGAATTAAATATTAGAAGCAGGTGACACTAAACTGATGCCATCTGCTGTGATGCCAGAATTTTAACACTGTGACAACAATGTCATATCAAAATACAAAAACTGATAGGTTTGGGGAAAATGAAGTCATGTGAAAATAAATGTTTAAACAATTAGTAAATGTGTTAATGGACATTTATTTAAAATGTGGAAGGTAAAGAGATCTTGGCTGTAAATATGATACAGATTTCATTTCTTGAATATCTCTTCAATGGAAACATTTAAAAATGTGTTTATCATCTCCCTTTTATTTGCAGTAGTATTCTAATCAACATAAAATCTTTCCAATATGATAATCTATTATTCCTGTATACCTGCTCTGCAAAATGATATATTTTCAGTGCCTAAATATTGATGAAGTCAACTAATACACACATGGGAACAGACCTAGATTATAGAAGAAAAATGACAGCATAAGCTCAGTGGAACTTTGGGAGAAAACTAGTTTTACTAGTTATTACTGCTGAATACTTTCATGTTGCACAAATTAAGGACTGTAGTATCAAGAGATAGTGGGCAAGTATGGCCACTCATGGTTTTCTGGGTGTTAATTTCAGAGCTATGCTAATATCCAAGCTTAACATGAATAAAAGATTGATTATGTTTAATGGGAAAGCACATCTAAATTCCCACAGTGAAAAATTAACTTCAAAATTAGAAAACGATTACACCGCAAACAAAATTCAGGGAGTAAATTTTTTAGGTGGATTACCTGTTACCTCTAAATGTTATGGGATATCTGATAAGATTTGGGAAAAAAAATTTAAAGAAACTTATGAAGGTCTAAGTTTTAAAATTTTTGTAGATCACTTTTAAAAATTAATTTTATTAGTCACTTAATATTTTAATAAATCTTATAAATTAAAATGACAATAATTTAAATGTAACTCTTAATGTAATGCTATACAATATGTGAAGTATTATATTCTCCCCAAAGTTATGCTGATAACATAAAAATAAATAAAATATTGTGTTAAAATTTATGGCATAGATAGGGGTTTATAGAAGGGAAAGAGACCTGTGCAGGCCAAATATTTGGAGAATATTTTGAAGAACAACTGGATTTTGAGCTGGACCTAACATAATGCTTTGGTTTTATAAAGTTGGCCATGACTTTGATAAAAATATACTAGAATATGCAATACATATAAAATAACTTATAATTAATAAATGTGCAATAAATAGTATGTATTTATTTTACAATAAAATGCATATACCTTGAATGTTTATATCAATGTTTTGACAGTCATATATATCTGCAGGACAGGTCCCTAGTTTACCTTAGCTAACCCAGTTCTCCCTCGTCTTTCTTGCTTGTAGCTCTCAGAATAATTGTAGAATATGCTGCGAATGAAGCATCCTGAGACAAAAAGGAACTGTCCACAGCAGGCTGTACTCTGTTCTGCTTCCTTCTGGAACAGGATGTCCTGCCAAACTTCAGTCCAGCAATGCCAATTATCCCCAGGGCATATAACTCAGAGGGGAGTGCTTTCTGGGGTCCTTCAGCAGCAGTGCAATGAGGAGCATGCACAGGAGAGATTCTATTTTCCTTGGATGGCTTTCTTGAGCCTTGGAAATCTGGCTCACCAGGAATTCTAGGCTTCTGTTGTCCCTTGCTTCCTATCTGTGAGTAAAAAATTTGCTTCACTTAATTTGCCATGTGATGTTTTGTTTCCTACAAATGGATCGATACTTAGTGCATGGTGAACCTGTTTCAAAATATCTGTATTTTCAAGCATCAAAACAAGATACATTAGGTTTCTATCACTCTAAAACGCTCCTATGTGCCCTTTTCCGTTTCTTCTTTCTTAGCTACATACCTTCCCCCAATTTCTGGCAAACAGTTTCTGATGTATGTCGCAGTACATTAATTTATTTTTATTCAACATGTAAAATTATACATAGTTATGGGGTAGAGTGTAATGTGTTGATACATGTATGCATTGTGCAAGGATAAAACCAGTGTAATTATCATATCTTTCACCTCAAACATTTATCATTTCTTTGTGGTGGAAACATTCAAAATTCTCACACATATATACGTAGTGAGGTGATATCTCACTGTGATTTTGATTTTCATTTCCCTGATAATTATTAATTAACATTTTTTCATATAAGTACTGGAAATTTTTATGTCTTCTTTTGACAAATATCTAAGGACATTTGCCCATTTTTAAAATAATTATGTGCTTTTGCTATTGAGCTGTTTGGGTTTCTTATATATTCTGGATATTTACCCCTTCTCAAATATATAGTTTGCAAATATTGTCCCATTCTGCAGGTTGCTTCATTTTGGTGGTTGTTTCCATTGCTGTGCAGAAGCTTTTTAATTAGATAAAATCATTCTTGTCTACTTTTGCTTTTGTTGCTTATGCTTTTGAGATCTCATACCAAAAATTCTTGTGTAGTCCAAAGTCGTGAAACATTTCCCCTATGTTTTATTTTAGTAGTTTCATATTTGCAAGTCTTATATTTAAGTTTGTAATTCACTTTGAGCTGATTTTTGTACGTGGTGAAAGATAGAGGTCCAGTTTTATTTTTCTACATGTGCATATCCAATGTTTTGGGTACCAGTTATTGAGGAGACTGTTTATATCACAATACGGCACCTTTTTGAAAAGGCACCTTTGCGAATAATCACTAGACTGTAGATGTGTAGATTTATTTTTGAATTCTCTATTCTATTTCATAGGTCCTTATGTCTAGTTTCATGCCAATTTCATGTTGTTTTGGTTACTATAGTGTGTCCGGAATTTATTCCTTCTGGTGGGTTCCTGGTCTCGCTGACTTCAACAATGAAGCCGCAGACCTTCCCAGTGAGTGTTACCGCTCTTAAAGATGGTCTGTCCAGAGTTTGTTCCTTCAGATGTATCTGGAGTTTCTTCCTTCTGGTGGGTCTGTGGTCTCGCTGACTTCAGGAGTAAAGCCACAGACCTTCACAGTGAGTGTTACAGCTCTTAAAGGTGGTGTCTTGGGAGTTGTTTGTTCCTCGTGGTGGGAGCATGGTCTCGCTGACTTTGGGAATGAAGCTGCAGACCCTCGGGGTGAGTGTTACAGCTCATAAAGGTAGTGTGGACCCAAAGAGTGAGCAGCAGCAAATTTATTGCGAAGACCGGAAGAACAAACCTTCCACAGACTGGAAGGGGAGCTGAGTAGGTTGCTGCTGCTGGCAAGGGTGGCCAGCTTTTATTCCCTTATTTGGCCCCACCCACGTCCTGAGATTGGTCCATTTTAGAACGCTGATTGGTTGATTTTACAGAGTGCTGATTGGTGAATTTACCATCCTTTAGCTAGACACTGAGTGCTGATTGGTGCATTTACAATCCTCTAGCAAGACAGAAAAGTTCTCCAAGTCCCCACTCAACCCAGGAAGTCCAGCTGGCTTCACCTCTCAATAGCATTTCAGGATATTTTAAAATCAGGTAGTGTGATGCCTCCAGGTTTGGTCTTTTTGCTTTGGCTGTTTATAGACTTTTGTAGTCCCATACAAATTTTATTTTTTGTTTGTTTGTTTGTTTGTTTGTTTGAGACAGTCTCACTCTGTGGCCCAGGCTGGAGTGCAGTGGCTTGATCTCAGCTCACTGCAACCTCTGCCTCCTTGGCTCAAGCAATTCTCCTGCCTCAACCCCCTGAAGTAGCTGGGATTACAGGTATGCACCACCTTGCCCAGCTAGTTTTCATATTTTTAGTAGAGGCTTGGTTTCTCCATGTTGGCCAGGCTCCTCTAGAACTCCTGACCTCAGGTAATCCACCTGCATCGGCCTCCCAAAGAGTTGGGATTACAGGCATGAGCCACTGTGCCTGGTCTTTAATTTTTTACTTCTGTGTAGAATGTCATTGGTATTGTGACAGGGATTGTATTGAATCTGTAGATAGCTTTGGGGTGTATGGCTATTTTAACAATATTAATTTTTCCAGTTCATAAATATGGGATATCTTTTCATTTATTTTTATCCTCTTCAGTCTCTTTCATCAATGTTTTATAGTTTTCAGAGTAGAGCTCTTTCATCTCTTTGGTTAAATTTGTTCCTTTTTTTGTATTTATTTAAAATTGATTTTTTTGTGACTTCTATTTTCGATAGTTTACTACCTGTGTATATAAAAGATACTAATTTTTGAATGTTAACTTTGTATCCTGCAAAATTACTGATTGTGTTTATCAGTTACAAGAGATATTTGATGTCATATTTGGAATTTGCTATATATAAGCTCATGTCATCTACAAACAGGGACAATTTGACTTCCTCTTTTCCAATTTGAATGTTTTTCATTTCTTTCTATTGCTGAATTGCTCTGGCAAGGTTTTCTAGTACGATGTTGAATATAAGTGGTGAGAGTGGGTATTTTTGTCTTGCTCTAGATCTTAGAGGAAAGGCTTTCAACTTCTTTCTTTTCCTATGTCAGCTGTGTGTTTTTATATGACCTTTATTGTGTTGAGTTACATACCTATTAAGTCTAATTTATTGCAGTTTTTAACATGAAGTGAGGTTGAATTTTGTCAAATGTTTCTTCTGCAGTTTTTGAAATAATCATATAGTATTATTTTTCTTTCTATTAATGTCCTGTATTACATTTATTGATTTGTGTATACTAAACCATCCTTACATTCCTGGGATAAATTCCACTTGATCCTAATGAATGACTTTTATAGTGGATTGTTAAACTTGGTTTGCTGGTATTTTGTTCAAGATTTTTGCATCTATATTCATCAGTCATATTGACCTGCAGTATTCCTTTTTGTTATTTCCTTGTGTGGTTTTAGTATCAGGATCACACTGACCCCATAAAATGAGTTTGGAAGTATCCCCCCTTCTTCAATTTTCTGAAACAGTTTAAGAATAATTAGATTTTGTTCTTAAATGTTTGGCAGTTAAGCCATCAGGTTTTTCTTTCATGGGAGACTTTTTATTACTGATTAAATATTTTCACTCATTATTCGTCTTTTCAGATTTTCTGTTTCTCTACAGTTCATTTTTGGTAGGTTGTATATGTCAAGAATTTTATCACTTTTTTTCTAAGTTATCCAATTTGTGTTCATAGAGTTGTCCATAAGAGTTCGGTCATGATCCTTTGTATTTTTGTGGAATCAATTGTAATGACTCCTCTTTTATCTCTGATTTCACTTCTTTAATCCTTTTTTCTTACTTTTGCTAGTGGTTTGCCAATTTTGTCTATTTTTAAGAAAAAAGATCTCTATGACTTTTTGTGTTATTTTTAGTCTCTGTTTTAATTATTTTTGCTCTGTTCATTATTATTTTCTTTCTTCCACTAATTCATGGTTTTGTTTGTTCTCCTTTTTCTAGTTCCTTGAGATGCAATGTCAGGTTGTTTATTTAAAATTGTTTTTCTTTCTTGATGTAGGCATTTATTGCTATAAACTTTCCTATTACAACTGCCTTTGCCATAACCAACAGGTTTTAGTATGTTTTGCTTATTATTTTTATCTGTTTCCATTTTTTTAACTTTCCTTTTAACTTTTTATTGACCTATTTGTTATTCAGGAGCATGTTTTTTAATATTCATGTATGTGTGTATTTTCTGTAGTTCCTCCTGTTACTGATTTCTGAACATTGTGACCAGAAAAGATACTTGATATGATCTCTATTTTCTTAAATTTGTTAATATTTGTTTTGTGTCATAACATATGACCTATTCTGGAGAATGTTCCATGCCTAGTTGAGAAGACTGTGTATTCTGGAGCTATTAGATAAACACTTCTATTAATGTTTGTTAAGTTGTTTTGGTCTAGAGTATAGTTTAAATCCAATTTTTCTGGTTGATTTTCTATCTGGATGATCTGGTGATTGCTAAAAGTGTGATGATAAAATCCCCAACTGTTACTGTACTGCAGTCTATTTCTTTATATCTAATAACATTTTCTTTATATATATATGAGTCCTTCAGAGTTGAGTACAGTACATATATATTTACAATTGTTATATCCTCTTGCTGAATAGATCCCTTATCTTTTCTTATAGGTTGTCACTTAATGTCCATTTTATTTTACATAAGTATAGCTAGTTCTGTTCAGGCTGAAACTGAAGGACAGAAAAATATACTAATTAAACATGAATCTTAAGACAGCTTAAATAAACTTTTTATATCAGATCAAAATTTTAGGCAGTAAACCAAAATAAGGGAGATTATATATATATAATATATATAATATATATAATATATATTATATATATATTTATATAATATATATATATAGTAGCTTTTCAACCAGGTAAAATTTTATTCCACAGGAAATATTTGGCAACATTTTCAGACATCTTTGATCATCACAGTGGGGAGTAAAGGTATGTTTCTGACCTCTGGTAGATTGAGGAAAGCGATTCTGTTAAATCTTTTAAATCTCCTACAATGCTTAGACTAGCTTGCAAAGCAAAGACTTATTTCAGTCAAAATGTCAATTGTGCTGAGTTTCAGACACTATATTAGAGTATTATATGTCACATTGTGTTCCCCAAAATTATTTGTTGAAATCCTCATTCCCAGAATCTCAGAATGTAAACTTACTTGGAAATAGAGTCTTTGATGATGAAATCCAGTTAATATGAGGTTAGTAGGACATATCCTAATCCAATATGACAGGTGTTTTTATAAGAAGATGATGTAAAGACAAAGACACACAGGGAGAATACCATTGGAAAACAGAAACAAAGATTTGCGTGATACAACTTTAAGCCAAAGAATACCAAGGATTGATGAGACACCACTAGGAACCAGAAGGAAAGAAAGGGGGAATTTTACTTAGACTCTTAGAGGAAGCATTGTCCTGCCAGCACTATGATTTCAGACATCTAGTATCTAGAAGGGTGAAACAATACATTTCTGTTGTTTTAAGTCGCCTAATTTATGATACTTTGTTGTTGTAGTCTCAATCAGCTAATACATAAGAATAATGGATAAGCAGATAAAGAGGATATAATGTTCATCATGCATTAACATTATAATATGTAAAGTGATAATTGACAAGACTGTGATGTCAAATATGTATATATCTATATCTTCCCTACCCTACATCTTTTCTTCTTGCCCTATCGATATTCTCAAAAGAAAAAGTATTTCCAAATATTTATTTTGAAGTTTTGATCAATTCTTTATGAAAACTGTTGGAACAAACAAAAAGCACATAGTAATATAATAACAGATAATAGTATATTGTGCATAAAAAGTTTTGTTATTCTTTGCTTCCTCCACTAGTTCTCATAACTTCTTACACTCTGTAATGGTTAATATTAAGAGTCAACTTGATTGAATTGAAGGATGCAAAATATTGTTCCTGGGTGTGTCTGTGAGTGTGTTGCTAAAGGAGATTAACATTTGAATCAGTGGACTGGGAGAGGCAGACTCACCCTCAATCTGGATGGGTGCCATCTAATTAGCTGCCAGCACAGTTAGAAAAAGCAGGTGGAAGAAGGTGGAAGGAGCTGACTTGCTGAGTCTTCTGGCCTTCATCTTTTTCCCATGCTCGAAGCTTCCGACCCTTGAACATCAGAATCCAGGTTCTTTGGTTTTTGGTTTCTTGGACTTACACCAGTGGTTTGCCAAAGTCTCTTGGGCCTTCTGCCACAGACTGAAGGCTGCACTGTTAGCTTCCCTACTTTTGAGGTTTTGAGACTCAGACTGAGCCGCTTCTGGCTTCCTTGCTCCTCAGCTTACAGACGGCCTATCGTGGGACTTCACCTTGTGATAGTGTGGGTCAATTATCCTTAATGAACTCCCTTTAACATATACATATATCTTACTAGTTCTGTCCCTCTAGTGAACCCTGACTAATACACAAACCTAATATAAAACTATGTGGCATATAACATATATATTTCATACATATGCAACATTTGATGTGTAGTACTACGTGTTACAGATTATATATAATACATATCAATACAAATTGTATATGAAATATATGTTGAATTATAAGTTCTAATATACATAGATATAGATATTTACCATATATCTATTTATACCTATATTTTATATTTATATATATTCTATCTCTAACTCTCTCACATATATAATAGGTATATTATATATAAAATATGTATAGTATTGCAGGCAGCCTATTGTGGGACATATATATATATGTGTATATATATACGTATATATATGTGTGTGTGTGTATATATATATATATATATAGAGAGAGAGAGAGAGAGAGAGAGAGAGTATTTGACAATTGACTATAATTCTGGCCAAGAAGAAAAACTAAATTTCAACTACATCAACATTACATTAGTTTACTTAGCAATACTGTAATATTTGTCCTAGGATTTTAAGAGCTATTAGTTATTTATTAATGAAAATACTAAAAATATATAAAACTATTCACTCCTAATCAAGAAAAAAATGAAAATTTGATAGATAGTATTGAAAATGCCTACACTAATGCCTTCCCTCTATTGATCTTCTTGATTAGTGCCCTTCCTCACTGATTCTGGTCTTGACAAGACTTGCTTTGGCCAGTCGGGTGATAGCAAACGCAGCACAAATACAAACTTTAAAAATGCTTGCACATTGGTTGCATAACAATGTGAATATACTTAATGCCACTGAACATTACACTTAAGATGGTTAATACGGTAAGTTTTATGTATTTTAACACATTTAAAAATAATAATACACAAAAAAGAAAAGTGCTTGTACTGTATAATATTCCTCTTTTCTGCTCTTTGACTAAGCTAGTGGAGAATCAGGAGCTATGTGGAGGCTAACTAAGTTACTTAGATGACAGCCACTAAACTCCAAATATATAAATGAGATTATTTCAGATTATCCAACCTCAGTTAACCTACCAATTGATAAGTGATGTGTGAACTATCAAAAGAGACATGTCTCTAGCTAACAGATACATTAGAACTGATAGCTGACCAACTAATTTGTGAAAAAATAAACGGTGCTTGTTTTAAGTCACCAAATTTTGGGAGAGTGTTATGTATAGTAAAAGTTAATTTATGTAACTCAGATTGAAAACTGGGAAATTCCAAGAATTATGCAAAGGCTAATCAAATAATTGTCAAATACTTTTACAACAATTATGTATCAATAAATTTGAAGGCACAGATATAAGAGAAACATTCCTGAAAAATATAAACAGCCAAAATAGCATAAAAGGAAAGAGAAAACTTTGAAATGCCTAAAAAGAGTAAATATATACAATCAACCTAGTCTAATATGATTGTACAGGTGAGCTCTATCGAATTTTCAAGTAAATTTGTCCCAATAAAATTTAAAAAAATCAGTCAAGTCAACTATTCATTGTATATAGTAATTATAGCCTTGACACTACAACCAGGCAAAGATAGTACCAGGAGGAAAAGTAAAAAACTGATTTTTTTCATCAGTATAAATTTTAAAATATTTATATATACATTTTAAATTTTTATATTGTGATCAGGCAAGGTTTGTCCTAGATATTGCAAAATGGTTATGTAAATGAGGCATGTTGTTGTTGTCGCTGCTGTGTGTGTGTAACATTAATATGAGCATATCAAAGGACTAAAGAAGGAAGAAAACAAATATAAATTTCAATATTTATAGGAAAAAATTTGAACATTTTCAAAATTTAATTCAGATTAAATTTTCTTAAAACAGAAGGATAGATCCTTACATTATAACAAAATTCAATTAATGGGAGTAAAACCGGCACATCCAAATTCATTTAAGATCAGAAATAAAACAGGATTTCTGCTATCATTTTTGTTCTTCTTTACAATAATGTGCATCTTGTTTAACAATTTAAAGAGACATATAAATGATTGTGTTAGTTTGCTTGGGATGCCTTTACAAGGTGCCACAGACTTGACGGCTTAAACAGCAGAAATGTATTGTCTCACAGTTCTAGAGGCTGGATGTCTGAGATTGACGTGTCTGTAGGGTTGACTCCTTTTGAGAGCTGTGATGGAGAAAATGTTCCATGCCTCTGGCGTAACTTGTGATGTTTTGCATCTCTGGGAAACAGTTATTTTATATAATAGTAATATGTAATATCCCTTCTTTAAGCTATCAGATTATAATTAGATTCGTGTATTGACATGAGTGAATAATCCAGTAGTAAGGTTTATCATATTCACTGTATAAACTTTATTTAAATTTATGACTATTCTCTTCATTCATTGTATGCTATTTCACATAGTAATATTCTAAGATAGCTATAAGATTATTCAATCATAATAAAGATTTATTTTGAATCTTACATTTGTGAAAAACATACTGAGTAGTTTTTAATCATGAAAAAAATGCATAAATTCTATTAAATAATAATACTGTGATTTGGTACAGAATGAGAACATTTTTGATTTTTGTTGTTTTATATTTCACTGACAAAAGAAAAAAAAACCTAAAAATAATTATTTTTAAAAGATTAAAGTTTAAATTAATTATTTTTACCAAGAAACAGATATATAATTCAATTAAAACAAAAACAATTGAGTCTTTCTGTATATCCCATAGCCAGCTGCAATTATAAAGATGCACACACACAAAAGAGAAAGAGGAGCAAAAAGAGTGAAGAAAACATGTCCATTTATCAGAAAATAAATATACAAGTACAATAGAAGAAAAGGGGGTAGAAAACATTTTGAAGATTTAGAAAGGTAAGTTCATTACCACATAAAATATCTTTCTAAAGCTCCGTTCTTTCAAGTGATTTTTTCTTAAAATTTCCCTTTGTGTTCTGAATTTGCCTATAAACTATTGCTGAAACTATCTCAGACAGTATATTTTTAATGATTTAATTCTTAGAGAATCTCCTCTGGGTGAACGCTAGGGGCAGGGATTGTTCTATAGATGGCAATGGTAATAGGCAAAGAGGTAATAATTTGAGTGTTAGATAAAAATCCAGGTCAAAGCTGCTTTACTACTCTATTTCAAATCATCTTTAAAAGCTATCATTAGATATTGTCTTTACTGATTAATATTAAAAGACTACTAGCAGTATTAAATTATACAACAATTAGTACTTTCTGTAAGCAATATTACCAATATGAATAGGGAAAACTAGTATTTAGTTTACATAGAGAGTTTGGAGTATATCCCTATGTTTCTCAGAAAACATCCTATTGTTTTGTGTATGTTCTGTATAACTCGTTTGTTTTTTAAAAAATCATACCAAGAGATAGAAATTTTTAGTGCCTGCCAGTGTGTAGCATTTACTTTTCTAAAAACTAAAAATTGTATGTGTTTATGGTATAAAACGTATTTTGACATATATATACATTGCAGAATGGCTAAATCAAGCTAATTACCTTTCCATTACCTCACAGACTTTTTTTTCTTTGTGTGTGGTAAAAACTCTTAAAATCTACTTTCTTAGCAACTTTTAAATACAGAATACATTGTTCTTAACTGTAGTCACCTTGCTGGGTCTCTTGAATTTATTCTTTCTGTCCAACTGAAATTTTGTATCCTCTGACCAACAGAGAAATAGAAATACTAAAAGGATGAATGTATGTATCACACATCATTCATCAGGTAAGAAAATGTGGCACATATACACCATGGAATATTATGCAGCCATAAAAATTGATGAGTTCATGTCCTTTGTAGGGACATGGATGAAATTGGAAATCATCATTCTTAGTAAACTATAGCAAGGACAAAAAACCAAACACCTCATGTTCTCACTCATAGGTGGGAATTGAACAATGAGAACACATGGACACAGGAAGGGGAACATCACACTCTGGGAACTGTTGTGAGGTGGGGGGAGGGGGAGGGATAGCAGTAGGAGATATACCTAATGCTAAATGACGAGTTAATGGGTGCAGCAAACCAGCATGGCATATGTATACATATGTAACTAACCTGCACATTGTGCACATGTACCCTAAAACTTAAAGTATAATAATAATAATTTAAAAAAATCAGTTTATCAATATCCACAAAATAACTTGCTGGTATTTTGATTGGGATTGCATTGAATTTATAGATTAATTTTGGAAGAACTGACATCTTGACAATATTGAGTCTTCCTACCCACAAACATGGAACATCTTTACTTAGTTCTTTTGTGATGTCTTTCATCAGTTTTGTACTTTTTCTCATATGGATCTTGTACATGTTGTCTTAAATTTATACCTAAGGATTTCATGGGGGGGTTAATGTAAATAATATTGTGTTTTTAATTTCAAATTCCACTTGTTCATTTCTAGTATATAGAAAATGATTGACTTTTTTTGTATTAACCTTGGATCCTACAGCACTGCTATAATCACTTATTAGTTCTTGCCGTTGTCTTTACTTTTTAATATGCACAAAAGTGCACATTAAATGGAAGTGACTCTCATCTTTAAAAAGAAAATGGTACTATTTGAAAAATGTCTAACCATTGCTGTTAATCTTGAATCTGCTGCACTCCTAATATCACATATTTTGTCATCTTTCAATAATTGCTTGAAATAAACACTAAAATGAACTGGTGTGCGTGCTTTGAGTCTAATCTGTCTATTGCCAAAAGCAGTGGCCCAAAGGGATCAGTTTCCTTAGTTCTTTGTTGCCCGAAAACATAAAGATACAAGATAAAGCTGTGTTTCAATTAAATATCAAAGAAAATCACAGTCACTAGATTAGCGGAGACCACACAGAGTTCTTATGCAGAAACTTTTGAAGAGGGTGTCATGATAAATCCGCTAAAATATATTGACTTTGCCAGCCTTAGTCCACATGGAAGATCTTCCATTCCGCAACCAGACCGTTTCATGTAGAGATTAACCCAGTGATCCTGCACTTGAAAGAGAATGCTGTAGGACCTAATTTATATTCAAGCCTCACTGTTCTTTGGGGAAAGGCAGGGTAATCCATATAAATTGCCAAGTGATGAAACCACAAGCAGACATGGAAATGACAAAAACTGTCCCTGATTCAACTACTTTTGGAAATAAAACCAAATGGAAATTGGTTAAAGTAAATATGCTGCTGTGAACTCATTAATAGTTTTGACTGAAGAGAATATAACATTCTCATGATAATATGAAAAGCTTTGGCTGTTAAATTAATATATTTTGGCCATAGAATCTAACCGTAAGGCTGCCCAATATTGGGTGTTTGTAATTATGTTTATAGATTTACAAAAAATTATACATAGCAATATTTTTAAAATACCGAAATGAAGAAAAATTTCCCTTAATTAAACAATATGATACCAATACGTACTGTATCAACATAATATTATTGGGATGACATAGCGATACTCTTCTTTTACTGGTATGTAATGTAAGTATATAGTATATATTTAATGTATACAATACGTGTTTATGAAGTGGAATTCTGGTTGGCTGAGCGTTAAAATAATTAATTGAAGCTATGGTCTTTCTTGTAAGCCAGTTTCTGTAAAAAGATGCCAAGCTGCCATCCTCACTATATATTTGTTTATTTTGTCTTAGAGATTTTTTAGAGATAAATAATGTAGGAATATTTTTTCCTTATGAAACTTATATTCTATTAAGGGAAGAAATTGGTTTGCCTCGTTTTCTTTCTACACAATTTTGGTACTTGTGGGGTATACAATTATATATGTATATAAATAAATAGATAATGTTCAGTTTCTATATGTTATTTCATCCAACAATATTTCAACAACACAGTTTTGGACTGTGTAGCATAAATCGCAGGGCCTCTTTTAAACTATTGTTTGTTATCTTTTTTTTGTCACATTTGCCTTTCTCAACCTGTATCATGGGGTTATTTCATCGTGCCTCAGCTACAGTGCTCTACTGCTCTTTGATAACTGCTATCTATGTCTTTGAGTCCATAAGTGTCTCTCACATTGAGGGTCAATTCAGCTGTCCTTGAAAAGCCACCATTTTACTCTTATTCTCCAACATTATTCATATTCACCTGTACTCAAAATGCCAGTCTTTGTCAATTAGCCTTTAAGTTGTAATTCCTCTCAGACTGATGCTTAGACACCATGACAATTATCTGTCTTTTTAGCTCTCAGTAGTGTGGAACTAAGACATTAGTGTAGACAGACTAAGACAGTAGTGTGGAACTAAGACATCTTCAGATTGGAATCTTGTCCAATATAATTTGTTTATTCCAATATGTTTATTCTCTAAAAGCAAAATTAAAATCAGTAACTTTGCAAGATTAAGGTGATATTCCCAACCATAAAATTATAGAAACATTTTAAACTGTAAATTTATGAAATCATCTCAGATTTCGTGTGAATAATGCACAATCCTACTATGCCTAAAATAAAAACGATATAGAAATACCTTAAATTCCTCAAAATGAATATTAAATATCTTAAGCAGAATCATTGAAAGTATGAATGAAATTCCTAACTTCTCATAATAAGGTTGAAAACAGAGAAAAATGCAGACAGTTTCATTTAGTTTGATTCACATGTAGTCCTGTATATGTATATGTATTACATCACACTAATTAAAACAAAATAATGAATAAAATATATAGACATAATACAATGATACATACTGATTTATACGAAGCCTAATTGTTAAGTCTAAGTTGTTGTTTATAATAAGAATGTGAGTAGCCTAAATCCTCATTATTCCCTGATGTTATCTCTAAATGGAAGGGAAAGACTAACTAAATGCCTTACTTATATTTTATGTATTTCTGCCTTCCCCATCACATTTAAAATTCTGCCAAGAAAACATGATAGATTTAGTTAAAGTTCTGTGCACTGAACTTAGTATGATGTCTGAGTTCATACAAGGAGCTCAATAGCCATTCAGTGAATGAATGATAAAATGAATAAATTTGCTTATGCTAGTATAAATGACAAGTATTTATATGAAACATAAAAAAATAAGAGTTCATGCTGTTATAGTAAAAGTTTTATTGACAATTCACTGTACAATTGTTTTCTGTAAAAACTCAGGATTCAAGATGTTTAGGATAGAAGTAGTCATTCCAAAATCTCACAGAGATATCTTACCTAAAGTCATGACACATAAAAAGGAAATACCTCCTGATGCTGTTTGTGTGTAAAGTAACTAAGCTGGCACTTTGACACAGATGCAGGGCGTTGGCATAAAAGAGGGTGTTTGTGTAGATGTGTCAATCAGTTTGTGGGGGTTTTCAGGAAGACAAAAAAAAGATAATACGTTAGCCTGTTTACTCAATCCTTGATATGATATAATTAATCAAGCTTGACTTTTATTGCTTTATTGCAGGAGCTTATTCTTTGGCCAAAAAATAAAGGAATGGCTAATAAAACTCTAGAATCTAGATTTTTAGATACATATACCTAATCGTTTGGCAAATGGGCGAGGGATATGAACAGACACTTCTCAAAAGAAGACACTTATGCAGCCAAAAGACACATGAAAAAATGCTCATCATCACTGGCCATCAGAGAAATGAAAATCAAAACCACAGTGAGATACCATCTCACACCAGTTAGAATGGCGATCATTAAAAAGTCAGGAAACGACAGGTGCTGGAGAGGTTGTGGAGAAATAGGAACACTTTTACACTGTTGGTGGGACTGTAAACTAGTTGGACCATTGTGGAAGTCAGTGTGGCGATTCCTCAGGGATCTAGAACTAGAAATACCATTTGACCCAGCAATCCCATTACTGGATATATAACCAAAGGATTATATATCATGCTGCTGTAAAGACACATGCACACATATGTTTACTGTGGCACTATTCACAATAGCAAAGACTTGGAACCCACCCAAATGTCCAACAATGATAGACGGGATTAAGAAAATGTGGCACATACACACCATGGAATACTATGTGGTCATAAAAAATGATGAGTTCATGTCCTTTGTAGGGACATGGATGAAGCTGGAAACCATCATTCTCAGCAAACTATCGCAAGGATAGAAAACCAAACACTGCATGTTCTCACTCACAGGTGGGAATTGAACAATGAGAACACATGGACACAGGAAGGGGAACATCAGACACTGGGGCCTGTTGTGGGGTGGGGGGAGGGGGGAGAGATAGCATTTGGAGATATACCTAATGTTAAATGACGAGATGCTGGGTGCAGCACACCAACATGGCATATATATACATATGTAACTAACCTGCACATTGTGCACATGTACTCTAAAACTTAAAGTATAATAAAAAAATAAAATAAAATAATAATACAACCACAAAAAAAGACAAGGATTTTCACTAATTGTGTATGTATTTGAAAAAACAAATAATTATAATAATATACTTTCTAAGTCATCAGGAAACTAACAGTGACTAAAGCCACTTTTCCTTTTCTTGTATTAGCTACGGATTAAGTCCCATAGATTGAAAGGGAGATAAATAACATTATCAATAAAATGATGGGATAAATGTATATTTTCGTAAGCTGGATTCAATTTAATATTGAACTATGACTAAAGAAGACTTTCAAGTTTTCCAGATAGTGATTCTTACCTCATCATTACAAAAAACGAAACCACATTTGTGTAGGAAATCATTATTTGACACTAATTTGTTAAATATTTTTGAGTTATTCATTTGTGCACACAAGTGCTAGAAGATACCCTAGAAAAAGCGAATCTTTATTGAGAATTTAACCCAATTTTGAAATTTCTGGCTAGGACAACAAGAGCAAGCATATATCCAGGAATTTCAATGCACAATAATGTGCCATTTGACATTCAGGAATTTATTGAACTCGTAAAGCTGGAAGTCATTTTCATGACTGGTTTAGTAATTTTCTTTGAACTACATGACTATGACTATTTTTTAAAGCACTTACAAAACCCAAGGAGCAAAATAAGAGAAAATTACCTGAAAATTGGAAAAGACTTTATTGCCAAGTAAGTTATAAACTAAATAGTATAATTTTTTTGAACTCTAGTTCTTTGAAATAAGACTTCTACAACCCATTCCAGATGTCTATATTTTCATTAGACTGGCACATAGCATTAACTCTACTTCAAGAGGTAAAACCTTGATAAATGCATGGAATGACAGCATATATTTGTTATAAGAGCAAATAGTGTACCACTAATTCATGTAATGATCATATACACATATATTCCTAGTGGTCAGAGATAACACTAGGAAAAAAACATATATTTTAAAAGCATTTTATGAATAGTATAGAGATAACTTATTATTATTTTTTCTAGCAATGTCTTTGAAAACTATGACAGATAAGAAACTTGAGTGGGTTTGGTGACAATTATGTAGCATAAATACAAAATACATAGTTTAAATACATAAATTTGATGTTAAAGTCAAAGTTGCAATGAATCAATAACATTATGCTGCTAACTCTTGCTGAAACTTAGAATAGATTTTAAAATACTGACTTAAGGCTTTCATTGGAATTTCCCAACTGAATGATGACAAATAACATACTTCTTCCATTTAATGAAATTTTATTGAATTATAAAATCCTTTCTTCTGGAAAGCAATGATTATGGAGTAATAAGTCAATTATATATTGAGTAAAAATTAAATGTGCCTTGCATATGTATTGGTTTATATGCCATTTCATTCATGACTTTTGATACATGATTATATTTTATAGAGAATATTAAATGCTTTTCTAAGTTATTTTTATATTACCTGATTATTTCAAATAAAACAATTATTTTAAATGAAAATCACATGGTTGTTTAATAATTGCTAAGAAAAAATATTTAAAATATTTGAATATAACCTTTCATTTTGTCAAAACAATTGCATTTGTTCTCATTATGAAATGCATAAATCACATTAATGTCTTTATTAATCTATGTAACAAGAATACTTCAATATGTTTGTTGTTTCTATAAATGCATGTTAATATGCATCATAAACCTCACATGTGTTTATAATTGTCATTCATTTTATGTAAATTGAGTATTATTTTGAGAAGGAATTGTGATTTACCAAGTATACACATGAATATTGTCAGTCATTTAATGTGACCAAATAAGTTCATTTTGGCCATTCTGTGTTGAGGTTCTAAGATTTCTGCCCTTGGCTTCTCCTCCTCTACCCCTACATATCCTACTTGGGAAATACTCTTACTCACATATAGATTCCCAATTCTTTATTTTCAACCAAGTCTTTCTTTACATACTTCAGATACATGTATCCTAACAGTATTGAAAATAACGAAAATATCCTCAATATTTTACACTTTAAATTTCTCAAACAGCTTATAATTCACTTTTCCACATTTCCACCAGCATCCACTTATGGTCATTTTGAGAAGTACTCTCTAGAGATGACTGTGGTTATTTGCCAAATATTGCCAATTCTTTGCTCTTTTAGCCAAATGTTAGACTTACATCTTCTGGATCTCTTATGGATTATTGTAACTACGTGACTATTTATGAGGCTGTTACTGATGTGAAAGTTCCTTCCAGATTTAGCATTTAATTTGTTAAGTTGTTTTAGAATTTACTTTGTTTATATTTTGCCATCCCAACTGTCAGTATTTAAGACTATGCTTACTCCACCACCCTGAAAAATTTTTCTCTTTATCTTTGATTAGTTGAGATATTTGCGGGCTGGGTGCAGTGGCTCACGCCTGTAATCCCAGAACTTTGGGAGGTCAAGGCGGGCGGATCACGAGGTCAGGAGATCGAGACCTTCCTGTCTAACACGGTGAAACCCTGTCTGTACTAAAAACATAAAAAATTAGCTGGGCGTGGTGGCGGGCGCCTGTAGTCCCAGCTACTATGGAGGCTGAGGCAGGAGAATGGTGTGAACCCGGGAGGCAGAGGTTGCAGTGAGCTGAGATCACACCATTGCACTTCAGCTTGGGCCACAGAGCAAGACTCCATCTCAAAAAAAAAAAAAAAAAAAAAGAAAAGAAAAAAAAAAGAAATACATTTTTGCTGCTACAAGTCACTAAGATTTTGAATTTTTTATTACTACAGCATAACTCGGCTTACCCTTGAGGATGTAGAAATTGGTATACAGATAGGCAATGCTTCTATAAAATAATCAATTGCTTATTATTTGGCAAGAAGAGCACAAGCTATAATTGAATGATTGAAGAATGAAATATGTATAATGTAGTGACAAAACCTTTGGTAAATAGTGAGCTACAATAGTGTTATAAGCAAATAATGTAGCAATGCAGTAATAGACAACAGAAGAAGTTAAAAAATAGAATGTTACCAACCTTTGCTTGTCATGACTGGCTACACTTCACAAGATACTACAAGGAAGAAATGAACATGTGAAATAATTGGCTGTCATTATAAAAAGGAATAAAAAGAAAGAAGCCAAAATTTGACAACCAGGTGTGTTGGAAAACACAACTACTTCTTGTCTCCAATGTGTAAAATATACAACTAAGAAGGTTTTGAGCAAAAATGTCTCTTAGAACTTACTTTTCTGCATAAATAAAATAAAAAATATAGTAGCTACACTCATATACTCATTGCAGAAACGCCTCAGTTGTCTGAGGTGATGTCCAGTAATTCTTTCAGATGAAAGATTTATAGCTTTTCTTCTTAATACTGATAGGCCTAATACACCATAATTTTTTCCAAGATATGAAGAAGCATGTCTCCAAACAATAAGCCAAAATCGCAACAAAATATCCAAAAGTCTATTTGAAATTATTGGCACATAAAACTCGTTAAAGTTTAAAAGTAGGAAGCTAAGTATGTGTAAGTGCCAAAGAATCCATCAATATGGATTAAAATAGTTTGTGACTTTTTAGAATGTAAAACAGCCCTTGGATCAACCTTTTGGGTATGAAGTTATTTGTAGAATTAATTTAGAGAATAGGATTATCACCTTGACACCTGAGAATATGGCTTAACGGTAAAGGAGCTGGATGAGACTTCTGTTTGTTTCTCATAAAGAGTGGGAAAATGGGCTTTGAGTGTGGGAAGGAGTGAAAATGAGGTTTTTGATAGCCAGAAAGGAAAACTCTAGTAGTCATGTGTGCTCTTTACATTTTTATTTCCTTCCCATTTTGAAGAAAATAATATAATTTTATTTCTGGTCCTGCTTGTGATTATGTGGGAACATTTGAGTAGTTGTGGCCAATGTGATAAAATCACAAGTGATGCATAATACTTCCACATCAGACATTTGCTTGACAGGTCAAACCTTAGGAATAACATCCTTAGTAAGGGCACTAATAATATTTGATTGAGGCTTCTCCATCAGTTTCGTTGCTGGGGCCTTATTAGGACACTGCCGCTTCCCACTCACTACTGACTTTCAATGGACATGCAACATAAGAAAAAAACACAATATTGTTGCTTTATGTCATTAAGACTTGAGAGTGTCTACAACTAAGGCATGACCAAGCTTTTGGTGAATGATGCATGGAAGTGTGCTACTTTGGTAAATTTTCCATTCCAAGGGGGATCAACTCCTGAAAGTCCCAAGAAGACTATGAAAATTAAAGCCTCATGTGGCATTGCATGTCATAAAGAAAATGAACTAGGATAACAGGATTCCTCGTGTTTTGTTCACAGATATGGTCTTGTGGCCTATTATGTCCAACTTGACAAATGACTTTTCTGGTATTACTAGGAAAGACAGTTTTAGGAAAGTCTAGGACTTACAGACTGGGGTAATCCAGATTGTGATAGAATAATCAGTCATATCCTAGACTAGTCATTGTGATTTGGGCTCTGTGTCCCCACCCAAATCTCACCTTAAGTTGTAATAATTCCCATGTGTCAAGGGTGGGACTAGGTGGAGATAATTGAATCATAGCGACAGTTTCCCACATGCTGTTCTCATGATAGTGAGTAAGTTCTCACAAGATCTGATGATTTTATAAGGGAACTCCTCCATCACTTGGCACTTCTCTTTCCTGCCTCCATGTGAAGAAGGATGTGTTTGCTTTCCCTTCCACCATTATTGTAAATTTCATGAAGCCTCCCCAGCAATGTGGAACTGTGAGTCCATTAAAATTCTTTCCCTTTAAATTACCCAGTCTCGGGTATTTCTGCATAGCAACACGAGATCAGACTAATACAGTAAATTGGAACTAAAAGGGTGATGTGCTTCTATAAAGATACCTGAAAATGTGGCAGTGACTTTGGAACTGGGTAACAGGTAAAGGATGGAACAGATTGGGGGCTCAGAAGAAAACAGGAAGATGTGGGAAAGTTTGGAACTTCCTAGAGGCTTGTTGAATGGCTTTGACCAAAATGCTGATAGTGACATGGACAATGAAGTCCAGGCTGATGTGGTCTCAGATACAGATGAAAAACTTATTGAGAACTAGAGCAAAGGTGACTCTTGCTATGCATTAGCAGGGAGACTGGCAGCAGTTCACCCCTGCCATGGAGGTCTGTGGGACTTTGAACTTGAGAGAGATGATTTAGGGTATCTGGCAGAAGAAATTTCTAAGTACCAAAGAATTGAAGAGAAAGCAGAACATAAAAGTTTGGAAATTTTGCACCTGAGGATGCAATGGAAAAGAAAACCTCAGTTTCTGGGGATAAATTAAAGCCTGATGAAGAAATTTGCATAACGAAAGAGGAGCTAAACGTTAATCACCAAATCAATGGGGAAAATGACTCCAGGGCATATCACAGACCTTCATAGCAGCCCCTTCCAACATAAGCCCAGAAGCCTTGGAGGGAAAAATGATTTCCTGGGCCAGGACCAGGGCCCCCCTGCTCTGTGTAGCAGCTGGATATACTGCCCTGCATCTCAGCTGCTTCAGCTCTAGCTGTGGCTAAAAGGTGCCAAGATACAGCTTGGGCCATTGCCTCAGAGAGTGCAAGCCCCAAGCCTTGGTGACTGGCGACTTCCACATGGTGTTGAGCCTGTGGGCACACAGAAGACAAGAATTGAGGTTTGGGAACCTCTGCCTAAATTTCAGAAGATGTATGTAAACACCTGGATGTACGGGCAGAATTTTGCTGCCGTCATGGAGCCCTTGTGGAGAACCTCTGCTAGTGCAGTGCAGAAGGAATATGTGGGGATGGAGCCCCTACAGATTCCCCACACTGGGGCACTGCTTGGTGGAGCTGTGAGAAGAGGGTGACCATCCTCCAGACCCTGGCATTGTAGATCCACCTACAGCTTGAACTGTGTGCCTGGAAAATTCACAGACACTCAATGCCAGCCTGTGAAAGCAGAGGGAATGGGAGCTGTACCCTGTGAAGTCACAGGTGTGGAGCTGCCCAAGGCCATGGAAGCCCACCTCTTGCATGAACAATGGAGTCAAAAGAGATCATTTTGGAACTTCAAGGTTTAATGACTGCGTATTGGATATTGAACTTGCATGGGGACTGTATCCCTTTTGTTTTGACCAATTTCTCCCATTTGGAATGGGTGTATTTACCAATTGCCTGTAACCCAGTTGTATCTAGGAAGTGACTAACTTGCTTTTGATTTTACAGGTTGACAGATGAAAAGGACTTGCCTTCTCTCAGATGAGACTTTGAACTTGAACTTTTAAGTTAATGCTGGAATGATTTAAGAATTCAAGGGACTGTGGGAAGGGCATGATTGTGTTTTGAAATGTGACAACATGAGACTTGAAAGGGGCCAGGGGTGAAATGATATGGTTTGTCTGTGTGCCCACCCAAATCTCACTTTGAATTGTAATAATCCCAACATGTCAAGGGCAGGACCAGGTGGGGATAATTGAATCGTACGGACAGTTTCCCCCATGATGTTCTCATGATAGTGAATGAGTTCTCACAAGATCAGATCATTTTATAAGGGACGTCCCCCTTTGCTTGGCACTTCCTTCTATTGAAGCCATGTGAAGAAGGATGTGTTTGCTTCCCCTTCCCTTCCACCATGATTGTAAGTTTCCTGAGACCACCCCAGCCATTTGGAACTGTGAGTCAATTAAACCTCTTTCCTTTATAAGTTACTGAGTCTCAGGTATTTCTTCATAGCAGTGTGAGAACAGACTAATACAGCAGCCTAAGATCAGAGGCCTTCCATATCACAGGAGGAGGAATTATTTTTTTCTTCCTAAATATAATGTAAATTACAGAATATAATTATAGAACTGGCATGGGCCTGAGATAAGATTAACCATTTATCTAAAATTTATCAGTAAGACTAAGTAGCCTAATTTTTAATATATTTTTATAAGAAAATAAATTTAAATGACTATAAAAGTGTTCCAAAGCTACAGGCATATATATCTACTAGAAAAGTGTCCTACTTCCCTGGTATAAACTTATGGAATTCTAGATTTAAAAAAAAATCTTTGGGAGTAGACTAGGAGGAAATCATAGAAGTTTGACCAAATTAAATAGCATTCTCACTCTTGGCAGCATGGTTTTTTGTTGTAGCAAAATAAGATAGAGTCTGATGGATAAGGTAGCATTTTGCAGTTTCATCCTTTACTCTGGTTAAGGAATAAAATGACAAGAAAGTTTCAATAGCATTGTAACAGGAAAGATAGGATCCTAGATTATTTTGAAAACTTTGAGAGAGCAAAAAGTCAGACAGCCTTTTCTCACATTTTTGCTTGAGGAAACATCATATCTTATTAGGCCACTGTCCATAATGTGGAACCAGTTTTGGCTAATGATCCTCACTACCATCGTGGCCATTATTACTTTACCAATGCTGATAAAGAAAATGAACAGCATGTTCTCTTAACCTGAATATATTTTAGCCTCTTTTCATTAGTAGTTTGTATAAGCTCCTACATGATTTAAATAGCATCAACAGTATGATTCTGTGCATTCATTTGCCATGAATTTGACATGTTTTAAAAATATTGTAGATTTGAGATCAATTTGCAGGACACTAGAATAAAACTCTTAGCTAACCTGATATTCTTCTACACAAACAGATCATATTTTTCCAAGTTGGGGAACTATGGAAGGGTTGAGACGTTTTTCTGTGTAGTGTCTGGTGGACGGCTCAGATGATGGCAGTTAATGAAGAGGTGTTTCCTGCAAGAAAGGTACTAACTTCTCTACAGTGCCAAGTTTCAGTGTGCTATGTTTTCTTAAATAAATAAATGAATAGAAACATCTTTCCAATTTATAGAATGGTAAAATTCAAAACAGAAATTATAAAGGCACACTCTTTGTGGGTATTCAGAATTGATAGTCATTCAGGTGGTGGACACAGAGTCCTGGCAAAAGAAAATAATTTAAAACTCTAAAGACCAAATGGTGCACATGTGAAACAAGCTTAAACAACAAAATGAAAAGTAAAAACATTCACTAGCAAAACAGTCTCAAGATTCAAGATTCCTTTTTAGAGAAACAGAATGTTTGGTTTAGCCTTGAAATTATTTGTCTTTTAACAAGAAGATGAAATATAACCTTTGATTTCCAAATCTCCCAACTATCTAGACTGAAAGTTAATTTGTTGCACTATCTGAGCAAATTTCTCTGAAATGTATTCCACTTCATAAAATAACATTGTTAGAATTCTTAAAGTTAAAAATAGACATGCACAGTGTTTACAGATTATATATCATGTGTATTTATTATACAGCTGTACACATCAGAGACACTAATAAAATGCTAACTGATAATCATTTGGGATACCCAATTTTTATACCTAATTTCTACAGGAAATTAATTCTTTACAAATATGTGATGAATTTAATATACAGGATAAAAATACCTCGCTTTTTGTAGGCAAAGATTATGTTTCAGTATAATGAAATATACTGAATATACTGAAATTATACATACATATATCGGGCTGATAGAGTTTGAAGCATGTTGAATTTAAATATACTGAATATTCTGAATAAATATTTATATGTATTTACATGTATATATCAGTATACTAAGTATATTTATATGTTTATATTATAAATATTCAGTTATATATATATACATAAATCAGGTTAATACAAAGTATATTGAATTGAAATATGCTGATTGAAATATACTGAATATACTGAAACATATAAATTAATGTGTTTTTGTGTGTGCGCGTGTGTGTGTGGCTAATGAAGTTCATATCTGTTCAGGGCAGAAGCCTGTCAAATATAGATACTAGGCTCTTTCCATCTGAATCAAAATTTGCTAGAATGTTCATTCAGTAATTCAGTAACACTCTCATCTTTATAAATCAACTCTATTTTAATTTCATTTTGAGGTATTCTCAGAATAAATAGTATAACGTATTTTTAAATATACTATTTATATATTAGGGAGATCAGAATATATATTGGGAAGTCTGAGAATGGACTTTTTGACAAAGTAATGTGGAGTGTACCAGAAAAAGTCTATCATACGTCATGCACTTATGGTGAAATGGACATTGAAAGATACACCCGAAGAATAGTTAGTGAATGGAGAGCAGCCCAAGATGAGTCTAGAGATAGGGAGGCAGCAGGTCATATAGAATATTGACAAAAACAAAACAAGCACACACACATAATTACTTATATGAATAAATATAATGCAAATAAGCATATGCATGCATGTATATTAATTATAGGTAAAACCCTACACTTCTTCCAATGTTGACATTAGTTAAATGTCAACATTGGAAAAAAAAAAAGGTCTGTTTTTAGAAATAAAATAAATCATGACCATTGATATGATTTGGCTGTGTTCTCACCCAAATCTCATCTTGAATTATAGTTCCCATAAACCCCACATGTCGTGGGAGGGACCAGGTGGGAGGTAATTTAATCATGGGGGTGGTTACCCACATACTGTTCTCATAATAGTGAATTAGTTCTCACAATATCCGATGATTTCATAAGGGGCTTTCTCTACTTTTACTTGGCACTTCTTCCTGAAGTGAAGAAGGACATGTTTGCTTCCCCTTTTGCCATAATTGTAAGTTTCCTGAGGCCGCCCCAGCCATGCTGAACTGTGAGTCAATTATACCTCTTTCCTTTATAAATCACCCATTCTTGGGTATGTCTTTACTAGCAGGGTGAGAACAGACTAATACAGTAAATTTTTACCACAGGCTGTAAAGATACCTGAAAATGTGGACGTCAGGTTGGAACTGGGTAACGGGCAGAGATTGGAACCACTTGGAAAGCTTAGAAGAAGACAGGAAAATGTGGGAACGTTTGGAACTTCCTAGAGACTTGGAGTACTCAGAAGACAAGAAGATGTGGGAAAGTTTGGAACTTCCTACAGAATTGGAGGGCTCAGAACACAGGAAGATGGAGAAATTTGGAACTTCCTAGAGACTTGGAGGGCTCAGAGGACAGGATCATGGGGAAATTTGGAACTTCCTAGGGACTTGAAGGGCTCAGAAGAGAGGAACATGGGGAAATTTTGAACTTTAGCCTAGAGACTTGGAGGGCTTAGAAGACAGGAACATGGGGAAATTTGGAACTTCCTAGGGGCTTGGAGGGTTCAGAGGATAGGAAGATGTGGGAAAGTTTGGAACTTCCTAGAGTCTTGGTAAATGACTTTGAGCACAATGCTGATAGTGATATGGATGGCAAAGTCCAGGCTGAGGGGGCCTCAGATGGAGATGAGGAACTTTATGGGAATTAGAGTAAAGGTCACTCTTGCTATTCAAAGAGACTGACAACGTTTTTTCACTGCCCTAGAGAGATGTGAAACTTTGAACTTCAGAGAGATGATTTAGGGTATCTGGTGGAAGAAACTTCAAAGTGGCAAAGTGATCAAGAGAAAGCAGAGCATAATAGTTTGGAAAAATTGCAGCCTGATAATGTGATAGAAAATAAAACCCCATTTTCTGGGGATAAATTCAAGCCTGATTAAGAAATTTAGTAACAAGGGGCCAAATGTTAATCACCAAGGCAATAGGGAAAATATCTCCAGGGCATGTCAGAGACCTTCACAGAAGCTCCATCTCTCACACGTCTGGAGACCTAGAAGAAAAAAAATGATTCCCTGAGCACACTCAGTGTTCCCTTGCTCTGTGCAGCCCTGGGACATGGTGCCCTGAGTCCCAGCTGGTCTAGCCCTGGCCATGGCTAAAGAAGGATAATGTACAGCTCAGGCCATTGCTTCAGATTGGTGCAAGCCCCAAGTCTTGGTGGCATACACGTGGTGTTGAGCCTGTTGGTGAGAAGAAATCAACAATTAAGGCTTAGAAATCTCTGCCTAATTTCAGAGGATGTATGGAAATGCCTGGATATCCAGGCAGAAGTTTGCTGCAGGGGCGGAGCCCTCAGGGAAAAACCTCTGCTAGGACAGTGCAGAAGGGAAATGTGGAGACGGAGCCATCACACAGAGTCTCCCATGCGGCCTGCCTGGGGGAGCTGTGAGAAGAGGGTCACTGTCCTCCAGACTCCAGAATGGTAGATCCATGAACAGCTTGTGCCGTGCTCCTGGAAAAGCCACAGACACTCAACATCAGTCCATGAAAGCAGCCAGGAGGGGAGCTGTACCCTGCAAAGCCACAGTGGAAGAGCTGCCCAGGGCCATGCAAATCACCTCTTGCATCAGTGCACCTTGCAAGAGATACATGAAAAGTCATAATTTTGGAACATTAAGCTTTAATGACTGTGGATTTTGGACTTGCATAGAGCCTGTAGCTCCTTTGTTTTGGCCAATTTATCTCCTCTGGAATGAGTGTTTTTACCCAATGCCTGTACCTCCATTGTATCTAGGAAGTAACTAGTATGCTTTTGACTTTACAGGGTCATAGACGAAAGGGACTTGCCCTTGCTCAGATGAGACTTTCGATTTGGACTTTTGACTTAACGCTAGAATGAAATAATATTTTAGAGGACTATTAAAAGGGCATGATTACTGTTTTGAATTATGAGAACATGAGATTTTGGAGCCTTAGGGTTTTCTAAGTGTAGAATCATATTGTCAGAAAACAGAGGTAGTTTGAGTTCATCTTTTTTTATTTGGATGCCTTTTATTTTTTCTCTTGTATGATTATTCTAGCTAGGACTTCCAGTACTATGTTAAAATAGGAGTTTTTACTCCTTACCTGATTCAGTTCTCAGGGGAAATTGTTTCAACTTTTGTCCGTTCAGTATGATGTTGGCTATAAGTTTGTCATAGATGGCTGTAATTATTCTGAAGTAATTTCCTTCAATGCTTGGTCTGTTGATGGTGTTTATCATGAAGAGATGCTAGATTTTTATCAAAAGTTTTTCTGCATCCATTGAGATGATGGTATGTTTTTGGTTTCTAATTTTGTTTTGGGGTGAATTTTGTTTTTGGGGTTTTGGTTATTCACCTCGTAACTATGTTGAGTCAACCTTATATTTTAGGAATAAAGTTTACTTGATCATGTGGAAATAACTTTTTGATGTGCTGCTGTATTCTAATTGCGTATATTTTGTTGGGGATTTTTGGGTCTATGTTTATTCAGGATATTGACCTGATGTTTTCTTTCTTCATTGTATCTTTGCCAGATCTTGGTGTTAGGCTCATGTTGGCTTCAAAGAATGATATGGGAAGAAGATACTATTCCATGATTTTTTTGGAATATTTTCAGTAGTATTCACACCAGTTATTCTTTCTATGTATGGTAGAATTTATCCATGTATCTGTCTGGCCCAGGGTTTTTTTTTTTTCCTTTTGTGGGGGAGGGTTGGTAGGGTTTTTGTTTTGTTTCTGCTACTGATTCAATTTCAGAGTTTTTGTCTATTCAGGTTTTTGGCATCTTCTTGATTCAATCTTGAGGAACTGTGTGTTGCCAGAAATGTATCCCTTTCCTCTAGATTTTCTAATTTGTGTGCATAGAGTTGTTCATAGTATTCTCTGGGGATTTTTTATATTTCTATAGCATCAGTTGTAGTGTCTTCTTTGTCGTTTCTGATTGCACTTATTTCAACATATGCTTTTTACCTACGTTAACCTAGCTAGTTGTCTATCAATGTGATTTATTTTTTCAAAGAACAAATTCTTAATTTTATCAAACTTTTGTAGAGATTTTTATATTTTAATTTAATCAAATTCTTCTCTGATTTGTTTCTTTTCTTCTGCTAGTTAGGGTGTCGGTTTGTTCATTCTTTTTTTCTAGTTTTTTTAGGTGCAAAGTTAGATTATCAGTTTAGATCTTTCTAACTTCTTGATGAAGGTCTTTTAAGGCTATAAACTTTCCTCTTAACACTGCTTTGTTTGCATCCCAAAGATTTTGGTAATTTCTGTCCCTAATTTTATTAGTTTAAAATTGTTTATTAATCCTTTATTTCAATGTTCACTCAGGAGTTATTGAAGAGAAAGTTGTTTAATTTCCATGTATGTGTGTACTTTTGAGAGATGTTCTTGATATTGGCTTTCATTTTTATTGCACTGTGGTCCAAGAGTCTACTTGGTATAACTTCATTTTTTAAAAATTTATTGAGATTTGTATTAGGACCTAGAATGTGATAAACCTTAAAATGTGTTCTATGTGCAGATAAAAAGTAGGTCCAATTGGTCAGGTGTCAAAATTAAGTCCAGAGTGTCCTTGTTAGTTTAGTGCATTGATGATATAATTACCAATGTTATTTTTCACAGAATTGGAAAAACCTTTTATAAAATACATATGAAATCAAAATAGAGCCTGAAAATCCAAAGTGATCCCAACCAAAAAGAAAGCTGAAGGCCTCACATCACCTAATTTAAAACTATACTACAAGGCTACAATAAGTAAAACAGCAAGGTATTGGTTTTGGTTAAACACACACACACATACAACACCCCAGAAAACCACACACATTGACAAGTGGGACAGAATAGAAAACTCAGAAATAAAGCTGCACACCTACAACCACCTGATTTTCGTCAATTTTGACAAAGACAAGCAATAGAAAAAGAACTCTCTGTTCAATAAATGATGCTGGAATAACTACATAGCTACATGCTGAAGAATGAAACTAGACATTTTACCATATAAAAAAACTAACTCAAAATGGAGGAAAGCTTTAAATACAAAACCTCAAACTATAAAAATTGTAGAAGAAAACTTAGGAAATGCCCTTAACAACATCAACCTTGGCAAATAATTTATGGCCAAATTTTCAAAAGCAATTGTAACAAAAACAAAAATTGGCAAGTGGGACCTGATTAAATTAAAGAGCTTCTGCATGGCAAATGAAACTATCAACAGGGTAAATAGACAACCTTCAGAAATGAAGAAAATATTCACAATCTATGCAACTGACAAAATCCTAATACTCAGAATCTATAAGGTACTTAAACTAATCAGTTAGCAAAAACCACATAGCCCCATAAAGAATGGTAAAAGACATCAACAGACACTCCTTATAAGAGGATATAAAAGCAGCCAACAAACATATGAAAAAATGTTCATCATCAGAGAAATGCAAATCAAAACCGCAATGAGAAACCATCTCACACCAGATAGAATGGCTATTATTAAAAATCAAAAACAACAGACGCTTCTGAGGCTGTGGACAAAAGGGTGTACTTATACACTATTGGCAGGAATGTAAATTAGTTTAGCCACTGTAGAAAGCAGTTTGGGGTTTTCTCAAAAAAGAAAAAAAACTTAAAACACAGCTATCATTTGACCCAGTAATGTCACACTATTGGGTATATACTCAAAGAACTATAAATCATATAAATCATTATACCAAAAACACACATGCACTTGTATGTTAATTGCCACACTATTCACAATAGCAAAGATATGGAACCAACCTAGGTGCACATAAATAGTGGGTTGGATAAATAAAATGTAGTTCATATGAACCATGAAATACTATGCAGCCAAAAAGAATGAAATAATGTTCTTTGCAGCATTGTAGGTGGAGTCAGAAATAATAATCCTAAGCGAATTAATGCAGAAACAAAAAGCCAAGTGCTACATATTCTCAGTTATAAGTGGGAGCTATACGTTGAACACACATGAACATATACCTGGGAACAATAGACACTGAAGACTACTAGTGGGGAAGGAAGGAGAGTATATGTTGAAATATTACCTATTGGGTACTCTAGGCTCACGACTTGGGTCCAATATACTCATGTAATAATCCTACACATGTACTCCCTCTATTTAAAATAACAGCTGAAATTAAAAAAAAAATAAAGTTCTAGGTTCCCTTCAGTGCATCTACCTGTGTTTCCAATGAGACTGGGGAGCTGTGGACTTGTTTCTCTTCAGAAATGCTGGTCTGTGAAGATGTAGTTATCTTAAACTAGTGGGGGAAACAAAACTCATATTGAAGTTCCCACTTAGATGTCTCTGTTCCTCTAGGTTAAGTAGGGCTATGTGTGTGCACACACATTAGTGTCTACACAGACATGAATTTGAGGATAAAGTCCTCTGCCTCTACTTATTTGATGTAGATCTCATTTCTTTGCACTTTATGAAGTATCACAGACAGAAGAAAAGTGAAGGTGGAGATATCCTGCATGTGAGAGTTCAATTTCTCATCTTGACATTAAAACAAAAAACCTATGTTTTTCAAATACAAATGTGAAGTACCTTATGTTATAATAAGCCAATTTCTTTTCTACAGTGGAATACAATAGCCCCATGTTCAGTTTTCTGGTTTAAAATATGCTCAAGCAAAAATTTACTGTAAGCATCAATCTGAAATGAGATTTAAAAGAAGTCCCTCTAACCAGCCTTCTCAAATACACTCATAGTCAGTGGAGACATCTATGTCTCATTTCTCTGAAGTGCAAATTTAAAAGTATATGGTGGTTAAGTCTATATTCATTTGAAATCAGCATTTTCTCAATCACTCTTATTGTTTATTTCTATTTTTGGTGCATTATTATTTATTCATCCTATGAATAATATTGATATCTAACATGTGCTACAAATGCTTAATGATGTCTCCATATTGAGTTATGTTTATTCATATCTTCTGCATAGTCCCTCTGGGTTGGAAATCTTCTGGTTAGCTGAGATATTTTGATCTTGATTTTATGTCTCTTTTTTTATCATTTATTTTAAGTTCAGGGGTACATGTGCAGGTTTGTTATATAGGTAAATGTTTGTCTTGGGCATTTGTTGTACAAATTATTTCATCACTCAGGTATTAAGCCCAGTACCCATTAGTTATTTTTTCTGATCCTCCCCCTCCTCCCACCGTGTACCCTCCAAAAGGCCCTAGTGTGTGTTATCTCCCTCTATGTGTCCCTGTGTTCTCCTCATTTAGCTCCCATTTATTTTCTCAATAATATTTGAATCTCCACAATTAATTATAAGCTATTATTTGTTTACTTTGTTTTGCTTTTTGCATATACCAGATGTCTGATGGATATTTTCTAAATATTTCCAAATGTAACTCATTTATACAATTTTTCACATATAGTTTATTCATGTTCTTAGCTAGTTTTCATTCTGAGGGTTATTCTTTATGTGTATTTTGGGGGAATATTGTGTGCTATGTAGGCCTCACAGCATTATTTTAGATCTATGTAAAATAATAAATCAAAATAAATAATATATTATGTCTTAGTCACAATTTCTCTTCTCTCTTGAATGAATAGTTCCTTTGACAAAAATAAAAAAACATGAAAAGATAGAGAAGTAGTGAAGGGAAGTGAAATAATCAGTGAGTTCTATATGTAGAAGTTGTCTTGATAAGGTTTTAAAGACTGAAAATCAGGTATACCAAAATGATAAAGAATTATACTGTGCATGGCTTCATCAAATTCTTCACATGACATAAAGAGTATTATATTTTTATGACCAGAAATGTGTCAGAAAGTGCATCTAATGCTAGAGAAAAAGTCAACTGGCACTTCATCAGGCCAATTGATGAATACAGTTGCTTCTATAAGTGAATTATGGTTGTAAGAGGTATAAAATTTTCTAAAAAAAATCTTTCCAGTGAATTAGAAAGCTCTTCAAAGTGTCTATTATTTGACCTGGGTCTCAAAATACAAAGAAGTATTCATTAACATCAGTAAAGGAATTGACCTGTCTAGAGTAATATTAGCCAACCTTCACTGAGCACTTACCATGTGCTACACACCATTCTAAGAACTTTATTTATAAAAACTTACTTGCTTCTCAAGACACTATAAAGTATGGAATTGTATTATCTGAATATTTCCTGAATAACAAAATGTTGAATTAACTTGCCTTAACTAGAATGTGGTAAAGTACAAAATCAAAAAGTGCATTATGTCATTGTGGAACGGTAAGCACCTTGGAATGGTTAAGGTACACAGAAATACAGATTATAACATTTTTGATGTTGGAACTGTATATTATATTTTACACAGAGCCTACCACTGCACATTGAACATAGCAGATGCTTAATAAACTTAAATTAAGCTGAAATTAATAATTATATTTATTCCTATTTATTAAGAATTATATTTTAATAGTACTTTTAACAGGAAGGCAAAAAGAACAGAAAAGTATTTTAAATGGCAGTAGATACAATATCAGTAAATTCTTAAGATAGGCAGCATTATTCATCAAAATGTTAAGCTATAAGCTCAGCAGTCTACATGGCTGCCATAATAATTATAAATCCAGCTCTGTGACTTACTACATGTGTGGCTTTGCAGAAGTTTCTTTATTTTCACTCTTCTTCAGCTCTCTTATCTCTAAAATAGAACAGTAATTATACTTAACTCAGGGGTTTGGTGAGAATTAATTAATTAGCATGCATACAGTGTTTGTAGCAATGCATAGAACATTCAAAATGCTCAATAAATGTTAGTTATGAAGACAATGATGGATATGACGGTTCTGAAGATATGATGAAAACATTAAAACATAAACATTGATTTTTACCTTTATACACTACAGCTAAATAACTTTCTGTGACACATTTCAGTCTGAAATCAGAAATTCTAGTTTCATAGTTGCACTTTCCTTTTACTATTCACCAGTATTAATCTCATTTCATTTCAGATATATTTCTTTGTCTATCATTATTTTTGTAATAATCACACACTACATGTGTCTAGTCTCCACTTAAAATTCAAGCTCATGAAAGCTGGGGGCTATGCCTTATATTCCTATTGCAACCACAACTGCAAACATGTCTAATAGGTGCTTAATAATAAACAATCAAGAAATAGGAATAACCCCAGCATTTGTCTGACTGCTTAATCATTTCAGATCATCTCAGGTGATGAAATAGGATGCAAATAAATGAACTTAGTGATTTAAACAGTATGACTTTACATAAGCATCCAGAGAAAAACTTGTTTGAATTTGATATATCCTGAAAAATCAGGCCAACTGATACTTATTTCAAAATAGCACAAAATTTAAGCCCTCAGTGAACAGCATTAAAGAAATGTTCATTTTGATTTTGCACAGGAAAGAAAGGGCATAACTTAGAAACAAAATCTGGAGTTGAGGTTAATCGTGACTTGAGAGGAGATAGCTGTTTCATAAGTAAATGCCTATTTCCTTCTAATTCATTTTATCTATTCTGGATGTCGATGTGGAAGCTGTGAGTTTTAAGTCAGGTCAAAAAAAGAAGAAGAAAGAAAAAAAGATATTTCTTAAAAGAAAGAATCTAGGCCACATTTGGCTTCAAAAGGCTTCTTTGCTCATCTATTTGATTGTTGTCCTAAATTTAAAAAGTCAAATTTCAAATAAAATAGTTTTTCTCTGTGTCAGTTTTTGGACTACAAATGAGAACACAAAATAATGATGTTTTTGGACTTATGTTTTTAAATTTCTAGCATATCTCTAGTGTTTATTGCACACAAACAAAGCTTAAAACCATATATCCAACTGTGGTTCAACATTTTTGACTTAGAAACACTGAATTTATAATGTATTTATTCAACAAACATTTATTGAATCTTTATTAAAATTTTCCACTCTACATAAACTTGAGAGTGGAGCTAAAATCTATTTCATCTTATTAAATCTATAATACCTTAGTGTAGCAGAAAGGGATTCTAATCATATATGTGCTGAATAAATCAATAAATTAATTAAATATGCCATATAGTATTTTCATTGCTGTTAGGAAAGAATTGAAGTCTTTACACATAAAATACGTTGTAGAAGATAAGTGAAAAAGTCTTACATCTACTTAGCACTATTTACTTGAGCAAAACTTCTACTAATTATGTACAAAAAGTCAAAGATATTTTAGAGTAAAAAACAGAAAATAAAACGGACGCTGCCCTCTAAGAGTGTACAATTTTCTCAAAGAGATAAAAGAGATTAAAATTGTATTTTACATAACAATATAAGAAAGATGATAAAAATTCATGCAATAATAAATGCACAACAAATAAAATATTTATGAATAAAAGATTTTTTACAGGCTTCAGAACCATATGAAAGCATCATGTCAACAAAAAGCTCTTGTTTTGACATTTCTGTGTAATGTAACAAAATCTCAATGAAACTGGAGCAAGAAATTAACTAGCCTGATTAATATTAAGGAAAAGCCAAGAGTTAATCAGGATTTAGGCACAGATGAATCTAAAGACTTAAATTTCATTGTCAATCCCTGTCTCTGGATTGATTAGACAGATTTTGCTACAAGTTAGGAAGTTGGCTGTAACATACTCACACACACACACACACACACCCCTTTCTTTCCAAGCATACATAAACAAGAACATACATACCTAATTTATATTTAGCATATTAGGTAATAGTGGAATTGCTTGGCTTCATATTCCATGTATATTATTTTCCTAGCTATGAGACCCTCGCCAGGTTTGTGTGTTTTTTTTTTTTTTGTTTTGTTTTTGTTTTGTTTTGTTTGTTTTGTTTTGAGATGGGTTCTCACTCTGCTGCTCAGGCTAGAGCGCAATGGTGTGATCACAGCTCACTGCAACCTCCGCCTCGCGGGTTCCAGCAATTCTCCTGCCTCAGTCTCCCAAGTAGCTGAGATTACAGGCATCTGCCACCACACCCAGCTAATTTTTGTATTTTTAGTAGAGATGGGGTTTCACCATGTTAGCCAGGCTGGTCTCGAACTCATGACCTCAGGTGATCCACCCGCCTCAGTCTCCCAAAGTGCTGGGATTACAGGTGTGAGCCACTGTGCCTGGTCTTATTTTTATTTTTATTTTTTAAATCCTATCTGAGGCTTTGATTTCTACCTCAGAATCCTCTGAAGGATTAAATAAGATGATTCAACTTGAAAGGCTGCTATCAGGCTTGACAAATAGTAGGTATTCAGTATAATTGTTGCTATTAATATAATTATTATTATGATAATTTTACATGCAATAAAAATGCCCTCTCCAATGCCCAAATATAGGCAACTGTTTCATCTTCTGCAGAATCCTAAGTTGATGTCATGGGGCAGTGGTTCTCTGAATCTAGGATGCTCAATATGATTTCTCGAAATCAGGTATGTTTGTAATTTATCATGGTCCAGAAATTCTGAGCTAAACAATAAATTTAACCACATGTAACACCTCCAACATACGATCATAGTGAAAGGCCAGCAAAAACAGCAACAAACAAAAGGGCAGGATAATTATAGTATCAAATGTAACTTGACAGTGAATAAAGAGACACAGAACACAATGTTTGGGGTTCTGTAGTGCATCCCATGTCTACCTGATGTGGGGAATTGACTACTCCCAGACTTGGCAATGGTGTGCACTCTGGATTCCATATATGGTTGCCTCTTTTTCTATTCTCTGAAACAACCTATTTTGCACAATTTATCAATAGCCATACCTGAAGAGAGGAGAAACGGGACCTATAACTCATTAGCAGGGCTTGTCTTTTTAAGAACCGGGGATTTCTGTAGGAGCAAGCTATATATTAGGCATAGGTTGTCAGGCTGAAAAAAAATCTGGAAGTATAACTCCCTTAAAACTCAGAAACATGCCTTTCATTTTAATTACTAGATACTATGGAAACAACAAATACAAATGTCGCCACTTCGTAATTGGCCATGTTCTGAAATCTACTTTTTCTGATAGTAATATAGCCACTTCAGCCTTTTAAAAATTAAATGTTTTTAAGTTATATTTTTACATATTTTAACTTTAACCTTCTTTTATAATTAACGTGAACTTATTTTAGACAGCACATAGTTGTGTCTTCATTTTTATAATTCATCCCTCCAAAATTTGTCATATCCCTCTCTACTGCCTCTCTCCACCCATTCTGATCACTGGCAAGCACTGATAAGCTTTCAGTTGCTTTAAATTAGTTCGTGTTTTCTGTAATTTCATATAAATAGAATCATACAATATGTACTCTATCTGACGTCTTCAACTTAGCATAATTATTTTGAGATTTACCCACTTTGTTGCCTACTTGAATAGTTCATTCCTTTTTATTGCTGGGTATCCCATTGTATGCATATGCCACAATTTATGTATCCATTCGCTTCTTAACATACATTTGGGTTGCTTTCAGGTTTTGGCTATTACAAATAAAGTTGCTATGAACATTCACATACAAGTCTTTGGATGGACATCTGCTTTATCTTCTCTCTGGAAAACATTAAAGAGTGGAAAAATTGAATAATAGAGTTGGAATGTGTTTAACTTTTTAAAAACGGTCAACATGTTTACTATTCCACCACAGCAGTGTAATGAGACTTTCAGTTGGTCCACATCCTCAGCAGTGCTTGCCATTTTTAGTGTTTCTACTTTTAGAGTTTCTTATAGGTTTGCAGTAATATTTTGTTTTGGTGTTATAGTTTGCATATCCCTCACAGCTAATAATGTGGAGCATATTTTAGTGTTCTTATGTGCCATCCATTTATCTTCTTTAAAATTGTTCTCCGTTTAATTTTGTTTTCCATTTGCATATCTTCTTGTTAATTTTGTACTATTTGTTACTAGGGTAGTGGCTATAATTAACAAGTAAAGCCAACTGGCAGTGGAGTTTTCTCTGTTGGAACATTTTGAACAATGAATTTAATTTTTGAATACATGTATAAGCATAAGACTATCCAAGTAATTTCTTTTTCGGTGAACTTTGCAGTGGGTATCTTTCCAGGAATTTTACTTATTGTGTCTAAGGTGGTGAGTATATTTACATAAAGTACTTTTTGTTTATATAGCATTCTACATATTTTTAAGATATAGTAAGGTAAGTAAGTAATTTATGTTTTTACTCTTTATTCATGATGACTCTGGCTAAAGACATCAATTTTACTAATCTCAACGATATAGCTTTTATTTTTACTAATTTTCTCTATTTTATATATTTTAATTCATTAATTTTAACTCTAATCTGTTTTATTTCTTTCTTAGTTTGGATTAATTTGTTAAATTTTTTTAATATTTAAAGGTCAAAGCTGAGATTATTTGTTTCTTCTCTTCTATTTATTTTTACTGTAAAATGACAAATTATAGTTGTATATAGTTATGGGAAAAAGTGATGTTATGATTTATGAATACAATAAAGAATAATTATGCTGTTAATATATCATCACCTCAAATACTTATAACTGTTTATAGTAAGAACATTTGAAATTTACTCTCAACAATTTTGAAATAGACAATTACAACTCTGTGCAAGATCTCAAAATAAATTTATTCTTCCTATTGAACTGAAGCTTTGTAATCTGTAACCGTTATCTTCTCATTTCCTCCAGCCTCCAGCCTCTGCTTCCTATCTATGAGGTTGATTGTTTTAGATTCTACACACAAATGAGAACATGTAACATCTGTCTTTCTGAGGATGGCTTATTTCACTTAGCATAGTGTTCTCCAATTCTAAACATGTTCCAAATGACAATTTTTTTCTTTTTCATGGCTAAATAATATCCCATTGTGTATAAGGACCACATTTTATTTATCCATTTATCTGTTGATAGACACTTCAATCATTTACTTAAAGGAATACTCAACATTTGCATCAAATGTATAAAAGTGCTGCAAAAAAACATGGGGGTACAGACATTTCTAATACATGTGTTTGTGTTATTTATTTAACTTTAAACACTGCTTAAGCCGCACCTCTCAAATTTGATAAGTTGTATATTTTTACTCAATTAAAATACTTTTGATTTTTAAGATTTTCTTTGACCCACAGTTATTCAGAATTGTGTTTTTTGTTTGTAAATACATGAGAATATTTCAGAAATACTCCAAGTATTTATTTGAAATTTAATTTCAGTTTTGTCAGAGTATATATTTTATGATTTGCAATTTTAAAAATTGAGACTTTTTTGCTTTACCTTATATATTGGGATGTATGTTTGTATATATGTGTGTATTTAAATTTTTACACATTAAAATTTGCCATGTTGACTTTTTTAAAGGTGCAATTCAGTAGGGCTAAGAACATTCACACTGATGTGCAACCAATGATAAGATGTTTCTCAGTTTGCAGAACTGAAGCTCTAAACCAATTAAACAATTAAACAATTCCTCATTCACACCCATCTCCCAACTACTATTCTACTTTCTGTCTCTATGAATTTGACTACTCCGGATATCTCATATAAGTTAAGTCATATAATAGTTGTCATTTTATGACTGGCTTATTTCAGTTAGTATAATGTCCTCAAGTTTTATCCATGTTGTAGCTGTAGCATGGGTCAGCATTTCCTTTCTTTTGAAGTATGAATAATATTCCATTGCATGTATATACCATAATTTGTGTGTCTATTCATTAATCAGTGTATACTTGCATTACTTCCAAATTTGGCTACTACGAATCATGCTACTATCAACTGTGAGATGTGTCTACATCTACATCTATCTATCTTTGTGTGTGTGTGTGTGTGTGTGTATTACTATGCAGTATTAGAGACAAAAAAATATGACTTTCTCTTCTGATCTTGCTTGCTCAACCTAACATTTACTTTATTATAATATATAATTTTAACTTTGACTTTTTCTAAGACTACCTTGGCCTAACCTACCAGTTTGTTCTTTTACTAAACAATGTTCTTCTCATCTTTGGAGCACCTTTATCAATGAGATGACAAACTTCAAGGAAATTAAACTCAGGTATTGCTTTTTACCGGCTTTTCTTGGAAGGCAATTAGCAAGGATTTTGATTGAGGGGCTTGATTACTGTCTCAAAAGAATAATACCACTAGGTTACTTACTAAGTGCTTTAGAAGATATCTCAAAGAAGCATGCTTCTTTCCATATTTTTTGCCTCTCTACTCTTCAATTGATTAAAAAAATTGAATTTAGCTATATAAACACCATGATAATTACATTCATTTATGCAAGCTGCTTAGCATTGTGCCTAATTATCATAAGGCACAATAAGGATTAGTCACATTATTAAATATGCTAGATAATTTTGCTATATATTTTATTTGATTGAAACCCTAGATCCTACATGTGTGTGTTCAGATACCCTATTACTTTTTTCAGGAAACACTATCAAATCACAACTCAGAAAAAAAGAAAGTTCATAGTTTCCTTCTGTTTGTCTTTTTCTGGTTTCCTGTCACTCTGAAGTTAATGGATACCATGACCTTTTATTTATATAGATGGCCCTAGCATGCTGAGGGTATGTGTGGGTGAAAGGTCCTCCATAATGATACTCTTTGGACTTTTCTTATCCACTCTTTTTCTAGGCTGTGGAGTTTCTCAGGACCACAGCATAGGCCATCTTCTCTTCATTCAGGGAGAGATTAGAGGGCTTTCATCTTTACACATGATTTTATGTTCCATCTATACAATAAAGATTCTAAATTTATATCTCCTGTCCAGACTGCTTGTATTAGAGCTCACTAGAGGAACAGAACCAATAGGGTATTTATAGATATATAAGAGGGGATTTATTATAGGAATTGGCTCAGGCAATCAGACAAGCCGAGAAGTCCCATGAAATTCTATCTTCCAGTTGGAGAACAGGGAAGGCTGGTGATGTAATTCAGTTCAAGGCCCAGGAGATGCAGTGGTGTAACTCTCAGTCTGAGGCCAAAGGTGGGAGAACCAGGGAGCCTGCTGATGTAATTTCTGGAGTCTGAATGCCTAAAAACCTGAAAATCTGATTTCTAAGGGCAGTATATGAACGAGCCAGCTCCCAGAGAGTGAATTCACATTTCCCCCACTTTTTTGTTCTATCATGGCCATTAGTGGATTAAATGATACCTGCCCACTCTGGTAAGGAATGATCTTCTTTACTCAGCTTATAAATACAAATGTTCGTTTCTTTCAGAAAGTCCCTTACAGAAACACTTAGATACAATGTTTTACAAGCTATCTGGGTATCCCTTAACACAGTTAAGTTCACACATCAAATTAACCATCAAACTACTTCTCTTTCCTTCTATTTCTTGACTGTGATGAATCAACATCTCTATTTTGAAGACAAGCAGTCATTTACAAATTAATGTGTTCAAATCTGAACTTGTAATATTCCACATGTATCCCTCAACCCATAGTTGTCATTATCTCATTAAGGGGTACTTCATATTTCACTCACTATACAGGTATTAATTTAGTGCCTTTTATGTGAAAGACATTGTGTTATGCACTAAATGATAGCTGTAAGCAAAACAAAACTCTGCCTTTATGGGACTTAACATCCCCATATACCTGATGCACAATTCATACAGTTGGGACACCTCTTTCCCATTAGCCCTCTACATCTTACCTCCAATATAAATAGCAAATTAGTCTACTTATCTTGTTCTTCACTACTACTATATAGTGCTTCTTCACTACTACTATATATAGTTATTGATGATGCCACCTCAAATTTATTAAAGTCTCTCACTTTACTTGTAACACGTTCCCTACCCTAGCCTTTATGGTTCTGTAAATTTTATCCCTATGAGAAAAAGAAAATAGAAAAGAAGAAAGAAAGGATACAATGAAAGATCTTATCTTTTTCCTCTTTCTATGATAACCTACATAATTTTCTAATCATGATTTTTTCCTAATATTTTCTTGCTATCATGAAATGTTAATTTGTGGACTCCTCCTACTGTTTATTATTATTTTTTTAAAAAATGAAGTATTATATTTAGGGTCTAGACTAAACTCCCCTAACAAGTATACTCCAAATAACTGAGTTTAATAAGATAGAAATTTGTCTCACATGGGAAAGACCAGAGATAAGCCTTCCATGGCTGTGGGCAACCCTGTCATCCTTGACATGAGGCTTTAATACCTGAATTAATGGTGGCTGTTCCACTTCTGCCTTTCTAGCAGGAAGACAGAAATAGAAAGTGCAGAGAAGAAATTTTAATTTTTAAATGAGATCAACTTGAAGTTGCACAAACATCCCATTGGGAACTTAGCCACATGGCTCTATCTATCTACAAAAATATATTGGAAAATGCATCTTTCCTTGTGCAGCCATCTTGTCCTAAAACATGTTGGAGAAATGGGTTGATATCTTTTCACCAAAAAAAGAAAGACACAATGAATACTGAAAATGAATCAGAAGTTTCTGTCCCAATTAGATCTTTTTCAAATTTTGCTTGGTTAAAACTATAAATTAACTCTGTCTTTTTATGTATGTATGTATGTATATATGTATGTATGTATGTATGTATGTATGTATTTATTTATTTATTTTTTGAGATGGAGTTTCACTCTTGTTGCCCAGGCTGGAGTGCAGTGGTGTGATCTCAGTTCACTGCAGCCTCTGCCCCTCTGGTTCAAGGTATTCACCTGCTTCAGCCTCCTGAGTAGCTGGGATTACAGGCATCCATCACCAGGCCCTGCTACTTTTTTGTATTTTTAGTAGAGATAGGGTTTCACCGTGTTGGCCAGGCTGATCTTGAACTCCTGACCTCAGGTGATCCACCTGCCTCGGCTTCCGAAAGTGCTGTGATTACAGGCGTGAGCCACCATTCCTGGCCTTTGTCTTTTCTTTCTAATTTTCCTTTCGTCTTTTAAAATGAAGCATAATGTATTAATCTGTCAATGTGTATGACTCAGTGAATATTTCAGAAAGTACTCTTTTGACATAAAATTTTAATCCAGTGATTCATAATTTTATAAGTGAAATATGACACATTTTAAATTCTAAAAATAGTAGGTTATATATTAAATGTAAGATCTATATCAACCATTACTAGGAAGCTGACAAAAATAGTATCTGTCAATAAGAAAATAATGACCGGTATTTTTCCATATTTAATCTAATTTAACGTTAAAAATTTTTATTAAGAGTTAGCCATATTGATTTCCAAGTAAAAATGATAGTGGGAAGCGTAGTTCTAGATTCACTACACAGCATGCATACTTAAATAACTCAAGCATGAAAAATAAGTAAATGAAAGGAAATATCTCCACTTCTACTAATCAAACAAATAAAAAATACTTCAACCTCATGCCATGAACTTTAAGTAGCAAAAGTCCAAGGAAAAGATAAGAAAGCTTCTTTATAACTTTGTTCTCACACTGCTACAAATAAATACCTGAGACTGGGTAATTTATAAGGAAGAGCTTTAATTGCCACACAATTCTGCAGGCTGTACAAGAAGCATGGTGGCATCAGCTTCTGGGGAGGCCTCAGGAAGCTTACAATCATGGTGGAAGGTGAAGGAGAAGCAGGCATGTCTTATATGGCTGGAACAAGACGAAGATAGAGAAAGGGAAGGTGCTACACATTTTTAAACAACCAGACTTGTGATAACTCACTCTCATCACAACACCACCAAGAAGGATGGTGTTAAACCATGAGAAACAACCCCCATGATCCAATCGCCTTCCAGCAGGCTCACCTCCAACATTCAGGATTACAATTAGACATGAGATTTGGGCAAGGACACACATCCAAACCATATCAGCTTCTAACATAGAGTAGTGAAAATTTTAATTCACTAACCACTTACCAGAACTGTGATTATATAAAGTAGAATTAAGCCAGGAAGGATATTTAACAAAATCTCAAGAGAGAAGACAAAGATTGTGTGCAATTAGCTCTAGCCAAGCTGTTTTCCTCTCTATTAATAGTTTTCATTTAGAGGACAACGTAAATCTTAAAACTGTGCCTAAGAACTGAAGACAATCAGGTCTCAAATGAAGCAGAAAGTGCAAGAAGAAAAAGACATCCATAGACCAAAACCAACAGATGATCTGAATAGAAGTCTCCATAGACATAACAAAAACATGTGACCTAAAAGAGGCAAAAGCATAAGACAATAATAAATATTTTAAAGAAAATGGGCAAAACCCTGCTTCTAAAAAAATATGAAAATTAGCCAGGCGTGGTGGCACACACTTGTAGTCCCAGCTACTCGGGAGGCTGAGGCAGGAGGAGAATTGCTTGAACCCAAGAGGCGGAAGTTGTGGTGAGCTGAGATCACGCCACTGCACTCCAGCCTGGGTGACAGAGTGAGACTCTGTCTAAAAAAAAAAAAAACAAAAACAAAAGGAATTAAAAAAATGAAAAGGATATTTAGAACTTAGAAAAGTCTGGCATGGAAGAATATATAATTTAAGAAATAGGAGAACATTCTGTAGTGTTAATTTCATAACATAGAAGAACTTAATATGATTGTAAATTTAATAAGAAAGCGATAGGTGAGAGACCATACATTCAAACAACGGAATGAGATTAAAATAGAAATAGCAAAACTGAAGTAACAAGTTAATGACAAGAATATCAATGTCCTGAGACGGGCGGATCACGAGGTCAGGAGATCGAGACCATCCTGGCTAACACGGTGAAACTGCGTCTCTACTAAAAATACAAAAAATTAGCCGGGCGTGGTGGTGGCTGCCTGCAGTCCCAGCTACTCCGGAGGCTGAGGCAGGAGAATGGCGTGAACCTGGGAGGCGAAGCTTGCAGTGAGCGGAGATCCCGCCACTGCCCTCCAGCCTGGGCGACAAACCGAGACTCTGTCTCAAAAAAAGGAATCTCGATGTCAACTAAAAAACAAATAATAAGCTAAAACAAAGGCAAAAGACAAAAGTGACATTTTACGTTTTACTTGATACAGGAAAAGTCTTGAATTAATAACTAAGTCAAAGGGAAAAATCACAAAATGATCATATCAATTCACAAAATGCTGTATCTTATAGAAGACAGGCAAAAGCATCCAATGAAATAATAATTGGAATCCTCAATAGATAGAACATAAATGTATTTAACTAAATTATCGGTGGATGTTTTCTTGTAGTGAAGAAAATATGTGTAAATTAAAAGAACACAGAAAACTTCAGAAAAAAAAAGAACATGATTGACATTAATAAATCTTGTAAATTATTAGCTTAATTTTTTTAAAATAAGATATACTCAAGTGTCCACATGAGAGGAGATAGGGCTAAAAATCAGCCTAGTCTTAAAGTTAACTACATAATATTCAAAGCCTACAATATTTAGATACAAAAAAAATTCTAAATTAAGAATTTTCAATTTTAATAAGAGAAACTGAAGTCTTATATGCTCACCATTTTTTTTACAAAGTGTTTTTAATCTAATAGTCAAGAAGAGTAATAAAAGAGTTTACATTGTTAAAGAACTATATTATAACATCCTACATAATAAAATATGTATCTTTGGCTATAGTATTTAATTTTACTTTTAAAAATGCTTTATTTGTATATTGCCTGTGTGGTTATAATTAATATAAACTATTCATTCTTTTAAATCTAAAACAAACAAAAACTTTGGGAATTTTGAAAAGTAGAATGAATAATCATAGTGATTATTCTCTTCAAACCTTTCAAATTTGTAAGAAAATCCTATGTTTAATAAGCTAATTTATTAAATATTAGTGTAATGAGCATTTTGTTTAATTGAATTGTGACTTCGCCATGCCTTATGGTATTAACAGTCTGGCTCCAGGTCTACATGGAACCTGATGTCTGCCCCATATTCATTCCCTTTAAAAATGTTCAACACTCCTCCTTAAGGTGATGTTTGATAATGAGAAATTTAGCTTTAGCTCAGAAACTCTTGTAGGCTTTTTTAAAAATGAAATATTTGTGTTTTGCATGTTCTTTCCTTATATTTTATATATTTTTTTCTAGATTTGGCAGAATACTACATATCTTGAATCACAAACTCTCAACCCCAAACTGAGAATGTGCCTTCTTTACTCCTTAGCTGTCCTCCTCTCTAAATGTGGAAAGGAGATGCTCTTCATCCTGCACTAAGACATATGGAGATTGCTTCTCCTGTTCACCTATTCAATTTAAAAAGTGTATCAGAAAACTTAAAAATAACACTTAAGTAGAAGCTCAGCAATATGAATTAGACCACCCTAAATAGAGGTGAGAAGCGGACAACAGCACTCACTTCAGCCACAACAGGCACTAAATTAATGGCCACAAGATGAGCTGAACGTCAGAACAGCTATTGGGACTGAATCTCCTGATAAAATATCTTAATTGAAAGAATTTATCTGGTGGTAGGGTAGAACTGAGGCTTCAGATTATGATCAGTAACTACATTTTATAGTAGCTGCTATTGTTTGAATGTGTCTCCTTAGAGTTATGTGTCGGAAATTCAATCAAAATTGTGCTTATATTAAGATGTGAGACCTTTTTGCTTGCTCTTGTGAATAGATTAATGTTATTACGGGGTTGGCTTTCTCATCAAGGGAGTAGTTTCCTTGTAAAAAGGGAGAGTTCCCTTCCCCCCAGTCTTGCCCTCTCTTGACCCTTTCGTCATAAGATGATGCAGCAAGAAGACTCTTGACAGATGCCAGCCCCTCGGTCACGGATGTCCCAGCCCCCTTAACTGTAAGCCAATGCATTTCCGTTCATTATAAACTACCTAATGTGTAGTATTCTGTTACAGCAGCGCAATACAGACTAAGACAGAAGCCAAGGAAAAATTAATACAGTACATTTTGTCAAAAATACTTAGCTGAAAACATTTTGAGTGCCATAGTGCAAAACACAGTCAGGAAAGACATTAATGGTAGATATCCCATGAAAACATTATGCTTCTATTTTGAAATTACTGTCCATATTCACTAGCCATAACTACTCAAATAAAATACTGGAACCAACATTGCTGTTAGAAAATCTTTGCCAGTGAAAAAAAAAATGGTTTTCTTTGAAGGCTGCATTTGGTCTATTGGGAACAGTACCAAATAAAACGTGTATTATTTGGAAGATGTGCTTTAGTGAAATACTATTCAAGATTTATTTTTGATTTGTTTGTTACTTGTTTTAAAGAGATTATTATTGATAGCATGGTCAAAAAGCTTTTCTTAAATATATCTGGGTTTGTGTACTGGATCTACTCCATATGATATTTAATATTAAACAAATAATCTAACCACTGTTTCTCTCTTCTCTACAAAGAAATGCATTTAACAACGACTTTACTTTTGTGGTCATAAGAAGTTATTATAGGTTATAGCTACTGTGAACTAAGCTACAGTTTACAATACTAAATTTATTCCAACAATGGATATTTTAGAGCAACTTCCACTCTAGGCACTTAACTCATTTAATACAATAACTGTTATTACTAAAAAAGTTCTATGAAATCTACAGTCTCTCTCTCTCTCTCTCTCTCTCTCTCTCTCTCTCTGTCTCACACACACACACACACACACACACACACACATTTCTATGTAACGCTAATAACCCCAGCCTCAGAGAAGGTCATGGACAGTTGTTAACCAACTTTGATAGACTTTTTTGATCCAGAAACATGAAATTAACTTTGCTAGTTAAATCCTTACATATTTGGCTGTCTATAATAATTAGTACCACCACACTTTCTGATGAAGTTACTCTGAGTTAAAAATCTCAAAGAGAATATATAACATGGTTGTTATTTTGTTTTATTTTCTTGTATTTATAAATAGAATAGCATCGTTATTATGCACAATGGGCATGGAAATACACACGCACGTGCACACACACACACACACACAGATACACACACCCTATTCCTACCCAGAGAAATAATCGCTTTAAGGTCAATATTACAACTGTTAGAGATCTTCCATAGTAAAAACAGCTCTGTTGAGAAATATTAAGTTAAACGAGATTCCAATGCTCATTCATTTTCTAAAATATTACTCATGTTAGAGTATTTTTAGTTAAAATATTCAACTAAGCATCCTAAACAAATTATCATTTAATTTTCCAAATACCAAAGCCACCTTATGGCAATCAAAACTGGTGATCCTAATGCTTTTTCACAACATGGCAAGTTTTTACTAATTCCAAAAATATGTGGTTTTGTGATATTAACCACATCTATTCAATTGACAACAATTTGGTTTCTTTTTTATTTTATTTTTTTAGTTGAAGGGTACAATGTTAAGATTTTAACCAAATCAGTGAACTACATTAGTAAATGAAAATATGATGAAAATATAAAAACATTACAGAGGTGTGATTTTCTAATACTGTATACAAATGCCTCACATAATTGCACTGTGCCTTTGCAGAATTTCTTTTTCATGCTATATTCATAAGCACTTTTTAGCTGGTTTGATACATGTTCAGTTTAATAATATTTCATAAATATTTCCAGAGCTGACAATAAGAGAAAGTGAATTACTTATACACTTTAAAGACAAGCAAGTATCCTAAAACTCTAAAAATTAATTCAACGTGAAAAACTACTTTTTGGAGAAAATATGTATCTTTTTTTTTTTTTACATATTGCTCAGGGGAGACAAAAGAGCTAGAATTTACATAACAGAACACTGGAGATGAGAAAGCTGTAGGAAGACAGGGCTTCAGAGATCTGCAGAGGAACTCCTCCAGTTCTGAGTATTGATCGACACTTCCACATGCTTTTGACAAGCGTGTTTGTGGCGCAGCATAGACACACAAGTAAAGATACGATGTGATAGCACCTGGCTCTTACAGGGATCCAAACCTAGTACTGGTCTTACAAACCATACTAAAGAAATTCACGTTGCTCAAGACATTGAGTAGAATATACAAAAGGGTCCTGCCTTACGTTTGTGGAATAACTAGCCCTAAGTCAGAGTTTCCCAAATTCAACTTTTTTGAAAAATTCAAATATTTGAGTTTAAATTCAAAAATTTTAATATTTTAGGCTATGATTATTTGTTGTTGGGGGCCTGCCCTAAGCATTACAAAATGTTCAGCAGCATCCATGGCATCTAACCCTTAAGTGTCAGTTGCATTCATCCCTAATTTGACAATCAATTTTGATTGCAAAATTGATTACAGGCCAGGCGCAGTGGCTCATGCCTGTAATCCCAGCACTTTGGGAGGCCGACGTGGGTGGATCATGAGGTCAAGGAGATCGAGACCATCCTGGCTAACACGGTGAAACCCCGTCTCTACTAAAAATACAAAAAATTAGCTGTGCATGGTGGCAGGCGCCTGTAGTCCCAGCTACTCGGGAGGCTGAGGCAGGAGAAAGGCATGAACCTGGGAGGTGGAACTTGCAGTGAGCTGAGATCACGCCACTGCACTCCAGCATGGGCAACAGAGCGCGACTCCATCTCAAAAAAATAAAAAAATTTGGTTACAAAATCCAGACCTTGCCAAATGTCTTCCAGGGGTAAAAAATTGCCTTTATTAAAAACTACTATTATAGAATGAACACTTCTATCACCCTGCCTAAAAAATTGTTAAAGCAAGAGCCAACAGGATCAAAATATTTTCAGTTAACGACTGTAGACTAGAAAAAATTCTGTGAATATTTATAAAGACACAAAATTACCCAGCCCATACCAAGGTAAAATTCACAATATTTGCTATTTAATTTTAGCTATTTTTTAAAGAATTCCAGTTATGCACAGAATCAAGAAAATAAAATTCAAAATATTGAGATAAATCAATCAAAAATTACTCAGAACTGAAATGGAGGGAGGCTAGAAATAGCAGGCAAGAAAATTAAAACAATTTTTGTTTCTTTATTATATACACCTAATGTAAAATAGAGGCAGGGGAAATGGAAAATGAAAATTTTAAATTGATTTTCTATAGTGAGAACTACAATGTCTGAGATATACTAGATGAGATCAAGAACTTAATAAATATTGCAGTAAAACAATATTACATTCAGAATACAGGAATACAAAGTAGTTAAATAAGGCACTGAGAGAACAGAGAAAAAAAAGAACGGAGCATCAATAACTGGTAGAAAGATGTCAAGGAGCCAACTGTATATATATATTGGAAGTTCTGAAGAAAAGGAAAGAGGAAAAGAAGAAAAAAATATATTTGAAGAAATAATTGGTGAATTATTTTTAATGTTTTATGAAAACTGTAAAGCCACAGATCTGAGAAGCTCAACAAACCCCAAACACAAGAAACATGAAAATAACTATAAGAACTACATCATAATCAATTTTCTCAATATCAGTGATAGGAGAACATCGTAAATGTAGCCAGATATGAAATACAATGTTATATAAAGACGGGAAGAAAATGTGACAGTAGCAGAAGATTTATCACTGGAAACAATGAAATAAGAGAGTAGATATCTTGAAACTTGTTTTATTTTTATTTTTATTTTATTTTATTTTATTTTTGAGATGGAGTCTCACTCTGTCACCCAGGCTGGAGTGCAGTGTTTCAGCCTCCCGAGTAGCTGGCTCGCCACCGCACCCAGCTAATTTTTGTGTTTTTAGTAGAGATGGGGTTTCACCATCTTGGCCAGGCTGGTCTCAAACTCCTGATCTTGTGATCCACCTGCCTCAGCTTCCCAAATGGTTGGGATTACAGGCGTGAGCCACTGAGCCTGGCCAAAACTTGTTTTATAAAGAGTTTCATTGTAGAATTCCACATCAGCAAAATAATCTTATGAAAATTAAGGTAAAGTACCCTTTCAGACATACAAAAGCTGAGAAAAATTATTATAGACAGTAATTCAATATAAGAAATGCTTTTAAAATATCCTTTATTACACATAGAAAAATGAGACCTGTAGGAAATTTAGATCTGTAAAAATTAATGAACATTATTTGAAATAATTGCATAAGTGTATAACATTATTTTATTATTTAAAATATAAATATATGTAGAAATTAATTAAAAATAATCTTTAAAGGATGATAATTTAACCAAAAATACTCACAATGTAATATTATTATTATACTAGCCCCACAACTAATGGCTGTTACAATAATAATGATGGAATAATTGAATTGGACACTAGAAGAGGCAAAGATTGGCAGTGACCACACGGCAAGTCAACAGAACAGATCTTAGTTAATAGTTCAACCAGGAGCACACTGACCAGCTGAGAGCATTTTTTTGCACATATCAATCTTAAAGACTATGCCTTTTTCTTATTTACTCTTCTCTATTCACTCCCAGACTCCCAACACAATTTCTCTTTCTTTTGTACCACAAACTCAAGGCTCAGATTCCTTCACTAGTGAATTATATCAGATAGCTAAGGAAGAAGTAATATTGATTTTACACAGAATACTCTAGAGTTTGAAAGGGAAGAAATACTCCACAACTCATTCTATAAAGTCAAACTTACCCGATCTCAAAACCAAAGGCATTACAAAAGAAAGAAAGAAAAGAAATAAAGAAAGCAAGAAGGAAGATATTGATGCGGATACAGTATGGGATAACATCTAAAATTATTTGTGACAAAAATTCTCAGCAATTTAATAACAAAAGGAATCTCTTTTAATCTGATAAATGGAATCCATAAAAATCCTACAACTGATACTATTCTGAAAGAAAAGTATGTACTGCCTTTCTCATAAGATCAGAAATAAGATAAATAATGTCCACATCCACTTTTACCACTTCCCATTTCTATCCAATCATTTACCAAAGATTCTATCCAGTCCAATAAGGCAAAAACCAAGACAGTGGGCTTGGTGGACACAGTGATGATGACAGAGACAGAGAGAGGGAGAAGGACACAAAGAGAGATGGAGAGAAAGCAGAGAGACACAGACAGAAAGTGGGGGAGGACAAAGCCCAGATTGGAAGGGAAGAAGGCAAAAATCATTTATTTAATGACAAAATTATTGTCTATGTACAAAATCTGATGGAATATACAAAATGTATTTAAAAAAAATTTAAAAAAATGAACCAGACCCAGACTTTATATGCTTCACAAAAATTAACTCAAAATAAATTGTAGACCAAAATGTAAAGCTTAAAACTAAAAAATCTCCTATAATATAACATATGAAAAAAATCTAGAGGACCTTCATTTTGGTGATGATTTTTAGAGATATTAGTAACACCAAATATATGAAATAAATAATTGATAAGCTGAAGTACATTACAATTAAAATTATCTGCTCTATCAAAGATACTGTCAAAAGAATGAAAGAGCAAGATACAGGCTGAGAGAAAATATTTTTCAAAGGGCATATCTGACGAAGAACTGTAATCCCAAATATGTAAAGAACATTTAAAACTGAAAAATAATAAAATGGACAACTTGATTAAAAACTGAGCCAAAAATCTTAACAGATATCTCAGCAAAAAGATATACAAATGGCAAATAAGGATATAAAAAGATGCTTCACATCATATATGTCATTAGGAATGTATAAATTAACACAGCAATGAGATAGCATTACAAACAAGATAACCACTATTAGAATGGCCAAATCCAGAGCACCAGCATCACCAAATGTTGGTGAAGATGTGGAGCGACAAGAACTCATATTTACTGCTTATGGGAATGCAGAATGATACAGTCACTTTTAGAAGACAGTTTAGCAGTTTCTTACAAAACTAAACATACTCATAACACATAATCCAGGAATTATGTTTCTTGGCTTTTTCTCAAAAGTGTTAACAAGTTTATGTCCAAGCAAAAATCTGCACATAGATGTTTGTAGTAGGTTTATTCATAATTACCAAAACTTGGAAACAACCAAGATGTCCTTCCATAAATGAATGTGTAAATAAATTGTTACATCCTCATAATGGGGTATTATCCAGCACTAAAAAAAAAAGCTACCCAGCCACAAAAAGACATGGAGAAATCATAAATGTGTATTATTAAATGAAAGAAACCAATCAAAAAAGGATTGCAATTATATGACATCTTAGAAAAGACAAGTATGGAGATAGTATTAATAAGAAAATAAAATCTGTGATTGCTATGGTTTGAGAAGGAAAGGGATACATAGGCATAAAACAGAGGATTTTTAGGGCAGTGAAGCTACTTGTATGAAACTGTAGTGGTGGATATGCATCATAAAAAGTTGTGCAAACAAACAGAATGTAAAATGTCAAGAGTGAACCCTAACTCTGGGTGGCATGATTTGTTAACATATGTTCATCAATCATAACAAAAGTACTACTGTGGTAAGGAATGCTGATAATGGGAGAGGCTATGCATGCATGGCAACAGGGTATATGGTAAATCTCTGTAATGTCCACTGAGGTTTTCTGTGAATCTAAAACTTCTCTGAAAAATGAAGTCTATTAAAAATAAAAATGAATATCTATTAAGAGAATCCCAGTATATTTTTTAAAATTAAATTTTGCTATTTTTAAATTTTTATAGTTACATATTAGATGTATATATTTATGAGGTACATAAAATATTTTGATAAAGGCACCAACATGCTATTTTTCCATTGGTGGAAATTGACAAACTGATTCTCAAATGTGAATGTAAATTATAAGAACTTAGAATAGTCAAAAATTAATTTGAAAAAGGAGCACTAACCCTATCTGATTTCAAGATTTATGTTAATCTTAACTAACATTGTGTTACTGGCATAAGATGGACAATTTGAATAATGGGACAGAATAAAGAGTATATAAGTAGCCTTAATCATATATGGACAACTAGTTTTCAACAAATATGTGAAGGCAATCTAGTAATTAAAAAAAAATAAGCAGTCCTTTAAACAAATGTGGATGGAATGATTGAATATTCATGTTTAAAAATGAACTTAGACCAACCTTGAATCATATACAGTAATTAACTCAGAATAGATCATAGACCTAAATGTAATGTCTAAAAGTATACTCCATGTAGGAACAAAACACTGGAGAAAATATTTGTGACTTTGGGTTAGGTGAAGAATATTTTAAATACAACATCAAAAGCAGGTTCCATAGAAGAATATACTGATAAGTGATTTTTAAAAATATTATATATCCAGTTTTCAATATGTATTGTTAAGAGAATGAATAGACAAATCACAGACTACAAAAGTTAAATAGTTTATTTTCAATTTTCAAGCACTTCATCATCATCATAATCTAAAATTATTTATTTATTCATTACCATACGTCTGGTACTGTACTGTTTTACATGCGTTATTTCATTAAGTCCTTTCAGCAATCCTATAAGGAAGATATAAATTTTCTCATTTCACACATGAGTAAAGAGAAGATTTAAAGAATTAGGTAAATTGCTTTGGGCCAAAAGATGTAGCATCTGAATATAATTGCCTATCTAATTTTTACTTTCTCTAACACTTGATACAATAAAGCCTCATAATTAATGGCTGATATAACCATAATTATTGAATGAATTAGACACCAAGAAGGACAAAGATTGGCATCATTCAACAAGTCCTCAGAAACAGAGCTTAGTCAGGGATTGAACTGGTCACAAACTTCCCAGCCTAGAGTATATTGTGTTATATGTGTCAATCCTATGTAATTAGCTTATTTCTTATTTGCTGCTTTCTCTTTCACTACCAAAATTCCAGTTAAATGTCTTCCTTTTTCCTGTTTTTCTTTCCAGAAAATTGTGCTGAATTGTCACTTAGAATAAATCTTAATTCCCCAATCATCACAGTACTTGACAGGTTCTCATTAGCTCTTAAGCATGCATATAGAAAAATACTGAAAAATGGACCGAATTAACTTTTGTGGCTTTTTCCTATTTTCTTTACTTGGGGATAAATGTTTATTCACATCTATACTCTTTTTTGTCCAGAGAAATAGAAGAACTCATAAAATTGAATCTATTCCTACCAAATTCTTCACAGAGAATTTTTGAAGACATGATTAAGATAAAGACAAATACAATTACTTAGTGATTACTATTACAGATAAAATTATGTAGAAAATGTCGGCTGGACGCGGTGGCTCACGCCTGTAATCCCAGTACTTTTGGAGGCCGAGGCAGGCGGATCACGAGGTCAGGAGATCCAGACCATCCTGGCTAACACGGTGAAACTCAGTCTCTACTAAAAATACAAAAAATTAGCTGGGCGTGGTGCCGCGCGCCTATAGTCCCAGCTACTCAGGAGGCTGAGGCAGGAGAACGGCGTGAACTCGGGAGGCGGAGCTTGCAGTGAGCTGAGATCACGCCACTGCACTCCAGCCTGGGCGACATACCAAGACTCCTTCTCAAAAAAAAAAAAAAAAAAAAAAAAAATTTAGAAAATGTCTATGCTCAGATGGTTTATATCTGTTTTTCACTCTCCTTAGCAGTTCCCACCATTTTGAACATGTTAATTCAAGGTGAATTTCACTTTCCTAATAAAATTGTATCTTAAAAAATAAGAAATAATATCTCCTACTGTTCCAAAAGACTTTCCTGAATTATCCTCTCTTCCAAATAGCATCTATTTCATTTCATATTTAAGTTCTAAGCAGTCTTCAATCATATTTATTGAAGTGTGAATTGCATTACTTGTCTCTATTCTGTAAAATATCAGCTGACTTTCTCAAGTGGAGCTCTTTTTCTTTGTTTCACAGAATCTAAGCAATTAAAATACACAATTTGGTTTTTTTTCCGATGTTTATTTTATCTTTCTGAAGGGATTTTGTCTGACTGAAAAAGAATGCTGTTGGTTTTTTGTTATTCTGTATTTTTTATATCTATATTCTAGTAGAAATCCTGATATTTGCTAAATAGGTTTTACATTGGCAGTTTTATATTTATTGCCTTGATCATTAGACTAATTGACAAATAAAAGAGTCAATTACTTGCCCAATTTTTGGAATCTGGGAAGGGGAAGCCTTACTTATCCATCTAGTTTTCAGGTATTCCTCTTCCTTAACTCAGCCTTGTTAAGCTTCTTCCAAGTCCGTGTGCCAGGCAGAAAGTAACAGTGATTACTGAAAACACTTTAAAAGAGATAGGTCTTATACTCTATTAAGGGACAGCTTACTGCCCAGAAAATATAAGTAGCCAATTTGCTTGTTACATACAAGAATCAATTAAACTAAAACATAAACATAAAGTAAAATCTCAATAGATATAAATGCATATGAACAATTTAAGATGAAGAATTTAACAAAAAAAAACATAAACAGAAGAAAATGTGTTTATCCTCACCAGTAACCAAATAATAACAAGAGTTAGGTTAATCTCCCACCTGATAAATTAACTAATTAAATTATTACTGAGTATTATTATTGATAATACTTGATGGCCAGGTGCTGTGGCTCACACCTGTAATCCCATCAATGAGAGGCTGAGGTGGGCGGATCTCTTGAGGTCAAGAGTTTGAGACAAGCCTGGCCAATATGACAAAACCCTGACTCTACTAAAAATAAAAAAATTAGACGGGTGTGTTGGCACGCACCTGTAGTCCCAGCTACTCGAGAGGCTGAGATCAGAGAATTGTTTGAACCTGGGAGGTGGAGGCTGCAGTGAGCTGAGCTGAATTCACACCACTGCACTCCAGCCTGGGTGGCAGAGTGAGGCTCCGTCTGCTTAAATAAATAAATAAATAAAATAATAATGCTTGATGGCAAAAATGCGATGAGTGTTGTATATCTGTTACTATTGGGAGCATTCAGCCCTTCACTTATTTAAGTCATTTACTGATCACATACAAAGTGTAATAAGCCATGATGACACATCAGTGAACAAGAAGAAAAGGTTTCTGCTTTCATGGAAAATATGGTTAATCAAGGAAATATTAAACAAATACTTACATGAAAATAATTATCAAAATTCTTGCAATCTTAAAATAAATATCTTGCCTATTTGAATTCAAGGAAGTTTAGAATTTGAAAATTTATTGCTGAAATTGAATTGCCTCACAATCACACATGGAATATGTTTATAACTCATAAGTTTTCCTCTTTCTTCAGCTGTAACTGATATTGATTAATTAATTGATTAATGAAGGTATTTGAGGTATCTTGATTGCTCCAAAATAATTTAAGGAATAATCAAAGTTACATACAGAACAATACTTATTGTCTAAATATTTTAAATACTCTAATATTCTTTTCTGTTGTCCCTTTAGATTCAAAGACAATTCAAGTAAATTATCAGGCATAGAAAGGAACAGAACAGGCTACAGAGTTTCTTAGAGACATAGTTTAATTCATGATTTTTTACCTTGATTTCTTTCAATGTTTTATAGCATTCTCTAGGAAACATATTTTTAAAACTAGAAAGCTCCACTCACTATTAATTTTCAGTGTTGGGGACCTAACAAATCTATGACTTGGTAGCCTATTGTTACAGGCCATATGTTGCTGTGTGTATGGTAACAGCACTCACTCTGAGGTCAAGGAACTTTGTATTAAAATCTCAACTCTCACATTTTTTTGTGACATTAACCAAAACAACTTTTTAAACTCAGTTTATTTTCATTTATATGGTAACAATAATAGTAATGTAGATTACGTCAGGGCAGGTATTATTCTTTTGTTTATTGCTGTATAATTAGTGCCTAAAACAGTTTATGGCAGCTAGTACCATGCCAATTAAATATTTTGGAATAAAATAATCAACCAATTAATGAACAACATACTCTAACTCAAAATATTCATGTGAAGATTAAACTGTAATGTCACTAAATCATTAGGCATTATTCTGATCCAACATTCCACTTCCTTTATGGCCTTTGAATTTACAGAATATATTTCATGTTCCTGGATGTTTCACTCTGCATTAGTAAAGGGTATGTAGAGAAGTTAATTAGGTTTGTTGATGTGATTGTGTAAATACCAATTCCAAATTTTTATCAAAAATATGAAATGACAAGACAACTCTAATTACAGTAATTCACTTACATGTTATACTGGATTGAGAGCTAAAGAAGAAGAGCACAATGAAGTTTCTTATAGTGATTTCAAAGCACAAAAATGAAAGCATTTGTAACTCGTATTATCTGGGGAAATCTATTATACTTAACCAAACAATGAGCAAAGTCATCTTCAAAATTAATATGTGATTAATAGAGTCTCTTAAAATAACACATTAATACTCTTAAATTACATATGTATAGTATGAATCACAATAATTCCAATTAATTTTTCTTTAATGTTGTTATTTTTTATACACTGATACATGCCAGACATATTTAGGACCTATATTAGGCTGTTCTCACATTAGACTGCTGTAAGGAAATACCTGAGACTGGGTAATTTCAAAAGAAAAGCGGTTTAATTGGCTCATGGTTCTGTAGGCGGTACAGGAAGCATAGTGGTGTCTGCTTCTAGGGAGACCTCAGGAAGCTTCCAATCACAGTAGAAGGCAAAGGGGGACCAGGTGAGTCAAATGGTGGCAGCAGGAGCAGGAAACGAAGTGGGGAGGTGCCACAAACTTAAAACTATGAGATCTGGAAAGAATCCACTCACTACCACGAGGATAACACAAAGTGGATGGTGCTAAACCATTCATGAGAAATGAGCCCTCATGATTCAATCACCTCTCACCAGACCCACTTCCATCACTGGGTATTACAATTCAACATGACATTTTGTTGGGGACACAGATCCAAATCATATCATTACAACTCTGACAATTCTTATGTCTCATATTCTCACACTGAAAAATGCAATTATGCCTTCCTACTAGTTTCCCAAAGTCCTAATTCATTCCAGTATTAACTTAAATGTCTCAAGTTCAAAGTCTCTTCTGAAACTAGGCAACTCCCTTTTACCTATGAGCCAGTAAAATAAAGAAAAAAAAGTTATTTACTTTCAAGATACAATAAAGGTACCAGAATTGGGCAAATATTCCCATTTCAAAAGGCATAAGTCAGCCAAAAGAAAGGGACTACAGTCCCATGCAAGTCTGAAACCCAGCAGAATATTCATTAAAACTTAAAGCTCTGAAATAATCTATTTTGAGTCCACTTGCTGCATCCAGTGCACACTGGTTCAAAGGGTGGGCTCCCAAGGCCTTGGGAAGATTTGCCCTTCTGGCTTTGCAGTGTTCAGCCCCTGCAGGTGCTCTCACGGGTGGTAGCTAACTGCCTTTGGTTTTTCTACACACAGTGTGCAAGCCACCAGTGGATACAATGAATATATACAATATACCATTCTGAGTTCTGGAGGGTGGTGGCTTTCTTCTTATAGCTCCACTAGACAGTGCCTCAGGGAAGACTGTGTGGGGTCTCCAATGCCACATTTTCTATCTTCACTATACTAGTAGAGCATCTGTGTGAGGGCTCCACCCTTGCAGCAGGCTTCTGCCTGACACCCAGGCTTTCCTATATATACTCTGAAATCTAGGTGGAAGTTCCCAAGCCTTAACTCTTGCATTCTGTGCACCCTCCGGCTTAATACCAAAAGGAAATCACCAAGGCTTATGGCCTACATCCTCTGAAGCAGCTGCCCTAGTTATACCTGTGCTCCTTTGAGCCACAACTAGAGCTGGAGTGGCTGGGATGCAAGGAACAGTGTCCCGAGGCTACGCAGGGCAGTGGGGCCCTTGGCCTGGTCCATGAAATCATTCTTCCCTTCTAAGCATCTGGGCCTGTGGTGGGAAGGGATGCCATAGAGTTCTCTGAAATGTCTTTGAGGCCTTTTCCTTATTGCTTTGGCTATCACCACTTGGACTCCTCTTAGTTATGCAAATATGTCTAACAAGTAGTTGCTCCACAGCCTGATTGAGCTCTTCTAAAAATAGGCTTTCCTTTATACCATATGGCTAGACTGCAAATTTTCCAAACTTTTATGCTCTGCTTTCCCTTTAAATGTAAGTTTCAGACTTAGATCAATTTTTGCTCATGCATCTGAGCATAGGTTGCTAGAAGCAACTACACCACACACTTAACACTTTGCTGCTTAGGAAATTTTTTCACCAGGTACCCTAAATCATCAGTCTCTAGTTCAAACTCCACAGATCCCTAGGTCATAGACACAATTCAGCCAACTTATTTGCTAAGAAATAACACATGTGCCTTTTGCTCCAGTTCCTCATTTTCATCTGAGCCATCCTTAGGCTGTACTTCCCTGTCCATATTACTATCAGCATTTTGGTTACAACCATTTAGTCACTCCCTAAGAAGTTCCAAACTTTCCCTCATCTTCCTGTCTTCTGAACCTTCCAAACTCTTCCAATCTTCATCTGTTGCCCAGTTTCAAAGTCATTTCCACATTTGCAGATATCATTGTAGCAATGCCCCACTCCTTGGTACCAATTTTCTGTATTAGGTGATTCTTGTATTGCTATAAAGAAATACTTGAGACTGAATAATTTACAAAGAAAAGAGGTTGAACTAGCTCACAGTTCTGCAGCTATACAGGAATCGTGATGCCAGCTCTGCTTGGCTTCTGCGGAGGCCTCAGGAAGATTCCAGTTATGTTGGAAGGTGAAGGGGAAGCAGGCACGTCACATGGCCAGAGCAGGAGCAAGAGAGGAATAGGGGAGGTACTACACAATTTTACACAGTGAGATCTCATGAGAACTCACTCACTGTCACAAGGATAGCACTAAGTGGATGGTGCTAAATCATTCATGAGAAATCCACCTCCATCATCCAGTTACCTCCCACCAGGCCCACCTCCAACATTGGAGATTACAATTCAAAATGGAATTTCGGTGGGGACACAGATTCAAATCATAACAGGACCATAGAAAGTTTCAAAGGTAAAGTTGTTCATCATCTTAAAAAATGTATTTTTTACTTTAAAATCTAAAAAAAAATACCATTTTACAAAATATTCAAGCTTTTAAAAATATTTTTAAAATAGACATAATTATTGTCACATGATTTAAAAATAAAAAATCTATATATTTTAATTTTCTTTAGATCCACATTTACTACCTTAGCCTAAATTTTAAAATAATGATTTATTTTTATATACAAATTAATGACATGTTCTTTTAATTATCAACTTAAATAAATTAGAATTTTATAAATATATTATAACATTACAGATGAAGTTATTCATAATATAGCTAGGTAATGATCATAGAAAGCATTTCTACATAGAAATTTTACAATAAAAATGCCACATACCAACATAATTAATATGACTGTTGATATTTTTAAAGAATTCTTAATTCATTGAACTTGAAAAAAATGTATGACTTTTTATCTATATTCTTATTTTTAAACCTGTAATTTACATAAAGTTCTCTTCATTCTCTCTTCCATAAGGTAAAATACAATTTTGTTTACATGAAAGGGGAGAATGTGCATATTTTTAAAAAATCTGCCATCAATATCTTTAAAATAAAGTTCTAATAAAGTAGGTATATGAGAACCCTATGATAATTATGTAAACAAAGTGCTTATATATGTAATAGAATTGTATATGTAATTATATGTAAAATATAATTATGTATCTCAAAGTGTTGGTATTATATCTATGAGCAATCATACGTGGCCCAAAATCATTGTTTTAGTAAATTTCAGTGAGTGACAACAGGTATACAACTTAATGAAATCAGAAAAACAATTCATAAAAAACAAGAGAAATTTTAGAAATAAATAGAAATCATAAAAAGAAGCAAACAGAAATTCTGAAGCTAAATAATACAATGAGTAAAATTTAAAAAGCAGTAGACAACATCAACAGCAATCTGAAATATTCTGTGAATTCAAACAGGCATTTGAAAACAATCACCAGAGGAGAAAAAAGACAAAATAGAATGCAAGAGAATAAAGAAAGCCTGTGGAATTTATGGGACTCCATCTAGAGAGTTAACATTTGTGTTATAGGAGTGAGATAGGGTAAGAGAGAGAAAAAGAGATAAAGAGCTTTTAACAATGGCTGAAAACTTCCCAAAGCTGAGGAGAGATACATGCATCCCGGTACATGAATCTCAATGGTCCAAACAGGTTCAACCCCAAGAAAACTTTACCAAGACATAGCATAGTCACACTTTCAAAAACTAAAGATAAACAGAGACTCTTGAAAGCAACAAATGATTTTTTTCTCACATACAATTTTTTTGTCTTTTTTTACAGTTTTTTATTCAAAGTATATTTTATCTGATATAAGTATAGCTCTCTTTGGTTTCTATTTGCATGGAATTTATTTTCTATCCATTTACTTTCTGCCTCCATGTGCTCCTAAAGTAATTCTCTTGTAGCGAGCACAGAGTTGGGTCTGACATTTTAAAATTGAGCTACTGGTTTTCTTTTGACTTACATTTAAACTAATCATTGATAGGTAAAGACTTACTGTTTCAATTTTATTAATTGTTTTCTGGCTGTTTTGTACATCCTTTGTTCCTCTTGCTAGATTATTTTGTGATTTGATAATTTTCTATGGTGGTATGCTTTAATTCCTTTCTATAACTTTAATGTATATATTATAGTTTATATATATGTTATATATATTATTACATATTATATATTATTATATATTACCTATTATATATATATTATTATATATTTATATATCTATTATAGTTTATATATAGTTTATATATACGTTTATGTTCCCCATAAGGCTGTCAGTGGAATCTTTCAGCAAGAAACTTTGTAGCCCAGGAGAAAGAAGAATGCTACATTCCAAATTCTGGGGAAAAAAAAAAAGCATGCAACTAATAATACTATCTTTACTGGGCAGGGCTGTGCATGAAAAATAAATAAAACTAAAGACCTTCCCAGAGAGAGATAAAGCTGAGAGAACTCATCATCACTAGACCTGTCTTGCAAGAAATACTAAAGGCAGTTCTTCAAGCTGAATTAAAAGGATGCTATTAGTAGCATGAATATATATAAAACATAAAACTGGAAATCATCCTTCTCAGTAAACTATCGCAAGAACAAAAAACCAAACACGGCATATTCTCACTCATAGGTGGGAACTGAACAATGAGATCACATGGACACAGGAAGGGGAATATCACACTCTGGGGACTGTTGTGGGGGGGTGGGAGGAGGGAGGGATAGCATCGGGAGATATACCTAATGCTAGATGACGAGTTAGTGGGTGCAGCGCACCAGCATGGCACATGTATATATATGTAACTAACCTGCACAATGTGCACATGTACCCTAAAACTTAAAAGTATAATAAAAAAAAAAAACATAAAACTCACTGGTACACAGGTAAAATTAAGTAGGTATTCAAATGTTAAAGACTCTAATACTATAATAGTGGTGTGAAAATAACTTACATCTTCAGTACAAAGGTTAAAAAACAAAAATATTAAAAATAACTATAACTCCAATAATTTGTTCATGAATAAACAATATGAAAATGTAAATAGTATCAAAAATATAAAATATGTGTGGGGAAGAAAGTTGTAAAGTTATTGTATGTGATCAAAGTTAGGTTGTTACCAGCTTAAAATATAAGATGTTCTGGTAAGCCTCATAGTAAATACGGAGAAAAGAACTATAATATATACATAAATGTTATAGAAAGGAATTAAAGCATAGCACCATAGAAAACGATCAAATCACAAAATAATCTAGCAAGAGGAACAAAGGATGTACAAAACAGTCAGAAAACAATAAAATTGAAACAGTAAGTCTTTACCTATCAATGATTAGTTTAAATGTAAATCAAAAGAAACTCAGTAGTTCAATTTTAAAATGTCAGACCCAACTCTATGCTCTCTACAAGAGAATTACTTTAAGAGCACACAGAGGCAGAAAGTAAATGGATATAAAAAAAAATGCCATGGAAATAGAAACCAAAAAGAGCTATACTTTTATATCAGATAAAACGTACTTTAAATTAAAAAACTGTAAAACAAGACAAAAACCCTTATTATATAATAATAGAAGTCAACTCTTTAAGAAGATATAACAATTGTAAAAATATGTGCTCCCAACATTTAAACAGTTAAGCATATAAAACAAATACTAATAGATGTGAAGGGAGAAATAGCAGTAAAACAATAGTAGAGTACTTCAATTACCGACTTTAAACAAAAATAGATGAGTCATCTGGAAAGAAATTGAACAAGAAAACATTGGACTGAAAGTATACCTTGACCAAATGGACCAACAGATATATACAGGAAATTTCATCTAGCAACAGCAGTACATACATTCTCCTCAAGTGCATATGGAACATTCTCCAGGATAGACCACGTATTAGGCTACAAAATATGTCCTAACAAATTTAAGAAGATTGAAGTCAAATTAAATATCTTATCATTATGACTCTGGTATGAAATGAGAAATCAATAACAAGAAGAACCTGGAAAATTTACAAATATGTGTAAGTTAAACAGCATTTCCTGATAAAATGATATATCAAAAAATAAAAACTTAAAAAATATTTTGAGACAAATATAAATGGAAACAAACTTTATTAGAGTTTATGACAGCAATTCTAAGATATAAATTTATTACAATAAATACCTATATAAAAATAACAAATACACAATCTAACACTACTTTTCCTCAAGGAATTAGAGAAGAAGGAACAACTAAGCCCTAAGTTAGTAGTCAAAATGAAATAATGAATATCAAAGCAGAAAAAAAATAAAATTGAGACTATGGGAAAGTGGAAAATATCGATGAAATTAAAAGATGGATTTTTAAAAACACATAAACAAGATCAACAAACCTTTAGCCAGACTAATACAAAAAGAGTAAAGACTGAATAAATAAAATCACAAATAAAAAGGAGATATTACAACTGATACCATAGAAATACAAAGGATCATAAGAGGCTACAATGGAAAATTGTATACCTGCAATTAAGACAGCCTGTAAGAATGGATAAATTCCTAAAATCATATCTCTACTGAGACTGAATCACAAAGAAATAGAAAATCTGCTCTGATCCTTAAGTAAGGAAACTGAATAAGTAATATCAAATATGCATCAGAGAAAATCCTAGGACCTGATGACTAGCTGGTAAGTTCGAACACACATTTACAAAAGAATTAACCAATCCTTCTCATACTCTTTCAAAAAATTAAAGACAGAGTACTTCCAAACTCATTAGTCCAACATCACTCTGACTCCAAAGCCAGACAAAAACATTACAAGAAAAGAAAATTCCAGGCTAACATTTCTGATGAACATCGATGGAAAAATCTCCAACAAAATATTAGCAAACCAAATTCAACAGCACATTAACAGAATCATTTGCCAAGATCAAATGAAATTTATCCCTGGTACGCAAAGATGATTTAATATATGCAAATCAATAAATATGATAAATCACAATGACAGAACGAAGAACAAAGTTACATAATCATTTCAATATATGCAGAAAATATTTGGATAAATTCAACATGCTTTTATGGTAAAAACTCTCAATAATTTAGGTTTAGAAAGAGTGTACCTCAACACAATAAAGGCCATATATGACAAACCCACAGCTAACCTTATACTCAGAAGTGAAAAGTAGAAAGCTATTCCTCTAAGATCTGGAACCACACAAGGACTCCCACTCTTGCTACTTCTACTTAACTTTGTACTGGAAGTTCTAGCCAGAGCAATTAGGAGAGAAATGAATAAATAAAAGGCATCTACATCAGAAAGGAAGAAGTAAAATTATCCCTGTATGTAGATGGCATAATTTTATATGTAGAAACCCAAAAAGACTCCACCAAAACACCTGTTAGAACTTATAAGGAAATCCAGTAAATTTGCAGGATAACCAATATATAAAATATAGTTGCATTTTATAAGCTAATAATGAACTATTCAAGAATTAAGAAAACAATCCCATTTATAATATCATTAAAAGAATAAAATACTTAAGAATAAACGTAGTCAATACAATGAACTAAAAATTATAAAATATGGATGAAAGAACAAAAAGTTTGTGTACAGCAAAAGAAACCACTGACAAAATGGAAAGTCAACTTATGGAATGGGAAAAATATTTGCCAACCTTATACCTGATAAGGAGTTAATATCTAAAATATTTAAGGAGCTCATACACCTCCATAGCAAAAAGCCAGATAACCCCATCATAAAATGAGCAATGGATCCAAATAGACATTTTTCCATTTTCCAAAGAAGACATAGAAATGGCCAACAGGTATCAAAGCACTCAATAAAACTAATTATAAAGAAAATGCAAATCAAAACCACAATGAGAAATAACCTCCTGCAGTAATCTTCCCTGCAATAGGTGAGGAAAACACTTTATGTAAGTCAATATCACCCAGGCTTAGCATTCATTACTTAGAGGGCTTCTTAAACTGCAGATTTCTGAATCCCTCCCCTTGTTTCTATGAATTAGTCTGTCTGGGTTGGTACCAGGGAATTTGAATTTTTAACAAGTTCCTAAGTTATTATTTTATTTTTAAAACACAAATTTATTATTTTACAGTTCTGCATGTCAGAAGTCTAAAATGAGTCAGCAGGACTGTGTTCCTTTTGGAGGCTCTTGGGGAGACTCTGTTGCCTTACTTTTTTTTCAGTAGAAGGCATAGTGGCTACTTGCATTCTTTGGTTCATTAATTACCCCATTTTCAAAGCACAGTGTCTCCTAATATCTCTGTCTCTCTCTCTCCCTCTCTCTCTCTCTTTCTCTCACACACACACAGACACACACATGCACACACACACACACACATGCACACCCTCTCTCATACCCTCTCTTTTTCACTCTCACTCCTGCTTCTGTCATCACATCTCCTTCTCCGATTCTGACCCTCCTGCCCTTCTCTTGTAAGGATCATTGTGATTACACTGAGCCCACCAGGACAATCTTTCGAAGTCCTTAACTTTTGATATGTACTGTAATGAATTCAGAGATTCTCAGAGTGAGGACATGGATATAACACAGTTTTGAAATATTATATTTGTAGGTACAGAGGTAAATTGGAAGCAAAACTAAAAAATGTTTTCCATTTAGCTCTGACTTTTAGTGAAACAAGCAACTACAAAACCTTGGCAAAGTCAGTAGACACATTTGAACATTTACTTTGTTGTAATAGAGGGATTGATCTAGTTATTTCTAAAATATCTAATAATTCTTCATGTTGTGATTATGTAACTAGAGGCTACCTCTGATTTTTTATGACAGTCATAGGTAAAAATAGATGTTGAGTTTTAAAATACAGATAGCACAAAATTCAGAATTAAAAAAAATCAGTACATAAGTATAGTTTCTTTCATGAATAAATTGTATAATTAATTATGCTACGTTTGTCTAAAAGTATTATCCTTCTTTTAGGAAAAAACATGGGATAAAATATAGTTTAGATGATACCTAGCATATAATCAGGCATGTAGAGATCTCAGGATTTAAAAAGAAATATCAAATGAAGTGCAATAAATTGTGTTTTTTGTATAGATCCTTCGAGTCGTATCTCAGAAAAGAGAGAAATGGCTTATCCAATATTTAAGCAGAGACAAATGGCATATGAAGAGGACTTATCAGGGCAGTGGAGAGAATTGGTGATGAAAATTGGTAGGGGGTGAGTAAAACAAGTTTGAGACTTTGTAAATTTTTCCCTAGATTGTGGATTTCTAATCAAAATTCAAATGGAAAAAGGATTCCATCAAAGAATCTAATTCAACATTGGTAATACCATTCACAAGGAGAAACACAGTGACACTTTTCATTTACTAAAATTTGTTTTACTAAATTTCTTAGGGGGATGAATCTACTAAACAACATTCAAGGCTGTTAGTTTAATCATGTCTGTTTATTAATGCAGAATACATGGTTTCAGTGTTTCTATTCAAATATATGTCAATGTGAACTTTGCTGTAACAGCAAACTGGTGTTTTCAGTATATTTTAAAATTTATTAATCACCACTAGAGGGCAGGGTTATTTCTCAATATTAGTTCCCTTATTGATGAAATTAACAAAATAATTACATCATACTTATATTTCTGTTAACTTTTTTGAAAGACAATTTCTATATGACGATATTTTTGGGTTAATCTTATTCTAATGATTTCTTAAGATGTCCTTTTAAAAAAATCTCAAATTCTATCCTACTTCACAAATTCTCTTAAATATATTAAACATTTAAAAAATTCATAGTCAATGGACAGATACCATTTTGAACTTAACTGTGAAACCTTGTCCCTACTAAAAATACAAAAAATAAGTATACAGGAAAACGATACAAGAGTGAAATTACAATATATTAAATATTAAATGTATATTAAATTATATGTAACATATTAAATATAAATAATACTGTTAAAATATTATTTTGAATTCAACATGGCATTTTTTAAAAATTACTGGCCATTTTGTTAGGCCCCAAGAATAAAAATGATAAGACAGTCTGTTTTAGATATGATTCTGTTTTAGAAATCTTTTACTTCCCTTTGCAGAACGAAATTATGTGCTTCTGTACTTCCAACTCAGATTGTAAAATATTATGTTAGAATTACTCACATGCGCTATCCCCTCTCTGGACTTGTGAACTCCTTAGGCACTGATTCAAGATTGTGTCAACACTTTATCCCAGAATGCAGACTTGACCTGCCATATAGTAGATAAATACTCAGTAGAAATTGGTGGCTATACTATAATGATGGTAGAAAAAAAAACAATGAAAATTTAATTATTTACTATGATAATACCTTACTGTGTTTTATTTTATCTTGCTCAATTTCATATCAATATAATATTGATTTTAAAACGATATATGAGCTGGGTGGGGTGGCTCACGCCTGTAATCCCAGCACTTTGGGAGGCTGATGTGGGCAGATCACTTGAGGCCAGGAGTTTGAGACCAGCCTAGCCAGCGTGGTGAAACCTCATAACTACTAAAAATACAAAAATTAGCTGGGCATGTGGCACATGCCTGTAATCCCAACCATTTAGGAGGCTGAGGCAGGAGAATCGCTTGAACGCAGGAGGTGAAGTTTGCAGTGAGCCGAGATCACACCACTGCACTCCAGCCTGGATGACAGAGTGAGACTCCATCTCAAAAAAAAAAAAAAAAAAAATGTATGGAGAAGAGTGAACCAACAATAACTTGATTATCAATTAAGGTGGATTCAGTAAGCATTTCTTGAGGACCTAATATGTTCCTTGTATTATGCTCAGTGGTGGGCATAACAAATTGAATAAAAAGTTTATGCCTTTAAAGGACCAGTGAATGGAAAAGCAGATACAACTGATAATTCTAATCTTTGTAATTAAACATCTTGGCCAACTTATAATTGGTCTTCAGGTTGACTAAGGTAGAAATGTCAAGAAATGTCAAGTTTGGGGCAGAATATGGAGAAAAGGGACCCCTATTACACTATTGGTGGGAATGTAAATTAGTACAGCTAAAATGGAAAACAGTAAAGAGGGCCTCAGAAAACTAAAAATATAACTACCACATAATCTAACAATGCCACTACTGAGTATATATCAAAAAGAGATGATATCGGTTTATATTTTAAAATGCAGAGTCTTCAGAAACTAAACTTTTCTCCCACATATTTATGTTAATGTTCAGCTTTATACTGATTTATCAAAATTATAGACAATTAATATGAAGATGCATTAGAAGTAGTAGTCCATAATGATTACTCTAAACAGGAAAGGAAGTAAAAATTAATGGGACTAAGCAGATTGGGAAAAAACATATCAGTGGATTAAGAATGCAAAACTTTCTTATTAAAGGAGTAGTAATGTATATGGAAAATAACAAAAGGACAAGGAAAGATAAAATAGTATAATTAGAGAGAGAATGAGACTTTGTGTTTCAATGTTAATCAGCTATCTGATTAAAAGAAGAAAAAAGTACTTATCATTGCTACCAGGATATTCCATGGAGTAAGAGCTACCTTCTGAGAGTGACTTAGATCTGTCTGCTCACATTTATATAAGCACTTTATTCTCACTTTCCATTTTACCACATTGTTTACCACCAGCAAGAATTAAAACTGATGTATATCCTCAGGGACTTGCTATCTTAAAGTGTGGGTATCTATCTATCTATCTATCTATCTATCTATCTATCATCATCTATGTTTTATACTTATATAAGATATGTTTACTGATATATAATTAATTATATGTATATGAGACAATCTTGATAAGACACTCAGTTTCTTTACTTCTTATGCATTCTCCCATTGTAAAAATGAAATGATTACTTCTCTGAATTTTGCAACCCTTCTTATTGTTTGCAAACACTGAGAATGATTGGCAATGTCCTTGAGTAACTTTACTAATACAGGAGGGTAAATATTTAGAGCAATATATAGGGATTTAGTCTGTGATCCCCATTCTTGTAAAGTAATATAAATATTTACAGTGCATTTATCCCACAGTGTCTGTCCTAGGAGTGAATATAACGAAACAATAAAAACTATTTTTTAAAAAATAGTTATCTGCAGCCTTCACTCTACTTACATTTAAATTTGTGACTTAAATAACACAATGTAGAAGATATTAAGGCTTCCTAACATCTCAGAATTCAGTAAAACATAATCAGTCTAAATATGGCCAACACTCCCGAATGAGAGATAAATATGAAATTAGGGCTATGAGTAATTTATAAATAGTTTGAAGAAAAAATGTACATTTTTTAAAAGCCCAAGTGGAAAAATAGAAAAGTGGTTAATTATATTTCTTCACCTTATTCCCATAAGTGTAGAGAGTCAAGTCAGCATGACAAATTTAACATTTTTTATTAATACAATATGTCATATACTCTGCTAGCGTAAAAATGCAAGTAAATTGACCTTAAACCATCCTGAAGATTTAAGGTCCATCGGAAGTTTTAAAGTAAGAAGATTTAAGGTAAATCAATCTGAAGTATCAGATTAGTAGAAGAGTAAGATGTTGTAGCATAACCTCTGTTTTAAGGCTAACAAAATTATATCATTTTTGCTTTCTCTCTGTTTTATTCACAGTACTGATTTGAAAAAAATTAAAAAGCTCTGATTTTGAATATAAGGAAACAACATCTTCTCAGAAACTAGCTAAGACACTGATATTACTCTTCTTGCTATGAACTTATCTGCTCTTGAAAATATTTCTGGTTCCCCAACTTGGCTGTGTTGGTATCAGTTCCATTAGGTTAAAAACAAAGCAAAACAAAACAACAACAACAATAAAAAAAACTCTCATAAAAGTTGCTTGCAGTAGTATGTTCTGTAGAGTATTTCACCTTGCTTGGTCTGGTTCAAGGAGCAAAATGGGAATCCTATCCTACCAAATGCCTTTCCAACTCACTCATAGAGAAGCCTCTTCTGTGCATTAATCCACTATGTGCTCATCACTACTGTTGACCTTGAAGAGGTTAAAATATGCTATTCTGGCATATTGGCTATTTAAGTTTAAAGTGGTTTAAAAAACAATACGTACAAAAGATCACTTTGACCTCTGTGCTGTCTCTCAAAAGCAGAAGATAAAATTCCCATGTGAAAGACGCCCTCCCTTTACTAGAAAGATGCAAAATCTTTATATTCAAGGATGAGAAGTCAAAACTAAAAACTATGTAAAGATCTTGTTAAAATACCTCTTGTCTTTTAAGCCTCCCACATGATTTAGTTGCTTCTTCGCAACTAACTATTCTTTGTCCAATTCAGTGTTTAAGTAACTGACCCTAACTGCCTCTTTGGGTCTTTATTTCCTTATGAGAGCTTCCATGCCCTGTAAAATTTGTATTACACTTTTATCTTGTTAATCTATCTAATGTCAATTTAATTCTCAGATCCAGCTGAAACCCCAAGGGGACGAAGGTGGAATTTTTTGCCCCTAGACCTACTCTTTGCACCATATTATATTTGTTTATATAGCTACTTTCCCCACTAGACAGTAAATTCCTTAATATAGGGAGTATGTCTTAAATATATGTATCCCTAATACCTTACACTATTTTTGACACCAAATTCTCCTCGAAATAAATCTTTGACTATTTAAATAATTTTCACCAAGGTTTATATGTATTCATAACCCTATCCTGAATGTGTTAGAAAACATGGCTTAGTTAAGAACTTGCATTTATATGAAAATTAACATTCCATTGAATAAATCTAATTGTCTCTTGTTTGACACTGAAGACTATCTAAATAAAATTCCAAGCCATTCTATACTGTTGTAATTCAGGTTTTACATAGTCAATTATCACATAAAACAGTTTTGCACAACTAACTCTCATGGGATTTCAATTTTCAAAATGTTAACCAGAGATACCACTTTAGTTTTCCAGTGAAATGATCCATGGCATAAAATGTGTGTGTGCATTTACATGTGTGTGTGCATGTTTCGCCCAGACAGAATTATACATAATATTTAAATTAATAAAAAAACAGCATATTTCTCTTCCAATAACAGAATAGGGAGAAAATGTTATAAAAGTTAACTTATTACAAAACTATTTATTTACTAGGAGAGAAAAACGTAAATACATCAAATAGACACACCTATTTTTTAGCTTTAGAGAAATGAGTTAGGGGCCAGGTATAGGGCACTGAAACTGCCTAAGCCAGTAAAGAGACTACCATGTGATTTAGCATAAAACACAAACATACCTACTCACCAGACATTGCTTTGTAAACAGTACTTACCGCTAAAAGAAACTAGGACTCCCTGAAGAAATGGTTGATTCCCAGGTGACGGCAGGGAAATTTCAGATGAGCCTAAACATCTTATTATATTAAGCCAGAAAGTAGAAATTCCTTTATTTTTCAGATATAAAGAATACTGTTTTAAAGAATCATAGGTAGGTATCAAAAGGGCACAGGGCCTAGCTTAAAGGAGATTACATTTCATTAAATCTGGGACAGTGTGGACATCAAAATAAATACAGAGTAATGAATTATGGCATAGAATAAAGCAAGAATCCATGAGTCTATACTTATGTGAAAAGGTAACAAATCTTTTGTAAGAAATGGGACATTGACCTAGTCTCAAAATATCTCCCCACTAACGCTTACTAATTATAAGACTTAAAAAATGAGTAGAGAAGCCTATCAAACACCACTTTAATTGAGCATTAAAGTGAATATTACCAAGTAATAGAACAAGTAGAATTTGTGCCTCCAGCAGATAGGAATGTCTGGGAACACAGCATCACTCCTGTAGTATTCCTTACAAAGATGCCTAGTCTGAATGTAATAAAAAAAATTTAGGCAAATCTAAATATAATGACATTTTGTATAATAACTGACCTGTAGTCTTCCAAAGCACTAAAGTCATGAAAGACGGTGTGAGGAGCTATTCCAGATCAAAAGAGGTTAAAAAATAAATGCAACACTTATTTTTGAACTGGATCTTTTTGGTATAAGGAATATTTGATAGGATGGAGGGTAGTTGGCAAAACTTGAATGGGGTTTGAGGATTAGATGTTTGCAATATATTTTTCTATTAATAGTTTTTTATTTCTGTATATGTGGTCCACTCTCAGCCTAGTGGCAGAAAGCCATAATGACTTCATAATGCTCATAAATCCTGTGGGTTAAGAAATTGAAAAGGACTCAGTGGAAATAATCTGATTCTGTTCCATGATACTGGGGGCTTCAGCTGAAAAAGCTTGCGGGCTGAAAGCAGGAATCCTCTGAAGGCTTGCGAAGTACAGGTCTAGTGGTTGAACTTGGACCTAAATAATGGACCTAAAGTATTTAGGCTGTTGGCTTAGAACCCAGAACTCACTTCAGAATCTCCACATTGTTACATGGGCTTCCTCACAGCATAGTGACTGCATCTCAATAGCGAGTGTATTAGGAGAATCAGCTAAAATTCTTTAAACTATTTATGCATTAGCCTCATAAGTCTCAGAGCCTTCCCAGATTCAAGAACAGGAAATAAAGACCTTCTCACCTTTCCTTTTCCAGGTCAAAACCACACATTTGATAGCAGGAGGATGAAACTCACTTTGTAATAAGAGCATGCAAGACAGAAGGGAGATTGAGTTGCAGTTGTTTTTAGAAAATAAAATCTGTAAATCAAATACTGCCTGTTCTCACTTATTAAGTAGGAGTTAAAAAATGGGTGTACATGCACACAGAGGTGAAACAATAGATAATGGAGACTCCAAAAGGAAGGAAGGAGGGAGGCGGAAGGGAAGGGTTAAAAAACTACTTATTGGGCACAATGATTATTATTTGAGTGATGGGTTCAATAGAAGCCACACTCCAAAATTAGGCAATATACCTATGTAACAAACTTGCACATGTACTCCCTGAATCTAAAATAATTTTTAAAAACAAAATAAAATAAAATTTCTGTCATTTGTAATTATAATTATTTTGAGAGTGGTGCTGTGGCTTTGTAAGATAGTGACCTCATATGTAGGAAGTCCATACTTAAATATTCATGGTCAATGAGGCATTATGTTGACCACTTACCCACAAATAGTTCAGAAAAAAAAAATGGAAATGTCTTTTTCTTACATACTTTTGTAAGTTTTTAATTGTTTTAAAACAAAAAAGTACAACAAATAAATAGCTAAAAATATAAATGGAGGTTATCAGGAGGACCTGATTTACATTACTTTGCAAAATAGAAATCGAGAAAGTCAGGTAAGAATACACCTGCATGTGTGTTAAGCTACAACCTGAGGCTGTGAATATAAGGCTTTAGTTAAATATGAACATTTGAATCAGATGCTCAAAGGTAATCAGCCATAGACATATCCTGTTTCTTACTTCACCTTCACCAGGGTATTTAGAAATTCATGGAATAATTTTTTATTTTCACAGTAAATGGGAGGCACTGTTGGAATTTAGTGGGAACTGTAATGGCAAATATCCCGTTCTTGGTACATCAAGAATTGTGTATCCAACATGATGCTACTAACACTTCCTTCAAAATAAACTGCTGGTATGCATAAGTGAATTAAGCAGGAGAGTTACATAAATATATCGTAAACAAGTAGAATAATATTCTTTAGAACAGTAGAAATAAAATATAACATTGTTTTATATGATGTGAGATAATGCATTAATAATGGAAATAGAATTACAACTGATAATTGGATTATCTAGTCTCAAAAGGTAGAGTTTGGTATCACAGATATTTTTGTTGCCACAGTGATATTAGTTGTGTAAGACACTAAAGACACAGGTTTTATGGACAGATCTGGTCCATATTACTTACTGGTTAGTAACCTTGGACAAATTACTTACATTCTTCAAGCTGTCTTTTTATTTTTCTGTAAAACAGGACTAATAGTCTATAGTATTCTTGGGAGACAATGAACCTAAAGTATTTAGCACAATAAATTCTTCATATTTAATAGAGGCCAGGCCTTGTGGCTCAGGGCTAAAATCCCACCACTTTGAGAGGCTGAGGTGGACAGATTGCTTGAGCCCAGGAGTTCAAAATCAGCCTAGGCAACATGATGAAATCTTGTCACTACAAAAAATACAAAAATTAACCAGATGTGGAAGCACACCCCTGTAGTACCAGCTACTTGGGAGGCTGAAGCAGGAGAATCACATGAGCCAGAGAGGTTGAGGCTGCAATAAGCCATGATCACACCACTGCATTCCAGCCTGGGCAACCCAGTGAGACCCCATCTCAAAAACAACAACAGAAAACTATTTTGTACATAGCAAACATTAATAATGATAGTATTGCTAGTGTTGGTGGTAACAAAGATTGTAGGAATAGTAAATAGAAGACTTTCTAAGTTTCATCTACCAAGGGGAATTTCACTATTATTGTCTAAACATTTCAGAGTATTCCTAAAGGGGGAAATTCGGAGTAGGATTTCAGCTTCTACTTCCAGTAGAAACTTTAAAAGAATTCATGTAAAGAAAGAAAATTCTTTTTATCTATTTCACAGAGAACATATTGAAGTTTTAAATTTAATGTAAATGCAGGAAAGATTGAAGAAAGTATTTTTCAGGTTAGAAAGACAGAATTGAAGAATCACACATCAAATCTATCTTCCTAGGTATAATGTTTATATTACTTTAAATTCCCAAGTGAGGCTGGATGCGGTGGCTCACGCCTGTAATCCCAGCACTTTGGGAGGCCAAGGTGGGTGGATCACGAGGTCAGGAGATCGAGACCATCTTGGCCAACACGGTGAAACCCCATCTCTACTAAAAAATAAAAATAAAAAAATAATTAGCCGGGCATGGTGGTGGGCGCCTGTAGTCCGAGCTACTCAGGAGGCTGAGGCAGGAGAATGGCGTGAACCCGGGAGGCGGAGCTTGCAGTGAGCTGAGATCGTGCCACTGCACTCCAGCCTGGGCGTGGGAGTGAGACTCCGTCTCAAAAAAAAAAAAAAAAATTCCGAAGTGAAAAGGAAATTATAATTGATATCAGAATATACTTTTTATCCTCCAGAGCTGGACTGTCCGGTGGAAATATAATGAGAGCCATATATTTAATTTTAACTTTAGTAGTATTTACATAAAAAGTAAAGTTAAAAAGATGAAGCTAATTTTAACATTTTGTTTAACCCAACATAATCAAATTATTTCAACATGTAACAGATATTTAAAATTATTGAGTTTTTAAAATATTCTTTCTTTTGGAATGTCTTTAAAATCGAATGTGTATTTTACACTTAGCTATGTCTCAGTTGGACTAACTGCATTTCAAAAGTGCTCAATAGCCACGTATTTTGTGTGGCTGCTATATATAACATATATATAACATATTATATATGTATATATATAAAACATATGTATAACATATTATATATGTGTATATAAATCATATATATAACATTATATATAACATTATAAATAATTATAACATATTATAAATAAACATATATATAACATAATTTTTTTTAGTTATTTCTGTTATCCACATATTTGGGGAATATATTGTATCAAATAAACTTTTTTAAGCCAGTCATTTAATTTGAATACATATGAATAAAACAAATTTTTTTTCAATCTTAGAACCCTTGGAATTGTATATCTCTACAAATTTGAAAAAAAATATTATTTTATCAGTGCCTAATTGTTTTCATCTCCATTAGCCTTAGTAGTCTCCCAAGCATTGTGTGTCTGCGTGTGTGTGTGTGTGTGTGTGTGTGTGTGACCACTCTGGATTCTATATCATCTTCCTCTCTGAATGACTAACACTTTAGTTTTACTTCCAACTTTAAAACCAAATGAAATTTAGTACTTCAATTTTTCTCTGTGGCTTCTAACATATTTCTTCTGTTCTGAACCAGTGGAGAATAACGACAGGCAGTAGAATTTCTCTATGCCCTAAACCATCCTCACTTATTCTGCTTACTGCATCAGAGATTCCCTAACTGAAGTCTCACATGTTCCCTAGAAATTTAACAGTAAACAGAGCAATACTCAATGTACTCCACCCATCAATTCATATACACACAGCTAGTTACTCAACCAGGGCTCATGGTGGGGGTAATGAAGTGTTTCCTTTGCATCCCAGAAATAGACACAAATTTATTTCAGAGCAATGAAACAGACACTTTTGCCAAAAGAGCAGTTTGTTTTCAAGACTTTTCTTGACTGGTGTCAATGCTGTTACTGCTTTTCCCCTCTCTTAGCTTGTGACTATCCCCAATTTTGAAAATATGTGGCTCCTCTAAATGCTATATTTGAAAAAACAAGAAGCCCTTATTATGTGACTCAAAATAATAGAAATCCACTTTTTTACTTAACATTATGTGCCCTAGAAATTTCCTGATTATCCTTTTTCTAGTTAGATTTAGCTAGGACTAGATAGCACCTTTGATTATTAATTGGAAAATAAGGCAACGTCTACTTTTCTTGATGCATTTAGACCAAGAGAACATACAAAATTCAGACATGAAACACAGAATTTTGGTATAAAAATTAGTGTTGGGAGGTTGATTTCTATAGTTGATAGAACAGGTGAAGCAAATCAATAGTCTATCTGAATGTTCTATTTTCATGAGAAATAAATCTATTGCTCATTGGGATAAGTAATCTTAAATAAACAATTGTATTCTGCTCTTTAGAAAGCTCCCTTTCTCTTTGTAGTCCACTTATTAATAGGACTAAAAACAGTAAAATATTATTTTTTTCAAATATATATTATTCTCGATGGCTGCCTCAGTTTTCATCTTGTATTGTTTCTATTTGTAAAGTTTGTACTGGTACTCCAGGCAAGCAGAATGACATAGTCACCTAAAATTATTTCTTTAGCTACTTGTATTCAAGCACCTAGAAAGGGAAAAACTACATGACAAGTGGTTGCTACCATGAAACAGTTTTGTAAAAATAAGCAGTAAAATTGAGTTGGTTCATTGCTTATAAAGTGCAGTGAAAAAATCATGCGGGAAAATGATATGCTCAAATGATAAATCCATACCTACTCAAGTTCAAGGGATTAGAAAACCTCTATGAATTTTCTGTAAGAAACTCTTATTTCTTATGGCTTCATGGTTGAGATTTCAGAAAACTAAACCCAAAGTCTATTCCTACGAATAGCTGAATTATAATACAAATTGGATTATCCTGTTCATAGGATTCCTAATGTTAGATATAGGGCATTGTTAGGGAAGGACTTAATTTCTGAGAATTGGGATGAGAACATAGAGGCGTATTTCCATGAAGCTGGAGACCTTAAACTGGTACATTCTATTGAACCATATTTGACAGTGGGTGTAGCCTTTTTCCCTCTCCCAGGAAGTTAGGCTTCCCTTGCTTGAAGAACTTGAAATGCCTATTTTTAAGGGACTGTTTATCCTCCTCAGAGGGATCATAGCCTCTAAACCTATAGCTAGACTTATGTACCAATTGGCCCCAGAGGATGAATTACGAAGTATGAACAACTGGTACTTTAATACACACCAAAGTAATTGCATTATTTTTTCAATTTCTATAGACAGAAGCCTGGGGAACACTATGTGGAAATGGGTCCTAAGGGTATTGGGTTCAGTTGGAAAGAAAATAATATTTGATGAGGTTGAATTTATTGACGTGAGAATCTCATTTGCATCTATTAGCTCAAATGGCAAGGAGAGGTTCCAAAGTTTACTGCTGACTGGCATATGGATCCAAATGAAGTCTGCATAGGAAAACTGAAATGCCAGAACTTTCTGGGTGTACAATAGAGGAAGTTGTCCAAAGATATAGGGAAATTTAAATGAAAGACTGGATTTATTACGTAAAAGTTTCCTGCTGTCCTCTCAATATATTCTCTTTAAGAGTCTATTAGAGAAGATACTCCTCCTTCATAAAGGTCATCAGAACATTCATGAGGGGAGGTTTGAAGATTTGTGTTAAGGCTCTTTATTCTTGACGAATATTGTTGTATTTGTTCCCTGTGATCTACAAATGAAAATGAGAAATGCCACCATCGTGGGAAAGGTCCCTTTATGCAATAGAGAGGATGAGATATCAAGGTGGCTACAGCCAAATGAGGGCTTCAAATTATCAAAGACACATAGGTGCTGTTAATGGACACATAGTTGCAGTAATCCGAAAAGTCTTATCTGAAGACATATTTGGCATTGACTATTGGGTCATGTTGCCCTATATGGATGGCCTATTAAAGATATTTCTGATTTGTGTTAGTTGAATAGCTCTAGGTCTGGTGAGCAGAAGTCTGACTTGAATTATCATGTATAGGTTTGGTTCCTCAATCAATTCCCTGATTATGCCATTTCACTGGCCCAGAGCACTTTGAGTGAAAGGGTGGTTTGTGGTGGTTTGTTCCCTTAGAGGATGGATAATGCTACAAAGCCAAAATGTTTTATCCTTCCTCCTGACTTTCCCTTATGTGACCTCTGAAGACATTTCCCAGAGTCTTTGCATTGGAATAGGGAAATTGTCAGAATTTAGAATAATTACCAAACACAAGATCTGCACTGATATTAATTCCTAAAGATCAAAAATTTCACTGCAGTTTACTGGTCATAGTAGGAGCTTATGGAGGTCAACCATCATGGGAGTTTTGCCTTAAATCTATATGAAATGAGTCTACAGCACTGCTACATTGCCGTCTACATTTTAGCCTGCACTATGAGTTCTCAGGTAGTTTCCTATTCTCAGTTGACTGAGGAAAAAAAATGTTCAACCCCAGTTTATAGATAAAAATGTGTGCTATGCAAAAATAGATGTTGGCAGCCTTGCGGTACAACTACATGATAGCCCTGAAGGGTCATGATGATGGCAAACCCCTCCCATAGGCAGAACTCCAAGAAATGTGCTCAGTTGGTTATTTTGTCTTGAATATATCTTTGTGAGAGTTATGGATCCCCAGATATACTTGCAAGCAGTGGCTAAGAACTTTGCTAAATGTTCAAAGATTGAATGAAGGGTAATTGACAACTGGTGACAAGGATGACTAGAGAATATATGTGTATGTAAATAGAGCTTTCTGAATGGTTACAGAGTATGAAGATGTTTGTACCCCAAGTGAATCTCACCAAACAGTAATCTCTTATCAGAAGATAATTTTAATAAGTATGTGAACAAGGAAACCCAGTGCGTGGATGCCATGCTAGCTTCTTACTCCAGCCAACCCAGTCATTTCCCAATGAACTCACGAATAAAGTGCTCATGCCATTGAGACAGAGCTTAAGTATGGCTCAACACTATGGTCTTCTATTTTCTAAAGGTTATCTCACTATAACTATTGCCAAGTGGTCAACATGCCAAAAGTAGAAACTGACATTGAGATCTCATTATAGCTCCATTCCCTAAAAGAGAATAGTAAGGTGTCATATGTCATGTTGATTGCATTGGACCATTTCTATCATGGAAGGAGCAACACCTTTTTTTCTCACTGAGACAGACACTTAATATCTGTATCTGCCTTTCTTGTCCATGATGCTTTTGCCAAAATCTATGAACTTACAGAATTCCTCACTCATGGAATTCAAACAGTGTTTCAAAGAAAGTGAAAGGAAGAAATTTGCATATATTCATGGCATTCACTTATCTTACCATTTTGCTCATCACCTTGAAATAGCTTTCCTGACAGAACAGTAAAATGTCCTACTGAAGTCTATGCTGGGACACTGTGGTAATGTTACTCAGGCTAAAGTGTAAACTTTAAATCAGTGATTACTCTATGGTTATGTTTTTACCATAGCCAGAATTCACAAGTCCAGAAGTGAAAAGGTGAACAGTGAAGTGTCGTTTCTTACCCACCATTGTGATCCAGAAAGGTTTGCTTCCCATCCCTGCAACTGTGGACTCTGATGGTCTTCTTATTCCTGTTTCTAAAGGAAAAGGATTCTTCCAAAAGATAAACCAATAGTTTTGTTAAGCTTAGAGTTGAAATTTCACATAGATGTTTTGTGCCCTAATGCTAGTGAACCATCAGGGAAAAAAGAACCTTAGAGACAGGTAATTTATTGTGACTCTCAGGAGGTATTGGGGTGCTGCTGCACAATATGGGTGAGAATGGTCAAGTCTGAAATGAAGGAGATCTCATGAAATGCCTCTTAGAGCTCTTATCCTTGCTGATTAGAGTCAACAGACAGCTAATCTGATGGGACAGAACTGCAAATGACCCAGACCATTTAGAAATGAAGTTTCGGGACAACACACCCTACAGGAAATAATGACTATCCAGAAGAATATGGAATGGCTAGTGGAAGAACTTTGGCCCTGACCAGTTAGAGCAATATGCACTGCAATAATTATAAACATTTATTTTTCACTTTCATATTGTCTGTGTATACATGTATCGATGTATTTCCCTCTCCTATTCCCCTATCATATAGCATTGTATGTGTTAGTAGTAGGATTTTTTTATAATTTCAGTGTTTAAGTTTTAATATACAAAACAATATGACTAATTTAAAAGAATAACTTATTTTTGAAAAGCAGCGACCTCTTTTGGGGAGCATGGTTGGCAAGTTTTCAGTTGTACGAGGGGTCATTTCGCCTATTAGGCAAAAGCATGGTTTGTTCTTGTCTTTATTTAGAAGTTATTTGCTTAAAGAAAACTGTGTGGGTTAAATTTTGCCAAAGAGTAGATTTTAGTGAATTTGCATTTTATCAGGTTACCTAAGCTAGGACTACGTTTTCCCTAGTTGTCTTTATTGTGTAGTTTGCTGTTAGTATTGTTACAAGACACATTTGATTGCTTTCCAAAAGGCATAAGAGAATCACCAGCTGTACACTTTTATACTCTGAAACCTGTGCATGGTACCACAATAGCTTTAGAATGTTGTTGTCACTGATCTAGAGCTCACCTTGCTGCTCGTAACATCTGGACCTCTAGCTCCTGCAAATCTTCTTCAAAGTCTCTGAGTCCTAAGCCAAGTGCACATGTAGCTCTGTGGTGAAAGGCAGCAGCTTTCATAACAAGTCTCCAATAGCTTCAAAGTAAGAGGTGGGAGAAGACAGATATTTCATCCTTTTGGGTTCCAATTTGCTACTAATCTTTTTCATATCCAGATTTTATTTTTAATTACTGTCTGGCCAAGCTATAATGACTTTAGATTCAACGCTAGACACAGGAGCATTAGCCAGCCAAAAATGTCCCATCAACTCCCATGGTTGCTTAGAGTCTAACTTTTGTAAATCATTTATTCTATACCCTTCACCTTGGTTCTCCTTTTCTTTGTACCATGACTGTTACAAATGCTACATAGAAAGACAGTGAAAGTTGCAGCTTGAGCTTCAGAAATTTGATTTGTGAAACATTCATTTAAACGTGCTGAAAGTTTAAAAATGACCAGGTTAACTACAGACCTGCTTGGAAGGTATTCCTGCCCCTTGAGAAAAAGTAAGAGGAACAAATGAAATCAGAGTTAGCTGATCGTAACCTATATTTAAAACTAATAACGAAAAAAGGAGAAAAAGTTAAAGAGAAAAACCAAATTTTCACAGTGGAACTGGCTAAATTTTGACTGTAACTACTTTCTGAATGATAGTATATTTCCATCTTCATTTTTTTCTTTGACAGTCTATTATAATTCACTTTTTTTTAGATCATAGAAAAAATTTTAAATCATAATCCACATGTAAAATGTATTTGGAGGGTAACACTTCCAAGTGTGTGTTCTACTTTGCAAAGTGACACTCATGTAACAGAGACTGTGAATAGCTTGGCCAGGCTTCTTTAGATCAACTTATTGAAAAAAAAAAAAATCCCACAATGCATTCCCAGTGCTGTAACCACATTGTTGATACAGATCTCACTGACTTTGTTCTGGTAGCTCCTCTAAATGTTTAGAGACACTGAAATTACCTTTATCTTTCCCAATTGATATTGGCATGTCAGATCTCATTTCAGGAATAAGCTTGACAACTATGTGGCTATATCTGTGGATTTTTTAAATTTAATTCTTTCTTTGTCTCTCTACTTTTCTTTCTCCTTTGTTGGGTCTTTTACTGCAGACTTTTAATAATGCTAAGGAAGAGTTCATTTGCTGCTTTCCATTTCTTTTTTAATTACTTGAAATTTTACACCCTGACACAAAAATTTGTACCATCATTTGAACTCAATGTCTTCATGCATAATCTGAGAAAATTTAAGCAAACAGAAAACAAACAAAAAAAAAACAATAGAAATAATTCAATTTTTAAAATCTCTGCACAGATTTCTTTCTACAAAGAATATTACATTTAAAGATTAGAAATCAGAATATATCAATGTGACCTTGGCCTCATTAAGTTTGCAGTAAGATGTCTGTTTTGTGATACAAGTAGTTTTACATCATTTTCAAATTAGATATGTTTTTCTCCTTGCAAATAGGGCTTGTTTTTCCTTAAAATGTAACCCCAGTGATCTATACTAAATGTTTTGACAGTAAGTTCTGACATCATTTCATCTTCCTTTCTTTTAGACCAAAAGCACAATGATGCCTTTCTTTTTACTCACATTTGATGACATCCATAGTGAGAAACAGCAGTTCCACTGTCCAACACCAGGAAATGTTCTGACTGTTTCACCGCTCCAGCTAATACTTACAGAGGTGTGGCCTATTCCCACTTGTATTGGGGGCTTTAGAATCTGACTCCTTACATTCCTAAGATTAAAAGACATCTTGTGCTGTTTTATGTTCTGAGAAGGATTGATTACCACAAAGACAGATCTATAGGTATGTATGGGTAAGTGAAAGGCTGACAAACAGCATGAGGCATAATCACTTTTATGGTTAGGAATCTGATATGCTGCCAGCAGAGACTGTTCAGTTCACACTTCCATTTCCTTTTAGCCTTGATGCTTGGGTATGGTGTAGGTAAAATGAGGGTTAGACTGTAAATGAAAATCTTTTATAAGAAAAGGAAAGCTTATTGATGAGCTGCTTCAATCATATCTTTTTGTAGATAAGAAAACTGAGGCTAATGGAAGTGAAATGATGGATAAAATCTTAGAAGAAATAGATGACGGCTAAAAATCTCAAATGGATAGGAAAAGCTACAAGGAGTCTGGATATTCTCAGGACTGTTATCTGAAAGACTGCATGAAGCAGAACTCATGTGAAGTGTGCCTAGTTACAGACATACAAAGACTCACTCCCTTTCCCTTCAATGACAGTGGTGATCCTGAAAGAGCTTCCACTCACACAGGTCCATAGCTTCCTTCCCCCCTTTGACCTGACACTGGGATATGAAGAGGAAGGATTGGTTTCTTCACTGGTATTCTGAGAACAACCTTATGGATGTCTGAGGGTAGCATAATCTGGCAGTCCTAGGAGCTCAGGTACTATCTAGGATGGCAGACTGCTGTCATTTCAAGCTTTGATCCAAATAACCAAGTCCCTAATTAGCTTCACACAATTGCTCTTTCATTTATCCTCAGTTATCTTTAACATGTCATATGATTTCCTAAAAATCACTGTGTTATACAAAGTCACACACACAATAAAAACAATAGGGCATATGGGGAAAGATGGAATCAAGAGCATGCCTTAGTCAGTTTGGGCCAACATAAGGAATTATCATAGACCGAGTGGCTTAAACAACAAATATTTCTTTCTTACAGTTATGGAGGTTAAAAGTCTGAGATCAGGGTGCCAGAAGTGTTGGCTTCTTGGTGAGGGGTCTTTTCCTGGTTTACAGATAGTTTTCTTCTTGCTGTGTCCACACAGGGTAGAAAGAGAGTAAGTTAACTCTCTGACCTCCTCTTCCAAGGACTCTAATTCTATTCATGAAAGCTCACAACGTAATTACCTCTCAGAGGCCCAGCCTCCAAATAACATCAGGATGGGTACTAGATTTCAACATACAAATGGGGGGAGGGGCACAAACATTCAGTTTATAATAGAACACAATAGTCAAAATAATGTAATAAATAAATAGAAGATAATAACCTAATAGAAATGGTAGCAATAATTGGGGCATGGTGGCTAATGCCTGTAATCCCAGTACTTTGGGAGGCCGAGGTGGGTGGATCACCTGAGGTCAGGAGTTTCAGACCAATCTGGCCAACATGGTGAAATGCCCTCTCTACTAAAAGCACAAAAATTAGCCAGACATGGTGGTGTGTGCCTGTGGTCCCAGCTACTGGAGAGGCTGAGAGGGGAGAATCGTTTGAATCCAGGAGGCAGAGGCAACAGTGAGCTGAGATCATGCCACTGCACTTCAGCCTAGGTAACAAGAGGGAGGAGACTGTCTCAAAAAGAAAAAAAAAAAAGCAGGAAAGAGAAAGAGAGAAAGAGAAAGGAAGGAAGGAAGGGAGGGAGGGAGGGAAAATAAAAAAGAAAGAAAGAAAGAAAGAAAGAAAGAAAGAAAGAAAGAAAGAAAGAAAGAAAGAAAGAAAGAGAGAAAGAAAAGAAAAGAAAAGAAAAAGAAGGAAGGAAGTAAGAAAAAGAAAGAAAGAAATAGGGAGATGGAAAGGGAAAGGAAGAAGGAAGGAAGGACAAAAGAAACAGTAGCAACATTTTACAAATGTTAAATGGTTAACAATGCTCTTTCATTTATCCTCAGTTCTCTTCAACATGTCATATGATTTCCTACGTGCTACAATACTACAATAATATTCCATGTTTCTTTAAAACCATCGGAAATTTGCTTGTGGAAATAGGTGTCAGTTTGGGGCTTATTGTAAAGGTGTAGCAAGAGGATTATTAGAAATTTGACAGAAAGTTTTAATCACAGATGTGATTGACTGTGGCTCATACCAAACGCAGTACACCAAGGTATCTGGGAGATGCTTGAGTTATGTATATGTGTGCATTTTTTGTGGTCCCCTACAGCTCAGTTCAGTTGAGTACTATTTTGTTCATTTATCCAGTATTTCTAATGGACAAAGTCAAATATAAGCAAATGCAGTATTTCTACTATGCTTTTTTTCCTAAAATATCAATTATCTTAGAACCAATTTTCATTTTTAAAACCAGCATTATAAGAAAACTGACTATAATTAAAAATGAGTCTTTAGTGTGCAAGAGTTACAAATTTTGCCTAAAAGGTCAAAACTTTGTTAAGGAAATAGACATTAAATAAATCATCAATTGAAGTATGATGAGATTTTATGAAACAGAACTACAAAACATTACAGGAATAAATGCAGGGGTGCTTATTTGGTCTGGGACAGAGATGGGCACTCTGGGCCTATGGAATTTACACTGAGACTTTAAGTGTATGCAGGAGTTGGGGAAGTGAATGAACAAAGATAGTGTTACTGGCAGAGAGAAGATCAAGTTTCAGAGCTTCAAGGCAAAATAATGCAGCATGTTCTAGACAACAGATGGAAGTTTAGTAATTTTGCAATATAATCTTAAGAGAAAACTAGCAGCAAATGGGGTAGTAAATTTAGAAGGGGCTGAGATAAATATTACACATAAGCATCTATGAAAAGGAGTGAACTTCATTCTAAAATCAGTGCATACCTTTAAGTCTTTAAACAAAGAAATATTAAATAAACTGTTTTAATTATCATGTGTATAGTTTGGAGAACAATTTGGATTACAGCAAGATTAGAAACAAATGTGGCAGAGTTTATCAGCTGATAACACACAACAAAAAAGCTTTCTTCTAAGAACAGTGCTACATTATTTTCCAGGCTTCCTTCACTTGATTCAGGGAAGTGACCATTTTATTTTATTTTTTTCAAAGAGAATGTGAGTGGAAACTATACGAGCTGCTAACGGGACAAGGCATTTAAGAATCATCCGAGTTCTGCTCTTCTTGCTGGCTGGAGGTAAATACCATTGTGGAGCCACAATATGGAAAGAGGCTGGGCCCCCAAACTGCTGCATGAAAAATAGCTGCTTGCAAACCAAGAACACTCAACTTGGATTTTTATTGATATAATGCTTTTGTTGTGCTTGAGTCATTGTACTTTGGGGTATAAGTGGAGGATCTTTCTTTTCTTTTACAGCTAAGAATTCAAGAACAAACACCAGCAAAGAGATTCAATACAAATATCCAATTTTGAGATAAGGGATGGATAACCATAGTGTGAGTTGAGCCACAGAAATGTGGATGAATTCAATAAATATTTGGATGATTGTTTAACATTACTTCATAATTGATGGGAATAAAAAAGTATAACAAAGAGAAGAAATCAAGGCTGCAGCATGACAAAAGGTTTATATTTTAACTTCAAGAAATCACACATACTCTGTTTTTTCCTCTACTGAAAGATTAGACTAACAATCCAATTTACCTGGACAAAATAAGCTTCTGGGAGATTCTGAAAGTTTGTTATCTTCCTTATCCTTGCCTTTTTGTATTTGAGAATTATATCACCATTCTCACCATTCTAGGATGTTTTCACTAATAATTTTTGAGATTTAATTTATAAATATCAAGCTTCCTGGTTCTTGAAACCTACCCATAGTTAACAACTGATTCCTAGTTCTAGGGTTAACAACTGATTCCTAGTTTCAGGGTTTTCCTGAATATTATCTTTATGCCAGCTTTATAGCATTTTGGAAGGCTCATTTATCCCACATTATGATATTCTCCTGCTTTCAATTTCTCTGTGTCTTCTCGTTTCTCTTAAGGCTAAGCTGGACATTGCAAACAGGATAGTCTCTTCTATCTTGCCCAGCCTTTTCTCCTATCCCATTTTTGCATTCTCTCTATTCTCTGATCACAGAATTGTTTTCATTTCTGAAGGTACAACTAGTGTCACATCTTATGCACATGCTGTTCCCTTTACTAGGATTATACTTTTCCCTTAAATTATCTACCCTTTGCTTGCTTTATTCTGACTTAACTTCAGATTATGGCTCAAATGTATTTCCTCATAGAATTCTTCCTTGACACCTCATAATAAATAAAGTTCACCATATTAAATGCTTTCTTCTCTCCCTGTACTTGTTTCTTTTTAAAGATATTGTTGTTTATTAACTACCTGTGTGATTATTTAATAATACCTTACTCAACATTTCCTCAGCTCCCTGAGGTCAGAGATTATGTATTTTGCTCTCCATGGCCTTCCTAACATCAAGCACAGTGACTAGTAAACAACTGGTTGTTACAGATATCAACAGTCACCTATCTGGCACCCATTTCTCACATATGCTGATTGACAGAGCCCCTGTTTGATTCAGGTGTGCATGATACCCATGAACGACTCCGGGACTATATTTCTCATTTCAACTCCTGAAGTAATTTTTGCTTGATTTAAACTGATTGTTATGAGCCAATTCCTTTTGTAAATGATTGGCTTAGGCCAGGTATGCAAAACGTTCTGTCTGAGAAGACTTGAAAATCTACTTGGAAATTTCTAGGAAAGCTTTCCTTGCTCTTAAAATGTGATGCATAAAAAGAAACAGTACTGCTTCTGAATCCTTCCTGAGTTCATTAGGGGAGCTAAGTAGAGATGACATGGCCGGAAGATGTAAAACATTCAGGTGTCGATTAACATTATTAAGCTACCAAATTAGTCCATTTTAAAGGTACATTACCGTAAAAACTTTATGTGACGGCCGGGCGCGGTGGCTCACGCCTGTAATCCCAGAACTTTTGGAGGCCGAGGCAGGCGGATCACGAGGTTAGGAGATCCGGTCCATCCTGGCTAACACGGTGAAACCCTGTCTCTACTAAAAACACAAAAAAGTAGCCGGGCTTGGTGACGGGCTCCTGTAGTCCCAGCTACTCGGGAAGCTGAGGCAGGAGAATGGCGTGAACCCGGGAGGCAGAGCCTGCAGTGAGCCGAGACCACGCCACTGCACTCCATCCTGGGTGACAGTGAGGCTGCGTCTCAAAAAAAAAAAAAAAAAAAAAAAAAAAAAAAAAAAACTTTATGTGACCAAAAAAATCTTCAAGTTCACCGAGAACTCCCTGTTTCCCATATCTAGAAGTTTTCTAACAGTATTTAAAAGTACTCAACAAATATTTCTTGAATAAATGAAAAGTGTCTATGTTTAGTGCCTAATAAACAATATGCACAGTACATGGTTGTACTTCCAAGCCTTGGCGGTGATGTTCACTGAAAACCTTTCTTATTTATACATGACAAACTCCCAGTCTTTCAAGAGTCAAAGTAGGTCCCTATCTCCAGGATACTCCTTCTCTCACATTGTTAGGTTAGCAGCTCCTCCATTATACTCTAAAACTAAAACTAGTTTAGATTTCTACCATTGCCTGTATTCCTGTAATATATTTAATTGCACTTCCCACATTCAACCAAATATATCCTGAAGGAAGGGGCTGCCAAGACTAAGGCAGAACTTGGCCTTTAGTACATGATGAATATATAAAGTCTCTCCAGGGGAAAAAGAGTTGCGTGAATGAAATAACCAAGGAAACCTCTGGAAAACAAGTGGAAACTGGGCTTATTGTAATAATGTGTAAAAGGGCAAAGAACAATGCTATAGCAGATCACAAAAGGGAAGAAAACAGAGTTGTTTCCCCAGGATATTGGTGGTTTAAAAATTAGCGTACATATTGGTAAAGAATACCATGCAAGAAATATTGAGAAACAAAATCACATGAGAGCAACATCTGAATCTCAGTGCAAGGAAATTGAAATTTACTTTACAAGTGTAGGAAGGCTATGTTAAGAATACTCATATAATAGTGTTCTATAAAAAGAGTCAGTGATGTTGGTGAATGATACATAAAATGTTAAATGTAATAGCCACACAAGGAATATAAGTGTTGAAAATAGGTGGTGATGTTACAAATAGAAAGGGACAGATACAAGGAAAATGTCTTGTACATAAATAATGAAAAACTGCATTAATACTACATACCTATCAGAATGGCCCAAATCCAGAACATTGAAAACACAAATGTTGGTAAGGATGTGGAGAGAAAAAGGAATTCTCATTCATTGCTATGGAAATGGAAAATGGTACAGCCTCTTTGGAAGACAGTTTGGCAGTTTCTTACAAAACTAAACATACTCATACTATACAGTCCAGCAATCACACTTCTTAGTATTTATCCAAAAGAGTTGCAGCATGTTCGTGCAAAAAAAAAAAAAAAAAAAAAAAAAAAAAAAAAAAAACTGCACACAAATATTTATAGTAGCTTTATTAGTAATTGCCAAAACTTGGAAGCAAACAAGATGTCCTTCAGTAGCTGAATGGATAAATAAACTATGGTACATCCAGAAAGTAAAATATTATCAAATATTTAATAGAAGGGAGCTAATAAGCCATGAAAAACATAGAAGAATCTTATTAATAAATTCATACAACTAATGATGGAAGTCAATTTGAAAAGCTGCATATTTACTGTGATTCCAATTATATGACATTCTGGGAAAAGCAAAACTATGGAGATAGTAAAATGAACAGAGGTTGGAAGAAAGGGAGGGTTAAATAAATAGAGCATAGGGAATTTTTAGGGCAGTGAAGCTCCTCTGTGTGGTATTATAATGGTGGATAAGTGTTACTATATATTTGTCAAAATCCATACAATGTTTAACACCAAGAGTGAGCCCTGGCAGGACATTATGGCTCATAATTGTAATCCCAGCACCATGGGAGACTGAGGCGGGCAGATCACTTGAGGTCAGGAGTTTGAAACCAGCCTGGCCAACATGGTGAATCCCCATCTTTACTAAAAATACAAAAATTAGCCAGGTGTGGTAGAGCATGCCTGTAATCCCAGCTACTTGGGAGGCTGAGGCAGGAGAGTCACTTGAACCCGGGAGGCAGAGGTTGCAGTGAGCTGAGATGGCACCACTGCATTCCAGCCTGGGTGACAGAGTTAGACTCCACCTCAAAAACAGAAACAAAAACAAAAACGGAAAAACAACAAACAAAAAAAGAGTGAGCCCTAATGTAAATGATGCGCCTTGAGTGATAGTGATTTGTCATTGTGCTTTCACCATTTGTAACAAATGTGCCTGTCTGGTGAAGGATGTTGGTAATAGGAGAGTCTATGTGTGTGTGGGAGCAAGGGGTATAATAAGAAATTTTTGTACCTTCCCCTCGATTTTACTGTGAACACAAAGCTGCTATAAAAAATAGTCTTTAAGAATATAGTATCTAATCAATAAGTTTTTGTAACTGAGTTTATCCACATGTTTAAATTACAATGAAGTAAAGAACATAGTTTTTGTGATTGAATAATCCTTTGTTGCATGTTCTTCTGAAAAAATAAAATTGAAAAAATTATCACTTACCATTTTGAATGTTCATACGATGCAAATCATTTATTTTCTTATCAAATATATTTATTGAATTTCCACCAACTGTATAGCTTAACAATAATCTGTGTGGTGGTAGTATTCTGCTCATTTTTAATTAAAAATTACACTGACATAATATATAAAGCAGTGAAAAACAATTGTGCGATACTATATGCTTATGTATGTCTTAATTTTGAAATGTTATGAGCAAGAGGAGATGCATTCCCCCAAATATGAAATTGAAATTCAGTGTCATCTCTTTTCAGTTTAACTCAGTGTTCTGATATAAATAATTTAATTGCCAGACCACCTAGATAATAAAACAGAAAATACTATGTATGTGTGAGCGTCCTTCAAGGGAATTTAAAAATAAATTTTATTGAGAAATGAACATGACTAATTAGACCATAAAGTGTTCATAAGTTTGTATGTTTACAAATAGAAATATGGAGGAAATTTTAAACTCATGGAAATCTTATTCAAATCATGTCCCTCTACTCCCTGCAGGCATGCCCTCAGAACTTTTAATCTTTATGAAACATTTGAAGACCTCGAGAAAGGACAATACCCTTGGTTCTATACAGATGCTGTCATGAATTCATCTTATATCAGTTTCATGTAAGTCATTTTACTTTCCTGCCCCACTTTTATCATTTGTCAACTCAAAGACATCAATTATGTCATCACTAAGATGCCTCACATGATTTCTGAAGACAGGAAATCCTCAGAAGTTGACATGTAATGAGAGAAATAATAAACATCAATAAAATATTCCCAGGTTTTTATGAGATTATTTTAGATAAAACACTTAATTGATAAGTTAATAACTGAAAACTTCAGGTTCTCAAATCAAACTAAATGAATATTTTATCACTTCTCTTCTTAAACTTTTGTTATAGCAAAATGATATTAAGTTATCTGTGTACTTGCTTGGATTTGAAAGGTCAGCATCCCTTTCATGAGGAAAATTTTGTCATGCCTCATATTAAACACAGAGTCAACATTGATACTTCGCTGTTTTTAATCAATGATGGGGCTACTGACAATATAATGAACTCTTATTCCTTGAATACCAACTTTTATTTTAAATCAGTTGCTTGTCTTCTTGTAACACTCAGAATTCTTATTTGCAAAGTTAGCCCCTTTACTAGTTGCTCCCCACCATTTCCAATATACAACCAGATAGATTTGAGAAACTGCAATCATTCACAAGGCTTACATATGGACAATGTGTATCAAAAAGTATTTCAAGATTGTTTCAAATATTATCTCAGTAATAAGGTTTGGCCTAATATTTTCCATTTGTTCTTTTATTGTTTCTATCTGTCATGCACAGCCACGTGTGATAAGCAATTACAGAAGATCCTTTATGAAATTGCATTATGTTGTGCTGTGTTCTGTGTTATGCGTAACCCAAGGCGTTTATCTTTACAACACTGAGTCAATTAAAAGAATATGGAATAGTTAGAGGATAATAAGAGCAAGTAATTCAACAATTTGACATCTAACTCTTAGGACTGATTCTCAAGGTTATAGCAAATACAAAGTGTTTTCTGTCCTTTTTTGTCTTTGTGTTTAGAAATCTGAGAAAACAAACTAGAGAGAAGGCAACACATATTTCATTTTAGCTGTGAGCAACTTCCATTGTGAATCAAGGATTCATTCAAAATACATCTGGTATGAGGTTTTGCTTTTCACAGAATGGCAACATCTAACCTCATCACACAGGTGAGGACAAAGCAATTGTATCTTTTAGAGAGGTACACATTTTAAAACTTCAGATGTGAGTTTTCAGATGTAGGAAAAAAAGCTTTGTAATTTCTCCTATAAAAAAGCCACCACTCACCTATATCTTGGGTGTGCTACATGAAGCACACCAAGGAATATGAAGTTCAACTCTGTGATTATGATTTTCAAATGTTAAATAAATAAACAAATATGGTGAACTCTCCTCATTTGTTTCCCTTTGGTAGAGAAAAACAGGGCAAAAATGAAGTACAACCTGGTATAGAATTTATAGTGTGACATGCAAAATGTGAGATTATGTGTTCTTCACATTGCTTGCTTTATCTAAATTTCATGTAGATATATGGACAAGACCCCATTCATCTTATGACTACAGTATATTGCACTTGAAAAAAAATAGTGTTCTTAAGCTTCATCTTTTTACAGAATCCATGTAGTCAAATACCATTGAGGATAGTTGTGTGGTCACTATGTTGTAATATCAGACAAAGATGACAGTGAATCTGCAAAAGAAGAAAGCATTCTGAGAACCACTGATTCCAGAGCAGGTGAAGGTAAGAGTATATTTCAAAACAGAACACAAAAGAATCTATGCTCACAGGCTATATTTCGAAGGATAGATTTTTCAAAAATCTTTCCAATAATTAATAATCATGGGATTTAGAGTTCTAAAACTATGTTTCTACCCATTATATGCATAGAGTAAAACTATTAAACAATTGCTAGATGTCTCATTTATGCTATGAGTAATCAGAATGTTGAGAAAATAACTTTCACTGGATATAATCATAAAGCAACATTATTTCCTAAACTGCATTGGGGGAGTTCTTTCTTGGGTACTAGATACAAACACGCAGTTCCATGCCTTTGCAGATAATTCTTAGATTAAATACAAATAATATTAATCCAGGCTGGGCACAGTGGCTCACGCCTGTAATCCCAGCACTTTGGGAGGCTGAGGCGGGTGGATCACAAGGTCAGGAGATCGAGACCATCCTGGCTAATACGGTGAAACCCCGTCTCTACTGAAAATACAGAAAATTAGCTGAGTGTCGTGGCGGGCGCCTGTAGTCCCAGCTACTCGGGAGGCTAAGGCAGGAGAATGGTGTGAACCCGGGAGGCGGAGCTTGCAGTGAGCCGAGATCGCGCCACTGCACTCCAGCCTGGGTGACAGAGCGAGACTCCGTCTCAAAAAAAAAAAAAAAAAAAAAATTAATCCAAAGGTCACTATAAGTTTCAAACAATGTCAAGGTATTTTGTTCACTCCTATATAATAGTCAAAACTCTTACCATTTGATCTAAAATGAAATATTCCCTCTATCGGCCAGGTTTGTAGTCTGTGGAACGGATGAATCCTTGTCTTTCCACTACTTATTCAGCTCATATTTGATATTTCTGAACACTCTGGAAGTGAAGTGAATATTGAAGACAGTAAAGAGATAAGAGAAGGGGCAGCAAAGTTCTTACTTAACTGCTACAGTCAGCAACTGACTCTAAGCTTTGTAGACCTGGCTTTAAAGCTTCCTTTCTCTTATAGGGGACTTTAATGGTGTAGCAGTGATATTTTCTGTGTAGCAAACCATCTCAACACTTACTACCTTAAAACAGCAGCTCTTTATTATATCCCATGAGTCAACAGGTCAGCTGTGTAATTCTGCTGATTGGACCAGACTTCTCTTATCTTGGCTGGGTTCTGTCAAAAGTCAGATGGTGGCTCCATTGGGGCTGAGTAGCCTCAGAAAGCCATATGTGTGTTTGCAGGTGGGTTGACTGTCATCAGAGACAACAGGTTTGATTGGGTCATGTGCCTCATCTTTCAATAGTGTAGCTTCTTCCCATGACAAAGTACAAAAAGCAGTAAAAGAGAAGGTAAGCCCCAATGCAAAAGTGCTTTTCAAATTGCTGCTTATGATGTTTGCTTTTATCCCATTGGCAAGAACAGATCACATGACCAAATATGAGTCAGCATGAGAAGGGGTTACCAGGGTGTGGTTGCAGGAATGTGGAAGAAATTCCAAGATTTCACTGCAGCATTGTACCACCTATGATCTCTTCAGAGACACTGTCCCTTATCTGTCATGTTTGCTTTTCTTGATGCAGATGGCATATTTCCTCTGTCTTAAAGGATCCACTGCTATCCTTGGTTTCTCTTTGATAAGGTTTCCAGACTATGGGAAGCCCTCTTGGACACGATCCAAGATACATTAAGGTGACCTGTCTTAGTCACATGACTGATAGCTGGTCTCTATAACACATCTGTATCCTTTGTCCAGTCAAACTCTGGGAAATACAGCCTCAGCCTAATGAAATCACCCATTTACTTCCAGATGTGGAAGAACTAGCTACCCCACCTCTCCCCATTTGAATTTACCAGCAGGACAAAGACAGGTCCATTATATTACCCCAACTTCATAGCATATCAAACTCTCTACACAGTCCTGATGAAGCCAGTCCTACTAAGCTTGAGATAAGGGTCAGGAACCCATATCTCTTTGCACTTGGGAATGTTTGGACTCATAGTTCACCAAAAGTTCTCTCTAAAATATATCTTTAAATCTCTCTTAATTACCAACAACATAATTTATTAACAACCTGGATCTAGGTGAGAATTAATAACTTTGTAATCAAATTTTTCTTTTAAAAATATTCATCTTAGTATGACACTTCAGTTTGGAGTTTCATAAATATCATTTCTATGGTCTCTTGGTTCCTCAGTTACAAATGCCAAATTAACATCTTTAATGTGGAAAGTGACAAAATTGGGGAAACAATTAGGCATTGTAACTCCAAGTAAAAAATAATGATAAAATAAATTATAAAAAAATTGTATTTAATTTCGTACTTATCGATTTAAATTCACCATTGTAGACTGGGCAGAGTATCTTAAAGATCACTCTTAAATCACTTTATTACCTCTTTCACCCAGGTCTACATCAATTAAAAATATGGTGGTTGTGTTCCTTATGCCTTTATCTAGGTAAACAGTAGAAGTATTAAAGACTAGAGAATCAAAATCAAAGTTCCCAGTCTTGCCATGAGTGAATATCCTCATTGTTGAAATAAAGCCATTCATAATTTATTAAGCAAATATTCTAGATCATTAGTATAGAAATTGCTAAAAGGAAAAAAAAATCACATGAAAACTTTAAAGAAATGGATTGAGCTATTAAACTGCAGGATTTGACACATGGTAAACAAGCAACAAATATTAGCATTCATACAATTATGATATCAAATACCCAATAATGTTTCCAAGGATCCTTAAATTAGCAATTGCTGAAGTTAGGTTTAAATCTCTCATGTGTTCTTTCATCTATATATCCAAGCCCTCCATCCCACAGAACACTCAACCAAAATCTAACCACACAGATTCTTACAGTTCATTTTTCTTGAAATAATTATTTTAAATATTACTTCTCCATCACATATTTATTATACTGGGGACAGAGTAAGTGTTCAGGAGAATAGCAAGCTAACGGTTCCTAGCTTTTCACATGACACAAAGTTGCCGCTACTCTTTGAGCAATATTTCTTAGACTCTCCCAAATCCCACACCAGATGTCACATACACTTTACTGTCTGATAATTACTTCTTTCTCTCCCATTTTTCTACTCTTCTTACATTTTGAGAAGACAGATCTTAACTATCTTGCTTAGGACCACCTCTTTCGTCCTAGACAGACTTTCTAGATTTCTTCCTTCCCTTTACCCAGTGGGAAGCTCTTCACAGGGAGCTGAAGACTCTTAAGTAGACACTCATGTGGCTTAACCATAAGAATCCTGTGACTCTTTTGTATTTGTTTCTGTCTTACCACTGAACCAAAAAGTGGTTTATTTCCATCTCCTTACTTTCATCTTCCCACAGAAGACAATGATTCCCACATCTCTTCAAACACCTGAGTATCTTCTTCACTAAGTCTTCTTTCAAGAAAGTGTTCTGGGATTTTTTTCCCCAATTACTCCTACCTTCTCCACTTAGAATACAGTTAATTAGTTTCACTTATTTTGATATTCTTTTTTTTTCTTTCTGAGATATCTAGAAATCATGTAATGTTTCTTCCAGGTGAGTCACTATTATTTTTCCTTGCTTTTAATACATCCTTCAGTTGGCACCTTAGCACTCATATATAGTTTGTTTTGTTAGAATTCACACTATTGTCTCCAACTGGAATGAGAGTAAGGCTTGCTCTTGCTTACCATGGTAGCTGAAACCTAAAAAGTGTTGGGTACATAGTAAGCTAAAAAGTGATGGAGACATAATAAAAGTGATGGATACATAGTAAGCTCTTTATGAATGATTGAATCAGTGGGTAAATTAATGAATATTCTTTTTCTACTTGAGTGTCCATGTACCACAATATTACAAGTCATTTTAATCAAAATAGTTAACCCACTAATCTTCCTAAAAAGCGATTTTATATATAACACTTCTATTATCAAAAGATAAATTTTATTCATCACTTTAAACAGAATCCAAACATTCTGGCCTGTGTCCAGTCATTTGTATCATTTATTGAATTCCTGCAATATAAAAGCATTGTGGAGTCCAGATACATCCTACCGCTCTTCCAGTCAAGTGAGAAACACTATGAAAGCACATAGTAGTATAAGTCACAGTAGGAAAATCATACCAAAAGAGAAATATAAAAATAAACTTTGGTAATGTTTAGGTAGTTACCATAAATAGCTACTACCTGGGGAAGGATTCAGGGAAAGTAAAATGAAAAAAAATTCTTTCTCTCTCTTTTCTTCCTCTCTTCCTTTCTTTTTTCTTTCTTTCTTCTTTTTTTCTCTCTCATTTATTCTTTCTTCCTCTCTCTTTCTCTTCCTCTTTCTTTCTTTCTCTCATTCATTCTCTCTTTCTCTCTCTTTCTTTCTTTCTTTCTCTCTTTCTCTAGCTTCCTTTCTATTTTCATTTATTTACTTTCTTCTTTCTTTTTTGCAAAGTCTGCTGGAAAGGAAAAGAGAATTTTGGGAGAACTAAATAGTAGACATAGGACACAGAAATAAGAATAACAAGTTTTCCAGTTTCACATTGGAAGATAATCTGGGCACACTTCAAATTCTATTCAATTTTTCCCTGTTCTCTATATATTTTTGCATCTACATCACAGTTGACATCCTTCCTTGAATTTGAATCACTATAGTCTTAATCTTCCCTAAATTATATTTCAATATCCTTATGTCACATGCAAAAAAGACACTCAATAAATTCTCTTGCTAATGATATATTATAAAGTAATTAAAAATGAACAAACAAACATTGGTGAAGCTTCCGGAATCCTGAAACCAAATATTAAGGGCAGTTCAACAATTATTTGGACTCTGTTGAGATTAGAAAGATAGGTGGAGGAAAATAAGCACAGGTCAATAGCTTCAGGTCTCTTCTGAACCTTTGAACCTTTGGTTTCTTGCTGAGCACCTAGAAAATGACCAGGTCAATACTCATGCTGTGGTCTGAAAATGTGTGTCTCTCCAAATTTTATATATCAAAATCTAATCCCCAATGTGTTGATCATAAGAAGTGGTGTTTTTGGTAGGGAGTAGGTCATGAGGATAGAAACCTCATATATGGGAATATTGCCCTTTTAAATGAGGCTTGTGGGAGCTTGTTTGCAACTTCTACCAAGTAAGATCACAGAAGGCAGTATCTAAGACGAAAAGGCTCACTAGACATCAAATCTGCTGGTGTCTTGATCTTGAACTTCTCTACCTCCAGAAATGTGAGCAATAAATTTTTGTTGTCTGTAGATTACCAGCTCTAAAATGTTTGTTATAGCAGTTCAAATAGGTTAAGACATCCCATATGACAATCAGCCTTTTTATCATTTATAATTTGCAATTCATAGTCATGAGTTTATTCCCTAAGATTTCAGTTTTAATCACTTTCTGAGATCGTCTTTTTCTGTGGTCATTCGCCATAACACATGTGTTTATTAGATGTTAATTGTGCTAGGTGCTCTGGTTATAAGGATTTATGAAGCATAGCACTCAGGGAATTTACAGAATAGTGTAAAAAATAGGTGAATGTCTAATTTGAATAAACTGATTTTTGAGAACATTTAGTATGTACTAGTTTGAAGCATGGCCAAGAAAAAAAAAATCACAGGAGAATTCTTAGAAAAAATAAACCTTGAAACTTGAAATGAGACTACAATGTTAGATAAAAGTCAGTCAATTGAAGATGACAAATACAGGCATCACAGGCAAAGTACTCAAATTAGGTATTTTTATATCTTTTATTCACGTAATATTCCAAGTAATGAAATCATTGCCTGCTGCGTAGTAGGTAAGCCATCAATACATATTGAATGAATATAAATATATGAATGAATGAATAAAATATCATCCTATAAACCAAAAATGAGCAGGGTGCAGAGGTGTGGGGAATCATTAACTGCGTTAGTACCACTGGAATCTTAGAAATCAGATGAAGAGTAGTTGGAGCTGATGCTGGAAAGGCAGGCAGGACCAAATTATGGAGGGCTCCAGGTACTACTGACAAGGAGCTAGAGAAAGATTGTGAGAAGAATTGTTTGGTTAGATTTCATTATGATAGATCACTCCAGGATGGGTTAAAGGATGGACTGAAGGACCAAGACACAAGGTAGCAGCACCAACTGTGAGGCCACAGCAAGGGCACAAGTCAGAGGTGACGAGTATCTCAAATGTAACACTGGGAAGAAGGAGAGGAGCAGACAGGTGAATCTTTATCATGCTGAAAGTTGGAATTCCCATGCTGACACACAGTCTTAGGATCACATGCATATTTTTAGGAGGTAGAAACAAGTCAGTATGTGGCTGGCTAAAATGTAGAAACATAATTTAATCTGAAAATTAAAACAGTGACTGTGTCCACAGAAAAGGGGAGGGATAATTTTGAGTCGGTAATGAAAAGAAAAACAGGCCAGGCACAGTGGCTCACACCTGTAATCCCAGCACTTTGGGAGGCCGAGGTGGGCTGATCATGAGGTAAGGAGTTTGAGACCAGCCTGACCAACATAGTGAAACCCCGTCTCTACTAAAAATACAAAAATTAGCCAGGCCTGATTGGGTGCACCTGTAATCCCAACTACCTGGGGCATGAGAATTGCTGGAACCCAGGAGGCAGATGTTGCAGTGAGCCGAGATCACACCACTGCCTTCCAGCCTGGCAACTAGAACTCTCTAATATTGGGGTTTTGTGTGGAAAGCAGTACAACCACTTTGGAAAAACACTTAGACAATTTTTAATGAAGTCTTTGTAATGAATTTGAACATATACTGACCCCATGACCCAGCAATTCTACCTTTCGGCATTTATCTAAGAGATATGAAGGCATACCTCCACAAAACATCTTGTGTAAGAATATGTAAAGTAGCTTTGCTCATGATAGCTCAAACTGAAAATAACAAGTGCCCATCAATAAGAAAATGGATAAGCAGGCAGGGCGCGGTGGCTCACGCCTTTAATTTCAGCACTTTGGAAGGCCGAGGTGGGCGGATCACCTGAGGTCAGGAGTTCAAGAACAGCCAGGCCAACGTGGTGAAAACCCATCTCTACTAAAACTAAAAAAAATTAGCCAAGCGTGGTGGTGAGCGCCTGTAATCCCAGCTACTTGGGAGGCTGAGGCAGGACAATTGCTTGAACCAGGGAGGTGGAGGTTGTAGTCAGCAGAGATCACACCACTGCACTCCAGCCTGGGTGACAAAGCAAGACTCTGTCTCAAAAAAAAAAAAAGAAAGAAAGAAAAAAAGAAAATGGATAAGCAAAACTGAGATATATTCATATGTTGGAATACTACTCTCAGCAACAGAAACCAAAGGAACAAGATCCTGACACATATAAAAACATGGATGTGAACAGTCTGACTTCAGGCCAAAATTTATGTATGATCTTTCAGGCCAGATTGTAGGCAAGTACAAGCCTTTGTTTAGCAAGCCTGACCCAGGGAAACTGTCCTCTCTACAGCAGGCTTGGTGCACAGCCAGGGCACTGCAATTTTCTGGAGAGAGTTGCAGTCAAGAACTCAGGTACGTTTGGGCCAGCCAGGTTTATACACGTCTGCCTTCCTAGTCTAGGTGTCTCCATGGGAAGTATAATTAATGGAGGACTTAACTGAGGCATTCTTTACTATCTGGACTCTGCCTTTCTATTTCTAGCCATTTTCCTTCTCCCTCCCACTGCCTTTTCCCTGGACTGAAGTCCAGAAGGAGGCAAGGGCTTTTTGTTATGCAGTGAGGCAATTCCTCCCATCTGTGCTGAGTCACCTGACTGATTCTTTTCCATTGCCAATCCATGCTGGGGGGAATGGAATATTAGGGAGGCAGCTTAGCATTTTGCCTATTTTTGGCACTGACATAGTAAGTGAATTAGAGCTTGATTGTTAGTTTCAATTTGGTCTATTGTCTTTGACCACCTTGACAGTTGATTGCTCGACCAGATGGAGCTCACAGTTTATGCATGATTTCATTTATCTAAAGTTCAAAAACAGGAAAAGCTAACCCATGATGAGCCCAATTAGAAAAAAAAGCGGTTCTCTTGGCAGTTGGGAAATGAAAAATAATGGTGAATGTACTGAGAAAAGAAATGAGGGAACTCTGTAGAGGGCTGGAAATGTTCCAAATTTTGGTGATATTTGAGATTGATCAGTAAATGGTGTGTGTCAAGATTCACTGAATTGTAGATGTAAGATTTGTGCATGTTATTATATTAATTTTTATGTCAAAATTATAAACAACAAAAAACCACTCTCAAGTTTTGAGGCCGTTATTATCAATTAATGTGACATAACTAATACATAAAAATCTGTAAAACTAAACCTGCAAGTCAAATTTACCGACAGTAAATGAATTAAATCTTAACACATGTGTCTCTAAGTTTCTACAAATGAGAAATAAGGAGAGTTCTCTCCTAGCTTTAGTTGTAAGTATAATTACCTTTGTTTATGCAAAGTTTATTATTTCCAAATTACTCACCAAGGGCCTGATTAAAAATGGTGTTCATGCTCCTTATTCTTTAGTTCAGTAATGTGTTTCTCAAAGAAAGAAAAAAATGCTTATTATGCACCCAAATTAATTAAATTTGAAAGGTTTGCTGTTCATGAAATTTCTTCTGATAGTGCAACTGTATCCCTTTCAATTGCACTACTGGGAGGTGAGAAATCTAAGGAAAGGGTAGTGGGAAGGAAAATAAAATTACAATAAATTTACACTGCCCAAATGCCATACATATATGGCCACTGGAGCAGAAGTCCTGTACATATAGCTGAGGGAATAAAAAAAAAAAAAAACCCTGTTGGGAAACTGACTATTCTCCACTAAGTAGCATGCGGCCCTCCGTTCACATCTGTTCCCAGGCTTCCACAAACATTCCATTTGCTGAGCATGTAAGTATCCTTTAATTTATCAAGATATTGGTAACAGCTCACCAATTCCTCCAATGTTATTTTGAGTTTCAAATGCAAGTCATATAAAAATAATAATGAACTTTGCACAAGGAAATTTGAATAAGAATAAATTTATCTTACTAAAAATTACTACCAGAAATATAAAATTCATTTTCTATTGCATATCTTTTGGTCAACCTGTGGAACAATATTATGTTGTTGTACTAAATGCGAATTGTTATTACCACACTAGTTCTTACTTTGAAGTCAAAATATAGCCAAACCACTAAGGTCATTTTAAACTCGAAACAGACAGCTATAAAGGTACAGGCAGAGGTGTAGATACAGAACTAGGAATAGAAATAGGACAAGAGTAGGTACAGGAATAGATATGGTATAGACAGAACAGTGCTTAGGTATGAAAAGAAAAGTGATTATGTCTGTAGGTTTAGGTGTCAAAACTTGGCTTGCATTGTTATGTACAAAAGGAAAAGTGTCAAGTAATAAGAATCATAAAGGATAAGGTAATAGTTTCCCATAAACCTGAGATAAGCATTAAATTTATCACCAACCTTTCTAAATACCTAATGATAACAAGCAAAAGGAAAAAAAAAGAAAACCAAAAACAAAACATTATTTAAAAAATGTCTTTTATTCAAGAGAAGCTTCTTCTTCTTCTAATTATTATTATTTTTTTACTACTTTTTAGGAGAGTTCTGTCATGTGGTACTTTAAACAAAAAACAGTTACATAACAGACAGCTGATAAACAGGATTTTCTTTCTAGATCTCAGCAACTAAAGTTCCAAGAACTTTAGGAATAATCCCCATATATTCATATATTTAAAAGACTTAAGCATTATTTCTAAAATGTTTTTATATATTATGATTCACCATATAGTGGAATTACAAATGTAAAGCTCAAATTTAAGAATGCAAAGACAAAAATGCTGTTGCATTTTTGATGACTAAACTAATCTCACTCCTTAGGTAGTGAACATTTTTCCTGGATTCTTAAGCACCTGGAGATTTTTTCTTTGTTAATTCTGAGTCGCTGTAGCTTATTCTGGTTCTAGGGATTTCACTGAAAGTTGCCTGTAATCCCTAGTTGATCTCTGCTTCACTGTTGACCTTATAGCCATAAACTACAGAATTGCTTTGTGCCTTCTTTCTTTAACATCTCTGATCCCATATATACACTTTCATACAACAATCAAAGATATTGCTTCTGAAGAAATCATTATCCAGTATCAAAAGCTCTATTTCTGGCTCTGAATGGAGCTGATAGTGAACTCTGGATCTGTGGTGTTCAAACTCAAACTGAGGGAAACTTAAGAAGAGAAATTCTGATCTTCTATCTGCCTCCTCACCATACCACTACTTTTACCCTGATGAGCAAATCTTCTTTACATGTTGCCACAGGACATCCCTGAGAAGCCCTAATCATCTACTTCCACAAAAATCCATATGGTGTGTGGGACACAAAATTCTACACTTTTGATTTCCATAATCTAATCTATCATTCCATTCTTGTTAGAATTTTGGCTCTGGAAAAGAAAGTATTGTGACTATGTTACGGAACTCTTGGGTATCTTCTCTTTCTTTGAGTTTCTCAGCCAGTAGTCTTTCCTTCACCTTTGCTGTTAAACAAGATATTGTTCTTTGTCATAATCTTTTTCTTGCTCAAGTGACATTCGTACTTTCCATTTTAATGGGGCCATAATGTCAGTATGACTTTCAAAGCTGATTCATGTGGGAGAGGCCTAAAAAGTATACTTGTTCATTTAATACTTTTAAAATATTATCTTCATTACACTTGATGGATTTTCCAGCTTATTTTCCATCTGTAGTGCTGCCTCTGACATCACAATTAAAATACGTTAATGCTTAGATGTCACACATACAACAACTAATTTTTCTGGCTTTGGGGAGAAAACACACAAGTGTATTTTCCAGCTAAGGAATCATACATATTGAGCCCAATGCTTTAAGTTATTTAGCCATATAAGATGCAAATACATTTTATCTTTTCATTTTAAATATATTGCTAAATAATCTACACAGTTTTCAAGAAGATTAGCATATGTAAGAAATTACTGCCTAACCACAAGTCAGAAGATTTACTCCTACATTTCATTCTGAGTGTTTTTAACTTTGGCTCTTAGGTTAAGGTCTATGATCCAATTTGGGTTAATTTTTGTTTATGGTCTTGAGGTAAAGGTCTTAATTTCTTTTTTTTTTTTTTTTTTTTTAGTAGATTCCCGTAGTTCCAACAGCATTTGTTGAAAAACTATGATTTCCAGTTGAATTATCCTGGAACACTTACCAAAAAATTAACTTATCATAAATGCGAGGATTTATTTTTGGACTTTCAATTCTATTTATTTCATCTATATGTCCATTCTTATGCCAGTTCCACATTGTCTTGATTACCATTGCTTTGTAGTTAAGTTTGGAAACTGAGAAATGTGAGTCCTCCAAATTTATTCTTTTTCAAATTTGTTTTGACTTGTCTGGGTCTCATGCCTTCCCACATAAAATTTAGGAACAAATTACTAATTTTTGAAAAAAAAAAGCCAGCTTGGATTTTGATAGCATCTGTGTTGAATGCACAGCTTTATTATTTGGTGAATGTATTTTTATAATGCTATTTATTTCTGAAGGATTGTCCCTTTTAGTATTATAAAACAGCCATTTTTTTCTAGTGATAATTTATCTATACATATATATATATATATATATATATATATATATATATATATATATATATAAAACGTGTGTGTGTGTGCATGTAAAGAAATTATACGTACATATGTGTATTTGATATCGGTATGGACACTCCAGTTCTGACTACTTGCCTGGCATATCATTTATATTTTAAACCTATTTACTTTAAACCTATTTTTGTCTTCAAATCTAAAGTGCATATTTGTAGACGGTACAGAATTTGATTGTTTTTTAAAAAATCAATTCTACCAAACCTCATAATTTTGATTAAACTGCTCATTCTATTTAATTTTAATGTAAGTGCTGATAAGACTCAAGACTACTAGTTTTCTATTTGTTTTTTATATATCTATGTCTCTCTTGTTCCTTTTTGTTCTTAATAATTAACTTTTTTGTGTTATGTATTTTTTTCTGTTTATTATTTTCTGGTATACTCTTTTAAATTCTTTCTAATTTATTTTACTCCTTAAATATTTTTCAAATATTTAATTTGAAATATTTGTTTAAGGGATTACAATCAATACGTATTACTGATCGAAAGTTTGTATACTCCCAATATTCATATTTTGAAGCCCAAACCCTCAATGTGATTGTATCTGGAGGTTGGGTCTATGAGAGATAATTAGGTTTGAAAGAAGTACTGAGCATAAAGCCCCCATGATGAAACTGGTGTTTAGAAAATTAAAAAAAAAAAAAAAAAAAAAAACAAAGGAAGAAAGACCAGTGCTGACTCTCTCCCTGTGTGCACAATAAAGAGATCATGAAGGGGCTCAGCAAGATAGCAGCAGCCTACAAGCCAAGAGAAGAAGCCTCAGAATAAAGATTTATTTTTCTGGCACCTGGAACTTGGATTTCTGAGTCTTAGAAGAGTGAGACATAAATTTCCACTGTTTAAGCCACACAGCCTATGGTATTTTATAATGGCAGTCCAAGAAGACTAAGACAACTTAGTTTTAACCTAGAACAATATGATTTGGATTAATACAACTTAATTTTAATACCATGTGAAAACTTTGTTTCAATGTTTTTGTGTTCTTTCTACCCTTTTTATAATAGCATTGTCATAAACATTTCATCTTTATACATTACAAACCCATTACAAACCTTTTGTTTACCTGGGAATGTATTAATTTATCTTTTATTTCTGAAAATAGTTTTGTGGTGTATAGAATTTGTGTTTTACATTATTTCTTTTGGAGTACTTTGTATATGTTGTCCTACTGCCTTCTACTGTCATTGTGTCTGGTGATAAGGCTGTTGTTAATGATACTGATGCTCCCAGTCACCTTTCCTTTGCTGCTTTCAAGATTGTGTCTTTGTAATTTGGTTTTTCAAAGTTTGACTGTGATGTGTTTAGTTGTAGACCTTTCAGTTTATCTTACTTGGGGTCTTTTCAGTTTTCAGATGAGTAGATTAATTTTTTTTCTACAATGTGGGGGTGTTTTAGCTATTATTTATTCAAATATTTTTCTACCCCTTTGTCAAACTCTTCTCTTATTCTTCTATGACTCCTATCATATACATGCTAGTAGCTTGATAGTGTTCCCTACTTCTCTGAGGCTGTATTCATTTCCATCCATTCTTTATTCTTTCAGTTTTTCAGAATAATCTTGATTAACCTATCTCCAATTGGTTGATTATTTTTTATACTCACTTAAATATGCCTTTGAATCCTTCCAATGTTTCTTTTTTATTTCAATACTGTAATTTTCAACTGAAGAATAACTATTAAGTGATTTGTATAATTTCCATTTTTATTGATATTTTCTATTGGAAAGACATTGTTCTCATAATTTTCCTTATAATTTGTTAGACATGGTCTCATTTAGTGTTTTGGAAATATTTATAATAGCTGATTTACAGTCTTTGCCTGGTACAAAGTAAAACATCTGGGCTTCCTCAGGGACAGTTTCTATTAACTACTTTATTCCACTGCTTTATTCAGTCATGCTTTACTTTTTGTTTGTAAATCTCTTTGGTTATTATTGAAAATTGGACATTTTAAATAATAAAAGTAGGTATTATGAAAATAAAATTTCCCTTTCCCCTCCCCAGGGTTTGCTTTTGTTGATGCTACTTCTTTTTGTTGATTTTATTGCTTATTTAAACTAAATCTGTAAACTGTGAATTATTTGCTGTGTATGGCCACTGAAGTCCTGCTTAGTTAGAGTAGTGGTCAGCTAATGATTGGACAGAGATTTTATTAAACATCTTGAACCAGTGAGGCTCCCACTCTTTGCTAAGGGCTTTGTGTGTATATTGAGACACATGTTAAACACTCCAGCAGTTTGTAACTGTATTAATTCTTACTTCCTGCTTGCAGCAGCCCTCACGGTCAGCCAAGGGGAGGAATAGAGCCTTCTCAGTCCTTTCCTGGGTTTTCACACACTCCTGCACATGATCATATCCTTCTAGACTCCCAGGAATACGTCGAGTTCTTCCAAGCCACCATGGATGTCTCATTTGACAGATTTTCCTTTAAGTTTTTGCCAAGCTTCTTGTTTGTCCAACTAGTGTTGCCTCCTCAGGCAGCTGCAGTGTTAAGGCAATGCTGCTGATTTTTCTTTCTTTCTATTTTATTTTTTATTTTTTTTTTTTTTGGACAAAACCCTGGGTATAGGGCTTTTATCACTAAGTGGACTCTGAGGCGGATCAAATAAAGACAAGCCCTGGGAATGGAACTTTTTCAAGGACCTGGTAAACAGGTCAAATAGTAACAATTCTCTTGGGATGTAGCTTTTTGAGAAGTTTCAAACCTATTCTGTATCCTCTAGTCATTGCTAAACTGTTTATTTTCAAAGCTTGCTGGTTGCATGACTGATTGCTTTAAAGTCTACTACCCTAGAGCTGAAGAGAAAGGAGGGGAATAGAATAAGACAAAATGCTCAAACTTGCAGTTCTTCCCCCAGTTTAATCATTGTCCTTGAGTAAATACTCCTCATATTATAGCAACCATTTAGTTAATTACCAGGACTCAAAAATAGTTGATATTGACTATTTGTGACAGTGTTCTCTTTCTTTTTAGAGATTTTTAGATGTCCTTACACTGCCATTTCTAAAAGTAAAATAGAGCTTAACAGAAAAGATGAATCAATCTGAAACGTATAATTAACAAGCAAATTTTATTTTAAAAACCCATTAAATTTATGCTGAGAGATGATAAATTTAAATACAAAAATAAGTCACAAAGTAGCTTTTTTTCCGAGATATAAATAGTAATTTGAAGTGAGAAGGAATAAAATAAAGCTGTCTTAGATGGGAGTGTATTGGTAATTTGTGTACTCTAATAATGTCACAATTTTTCCATTTTAATTGTTCTTCTAAAAACTAAAAATATACATCCATGTAGCTGTGTTTGTACTAAAAAAATTATGTAGATGAAAATGAAGTTACTTTTATTCATAGAAAAATAATACATGCCTATGGTTAATCTTTTAGCCTTAATACAGCTTCTCTCAGAAAGTGAATAAATATACCCCAGAGGGCCATAGTGGTTTTGTGTTGGTGGTATTGAATAATCATCTAATCATTTTTTCAAGGTTGTTAATCAATTGTCTGACCTACAACCCTGATTGAATATTTTAAAAATTTCTACAGAAAATTTTACCTAATAAGTCCCTGGATACCTCTGAACAGTTACGAATGAATATTTTTCTAAAGGACTATTTGAGATTGTACTCATATATAAAAGCTCTTTAGCAAATGAAGTACTGTCTTTAACCATCATATACACTAGTCATCTTGCATGACCCTGATTGTTTGCCTTGCCTCTATTCAATTAACCTGTCACCCAATGCTCCAACAAAGGACACAGAGCATTACACATCATAAATGGCTTTCAAGTGAGCTCACTCAGCTGTGATAAATACATTATGTGGGCCTCATGCAGAAGGAGAACTCATAAAGATACAATACTCCTGCCCCTTTATGTTGCTTACATTCCTCTCAATAATCCAATTCACCATGCTCTCTCAACACCCAGCAATTCCTCTCAGTCAAAACAAGTGATCATATCAAAAAAAAAAAAAAATGGAGTTTGTTATGCTACATTCCAGTCACATTTATTCTCTTATTTCAGGGAAGCCTACAAATGACTAATAAGTTAAGAAACTACACTAAATATGTATGTAAATATTCTTTAGAATTTTTTTCTGAAACCATGTATTCGTTATCACTAGCAGGTATTTTACATATAGCTTTCTAAATATAAAACATGCATGGTTTCCTATTCTGCATTAGTATGTTTGAATAGATAAATTTTTTAATGCTCAGAAGATGTTGTCAGCATTTTGTTTCTTTTTAATTTGAGAATTACTTTACAGCTTTATATAGTGAGGGCAATGTGTACAAAGGTTAAGAGTGATGGTGACACATTAAAGCGAATTCTTTAACTTGCTGACTTTGGAGTATTCAAGATCATCATCTCATTGGTGATCATGCTTGGGTAATGCATTTGAAAAGCTATCTTTTTTTTTAACTTTAAAGAGTTACTTTCTGCTTCATTGTTTTGCTTATGTAAATATAATTAATTCATTAACTGTTGCCATAAAGCAATGCAACTGATATTAAGTGATTTTTCTACATGGAATTTCAGAAATTATTTTTTTAATTTCCCAATTAAGGGCCGATTTACTGCTAATCATAGAGCCATCTGTGTGAAACTCAGTGCCCTTCAGTCTGAAAAATGAGGAGCTTGTATTCTGTATGAGGAGGAAAAATGCAGCCCGTCTTTCCCCTGAGGAGAAAGCTTTGAAATTCAACGATTCTGGAATTTGAATCCCAGAATAGCACTTACTACCTGTCTGACCTTTATTGAGTTTTTTTTTTTTACCTATCCCAGCTTCAATTTCTTTAATTGAAACCCAAAGTTGATAGTATTGTTTATCTTATAGGTCACTTGTGAAGATAAAATGAGATAATGAGCATAAAATTCCTAAAGTCTTGAAAAGTATGATACATTTTATCCATCTATCATCTATCTATCTATCCCCCCTTTTTAAGTCACTCTTCTGTATTTCTCTCTCTCTCTCACACACACACACAGTGTAAAACAAATAAATAGAACACACTGTATTGGGACAAGTCATCACATCTTCTTTGCCTGAAAAAAAGATTCTAGTTATTTCATTACTATCAGTGTTTATAGAAATCCTATTGTCAAATGATTGTAAAAAATAAAATGAAATGACTAATGACTCAGCTATGTTTTGAAAAGGCATTAAATTCTCAGTGATTTGAGGTTTCTTTCTTTATCCATTACATGTTTTATTTTTTCACAAACTGTCTAATTGCAAGATCACTATGGAATATTAATGTATGAACTGAAAGCAGCTATATTTAGTTAACCCTTCAGTAAACCATAAAGAAAATCTACTAAATCAGGACAAGGACTGGTAGTTTACTAAGTTTTTTTTTTCTTAAATCACTGTTGTTATTGTCATATTATTATAAATTCCCTGCTGACTATACACCTTTATATTAGTATTTACATTAACACTTAGGAATTTAGCTGTCTGAGCCATAAAAGATACTGAATAGCCAAAGCAATCTCGAGGAAAAAAAATGAAGCTAAAGGCTTCATACTACCTGACTTCAAAGTATACCACAAAGCTATAGTAACCAAAACAGCATGGTACTAGCATAAAAACAGACATATAAACCAATGTAACATAATAGCCCAGAAATAAATCCATGCATTTACAGTCAATTCATTTTCAACAAAGTTGTCAAAAGCACACAATGAGGAAGGGAGAATACCTTCAATAAATGGTACTGGGAGCTGGCTGGGTGCAGTGGCTCACGCCTGTAATCCCAAGACTTTGGCAGGCCAAGGCAGGCAGATCACAATGTCAAGAGATCAAGACCATTCTGGCCAACATGGTGAAACCCCATCTCCACTAAAAATATAAAAAATTAGCTGGGCATGGTGGCTCGTGCCTGTAGTCCCAGCTACTCAGGATGCTGAAGCAGGATAATTGCTTGAACCCAGGAGGCAGAGGTTGCAGTGAGCCAAGATCGCGCCACTGCACTCCCAGCTGGTGACAGAGCAAGACTCCATCTCAATAAATGAATAAATAAATTAATTAATTAATAAATGGTACTGGGAAAACTGAATAACCATGTGGAGAAGAATGAAATTAGATTTCTACTGTAGGCAATATAAAGAAATCAACTTAAAATGGATTAAAGACTTAAATGTACTACCTGAAACTGTGAACCACTAGAAGAAAACAGGGAAAAAGCTTCATGACTTTGGTTTGGACAACTGTCTTTTGGATATGACCCCTCAAAACACAGATAGCGGAAGCAAAAAAAAACAAAAAAAATACATGAATGGAATTACATTAAACTGAAAAGCTTCTGTATAATAATAAAAACAATTGACAAAGTGAAAAGACAATCTAGAGAATGAGAGAAAAATATTTGCAAATTGTGTGTCTGGTAAGGGGTAAATATCCAAAATATCTGAAGAACTCAAACAACTGAACAGCAAGAAAACAAATAGCCCAATTAAAAATGGGCAAAAGACCTGAAGAAACATTTCTGAAAAGCCATATAAATTGCCAATAAGTACATGAAAAATGCTCAACATCGCTAATCGTGAGGGATATGTAAATTAAAACCATGAGATATTACCTCACACATGTTATTGTCAAAAAGACAACAGCTAACAAGTGTTGGTAAGGATGTGAAGAAAGAGGAACTCTTATACACTGCTGGTGGGATATTAAGTTCCATAGTCACAGACACAAGTAAGGAGGTTTCTCAAAAAAAATAAAAATAAAAATAGAGCTTCCAAATGATCCAGCAATGCTGTTACTGGGTATATATCCAAAGGAAATGAAATCAGTGTGTCATAGAGGTATCTGCACTCCCATGTTTATTGCAACACTATTCACAATAGCTAAGCTGTGAAATCAACCTAAGAGTCCATCAAGTGATGAACAGATATAGAAACTGATATATCTCTTATCATTCAAGATTATTCAAGGCTTTCTCTTTTCTTAGACATCTCTGTTAGTCACAAATTACTTCATGTATTGAAAATACATTGTTGTCTAATTAAAAGTTTTAAAATCAACCAATCAGCATAGGATGATTTTGTTTGCCTAATGGAAAAACTATTAGAATTTAAAAAATCAAAACAACATAGATAACTGGTTCTGAAATATGTGTATCCAAAAATTATGTGAGGATCCTTTTAATATGTAGATGATTATGATTCATGAGTCCTTGTGGATGGGTCCAGAAATTTTGTATTTGAATAACAGGCAACAACTCAGTGCCCATTCAGAAATTTTAGTTTAACTGAGGAAGAGGGTCAAGCAAGCCCAGAATTAAGCAGGAAAGGGCCAGAGTTTTATCTGTATAAAGGCATATTGAACAAGGTGCGATCCAGAATATCATTGGCATGATGAGGACGAATGTTCTCAGTGAAGTTGACTAAAGCAAGAACTGCAGCTCTGGCAAACTAGTAACAAGCCAGGGACCTGGCAAACCAAGAAGCAGAAAAACCTATACTAGACAGATAAAAAGTGAGCAGTTGATCCCAGGAGAGACTGTGCTTTTGAAAATCAATAAAAAATAGATGTATTGTTATTCATTATGATGATGATGATTATTATTATTAATTTTTTCTAATCTGGAGACTATCAAGTAAATGGACGCATCTCTTTCCACATATTCCTAAGCTTATTCATTGTCTCTTTTTATTTCCTCCTTCATTGAATATTTAATCAAAATTGCTACTAAATCTTTTTTGTCACTGACATTTTAGCTAGACTGCAATCATCTGTCAAGAATTACAATTTTAGTTCATTTCTTTGTGTCATGCATGTATAGCTTAGCTCCTGGCATACAATTTAAAACTTTATTTCTTTATATGTGCTTAAGAACATTATCAGAAAACTGCACTTTTTTCCTCTAGCTCAGCTCTTAGGAATCCCTAGAATTAAAAACTAATCATCTAAAATCATCAAGACCACTTGTACTTATTGAAGGCCATATGAATTATGTACCTGACTGTGAGCCTAACGTATTTTGATTATTTGGAGTAAATATATTACTGGTTCTTTCTCCCACTGTGAAAATTGTCCTAAAATACAAAGCTAAAGCTATTCTTTGTAAAATAGTTATTTTCATATATTCATGCATATGGAAACATTCTTTTCATAGAGTTGTTCAACACTGTATGAAAATGTCTTTCTAATAATATCATCAAAGGCAACAATAACTTGTTCTGAATATGAAAAGTTTAAGCTCATATTAATGGTTAATAAATAACATATTTCCTTACAAAGTTTTACATTTATTAGCATCTATACTTATCATTTTTGGCAATTCAAAAATGTCTAAAAAGACTATAAAAAGAGTATAACAACTATAATAAATCATAGCTATAAAAATGATTGACACTGAGAAAATGCAATGTGTATATTAATCCCAGGGAAGAATATTTAAACATCTTAAATTTAATCTATGTATTTGTTATAGAAAATCATTTGAGAAAAGATACGTCACCAAAACACAGTGTTTGAGGTATTTGCATCAGAGTTTACTAACTAGGTGATTTTACTGTTTTTAAAATGAGAAAATACGATAGTACTTAATGTTATATATTTTTAAAAATAAGTAGACCATAGCTTCTGTAAAATAAGGAAGTAACATAGTGATATAAAAATTAGCATCAAGGTTTTACATTATTATTTTCCTTTCTATTTGCTGGTTCCTGCTGATATAGTAAGTGTGTTAATTTTAGGTAGAGTAAAACTAAGATATACTAAATATATTGAATTACTGAAAATATTGAAATAACCACATATATCTTGCCATGATAATGAATTCCTAAGCCAAATAATAAAAATCTATATTCTGGAGTTTAAATGAATCTGTGAATCAGAAATTGATTTTATTCTTTCTGAAAAATTTGTTTCAAGTAGTTTTAATTTAATAGTTTAATAGTCTTTACCACATAACTACAAAATATGGATTATTAATTTCCACAAAACTAACCTTAAGATATTTGATGCAAATTAGCTAATCAAATTTTTGAAAACTAACATCAATAAATACATTTCAAAATCAGTAAATTGCAAGGTAAGTCAGTTATCAAATATTTTATGTGCTTGTCTTTTCCAGGAATTCATTATTTCTTTTCACTTGTTGGAAAATCAGGGGAATCTTAGCTATAGGTTGAGAATTCATACTCAAAGAGTAAAGAGAAGCCTTCGAAAAACAAAAGATAGAGTTTCAAAGAAAATGGTGGCAAGTCAAGCAGGTCAAAAGCTCTAGACTGGATGTGAAATTATTGCAAATGCTATGTCAGCAGAGTAATAGGGATTGAAGTCGAACTGCATAGATTGAGAAGGAAGAAAGTAAATATAAAAGGTAGGACTCAAATATCAGAAATATAAGAGGTGCTTTGGAAATTTTCATAAAAATTTAATAATAAAGGGAAAGGTATAAAGAGAGAGCTTGAGAGAGAGGAGATGGTACTTAGAGAAACTGCTGGGAAAGACAAGACAAAATATTTCAATAAGCTACTGACAGAGAAGAAAGGAGAGAAGAAAGATAAAAAGAAAAGAATATTTAAAATTTTTTTTTTTTATATTTCAGACAGTCCTCTTTATTTTTTTAGGAGAATGAAATCCCCTAAGAAGATCCCCTACCATAGATTTTTAATAACGATCCCCAAATATTCATGAGAAAACATGCTTCTTCCATAAACTTTCATAAAAGAACAGGCACACAATAAATATCCGTTGCATAGAAACATGAAGTTAGGTAGTGCTTTCTCTTCATGTGGCCCTTTTCTTTAAGTTTATGAACCTCACCTCAGGTATTTAATAATTTAAAATATCAGGAGTGAGAAAGGTTTGAACAAAGAGAAATGGCAAAGAAAGTTGGAGACAAGCTGGAGAGAAAATGAAGTATTTATACTTTATTTGTCTATTTATGTCTCCCACTGAGGGGGACTGATTGCAAAAATGGCTTTAATTCTTCACAAACTCTATATCCATACCATTTAAATATGATTTTACAATGCTTTTCATCAAGAGGCAGTCGACCTCCCATTCTGTAAATGTAAGTTGGCCTTATGGCTTTGCCTGAAAGTGTGACAGTTCTAAGTCTTGTCCAAAAGACTTTGCAAACTTTCTTCCCATGTCCCCGCCTCCTGTCTTCACCAAGAGGACATACATAGGATAGCTTTCTCCTGGATGTCTGCTTAGGCTGTTACAATAAGCCCAACTAGTCTGCTGGAGTACTAGAAATAGCATGATGCAAATATAAGTTGTCCTACCTAAGATCATTTTAGATAAGCAAAACCACACTGTTGATCCACAGACTAATAAAAAAAATAAATATTTATCACAGTATGCCACCCAGCATTTTGTGGTTAGACGTTAGGTAGTATTGTTGTTGCTATTTATAACACACATCTAATCAAAACCAATATATCTTTGAAAGAGAAGCAGTACTTTGTTTAAAGTTGTAGCCCCAGAATCTATCATAGCCCCTAAGACAATAGATTAATTTCAAATTGTATTTGTTTTATGAATGAATTATGACAGATGGATGGATGAATTTATAAATAAATGAGATATTTTAGAAAATGTAAATACCAGAAGTTTCCTACTGGCTATTAAGAAAAGACAGAGTCCAACCGAGGCGGGTGGATCGCTTGAGGTCAGGAGTTCGAGACCATGGCCATGACCCCATCTCTACTAAAAATACAAAATTACCTGGGCGTGGTGGTGCGTATGTAGTCCCAGCTATTTGGGAGACTGAGACATGTATAAACTGATGTTATTTTAGGATAGATATAGAGGTTTTAAAAGAGTTTTCTTTTTAATTAATTAATTTTATTCTTATTTGCTTTCCACAGTAAATCTGTGTGTCAGTTAAGTATGTATACGCACACTTCATAGACATGAAAAAGATATTTTAGGGAGATTATACTAATCTCCTATGTCCAAGACTCAAACCAAAGTATTCTAATATAAAATATACCTATCTTTCCATTATTATCATAAAGACCAACTGCTCTAAAAAAAGAAACTTAGAAGAATGACAGATATTGAAGGACTTCAATGAGAGACACTGATTACTATTTAAGAAAGAAAATGCTAAAGCAACATCCTGCCATATGAAATAATATAAAAGATAAAAGTGATTGCATGGTACATAATAACACATAAATCATCTTTTTTACTAATTTAAATATATTTAATATAAATACTATTCTTTTCTTGGCCTTAGATATTACAAATTACTAAAAACAAAGAAAAAACGTGAAATCAAATCTAGTATTTACAACATTGGAGCTAATTAAGATTTTTTTGTTATTTAAAAAAGTATTTCCTTGAAATCATTTGGCCACTGGTGTATTCTACATTCCTTTTTCCAAAATTTTGAGATATTATTAAAATACTCCCTATTCGATGTTATTTTCCTTTCAATTTTCTTTCTTAAAAGTCAATACAACAAAAACTAAAAAGTCAATACATGTAAGTAGTAAATATATGTAATAATACAAATAAAAGTTGAGGACATGAATGTGGCTATGCCTAAATAAAAGTAAAATATTTTTAAAATTATCTTCACACAGCAATGGTTTATTGAAAATTGTTACATATACTTGATTCACATAAAGACCTACAAAGAAACAGATCACCTCCTGATATCACCTCTATCTTCCATGCCTACCAAAAGGTACCCAGAATCTATGGATCAGCAATTACAAATCTATGAAGATAATCTGATAATGTCGTTGAAAGTCTCTTTAGAGATTTCTTGTTCTAATTATATATTTCTCAGCAGATGTCCCAGAAGTCTGTAATAAATACAAACTGCAAAATGAGTTGTACTCTATTAACATTCCCCTTTTCTCACCCACCTGACCACCAGCACTGAAACTCACTTTTTTCCAAGACCAATTTTTAAAATTTATAACACATTTAGTTTCCCCCATCTCCCCAATCCAGATTTTCTAAACTGTCTCTTATTGACAACCCCCTAGCTCTTTCTGTTCTATAAAAGCAGATTAGACCAACCTATTTTTGGGGAAAAATATCTTAGAAAAAGGACCCTGGATCCTCTAGTTTTATTTGAAACATAAGAATAAAATTTTGGTGAGAGAGTAGCACTCAATAGAATAGGTAATATAATTGCATGACAACAATTTTAAGACATGAAAAAATGAGAGCACACTCATTACAAGGTATTTCTTTTACATATTTACCCATCAATGTCCAAAAAATTTTAAAATAGCTATTAGTAGGAGACAGATTGTTACAAGATGAGGATGTGACAATAATAACTAAAATGCTACCTTGACTAATGGTGCATAGAATTCGGTGGAGGTGACAAATAAGCATACAAGAACTAAAAGGATGATATAAGCCTTTAAGGGTGGGCAGTCTCATGTAATTATCATATATTTTAATAACATGGAATTAATTAAACCAGGAAGGGAGGAAAGAATAAAGGGGTAGAAAAACAATGCTTATTCTTACTTTACATACACTGTGAACAACCCAGACCACAAAACCCTCCAAGGCTCCTTATAGAGAACGATCAGAAAAATGATCCTAGATGGTAGAGAAATGGTTATTAAATGTTCAGCATAGATAACTCCAATTCACACGTTTAAAATTCTCTTCAGATGTCAAATCACGTAGACCTCATGGTTTCTTATCTTTCAGCATCTGTCTCAGCTATCAAAGTGGTACATGACCCCAACTTCAAGGAGTTAAGGTCCAAATACAATTAGAGGCAACAGTCCCTGAAAAGCCACCCTCACTTCTGACACCAACTGCACATTTTCAGGTTTCCCAAAACCACCCTGAGGTTCAATAAGTCATTAGTAAGACTTACAGAACTCATTGAAAGCTATTCTACACAGTTATGCTTATTACAGAGAAAGAATACAGAAAATCAACAAAGGCAGGCATGTATAGGGCAGCCTGAGAAGGTACCAAACGTGAATCTTTTATTTTCCTCATGATGCATTATTCTCCTAGAATAATGTAAAACCATGTACCTGGAGTGTTGCCAACCCATGATGCTCACCAGAACTTTGTTGTCCATAGTTTTTATGAAGACTTTATTGCATAGGTATGATTGATTAATATGTTGCCCATGTGGTTGAACTCAGTCTGTAAGTCAACTGATACCACGGGGCCCAAGCTCCTACACTGAATCCTATGCTTTGTCGTTTTTACATGGCCGGTTTCACTCTGACTACTGAGTATGGCCAGCTCATAGAGCCATCTTGTTACCATAATATATCAGATGAGGTTCTAGGGGCTCACATAAATGACAAAGCTATTCCCACTAAGTTCTAAGTTCTAAGCACTATGACCTCCTAGCATAGTGACTTTAATAATAACTAGAGAAATTATATAAAAAGTAATAGAAAAACTATTTAATGTTATAAAATTACCTTTAATATGACGAGAGACATATCTCCTTTATGTCATTAGAGGGAAAGAAGTACAACCATACAGTAAAAACAGAAGTGAAAGTGAGTAATAGGAAATATAAATATAGACATACTGAAAATGACTTCTCTGGGAGGATGCTTATACCGATATTGGTGGGAGATTTTTAATGAGTGGTGGACTTTTAGCGGATTTTGTACCTTTTCATAATCTCGTTTTGTATTGGCTGAAAATAAAGCCTGGCAATATATCTATTCTATAATATGTCATATATATGACATATATAGTAGATGTATCTATTTAAAGAAAGTTAATAAAAGAAGGTTTTGATATATTAAATTTTTCTATTTAGATAAGTGGTTGAAATGTAAACATTCTTAAAATTAAGGCATATTTGTACTGTAAATACATAGAACTGTAGTTATTTTCTAGGAAAATTATTCTTTTACTTTAACAGAAAATCAACCATATTACCAATGCTACTTGTACTGTGACTACATAGAACTGTAGATATTTTCTAGGAAAAGTAGTCTTGTAATTTACCAGAAAAATAACCATATTACCAATGCTTTCATACATACCAAATGTTTTATTCTTAAAAATTAAGCATGTAGTTGCTTTAATGTAAAGTACAATAAGTGCACTTATTGTAGACATATTGAAGTCCCACATGTACATATATTGAATATTAAAATAATTCATAGGTAATAAATATTTGAGAAAAAATTGACTTTTAAAAGGAAAAGAATGATAGAGAATGTTCGGCATGGATTGAACTAGAGAAGTTCTTTCTAATCTAGGAACTTCTTATAACTCCTGATGGGCTTTGCAGATTGTAACTTAGACTCCTGTTTCCTCTCCCATAAATAAGGGAGTTTTGTAAAGTTTCCATCTACTTCTGGTAGATTAAAGTCAATACAACTTAGATAGATAGATGATAGATAGATAGATAGATAGGTAGGTAGATAAAGAAATTGTAATACAAAATATTTTCTATTAACAAATTCTATTTCATCTTTAGCAAAATCTTTTTGGTTTTCTTTCTTCATGTTCTATGGCAAAATACTCACATTTGTTTAACTTGGTACTTGATATTTTTCTGTAGTTGAAGTCAATTGCTTAATAAGTTCGCCTTTAATCTTTCTAAAGCTAATTTAGGTTTTTAAAAAATGTATCGTATCTGACAACATTTACCTTTTACTTTAATGCACATGCAGTCAGTCTGCTAGACATCAGTGCCTTATTTCTGGCCATTTTTCTGGCCTTATCACCTATGAATATCCTTCTGTCTATGCCTTATCATGCAATTATACAGTCGCTAGTGGTTTCTTTCTCTTCTCAGAGTAGTACTGACTCTACCATATCAGTGTGACAGGTTACACATTTCTAACAGAAATGTGCAATGGTGACTATGGTGTTGACCAATAGTATGAGAAAGTTATCCATTTAAGATTGTTTCAACAAATCAAATGCTTTTCAAACTATAATGTTTATTTCAACAATAAAGAATGTTAAATCACCAAAACACATATAATTGTATCAATATACAATTGTAAGAGTAAAGATTTTTTTAAAAGCAATGATAGCATATGATTTGAGCATCTCCTTTTCTCTCACTGGGAATAAGCTAGCCTGACACAGTTACTTGAATAATTCATGAGAGAAGAATAAAAGATTTATCAATAAAAAACAGGGTCAAGTTCTATTGAGGAGCTTTGGAATATAAGTATATGCTAGAGCAGCTTCAGAAGAGAGTTATATATTTGAATGCTCAATTTAAATTTCCATCCACTGCAGGTCTTTATTAATAACTTAATATAAGCAATTCCCACCCCACCACAAAGTCTGTGATTTCAGAATCACTGATTTTTAAATGTTGCTCTTGGGAAAAATCTTCTCATGACTATAAAATAATTTTTAACTATGTCAGTTTTTAAGAATCACTCCAGTATTCTTAACAAAATAGGAGAAGTGTTTCCTCCCTACAGAGGTACTTGCATAGCTTTACGTAGCATGACGTTTCAGGAGAGACTACCAAATAGATTTCTTGTCATCTACATATGATGTGATGCTTTGCTCATATATGAATGAATATATTTATGCTACATATACTCATACCTGGTGAAGCTATAGGTGAACAAGACCACATGTGTGATTACACTGCAGGTATACATTTACCAGGAGAAGAACTGTCAATGAATGCTCCTGCATACAGCAATCCTAACTACCATGACAGGTTGCTGCCAAGCAAACAGGGGCATTCCAGAGATAGCACAACTGCCAAAATGCAAGACAAATGTTTTTAGAATTAGTAATAAATCACATTAGCTGTCTCAAATTTCTCCTTAGTGTATTGATTAAAATTAAGTAATTAGTTAGAATTATAATATCGACACATATAAATGTTAAGCTTATAGATAAAAGGAAATTGGCACTATGGATTCTCAGGGTGATGTTTAACAGTGATAGGGATGAACTGAATTTAGAAAACTCACCTGCTAAGCATCTTGAGAAATTACCACAAGTATTTTACACAAGCATTTTGACCATCACAATTTCCTTTGTAAAGGCTTTTGTTCTTGTTGTTTCTTTCAAATCCTTTCCTCCCAGGAAATCTTCTGGCACAAGGCATGGTATAATGTTAAGTTGTTGGCCACTTTTAATCACATTGTCCTAAGAGTGCCATAGTGTCAGAGTACAGATTATTTAAAACTTATCATTAACTCTTATTAATAATAGTGAACACACATATAAGAATTCACAAGACATATGTGTGATAATACACAACAGAAGGATTGTATTGGTCCTTAAAATCATATAATGATTTTTATCACCATAATTGTCTGCATACATTTGACAGTTTATTGTTCATAAGTGGAAATGATGAAAGGCAGACTTTTGAGACTGGGAAGGCTAATGTCCCTAAAACAAGTTGTTCGTCATCCTATCCGTGGTTTCAATATCCTAACAATGCTGCAGAACTCTTTACAAGTTTTGTGCAGTTTAACAAATGTGAATTCATAGTATAGAGAACAAAATATAATCCTTAATATTCACTCAATCTTGTATTTCAATGAATAATTTAAAAATATAATATCACTATACATGACTAACCTTCAAAACCAGATCGTTTTTAATCCTTGGGAATTTTTGCTCATTAACTTAGAATTGACTAGGAATAGCATATATACAAAAGAAATATTAAATTAAAAACAATTGGCCGGGCGCGGTGGCTCACGCTTGTAATCCCAGCACTTTGGGAGGCTGAGGCGGGCGGATCACGAGGTCAGGAGATCGAGACCACGGTGAAACCCCGTCTCTACTAAAAATACAAAAAAAAATTAGCCGGGCTTGGGGGCGGGCGCCTGTAGTCCAAGCTACTCCGAGAGGCCGAGGCAGGAGAATGGCGTGAACCCGGGAGTAGGAGGTTGCAGTGAGCGGAGATCGCGCCTCTGCACCCCAGCCTGGGCGACAGAGCGAGACTCTGTCTCAAAAAAAAAATTAAAATAAAAAAAATTTTAAAAAAAGAAACAATTTCACCATCTCCCTTGCTGAGAACATTTGTATAAGGAAGAGTGGATTGAGACAGAATGAGCCAGGTCTTCACTGTAAATAGTATTTTGTGAATTATAACTACAAATGTTGAAAGTTGTGTTCTTATGATTTTAATATATTGCAGGTATACTGTCAGAAATGGCAAAATAGCAATTTTTCAAATTCCCTACCATGTAGTGAGAGATGATTTCTTAATTTAGTAGGATCTGATAACAGCTATGAAAAATTCATAATTTCAGATGAGCAATGAACTTTTTTTATTATACCTAGGTGTGTATATCAGCTTTGAATTAAACTATGCATTTCATGAGCAGTCATACATTACTGTTATTTCCATCCATTTCCTTGAAATAATATCTGATGATAATAATAGTTAATATTTATTTTATAAATATTATGTTCTAAGGACTCTATATGGGCTGTATTTGCATATATCCCTTTTATTCCTTAGAATAACCCTGTTTATAACATAGATTTTATCCCTGATACACTTGGAGATGTTGTGTCTTGCCCAAAATAACAGAGAGTGGCAGTGGCTGACCCAGTATGTGAATGCAGGACAAAACATGTTTTGAAGACAGAGGTTTCGGTCATAAGCATAAAAACAAGAATTATAATAGATTAAGGCTTACAGAATGATATAGCCTATTATGCCATTAATCCCCAGATGTAATCAAGAACAAAGCTATAGTCTTTGAATGATGAAAGCTAAGATTCACAGGTGGTTTGGGGTGAAAATAGTCTTTATTAAATACATCAGCAATTGACCTAAGGGCTTCCTTATAATTAAACACCTGCTCACCCTACTACTTTTATGTACATGAATCCTTGAGGAGAAAAGTGGTAACATCTCTAGACTTCCTTGAAATACATTACTTTGAAAAAATAAATTCTCGGAAATGTTTAAGTAAACATAAATTTGTAACGGGACTCATTCAGTTCAACCTGCATATATTCAATGTCTTTAATGCATAATGCACAGCACTGGTTTATTGCAATAAAAAGTTGTATAAATGAAATCCTTCCCTCACGTTACCCTCAATGCAGTGGGATAGACAAACAAGGATTTATGACTATTTGATAAATGTTAAGATAGGGGTATAGCCATGGTACCATTGAAGCAGAAAATACGGCTCAAATATGAATCTGCCTGTTTCAGTCCGGTTTGATCCGAGAAGCATAACCACTAGAAGATAAGGTAAAATCACACGACAAGGTGTTCTGGAGGAAAGATGGGCACAAAGTGTGGGAAATGAGGAAACATTAGAACATGCAAGGGTGAGCCAAAATCCACTAGGATGGACATTGGTGCCAGTGTCTCTTCACCCATAAACTCCCCACCTCTAAACTGATGATAGTGGTGGTCTGTATGAAAGGTCGTGCCTTTCAATTCTGAGCTAAATATGCACCTAGTCATGGAGTCAGTGAGGTGGAAGACAGAGGTCCAGCCAGAGAAGGAAGAACTGCAGTCCTGGCTGCTGCCCTGCACCAACACAATAAGCCTGCAAAAAAGTGACCACAATGTGTCTATGGTCTCTGCACCAATGATCTTCTGTGTAAAACAGGGATACCCACCTGTTCTGCCATCTATTTCTCCTACCAAAAAAAAAATGTTTGTGGCTCACTATAATTAGAAATATAAAAGAGGGGAATTATGGGAAATGTAGTTCCGGCTTAGCTAAATTGACAATGGAAATCCACCTCACTGCCTGAATATTTAAGGGAGGTTAGATAGAAGAGATGGGTAATCTGAATGAATAACACATTCGCAAGTTGATAAGAATACAATTATATTTGAACAATGCTTGTTATTATAGAAGAAATGTGTCAGGTACCCATACAGAGATACAAAATACTCCCAATTTTTCTGAATGCTAACAATTTTCACTTTTATTTTATACTTTATGGTTGCTTTAAAATGTGAACTATTGCAAAGTGTCCTATGCTAGTAATGTTTACTTTCTAAATATCAAATGAGGATTTTACATATAAATTTTAAATAGGTGAATGAATTATCATAGCTTAAGATGAGGGTGGTAAGATGTCACACACACAATAATGTGCATTCAATATTTTTGAATTGCAATGCGAATGCCATTAAAATGAATGCTATATTTATGATGCAATAGAAAATAAGCTCTTTAAAAACACATTAAAAAAAAACACGAACCACGTCAAAATGAGTTTTTATAATGAAAATGTAATAAAAGAATACTGTTTTTTGTTTATGTGTTCTTTTTACATAGGCAAATCAGAAAATTTTATGTTCACAAACCAATCTATGCCAGTTATAATAAATAAAAAATAAATAACTCTTGATAGAAGGAGGTTGAAAAACCAGCTCCCCGGCTTAGATGAGAAGGCATTACAGCAGAGTAGAAGCTTATGTCAAGAATTTGAACCAGCATCCCCGCATTCACATCCTGACTCTGCACTGTGTATCCTGATACAGTTTACTGAATGTCACTGAGTCTCAGTTTTTCATCTGTTAATAGGGGCAATGATACTGTTTAGGCCACATAGCTTGATTTTAAATAGAGACTAAATAAAATATTTTATATAAACGCAATCTGTTGAGTACTTATTAAGCACTAAGCACCATGGAACTCTTTTGAAAAGTGTAAGATTTTAAGCCCTGGAGCCATGGGGAAGGTGAGTTTGGCTTAAATCACTATGTTTTTATCAGCCCTCTCCCTTCCCTGGAGTCACATGAGTTCTACATGATGTCCCTACAATTTTATTTTTGTGATGTGCAAACTAGAAGTATCTAAAGAACATTATGCTAAGTTAAATAAGTAGGACACAGAAAGATAAATGTTGCATGATCTCACTTACATGTGGAATCTAAAAGAATTTAAATTCATAGAAACAGAGAGTAGGTCTTGAATATAACACACCTTGTTTCACCTTGTTCCTTCCCTCGATGTGATAATTACATTAATAGTTTTGACACCAGTTGCAATGGTCACACTGACTCCATGACTAGGTGCATATTTAGCTCAGAATTGAAAGGCACAACCTTTCATAGAGACCACCAGTCTGTGTAGCGAGGGCACCAGTCTGTGTAGCGAGGGCTACACAGATGGCGAGGGGGGGGCCCTACACTGTAAGGTGGAATATAATTGTGTTGGAGCAGGGCAGCAGCCAGGACTGCAGTTCTTCCTTCTCTGGCTGGACCTCTGTCTTCCACCTCACAGTCATCAAAGCTTTAACCAGATCTTCTATTTTGTTAATTTATTTTCTTCTACAAATGCCCTAGAAGTAACCATGTGAAGATATATATGTGTGTATATAACTGTTCTGTTTCTATGCTGATTCCTCATGAATTTTTGCCCTAGAGATTATCATCATTCATCACTTTTGTGCTAAACAATTCGTATGTGTTAACTACCAAATCTATATATTGTGATTTATATAGATAAATATATAGACAGGCAATATATAAATATACATATGATGTGTGTATATATCAATATCTATACTTCTCTATAGCTCTCTGTATAACACTATATGTATCTAAATCTATACCCCTTTCTCTTGAACCACAAATCTGCTTTTTCAAATAACTGTTCATTCTTAACGTTTCCATGTTCCAAACTCAATTATATATAACAGTCTATCCACCACATAAAATCTCATATGTTTTCTATTGCTATAATCCTAGATTTTACAAGCCTTGCTACCCTGAGGTACCCAATAAAATAATTGATTTTATCATTTATTTAATCTTATTTTTTTTTTTTTTGGTGTGAAAATACTCTGTTTAATAAAGACCAGGCGGAGGGAGGTGAGGTTGTGGGTTCTGTACAGGAAACTGAGTCCCAGCCCCAGGAAGGGAGAAGGAGGACGGACCAGCTGGCAGCCTGGGAGAGGTCACAGGTCAGTGGCCGGACCCCAGTCGTAGCCATCTTCATCGGGGACTCCGCATCGCGGACTCGTGTAAACTTTTTCTTCAGGGCTTCCGGTTCACAGGTTCGCATGCTGTCCTGTCGCCTCTGACCCTGGGGGTGGGGGCTGTCCACTTGGGGCCCCTGATGAGCCGAGATTCTCCCACGAACCCTCGGGCTCTGGGGCTCATCTGCTTGCACGGGCTCTGAGGACCTGTCCAGGGCTGGAGCCGGGAGCTCATCATCCGCATCCGTGTAGGGCCCCCCGCTAGCCGTCTGTGTAGCGCTCGCCATCAGTGTACGCGCCGCCCTCGCCTTCCGTCTCCTCCAGTAGTCGCTGTTAACACGGCTGTCGCAGCTGAGGTCAGCAGAGCTGTCGGCCAGGCCGCGGTGAGGGTTGTCCTCCAAGGAGCCATCCAGCTTATCTTCCGCCGTCCAGATGGGCCGCGTCTGCTGCTCTCGAATGATAGCCTTGAACTCCTGGTACCAGGTGTCACTCGTGCCATTCAGAGGGATGGTGGCTGTGAAGAGGTGGCTGCTCTGCTTCCGCAGCTTCTGGGCTTGTGCGTAGAGGCGGCGGGTACTGCGGCAGGAGGCAGGCGCCAGCCAACTTAGCTCCTTCTAAATTGTCCTCATACATCCAGTGATTTTCAGGTAGTATTTTTAGTGTTCAGGTTTATTGAGGTTTAATTGAAAAATTAAAATTGTATATATTCGGAGTATATAACACAATGTTCTGACACACATATACATTGTGAAATAATTAACATAAGCTAATTACCAGATCCACCACCTCACATCGTTACTCTATGCGTGTGTATTGTGGGAATCTACTCTCTTAACAAAAGTCAAATATACATTTTAGTTCACTATAGTTACCATGCTGTATATTAGGTCTTCATCACTTATTCGTTTTATAATTTTAAGTTTATACCCTTTGATCAACATCACTACATTTCCCCTACCCTCTCTACCCACCCTGATCCCTGGTAACCTTCCTTCTACTCTGTTTCTATGAGTTTAATTTTTTTTAGATTCCACATATTAGTGAGTTCATGCAATATTTGTATTTCTGTGTCTGACTTATTTCACTTAGTATAATGTCCTCCAGGTAAATCTCTGTTGTTGCAAATGGCAGGATTTTCATGTTTTTAAGACTGAATAATATTCCATTGTGTGTGTGTGTTATACACACTCACAGAGGCACACACACACTACTTTTTTATGCATTTATCCATTGATGGACACTTAAGTTGTTTCCACATCTTGACTATTGTAAATAATGCTGCACTGAACATCAGAGTGGAGGTATCTCTTTGAGATAGTGATTTTATAAGGGATCAATATCCAATATATAAGGAACTCAAACAACTCAATAGCAAAAATAACAACAAAAAAGAAACAAGTAATTTAAAGATAGCAAAGGAGTAGACACTTAAATGCACAGTTTTTTCAGAGAAGACATACAAATGGCCAACAGATATATGAAAAGGTGCTCAACATTGCTAATCATCAGGGAAATGCAAATCAAAACCACAATGAGATATTGCCTCATATTTGTTAGGATGGCTATTGTCAAAAAGTCAAAAGATAACAAGCATTGATGAGGATGAGGTGAAAAGAAAACCCATATACATTGTTCATGTAAAAGTAAATTGGCACAGTCATTATGGAAAACAGTATGGAAGCTCCTCAAAAAACTACAAATAGAATAACCATATGACCCAGCAATCCCACTTCTGAATATATATTTTAAAGAAATAAAATCAGTAGTATCTTATTCATGTTCAAGTTTTGTCTTCTCATATTCTTCTACTCTAACACCTTGGTCTTTAATATCTTCTGTCCAGTAATCCACTTTTGGGGACTTAGAGTCTTCCTTCACCAATATTGCTTCAGAAATGTTAATTTTCACAACAAGGGTGCCATCAAAATTGTACCTTGGCTACTCCACCCTTACGGTACGGTCATTTTGGAATGGAAACAATTTTTCTCCATAATACTAAATGTCTCTTAAAAAAATAAGTTCCCACAGCAGTAGTGTTGGTGTGGTTTCAAGAAAAACTACTGCAGATTTTATTTGCAATACCTCTTTCTATAAGTTTTAGATGGAAGCTATCTGCAAACCAGATCTCAAGTATATACAACAAATTTTCATTATTCACAGTATTTATATTCTTTTTTTTTTTTTGAGATGGAGTTTCGCTCTTGTTGCCCAGGCTGGAGTACAATGGGGAGATCTCAGCTCACTGTGGCCTCCGCCTCCCAGTTTCAAGCTATTCTCCTGCCTCAGCCTCCGAGTAGCTGGAATTACAGGTGCGCCACAACACCTGGGTAATTTTTTGTAGTTTTAGTAGAGACGGGGTTTCGCCACATTGGCCAGAGTGGTCTCGAACTCCTGACCTCAGGTGATACGCCCACCTTTGCCTCCCAAAGTGCTGGGATTACAGGTGTGAGCCACCGAGTCTGGCCGTTTTTTAGATTCTTTAAGGTCGCCACAAACATTGAATCAGCAAATACTGAACTACTGTTCCTAAGGGAAATGCAGGGTTAGGATCTTTAGAGCCTCTAGTCATATATTGGTCAAGTGAAACACCATTTGTCTTGTATAGATTCCTTTGCCAAGCGTCCATGTAAAACAAACCACTGTCATCAGCATTGAAAATCTGCTCTTTTATAAAACCCTTTCTTTGTATACATTTCACAGGTATTTAAAAAATTCTTCCACATCCTCTTGATCTGCAGAAACTTCCTCACCTGCAAGTTAACATTTTTCATGCCATATCACCTTCTGAAACATGGAAAGCAGCCAGTACTAGCCAGAGTGTTTAACATGACAAATTTCTTTGCCTTTCAGCCTCACAACAATTCTGTCCACTATACTTTTTTGAAATCAGTTGTTGTCTCATGAATCCACAGATGTAGCTGCTTTTCCATCTTTCATGTACCGTGGTGTTACTTTGACACTTTCTGGAGCAGCCTTACATGCAGATCCATGAATTTCCTCTTCCTTTTCTGAATATAAGGCATTGTTGATTCATTAACATTGAACTCGTGGCCAACAACACTATAATTCATGGGTGAACAATGCTTATCTAACACCAGTATTTTCTCCATAAGTCACATCACATCTTTCTTGCACTTGGAAACACCAGACACCACATCAGCTTTACTTGAAGGGTCATTTAAAGTGGCAAAGTTGTGAAGAAAAAGCACAAAAAAATGCAAATATGTGATAGCAAATAGATTTTGAAAAGCAAACTTTTTATTACACTTCAAAAGTTGAAGAAGAAGACGGAGCACTGTCTCATTCGACTTGAACTGGGAACATGTGAGTTGGGTGATTCAATTTTTTGTCAGTTCTGCAGATGTATGGAAATGACTGCAAATGCATCAAGAATGTCACTTTTAGAGGTTCAAATACATTTTAGCGAGTAGGCAGATTTGCATATACAGATTCTGCACATTATAAGGATCAACTCTATTTTGCTTTTCTTTTACAATTTTGGGATATTTTATAAAATTTTATAAAGTTGTATTATACCAGGAGAAAAAAAAACAGTATCAATTATATTGAACACTTGTCTATCTAGTCCATATCCATTATCGAAACTATCATTGAATATATATTGTTTTTGATTTTATGATTTTTCTTGTAGATCATTTTCATTCAAAGACTGATTGAGAAAATCTCAGAAGATTAAAGAGAATAAAGGATCTGACTTGAAATATTTGTGATTTTGTTTTATTTTGGTTTGGTTATTTTCTAAATATAAAATGAAATATTTAAAGGTTCACATAATAGAAGTATGAATTATGTCTATTTTCTCCCTTTATAATATAGAAAATATTTTCCAAACACTGAATATGTTTGAATTTCAGAGCTACTAAGAAATAGTAAACAATGTTCACCACAATGGAGATGTCCTAAGCAAACCTTATGGGAAAGAATGTTCTTAGTGTAAAAATACCCACGTCTTCCCAAACCACTAACTATAGTTCCCACCTTTAAACCAGTTTTCCCTTATTAAACACAACTTTAATGAACTGGTAAGATTTCTTGCATTAAGATGTGCTAAAGAAGGAAAATGTACAAAATAGGAATTAAGATATGAGAAAGCAAATCTCATAGACAGTATTGTTTTCATCTTTATTGATTTTTAAATTACTTAAGAAATAGTTACCTATGCAGATCTTCCTGTACTCAGTCCTGTAACAATTTCTTAAGTAATTTAAAATAATTTGAGTAATTTGAGTCTGTTAAGACTCAAGAGTTAAGAGTTTTCCAAAAGTGGTTTGCAGAACTTAAGCACCTCTGACAGGTTAAGAATTTCTTGTAGCAGGGATTTAGTGGTTAAAATAAGTGCTAGCAACTCCGCATATGATGTTCCTCTTGGATATTCAAAACAAATATTAAATATTCTGAACTATCTTGTGTTCAACTGAGTTTACTCTGTCAAAGCCAGTGTTTCACAAGTTTATTTAGTTAGAAATACACATTTAAGAAAGTGTGAATAATGATTACATTCCCAGGTTATGGAATCAGACTGCCAGACTTTGAAGCCTCATTTGACTGCTCAATATCTCTGTGAACCAAGACAAACTTTAACCTCCTTTCAAATCAGTTTATTCATTTATAAAATGAAATAATAACAATATTTACCTAGAGTTTTGTGACAATTCCATAAGAGTAATGCCTACATGTATTAAATTACCACAAAGCATTAGTTAATGCAAAAAAGCAAATGTTCTTCTGTAGAAGACAGTTTGGGAAACATCATCAAAGCATATTCAGTGAATTTAATCCTTTGTTTTTTATTTAAATTTATTTCAAAATCGAGTCACATAAATCTAATCCTGAAACTTAGATACAATTTACTTTTGTGGATAAAGACAGTGAACCTTAGAAAGACCAAATGACTTGTCCAAGGTCATGCAACTCATTTACGGCACAATTAGATTAAGATATTAGACCTTCTACTTGCTAACTGAATGATATTTTCTCTGCACTTGGCTGCCTGTAATATACTCAGATATTCATATATTGATTCCCTTTCAATCTAAGGGAAAAGACACTATGCAAAGGGAAAGAAGTTAGGAAATCAATTTTCTATTACATTAGTCATTAATACTATCAAATATCATGCTCTTTTATCACCAGTCACTCCTTATCATTGAAACACTGCAAAGTTATGGCCCACTATGTCACAAAGATTATTTCCTACCCAAAATACCAGGACACAAAACCTTGCATTTTGCCAGTTTGTGCTTCTGCTCATAGTATAGTATTTATTAATTATAATTTAAATTTTATTTTACTAGTATGTTCTGATTTCACATTCTACATACAATCAGTTTTAATTTTAAAGTTATTTAACAAAGGCCCCAAAATCTACTATTTCCAGCATTTATATTTTGTAATTTATTTTGTTATTTTGGTAAGTAATAAGCTATATGATACAGATAATCATTTACCTATTTCGGGTTAATATTAACACATCCATAACCACAGTTTTCATGTATCTTTTAAGTCAGTCAATTATATGACTGATTATTAAATGATATAAATCTCATTACTTCAATATTATTTCACATAGCTCAGAATGAGAAATTCTGTAGAAGTCAATATTGACTAAAACATATATAAGACACCTACAAATTTGTTAGATAATGATGACTATGCCAACAGAAACACACATAAATAACTTGAGCAAGAAATTTATCTTTCAGAAGTCCAATAAGCATATGTAAATTATGCAGATTTTAACATCAATAAAGCAAATTGAAACAAAATCTTGCTCAGCAGAATTATTAATGTAAAGAAGGGAGTAACTACTTGCACAAACTGATTTAACTGTGTGGCACACATTTCCTGTAAGGCCAATTGGACAGTCTCCCAAAGGCTTTACAAAGGGTTACAGAAAAGATGTTCCTAAAACAGTGCATATCACAAAGTTGATTATAAAAATCCAGATTTAGAAACTACCAAAGTTGCCAAAAGTAATAGTATCGGTTAAATACGTGATGGAAAATAGAATATAATTACCATTTTAAAAAAACAGTGGAAAAAAATTATTACTATAAAAATTTGCTATATGATCCCATTTTCAAACTAGACATGTAAAGCTTAGATTAGGTTACAGAGGGTAAGACGTTAACAATACCAGTTTCTAGGTAATGAGATTGTGAATGTATTTTTATTTTCTGGCTCTTGAATAGGTATTACTTTAGTGAGAGAGTTGTGTCTTTTTAAAAATCACAATACCTTAATTTATATTGTACTATTTCCCCATATGGAGAGAGAAGAGGTATAAAAATCTAGTTATTGTTCATTTTTAATTGCTGTGAAAGTATTATTATAAAATTAGAATTTAAAACTGATTTTACCTTAGAGATACCAGAGAAACACATAAGTATGTGGACAGAGTTTGCTTCTCACAATTTGTTAAATACATAACCATAAAATTAGAATTAAGAATAACTTTTACTTAAGTTAGTATCTTCATCATTAATTTCAATCTTACCTTAAATGATTAATAATATATATTAGTCCTTAATTGATAACTTAGCATAACGTTTTAAAATTCTTAAAAATTCTACTTGGAGTAAATTAAGAATGACATATTCTCTTCTCCATTCCATTTTATGAATTGTACACACAATATCATCATGTGTGCTCTGTAAAAGACATCTTTCTCCTCACATTCTTCTGTTATCTATCTGTATCCCACAATAAAAGCTCCCTCCATTCTAAGTCTGCACATAGAAATGAAATAAGGTTGTACCTGGTCTCCTCTGCCAACTAACTAAATTTTTTGTAATGATTTTATTTAAAGCAAATCTTTGCATGTGGGAAAATCATCATCACTTTAGCTTTCATTCATTAAACAGACCATTTTTGCAAGTGTTATATTGTCATGTATTCCATAAGCAAAGGACCTTACACAATTGGAGAAAGTAATGGTAAGGCCAGCAGTCATGACGATGCCCACATAGTAGGTGAGCACATAGGGAAATAAAACATCAATGATATAGTGCCTTATTTTATTCAAAAGGGACTGATTATTTGGAGTCAATTTATACAAGTATGATTATAAAATATTAATATAGCTATTGTACCTGTACTTCTCAACTGGAAAATAACAAAGATCACACCAAACAATGCTCTTTATCCTCCAATGCTATTTTCATCTTCACAGTGGCATTTATCTAATACTTCTTATAAAACATGTTCACCTGTTACCCAATAGTAGGAAGGAAAATATTCTTTGCATACACGTTATGACAAACCCTTTTTAAAAAATAAGATCTCTCAAACTCTTTGGAAATGGAGGAAAAGGGCAGAGATGATCTTATTCGTGTTAGCAGAAATTTGAACATAAAAGTTGCCAGGTTGTTCTACCTACATGTAATCCATCTTCCTGGGAGTCGCTGACCTTTGCAAAGGGCACTTTCCTCAGAGCTGCCTAAACTCACAGAGAGAAAATTATCTCTTAATACCCTTGTGTTACAAATAATTGAGATTGCCAACATATTTTTACTTCTATCATCTTATATAGGCATCATAACTTGTCATTTATTTACCCTTCAAATTTTCTAATTTTATTTATATTAAAATATATATTTGATCTTCGTTTTCTACCATATACACAAAAAAGATCATTATCCTTTAGTCATTCTGATATGTGAATATATATAGCTTCCTAAGTAGATCCTCAAGAATAAAGTAATCTATTTCTAGTTCATGTTTCTTATGCTTGAACACATTTCAAACAGAATGCTTTCTCAACAATTGAAATAGGAAATAGATATCTGTGTTATATAAAATATTTAACCTCTGATTACTTTCAAGAGTATTTTTTCCATTACATTATAATCTTTCATAAAATATTATTTTCCTTCAAAATAATATGGTCATGTTTTTATTGCTTAAATTCAATTTCAGTGGCACAGCACTAGTACATTTCTATAAACAACACTTAAGACATATTTTTATTTCAGAATAAATTCCTAACAGACTTCCAATAGAAGAAAGGAAATGGATCTGGAATTGAGCTATCACCACCTGCACTTATCCTTTGTACTCTCACTTCACCTCCATTCTAACAAACATGTGCTTTTATAAAGGCTGTCCTTTTGTTTTAGCCATCTACAATACCCTTTTTAAAGTACTGATTTTCTTTTTTTGATTGTTATTATACTTTAAGTTCTGGGATGCATGTGCAGAACGTGCAGGTTTGTCACATAGGTATATACATGGCATGGCGCTTTGCTGCACCCATCAACCCATCATCTACATTGGGTATTTCTCCTAATGCTATCCCTCTCCTAGTCCCCCACCCCCCGACAGGCCCTGGTGTGTGATGTTCCCCTCCCTGTGTCCATGTGTTCTCATTGTTCAACTCCCACTTACGAGTGAGAACATGCGGTGTTTGGTTTTCTGTTCTTGCGTTAGTTTGCTGAGAATTATGGTTTCCAGCTTCATCCATGTTTCTGCAAAGGACGTGATTTTCTAATCGCTGAAGTTTTTTTACATTGATGACAAATTTCCTCATTATTAAATTCTCCAGCAGTTTTCAATTTTACATTGTAGTATTCTCATTTTAACTCTTATTTTCGGCTTCTAATCTCTGTATAACTTTTACCATCAGAAGGGGGGTGGTAAATACGCTTCCACTTTCAGACTAACCGATGAACAGGTGACAACTGCCTACTAGGAAGAATTTGAAGCTGTATCTATACATCTTAATTTCTTAAAGTATCACCTCCCAGAAGTTCTCTAACAGAAATAGTCGCTTTTTCCCATTTGCACAGCAAAGCAACTTGCATAATCCTTTATCATAACACATATCACATCCTACTCTAAGTTTAATTTGCATGACAATCTAGCTCATTAGAGAAGCTTTGAGCTGGAGTCTGCACTGTCACCTCTCTGTTCCCTGTTCCCTAGCCCATTGCCTAGCCCACAGAAGCCACTCAACAAGTGCTTTTGAATAACTGAATAAACTAAAAAATGGATGAATATATACCAAATTATCTACAGCTTTGATGTCTAGGCTTAAATTTTTTGACAGTTTGATAAAGGAATTTGATCAGAAAAAAAGGCTGTTTAACAGTATACCATTATATTGATCATCAAAAAATATATTGATTTGACTTAAAATTTAAATAAAGATGCCTCCATATTTGTGATATTTCTGTTGAGAAGAAGGAAAAAAAACTTAATTTCCAGAAATACCAGCTTCCTCCAGCACAACCTTCTGAGAGGAATGAGCAAAATGATGCAAATGGACACAGTAAATGCTATTTTATCAATTATTATATTTTATACCATTTCAAAATCACAATATTTGGAGATCAGAAATCGTATTTTACTTTTTTGTACATACTTTATAGGAACTAATAAAAGATTCCAGAAAATGTGACAAATTCAGAAAATGCTTGTTAACTTGCCTCAATACACTGGCCATTCTCTTTGATTTATTGCCCCACTTTTCTTTAAAAAAATAAAAATATAGGGTGAGGGTTTGATAATTATTGGGTGATAATCATGGTAAAAACAAATAGATAAAGGATATCTTCTCGGATCTGCTTTGTTTCCGATTAAATAATTATATTACTTATAATTATAATTGTTAATATAATTATAAATTATCAATGCTTGATCATTTGTAGTATCAACAAAGCTACTAGCAAAGTCACTACCATACACACACACACACAACGGAGACAGCAGCCATTTGGCTATGTGTCAGACTCATTTGGTTGGAGGAACTTTGGATTTATCTGCAGGCAGATTTATGAGAAGTATTTTGGAGCATTACCTATAATTAAAAGCTAGCATCTCTTTGTTTCATTGTCTTAAATGTGCAGCTATCTATATCAGAAACAGATAACACAGTTTACTTCAAATAATTATCATGAAATCTAAAAATAAAAAAGGAGAACAGTTGATTGACCCCATTGCATAACTTGCTATAACATTTTCAGGTTTTGATTGTGTGTGTTTGTGTAGGTGTGTGTTGAGTTTTCATATGCTATGTCCTGAATGTTTATGTTCTCCCAAAATTCATATGTTGACATTTTAACCCCCAGGTTGATAGTGTTAGGGAATGGGGACTTTGGGAGGATAATTAGTTTATGAGAGTTAAGTAATGGCCATATGAAAGAGGCCCAAAAATGACCCCTCATATCTTTTGTCATGTGAGAACACAGTGAGAAGGCACCATCTATGAAGCAGAAAGCAAACTCTCATCAGACACCGAATCTGCTAGCACCTTGATCTTGGACTTCCCAGCCTCCAAAACTTTGGGAAATAAATTTCTGTTTTTATAAGCTACCCAGTCTATGATATGTTATAGCAGCCCAAATGAACTAGGACACAGCATGTTTTTGCCACTTTCATGAGAAATTTCAAATTCGTTTATTTAAATTTCACATTGCATTATATTTTTTTCTAATAATTTTATAACAAGAAAATATTAAAACTACTAGTCGCTTTTGACTTTACACATTGCTATATAAGTGTATGTGTGTATATATAGGTATACATATATATATTTAAATCAGAAATATAGTTGAATTGTTCTTTCATAATAGAGTGTATTTTGAACTTCTTCAAAGTAGTTCTAAATTATTCAAGTATATTTGTTACTTGTGATTATATACTTGAAGGCCACTAAATATAATATCTCCTATACATCTTTCAAGTAAGGTTAAGTAGAGCAAATTTTGAAGCAAATTTCCAGTGACAATTCTGATTTTGCACATCATCTGTAGCTCAAACTTAGCAAAGTAAATATAATTTGATTTTAAAGGAAGAACAAATTTCATGAATACTTATTTTATTTTACTTAAATTTCTTAAAAAATTACAAAAAAGGGAAGTACAACATTGTTTTCCACTGGGAGTCACTTGATCATATGAGTGCAACCTTCAAAACGCCTATAGGCATTCTATCAGTGATCTCAGAAGTCACATTCTCGAAGCTACATTTCCTATCAGTGATCTCAGAAGTCACATTCTCAAAGCTACATTTCTTTTCTTTTTTTTTTTTAATCTTATTTTCAACACACCCTCTGTGGCAAATATATCTACCCCTCTTCACAAAGGTTCAATAATCAACTTTTGCACCTCTCCAAAATATAAAATAAAATAGAAATTTACACCTTTAAGTCAGATGATGAATTTACTCTGAAAATATCTATTTTTTTCTATCAAAACCCAATTCAAAATGTCAATCATTAATGCAAAAAAAGTTAGTTGACTCATTTTTTGCAGTATATATTATAATTCATAATTTTTTTTCTGTTAGGTTTTATATTACGCATTGTAATAATTTAAGAAGTTTTAGATATTTAGTGATTTAATTTTGTTATTCTGTGTGCCTTACTTAAAATACTGAGATAACTTTCAATGGAAGTTTTTCCTTTAAAAGATTTCAAATCTTAATTTATGACCTTTTTAATCCCATTTTCTTCTCTTTTATTTTTTAAATTGACATTGGCATTTTGTCATAATCATTTTTTAAATAATCTTAATAATCTCAATGTACAATTGTAGGAAAATAATGACATTTACCCACTGTCTTTCCAGGACACGATAGTACCTTTAATATTTGTTGCACAGTTATTTTTCAGCTATTACATTTGTCACCAATCCCCTGCCTTTCTAAAATTCTTTTTTATTCTGTATGTAAGGTAGGATTTAATGTCCCTGGCTTTGTAAACTTGTCAAAGACTATAGTAAACACTCTCTTTGAACAACCTAATTCTTATATTGCATTCCACCAGGAGCTCAAAGCATGAATGTAACAATTATAACTACTCACTGAAAAACTTTTTTTTTCTCTTTGAGACAAGGTCTTCCTCTGTGACCCGAGGTGCAGTGCAGTGGCTCTATCACAGCTCACTGCAGCCTCAACATCCCTGGCTCAAGCAATCTTCTCACATCAAACCCCTGAGTACCTGGGACCCAGGCATAAACCACCACATCTGATCTGAAAAGTAAACATGTCTTCCTATATGGTCTTTATTTCTGTATGTATATCACTATTTGTATTTATTATTTTTAATAAGAAAAATGTAAAAGTTCACAATACAATAGTTGCATACATGATTCCAAGGTGAGTAGAACATATAGATTCTACTTAGAATAGACACACCTCTTACCCATGTGATTGCTATGACATCCTAGAAAAATAATTGGACTTTACTTTGATTCATGTTTGTGTTCTGACTTGTCTAATTACCAGCAAGATAATCTGTTCTTAGAACACATCTGTGGGGCTATTTTGTCAATGTTTGTGGTCCCCTAAATTTTTATGTTGAAACTTAATCACCAACGTGATGGTGTTGGGAGGTGGAGCCTTTGGGAAGGTTATTAGATCATGACAGTGGGTCCCTAATAAATGGTATTAGTACCCTTATATGCCCTTATAGAATAAACCCAAAGGAGCTGATTCACTCCTTTTACCATAGAAGGACAGAGTAAGAAGGCTCCATCTATGAACCAGGAAATGGGCTCACACCAGACACTGAATCTGCACCCTGCTAGATCTTGAATTTCCCCAGCCTTCAGATCTGTGAGAAATAAAATTCTGTTGTTTATAAGCTACCAGTTTATGATATTTGTTAGAGCATCCATAACAGATTATGACAAGGGCTCAGACTTACTCGACTTTACAATACAGAAACTCTGAGAAGTTGTTTATCCTGTTGGTAATTAGACAAATGAGAACACCAACACAAATCAAAGTAAAGTGCAATAATTTTTCTAGGATGCCATAGGAATCACATAAATAAGAGAAGGTGTGTCCGTACTAAGTGGTATCTATATGTTCTACTCACCTTGGACTGTGCTAATAAAAGTGTCTAATGTATAGGAAGACCTCATAAATACTAAAAATTATAGCTGATACTAACTTCATTAGGTAATTAATATACTAATAAATTGTTAGATAAATAATAAGAAGCCCTTAAAACATGTAACCTAAATCATTTTACGAAAGGGCCTTGTCATTATTTACTGAATATGCATGTAATTGATCCAAATACAGAAATGCACATTGCGTATCTGAGAGCTTATGTCACACTTTTACTCTTCACTTATATTGCCCTTAATTTACTGCCTTACGCTACTACTTCTTCAACCTAAGGTAATAATTTATATAAATCTATAATATAAAATGGACCCTTTTAGTAGTGCTGGTTATAACTAATATATGAAATATTAATATTGTTATTAGTCAAATAATTAATTTTCTTTTAGCCCCAGGAAATTACTGTAGTTTTTTTCAGGATGGAGACTATTTTTAATTTATTGCAATCATTTTACTAAGGTATCAATATTGTACACTCTTTCTCCCTAATATTTTCCATATTCAATGGAATGAATAAATTCATTTTTTCTGTTGTATAAGTAATTAAAATAAGCTTTAATTTGAATAAAAATCTTAGACATTTAGAAAGCACTAAACAAAGAGTTATTTACTTATTTTCTCAATTTAATACTGGTTTAAAAATTACTTTCCATTTTATTTGTAAGACCCTATATATTAAGAAGAAAATGGACCAATTTCATTTTTCAGTTTGGAAGCTAAACTATGTTTATTAATCCTCAACTTTAATATATTTACTTCAACAGTGTCATCCTTTGTTTTTATAATATTATTCACTGCAAGTGAGTAAAAATACCTTTTCATATCCTTATCTGAAATTAATGTTTCCCTGAGGATCATCTAATCTATTTGTCCATTTTGAGGTCTTTTATAACACGAATTTATTTACTAATGTTGACTTAATGATTACTAGTGTTGGACATAGTAGAAGCTACCCAAGCAATGTCAACATTTAGGAGCAAAATCTGGAAATAATATTAATATATATTATAGTATAATATGATTTTTATATGTATAATTTTAAATATAGACAATATATAATTAGTTCCTACATGTCCATAATTTAAATGTCTCAATTACATACACAATTACATGAGCAGCCATTTTAAAAATAAGTAATACTAATGGTAAATATATTTTCAAACATATTCAATCTTCTAAAAATGAACAGTTTATAATTTTTTTCTTGCACACTTAATGCACACATGCATACACAATCCCTCATCTCCCACATACACACGCTCTCTCTCTCTCTCTCTCTCTCTCTCTCTCTCTCTCTCTATATATATATATATATATATATATATATATATATAATTTTTTTTTTTTTGAGACGGAGTCTTGCTCTGTTCCCCAGGCTGGAGTGTGGGGTGCAGTGGCGCGATCTCGGCTCACTACAACTTCCGCCTCCCTGGTTCAAGCAATTATCCTGCCTCAGCCTCCTGAGTAGCTGGGACTACGGGGGCACGCCGCCACGCCCGGCTAATTTTTTTGTATTTTTAGTAGAGACGGGGTTTCACCTTGTTGCCCAAGCTGGTTTCAAACTCCTGAGCTCAGTCAGTCTGCCCGCCTCAGCCTCCCAAAGTGCTAGGATTACAGGCGTGAGCCTCCACGCCCGGCCCACACATTCTTAAAAAAGATGTTGAGATATATACTTTAACAAAGTTGAAGACCAACATGACAATATGTACAAAGAGTTTTAGAAATATCACTAATTTTAATTCTAGTAAAGCTACCAACTCATCCAATAAAAATAGTCTTAGCATAAATGCCTTCAAAGTATTAAAAATCTAGTATGTTCAGTGCTGTCTTATTTGTGATCACATAAGTAGCAAATAAGCTTAATGTTCAAGATAGAAGATAAATAAAACATTGTTTATGTATAGAGCTTCAGATATCACATTTTCAAAACTGCCTAAAAATAAGATATTGTACATAATCATAATATAATTGTAAGTAAAAAAGGCAAGAAGTAAAACTCTGTGAAGTAGAACATTAACTTTTCTAAATATGCATGTACATTTATGTCTAAATACGTAGACAATAAAAATACTACATTTTTTAGAGTAGATGCTACCAGGTGATATTCACATTTTTAAATTCACTAAATTGTATTTCTCTGTATGTATTACATTTACAATTAGAAAGAAATACATATTGCCAAAAAGACTAAAAAGGTATGTATTTTATATTCGAAAAGATAGTGACATGTAAAATATACATAAATTAAATAGAACAGTAAGAATTTTTGTTAAGCTGAATTTAAATCAGTTTTTACAAGTAAACCTCTGCGTAAAAGGTGTATATAAAATGAAAAGATACAGTGGACAACAAAAGAGAATAGGCAGTCCACCAAAGTTATACTTTAAATAACTATAGTATAAATAACTAGTAAAAATGAGGAAATTGTTCATAATTGTAAAAACTCAAAAAAAAAACATGTTAAATGTTTACCTCCAAATTTGACAAAGATTATGTAAAACATGCGTACTACACAATGTTAAAGGGGTAAAATGAAATGGGAAGTCTAATGCACTACAGTTGAGAGCTAAAATAAGATGGTATTTCTATAGAAAAAAATTTCAAAATGAAGAGTTTGCCTTTAAAAATACAGATATGTATATAAGTATGTATGTTTTCTATACATGGAGAGCTAGTTCATCATAGTGGTGAAGAGCATGATCTATGAAACCTGACATCTTTATCTCAAATCACAGCTCTTCATTGATGAGTTTTGGGTCCATGGGCAACCAATACTTTATTTGTTTCAGTTATCAAAGCTCTAAAACGTGAGTAATGATCATTCTTACCTAATGGTATTGCTGGGAAAATTAGATGGATTTACATATGTAAAATTTTTAGAACAATCCAGCAAATGTTGAACACTCTATACACGTTAACTATTATTACTATTTTTCAGTAGTATTACTGGTATTATTAGAATTCTTTTTTTTCCTTTTTACAGATGGAGTCTCGCTCTGTTGACCAGGTTGGAGTGCAGTGGTGCAATCTCAGCTCACTGCAGCCTCCACCTGCTGGGTTCAAGCGATTCTCCTGCCTCAGCCTCCCGAGTAGCTGGGACTACAGGTGTGTACCACCATGCCCTGCTAATTTTTTTGTATTTTTAGTAGAGATGGGGTTTCGTCATGTTGGCCAGGCTGGTCTGGAACTCCTGACTTCAAATGATCTTCTCACCTTGGCTTCCCAAAGTGCTGGGATTTCAGGAGTAAGCCACCATGTCTGGCCTTAGAATCCATTTTAAATTTAGAGGAAACAGATCTGTTTAAAGAAGGATCAAAATGCCCATGTAAGGAAGAATAGTTGGAAATGTAGACTGGCTTCATATCTCCAGAGTTTTAATATCTTACTAAAATCCACAATCAATCCCACTCTAGTCTTTGCTGAGCACTGTTTATCTTTTATTTGTTTAAAACCTATTTGCATGACCATTCATTGATTTTCCCATGACTGCACCAAAACTGTCCAGGTATATTTTGCATACTAGAGAGCAACAAAAACAAAATAAATGAAGAATCTATGGAAATAATATGTAAAAATTGACATTTTTATTATGTCATTTTGTAAAAGTTATTTATAGTTTAAAGAGATATCTCTCACTCTCTTCCTTTTCTGTCTCACCTCCGGGAATTAGAATCTTCCTTTCCCTCAAGCACAACTATATTTTTTGAAGCAGAGGTTCAAAAGAATATTGCTTGGAAAATGTGTTCTCCTTCCAGTCTGTCCAGATTGTCCTCCTTCCTAAATCAGTTTCATTTTGGGGATTCCATTTATTCAGGAGAAGTCCACTCCCTATCTATAGAACTGTGAATTTACTCTGTGACAACTTCATGGCAATTTATGAAAATATTGGACAAGAAGTCTAGTATCTTAACATAAAAGGAATACACCAAAACCAGATGTATTTTTATAGCCATGATCACATAGATTTATACAGTATTATTTACTGAGGTAAATAATTGGAAACCAGCTAAATATCCAACAACAAAAAAATAAACTATGTGCAGCCATAAGATGAAATATCAATATATTAAAAATAAGTTTTTGAAGTTATAGTGCCAGAAGTTTTTTTAACAAGTATACTGTAAGTGTGTCTCTGCGTTATGAAATCTACTATACCATATAGGGTTGTTTGTGAGTATACAAATGGAGAAATTGAATATGTCTTTGCATGTATAGGACCAAAACAGGTTTCAGAAAACATACTATATTTTTATGGGGGTTATATTTGGTGTCTGGAAATTATGGAAATTATGGAAAATTGGGTGTCTGCCTATATTTGGTGTCTGGAAATTATGGATTTTTTTATTATGTTTTTGCATTTTCTACATTATTTTTAACAAGGAAATATTCAGTAGCTCAAATTAGCTACTCTTATATTTCTGATATAAGGTTGAAAATTTTAAAATAGGCTTTGTGAAACTTAGGCATGAATAAAGTTAGAAATCTGTTGACAAAAAAATGTCAGTATCATTCATAATGAGGCAATTACAAAAAGCATAAATATTATTATACATTCAATCTGTCAAACTGAAAATATTAAGAATATTTGTATTATCCTATATACATGAAGATGTGGGGCAAAAAAAGCACACTCATGTAAGTGCTGGGGACAGTTAATGGATGCAGCATTACAGAAGGCAGGATGGTGAAAGAAATACACTTCTGAATGTATATAATCTTTTGCCTAGAAATCCCACTTTAAGGAATTAATAATTTTTCTAATTAAAAATTATGTATAAAGTGATTTACTAACTTTAAAGCTGTCACTAATCATAAAAACGTATAAAGATAAATATATATGAATCATCCCTTGACATGTTTTCCCACTAGCAAAAATCTTACATAAAAACAATGCAATGCTTCGTACTTATAAAAAATATGTGAAGTAGTAGTTAAGTAAAGAGGTAGAATATCGACCAACATATTTGTTAAGAAAAACATCTGATTTCAGAATAAAAAGTAAAATTTAATTTCAATCTTTTATAAAAACAATTATGTAAATTTTTTATCTGCATAGAAAATTAAGAATACACTAAAAATCTTTTGACAGCAACTATCTGAGTAGTATTGATTGAGGTCCAGAAATTTTTACTTTCTACTGTTTTGTTTCATGGTATATATACTACCTTTAAAATAGTATTATTATAGTTAATAATAAGAAGACAACAAACATGGCGACAGGGCACGGTGGCTCACGCTTGTAATCCCAGCACTTTGGGAGGCCGAGGTGGTCGGATCACGAGGTCAGGAGATCGAGACCATCCTGGCTAACACGGTGAAACCCCGTCTCTAATAAAAATACAAAAAAAATTAGCCGGCCTTGGTGGCGGGTGGCGCTTGTAGTCCCAACTACTCGGTAGGCTGAGGCAGGAGAATCGCTTGAACCCAGCGGGTGGAGGCTGCAGTGGGCCGAGATCACACCACTGCACTCCAGCCTGGGAGACAGAGCAAGACTCCGTTTTTTTTTTTTATGGAAAAAAGAAAGAAAGAAAGAAAGAGAGAGAGAGAGAGAGAGAGAAAGAACAGAAGGAAAGAGAAAAAGAGAAAGAGAAAGAAATCAAACATATCATATTCACTGGCATTAAATTTAGAGCTGATTCATTTTTCTTAATTAGTATGCTGAGTATGTTATTGTCTTTTGAGACTGAAAAATTATAAATGCCATCTCTTTTTACCAAGGGAATAAACATCTACACATTCATAATAACGACCTGTTTTGTTCAGTCATACTTTTTTACTGTTAGCCTGAGTTTCACTAAATCCTCCTGTGTAATCTGGATGTTATACAGAATAATAAACATTTTATTGCATTTAATTATTTTGGCAATTGAAAGCTCACTCATGCTTTTCATTTTTACTTTTTTTGCTTTTAAAAATCATGATTTTAATCAGTCAGAGGGAATTCTTAACAAGATTTAAGAAACACACCTAAAACACTCATATTCTGGAGGTAATCAGAATACTTAGAAGAAATTAATACTCCAACCATGAAAAACAAAGGGTCAGCGATGTTGGATAATAGTTAACATATTGGAGGTCAGCTTCAGATATAAGTCTCAATAATATCCAAAAACTAAACATAAAAATCCTCAAATTTCAATTGAGGGTCGTAGGGTAATTATTACAATATCTTTGTTACATCAATTATTGCATAAAAAGAAAGCTATACCAAATCCAGAGTAACATTAAAATTGCAATTATTGGCTACTCTTTGCCACCACCACTAATTTCAAAATAGAAAATGTATGTGGCAAAATAGTATCTCACTGTGTGTAAATATACTCTACAATTACTTCATTTTCTAAAGAAACTTTCATGAACAGTATGATCCATTACTAAAAATAGGCAAATTAATGATACAACTTTATACTCTAGAAAATCCTAAACACACACGCACACAAACACACACACAAATAAACTCACCAATTCTTCACTTATATCTCAAAGAAAAAAGGGTATCAATAAACCAGTGACAGTTTCTCCAAACTGATATTTCCTTATTCAGTATCTTTGAATATTAACAGGAAACATTAGCTAAATTTGTTTTCACATGAGCTATAGGCACTGCACATAAAAGATAAAATAGGATGACTAACTTCAGTTCTCAAATTAAAGCTTTCCAATCGATCTAATTGTTCTTACTATAATCATTTCTAGAGTTCCCTTCACTCTGTCCTCTTATTGTAAAATGTAATTTGACTTCTATAATTTGATAACCTACTGCTCACCCTGCCCCTGCCCCTCCAACACACAGGCTCACAAAATAACTCTATGTTAAATATGATTTATTTTAACATAAGCATATTATTTTGATGTTCAATTAACAGGACAAGAGGAGATCTAAAATAAGAAATAGTTGTGATGTAAAGAATTGCTTTTTATTTCTCACTGCTCTCTTGGGGAAACCCTGACTATTAAAAATAAGTGGCAAAAGAAGTAGCAATTATTTATTTACTATTTTTGAGGCAATTATTAAGACACAAAAGTACATCTTGTTGACATGAGAATCTCATCTTCTAATCGGGGCTCTAACCTACAGATTCACAAATGAGTAACTACATCATAGACTCTGGAAACACAGGCAAATTGGAGTGTGTTTGCATGTGTATTTCCATGGGGGTCCTAAATATTCATTGACTGCAAAAAAGTGGGGAAACTCCTTCCACAAAAGAGGTAGTAACTGAATAAGGATCATAAATCATTCTTTACTATTATTTTTTCCTCTACTGAAAGCAGAAACAATGGTTGCTAGGCTCCTTCTATAAGGAAAGCAAATTGTTTTCATAGTAATCATCTACATCAGGTATTGATTTCAGAATAAGATTCAATTCTGAAATTAATTGTATCACTTAGAGATTTTTTAAATTATTGAGCAAAAGTCATTATACATGCCAGCCTTTTATGCCTTTAAAAGAGAGTTAGGAAAAAATGAAAGCCTTTTATTTTGATGTTCAATTAACAGGATGAGAAGGGATCTAAAATGAGAAATAGTTGCAACCTGAGAGTTACTTTTTGTTCCTCAATTCTATTTTACTAGCTGAATATATTGTTTACAAAATAATAAAGTTAGACCCTAGTGCCTCATCTATTGTCTGGTGTTAAGGTAGCAGCCCTAGAAGAGGAGCTCCTATTAAATATAGGTGTCATTTTTGTTCTGTATGCACTTCTTTCTATTCCATACAATTTCCTGAGGGATGTGAAAATAAACATACTTAAGAGATTTCACAAGAACAGTACTACTTTAAGGTGATATGCTGTAATTTGACCCCACCTGCTAACATTTTTCCTCCAAAAGATATCAGAACTTTTCTTATTGTGTCACTGAGACTTATATTTATATATTGAGCTTTTAATCTATAATTGTGACTGTGTCCAGAGCATACATACAATACATAGTATAAATGTATTTAAGCGGAACACTAATCAATTTTTGTTAATTATAACATTTGAACTTCACTGAAGCTTTATACCACATATTACAGAAATAAAACTAGAAGTCCAATTAAACAGCAGTAAAGAACCCCTGCCACAAATAATAGTACAGTTTGTGTCTTATAAGACATGCAGAATGTTTGTCTTAGATAGAACTTTAATATTATTTTATTGTTGGTTAATAGTTTTATTGAGTTATAATCAGGGAGCAAAATGTACATTAAATGATTCAATTTGAGAATGTTGTTTGAAAAGCCTTTATGACTTATTATACAGACATGAAGAAAATAGGTATCCTTTACTTCTCATGAACAAGATCGATCTATCTATCTATCTGTCTGTCTATCTGTCTATCTATCTATCATCTCCCTCTCTACCTTCATACCTACCTATCTTTTGGACACTCAAAAAGATAGGATCTTTTGACTGTGCTGTGGACACAGTCACAATTATAGATTAAAAGCTCAATTTGTGGCTGGGTGCAGTGGCTCATGCCTGTAATCCCAGCACTTTGGGAGGCCAAGGCAGGTGGATCACAAGGTCAGGAGTTCGAGACCAGCCTGTCCAACATGGTGAAACCCCGTCTCTACCAAAAATACAAAAATTAGCCAGTTGTGGTGGTAGACACCTGTAATCCCAGCTACTCGGGAGGCTGAGGCAGGAGAATCGCTTGAACCTGGGAGGCAGAGGTTGCAGTGAGCCAAAATCACGCCACTGCACTCCAGCCTGGGTGACAGAGAGAGACTCTGTCTCAAAAAAAAAAAAAAAGCTCAATATATAAATATAATTCATCATACATTCAATACGTTTTATTTATTAATATAAATAAAATTTTTACTTTTTCTGTTCAATTCTTGTATTTCTACTATTTTAAAGCATTACCTAATCATCTCAGTTTATTTTTTGTTCAACTCTTCTATTACTTTAATAATTAATTAACTGCTTTATCAGTCTCTGAGAAAGTTGTGGGAAAATGTCTCACTGTCATTGTGGACTTGCTAGTTTCTCCTTTTAATTATTACCATTATTTTAGGTATTTCTAGTAGTGATTTTAGTAGACTTTTAGTGGACTTTTTTGCTATTAAACATTACTTTTTACTTCTATAATCATGCAAAGGAGGGATTACTAAAATCAAAAAGGGAATACTTCTGTAAAATTTACATTTTACTGAAGTAGACAGAAAATAAATAATTAAAACTGATTATTTTGTAATATTGGGGTTGATATTGTATATAAGAAAAAACAAAGCTAGATAAAACAATAGTCTGTAATGGCAAGACTCTTAGAGGAGGTGACTTTAGAACAGAGTCCTGAGGGTGCCCAATTGATCAAATAAATCATGTCACAGTGTTCCAGGAAGTAACTGCAAAGGTCTAGAGAGGGAACCCTACAAGCAATGTTCAAGAATTAGAAACAAGGCTATAATCCTAGCACTTTGGGAAGCCAAGGCAGGTGGATCACATGAGCCCAGGAGTTTGAGACAGCCTGGACCACATAGTGAGACCTCATCTATAAAAAAAGACCAAAAGTAGCCAGGTGTCATGACATGCACCTGTAGCCTTAGCTACTCAGGGGACCAAGATGGGAGGATCACTTGAGCCCAGGAGGTAGAGGTTGCAGTGCACCGAGATCCTGTCACCGTCTTGACTAATGTAAACAATGGGGACAGTGGGATAAACCTGTGAGAGGGAAGAGGCAAGACATGCAGGGATTAAATTTTGGTTTTATTCAATTTGGTACTGAAAGCTACCAGTCCAGGTTTAAATCTTCTCTAGTAGATTTATGTGTGTGACTAGGTGTGCTTTTTCCATTCTTTATGTTAACATAGCCTAAGTCATTTTGCTTTACATGTCTCTTCTGAAGAGCACCTTGCTGTATATTGTTGTTGTTGTTGTTATCTAACCTGTGATGGCCCATTTTTTAAAAATAAGGAAACAGAACCGTGATGGACAAGGTATTCCCTGGACTCAGTTGTGTGAGCTTCAGCAAATTTATTTAAATTATCTAGGCTGTAGTTTCCTCTTGTATTAAATAAGAATCAGTATAGTACTTATATGAAGGGTTTGCTAGGAGAAGTAAAATATTTACTACATGTAAAGCCTTTAGAATAGTGACTAGTTTGTGGAAACTGCTAAGTAACTGTTAGCATGTATGATTAAGTGGATTTATTTCATTCACACTTATTGTAATTACAAAATTCTTGCCCCATTCCACAAGCTCACACAATTATTTGTCATATCTTATTTCGAGTTTTATTTTGCTTTGCTAATTTTATTTTAGCTTTATCTTAGATTAATAGATGTAACTATTTTATTTCCCTTTACTCACTCAGAAGCTACATATTGTATTTCCGTTCCATTTGTGGTTACCTAATAAAAAATTTCTTGAAATTCTACTGTTAGAAATAAGAAAAGAGTGTGAGGTGTTTATGAACTACAAGTGTAATGAAAATGTATAAGCAAAATCTTAGTGTCACAGCACTCTTATCTCTACACTAGTAACTATTAGTAGTTAGTACACTCAATTATTGTCTCACTCATCCTGATATAATAACCTCTTGTGACATGGACTACTAAAAATAATTCTTAAAACAAGAATTGGGAGAAGTCACAATAAGATATTCTTTTAATCACTGGCTTGAGATGTTTAAGTCAGTGGCTTAATGATTTGAAATATGCTTTAAGAGTAAATTAATCCCCTTTGCTTCCTGTGTTAAAAAATTGAAGTTGTAGACTCTGTATATTCTAACTTTGCCCGGAAGAACACATGTCCACAGTATTCTTTAAGGGAGGACACCTGGTCCAAGGAAGTATGCTATTTTGAGACAATGGATAAAACTGAATATTTGTTTTGTTCTCCATAGGATTTACCAGTTGCAACTTTTTTTAAGGTTCTAGTGTTGTCTGCTTTAGTTCATTGTCCTAAATGAATGGGGTAAATACACTGGAATACCCTGTTTCCTCTAGTGCTGAGGATCCTCCATGTAACTCTAGTTCCAAAAAGAAGAATGTCCAAAATCACTATTGTTAATTTTAGCCCAAAGCTTCATTTATTAAAGATAATAGTTTGCAAGTCAGAGAAACCCATTGAAACTATCTTAAATAAAAGAAAATAATGTTTTTGATGGGAATACAGGGAGAGTACATGAAACCAAAGGAGAGATAACTTACCATTATTTATTTTTGCTTCTCTCTCACCATCTGCTTCATTCTTCTCTGACTCCATGGACTGACTTTCTCTGTTTTTAAAATTATATGATGACATTTCCAGGCATTTACAGATTCTTTCTTCAAAAGGTAAGCACATATTGAAACTGAAATCTTTTAGTAATAATTCTAAATTCCCAGGGAATGGCCATAGGTGCTATCTCATTGTGGTTTTGATTTGCATTTATGTGATGATTAATGATGTCAAGCATGTTTTCATACACCTATTGGTCATTTGTATGTATTCTTTTCAGAAAAGCCTGCTCAGGTCCTTTGCCCGTTTTCAAAACAGGTAATTTATTATCTTGCTATTGAGTTGTTTGAGTTCCTTATATAGTTAGTATATTAACCCCTTATTCAGATGTATGGTTAGCAAGTATTTTTTCCCATTCTGTAGGTTGTTCCTTTACTTTGTTGATAGGTTCCTTTGTGGTGCAAAAGATTTTTGGTTTGATTTAATTTATCTATTTTTTTTATTTTTGCCTGCCATATTGTGTTCATCAATGGATGAATGAGTTTAAAAAATGTATTATATATACAAAATTGAACACTATTCAGCCTTTAAAAAAGAAGAGAATCTTGTGGCAACATGGATGAACTTGGAGCACATCGTTAAGTGAAATAATCCAGGCACAGAAAGGCAAATACCTAATGATTTGAGTTTATGTGGAATCTAAAAAGGTCAAACTCATAGAAGCCAACAGTCAAACAATAATTACATGAGTCTGGGGGCTGGGGTGCAGGTATTGGGAAGATGTTGGTCAAAGTATTCAAAATATCAGTTTGACTAGAGAAATAAGTTCAAGAGATTTGTACAACATAGTAACTTACAGCTAATAGCAATGGATTGTATACTTAGACATTGCTTACAAAGTAGATTTCAAGCATTCTCACTACAAAAAAACAATGGTAAGTATGTGAGGTAATGCATATGTTAATTAACTTGATTTAGCCACTTTGCAATGTATACATATATCAAAATGTTATGCTGTACACCATAAATATATACAAATTTAATTTTCCAATTAAAAAAGAAAAAACACTTACCTGAGAGGCTGGCTGAGACAGAAGAATCTCTTGAACCCGGGAGGTGGAGGTTGCAGTGAGCTGAGATCTTGCCACTGCACTCATCACCTCTCAGGAAAATAAGAGTTAAAACTTATTTTCCCATTAGTTTATCTTACTAACCAACCTAAAATTTCTCTGTTTCATTTTCTGGATTATTCATTGATTTTATCAAAACACCACCATTATAATTCACAACTATAATTCTTCCTGAGACCTATGGTGGTAAATAAACTGTTGCCAGGATCTGAATGTGTCCCTCTTAAATTTATGTATTGAAACTTAATTGCCAATATAATAATAATAGGAGGTGAGACATTTAGGAAGTAATTAAGTCATGAAGGGGAGGTCCTCATGCCTAGAATTAGGGCTGTTATAAAAGAGCTTGAGGACATGTGTTCTCTCTTCTGGCTTTTTCATCATGTAAAGACAGTATGTTTTTTCTTTTGCCCTTTTTACCCCTTCTGCCATGCAAAAGATGCAGTAGGAAGACCCTCATGGAAAACGTAATGGTGGCACCTTGATTTTGGACTTTTCAGCCTCCAGAATGGTGAGAAATAAATTCTGATTGCTTCTAAGTCATCACTATCTGGTATTTTTTTTTGTAGCACCAGAAGGATTAAATGAGTAATTGGTACTAGGAGTGGAGTGCTACAATAACAAATTCTTGAAAATGTGGAAGCAATTTTGGAACTGGGTAATAGCAGGGCAGGAACAGTTTTGAAGTGCATGCTGCAAATCACCTAGATTGCCAGGAATGGAAAGTAAAAAGCAATTCTGGTCAAGGCTCAGAAGAGAAAACTATAGAGAGATTCTTGGTCTTCTTAGAGATTATCTAAGTAGCCATGATCAGCAGTCTAGTGAGGTCTTAGATGGAAATAAGGCAATTCTGATGAGTTCTTAGATGGAAATAAGAAATATCTTCTTGGAAACAGGAGGAAAGGTCATCCTGGTTACAAAGTGGTAAAGAACTTAGCTGAATTGTGTCTGTTTGCTTGTATGTTGTGGAAGGCAGACTTTCAGAGCAATCAATGAAGTGTATATTTGGTGGAAGAAATATCTAAGCAAAACGCTGAAGGTACTGCATGGCTTCTCTTAATTACTTACAGTAAAATTAAAAAGAGAGAGAAACAAATTAAAGGCATAATTTATTATTGAAAAGGAAGCAGACTTTAAGATTTGGAAATTCTCAGCCTGGCTGTGTAAAGAATAATAAAGCATATTTGTTAGAGAATACCAAAGTGTGGCCAAGCAAGCGTTTGATAAAGACAATGGTATAGATAGAAGGAAGCAAGATTCTATCCAACAGGATAATGAAAGAATGACCCTGAAAGCATTTTGAAGATCATTGAGGCTGTTCCTCCTATCACTGGCTCAGAGTACCAGAAGCTTGAAGGAAGAACAATTTCAAGCGAGGGGCCAAGGATGTCCATGGGACGCCAGGGTTCTCTGTCCAGGACTGCCTCAAGTTTCTGCTCCACACATTCTAACACAGCTCTCCTTAACTGCGCTACGCGGGGCTTGGGCCATCACTCCATAGGGCACAAGTGGAAACCTGGGTGGCATCCATATGGTGTTAACTCTGCAGATGCACACAGTACACAAGCTGTGGCAACATGGTTACTTCCACCTAGATTTCAAAGAATGTTTCAGAGAGTCTCGGGAACCAGGAGGAGGAGTGTTATGGGGCAGAGCTGCTGCAGAGATTCCCTAATAGCTATGGAAATGCCAAGTGGAGCTGTGAAAGTGGGACCACTGCAAAGAGTCCATACCAAGACAATCCATACCAAGACAAAGAGTCCATACCAAGAGCTGTGAGACTGGAACCATGAGAGAGCCCTCACTGGGCAATGTTTAATGGGGACATGAGGGCAGAATCACTCTTGAGACCTTAGATATGTAGAGCCATTAGCATGCAATGCCAGTCTCAGAGAACTTTAGGTGCCTGACAGCAATTGCTGATAGCTCTTGTGTGAACCACATCCCAGAAAGCCATAGGGTGGGGCTTTCCAGGGCCTTGGAGGTTCAACCTCCACAACAGTATGTTTCAAAGTCAGAACAAGGAGTAGAAGATTACTTTTACCACTTTAATATTTAATATTGTTTGCCCTATTGAGTTTAGGGCTTACTTTGGAACTGTTACTACTTTTTTCTTTCCTCCTACTTTCTTTTGAAATGTGAACGTCTATTTTCTGCCTTTCCACCATTGTATTTTGGAAGCACATAATTTGTTTTATCTTGCATGTTCACAGCTAGAGAGCAATTTTCTTCAGATAAAGTTTAACTTGAGTCTATCCATATCTGATTTAGTTGAGACTCTAGACTTCAGACTCTTGAGTTGGTGCTGGAATGAGTTAAGACTGTTGGGGCTGTTGGGATAGAATAAATATATTTTGCATGTTAAAAGGATATGAATTTGTTGAGGACAGGGTGAAATACTATGGGTAGATATAGTTTAAATGTGTCCCCTCAAATTTATGGTGAGCCTCAATCACCACTATAATGGTATTAAGAGGTGAGGCCTTTAGCAGGTGAAAAAGTGATGAGGGCAGAGCCCTCATGGTTAGAATTATAAGCCCTTATAAAAGGGCTTGAGGGAGTGGGTTTTTCTCTTTTCTGCTTCTCTGCCATGTGAGGACACAGTGTTTTTTCCCTTTTGACTGTTTTACCCCTTCAGCCATGTAAGAAAGGCCCTCATCAGACACTCAATTCTAGTACATCAATCTTGAACTTCCCAGCCTTCAGAACTGCAAATAATAAATTTCTACTGTTTAGATTATTACCCAGTCTCAAGTATTTTATTATAGCAGCATGAATTGACTAAGATACCCATAGATAAGAGTGGGAGATTACTAAACATTATAGTTTCCCATTAAAATATTTGAAAATGATTTTGAAAATAATTTAATAAAAAAGAACTAACTCTCCTTTTAACATTTATCTTATGTGTACAACTGAAAGTTTAGAGGGTGAAGAAGACATATTGCTCACAAAACTGTAAATTTTTACATATATTTAAAGAAGTTAAAGTGAAATAAAGAAGCTAAAAACTTTCCCAAGACTTAACATCTATCATTAAGGACAATATTTTAAATTACGTGTAATGGACTCTTCTCTATAGTTAGAAAATTGAATATTTGTGGCCAGGTGCAGTGGCTCACACCTGTATTCCCAACACTTTGGGAGACTGAAGTGGGCAGATCACCTGAGGTCAGGAGTTGAAGACCAGCCAGATCAACATGCAGAAAACCCGTCTCTACAAAAATACAAAATTAGCCAGGCATGGTGGTGCATGCCTGTAATCTGAGCTACTCGAGAGGCTGAAGCAGGATAATTGCTTGAACCCGGGAGGCGGAGGTTGCGGTGAACTGAGATCACGCCATTGCACTCTAGCCTGAGCAACAAGGGTAAAACTCCAGAAAAAAAGAAAGAAAGAAAGAAAGAAAGAAAGAAAGAAAGAAAGAAAGAAAGAAAGAAAGAAAGAAAGAAAGAAAGAAAGAAAATTGAAATAATTATTTTTTCAAGACTACAACAGCAATAATGGCAAAACTTAATTTTACCACGCAAGCCTGGTCTCCACCGCTACTTTGTCATTTTCACACACACTCATCATGTAGCTTTCCTGCTACTCTTTTATAGGTGGATTCAAAGTTTTTTGTTTGTTCTCATATCTCAATATAATGTATTTATTGGTAGCAACATACATTGTTTCTACTAACTAACTTGGCATTGGATGAGATGGCAACACTGTTAATATTTACAGTGACAGAGCTCTGGATATTTTTGGTTTAGAGCAATTTGGTTGAAATCAAGTTGACCAACAACAACAAAAAAAATACATATTTGAAATGACAATTAGAACATTACCCCCAAACTGTCTACTTTTAGATATTTAGTTTTGTTCAAATTCTCCTAAGTGTTGAACATCTAACTCCTTAATAGTATCCAAAGCCATCTCTGCAATTAGAAATAATTAATTATAAATTTACAGTTTTAAAGTAAATAAAAAGGCTGAAACATTCATAAATACTTGCAACTCCACATCTGGTTTGTCTACAAATGATGACTTAAGCCCAAGTTTTCTATAAATTAAAATACTCTCAACAAAATGGCATATAGCTCTATCATTCAGATTATTTCACTAGCTACTATGAATGTTGTACTATAATTTATTTTGAGATAAAAATATCTATTTTCCCTACTTATGAAGTAAATTGATATTGATAAAGATGTTATGATTCCTTATTAATAAACTAGGCATGAATTCAATGAGTTTGTTGCTGAGAAATAAAAACAGACACATAACTATTTCCATCACAATAATACTTTTAAACTGTTCATGTAGTCTAGGTTTAAAATTGAGGATGCCCAATGCTTTTTAAGAGGAATGATAGAGGGGATATTTTGTAACTAAAAACAGACAAATTTCTTCTTCCAAACATGAGGAAGTATTTTCTTAGAAAGAAATTCCTCTTACAGAAGCCAAAGGAACATTTTCATGTTTTCACCTGAAATACTTTTCCCATTTCTCTTGTGGAAATTCCATAGTTCTTGGAAAGTAAAGAAACGTCTTTAAACCATTGCTTATCTGAGCTTTTATATAATTCCTTTCCATTTTATTGGAAAATGAGTTTAACCTTCAGACATTCCAATAATTTATCTATATTTTATGACCAGCTGCTTCAAGAAATGCGTAAGATTTATTCCAAGAGCTATGGTCAGTCACCAAGGCAGCACGTAGTAATTGAGTATTAAGTGCATAGACATAGCTATTTTAGGCATCGGCTTCATAGTAGATAACTTATATTTTAGGATCAAGTAAAAATATTCTCTCTGACTTTATATTCCCATTTTTAATTTCTTAGGAAAATAACAATGTTATCAAAATGCATATGACTATATATTTAGTGAGATTGGTGGTAATTATGATGTGACTAAAAACATCTTTCCTGAAACACTGGCTGTTTAATGTTGACAGCATTCCTGGTGGATTTTACAGTTAAGTCATTGTTTAATAAACATGTTTAAGAGGCTCAGCTAAATAGGAGTAAACTAACTGCTCATGAATATATATTAACAGTTTTAATTCTTCTTCCAAATTACTTTTAGTCTTCCAATGAAAAATTACAAGAGTTTAAAAGTTAGTAAATTTTTTTTATAAAAACACGTAAGTCTTGTATTTTTCAACCTTTATTGGAAATCCAGGCTTTTGTTTTGAAGAAAGAAGCTTCAGCCCAGGCTGTGACCCCATTCGTGCATTAAGATGGCAATAGCAGGGCTCAGAAGCACATACTCACTGATTCCTTCTGGTCTCATTAATGGGTAAGGAATATGTATGTCATAAACTCAGTTGGGGTACATCAGCAACACTACATTAAGCAGCATATACAATTTGCACATTTATGGACTGATATGCTTAGCATTTATGAAGACTCATTTTTCTATTGCCTGAAAAGAAACAATACTAATAGTGTGTGCAATTAAGAGCTCACAAGAATAATGGAAAAATTAGTGACCTGTAACCACTTTTAGTACAATGTGCTGCCATGAAAGTATAATGAATTTCTCTCTATTCTTTTTGCTGAGCATCAATACAGATAAATAATCTACAATACTTCATGAATAACCCAAGAGATGATGAAAGGATATTGGCCAAGTTACTCCCTAAATATGCAGATTTACTTCTCTGTACATCTGTCTATTACCTACTTACTCCTCTTGATAAGTCAATTCAATTCTAAAAACATTTATTAACACTTTTCTTCTCTGATGAGTGATGTATAAATAAAAAGGAATTCTTTCTCTACAGTAATAATAAAGCATACTAAATAAAAGGGACACATAAATGAAAAAGTTTAATAGTTCTATAGGGAAGTATAGTGTTAAGAAGCAAAATGAGTGATGAAAATAACATTTAAAGAATTCAAAGAAATATGCAATCAGAAAGTGACATAGAAAATGGAGAATCTTTACAATGGAGTAATAGCTTGTATTACACCAGTATATGGATAGGAAAGTGATATGTGTGTGTGAGAGAGAGATAGAGAGAACAGATGGCAAATGACTAAATGTAAGGAAGGTCAGGTTTCCTGGTCTCACTCTGCGGTTGCTTTATGTCCTAGTTTAGATGAATGAAAGTTTTTCAGAAACAAAAAAATAAGTAGATCTCATTACTCTAAGCAAAGGAGAAGAAAAAAACAGAAAGAATAAGTATTTTTGGGTTAGAGTAATACCTGGGTCAATCTTCAAATCATAGGGAACAGTACAGACACCAACGTTCTCTTTTACAGTTTATGGAAAACATTCACCAAGAAAGTGTCAGCCTGGTAACAGTACAAGTTTTCTTGTCTCTACAAATACCATTACCCACTTAACTTCTTAGATCAAATACCTCTTTATTCTCCGAAGAAGACGCAGTTCTAAAGTAATCATAAAATTGTAAGGGCATACATTTTCAACTCCTAATTATTAGAACAAGTTCCATGGCCACAACTGGGCATTGTTTTATGTAGTGATTGCTTATGTTAATAAGTTAATTCTCTCCCATGGCTACCATTTCCTGTCCTGCATGCTCTGTGCACTTCCCTTGTTTTCACTTTAACCACTCCCTGATCTGGTCCTGACCGTCAGTCTTTTTGTTTTTGAGACGGAGTCTTGCTCTATCACCCAGGCTGGAGTGCAGTGGCATGATCTCAGCTCACTGCAACCTCCACCTCCCGGGTTCACGTCTTTCTCCAGCCTCAGCCTCCTAAGTAGCTGGGACCACAGGCGCCCGCCACCATGCCTAATTTTTTGTATTTTTAGTAGAGATGAGGTTTCACCGTGTCAGCCAGGATGGTCTCGATCTCCTGACCTCGTGATACTCCTGCCTGGGCCTCCCAAAGTGCTGGGACTACAGGCATGAGCCACCGTGCTCAGCCCGTCAGTTTCATGATGCATGTATTTTCTTTGGATTTATGAGTTCCCTCCTAGTTTTATATTCTTCTTTAATTAAGCAAAAATTGCTGTACTATTTTATTAATTAGTCTTGTGAGCTTTCTCAAGTTCTTTCATCTTTTGATTTTTCATATCTATAATCCTGGATCAATCTATTCAGTATCTCCATATCTACACACGCAGATACATGTGAGATTCAATTTCAAATGGACCCTCAGTATCTGTATTTTTATTCTGTTTTTTGTTACCTCAGTTTTTTTTATACAAAGCTTACTTGATTTTAAATACCTTGCTATACCATTAGATCATTTATTTCCAACAACTAACATTATCTCCTACAGCATACAGAACAGTGAAATCATCAGGTAGGAGAATCCTCAGCTTAATGACCTGAGACCTATAGTTATCTATTAAATGCCTATTTTTACCTCTGTCCTTATTTATCAGGAATTGTGCTGCCTTCAATTATCTTTTATTCTAATTCCTTCTTCCTAGCTTTTTGCTTATCTTGATCTATCAATTGTTTTCTATATTTTTAGAAGATTGTACTCTGAAAGCACCTTTTCTTCAACCTATTTATCTATTTATTTCTTTTCTATTTATTTTAGATACTACATTCACTACACAAGAGATTGAACTTTTTTCTGAAATGTCTACATAAACTTTTGAAAACTACATAATTCCCATGTGATGTATTAGCCAAAAGGGACCATAACTGAGATAGTAAAATGGTGATATTAACAAAGAAAACCAGAAATGTTAGAGAAAATGAGATACAAGTGATGGCAGCGGCAGCCCATCAGTGGCCGCGGCTGCAAAGATGTAGGCTGCAGCAGGGGAGGTGTGTCCAAGGCTGCATGGCCCATGGAGCCCATGGGCGTCCTGCCCCCTACCAAGTCAGAGAGGCAGGAGCCCCAGGCTCCCAGGCACAGCTGCAGCTGCCCATTTGTGGCACTGCACCCAAGCTTCCCTGCACTATCGGGAGCCCAGGAAGCCTGCCCTGCCCCCCACAGGCTCGGAAGTGCTCCCTCCTGCTCCCTGGCCTCCCCTGGCTCCAGGAGCCTGCTCCAGTGAGAAGCAAAGCTGTAGCCAAGTCCAGGTGCCATCATGACCTGATCAAGTGTGCACATGCTCAGGGTGGCACTGACATGCCAGACCCCTGCTGTCTCAGCCCCCTCCAGACTTTGGGCACCAATGAGCAAGGGAGGAAGGATGGGGAAGAGGCTGAGGGCAGCTCGACAAGGGTCTGCAAGCACCCCTTGGCAAGAAAAGCCTGGGTGCCATGGGCGGCATGTTGATGGTGGGAGGCAGACAGGTTCCTGGGCAGTTGAGGAATTAATAGCCTACCAACCAAAAAAAAAAAAAAAAAAAAAAGCCCAGCACCAGAAGGATTCACAGTGGAAATCTACCATAGGTACAAAGAGGAGCTGTACCATTCCTTCCAAAAGTGTTCCAAACAACAGAAAAAGAGGGACTCCTCCCTAACTCATTTTATGAGGCCAGCATCATCCTGATACCAAAATCTGACATAGACACAAGAAATAAAGAAAATTTCAGGCCAATATCCCTGATGAACATCAGTGGGAAAATCCTCAATAAAATACTGGCAAACCAAATCCAGCAGCACATCCAAAAGCTTATCCACCATGATCAAGTGGGCTTCATCCCTGGGATGCAAGGCTGGTTTAACATACATGAATCAATAAACATAATCCATCACATAAACAGAACCAATCACAAAAACCACATGATTATCTCAATAGATGTAGTAAAGTCCTTTGACAAAATTCAACAGCTGTGCATGCTAAAAACTTTCAGTAAATTAGGTATTGATGGGACATATCTCAAAATAGTAAGAGCTATCTATGACAAACCCACAGCCAATATCATACTCAATGGGCAAAAACTGGAAGCATTCCCTTTGAAAACTGGCACAAGACAGGGATGTCCTCTCTCACCACTCCTATTCAACACAGTGTTGGAAGTTCTGGCCAGGGCAATCAGGCAGGAGAAGGAAATAAAGGGTATTCAATTAGGAAAAGAGGAAGTCAAATTGTCCCTGTTTGCAGATGACATGATTGTATATCTAGAAAACCCCATCGTCTCAGCCCAAAATCTCCTTAGGCTGATAAGCAACTTCAGCAAAGTCTCAGGATACAAAATCAATGTGCAAAAATCACAAGCATTCCTATACACTAATAATAGACAGAGGGCCAAATCATGAGTGAACTCCCATTCAGAATTGCCACAAAAGAATAAAATATCTAGGAATCCAACTTACAAGGGTTGTGAAGGACCTCTTCAAGGAGAACTACAAACCACTCCTCAAGGAAATAAAAGATAGGACACAAAGAAATGGAAAAACATTTCATACTCATGTATAGGAAGAATCAATATTGTGAAAATGGCCATACTGCCCAAAGTAATTTATAGATTCAATGTTATTTGTTTCTTGTAAACAAATTTACAAGAAAAAAAACAACCTCATCAAAAAGTGGGCAAAACATATGAACTTACACTTCTCAAAAGAAGACATTTAGGCAGACCACAAACATATGAAAAAAAGCTCATCATCACCGGTCATTAGAGAAATGCTAATTTTTGTATTTTTAGTACAACAAACCACAATGAGATACCATCTCAGGCCAGTTAGAATGGTGATCATTAAAAAGTCAGGAAACAACAGATGCTGGAGAGGATGTGGAGAAATAGGAACGCTTTTACACTGTTGGTAGGAGTGTAAATTAGTTCAACCATTGTGCAAGACAGTGTGACAATTCCTCAAGGATCTAGAATTAGAAATACCATTTGACCCAGTAATCTCATTACTGGGTATATACCCAAAGGATTATAAATCATTGTACTATAAAGACACATGCACATGCATGGTTGTTGCAGCACTATTCACAATAGCAAAGACTTGGAACCAACCCAAATGCCCATCAATGATCAACTGGATAAAGAAAATGTGGCACATATACACCATGGAATACTATCCAGCCATAAAAAAAAGATGATTTCATGTCCTTTTCAGGGACATGGATGAAGCTGGAAACCATCACTCAGCAAACTAACACAGAAACAGAAAACCAAACACCGAACGTTCTCACTCATATGTAGGAGTTGAACAATGAGAACACATGGACCCAGGGAGGGGAACATCACACAATGGGGCCTGTCAGGGGATGGGGGGCTTGGGGAGGGATACCATTAGGAGAAATACCTAATGTAGATGACAGGTTTATGGGTGCAGCAAACCATCATGGCACATGTATACTTATATAACAAACCTGCACGTTCTGCATATGTATCCCAGAACTGAAAGTATAATAATAAAAATAAAGTGAATATCCAAGGTATAGGTATATTTAAAATGCCTTTAGGTCTTTTTCCCTTCATGGATCTTGTTGTTCTGAAAGAAGGGTTTTGTTTTATTCTCAGTCAACAGAATTACTTTTTTCTATTTTTGTCGCCACTCTTAATGCACACGTGAGGGGCCCTAAGGTAACTTCTGATGGCCTGGGACTACTTGGAAAAACAGAGGAGGCATCAGTGACCTTGTTTTGGGAGAAAACTCCTCTTTTCCTCATGGAACATCAGTAATCAGAGGCAGATTGTTCCCTCTCAAAATCTGTTTTTGTCTTTCAGCTATGCCTGTTGATTAGGCTCTAGAAACTGCATGTTTTCCTAGCCCTGTTTCTTGAAGGGCTCCACTCTGAGGCCAGTAATCCAATTTGGAGATTGGCAAATGAAAAATCTTACAACTAGTGGATCTTCTTCTGTCTATGTTATGTGTTTGATGTTTATATGAAATATATATCTAATTGATTAGCTTAAAGAAAAATAAGCACTTAGATAAAATATTTTAAAAAAATAAAGCTATAATGCCCCTTAGTTGATGTGACTTTAATCTTTGAGAAATAAAAACAGTTTTAAAAATTATTGGTAAAATAATAATGTCTTCAAAATATAGACATGTGGTCTAAATTATGCAGTTCACAAACTAGGTTCTAAATGCTTTAAGGTCATAAACTGCTTCTTTGGCTTTTTTTTTTTTTTTAATTAAGACAAAGTGTTGCTCTGTCACCCAGGCGGTAGTACAGCAGCACAATCTTGACTCACTGCAACCTCCCCTGCCTGGGTTCAAGAGAGTCTCATGCCTCAGCCTCCTGAGTAGATGGGACTACAGGAGTGCACAACCTTGCCCGGCTAATTTTTGTGTTTTTACTAGAGATGGGGTTTCACCATGTTGGCCAGGCTGGTTTTGAACTCCTGACCTCAGGTGATCCACCCACCTCGGTCTCCCAAAGTTCTGGGATTACAGGCGTGAGCCATAATTCTGGCCTTCTTTGGCTTTTGAAAATTGTTTAACTAACCTTCTTAACAATTTGTCAAGGCCTGGGGACATACAAAGGCAACCACCCCCTAACTATGCTGGAAAGAGTCAGACCTTATCTGCACCTAGTACCTAATTAAAATATCTTACCAGGTTTTACGCCAAATTAAAATTTGCTAAGAGTTACCATTATAATATGTAACTGAGACCAATGAAAACAGATTTACATGCATGGTGTGTAAAAAAAGTAAAAATTTTTTAGTAAAAGTTTATAGGGCAGCATGGGGATGTATATTTTTGCCTAGTTTAGAGGGTTAAATGATTGTTTTAAATTAGTAATAATAAAGTTAAAAGTTTTAAGTTGTGGAAGGTTTGTAAAAGTTAATCCTGTAAAAGCAATTCTTGTGTGAACATATTGAGTAAATTCAAAAGGAAATTATTTGGTTTTTCTGTAAATTACACATTGGGAAAAAAGCACAAGAAGAATTTCTTCAGGTACTGACCTGCTTCGTAACAAATATTTTCAAAGGGTTATGTAAGTTTTATGAAAATCTCACCTCATGGTCAAACTGGTTAAGATCGGATAGATTTGTCTATAAGGTTTTATTAAAATAAATTTGGCTTGACATCAATAATAGACTAATGTAAAGGAAATTTGGCTCTCCTCTCAAACAAGATTTTCATGTAATGTTAAAAGACAATGAAAGATTTTTGTTAACCTTGTGAATAAACTGCTGAAAAAAGAAGGAAAAGACAAGAGACAGATAATTTGGAAAGCTAAGTCTTTCTGCTTAAAGAGTAAAGTTTTTTGCTTTTTTAAAATTGCTTGAGTCATTATTTTGGTTAATAAATGACTTATCATAACCTGTAATTCTATTATATAATATCAAGTGTTTTAAACATTGAACATATTTGATAGTCTTTCCAAAATCAAATTACAGCTTTAAAATTGTCTTTTAAAACCCCTAGCTTTTGGAAACTACAGAGGACCCTTGGAGTATCCAAAAGAGAAGTAAACAGGATTATTTTACATGTTTAGTCACATGGGTTTGCCAAAATAAAAATAACAGTCTTTTTCAGGTTATATTTTAGTAAATAATATTAATATATGTTCCAAATTTGTATGGGATTTTTAAAATTCTAATGTCTGAGTATATGCTATCAATTATATTAACTTATTGTACGTCACAGACATAACCAAATTTCTTTGTCAATTGTGTTTTTGAAGTGACTACTCAAAGATATTTTGTCATTCACAATTGTCTTCTTTTGATCCTCTTGAAAAGATGGTATATATTAATCTATAGAACTTTGACAAGTGCTCTTAAATGCAGGTTTCTGATATCTTGGGCAATTTTGACATTCGAATAAAGGAAAAATGTTCAGGACTCATGAAGAGCAGAAATGTTCATGAATATCAAGCAGAATAAGAGTTAACTGAATGGACTGAACTAATAGAAAACTGAAGTAATCTTTTCTAATATTTTGCTTAAAACATGGCTGATCTTTTTTGTTAAAGTCAGGAAAACTTTTATTTTGAGCTATTTATAGCTTTTGACAATTGAGTAAGGTATACCTTTGTGAACAAAATTTGGAGCATATTTGTTTCTCTGCCTGGTTTCTTCAGAATTTGGAAACTATATGTGAATATTCTTAACTATGGCAACATAGTTATTTGCATAAGTGTAATAAGAATCCATTTTCTGGGCTGGGTGCAGTGGCTTATGCCTGTAATCCCAGCACTTTGGGAGGCCAAGATGGGCAGATCACAAGGTCAGGAGATTGAGACCATCCTGGCTAACACTGTGAAACCTCATCTCTACTAAAAATACAAAAAAACTTAGCCAGGTGTGGTGGCAGGTGCCTGTAGTCCCAGCTACTCGGGAGGCTGAGGCAGGAGAATGATGTGAACCCAAGAGGCGGAGCTTGCAGTGAGCCGAGATCACACCACTGCACTCCAGCCTGGGTGACAGAGCGAGACTCCATCTCAAAAAAAAAAAAAAAGAATCCATTTTCTTTTGCAACAGGATGCAATTGGAGAAACTGGTTGTTTTACTAAAGTTTAGCCTCAAAGAGTGTGCTTCCTTTTAAGGTATCAAGCTTAACTTGCAGAACCAATAAAAGGTCCTTGGGAAAACTGGCCCCATAGCCTGTGTACACCATTCCCATACCCCACCTGGTCCCTAACCTTTGGTCTGTAAAGAATGTCACTTTCTAACAGGCCCTGGAACCCCAAGTTATCTTGGGACTTTGAGAAGAGAGGAATTTATTCAACTCATAGGTATTTGAGGGGAAAAACTCATTGTAGGGCTAGGCTTTAAAAGGTCTTATCTGAGGTTCCTTTAAGAACAGAGTTCCATCAGAGCCAATTTAAAAAGCCTATATAAAATAATTATTCTTGTTTCACTTTACACAAATAATCAGGCTAAACGTAAGACTAAAATTTAATATTCTGCAAACAAGTCAGTCTTATCATGATTTGTTTTTAACAAACATGAGGACTGGAGAGAGAAAAATTATACTTCAAAACTTATTGCGCACTTGCCATTAAATTCTAATCTCAAAGTATTTGTCTGCATTTTAGACTAACCCTGCTCATTTCTATGAACCAACCAGTGATCTCTGGTTGCAGCTCAGAAAAAACAAAATGGAAGGGTAATGTAAAACTCTGGGCCGGGCTCAGTGGCTCACACTTGTAATCCCAGCACTTTGCGAGGCCGAGGCAGGTGGATCACGAGGTCAGGAGATTGAGACCATCCTGGCTAACACGGTGAAACCCCGTCTCTCCTTAAAATACAAAAAAAATTAGCCAGGAATGGTGGCAGGTGCCTGTAGTTCCAGCTACTTGGGAGGCTGCTGCAGGACAATGGCATGAACCCAGGAGGCAGAGCTTGCAGTGAACTGAGACTGCGCCACTGCACTCCAGCCTAGGCAACAGAGCGAGACTCTGTTTCAAAAGAAATAAACGAACAAACAAACAAAAAACAACTCTTGGTCAGTACTGTAGTTCTGGGCAATTATCCTGCAAATCCTGCCAGGTGATAGGGGTAAATAGGGTGCCTATACTCGAAGGTTTCTTTTTTGAGAAAATAAGAACAAGAGAGCTTACCAAAACCAACCCCCTTGCACCCAAGTCTTAGCAGGCATAACTATAGCCACCAGTTATCTGGGCATGTCAGCAGCCTCAAGATTTTTGAGCTGTCCTTACCCCCTTGTTTCATTTTGATATATGTGTTCTAATAACCCAGTTTGTCTCTTCTTGCCTTCGGGCCATCAAACTCCAAATCATCATGCAAATCCAGCTTCAGACAATAGCTCCCTTTCACTGAGAACCCTTAGATAGGCCTCTGAGAGAAGATCTGACTGCTGCTTTCACCAAGACAATGTCACCTGTCAGCATGAAGCAATTAAGACAGTCATCATCCCTATTCTAACGGCAGTTAGATGTACCTCTTCAGAGTGGAGATCAATGGAAGCAACAACTTATTTAGAGTGGCTGCTGTGAAGACACCAGCTGCAGAATGGGAGTGGGGCAGGAACCACTGGGGAAGGAGCTGCATGCTCCCAGGCACAGCTGCAGCCACCCAGCCACAGCTCCAGATCCTGGAATCCCTGTGATCTTGGGCTCAGGATGCTCCCCCTCCTCCTGCATGCTCAGTAGTGCCTGCTTTCACTCCTTGGCCTCTCCATGCTCCTGGCACTCTCTCCAGTGCAGAACAAAGTAGTAGCCAAGCCCAGGTTCTGTCATGACCTGGCTGGGCGTGCACATGCTTGGGGTAGTGCTGACCACTACAGCCCCCTGCTGCCTTGACCCCCTCTGGGCTTTGAGGACTGATGAGCATGGGAGGTTGGCCAGAGAGGGGGCTGAGGGCCACTCAGCATGGGCCTCCAGGCACCCCTCAGCATGAACAGCCTGAACACTGCAGATGGCATGTTGACGACAGGAGGCAGACAGGTTCCTGGGCAGAAAGGGGCAGGTCCCTGATAAAACCCCACCTTCAAGCCAGGAACAGCCAGAAGCCTGTGGGCCAGGCTTCTCATTCTGGATGGAGTCCATGGCCTGAAGTGAAAACTTATGGTGCTTTTTCCAGGCCTGCCCATGGACCAATCAGCATGTACTTCCTCCCTTCTGAGCCCATAAAAACCCTGTACTCAGCCAGACTCACACACACCTCAGGACAACCAGCTGTGGGAAGGTGCTACCCACTTCAGGTTTCTTCAACTTGTTGGAATGACTTGCCTGTGGGGAAGGAGCTACCCACTACAGGTTCATCACTGCTGAGAGCTGGACATTCATCAAGATGACCTGCCTGTGGGAAGGAGATGCCCACTTTGGGTCTCCTGAGAGCTAGTCTATCACTCAGTGAAGCTGCTGTCTATCTTTCTCACCCTCTCGTGGTCTACATACCTCATTCATCCTGGACGTGGGACAAGAACTTGGGACCCACTGAATGGCAGGACTGAAAGAGATGTAACACAAACAGGGCTGAAACATGACCCCAACTTGCCACACTGTGGGTGATGAGAAGGATAGAAGGGCTGTGACCCTTTGAGGACCCCAGTCCTAGGGAATCCCAGAGCCAAGGCTGTGACATCCTCTTTAGGGCTCTATAGTTTCTGGCATCTCCAGGCTTTCAGGCATGACTGTGTTCCTTGGTGCCCACAGCAGAAGCTGCTTGTGTTACCCGTGATCCAGCCACAGCCTCGCATGGAGTCAGTGCCTGTACTAGTGCTTGTAGCTGCCCACCCCACCCCTGCTGGAACACATGGCTGTGCACAGTGGCTGGACCCCACACCCACTCACATACCCCTCACCACTCTGCACCTGGCTCACCCTTGGCAGGTATCGGATCCAGGCCAGTAGTGCGAGCTGAGCACCGTGGGCTGGGTCAAGTAAATGGAATGAGCCCAGCGAGCCTGAGCAAAACTCAGGCACTAAGATGCCACTGCTACATAGGTTTCCAGGTGAAAAATTGATGCTCTAAGCATCCCGTGACACAAGACCATCAAAATAATTAACTAGCTAAATTTACCTTTGTATTACAAATGATTGAAGTATGAATGAATGCCTGGTCTATCATGGAGAATGCAGAGGGGGATGACAGAATACCCTGAGTCGAATTGCTGCAATGATTACTGAAATAAATTCATGTTACCACATTTTCAGGTAGTTGTTGATTAAATTAAATAATATGCGTAGGGTGACTCATGTATGAATTGGCACCTAGAAATTCTGTGTATAGTAGAAAAGTGTTTTTTTATAAGAAATATAAAAGTCATTCATTTCTGAAATGGTACAAATATTTTGTTTTATAAAATCTGAGAAAGTGATCTTGATATTCTATTTGTATAATGAAACATAAAAGAGATTCCAAGTCTGAAGAGCTAATAATTAATTTGGTTCTTTTCTTTCTGGAAGTGTAGAAAGCAAGGAGTTTATAATACAATATTTAATTAACTTGCATTTTATTTCCGCTTTTTCTCAAGTTTAAGTCATATCTGTAAATTTTCTTGAAACTGTATAAAAAGTATTATTTTGCAACTTATAGAAAACTTTGTGTAGTACTCTTTGTGTAGGAAATCTAATTTCTCAAGGAAAAACAAATAGCCCTTGTACTACATTTTTTAAATATCATGTACTTTAAACACTGATACACAAAATGATTACATACATTCAAAAAATATTTTTTTCTATGTCTCCAGATGATCAGTAGGGAGTTAAATGCAATAATGCTTTTTGACATCATATATTTACTTTATGACAAAAATTTATACTTTTACATAAATATATATGCATGTGTCTTGTAGTTAATGCCAAAATAAATTCACAATATTACCACTTTTTCAAATTGGTGTTGATTAACTGATTAACTTGAAGAATATATTTAAGGTGATAAATATATGTGTAAATTAGTGTATTTAAAATGTCCCCTAAATAAAGAATTCATTTTAAGTAACCTGAAATCTAAAGCAGAAGTTAGATGAATATTATATTTTAAAATATATTTTCTCCAATAAATAAATAAAAAGAGGCTTTGATTCAAGATAAACAAAAAGCATATATGATGTACATTCTCAAGTGTCATGGTTGACATTCTCAGCTTTATCTTTCCAGTAATATTAAGATATACACTTTTTAATATTTTACATTGACATTGCTCATCAATTGGCAGCAGTTTATGAATTCAGAGTCATTTATATTAATGCTATTGGCAGTTTAGTACACATTAATAGGAATAGTTTAGATAAATTGTGGTTATGGAATAATTATTAACTTTACATTTTTTCCTTTAGCCCTGAATTTTTTGCAAATTTGGCATAATTTAAAAATCACACATACGACACCCACACTTCCACTGCAATAGTTAAGAGAAGTGATTATGTAGCATAGTATATTCCAAATTATGGAATGTTAACAGAAAACATGTTAACAGATGCTACAGGTTAAATTGTGCCCTCACAAAAATATATATCTTAAAGCACCATAGCTTGGAAACCCAGAATATGACTTTGTTTGGAAATAAGTTATTTATTAATATAATCAGGCAAAAATGAGGGCATTAGAGTGAGCCATTTTCCAACATGACTGATGTCATTTTTTAAAAAAAAGGAAATTTGAAAACGTATGAAGAAAGAGACAAACATTGGAGTTATGCTGCCAACAACCAAGGAACATCTGGGGCTACAAAAAGCTGGAAGAGGCAAGGATGGACCTTTCTCTACAAGTTTCAGAAGGAGCACGGCCCAGTCCACACCTTGATTTCAGATTTCTAGCCTTCAGAACTGTGAGACAATATATTTCTGTTGTTGAAAGCCACTCCATTTGTGGTATTTTGTTATGGCCCTAGAAAACTAATCAATAGATATTAAGGTGAGAAAAATAGTTTCATTGCAAAATAATTTCTCCACAGCAAGTTCTAAGAGTGAACATACTTTTAAATGCAGCTAAATAAAAATGAAGAATGTCTCAGTGACTTTACTGTATTAATGGCTATCTTGATGCTCCTAGAGGAGAATTGTAACATAAAATATTTTCATTTCTTAATTAGTTTTGTTTGTTAGTTTTTGTTTTTTTAGATACAGAGCACTCTCCTGTTGCCCCAGATGGAAGGTAATGGTGCAATCATGCGCAATCACACCTCACTGCAGCCTCAACTTTCTGGGATCCAGTGATCCTCCTGCCTCAGCCTCCCATGTAGCTGGGAACACAGATTTGCACCACAGCACCAGGCTAATATAAAAATATTTGTTAGTGGAACAAAACATTTTCCATACTGGTCATGTCACATAACTACTACTCAATGGAAGCTAATTTGGGAAATGCAGAATGTCAAAATTAAAATAATTACCATAATACCTAGAAAATTCAAAGCAACTTCTTATTTTCCTCCAGGCAAAGAGGCAATATACTTTTTGATTCTGCTTTATTTTTTGACCTTAAAATAAATTTTTACTAAAAGCTCTTTAAATGCCAGTTGTGCTCTTGAGGATGAATCTCAGCTTGTGAATTTTTTGTTACAAGCAGTTTACAAAACCAGATGTTCAGATTGTTAAGAACAGCTGTAAAAACATAATACTACATTCGTTTCAAGAATTCTTCTGCTAGATAAACATAAAACAATAACAAATGCAACAATACAGATATCTGGTCAGACAGGTTTCATAATAAACATGAATTTCTCCTTGAATTTTTTGTGGAATGAGCAAGATGTATTTGAAACACTGAAACTTAGTTACAAATTGTAATTGCTTAAAAAATTATACTTATGCCTTCATAATGCATTGAACACTAATGTGCATCACTAGATATTCAAATTTAAGCAGACATTCTAGGTTTATTTTGTCCTTTACATTGTTGGCTCTGTCAGAAGTGTTACTTCTTTATCAAATCCATTTCCTCTTCTAACTAGACAGGTGGCTAAATGTAGCCATCTGATTGAGTGCTAGCTCATGGAATATGACTGGAGAATTTGAAAACCAATTCAAGGATAAGCCCTTAAAAGTGTTCCCAGAATGCTCTTATAATGAACACAACTCCCAAGATGATTTTGAAAACTGTATATGAAAATGGTTGATTCATGCTGTAGAAGGAGTCAGAATCCTTGAATCATCATTTAAGGAAGAACTGTTGACATGGAACACATGTATCAAACTACTACTTACGCAAAGTTAATCTGCTAACAACTTAGGTATATCTAGTGTAGCAGCTGATGTTACCATATTTAAAACTTTTGTCATTTTTTTCTTGACAAATTGAGACCTGCTTAAAATTTTGAGTTTTGTTTGTGAATTCACTTTTCAAAAATTTGTTTAATAAAACTTATTGAACACTTACCATGAGCCAGATAAATGCCTGTACATAAAGCAATAAACAAAAGACAAAAAAGTAATCCTAAAGTTTTCACTGATTCACAGGTGTTTGTCAGATATGTTTCAGTGATAGAACAAGGAAAATAAGTATAAAAACATATAGTGATTAAGGGCTATAAAATATACTAGAAAAAATAAAATAATTACAGTGGAAACAATATATTGGGAGGAAATATAGTTTCAAATAGATTGACCATGGAAAGTCTCATTGAAAACATGGAGTTGGGGGGAAACCATTTGAATATCTTGAGCACAAATTTTTGTAAAAAGTTAATACCAGGGGCAAAGTTCCTAAGGAGAGTGAATGTCTGATACGTTCAATGATTAGCACAGGTGTATGGAGAGGGGAAACAGTAAGTTATCGTGACAGCAGTTAATAAATGAGAGAAAGAAAATGAACTGGAAACATACCAGGAACCCATAGGCCATTGTAGGTTTAGGGCCATGGCTTGTACTCTGAAGAAAATAGAGAACAATAAGAATGTTTGAAAAGAAAAATTCATATATATACTATCTGACAATATTAAATATATTGACTGCTTTGCTGAGGTTAATGCCAATAGGGTAAGCATATAAGAGGGGAAGCCACATATATATATATATATATATATATATATATATATATATATATATATATATATGAGTCTAGTGAAATGTTCAAGGAGGAGATGTTTGTTGGTGACTTGGGCCATAATCTTAACAGTGGTTTAATCGTCAAATTTTGGTTATATTTTGAAGGTGAAAAGAATAAGATTTTCTTATATTTCAGATGATATGGTATAGGCAAAAAAAGGAGTCCTATATAACTACAAAAATTTGCCTGAGTAATTGAATGATGGACTTTCCATTTTCTAAATAAATCAAACTTACGGAAAGTCAAATTTGATGGAAGATTGTGAGTTTTCTGTCATTTATAAGACATCCCAATGGTAGAGTAGAAGGCATTTGGAAACAGGAATTGCTGTTCAGAGGAAAAGTTGGAGCTGGAGATATAAATGTGCAAGATTTTAGTGCATAGAGATATTTAAAAACGTGATTGAGGCATGGGCAGCAAGTTTTAAGTGCAAAATTAGGAGGCTATGGTGTAGTCAATATACCTGGAATATTTGACACCTGGAGTGGATAATTTTTTAACACTCATTTCTTTACACGACAAAATTATTTTTAGTATGAATTATGAAATGAAGAAAAAAATAATTATGGCCAGACATTGAAAGTACAGACAGTTAATTTTTTTATTTTGTTAAATGTAAAATATATGTTACGGGTTGAATTGTACTCCTCATCTCCATCTGACACACAATATATATTGAGTCCTAACCCCCAGTTCCTCAGAATGTGACATTTTTCAGAGATACAGTATCTACAGAGTTAATCAAGTTAGAATGAGTTAATTATAGTGGGCCATAATTCAATGTAACTGGTATTATTATAAAATGAGAAAATTTGACAAAAGAGATGTATACACATTGAAGGTAGATAATGTGAAAAGCCCGGAGAGAAGACAGCCACCAAAAGCCAAAAAAAAAAAAAAAAAAAAAAAGTTCTGGAATAGAAGGAACCCACTTTGTTGACACCTTAATTTTGGACTTTCAGCTTCCAGAACTGTCAGACAATACATTTCTGTTTTTTAAGCCAGTCAATTTCAACAAAAAATAAAATATAAAAATAATTTCATAGTGCAAATAATGAATTAGTATGTTGCCACACTAATCTGTAATAAAATTGCAGTTTCTAATCTCATTATTTTTAAAACAAGCAACAGCTAAAACAATACTAAATTGCCATTTAAAAATATAATTCCAATTCAATAGAATATTTCACGTATGCCCTACAGCATACAGCAAACAAAAACATTACACATTGCAGTTCACTCTGTATTTATTTGTGTATTCCATACACAAAGAAAAAATCCAAGTTAACACAGAATGACAGAATTGGACCAAGTCGTAATCTGTCCATCTTTATAGTCCCTGGTGCATCACTCTTATTTGAACCCATTGTTCAAGTGCTGGATCCACAGGGATTGGAGATAGCAACCACTTTGGAAAGGAGCTTAAGCAATTGCAAATCGTCACAAAAGTACTCTGAGAAGGAGAGCTTCCAGCTGATTCTGTGTGGATCAAAGGCTAAAAAAGTGCTACCATGAAGATTAAATATAAATTATCAAAATTTTACAGCAACTACAATTCCTGAAAAAAAAAAATAACAAAAACGCATATTTTCCCCTAGGAAATAGTATTGCCAGCTAATGGTGACAATAAAAACAAAGCATTTTAGTAAGTCATGTTATCATTTTCCACTTCTCTATAGACAATGAATAAACTTTTTGACTGCACTTGGGGCAAACACCCTACTCTTGGAAACAATAGGTGATGTGTTATGAAAGTCAAATGTAGAGATTATTTTAAAGAGGAGATAGCAGTCAACTATTCTCATGAGTCCTGCTGATGGTTACTTAAAATGAGCTCCAAGGTGAGCTCTGAGAATTAACAACTGTAGCTGACAACGATGATGTTATTGATGTCCTTGATGCCGGCAGGTTAAGCTGATGGGGTGTTGAGGAAAGTTTGACCAAAGACGTTCAAGAGAGTGCAAAGAAAAGGAATTGCCTCTGTAAGCATCAGCAACTTCTGAGGAGTACTTACTCTAGAGGGAAGAAAATAAATTAATAGAAAGAGAAAATGTAGAGTGGGGAAATCGTTTTTTAAAATAAGAAAAAGAACATGTTTCCATGTCTGTAAGAAGTCATTCATTAGGGAAACATAAAGAAAGAGGAATAAATACAACAGGAGAAGAAGAATGAGCAAAATGATAGATTAATTGGTTGGTCTCTTGGACAATGGGGTGGATTGAGTTAGCAGAGCTGGGTTTAACAAAAGTGGGCTTTTACCAATATAGGTAATTACATAAAAGATGTAGGGTTTTCAGACTGTGTTCTTGAAAAGTGGACATAAGGGGAGTAGAGAAAAGGAAAAAGTAGTGGAATCCACAAATAAATGAATGGTGTACACATTTAGACTTGTTTAAAATATTTTTATAAACTTCAAGATTAAAATAGTGATGGAGGTAAATCTCTATAAATTAGAGAACACATAGAAATAAAAGTATGTAGTTTATTTCCTGTAGCAACATTTTTATGTGGGAAAAAGTTACTATTAAAATTGTGAAATGAAGTCAACTTTAAATTATGGAGGAAAAGCTTATTCTCTTTTTAAGAAGCATTCAAAAGCAAATTCCATTAATGTATTTATTTAATTATATATTACTTAATTAATATAAGCCTGCTGCATTTTAGCAAGTATGCTATACATTGGAGACAAAAAGACAATTGAGACACTGTTATGACATGTTAAATAAATAATTAGTCTTACATTTCAAGTAAAAAGTGCTAGGATAACAGACTACACTAGGTGGTATGAGAGCACAAAGAAGAGACATCTGAATTTATCAGATTATAGCATTTAAAGAAGGACTCCTGGAAAAACTGAAGTGTGGTCCAGTCGAGAAGGCAAAGAAGGATGAGAATGTCCCAGGAAGAGGAACAGCGTGGGTAAATCCATGATGGTGTGAAAGCATATGGTAAACATGGAGAACAACTTCAGTGTGAATGGTGGGAGGGACCCCACAGGTGAACATTAGGTCAAGAAGCTAGCCAGCAGAGAGATGTCTCAGACACCATTATGCACAAATTAGAGAAAATCACTTTGCATCTTGAAATTATGGATAATGTTTATGCATTTCTTATCTACTGTTACATGGGTCAATACATATAAGAAAGATAAGAAATTATTTCTTCTGAGGGAAGTATCACAATCTTCATTTAGTAGATCAAAAATAAAACCTAATGAATGACACAACATATATTTTTTTTCTGAAATTGCAACCAACAAATAGATTATTACTTAAAAAAATACAATGAGGCCACATACTTTTTTTCATGGCGATTGTAAAGCTTATGAATTTATTGCTAAGGGGATGTAAAATAACCCTCACATTCCTTGATTTCGCTGATGAAAGGTCAGGATCTGTCAGCGTATTCTCCATCCAGCTGAGAAAGGCAGAATTAAACGTTCCTAATATGTTGGAAATAAAGGCAATGTCTTGATTTTACCTGCTAGCAGCCAAAGTCCTTCAGTAGATTGGTGTTTGTCTTCTCCTGGGAAATCACCGAATGCAACTGCCCTCATCAATGTTCCTTTCCTGCTCCTCTTTCCTACTGCCATGGCTTAGTGACAGGCCTCCTGAAAGATGGTAATGTAACCGGACTGCTACAGAATTAGAGTCCAGGCTGTTTCAGGAAAGCAATGTATTTAGTTAGATGTCCTGCCTGCTGCAGTAAAATAACTTAGAAACAAAACACTGATGTTATGGGAAACACTCAAAATTGATAGGCCAAAAAGCCAAGATGTTATAACTTTGCTAACATAATATTCTTTCATTAAAAAGACAAGAATATGAAAATATTGCTAATATTTCTTTAAAATGAAATATACGATGACTCTAATAATTTATCTTATATAAATTGTTGCAATCTATATTTTGGTCTTTTAAAATTGATATTATTTTTACTGTAATAATCAGTACAATACTAGGTAAAATGCACAAGATATAATGGAACAAAAAAGCACCCTAAAAACAACCCTGACTTTTAAGAACATGAATTTATTAAAAGGTTATGAGTTCAATGAGTGAGAGAATCTGAAATGCTAAATTGCTCCTGATGACTAATTTTATTCATATGCATGCTTCAACCATAAATCATGCTCATTAGATATTAAAAATACATAAATAAATAAAGACACTTTATAATGAATTCCACTTTGTTCTCTTTGGTTTTGTTTCAAATCTGTATGGAAGTCCTGGAAATCTTTGTCTGATCATTTGTCTGTCCACATTCGTGCATCTGAAACCCAAACCCTGGGAATGACTAAAAAGTCTCTCCCTCTGAAAATATTTCATAGATAAATGATGTATATGAGAAAGTAAAGACAATAGACTGGGTCACCTTATACCTTTAAATACTTCTCAATTCTCATATATTCACTCTGTAGACTCAGTGCTTGCATTTCCTATGGGTATCCTTTTTTTTTTTTTCCTTTTGTCAGTACTTGGAGAATTACCCTGAGGATCTCTCAGGAAGTCAGAAATGTAAATATAAGTTGAAAATATATACATCCTCTAAAGTTATACTGTAAAAATAATACATTAGTGTCTAAGAAAAGTTTTCCTTAAGAAGCTATCTCTCAGGATTATGAAAATTGACCATATACTTGTTGGATTTACGTAACTCATGTGAAAAACAGTAGTGAAAAGGGGAGAGGTTGGGCAAGTTGATCAACTTTGGACCTATAGAAGGAGAGTAAGTAAAGTAAAAGTTGAAAGTGCTCAACTAAGGCCTGTGGGGGTGTGTGGGGTGGGGGGGCGGGCAGGAGCCAAAGCTGACGGAAAGAACAGACTAGGGCCACTGTTGATGGTATGGCTCTGAGTGGTGGGGTAACATGGGAGGCTGCGAGCATTTTGAGTACCTCCAGTATGGTTGATTAGGTCAATCCAAAGTTAAATAGTTTACAGGGCTGCCCTATTTAATTTAATTTGTTCTGATAATATTCTGACCAAAAAATTTTCTGATTATGCTATATTTCTACATTGATTTAATTCAGTATTTTCATCTATGTGACACATTTATTTAAGACATCTATATAACACATTTATTTAAGACATAAATGCATGCAACTTCTGGTTTTATCTATTATTCTTTTGGAAACACCTGAAATGATTCTATTTCAGCAAGACAATTGTCACTAAATTTCCAAAGTTGAAAGGTATACCATGGGTAAGACAAATAACTTCTGTGATAGGATACCTAACATAAGGTAAAATATGGGCTAAAATAAGTAATCAAGGTAAATAATCCAAATTATAAGTACTCCTTGTAATATTATCCTAGGCTTCTCAGCAAAAACTTCACTGTGTAGGAATCCAGGTATTAAATTTGTATTTAAATGGATTGCCTTCAAATCTCATTCAAAAAATGAGGTTTTATGATTATATGGACAGAGAGTAAAAATAAATTATTTTAGTTATGAAAATTTCATTCGAAAATTATCAATAAAAGAAAAATATACTTCACAAGAAGTAAAAGATTTTCAACTATCACCAACCAATTGCCCATATAAGATCTTTCTAATAATATTGATGATCAATTAATTCAAAATTTTAACATTTGCATATTTTTGGTTTAGATGAATTATGCAACAGATCACACTGATCAATTAATACTTTGGGCATGTCCTTTTTTCAAAGGATTTTCAAATTTATAAATAAATGCCAATTCCATTTGTAGCCTAAGAAACTGAATTTATATCAGAAAATTTTAAAATTACTTACATCTGTCAAAGAAAATATTCCTGCTAGATTATATTATGTTCCAAATTTCTTGGAATTCTGAAACAGACAAATGTTTCTCTTTCTGCTTTATTGGATTATATCACATATATTTAAAATAGTTGTCTTCAATTTTCTGAAGTAAAGAGCATAAAAGGTGTCAGGAATAAATTTCTTACAAGTTTTTGGAATATACATGCAAATGCTATGAACATTAACAGTTTTTGGAACCACTGTTAATGAAAAAAATTAATGATCTTGTGTCTGTTGCAAATGTTTACTGGCTGAATTGTGAAGAGTCTTACAAAGACTCTATTGTTATTTCAAAGTCAAGATCATGAAACAAAATAAATGCTTACCAATTATTCAATAATCAAAAACAAAAAGTGACAGTATGGTTGATGTTTTCTCACTGACATCGCACTGCACATCAATGAAAAAATTGGAAGCACCAATGAAAATGAAAGGAAAAATTTCTTGTGACCTAGTTAAATAGGTTGAGTTGTGTAAAATAAGAGAAAGTGTTGAAACTGAAGCGGTACATATAAGGATGTGAGTCTGCATTTTTCTATCATAAGGCAACATTCAAAAGTTTTTTATTTTTTTATTTTTATTTTTTTTAATAATCCACAGAGTCATAGGCTTTGCCTGAAAAAGAGAAGAAAAATCTGAAAGGAGCTTTTTAGATATTAATAAAGTTATCATTACTCTTCAATTCAGGCAATGTTCGTTTCAATTTGATGAAACTAACACCAAGCAAACAAAATAACTAGAGAAGTTGTGCAATTTAAACATCTGTAGATTTTAATGAATATGCTTTTATTTGAAAACCAAATTATAATTATAAGGAAACATTGTTTTCTATCAAATGCAGATTTGAAAAACATTATTTTGATACTTGATATACATTTTTTTTTTTTTTTGAGACGGAGTATTGCTCTGTCGCCCAGGCTAGAGTGCAGTGGCCAGATGGCCAGATTACTGCTCACTGCAAGCTCCGTCTCCCGGGTTCACGCCATTCTCCTGCCTGGCGCCCGCCACCACGCCCGGCTAATTATTTTTTATTTTTTATTTTTTTATACGTATATTTTTAGTAGAGACGGGGTTTCACCGTGTTTTGATCTCCTGACCTCGTGATCCGCCCGCCTCGGCCTCGCAGAGTGCTGGGATTACAGGCGTGAGCCACCGCTCCGGGCCACACATTTTTAAAGAAAGATAATTTTGAAAAATCATAGTTAGATGAAACTACTTGAACTCTACATTTTATGATATCTATAGCTAGATGTCATATTTGCAATGAAAATTCAGAGCCTAAATTGAGATATGCTGTAACCACAAAATAAACATTAAATTTTGAAAACTTTATAATGAAAAACACAATGTAATATGTCTCAATATTTTTTATATGTTGAAATAATCATTTGTGTATATTGTAATAAATAATGTTAATAAAGTTAATTTTACTTATTTTTGTTTTTACTTTTTACATGTGGCTACTAGAAAAAAATTAAATTATATGAATGATTTACATTAAAATTCTGTTAGACAGAACCGATATACTATTGTTTTAAACCAATTGTGTAAATTTTATATAATGCAGCCAAATTTTTGGCATTTTTGCAGTTTTTATCTCCAAATAGATTATGAACTCATGAAAGGGATTCACTTCTCCATAAAACTATACATAATTTGCATATTCAAAAAATATTTGTTGAACTGATTGGATAATGGATGTGGCTATCAGCAGTAGGAAGAGGGTCAAATTTAATTTTTGATGGAAAACTTTTATCTCTACCAAGTATAGACAATGTCAGGGTGCCAAACATTTAATGGTTCCATTGCCTTTATACATCAAACAAATATTTATCACAGGTTACTATTTTCCAAATGTTGAACATATTTAAATATTTTTCATTCATAATATCATCCCTCAATAAATGTTTCTGTAGTAGAGGAAAGCAACAAATTATCAAGTAGATATAATGCCGTTTGATAAATAATTTTAGGAGCATGAAAAAGGCACTATTGAATCACTCACACACACCCGCACAAATGAAATCTAATTTATTCTGAGCATAATTAATTGAGAACCCTGGGAATGCCTGATTTAAAGGGAGACAGAGGAAAATAAATCTATGAAGAAGACAAAGAAGTAGTGGCGTATGAGGATTGAGGAAAACCAGATGGTGTAAAGAAAGCCGAGTGAAGAAAGTGTTTAAGTGAGAACTGACAAGATATACATGGATAAAGCTAGGGCAATTATAAGAATTACAATATTCTCAATAAAATTAATAGCAATGAGAATCATGTATGTTACTGGAAACGTTTGCATAAAATGATAGGGACAGAGCTAGATGGCAGTAGACTGAGGATAAAGAAAGAAGAAGTATAAACATGTGGACAATTTGTAAGGATAACTTAGTCAACAAACAATACAAAATAACATGAAGGAGAGAAAGAGTACTAGTTAGGATGCAGCAAGAGGTTGAGAAGACTTTCTTAAGTTAGAAGCATTTAACCTGTGAAGCAATGTCAGCAAAATAGCAAAAAAAAAAAAAAAAAAAAAAAAAAAAAAAAACAGAAATGAAGAGAAAAAAATGTGGGACAGAATTCCTGAAATTTTTGAATATTTTGATATATAGGCATTCAGGTCAGAGGAGGAAATGGCAGGGGGGAGACATAAATAAGAGAGTTCACAAGTAGATGATATTTGGATTTATAAGACTTCTGTAGTGAATGAAGAAAGAATAAGATTACAGAGGGACCGAGACCAAGAAGGGAGTACCTCTAAAGCACTGCAGCATAGGATAAATCAACAAAGAAGAGTGCATAAAACATCTAATGAAATACGAAAATAATCAGGATACTGTGGACTAACGGAAGTCAGCAAATAGTTTTAACAGGAGAGTAAACACAGCTGAAAAGATAATTATTGCATTGGAATGTATATTAAAAGACAAGAAGAAAAAAGTAAACACAGAAGAGAGGGAAAGATACATAAATACTACTATGAGGAAGTCTAACATACATGTTATCAGAAGCCTAGATACCAATATATATCTGTGATTATATTAGATATAAATAGACAAAATACAAATATGTCTGCCTTGATTTCTTAAAAACTCAACTGTGTGACACAACATACAAGAAGAAAGAAATATCAAAAGTAAAATCATGGAAAAAAGATACATCACTAAATAACTGATCAAAATAAAGCTACTGTGGTTATATTAAAATTAGATTTTAAAGCAAAAAGTATTGTGGGAAATAAAGAATATTTCATAGTAATACAAGGTTAATACCATCAGGAAGATTTGAGATTTATATATTTGCGTGCAAGTAAGCACAGCCTCAAAATAAATAAAAAATTGACCCAAATATAAGATAAAATGGATAAATCTACATTCATAATGGATAGTTTAAAGCATCTCATGAAAAGCTGCACAAAACAATTACATGAAATTAGTAAGGATATAGAAGTTTAGAGAAGCATGATTAACAAAAGAGATTAGTTGAGAAATACAGTGCACTGCTTCCCAGAAGTCAGAATGCATGTTCTTTTCAACTACACTTGAAACATTTTCAAAAATTAAGCATATCTTGGACCATTAATCAAGCCCTTAAAAATTTCAAAGGATTAAATTATACAAAGTATGCTTTTGAACCACAGTAGAAATAAGTTAGAAGCAGTAACAAAAAGATAACTATAAAATTACCCTTAATACTTTCAATTAAGAAATACATAAAGAAGAAATTAAACAATGAGTATTGGGACATGTTTTGAATTGAGTAACAATATAAATAATACGTGTTAAAATGTGTTTAATTGGAAAAGGATAATTTTATAAGGAAATATAATCTTATATGTTAGGAAATAAGAGATTTTTAAAATAACCAATAAATATCAGTTCTAATAAACTGGAAATATAGCAGCAGGAATTAAGGTTATTGAATCAGCATTCTACTCATTTAGAAGTTAGATACTTTAATGTACTTAATTTGGGCAGTGTCTATTTGATCTCAGCTAGTCTTCCCAAAGTTCACCAAAACACTAGTCTATTTGGGATTTGGATAAAATAATCAAAATCTTTAGAATTCTCAAGAATACACTCTTCATTGAGGTGGTGTTGATAGATAATCTATCGGAGAAAATATATTACTATCTTTTCTAAATACTCTCCCTTGACATACTGGAAAATTGTGCATAATTCTTATGAGCATTTGGAACTGTCTCAAAGGATATTGTCAGAATTTTTGTCCTATATGTGCTATGAGTGTGTTCAAGATGCCTATGAAGTGCACTAGTCAATGATGTTTTACACTGCAGTGATTTAAAACATATCTGACAACAAGGTAATGGATTTCTTCTTTCTTATAAAACATCTATAACATTCTTTATTTTTTTTACTAATCATTACTGATACCTAAAATTGTTTAATTGAAGAATTATTAATTTGAGCAGCTTTTACAAAGAACCATAACATGTTGTGAAAAACTTGATCCTAGAAAATACCAGTGAACATTATTGGGTATTACAATAACAATTAAGGTCTCCTAGCAAAGTTTATAGCATTACACAGAAACACATGTCAAAATTGTAAATTTAAAGCTTTATTTTGTTTCCGAAACTTTTTATTTTATTTTATGGAACATCATATATAAGATTTCTGTAGAATATATATGCTCGTTAACATTAATTTTATTTGCAAGAATGACAGAGCCTTATGAGTAAACAGAGTCACACATATACTAATATTTTATAGCAAGGACTTTAAGAAACACTGACTGATTTGATGATGATAGCTTTTCATATTATGCTCCCAAAAATGACAACCTCAACTTTTTACAGAAAACAAGAACAAGAAATGGAAACATTTTCAGCTTGTCTTCAATGAATTCCTTTAATCAGTAAAGCCCTTTTGTTGACAGTTAAGCTTTAATTATTTCAAGAATATTCAACTTTCTTGGCATTTTTTCAAATTTTGTGACTGATTTTTTAATGAGTTAGATTACATAAAGGTAAATACGTTAGTGATAAAGGCAATACTGTCATTTCAAATGATTTTGGGTAGTGGTGGGCAGAAAGCTTCAGTATGGTACCTGTGGCATGGGTCTCTCACTTTGGTTTAAGAGGTTATCAAGTTTGATGGGTTCACTGTCTTGAGGCCATGTCAGCCTAGTACCACACATTGAGGAAAGCCAACATCAGAAGAAGAAGGAGAAAGAGGGATTTTCCCTAGAACATAAATCAGAGCTAGTCTCATCTGCCCATCACCATCTTTCTTAAGTGAGAGTCTCTCTTTATTACCTCAGCCCAAAGGATTAGGGATCACAAGTTCCAAGTGAATAACTCAAAGAATGATGCCTTCCCCACAGAAATTAGGGCGTCTAAATACTCCATTGCCATACTAAAAGCTGTTGTCCATATCGCTGAAGCCTAATCAATGTTCTTGCCTATATTTTGTGGGGCCACTTTTCTGTTTCTTGACATTGTTTTGGACATGTGAACTTCATGAATTACCTTGCATCCATGAGCTTTATAAGTTATCTCTTAGATATTGCCCCCAGATCCAATTAGTGAGAGCATGTTTTCATTTGAGTTTGCCAGTGACCATGTTATATAGTAAACTAAATAACATTCTATTTGGTTATCTTTGACATTATGTTTGAGGATGTTATCCATTCAAGCTCACTTAGCAAAGTAACAAAATTGCCACCTTGCTCTGTCTCCATTATACAAACACACAGATAACATTTCAAAAATGAGGGAAAAAGAAAGCAGTTTGCAATGTGAATTGAAACAAAAATAAATGAAAAATAAAAATAAAAAGATCCTGGTCTCCTTGACTGTTTCTCATCCTCCCCTCTCAAAATAAAATAAAATAAAATAAAAATACATTTTTTCCCTGTAAGTTACACATTTCCTACAAAACAAAATTTTATCTGTGAATTTTGGTACAGTGATATCTGGAGATAAGCAACAACATTTGCAGAGATAATAATTCAATGAAAAACATGTTGCTTTTCTTTCTGGAACAGCTGTTAAGAATATTTCATAATCTTTTGGAGTTTCTGATTTTGCTACAAATACCTGTTTCATTTATGTTTATCTGTTAGTCAAAGCCGAACAGTCTTGCTTTTTTAAAAAAAACATAAAGAAGACTTCTGAAAATGCTTATATCTCTCAGTCTTTTTTTATACTTTGTTACAAAAGCTGTTATAATATGCATAATATAGCAGGGTAACTCCAAAATACAAAACTAGAAGCAGGAAATTTCTTCCTTCTCATGAAAATAGACTGTATACCTACTATCATTACAAATATAGTGAAGTCTGTGGAATCAGATTGGCTTGGTTTATATCTTAACTCTGCTAATTCCTAGCTCTGTGTTCTTTAGCAAATTACTTCAGTCAACCTCATCTTCATCAGTAACATTGAGTTAATAATAGTACCTTGTTTATGAGGCCTTTGAAAGTATTGAAGAAAATAGTATATGTAAAGAACTTAGCTTAGAGGCTGGTATATTAAGCAGCCAATACATTTTAGCTATAATTACAATTACCACGAATTCAGATTCTCATGTGAAAAAAATAATTCTCTCACATATACTTTTTCATAATTCTCACCCCTCAGGAATATTTTAAGAAAACTGAAATTTACCAGTGGAAAGCCATATAGAAACTCATTTGGGGCCAGGCACAGTGGCTCATGCCTGTAATGCCAGCCCTTTGGGAGCCCAAGGAGACGGATCACCAGAGGTCAGGAGTTTGAGACCAGCCTGGCCAACATGGTGAAACCCCATCTCTACTAAAAATAAAGAAAATTAGCCAGGCAAGGGGGCACACGCCTGTAATTCCAACTACTTGGGAGGCAGATGCAGGAGAATGGCTTGAACCTGGGAGGCAGAGGTTGCAGTGAACCGAGATCGCACCACTGTACTCCAGCCTGGGCTGCAGAGCGAGACTCTGTCTCAAAATAATAATAAAAATAATTAAGAAATTAAAAGAAATCTTTATTTATTCAATAAAAATTTATTGCCTGGAAGAAGTGCAGCTACTTCAATGAGGTATTCAATGAGCTTATAGCTTACTAATTAATGTATCCCACATTATCGCTACCAAAATCTAAACTGAATATATATGGCATAGAAATGATGATTATGAAATATGTTCATAAAATTATACCACAGATGAGTATATCACTATTAAATAAGAATAAATTTTAAAATAGACTAGGTTTCCATCTGGGATATGGTCTACATTTCTAATAAAACACATTATATAAGATACAGGTAGAAAAATAAATTTAACATTTTAATACAGACAACAAATATACATTTATTAAATTCTAGTTTTAATAATGACAATGAAATCTTCAGAAAAGGGGAGTTATTTTTTAAGTAAGAATGCAATACTATGCAATCAGAACTTTAAAAGTAACATAGACATTTGCTGTCTCTAAATGATTTAAAATCGGACAATAATGGAAAGAATTAAACTTAGGAACTCTTACCTTGAATGGTGAGTTTACCAAAGAGAGTCCATTACACTCCAACAACCTCTAGATATTTCTCTGGAGTAGATATTTGTTGTCTTATTTAACATTTTCTGAATATCTAAATATTAAAGAAAAATATGGGGATTCTAATCTTTGTAATATCCCTGTAGATAATATAGATTTCATAAAATGAAGAATTGTCATTGAAAGCAAGTTTATTTTCCTCTCTCACTAAATAAAATTATCTAATGTTGAAATTATTGAGCATATTTGGTTGAAATCCTATGAATGCCATACAAGTACAAGAACGAGTTTCAGCAAATATCAGAATTCAAAAAGCCTTTTAAAAAGTTATTTTTATTAAAAATTTAATTATCTCTGTGTTTCAATGAAGTTTTCATAACAGCGAAGAGTAAAAAATGATTAAAACTACTTTTATGGTCAAGATGGAGTAGCACAGACTAGAATTATTGCTAGTATGAATGTAAAATAGTGCAACTTTAGAAGATATAGCAGTTTCTTAAAATACTAAACATATACCTACCTACCATATGATCCAGCCATTCCACTGCAAAGTATTTCCTTCAGATAAATAAAAGCATATGCCCACAAAAAGACATCTAGAGAGATGTTCACAGCAACTTTATTTATTATAGCCCAGATATAGTTTGACTGTGTCCCCACCCAAATCTCATCTTGAATTCCTTGTGTCGTGGGAGGGACAATGTGGAAAGTAATTGAATCATGGGGGCAGGTCTTCCCTGTGCTGTTCTCATGACAGTGAATAAGTCTCATGAGATCTGGAGGTTTTATAAGGGGGTGTTTCCCTGCACAAGCTTTCTCTTCTCTTGTCTGCCATCATGTGAGACGTGCCTTTTACCTTCTGCCATGGTTTTTAGGCCTTCCCAGTCACATGGAACTGTAAGTCCATTAAACCTCTTTCTTTTGTAAATTGCGCAGTCTCAGATGTGTCTTTTCCAGCAGTGTGAAAACAGACTAATACAAGCCCCAAACTGGAAAGAACATAGTAACCTTTAATAGGTGAATGGATATAAAACATTGTGATACTTATATAGAGTGGAATACACTTCAGTAATAAAAAGTCTTAAGTAACTAATACTCAATGACATGACTATATCTCAAAATAATTATGCTTAATGAAAAAAGCTAGATACAACAGTACATACCATACCACATAAATCCATATTTATAATGCAAAGTAATCTGTAGTGACAGAAAGCATGTCAGTGATTTTATGGGGACTATGTGGTGGAATGAACTGGAGAGATAGATATCAGAAGGAAAGAGAATTTAAAGTCAGATAGTTGTCTCTTGGAAAAATATTTGTGCTTTTGAATGAGATGCCAGTTTCATAGCTTCACAGAATATTATTTGTATTTGAAAGAAGATAAATTGTGATTATTCAGATTTCAGTTTTAAGTGGATATAATCTGGAGAATAAAGAAAACTTGTCAATTTAAGAAAATGAATTGATAGCATTTTTGTCAATAATACAGTTGACTCTACAGTGAAAAATTATAACTTGGGAAAACTTTTATTAGCCACTGTGAGCTTGACTTCTTCCAAATACTTAAGGTTTCTTATGATGAGATTAATGATAACAACAAATGTGATCTTCTGATATTGTAAATGAAATGTATCTAGACTTTTGAAATATCTAAATAAATCATTGAACCAATATTTTCAAAATGATCAATGCATCATATTATAAAATCATACATGGGGTAAAATACTCATGCAAAGTGCAAGAGCAACCATTCAGTACTAAATGTGTAAAATTTCACTGGACTGCATAGGTACAATGGACTGGGCTATTGACTGCACACATAAGGTGTACTTCCTTTGGTAGTAAATACCGTCTAATTCTAAATTTTATCTTTAGGTTACACATGCAAAAAGAAGTGAATACAATGATTGAAAAGCATCAATTTTAAAAATGATTAATCTTGTCTAACCACAATATTTACCATAGCCAACTGGATTCACGTTCAAATTTACCACTGTAATGAAATTATCATGAAGACCAGGGGTGTCAGTAAGGAATTTATTAACATACAAAGAAGCCACTGATGCTCATAAAATCTCTACTACTTGAAACTTACCTGGGCATGTGCTTTTAAGCAAGTCCAATATGGCTAATGAGAACAAATATTCTAACCTATTCAATAACAACCCTTATGGGTGTCTGTCAAATATCATGACTGTTTTTTCAAGTCAAATATTGCCATACCCAATAAAGGCTCTTGTATTTTAAGTAAATTCCTAGGCAAACTTGGAAGGAGAAAGGGAAGAAGAAGTTCATGTGATTTGTTGGGGTTGTAATGTTTCTAAATCCTAGTACAGCAGGCCCTAGAATAACATTGTTTTGTTCAATGTTGTCTCATTTAACATTGATGAGAAAAAAAAGAGATTGCTGACTAGGGCCACTGTCTATGTAGAGTTTGCATGTTCTCCCTATGTTTACATGGATTTTTTTCTGGATACACCAGTTTTCTTCCACATCCTAAATATGTACATGTTAGGTTAATTGGCAGGTCTGAATTGTTCCAATCTGAGTGAGTGTGAGTTCCTGTGTGAATATGCCCTGTGATGGGATGTCATCCTTTCCACAGTGGGTCCCACCTGGTTCCCTGAGCTGCCAGGAGAGGCTCTGACTACTTGCAACACTGAACCAGAATACTTGGGTAAATAATCACTTTATTTGTTTTTATTACTCGTTCTTAAATGTATGTATACCTCACATTTATTTCAATGTTTAATATTAGAAATGTTTTGGTCTTCACATAGGATTTTAAAAATATTTTTGTGACCAAAATATGCCATGAGAACTTAACTATTGTTTTTTTAAAATAGCCTATGATCTAACTGGTCATTTTACACAAAGTCACAGTTTCTAAGAACCTATCACTGACCTTAAATGAGGACTTACTGTTCTCTGTCTCTCTTTCTCTCTCTTAATTTACTTTGATTTCAGCAGATGGTAGAGAGGTTCTAATTGCTTGAATTGATAACAGTTAGAAGAACACAAATTTTGGTGTTCTTTAGTCTTCAGGACAATACATAATGGCCATGATCTCCAGAGAAATAATTCTTTATTCTTGCCAAGAGTAATGGCAAGCTTTTCTCAGACATAGTTCTGAGATTGGAGGATGTTGTAGTAGTTCTTATGCCCATGCAATTGAATCTTTCTACTTTGCAGCCACACTCGCCTGAGACTGGGGTCATTTTCATGGCTAATGTAGATTTCCTGAAAAGCTTAATGCTCAAAGGAAAGGACAAACAGGCTCATACTGAAGAGAATACTAGAGCAAAGATTATCTTAAAATTCTCCCATTTAAGAAAAATATTGATGGTCAGAACAAACCTCCTGCCTATTTTTCTGTTTATAATTTTGCCTATCAAAATTGCTATGAGGCCAGTTATATTTGGTTAATGCATTAGATAAAATCAAGTGCATAGATTTCATTATACTAGGAATAGTTTCATCATCGTGGACTCCATCAAACATTTTAAAAATAAATAGTTTGTTTTATAAGGCTAAATGACTATGATTCTGTTAGCCTGAATCCATTGATCTTTCTGGAAAAAATAAACAAACTGTAGTTATAAAATAAAGAAATCTGAATACACAGATGCCGATCATTACTCAACCCTATTGAAATTTATACCCTAAATAGTATAAATAAATGCCTAAGTGCATTGTATTCAGAAAAGTCCAGGTTTATTTCCTGATTCTGTCAGTAAGTTTTCTGTTTTGGGAAGTTGTTTTTTTTTTTTCTTTAATCCACCCTGAGTTTTAACTTTCTCATCTAAAGAATGGGAATGATCATATTGTCTGGAGAAGTTGTAAATATCACAGTACCTATCACGTGAGAAATATTTAATAGATATGAGTCACATTTCCAACCATTCTTTTAATAAAAAGTTGTTCTAATTGTCTGAGCAGCCTTATAGATATCTTTTAATTTGATTGTATTTATTAAAATAAAACTGCTCCCGTTAAGACTATGGATCTAAGTCCACCAATCTGCATTATTCATTCATTGTTACATGACATTGTAACAGAGATGGATCCATTGTGTAGTGAGTAAACGCTATCAGTAATTGGTCATCGTTCTTTCACTCATACATCCAGATTTAAATCTGTCATGCTTTACTCCTCAAAAAAGTTGTGAATAATGAAAATTTCAGTAATAACGTATGCTGCTTTGTTGAGAGGTACAACTCATTTGTAGCCGGAATGATAAGAAACTGCAATTCCACTGCCATTACAATTGGAGTTCTGCCAGGATACATCCTTTCTCAAATATTTTTTTCCCTTTATTCTTGAAGTGATGTGAAAAGGCATTTTGAGATGTGTTCTATAGCTAACAATCAACCACATGAAGAAGAAAATAACTAGAAGGCTGTTTCACAAAGGAGTCTGTGGTTCATTTATACCAGTATTGTTTTAATTGTTTTTAAAATACAGATTCCAAGGCTTTATTCCAGAACAATTGAATCAGAACTGGGGGGAGTGGGTATTCCCAGAAATATACATTTTAAAGACATATTTCCAGTTCTAAAGAACAATGACAAAACATGAAGAATCATTTTCTAACATGCATATCCTACAATAATTGTGGCTCCACTTCAGCGGGAAACCCAAGCTGTTACAAATCTTAAGGAAGTGCCTAAGCTACAAACACTACTTGAATGCTTGGGTATGTGAACTTCATGATTTCATTCTGCCTCATATGCTGTGATACTATGCTCATCTCTAGATTCAATCACAATTGCGGATTTCATTTAGTCATTTTTGGATGTGCTCAAGTATATTAATTGAGTAGCTACAAAAGAAATAAACTGAATGGCGGACATTACAAGGAAAAATAAAACACATATCTAAAAACTTATGATAAAGAAGAAAAGAAAAACTGCAAATAATAATAATGTAAATTAAAATAAAATAGTGTCTTAGCCAGCTTGGGCTGTCATAACAAATTATCATAGACTGTGTGGCTTCAACAACATAAATTTATTGTCTTACAGTCTGCGGGGGGCAAGAGGTCTGAGATCAGGATGCCAGCATAGCTGGGCTCTGGGGAGGACTCTTCCTGACTCGTAAATGGGTGCCTTCTCTCTGTGTCCTTACCTGACCTTTACTTGATATTTGTATATCGAGAGAAATCTCTCTCCCCCCACCCCCTTTCTCTTTCTCTCTCTTCCTGTTCTTACCAGACCACAATCCTATTAGATTAGGACTTCACTCCTATTTGCCTCATTAAACCTTAGGTGCCTCCTAAAAGCTCTATCTCCAATTACATTGGGTGTTAGGGCTTCAACATGAATTCATTCCATAGCATATAGATTCCAGAAAAATGGTAAAACTAGCATGTAATTATACAGAGAAGAAAGGTTCAAATTCAATAGGATAAAGGACCATCAAGAATATCTTTTATGGTAAATGTGATATTAGATTTACACCTTGAGTTGCCAGACCATGAGATGATAATAATAGATGTTTGGAGGACAGAAAAAGGATTAAATTACCCTCAATATGAATTCTTGAAGTACCCTGTCTTCAGGTCATTTTTTCCTTTCTTATATTATATCCTTAGCTGGGGTTTTTGGATGTCACTTATATTTTCTCACTGTAATGTTGGTATCCAAAAAATGCCTGGGGATGAGTTGTTGGTCTAAAGATTGCAGGCATTTTCTTGCTTAGGTAAAACTATCACATATCAGACTCAGAAAAAGAGAAATCTTTATAGATCTTAAGTTTAAAACTTTAAAGTATTAGCAAATTCTTTATCTAAGGATCAAAAATCTTTTGAAGAACTGTGAGTAAAGCACAACTGAGACTTTGCATGCTTCGGGGAGCAGAACCCTGTCAGTGGCTGATTATTATTGTTTCACCCGTATATCCAGATTTAAATCTATCACACTTTTCTTTATAAATAGCAGCTGTAACTTATATTTTATATATAAACACTAAATACCTCATTAAAAAAAATTCTATATTCCACCTACAATAATTTGAGGAGCATCTGTATGTTCCTAAAAATGCATTTCTAGCAACAACAATTAACTGGTGGTGTTGAAACCACTTGAACAAGCAATTTATATTCTCCAGTCCATTTGCATAAACTATATTCTAAGAAAAAATACACAAATATGAATAGGACTAAAGTACAGTAATTAATTTTATTGATGTTCAAGTGGAGAGATGATTTAAATGCTGAGAAAGATGGAAAAATATGTAAAAACAAGACAATCTCACGTACACAACGACAGTAAATTTATAATACGGGAATTGCACTCACCAACTAGTAAAGCTGTAAACTAATAAAGCCTTCAGTTTCTTAAATAAATAAATTTATAATCTTTTGTAGAAGAATTACAGAGGTAGCCAGTCTAAGGTTAATATGGTGGTTTCAGAAACCCTTGAAGGACTTGAAGTCCTTCTGTCTTTCTGAGCACCATAATTTCTATCTATCTTCAAAGACAGGAAATGGTTATTGGAACTCTTATCATTAGGTTCAAGTTGCAGGAAGCACAGAGGGTGTTTTTTCAGATGAGAAAATCCTTTTCAAATGATTTTTCAGGCATTTCAGTTACATCTCATTGTACAATCAATGTGAAACAATGGCATGGAGAAAGAATTTTTTTTTGTTTGCTATTACTAATCTAATTTTGTTTCTCCATCCAAATAAGATCAAGAAGGGAAACAGGATGAATGCATGCTGGATACTCCATCATAAGAAAGTTAAAAGTTTATTATTTTTAATCTACAAGATAGTTATCCTACTGTTATTGAACTAGTTGGAAAAGACGTCAAAGACTTGTCTTTTTGTAAAAAAGAATAAAAAGCACTGCTCAGACATTCACCATGCCAAATCAGGACTAGTTCCAGCTGTGACATGTCTAAAAATGTGTTCTCTGGTTATGCTTTAAATTTAGTTGAAAATGTCTTTGTTCTTGATATTTTACCAACATATTTTTGTTACTTTACTTGTTCCAGGACACGTGGATCACATCTAAAACGTAAAACATCACTTGAAATGTTCACAGTATGTATCTCTCAATTTCTAGCCAAGAAATGACTATGTAGGTTATATATCTCACTAAAAATACAAAAAATAAGATTACATTGAAGAAGAACACTCACAGAATTGCTTTAAGCCAAGATGTGTCACAATAAAAATGAAACTTCTTGCTACTAAATGTAATTTAGAATAACGTGATTATAATGAATTAAGGCAAAAATTAACTCTTATAGAGACTGGTATAAAGCAGGGTGAAAAAGGAGGCAGTTAGTTTTTCTATAGTTACCTTATAATCACATTGTTTCTTGTGGCCATGATCACAGGCTAGTCACATAGAAATATTGTAAAGTACACAGTTTGTAAATAACTTGCCTCAAATCACATGTCCACTCATCAGATATATTAAGTTATTTAACTCGTTTCTTAGTAATGCCTGTTTCTGTAAATGACCCTTGAGAAAAAAAATTTAAGAAATTAATATACATACAGTTTTTGTAATACAGGCAGATCATTCCACATCTTATCACTGAGAATGAATTGAGCCATGAAATACTAGTGATAGCATGGGGTTAGCACCAGATATCTACATTGTTGTTTAAAAAACACTGGAGGATTTATAATATAAAACATGTGGTTTAATATTAAATCTCAACTTCTTAGTAGAAATATTTGTCTGCCTGTCAATCATGTTTTTAGGAAAGAGTTGTCCTCCAATTTATTTCCTAAGATTTAAGTTGTACTTAGTATGACTGACTTCTAGTTTAAAGTTTACAGCAGCGATCAAAACCTGGTCAATCATAATTGCTACTCCACGGGTCACAGAGTTTAATCCAGGCATTCATGTCACAAAGTAAACTGATCTACGTCCTTTTGTGGGGACCACTATGGATTCTGAATAGAGTTTTTCCTCTTTATAAGATAATAGCAAATAAAACCCACAATGTTATTAGCTATACATAAAAAATTTAAAAGCCCTCAGCCTGACAAATAATAGGCAGATAAAATGGTTGACAGACAAATAAAAATCCTTAAACTTATAAGATTGACAATAGATTGATATTTTTATTTTATACCTGAAAATAACATAGATCCTTATAAGAAAGTTCAGGTAATACAGGGTAATAGAAAGAATACAAAATATTAATTTTGAAAGTCTACCCATTGCTAAGTATATACATTTATGCAAATTCCTTAACATCTAGGTCATGTTATCACCTGAGAAATAAGTTTAATACTTTTTAAAACTTATTTGGTTAATGCATGTAGTCAGAAATGGCTATAGAATTTGTGGTGCCTTGTATAAAAAGAAAATGTGGGTTCCTTGTTTTAAAAGTATTAAAAATGGAAACACAGTGATGCAGAGAATTAATCTAAGTGTAGGGTCCTATGTAACTAGACAGATCATATGTCCATGAAGCAGGCCCTGTTTGTGGTGGATTAAATATGGTCATCATTCTTTACAAATTCTCCCATATAGCTTTAATTTTCCCTTCTCTTGAAATGGAATTAGCTCTGTAACTGGCACTGACTATTATAATATGGGGAGAATGATGCTGAAGCATTGTACATTCACCATTCTCAAAACTATGGGTGAAGTTTGAAAATTCTGAGACCACCATACCATGAGAAAGCCAAGGCTAGCCATCTAGACAGAGAGAAAGGCCATGTAAATGAGCAAGGTGAGAAACATGTGAGTGAAGTTTTAGTTCCCCCTCACCAGACAAGGCACCCACTGATTGCAGCCAAGTTAATGAATCCAACAAACCCCACCGCCCAAATTCTTGACCTACAGAATCATGAGGACAAAAGATGATATGGTTTTAAACCATTAAGTCACAGGGAAGTTTGTAATAGAGTAATAAATAGCCAAACAAATAGTACTGAATATTTTTATAAACTTTCAATAATATTAATAAAGTAACATTACTTTACTATTATTCTCTCTGGGTTGAAGCAAACAATCTGGATTTGTTATGAGCTATTTTTGACCTATAGTAGTCCCCTGAAATTAAAAGTATTTTGCATGATAGTATCAGTACAGTTGTAGATTACATAATATCATAGGCAAAATAATGACCTTCAAAGGTCTGCAAATCGTAATTTGCAGAACCTGTGGATATGTTACTTTATATAGTACCTTAGTTCCTAGAACTGTCATATAAAAAATGACCACAAAGTTAATATCTTTAAATAACTGAAACTTTTTGTCTCATAGTTCTGGAGGCCAGAAATCTGAAATCAAAGTATTGGTAGGGCAACTTCTGCTGAAGTTTCTAGGGGAGATTCTTCCTTGCCTCTTCCAGCTTCTGGTGGCTTCATGCATTCTAATATGGTTTGTCTGTGTCCCCACCCAAATCTCATCTTGAATTGTAGCTCACATAATCCCCACATGTGGTGGGAGGGACTCGGTGGGAGGTAATTGAATCATAGGGGTAAGTTTTCTCCTGCTGTTCTCACAATAGAGAGTAAGTCTCATGCGATCTGATGGTTTTATAAAGGGTAGTTCCCCTGCACACCCTCTTATCTGCCAGCATGTAAGACATGCCTTTACTATTCCTTCACCCTCCACCATGATTGTGAGGCCTCCTCAGCCAAGTGCAACTGTGAGTTCATTAAAGTTCTTTATCTTTAAAAACCACCCAGTCTTGAGTAGGCCTTTATTAGTAGTGTGAGAACAGACTAATACAGTAAATTGGAACCAAGGGTGGGGTGCTACTGTAAAGATACCCAGAAATGTAGTAGTGACTTTGGAACAGGCAGGGGTTAGAAAAGTTTGGAGGGCTCATAAGGAAGTACAAAAATGTGGGTATGTCTGGAACTTCCTAGAAACTTGGAGGGCTAAGAAGACAGGAAGATGTGGGAATGTTTGGAACTTTTTAGAGACTTGTTGAACAGTTTTGACCAAAATGCTAATAGTGATAAGGACAATAAAGTCCAGCCTGAGGTAGTCTCAGATATAGATGAGGAACTTATTGGGAACTGAAGCAAAGGTGATTCTTGCTGTGTTTTAGCAAAGACACTGGTGGCATTTTGCCCCTGCCCTAGAGATCTGTGGAACTTTGAACTTGAGAGAGATGATTTAGGATATCTGGCAGAAGAAATTTCTAAGCAGCAAAGCCTTCAAGATGTGACTTGTGTGCTCTTAAAAGCACTGTTTTATTCATTTACAAACATATAATTTGGATTAGAACTTATGTTTAAAAGGGAAGCAAAGCACAAAAGTTTGCAAAATTTGCAGCCTGATGATGCAACAGTTAAGAAAAATCCATTTTCTGAGGGGAAATTCAAGCTGGCTGCAGAAATTTGTATGAGTAACGAGGAGCCAAATGTTAATTACCAAGACAATGGGGAAAATGTCTCCAGGGTACCTCAGAGATCTTCACAGCAACCCCTCCCATCACAGGTTAGAGGAGGGAAAAATGGTTTTCTGGGCTGGGCCCAGGGCCTGGCTGCTTTGTGCAGTCTTGGGACTTGACACCCTCCATCCCACCCATGACTAAAAGGGGCCAATGTACAGCACAGCCTGTTGCTTCAGAGGGTGCAGGCCCCAAGCATTGGCAGCTTACATGTGGTGTTGGACCTGTGGGTGCATAGAAGTCAACAGTTTAGGTTTGTGAAGCACTAGCTAGATTTCAGAGGATGTATGGAAATGCCTGGATATCCAGGCAGAAGTGTGCTGCAGCGATGACACACCCACTGTGGCACTGCCTAGTGGAGCACCACCCTGCAGACCCCAGAATGGAAGATCTACCAACAGCTTGAAACATGCACCTGGAAAAGCTGCAGACCTCAATGACAGCCTGTGAAAGTAGCCAGAAGGGAGGTTGTACCCTGAAAAGCCAAAAGGATGGAGCTGACCAAGGCTGTGGGAGCCCACCTTTTGCATCAACATAATCTAGATATGAGACATGGAGTCAAAGGAGATCATTTTGGATCTTTAAGGTTTACTGACTGCCCTATTGAATTTTGGATTTGCATGCAGCCTGTAGCCCCTTTGTTTTGGCCAATTTCTCCTATTTTAAATAGATGTATTTATCCAATGCCTGTACCCCCATTGTATCTAGGAAGTAACAGGTCTACAAGTCAAGGAATGCAGACAGCCTCCAGTTGCTTTAGATTTTACAGGCTTGTAGGCAGAAGGGACTTGTCTTCTCTCAGATGAGACTTTGGGCTGTGGACTTTTGAGATAATGCTGAAATGAATTAAGACTTTGGGGAACTGTTGGGAAGACATGATTGTTTTTAAAATGTGAGGACGTGAGATTTGGGAGCAGCTCAGGGAAAAATAATATGGTTTGGCTGTGTTCCTATCAAATTTCATCTTGAATTGTAGCTTCCATAATCCCCATGTGTCATGGGAGGGGCCGGTGGGAGGTAATTAAATCATGGGGGTGGGTTTTCTTTTGCTGCTCACATGATAATGAATAAGTCTCATGAGATTTGATGGTTTTATAAAGGGCAGTTCCCCTGCACATGCTCTCTTGCCTGCCACCATGTAAGAGATGCCTTTGTTCCTCCTTCACCTTCCACCATGATTGTGAGGCCTCCCCAGCCATGTGGAATTATAAGTCAATTAAACTTCTTTTTTTTTAATAAATTATCCAGTCTCAGGTATGTCTTTATTAGCAGCGTGAGAATAAACTAATACACATTCCTTGGATTGATGAACCCATATAACTCTAAACAGGCTATTCTTCCTTCTATTGTATTATAAAGACATTTATCACAAATCTAGGGTCCACCGTAATCCAGAAAGGTCTTATCTCAAGAGCCTTAACAACATTTGCAAAGACCATTTTCCAAACAAAGTCACATTTGTGGGTAGCGGCTGGACAGATCATTTGGAGCTACCTACCACTCACCCCGTTACATATAACAAAAGGAAATTAAGGTTGTAGTTGAAATTAAAGTTGTTAATCAGTTGACATTAAAATGGGGAGAATGTCCTGGATTATCTGGACAGGCCCACTGTAATCACAAGGTTTCTTAAAAATAAAATAAACAGCAGAAGAGTACGTCAGAGAATATTAAGTACAATGTGTAAAGGAATTAACTGAATATTTCTGTCTTTGAACATGGAAGAATGGGTCTACAAGTTAAGAAATGCAGACAGCCTCTAGTTGCTGGGAAAGACAAGGAAACTTCTCCTGTCGAGACTCCTAAAATAATATAGCTCTTTGACCTACAGAATTGCAAGATAATACATTTTTGTTGTTTTAAGTCATTAAGTTTGTGGTAATTTGTTTCAGCAGCAGTAGTAAATTAATACATATAATTATTTGATTTTACCTAGAAGTTGACAAGTATACATCAATGGTATGGGAAAGCATCATCCACTCACAGTAAACCACAGCAATGGGAAAAATAAATGTAACATTTTTTATGTGACAGTTGTAAGAATTAAGAAAATCTGTTAATAAATTTATATATAACATAAAGCATAGTGAATAAAGACGCAAAAATTCATTAAAAACTAATAAACAGAGCAATACATCAGTGCTAAAATTAAATAACTGTAACAATCTTAAATTGAAAACTTGAAGATTACAAAAGACCTCAGAATACCAAATTCAACATACAGTTCTCAAGTCCATTTGCTCTCACTTTATACTGTCAACTCTGTCCTTACAACATTTTACTCTCTTCATTTCTGTAGCAATTGATGGTGTTTGACTGTTTTGATTTTTTTCACTCACTAAATCTTTGTCCACTAACTCTAGAATTTTTAAAATTTTGTTGCGACTGATGCTGAGCACCTTTCTTAGAGTGAATACAATAGAAAACCCAGAAAAAAAGTAAGATATGTTTAACCACATGCGTTATTAAAACTGTGTCTAAATTTGAATATGAGGGAAAAAATAATAGTAGTTTAAACATACTAGAAGCTTATTCTGGAATTAAGAAGTCCACAGTTTGTATGGTGGCTTTGCTCCATGAAACTCACCACTCATCCATTCTTTAAAATATTACTCTTAATTTCTAAATATGCATATGCATTTTAGCAATAGAATGAAGAAATTAATAACAAAAAACAGGGAATGAGCACGCAAAATTGTCTTTGAGGGAAGTTTCTGTAAGCTACACATGATATCCAAGTTACATTCTATTGTCCAAATCTTAGATGCATGTCCACCATTAACTACAAGAGGAGCTGAGAAGTGTAGTGTTTTTCCTTGTCTTTGTGCATAGCTGAAAAATTTGTTACTATGGGAGAAGTAGAGAAGTGCTGCTGGGGCCACACAACCTCTACAACACTAATTAAAATTTAAACAACAATTTAAAATACCATAAACCATATTAAAATTGGGAAATACTGCAATTTATAGACAGCAAGTAGAAAGCACAATATAAATTCATACTAGTTAATAAAAATGATGGAAAACTCTAATAACAAATACAAATAAGGGACAAAAAGATGGAAAATGGGACAGAGGAAAACAATCTATGAAAGAAATTTCACCATTCAATAAATTAAAAGGATTCAAATAAAAATAAGAAGAGCTTTGTTTGTTTATATTTTGCTCTAATATTCCAACCAAGAATGCCAGAAACACAACTTTCATAATATTGGAATAAAGGACAAAAACCTCTAAAGGAGAGTTAACTGTGGGAAAATAGATTTTTGTCAATACTAAGACATTACCCTCTTTCATTAATAGAAGGGAACTCTCAACCTTAGGTTAATCACACAGAGGTATGAATGAGAATCCAAAGGGTAATTGTCCCCTTGACTGGTAAAGTTTCTGGACTTGAATTCCTTTTGGTCAGATCAGAATAAAAGGAATCATGCCCAAACAGATGCCGCATTTGCCAGTGACATTTTATTCATGTATTAAACAGCCTCAGATTGTTTGCGTATTACTATAATTCCCAAATGAAGAATGATAATTTGGGAACTACTTTTGTTCCAAGTGAATAGTTATCCTTTTGTCTTGCGGGACAAGACAGTGAAGACAGTGAAGAATAAAATTATATTTATATGAAGGTGAAAGGGAATACAGCTTGTATTGAAGAAGTTAACATTTTTCACATGCAGAATTATAACCTTTTCCCTATAGTATTTCAAATGTATTATCTATAATGTACATCATGCATAATTATGATTTATTGGGTATTTAGATAAGGTTTCTGCTTATCTTGCCAGCTTCAGCACACTCCATGCCAAACACCATTCTACAGCCATACTGAATGTTTTCCCCAACATGGCATCAAGTCTCCAACCTCTGAGCCTTTGCACTTGCTGTTCTTTCTACCTGCATTGTTCTCTAGTCACCTTCCCCTATGTTACTGTCAGGGTTGCACAGATAAGTAGACAGTGTGGGGGTGGGGGAAGATTAAACAAACAAACAAAAAACCCTATTTTTCATTCTGCGCTATTTCATGGTACCAACTCAATGTCACAGATCCCAGACTTGGAAGGCAATGCACACAGCATGCTCTCACTAGCTAGTGATAGCTGTCACCATGCATCAGGGCCTCAATGTCTCTTTAACTGTTTTATTCCTGTTTGTTTTCCCCATTTTAGACTTTTTGTCCTTTTCTTCAAGAAGTCTTTTTAATCTCCCCTCCCAAGTTTGATTATTGATCCTCCCTTATACTGACATTGCACTGCATAATGAGCCTATCTTAACTCTTTCAGCATATGTCATTATTGCCAGTATACATCATTAGATCATAAGCTACTGGAGGGCAAAGACTTCTAGAAGCACGTCCAGTACCTGACCCATAGTAGATGTTCAATAAATATTTGTTAAAGTAGCACATGCATGTGAGAACACAATTATGAAATAATTTGTGAAATAAAAAAATTATTAGTTTATAAGCAGTAAGTCAGTTATAGGGTCACAGTATTTATGACCTAAGAACATGAATCATATGCAAGTGAATCTCAAGAGAAAAAAAATGAGTACATATTATATGACAGAACTCATAGAATTTTTTATAAGTATTTATGGAACACTCACTTTGTGCCAGCTACTCTTGTAATGCTTGGGACATTTGTCAAGACAATACTCAATGGTCCCTTCTATCCAAACAATACAGTAATATAGTCTTCATAAACTGTAAGAGGCAGCACCAGACTCACTGTTTTAAGCAAGTGTTTAAAATGACATATGCGTTATTTAAATTTTACATTACCATATTTATTCCTGTTATTTAGAGACATTTAAGGAATATGGTTTAAATTGAGCCTAAACTTCTTTTAATAAATGTACTATTTTAAGTTAATCAGTTGATAAATTTTCAGAGAACACATTTAAATCCTGATGTCTTGCTAATAAAATCTAGAAATGACTTAGATGGTAAATTACTAAGAACTTTAAGGCTATTAAGAGGTGCTGAAAATTGCTAGTCTGCCATTTGGCACGGCTATCTAATGTCAATTGCCATACTCTTTCTGTTTTAGGCATAATATTACCTCTCCCACCAATCAGTGTTTCTTAAACTGCCATATTGCAATGAAACCAGAACAGTTATTAAGTATTGCTGCTCATAGGACCCAAATTGTGGCAAAAATAAATAGTGGCAGTTTTATGTCATTGCCTCTGATCCACAAAGGATAAATTAAACTTTCAAAAATCTGAAGAATATGATGAGAAAGTAGAAAAAGAATGAATTCATCGACATAGAAATATCAGATACATATGATACACATGTATATGTGTAACTGTGTAGTTATATCCCTAAGGAGTCTAGACCTTTGGGAAAAAAGGAGTTGTTAACTCTATTGGGAAGATGCTTTTGAATATATTAGGCAATTGTAGTATGAAGGGCTGAGATGAGGAAACATTGCTGCTAGAAATCCCCAGAAAATTCATCATTAGGTATATAAAGAGACAGAACAGTAAAATGTCTACTTGAAAACATCTTGTAACTAATTTCAAGGGCAAGGACCCTGACAGAGTAAGTAGCTTATAAGGAATGAAAATTAAAGTGTATCCAAGAAACCAAAGACTTAAGTTTGAAACTACAGTTTGGCGTTTATTTCTGATATCCAGAGTGTTACTCGCAGTGTCACATAATGATATTCAGAAGCAAAAATATGATTTAGCCCATGAACAAACAACAATAACCTTCAAAGAAATAAAGCAATCAAATTAATAAAAACTAATATATATATCCAGTCTATACTTTCATCCAAATATATGTGTAAACATAAATATAAATGCATACATTATGTTAATGATATATAATATGAATATTTATATATGTTTTATTTATTGATTTATTTATCACACATCTACTCCATTGGAGCATATAATCTGAGAAAATTGAATATGCATAATATGCATATTGGAGGTTAGGCCGTACATAAGACAGCCTATAATGAAGTAACAGGTTAAAATATCACAAACAAAGAAGCTGCTTCTTAGGAAAATTCTCAATCTCCTGTGTTACACATGGCAGGAGTACCTGGGTCATCTATTTCAGAGATGTCATCATTACAATGAAAGAAATGAATGGTTTTGAGCACTCTACATGTATTTATTCATTTTATTTACATAAAAACTTATGAAATAACATACTATAATTGTGCACATTTTACTGATTAGGAAACAGAGCCCAGTGTAGTTGAGTAGTACACCAAGGTTACATAGGCAATAGGTTGTAAAATCAAAATTTGAAAATACGCAGACTTACGTGGAAAACTGGAGCTCTTCTAAACCATTATAGCCCACAGTCTCAGAGAATGTAGTGAGTTAAATCTGATTAAAATAAATGTACCAACTATGTAAATTTAAAAAAAACAGAGGAGGAGAGAAGATTCAGTCTCACTTTAGATTAAGCATAATGCAGGAGTTAATACTTCAATGCAAGTTCAAATTTGAAATGCCACAGGAAAAAAAAAATTGTAATCTCTGGAACCATTTTTCTTCAGAAATCATTAAGTCTAATATCTCTCTTTGACCCCAAATTTTTACCCTTTTACCACTTTAATTTCTTTATTAAATTTTTCTTTTTATTCAAGCTGATTGACATACTAACTTCATTTTCTCGGTCTTTGGATGTATGTTCTGTGTTTATGAAAAATGAGTGAATGGAATATATGAATGAGGGAACAGCATAATAAATGCTGCAGAAGTAGGAATGAGCTCTGTTAAAAATTTTGAATTAACTCTTTGTTTCACTCAAAGTCAAAACTGAAGCACTTAAAATCCTCTGTAAGCCTCACGATGAGCTTCCTCCTCACCTCTATGTCTATGACCTTTCTCCTCCAATGCTCCCTTGCTCCAACCACATTGACATCTTTTTTCTTCAACTACTATATATAAGCTGCTGCCTCAAGGCTTTGTTCAATCCTGCTCACTGCTTGCAACACTATCTTATTTCTTCAAGACTCTGTTCTTATGCTACCTTGCCAATAAGGCTCGCTCCATAGTTTAATGTTATCATCTGTCTCCATGACCTATCCAGAGCATTGAACCACCCTTACTTTACAATGCTTTTGTTTTTCTTTAAGCATGTATCATGCTCTAACATGATATATTAAATGTTTTATGTATTATGTTTATTGTTTGTGTCTCCTTGTTATAATGTAAGCTCCACAAGATTGGAAATCTTCTATCCACTAATATATCTGCTCAATAAATATATGCTGTGTAAATGCCTACCAGCAATGTACAGTATAAATGTATCTCTTTACAGGGCAACACGTGATTCATCATGGGAGGTAGCAGCACTAAAATTTGGCTTGGAGGGCATTATCCCCTAAGTTCCACTAAACCCTTTAAACCAACCTGAAATATGTAAGGGCAATTTGCTATACAAATGCAGCTTGAAAATGGATAATCTGACTTACCGTTACAAGCAAGAGTTCCACTCTAAGTGTCCTCTAGTTTGAAATTTAGGAAGATCTTCTATTGCTGACTTAGGATAGAAGACTGTTGCAATTTGTAGATTTTTAGAATATTTCACATTTATTCAGCCATCAAATCAAAATTGCTTACACAGGGGAGATCAAGATGAAAGTGTGTGATTCCTTGCTAAACTGGTCTGGGTACTGCATAAATGTTTGATGAATGCTGAATGAATGCGTATACAGAGGGCACTGAATGCTCTGGTGTAAAAATCACTTAATCTCCCTGGGGTTTATTTCCTCATGTGCAAAATGGGAATGAAAGATAAAATTTAAGGTGTATTTTCTATAAATCCATGATTTGAAGATTATAAGGCTTCTGTAAGTCCATGATTTGATTCAATGAAGAGCAACAAACTACCAAAAATTATTAGGTATAGAGATATCAGAAAGTGATATTTGATAAGGATTACTTTTGACAAGGATTTGCAACGTGAATCAAAGAGAGAGAGGCAGAGACAGAGAAAAGACAAGCAGAGAAAAACCGAAATAGATACATATGTACAGAAACTGAAAGCTGAGAAAACAGAAAGAGCTTAAAGAGCCATTAAGGCCAAGCCTCTGGTATTGAAGTTTAGAGAGAAAAATACAAATGTAACACTGTTTTAAGGGAGAGATCAACAACAGTTGGTGTCACTATTGGTAAGTGAGAATTCTGAGATGTGTATGCAAACTTCTTAATCATCTGTAAATCTGCTCAGGAACTGAGTTTGAACAAATATATATATATTATATATATAAATAAAATATATATATTTTAGACAGAGTCTCTTGCTGTTGCCCAGGCTGGAGTGCAGAGGAGTGAAGTGACCTCGGCTCACTGCAACCTTCATCTTCCACATTCAATCCTTCATCTTCCTGCCTCAGCCTCCTGAGTAGCAGGGCTTACAGGCATGCACCACCACACCCAGCTAATTTTTGTATTTTCAGTAGAGACTTGGTTTCAACATGTTGGCCAGACTGGTTTTGAACTCCTGATCTCAAGTGATCAGCCCACCTCGACCTCCCAAAGTGCTAGGAATACAGGCATGAGCCACTACACCTGGCACAACATTTTAAAGATTAAGAAAAAGCTCTTAAAACAAAAATGAGGCTAAGGAGGTACAGTCCAAAAAGCATGAGTGGAGAAAATGGAGGGAAAAATTATAATTAATACATAGTTTTATATATTATATAAAGTACCATTAACTTTCAAAATTTTCATTACATTCCAAATTTTGTGGTGATAGAATGAACTATTATGCACTTTGTATATCTGAAGACATCATAAATATATTAGTCGAATGAATGCTTGTTGTCTGAATTCACCCTGAATTATTCTCTTGCTATTTGGCATGGATTTAGAAAGAGAAAAAGAGGTGGAAACAATCAAAAGAAGAGAGGGATCTTGATAAATGAAAATGTTTCCATGGATAAACTGACTCTGCTAGAGATTGTTTGAACCAAATGAATTGAATACAAGACAATTTGAAATTTCTCCATTAGGTAACCTGGAAAAGAATTCAAGTGACTTGCAGATTTTCCTAAGGAAAATAACACCTTCAATGACTGCTAATTTCCGATCCCAATGAACAACTAATTTTTAAACTGTATGACTTTCACATTTTGTGGAAGACACAGTTAATTAATTGCAAATAGGTTGACTTTACAAGATATGTAATCTATCTTAACATTCCAGCTCAAAACTGTTTTATCTATATGAACACTCTTAAAGGGATGAAAATGTTAAGAATGGCATATATTGTTGCGGGAAGTCAGGGACTCCGAATGGAGGGACTTGGACCTGCTGAAGCCGTGACAGAAGAAGTTTTATCTGGGCTACTTGCCAAACAAGGGAAGGCATGGCCCATGTTAAAAAACATCTATATTCTTGCTTTGCAGTTATGGGGCTTCCATATCAAATAAAGACAGACAACGCCCCTGTATATGTTAGTAAGGCTTTTGATTTATTTATGCAACAGTGGGGAATTTCCCATATTACTAGAATCCCTTACAATCCTCAAGGACAAGCTGTGGTGAAATGGGCCAATTGCACTTTAAAAACCCAATTGTCCAAACAATCTAAAAAACAAAAATGTAATGTAACTACCCCCCACTCCCAATTACATTTGGCATTGTTTACTTTAAATTTTTTGAATTTATGAAAGATGATAATCTAACTGCAGACGAACGCCATTATACAGGCAGAAAATTCTCCCTAAACAAAGGCAAGCCAGTGTTATGGAAAAACTCCCAAACCAATACCTAGGAACCTGGCACAATTATAATGTGGGGAAGAAGATATGCTTGTGTTTCACCAGGAGATCATCAATCCCCTGTCTGGGTACCCATCAGGAGACTCAAGCTTCGGGTGAATACTGACAATGAAAACCACATGGAAAAGATGTCCGTGTCAGAGACCACCCTCAGACGTGTTGAGATCTGTGCCAACTCCTTAGAAGCTGGCACACCAAATCACAATGGGTCTGATTCAATCCTCCCTGGTAGCAACGGAGACCCATCTAACTAATCCCACTTCTCCTGATTACCTTTGTTTTTCTCCTTACAAACCTAAAAATCTCACCATTTCTATTAGCCTGAAAATAACATCCCTTTGTTCTTCTCATCCTCCTTCAGCACTGAATCTCGCTTAAACTAGGTTTTATTTAATGATTCTCTTCCTTATACTTTCTGTCTCACAGAACAACAGACAGAATAGTTTCCCCTTCCCATACTCGCAGTCCAGACATGGCAATAGCCAATTTCCAAAGTTCTGGGTGTTCTGTTGTCCCCGATACCATCCCTCGCCCTCAGTATCAGTGTAGATCCAGACATTCTGTTTTACTTACCTCCAACCTGACTGTTCCCATGCAGAGTTGTGTTAAGCCTCCTTATATGCTGTTAGTGGGAAATATCAAAATTTGGATGAACAATCAAACTGTCCGATGCATTAATTGTCATGTATACACTTGTATTACCTCCCATTTTGACTCCAGGAAAAGTGTAATGTTGGTTCTAGCTCGAGAAGGAATCTGGATTCTGGTAACTTTGCCCAGACCTTGGGAATCCTCCCTGTCAATACGTTTAATTAATGAAGTGTTACAGCGAATTCTAAAAAGATCTAAGAGATTTGTTTTCACTTTAATCGCTGTGATCATGGGCCTAATTACAGTCACTGCACTGGCCACCACTGCCGGAATGGCGTTACATCAATCTGTTCAAACGGCTCATTTTGCTAATGATTGGCAAGCCAATTCCAACCAGATGTGGAATTCTCAACAAGGCATTGATCAAATATTGGCTGCTATTTGACTTGGAGATCGGGTAGTGAGTCTTGAACATCGCATGCAAATGCAGTGTGATTGGAACACTTCGTATTTCTGTATCACCGCGTATTCCTATGATGAGACTGATCATTCATGGGAAATGGTCAAAGGACACCTTCTGGGTAGGGAAGATAATTTGTCATTGGACATAACTAAATTAAAGAAACAGATTTTTGAAGCCTCTCAAGCTCATTTATCCATTGTGCCTGGAGCTGAGGCATTAGATCATGTGGCAGAAAATCTTTCTGGACTAAACCCCACAACTTGGATTAAGTCTATTGGGGGGCTCCACTGTAGTAAATTTTGGAATTATGTTTCTCTGTTTAATTGACTTGTTTTTAGTGTGCCAGACCAGTCAAAGAATCCTGTGTCAAAATCAAGAGAATGAACAAGTTTCAATGCCATGGCACATTTATATAAAAAGAAAGGGAGAGATGTTGCGGGAAGTCAAGGACCCCAAACAGAGGGACCTGCTGAAGCTGTGACAGAAGAAAATAAATTGTGAAGATTTCATGGACATTTATCACTTCCCCAATCAATATTCTTATAATTTCCTATGCCTGTCTTTACTTTAATCTCTTAATCTGGTCATCTTCATAAGCTGAGGCTGTATGTCATCTCAGGACCCTGTGATGATTGTGTTAACTGCACAAATTGTTTGTAAAGCATGTGTGTATGAACAATATGAAATCCAGGCACCTTGAAAAAAGAACAGGATAACAGAGATGTCCAGGGAACAACAGAGATAACCATTAGGTCTGACTGCCTAGGAGCCAGGCAGGACAGAGCCATATTTCTCTATTACTGAAAACAGGTAAGAGAAATATCACTGAATTCTTTCCCCAGTAAGAAATATTAATAATTAACAGCCCTGGGAAAAGAATGCACTCCCAGGAGGGGCCTCTAAAATGGCCGCTCTGGGGGTGTCTGCCTTATGCAGTTGCAGATAAGGGTTGAAACACACCCTGGCCTCCTGCAGCGCCCCCAGGCTTGCTAGGATTAGGAAATTCCAGCCTGGCAAATTCTAGTCAGACCAGTTCTCTGCTCTTGAACCCTGTTAAGATGTTTATCAATGACAATAGGTGCACAGAAGGACATGGAACTTCATTAGTAATTCTAGTTTTGCCCTGACCTTGTTATCTTGCCCTGACCTTCTGCCTTGTGATCTTTTGTTGTCCTTGAAGCATGTGATCTCTGTGATGAACACCCTATTCATACACTCTCTCCCCTTTGAAAATTGCTAATAAAAACTTGCTGGTTTTATGGCTCGGGGGCGTCGCCGAACCTGCCAACATGTGATGTCTCCCCTGGAAACCCAGCTTTAAAATTTCTTTCTTTTGTACTCTTTCCCTTTATTTCTCAGACTGGCTGACACTTAGGGAAAATAGAAAAGAACCTATGTTGAAATACTGGGGGCTGGTTCCCCCAATAATATATACATATAAAAGACAAACAAGAAAAAGCAAGTATGTGGTGGATATGTTGAGTTGCCATAATGTCCTTTGATTGTGACTTCCTGGATGGTACAGCTTTGTGAGCTGCATTATTCTTCCAATTTGGTGCACTCACATGAGATTTGAAAGGCATAAAAGGGAGATATAAGGATTTGAAATTTGTCGATGCTGTATACAAACATTGAAATATTTGATATTCTTCAGCTGTGTTCCAGTCATTAGTCTTGTGGAAGATTCAAGATATAGAGGTGGTTTAGTTTCCAGACTTGGTACTGTGGGATGGTCTTTGAGTCAAAGTTTTCAGTGGAGGTCCCATGAAGCCTGGCTTTCTAGTAGCAGTTCTCTTAGTGCACCTTGTGGAGCACTGGAGTAATTTCTGGAAAGCCAACCTAGCATGCTTCTTCATGTCCTCCAAAGATTTTGTAAGAAATAAACTCCTTGTACTTAACCCTCTCCATTAAGATGGATAGAATGGTTTCAGTTTCCTGCAGCTGAATTTGGCTGGGTCTATCAGTGACTTGATAACCAATATGAAGAATATGAAACTGTGAAAATTTTAATACTTATTTTAAAAAATCATGCTGTGCTTTTCTTTTTGCTCTATGTACTTCCAAACTCAAAATTATCTGTTTATGGACTTCCAAACTCAAAATCATCATATATCTCTATAGTCTAGGGAGAACACAAGTACTTTTGAAAATAGATGCTAACTCATATGAGGTTCTTATATGCCTCAGAGTCTGCTGATACACCTTACTAAATGTCCACTGAAATAATGTTAAATAAGTTATATCAATGGTAGATATCTAGATATGCCCTGCATTTTCTCAACTTTGCATATTTGTTCACAGTGAGCAAACAACCTAAGTCCTTTTGTTTTATTCGACTACCAAAATCCTATTCCACTTTAAAAATCTATCTTAAATGCAGCATCCTCTAGGGAGACTTCCATTATATAGTCAACCAGAATATACATTCTTTTTTTTTTATCATGAAGTAATGTTATCCTTTAAATTGCACCACATAGTGTACTTTGACACCAGCCCTTGACTCCCTCAGCTCTTATGAACTGCTGATCATCCATATTACCAGTTAGATTTATTTCCTTTAAATGTTGGTGCAATTCTTCATCAATTATTTAAGTAAAAATTGAAGAGGAAGGAGGATAAGAAAAAGGGGGAAAAATAAGAATAACAAAGTAGAACCAAATCTATATAAATAAAATGGGATTTCTACTGTGGATAAACTAATACTGAAACTTGAAAGAAGCATTATTTTAATGGTCAGTCAAATGTGGCCCAAAATTTTCTTTTTAAATTAGCTTTTTACTTTTCTTAACTTCCCTTACTTCTGGTAACTTTACAGACTTTTATTAATTAGAACTAAGAAAAAAGAACTGGAAAATCTATGCCTAGTGAAGAATAAGCCTTAAAGTAACTGTAATACCTTTGAACTTGTTAATGAGCTCAAGTAGATTATAGAATTCTTTGCAGAAATATATATATAATATTTAAATGTACTAGTCATATTTTCATTTAGACACCTTCATAAAGAATAATTAGTTGACCCACTCAGTGAATTCCTATATTTAAAACTAAAACAAAAAAATTATTTTACAATATATCACTAACCATGTCTATAGATTTTGGGACTTGTTCAAATGAGAAAAAATAAATACACTCCTAAAACCTTCCCAGTCAGAAAAAAATAAAAACTAAACTAGCAATACTAGAATAAATAACAATGTTAATTGCAACAAATAAATTAAATTAAATGTATATCTTCAGGAAATGCTACAACTACCTAACATTCTTTGATTTATAATTAAAGAAATCACGGCCGGGTACTCCTCTGAGACAAAACTTCCACAGGAACAATCAGGCAGCAACATTTTCTGTTCACCAATATCTGCTGTTCTGCAGCCTCTGCTGCTGATACCCAGGCAAACAGGGTCTGGAGTGGACCTCCAGCAAACTCCAACAGACCTGTAGCTGAGGGTCCTGACTGTTAGAAGGAAAACTAACAAACAGAAAGGACATCCACACTAAAAGCCCATCTGTACGTCACCATCATCAAAGACCAAAGGTAGATAAAACCACAAAGATGGGGAAAAAACAGAGCAGAAAAACTGAAAATTCTAAAAACCAGAGTGCCTTTCCTCCTGCAAAGGAGTGCAACTCCTCACCAGCAACGGAACAAAGCTGGATGGAGCATGACTTTGACAAGTTGAGAGAAGAAGACTTCAGATGATCAAACTACTCTGAGCTAAAGGAGGAAGTTCAAACCCATGGCAAAGAATTTAAAAACCTTGAAAAAAGATTAGACGAATGGCTAACTAGATTCAACAATGCACATAAGTCCTTAAAGGACCTGATGGAGCTGAAAACCACGGCACGAGAACTACATGATGAATGCACAAACCTCAGTAGCCGATTCAATCAACTGGAAGAAAGGGTATCAGTGATGGAAGATCAAATGAATGAAATGAAGCGAGAAGAGAAGTTTAGAGAAAAAAGAATAAAAGGGAACTAACAAAGCCTCCAAGAAATATGGGACTATGTGAAAAGACTAAATCTATGTCTGATTGGTGGACCTGAAAGTGACAGGAAGAATGGAACCAAGTTGGAAAACACTCTGCAGGATATTGTCCAGGAGAACTTCCCCAATCTAGCAAGGCAGGCCAACATTCAGATTCAGGAAATGGAGAGAATGCCACAAAGATACTCCTCAAGAAGAGCAACTCCAAGACACATAATTGTCAGATTCACCAAAGTTGAAATGAAGGAAAAAATGTTAAGGGCAGCCAGAGAGAAAGGTCGGGTTACCCACAAACGGAAGCCCATCAGACTAACAGCTGATCTCTTGGCAGAAACTCTACAAGCCAGAAGAGAGTGGGGGCCAATATTCAACATTCTTAAAGAAAATAATTTCAACCCAGAATTTCACATCCAGCCAAACTAAGCTTCATAAGTGAAGGAGAAATAAAATCCTTTACAGACAAGCAAATGATGAGAGATTTTGTCACCACGAGGCCTGCCCTAAAAGAACTCCTGAAGGAAGCACTAAACATGAAAATGAACAACTGGTACCAGCCACTGCAAAAACATGCCAAATTGTAAAGACGATCGAGGCTAGGAAGAAACTGCATCAACGAATGAGCAAAATAACCAGCTAACATCATAATGACAGGATCAAATTCACACATAACAATATTAACCTTAAATGTAAATGGGTTAAATGCTCCAGTTAAAAGACACAGACTGGCAAATTGGATAAAGAGTCAAGACCCATCAGTGTGCTGTATTCAGGAAACCCATCTCACGTGCAGAGACACACATAGGCTCAAAATAAAGGGATGGAGGAAGATCTACCAAGCAAATGGAAAACAAAAAAAGGCAGGGGTTGCAATCCCAGACTCTGATAAAACAGACTTTAAACCAACAAAGATCAAAAGGGACAAAGGAGGCCATTACATAATGGTTAAGGGATCAATTCAACAAGAAGAGCTAACTATCCTAAATATATATGCACCCAATACAGGAGCACCCAGATTCATATAGCAAGTCCTTAGAGACCTACAAAGAGACTTAGACTCCCACACAATAATAATGGGAGATTTTAACACCCCACTGTCAACATTAGACAGATCAACAAGACAGAAAGTTAACAAGGATATCCAGGAGTTGAACTCAGTTCTGCATCAAGTGGACCTAATAGACATCTACAGAACTCTCCACCCCAAATCAACAGAATATACATTCTTTTAGGCACCACACCACACCTATTCCAAAACTGACCACATAGTTGGAAGTAAAGCACTCCTCAGCAAATGTAAAAGTACAGAAATTATAACAAACTGTCTCTCAGACCACAGTGCAATCAAACTAGAACTCGGGATTAAGAAACTCACTCAAAACCATTCAACTACATGGAAACTGAACAATCTGCTCCTGAATGACTACTGGGTACATAACGAAATGAAGGCAGAAATAAAGACGCTCTTTGAAACCAATGAGAACAAAGACACAACATACCAGAATCTCTGGGACACGTTCAAAGCAGTGTGTGGAGGGAAATTTATAGCACTAAATGCCCACAAGAGAAAGCAGGAAAGATCTAAAATTGACACCCTAACATCACAATTAAAAGAACTAGAGAAGCAAGAGCAAACACATTCAAAAGCTAGCAGAAGGCAAGAAATAACTAAGATCAGAGCAGAACTGAAGGAAATAGAGAAACAAAATACCCTTCAAAAAATCAATGAATCCAGGAGCTGGTTTTCTGAAAAGATCAACAAAATTGATAGACTGCTAGCAAGACTAATAAAGAAGAAAATAGATGCAATAAAAAATGAAAAAGGGGATATCACCACCAATCCCACAGAAATACAAACTACCATCAGAAAATAACATAAACACCTCTGCACAAACAAACTAGAAAATCTAGAAGAAATGGATAAATTCCTTGATGCATACACCCTCCCAAGACTAAACCAGGAAGAAGTTGAATCTCTGAATAGACCAATAACAGGCTCTGAAATTGAGGCAATAATTAATAGCTTACCAACCAAAAAAAGTCCAGGACCAGATGGATTCACAGCCGAATTCTACCAGAGGTACAAGGAGGAGATGGTACCAATCCTTCTGAAACTATTCCAATCAATAGAAAAAGAGGGAATTCTCCCTAACTCATTTTATGAGGCAAGCATCATCCTGATACCAAAGCCTGGCAGAGACACAACAAAAAAAGAGAATTTTAGACCAATATCCCTGATGAACATCGATGCAAAAATCCTCAATAAAATACAGACAAATCGAATCCAGTAGCACATCAAAAAGCTTATCCACCATGATCAAGTGGGCTTTATCCCTGGGATGCAAGGCTGGTCCAACATACGCAAATCAAGAAACATAATCCAGCATATAAACAGAACCAAAGACAAAAACCACATGGTTATCTCAATAGATGCAGAAAAGGCCTTTGACAAAATTCAACAACGCTTCATGCTAAAAACTCTCAATAAATTAGTTATTGATGGGATGTATCTCAAAATAATAAGAGCTATCTATGACAAACCCACAGCCAATATCATACCAAATGGGCAAAAACTGGAAGCATTAAATTAGGTATTTAATAAATTAGGTATTAATGGGACATATCTCAAAATAATAAGAGCTATCTGTGACAGACCCACAGCCAATATCATACTGAATGGGCAAAAACTGGAAACATTCCCTTTGAAAACTGGCACAAGACAGGGATGCCCTCTCTCACCACTCCTATTCAACATAGTGTTGGAAGTTCTGGCCAGGGCAATCAGGCAGGAGAAGGAAATAAAGCGTATTCAACTAGGAAAAGAGGAAGTCAAATTGTCCCTGTTTGCAGATGACATGTTTGTATATCTAGAAAACCCCATCGTCTCTGCCCAAAATCTCATTAGGCTGATAAGCAACTTCAGCAAAGTCTCAGGATACAAAATCTATGTGCAAAAATCACAAGCATTCTTATATGCCAATAACAGACAAACAGAGGTCCAAATCATGAGTGAACTCCCATTCACAATTGCTTCAAAGAGAATAAAATACCTAGGAATCCAGCTTATAAGGGATGTGAAGGACCTCTTCAAGGAGAACTGCAAACCACTGCTCAATGAAATAAGAGAGGATACAAACAAATGGAAGAACATTCCATGCTCATGGGTAGGAAGAATCAATATCGTGAAAATGGCCATACTGCCCAAGGTAATTTATAGATTCAATGCCATCCCCATCAAGCTACCAATGACTTTCTTCACAGAATTGGAAAAAACTACTTTAAAGTTCATATGGAACCAAGGAAGAGCCCACATTGCCAAGTCAATCCTAAGCCAAAAGAACAAAGCTGGAGGCATCACGCTACCTAACTTCAAACTACACTACAAGGCTATAGTAACCAAAACAGCATGGTATTGGTATCAAAACAGAGATATAGACCAATGAAACAGAACAGAGCCCTCAGAAACAATGCCACATATCTATAACTATCTGATCTTTGACAAACCTGACAAAAACAAGAAATGGGGAAAGGATTCCCTATTTAATAAATGGTGCTGGGAAAACTGGCTAGCCATATGTAGAAAGCTGAAACTGGATCCCTTCCTTATACCTTATACAAAAATTAATTCAAGATGGATTAAAGATTCAAATGTTAGACCTAAAACCATAAAAACCCTAGAAGAAAACCTAGGCAATACCATTCAGGACATTGGCATGGGCAAGGACTTCATGTCTAAAACACCAAAAGCAATGGCAACAAAAGCCAAAATTGACAAATGGGATCTAATTAAACTAAAGAGCTTCTGCACAGCAAAAGAAACAACCATCAGAGTGAACAGGCAACCTACAGAATGGGAGAAAATTTTTGCAATCTACTCATCTGACAAAGGGCTAATATCCAGAATCTACAATGAACTCAAACAAATTTACAAGAAAAAAACAAACAACCCCATCAACAAGTGGGCGAAGGATATGAACAGACACTTTTCAAAAAGAGACATTTATGCAGACAAAAGACACATGAAAAAATGCTTATCATCACTGGCCATCAAAGAAATGCAAATCAAAACCACAAAGAGATACCATCTCACACCAGTTAGAATGGTGCTCATTAAAAAGTCAGGAAACAACAGGTGCTGGAGAGGATGTGGAGAAATAGGAACACTTTTACACTGTTGGTGGGACTGTAAACTAGTTCAATCACTGTGGAAGTCAGTGTGGCGATTCCTCAGGGATCTAGAACTAGAAATACCATTTGACCCAGCTATCCTATTACCAGGTATATACCCAAAGGATTATAAATCATGCTGCTATAAAGACATTTGCACACGTATGTTTATTGTGACACTATTCACAATAGCAAAGACTTGGAACCAACCCAAATGTCCAATAATGATAGACTGGATTAAGAAAATGTGGCACATATATGCCATGGAATACTATGCAGCCATAAAAAATGACGAGTTCATGTCCTTTATAGGGATATGGATGAAGCTGGAAACTATCATTCTCAGCAAACTATCGCAAGGACAAAAAACCAAACACCGCATGTTCTCACTCATAGGTGGGAATTGAACAATGAGAACACATGGACACAGGAAGGGGAACATCACACACCAGGGCTTGTTGTCAGGTGGTGGGAGAGGGGAGGGATAGCATTAGGAGATATACCTAATGTTAAATGACGAGTTAATGGATGCAGCACACCAACACGGCACATGTATACATATGTAACAAACCTGCATGTTGTGTACACGTACCCTAAAACTTAAAGTATAATTTAAAAAATTAAATAAAGAAATAAATAAAAAGAAATCAACTTGTTACTATAATGACAGAAAAAAATCAATAATACAAACTAAAATTGCAATTCTGTATCAGCAACTTGAACAAGATTTTGATTAATATTTTTTTATTTATTTATTTGTTTGTTTATTTATTTACTGAAACAGAGTTTCATTCTGTTGCCCAGGCTGAAGTGCATTGGTGTGATCATGGTTCACTGCAGCCTTGACTTCCCTGGGCTCAAGCCATCCTCCCACCTCAGCCTCCAGAGTAGCTGGGACTACAGGCACACTCCACCAACCTGGGAGATTTATTTATTTTTTTATTTTTGGTAGAGACAGGATTTTACCATGTTGCATAGGCTGGTCTGGACCTCCTGGGCTCAGTGATGTGCCGACCTAGACTTTCCAAAGTGCTAGGATTATAGTCATGAGCCACTGTGCCCAGCCCATTTGATATTTTAATGATGACTCTTTCATCGGAACTACACAGCTTGGAAATGATATTACAGTTCACCTGTTGATTAAGGGCCTTCCTTGAACATTCTTTAACTGTGTCCCTAGGGACCCTTTCTTGCTGTTCCATAGACAGTTTAAAGTAGCATTGATTACATGATCTAAATTCCATTCTTTACTCCTTTAACATAACTTTTATCAAACTGAATAGTTAATTGACCCATTTTTGCAACAAAAAACTCTCTTTTCTCTATGTTTCTGAATAAAGAATAATAAAATAGCCATTAATGATTGAAATACAAGTTAATGTAGCCAAAATTTTAAAAATAAAATCAGACAGAGTAAGAATCAAAGAGAGATCATATTTTCTTTCTCAATATAGTTATCATAAGTAAGAAGATAATTTGGAATCATGAAAATATCTTTACAGTCTAAAGAACCAGAGAATACTGAAGGAACAACTGTGGAGCAACACCATTCTTCAAGGATAATCAATCATGATTTAGTAAATCTCTTTTTTATGATAATGAGGATTTATTTCTTTCTTTGTTTATTTAATGTTCTGGGCTATAAGCACAGATTTATTACATAGGTAAACTTGTGTGTAAATCTCAATACTTTGAAAGAAATTTCAGTAATGATCTTCAATAATACATTTTCTGTAGCTAGGAATAATTTATTTAGAATTTTAGCTAAATAGAATTTGCATCACAAGGAGAAGGAAGGTACAATATACATCATCAGGGAAATACTACATAGGTATGCTTTCCTCAGAAAGTATTGTAAAGATCTGGTGAGGCCTTCATATCCCAAAAATAATCAGCTCTCAGGTGTAACTGAGAACCTGAACAACTGCAAGCAGGCTTCTTGTAAGATTTAGTAAATCATCTTAAGGATTTTTGCAGCTCCTGTGTGATATTTATTCATATGTATTTCCAAATGTTGTATCCATGAAAACTAACATACCTTTTATGTATATTCATTTTAGTAATGCATTTATTAACTTGCAAGTTCCTTGAAACAAAGACCAAATCTTATTTACCTTCTGTATTTTCCCTGGCTTTAGGTTCATATTTAGATCCCATAAAGAATTATTGATTTCTTGATTAAAAGCAACTCATTCAGGAGTTATAAAAGAAAAGCAGTTTTTAGTTAGTTTAATCTATAGTTTTGTCCTCCATTCTCATGAGTTGTTACTACAATAATAAATGCAATCATTCCTTCTGATCTCAGTAAAAAATCACTTTTTAGAGGAAATAAAAATTCTGATATTCAATCACACTGTCTACTCCCTACAGTCCCCTATCCCTGGGCCCAACAATGTCAGGTTCTCTTATCTAACTTCATAAATGTCAACCATGCTTACCAGTTGCACTTAATTGTGTGGTCATATTATTTATATCTATTTCCTTTACTACAATATAAATTCACATGAAAAGTGAAACTTTATTTGGTTCCCATTGCTTTGAAACAGAACAGAGCTTGGCAAATAGTATATTTTTTGTAGATACTATAGATATATAAAAGAAAGGCCTTCAAGGTTTATTATTTTTTAGTAACAAGAAGTTTTTACTAATTGAATCCATCACCTACAGCCCACTCCTTCTTTTCCCAACTCACCACCATTGGCACAGTGACAAAAAAGCATGCAGTTAAAAAATGATTGGCTGATATTAAGGGTGTAGTTTTCAGAGAGGTTATACTAATAATCTGTGTGTCAAAAGAGCAGGCCCATAACGTAAAGTAAATTATGTTGAAGACATGACTATGGTACAGAAAATGTCTAATTGCTGATCCTATCCAAGGGTCTCTGGAGAACAGATTTAATCCCTTCTTTATATTTTTTATGACAGGATTACATGAACTGCGCTATATAAAATACCAAATCATGAGTGAACTCCCATTCAAAATTGCTACAAAGAGAATAAAATCATAGGAATACAACATACAAGGGATGTGAAGGACCTCTTCAAGGAGAACTATAAACCACTGCTCAAGGAAATAAGAGAGGACACGAACAAATAGAAAAACATTCCATGCTCATAGATAGGAAGAATAAATATCGTGAAAATGGCCATACTGCCCAAAGTAATTTGTAGATTCAATGCTATCCCCATCAAGCTACCACTGACTTTCTTCACAGAATTGGAAAATCTACTTTAAATTTCATATGGAGCCAAAAAAGAGCCCACATAGCCAAGACAATCCTAAGCAAAAAGAACAAAACTGGAGGCGTCAGGTTACCTGACTTCAAACTGTACTGCAAGGCTACATTTAAAAAAACAAAACACAAAACAAAACAAAAACAGCATGCTACTGGTACCAAAACAGATATATAGACCAATGGAACAGAACAGAGCCCTCAAAAATAATGCCATACATCTACAACCATCTGATGTTTGACAAGCCTGACAATCCCTATTTAATAAGTGGTGTTGGGAAAACTGGCCAGCCACATGCCGAAAGCTGAAACTGCATCCCTTCCTTACACGTTATACAAAAATTAACTCAAGATGGATTAAAGACTTAAACGTAAGACCTAAAACCATAAAAACCCTAGAAGAAAATCTAGGGAATACCATTCAGGACATAGGCATGGGCAAGGACTTCATGACTGAAACACAAAAAGCAATGGCAGCAAAAGCCAAAATTGACAAATGGAATCTCATTAAACTAAAGAGATTCTGCACAGCAAAAGAAACTATCATCAGAGTGAACAGGCAACCTACAGAATGGGAGAAAATTTTTGCAATCTATCCATCTGACAAGGGCTAATATCCAGAATCTGCAAAGAACTTAAACAAACTTACAAGAAAAAAACAACCCCATCAAAAAGTGGGCAAAGGATATGAACAGACACTTCTCAAAAGAAGACATTTATGCAGCCAACAAACATAAGAAAAAAATCACATCATCACTGGTCATTAGAGAAATGCAAATCAAAACCACAATGAGATACCATCTCACGCCAGTTAGAATGGATATCATTAAAAAGTCAGGAAACGGCAGATGCTGGAGAGGATGGGGAGAAATAGGAATGCTTTTACAGTTTGTGGCAGTCTAAATTAGTTCAACCACTGTGGAATACAGTATGGCAATTCCTCAGGGATCTAGAACTAGAAATACCATTTGATCCAGCAATCCCATTACTGGCATTATAAATCATTCTACTATAAATACACGTATGTTTATTGCAGCACTATTCACAATAGCGAAGACTTGGAACCAACCCAAATGCCCATCAATGATAGACTGGATAAATAAAATGTGGCACATATAGGCCATAGAATACCAGGCGGCCATAAAAAGGATGAGTTTATGTCCTTTGCAGGGACATGAATGATGCTGGAAACCATCATTCTCATCAAACTAACACAAGAACAGGAAACCAAACACCGCATGCTCTCATTCATAAGAGGAAGTTGATCAATGAGAACACATGGACACAGGAAGGGGAACATCACACACTGGAGCCTTTTGGTGGGTGTGGGGCTAAGAGAGCAATAGCATTAGGAGAAAAACCTAATGTAGATGATGCGTTGATGGGTGCAGCAAACCACCACGGCACGTGTATACCCATGTGACAAACCTGCACTTTCTGCACATGTACTCTATAATCTAAGGTACAATAAAAAAAGGGACAGGGATTTGACTGATATAAAGTTGTAAAGAAAAAAAATACCAGATCCTTTGAGAAGTGTCTTTTCATGTCTTTTGCCCACTTTTTAATGGGATTGTTTCTTTTTACTCATAAATTTTTTAAGTTCCTCATGGATTCTGGATATTAGACCTTTGTCTGATGGAAAGATTGCAAAAATTTTCTTTCATTCTCTAGGTTGTCTGTTCATTCTGATGATAGCTTCCTTCACTGTGCAGAAGCTCTTTAGTTTAATTAGATCCTATTTGTAAATTTTTGCTTCTGTTGCAGCTGCTTTTGACGTCTTCATCATGAATTTTTTGCCCCTGTCTATCCCTACGTCTTGAGTGGTATTGGGTAGATTTTCTTCTAGGGTTTTTATAGTTTTGGGTTTTACATTTAAGTCTTTAATTCTTCTTGAGTTAATATTTGTATAAGGTATAAAGAAGGGGTCCAATTTCAATGTTCTGCATATGGCTAGCCAGTTCTCCCAGCATCATTTATGAAATAAGGGAATCCTTTCCCCATTGCTTATTTTTGTCAGGTTTGTTGAGGATCAGATAGTTGTAGATATGTAGCCTTATTTCTGAAATGTCTATTCTGTTCCATTGGTTTATGTGTCTGTTTTTGTACCAGTAACATGCTCTTTTGGTTACTGCAGCCTTATAGTATAGTTTGAAGTCATGTAGCGTGATGCCTCCAGTTTTGTTCTTTTTGCTTAGGATTTTCTTCACTATACGGGCTTTTTTTTGGTTTCATATGAAATTTAAAATATTTTTTTCTTTAATTTTGTGAAGAATGTCAATGGTAGTTTAATGGGAATAGCATTGAATCTGTAAAATACTTTGGGTAGTATGGCCATTTTCATGATATTGATTCTTCCCATCCATCAGCGTGGAATGTTTTACCATTTGTTTGTGTCTGCACTGAAATGTATGTAGCTAAAAAACATATGAAAAAAAGCTCAATATCACTGATCATTAAAGAAATGCAAATCAAAACCACAATGAGATATCATGTCACACCCCTCAGAATGGTGATTATTAAAAAGTAAAAAAACAATAGATGCTGGTGAGGCTGCGGAGATATAGAAATGCTTTTACACTCTTGATGGGAATGTAAATTAGTTCAACCATTGTGGAATACAGTATGGCAATTCCTCAAAGACCTAGAACCAGGAATACCATTTTGCCCAGAAATCCCATTACTGGACAAAATGGTATTTCACCATTCTATTATAAACATACACGTAAGCATAAGTTCATAGCAGCACTATCACAATAGCAGATATGGAATCAAACCAAATGTCCATGAATGATCAACTGGATAAGGAAAATGTGATATATATACACAATGGAATACTATACAGCCATAAAAGGGAACAAGATCATGCACTTTGCAGGGGCATGGATGGAGCTGGAAGCCATTATCCTCATCCAACTAACACAGGAACAGAACACCAAACATCACATCTTCTCACTTATCAGTGGGAGCTGAACAATGAGAACACATAGATACAGGGAGGGAAAAATCACACATTGGGTCCTATTGTGGGCATGGGGAGGGAGATCATCAGAATAAATAGCTAATGCATGCTGGGCTAATACCTATGTGATGGGTTGATAGATGCAGCAAATCACCGTTGCACACATTTACCTATGTAAAAAACCTGCACATCCTTCACATGTGCCCTGGAACTTAAAATAAAACAAATAAAATACCACTTTCTCAAGCTTTTAACATACTCCTTGTACAAAGTTCCTGTGGTTATGTTTGTCTGGGAGACTCTCAGGTTTCTTTACATGGGGACTAGTGAAAGCCTGTAAAATATTGAATCATTGTGCTTCTCCAGGAAGGAAAATCACTATGCAGCACTTGTCAAAACTATTTGAACACTGGACATTTTTAATTTTATTTTACTTTACTTCTGAAGCAGCTGACCATATCCTTAAGAACTAGCATTTTACTGAATGCTAGACTATTAACTCAAGGTTTGTGTTAACACAGCCAGAAACCAGATCATTCCCAAAATATCCTTCAACTTATGCTAATAGAGGATATAGAAGGAAACTGATGCAGTAGACATAGTCTTAGATTCCACACTCTGGTTGTTATTTTCATTGTTTTATCACAAATTACATCAAGATAGATACTGCATGTTTTAGAGGACTTTTCCCCACTCTTCAGGGAGCAATATTTAGCATGAAGAACGCACAGGTTCCTAACAGCCTGGAATAAATGTAAATGAGAGTACCAAATCTCACTCCTTCTCCAGAAATAACTAAATTAGAAGTGACTCTGAATTTGAATTCTTAGATTATACCAAACTTTAGAAAGGGAAGCTAAAAAATTGATGTACTAAAGTTAAAGCTTCAGTATATATTGAGCTCCTGAACCATATGTTTTATTTAGTTATTTGGATGTAGGCTCTATTTTGCAATGCTTTATTCCATTTCCAAAGGAAAGTACCATATTCTGTTCAACCACCTCAAAGATTGTCGTTAACCACTGAGTTTAATTTTATCTCTTAGCCACTATTCACATAAGAAGCACACGTTTTAAGGGTTTTTGTTGTTGTTATTGTTGTTATTTTTAATAGCATTTCACTGATTTATTTACTCTAAAATAAGTGTCCATATTTAAAACATCTTAATGAGGCCTGGGCTTTGATTTCTGAAATCTCAGATTTATTTATGTAAGTTAGTTGCAGGTAAACAGATGGTTTCTTTAAGTTTCAATAGCTGAAATGCAAGTAGGGCAAGTATTTCAAGCAATACATATAAGCAGAAAAAAATTCTACTGATCTATTTTGTCTTACAATTTGTATAAAAATACCAGAATCAGACGTGTGTGTGTGTGTGTGTGTGTGTGTGTGTGTAAAAATAAATGGCAGTATATGAATGACTTTGCAATATTTTTATCTTAATTGTAATGAAATTATGTAACAACTATTGAACAAATAATTATTATTGGAAATGAATTTATAGTACTTTGATTAAAGATTCAAACCTCCTAATAAAAGCAATATGGAATTGATAGATCAAGCATTATGTTATGATAATTAGTTTAAATACAGTTTAATATCAAATTTAGAAACTGTAAATTTAGTATATGTCATTTTATTCTTTGCAAAACCACCTAATTTATCTAAAATGATTTTCAATAACCCCTTAGAGGTGTGAATCTTTGAAACTAGAATAAGCACTGGTAATGAATTTTACTACCGGTTGTGTGAGCACACATACAGGGCAAGTTTTTGTAAAGGGTTCTTACTTCATGGCTCTTTAAACTTTGTTTTGTTTTGGTTTTGTTTGGTTTCCTTCCCTGTGAATAATTTGATTTTGCCTTTATTTGAAAATAAAACTTCGTGGGCATTTTTGTAAAATGGGGATAAGTATTTTCCAATCTTATAGAATACACATCTAAGCCAAGATTTATTAACCTTGACACATTCACTAAAAATGAGGTTATGATGTTAAGACATTGTGATTGCTGGAAAAAAATAATTTTGCCGCCATATGTTTTACCTTGAATTTATTGAACTTATTTCTTTTAAAGACAGATAAAATAGCGCCATTTTTTTCAGTCTTTGTCTCATTAAACTTTTCCTATTTTTGATAAGCTGAAAGGTTTCAGGGTTATTATTTAAAGATGTAATCTGAAACATAAATATCGAAACAACTTTTAATATAATAGTGCTTGGTATGTGGTTTTAATAAGTATTTCTTTATAGTGTTGTTTGCTTTATAACATACTTATCACCTTCTAGAAGGAATAGCTAAAACAGTTTCATGAAGTTATAAATGATTCATGTTTCCCTAAGTAACTCAAATCCAAAAGATAGACTATATAGAGATTATCATTTTACCCTATCATCTGACAGTTAAATGAACTAGTAAAAAGTAATGTAGGTTATCCTACATACCTTAAATACGAGTAGTCACAATTTTTTTTTTAAGAAAGGGAAGGATAAAATGGCAAAAACATGATATAAATGATATTCAATAAGTAGGCAAATAAATAGAAGAATTTACTATAAAAGTAAAGTGATTTAAAAATTTGTCATTAATAGCTGCTTTTCACCTTGACAAACGTTTGGATTCAGCACACACACACACACACACACACACAAATGTGATATGGTTGACAAACGTTTGGATTCAGCACACACACACACACACACACACACACACAAATGTGATATGGTACAGTATTAGTTTCAGCTACCAGGAGTCCTAGAAGAAGCTATTTATGAGTTCCGTGGCATAAATCTTGAAGAAAAATTCTTCTATAGTAGAGATTCAGTGTTGCTTCAACTTCTTGTTTAATTGGATTTTAAACCTGACTATTAAAAATATGGTATATTGACAAAATATTACCTTTCAGAAAAAGAGTTAATAATAACAAAAAAGAATAAAAAGTAGATAGTAGTTGAACAGCAAAGATAAAGACGCATTTGTAATTAGAGGAAATTTCACTCCACTTGTTAGACTATAAGCAAATATAACATTAACCCAGGCTAGCATGTTTCTAGTTGAGGCTTTGCTGGACATTTTAGGGGAAGTTACACATATAGCCTCTATACTAGTTCTTTTTTAAAGTCCTATCGATATAAAAAGGTTATTTTTACTACCTTTCAAATATCTAAGAGCTCTGATATAACTTCCAACCTGAAACTATATAGAAAATGAGAAAATAGGATGTAATTGTGCAAACAGTTCTATTTATGCAATTGTCTATATTATATTTATTGGGATTTATTTTTCTGTGTGCATTCCAAAAACATACTTTTTAGAGTTTTTATTTACAAAACATATTTATTAAAAATAGGGTTTATCATCGCTTCAAAGTTATCTTAATGTGGGTATTTTAAAGAGAACGGCTGGCAAAGTTTTAATTAGGAGAAAACACCAATTAACTCATCAGCATTACCTTCATTTAGAGCTCTAAATAGGTTTAATTATTCAATAATTCAGATTCATAGAGCAGCTTTAACTTTAAGCAATTAGATAAAGAATAAGTGATTGTGTGTTTTTATGCAGCCTAGATCTCAATGAAAAATAAAGGAAACAAATACAACCTTATGTCTTAGTAATCCTTGACAAGTATGTAATAATAATAAACTTTTAAAAAGGAAATTTCTTTTGAAAATTTATTTTTGGCTTAGATTTTTATGGGCAATAAATCATACATGTGTCTGATTCAATGATTCTTTTAGTAACATAGATCTTATTATATCCTTTAATATAATGATTCTGTTTTTGGGTGACTTTGATAAGCAAATCTCTCCATTTATAGTAGGCCTGCAAAAAATACAAACCAACTCAAATTTCCACCATAATTAATGTTGTTACAGTTTGTTGGATTTCATGATTTTTTTAATAACTGTCATAACATTAGGCATGGTAGAAGGGAAATGCCTAGATATGTTGCTTTCAGCCCAAATGCTGGCTCTTTCTCAGCTGTCATTGCAACATGAGACTGCTTTTTTATTCTTGGGTGAAGGCCAAAGGAACATCATGCCAGTCTCAATGCAGTTGGAAAAGGGCAATGGTGAGCTAATGCTCCTGCTCAAAAGTAGCATTTGCCTCTTCCCCTCAAATTATTTTGGCCAAATCAAGTCTGTAACAAAGCTTGGTGACAATGTTGGAGGAAGATAATCTTATTATAGGTACTGCAAAAAGTATTTGTGTCCAACTAAATGAACTTGGTCGCATATATTGTATTCCTTTTGTAACAAATAGATATTTTCCTTCTTCCCTCAGCTGAGATAAACTCCTAGAAGTCCCGTCTATTCATGACAGAGACTAAAAGTCCAGGATCTCATTGCAGTGTATATGTTGGTTTCCATGTAACTCCTCCTAATCTGAATATCTATAAACTAAAAAACTAAATTATCTGCAGTTCAGGCACTCAGCATATCATGGTGAAATGGTGACAGGAAATCTTCCATAAACACTGGTTCATAAAAGGAAAGAATGAGAGGTGCTACACATTGGCAGTCATTGGCCCACTGAAAGTTCAAACACTTGCTTAGGCAAAATTAATTATAAGGTGAGAAATATTTCTTTATCAGTATAAAGAAATTCTTCCTTCAGATAGCTGAATTATTTCTTGGGACAGCTTTAAAGTTTATTGATCTGCATGGTTCTTGGTTTACTCTTGGAGTAGCCCTGACTTTTCCATTATAATTCTTGGCTACATATGAAGAAAGTACTAGAAAATATGCCAAGGTGGGGTGCTGAGCAATTTTCTTATCCTGTTTCCTGTCCATAAAAGTTTAGAGGCCCAGAATGTGTTGTAAGTCAGAAGCTATCAGTGTTTTATTCAGGTGGATAGCTCTTTGGGAAATATAACCCTCTCACATTTTGTCTTAATCTCCTTGCTTTCAATCAGTAGCATAAGTCAAAACCATATCCATAATTATTTTCTCTCTCTAGACATCTTATAAATACCATGATTTTATTAGATATCAGTGGGAGAGTCACACATATCCTTGTAGATTTTTTTTTTCTCCAGCTATGTAGTCAATATTGTGTGTTACTAGGCACTATCTTAAAAAATTCAGAGGTGTTAACACCAGCAAAATAACTGATCCAAACCTATTTAAAAATTTTATTTTTTATTTAAAGTAATTCTCATCTTTATCTTTTACTGGTTAGATATGAGACACTGTTATCTCTTTCACCCTGTTAATCTCAGAATTTCTGGTCCCTATTTCATAGTTGCCATTGAGCCAATCATCTTCTGGGGTCTCCTCTTTTATAATTGTTTTATGTCAAGCACAGCCAGTAGGTACACACATATGTTAGTACCATTCTCTTTTACAACAATCTTGCCTGAAGCCACTGTCTTATTTAGTATACTATCTTTCTTTCAAGCATAACTGGCTTTCCTTATCCACAGGGGATACATTCCGAGACTCCCAGTGGATGCCTGAAAATGCAGGTAGTGCTGAACCGCATACTATGTTATGTTTTTTTTCTATACATACATACATATGATTTATTTTATTTATTATTTATTTAGTTTAACTTATAAATAAGGCACAGTAAGATATTAACAATAGCTAATAATAAAACAGAACAATTATAACAACATGCTATAATAAAATGCTAAATAATTATAACAATATGCTAAAATAAAATTATTTAAATGTAGTCTCTAGCTTTCTTTAAAATTTTTTTATTGTATTGTACTCATCTATTTTTGGATCATGGTTGACCATGGGTAACTAAAACTTCAGAAAGTAAAACTGAAGATAAGTGTGGACTACTATCACAATTGAAATGACAACAATACAAACAGCTATTGATAATGGCAGGAGGCAGAGAGGGGTGGGTCTTTGGTGAAACCTTACCCCCAGGCCAAAGTTTAAAGCCTTAAAACAAAGCTACAAGTCAAATCCTCAGACCAGAATGAGAACTTGTCTTCCTGTTTCATGCACTTTCCTCTGATTGATCCCCACTGTTCACCTATTTTATATATACCTGCTCTTTCCTAATTGGTTTTCTACACTGTCTTGCCCACTTTTAAGTGCCGTCCCCTCTTTAACCTTCTTTGCATACTTACAAACCAATCAACAGGCACTCTGTGTTCTGAGTCCATAAATAGTCCCAGAGCCAACCACACTGGAAGACATACCACCAGACTGTGGGCATGGGTGAACGACCCTCACATCTCTCCACTGAGAGCTGTTCTGTGGCTTAATAAAATTCTTCTTCATCCATCCTCACTCTTCAACTGTCAATATATCCTCATTCTTCTTGGATGTGGGACAAGAGCTCAGGAATTGCTGAACATGGGTACAAACTATAATACAGGTGGGCCAAGTGGGTAGGGTGCCTCCAGTGGCAGACCTGAGACCGAGAAGGGCCTGGGTGTTGGGGTGTCATTGGGTGGAATTCTGGGCTGGCAAAGTGACCAAGAAAAATTCTGCATCATATGACCAAGTTTGAACATGCATAGGCAACAGCTGTGTCACAACTGCCACCAAGACATCAGTGGTAGTAAGACACCATCCTAACTTTCAACATGTTCAATGTGAAAAAAAAGTGCCTTAATGTCATTCATTTATTACATATTTATTTAGCAACTACCATGTGCCTGGCATAGTGGCAAGAATGGTTTTATCAAATCATTCCCCAATACACAACATAGATCATCATTTTTCTAGCCTATGATAACAATTTCCTTGCTACCTACTCCAGGGTTCTAAAATCAATCTTACAAGTTTTAGGATTTTTATTTGTCTATCAACCAATTTCTGTAAGAAATGTTTATATCAACTTTCAATCGGTTATATTATGGCAACAAGCATCCTGCAAATTTTAGTAAGTTACAACAACTAAAGTTTATTTTTTCCTGTCATTACATGCTAGGCTGTAGGTCAGCAGTGACTTTGCTTCAAATGTTTTCTTTTTGAAATCTAAACTAGAGGAGCATATTCTACCTGAGAGATAAGATTCTCATAACAGAAGGAAAAAAACAATGGCAGAATCACCTAACAACTCTTAAATTATATGTTCAGAAGTGACATATGGCACTTATATTCATGTGTCATGTCAAAGCAAGCCTCACTTCTAATGTGTTAGAGAAATATAGTATTCTTCCACAGTGTCATGCTATCTATCACAGATTGGAAATAAGATATTCATATTGCATGCTTCAGGGATAGAATAAAATTGATACTCTCTAAATTTCTTAAAGGCCAGTAAAAAATATTAACCTCAAAAATATTTTCTCACAAAGCTCAGTGCCATAATCTAAGACCAATGAGTATTTAACCTCTGTAATAATTATTTTTATTCTTTATTCTGTTTATTATAGGATTTTTGAAACCAATTATATTAAAAGGCCAACCTAAATATTAACATGGAGAAATAATTTCTATTGAGGCCCAGAACTATCATCTGAAACCAATGCTTTAGAACCCTTATTTTGAAATCAGGAGAGGAAAAGCTGTATAAAATTTTTTAAGCTCATAAATATATCTAATACTTTGATTTTAATATGAGAGTATTTTTCTGTTAACCCATGCCCATATAGATACCTTGAATCTTAACTTCAATTATAGCAAGGGTCAGCAAATTATAGCCTGCAGGACAATTATATTTCACCACTTGTTTTACTGTATAAAGCTTATTGAGACTCATTATGCTCATTAGTGTATATATTGTCTATAGCTGTTTTTGCACTCAGTGGAAGGGTTTAGTTATTGCAACTGTTACAATATGGCCAATTGTAGGTAATTTTTTACTGTCTGGTTCTTCACAGAAAAACTTAGCTAACCTCTGCTCTATAGCAATAAACCTGAATTAATTAGTAAAATTTAATGAAAAATAATTTGACACTGAGAGATTAAGATGTGTTATGTTACATTGAAGATCACATATATTGAAAAGCAATCAATTTTCTATATCAGAATAGCTTCAATTTCCTACTCAGTCTATGTCCTTGCGTTGAAATTTAACAATATAACATACAAAACCTAAAAAAAATTATTGATTTGTTGTTTCTATTACATGGCCATAAGTAAATTCAAGTGGTGCTTTTTTAAAAATTTATTATCAGATAGATAGTAATAAGTGCTTGTATTAGTCATGATTCTCCAAAGAAATAGAACCAATAGGAAATATAGAAATATCTACATATAAATTATTAAAATTGGCTCATTTAATTCTGAAGGCTGAGAAGTCCTAAGGTCTCCCATGTACAAGCTAGAGTATCATGCACACCTGAGGTGTAATTCAGTCTGAGTGCAAAGGTGATCTGATGTCTGAGGGCAGGAGAAGATGGATGTCCCAACTCAAGAATAGAGAAGAAGTTCACCTTTCCTATACCCTTTTGTTCTATCAGGGCATCATCTGATTAGATAATGTATACCCACATTAGTGAGGGCCATCTTTTTACTCAGTCCTCCAGTTCAAATATAGGCAGATACCTTTTGCTAAGGCCTTGTTGCTGATATAGAAATAGACTATTTAATATAAAATGCATTTGTGGCAAAAGCTACTTATGGCAAAGACATTAAGATGTATTTCATTGAACCATTCTTATATCACATTTGGCAAAGGCCTTCCTAATCAGTACTCCAAATGACAGGGAACATTTCTACTCTGTTATGTTATCATTAAAGTCTGGTCAAATGTTTCAAGAATATGAAAGAATAATATCACATCACAAATGGTCATAAATGACATGATTAATACGTTATTGTAATTCAATGTTGTGGAATATTATGTGGCTGATATGGTTTGACTGTGTCCCCACCAAATCTCAACTTGAATTGTATCTCCCGGAATTTCCACGTGTTATGGGAGGGACCCAGGGGGAGGTAATTGAACCATGGGGGCAGGTCTTTCCCATGCTATTCTCATGATAGTGAATAAGTCTCATGAGATCTAATGGGCTTATCAGGGGTTTCCACATTTGCTTCTTCCTCATTTTCTCTTGCCACTTCCACGTAAGATGTGCCTTTTGCCTCTTGCCATGATTCTGAGGCCTCACCAGCCATGTGGAACTGTAAGTCCAATTAAATCTCTTTTTCTTCTTAGTCTCAGATATGTCTTTATCAGCAAAGTGAGAACAGACTAATACAGTAAATTGGTATCAAGTGAGTGGGGCATTGCTGAAAAGATACACAAAAATATGGAAGCCACTTTGGAACTGGGTAACAGGCAGAGGTTGGAACAGTTTGGAGGGCTCAGAAGACAGGAAAATGTGGGACAGTTTGGAACTTCCTAGAGACTTGTGGAATGGCTTTGCCCAAAATGCTGATAGTGATATGGACAATAAGGTCCAGGCTGAGGTGGTCTCAGATGGAGATGAGGAACTTGTTGGTAACTGGAGTAAAGGTGACTCTTGTTAATGTTTTAGCAAAGAGACTGGTGGCATTTTGCCCTCTTCCTAGAGATTTGTGAAACTTTGAACTTGAGAGGGATGATTTAGGGTATCTGGTGGAATAAATTTCTAAGCAGCAAAGCATTCAAGAAGTGACTTGGGTGCTGTTAAAGGCATTTGGTTTTATAAAAATGCAGAGCATAAACGTTTGGAAAATTTGCAGCCTGACTATGCAATAGGAAAAAAAAATCTGGGGAGAAATTCAAGCCAGCTGCAGAAACTTGAATAAGTATCAAGGAGCCTAATGTTAATCTCAAAGATCATGGGGAAAATGTCTCCAGGCCATGTCAGAGACCTTCACGGCAGCCCCTCCCATCGCAGACCTGGAGGCCTAGGAGGAAAAAGTGGTTTTGTGGGATGGGTCCAGGATCCCTGTGATGTGTACAGGCTAGGGATTTAGTGCCCTGTTCCCAGCCACTCCAGCCATGGCTGAAAAGGGTCAATGTACAGTTCAGGTTGTGGCTTCAGAGGGTGGAAGCTGCCAAGCCTTGGCAGCTTCCAGATGGTGTTGGGCCTGCAGATGCACAGAAGACCAGAATTGAAGTTCAGGAACCTCCACCTAAATTTCCGAAGATGTATGGAAACACGTGGATACCCAGGCAAAAGTTAGCTGCAGGGGTGGGGCCCTATGGAGAACTTCTGCTAGGGCAATGCAGAAGGGAAATGTGGGGTCAGAGCTCCCAGGCAGAGTCCCTACTGGGGCACTGCCTAGTGGAGCTGTGAGAGGAGAGCCACTGTCCTCCAGAATCCTGAATGGTAGATCCACCAACAGCTTGTACTGTGAGCCTGAAGAAGCCACAGACACTCAATGGCAGCTTGCAAAAGCAGCTGAGAGGGAGGTTGTACCCTGAAAAGCCACAGGGGCAGAGCTGCCCAGGACCATGGAAAGCAACTCTTGCATTAGTGTGACCTGGATGTGAGATCTGGAGTCAAATGGAGTCAAAGGAGATCATTTTGGAGCTTTGAAGTTTGACTGCCCTGCTGGATTTCAGACTTGCATGGGCCCTGTAACCCCTTTGTTTTGGCCAATTTTTCCCATTTAGAATGGTTGTATTTACCCAATGTACCCCCACTGTATCTAGCAAGTAACTAGCTTGTTTTTGATTTTATAGTCTCATAGGCAGAAGGGACTTGCTTTGTCTCATGTGAGACTTTGGACTGTGGACTTTTGAGTTAATGCTGAAATGAGTTAAGACTTTGGGAGAGTATTGGGAAGGCATGGTTGGTTTTGAGGTTTTGAAATGTGAGGATATGAGATTTGGAAGGGCCAGGGGCAAAATGGTATGGTTTGGCTGTGTTCCCACTAAATCTCAACTTGAATTGTACCTCCCCAAATCCCCCCATGTTGTAGGAAGGACGCAAAGGGTGGAAACTGAATCATGGGGGCCAGTCTTTTCCATACTATTCTCATGATAGTGAGTAAGTCTCATGAGATCTGATGGGTTTATCAGGGGTTTCTGCTTCTGCTTCTTCCTCATTTTCTCTTGCTGCTGCCATGTAAAAGGTACCTTTCACCTCACGCCATGATTCTGAGGCCTCCTCAGCCATGTGGAACTGTAAGTCCAATTAAACCTCTTTTTCTTCCCAGTCTCAGGCATGTCTTTTCAGCAGCATGAAAATAGACTAATACAGTGTCCAAAAGAGTAGCATCAATCTACGCATAATACTATTGGAAGATATACTGTGAAGTAAAATAATATAATTATTTATTTTGATATAATGCAGTCTGTGGGAAAATTCTTATCTATGAAATATATTTGTATCCTTGAGGGTAGAGAACGCTGGGAGTCTGAAATGATATACCAAATTTTAGCTATAGTTTAGTCTGCGAAGAAAAATATGAAGAATAGAGAGAGGCATCTTGAAGTGCATATTGTGATTCATATTTGTGTAATTTTCAAAAATTATATGGTAAATGTATAGAATATTTAATAGCAAAAATACTACCTTATCATTAAGGATTGTGAAGCATTTAAGCCACCCTTGCTGAAGTACAGTGAAACACATTTGTAGAATTGTAAGGCATTGAAAGCCATATTCTAACAATGAGAAGGAGCAATGCAGCCTGGTTATTAGGCTCTTAAATGATGAGCTGAAGTCTGTCCCAAGAAAAACTCATGGTAAGATAGACACAATGTAAACTGACATTTTGGGTGAGCTCTTCTGAAAAAGCTGTTCTTTGTGAAAGAAGTACTTGACAATCACTTAAATGTGCGAATTTCCAAACATCCTAAAAGCAACATGAAAGGCTGTGAAAATAAGAAAACAGTTTGTAAGTATATGTGACATTGTGCAGCAATTCCATATTCACAGACAACAAAGTTTAGGCCTTTTCAAAACACCACTTTTTCACACAAGAATAGAGAGAACAATGGAGGAAATCATGCCAGACACCGGATTGAAAACCAATCAACAACTTAACTTGCTATGGGGGGAGCATTTTGTAGTTTGTTGGTAATTGAAGAAAGATCAAGCTTTATCTGTAACCAGCCTAAGTCAGGTGCTACAGAGAATCCTGAGCACTTTTGCTATGATCAGAACTGATTTTGAATTTCAATTAAGAAGACAAATAACTGATTATTTCAATTACAGTAAATTATTCAAATCTATATACATTTTGCTATGACTGCCAACAATTAACTAACAGCATCTCAGTTGTAATGAGCTGTAAAATTGTCAGAAATGTATTTTATGAGTGTTAATACTTTACAGATTTTTAAATTTAGACTTCATAATGATTAGCTGTGGGTTGCATTAATGGTACAAGACATTTCTAAATGTAAAGAAAATAGTATTAATTTACGTACCACATAAAATCCCTGTTTTATGGTATTCCTTAATATTTTCATTTCAAAAATTACATTAAGATTATCTCTAACTATAGTATTTTAATGAACTACTGAAAACAATTAATGACTTCAAAAAAATATCTAAAGAGATAGTCAACACAACCAAAACTGCTGCATATTTAGTAAACATTTTTAAAAGCATACTGTGTCAGATACAATATTGAGAAAAGCAGAATAAACAAAGATGATTTTTGTTATATAAAGAACTCATATAAAATTAAAACACCTAAGGAACTACATCATTAATATTTGTTTTGAATTTCTTATACAGAATGTAAAATGGAACAACTCAAAAGATAGTTATTAAACATAAATAATAAACTACAGAGAAAATAAAATCACAATTCTTTTTTATGTTTTACTTCAGCGTGTGTAACAGCACTGAGGAGTCTCTATTGTCCAATGTTTTCAAATATTCTATTTACAAAATCTCATCTTAAAAATGGAAATAAACAGCATTTAATTTTCAAGGTTCCAAAAGTACAAGAAATATAACAAAAAATGGTAAATCTTGTATACTGAACTGGCATCTATTCAGTAAGGACTTAAAAAGGTCAAAGTACCTAAACAATTCTTTAAAAAATTCATTATGACTAAATAAATATGTGATAGCTTATTACGTTTTTCCCCTTTACACTATATGCTCTTTGAGGGCTGGGCTGTATTCCTCATGTATTTTATTTAGCAGATTCTTAATACGTATCTGTGATACAAGTAAATAAATTAATTGCTTTTGGAGAATATATAGTAATTAAAATCATTCATGAAATACTTCATATTTTGGGGAACACATAAGAATGTCAATAACAATTATAAGACAGAATAAAAAAAGAACAACATAAGGAATGTAGAATCACTGTTTTTTAATCTAACTACCTAAAATGCTGTCTTGAGATTGAAAAATCAGTCTTGAGAGATGCAGGGCAAGATGGCAGAATACAAGGCTGCACTGATGGTCCTTTCTGTGAGAATCAATTTAACAACTATCTACACAGAAAAAAACATCTTTATAGAAACCAAAAATCAGATAAGCCACCATAGTACCTGTTTTTTTTTTTGTTTATTTCTTCTATAAAAAAAAAGGATACACGTACAGAACATGCAGGTTTGTTACATAGGTATACGTGTGTCATGGTGATTTGCTGCACCTGTTGACCAGTCTGCTAAGTTCCCTCTTCTCACCCCTACCCCACAACAGGCCCTGGTGTGTGTTGTTCCCCTCTCTGTGTCCATGTGTTCTTGATGTTCAGCTCCCACTTATGAGTGAGAACATGTGGTGTTTGGTTTTCTGTTTCTGTATTAGTTTGCTGAGGATGATGGCTTCCAGCTTCATCCATGTTCCTGCAAAGGGCATGATCTCCTTCATTTTTATGGCTGCATATATTCCATGGTGTATATGTACCACATTTTCTTTATGCAGTCTATCATTGATGGGCATTTGGGTTGGTTCCCAAAGCCATAAAAAACCCTAGAAGAAAACCTAGGCAACACCATTCAGGACATAGTCATGGACAAATTATTTACAAATAACTTAAACATATTTATAAGAAAAAGACAAACAACCCCATCAAAAAGTGGGTGAAACATATGAACAGGTACTTCTCAAAAAAAGACATTTATGGAGCCAACAAATATATGAAAAAAAGCTCAACATCACTGATCATCAGAGAAATACAAATCAAAACCAAGATGAGATACCATCTCACATCAGTCATTAATAGTCAGGAAATAATAGATATTGGTGAGGCTGTGGAGAAATATGAATGCTTTCACACTGTTGGTGGGAATGTAAATTAGTTCAACCATTGTGGAAAACAGTATGGCAATTCCTTAAAGATCTAGAACCAGAAATACCATTTGACCCAGCAATCCCATTACTGGGTATTTACGCAAAGGAATATAAATAATTATACTACAAAGACATATGCAGCCGGGCGCAGTGGCTCACGCCTGTAATACCAGTACTTTGGGAGGCTGAGGCGGGCGGATCATGAGGTCAGGAGATCGAGACCATCCTGGCTAACACAGTGAAACCCTGTCTCTACTAAAAATACAAAAAAATTAGCTGGGCGTGGTGGCGGACACCTGTAGTCGCAGCTACCAGGGAGGCTGAGGCAGGAGAATGGCTTGAACCTGGGAGGTGGAGCTTGCAGTGAGCCGAGATCATGCCACCCCCTCCAGCCTGGGCAACAGAGCGAGACTCTGTCTCAAAAAAAAAAAAAAAAAAAAAAAACATGCACACGTACGTTTATTGCAGCACTGTTTACAATAGCAAAGTACCTGGTTTTATCTCTGTTTTGCTAAAAGAGACACTAAAGAGATAGAAAAATAATATTGAATTGCTGACACCACCTCTCCCCCACCTACCGGCAACATGGTGCATATAGGATCTCTCTGCACTTGGGGAGGGAGAACACAGCAACTGTGAGGCATTGAACTTAATGCTCTCCTGTAAGAGCAGAATGGGAAACTGGACCAAACACAGCTGATGCCCACCCATGGAGGGAGCATTTAAACCAGCCCTAGCTAGAGGGGAATCACCCATCCCTGCGGTCCGAATTTGAGTTTCTACAAACTTTGCCAACATGGGCTATAGTGCTCTGTGTCTCTAAATAAACCTGAATGTCAGTTTAGGCCATAAAGACTGCAACTTTTAGTCAAGTCCTAGTGCTGAACTAGGCCCAGAGAGAGTAGACTGGGGAGACACACAATCTACTGAGATACCACCAGGGGTAGCTATGGGAGTGCTGGCATCACCTCTTCTCTAACCCTAAGCTATACTGTTCAGGGTTCCAAAAAAGACCCTTTCCTTACTCTTAAGAAGAGGAGAGGGATGAATGGGAAGGACTTTGTCTTGCATCTTGGATACTAGCTCAGCCACTGCAGAATAGGGCATCCATCAGAGTCCTGAAGCCCTAGCTCCCAGACAACATTTCCGGACACTCTCTGAGCCAGAAAAGAACCCACTGACTTAAAGAAAAGGGCCCAGTTCTGACAGAACTCATCACCTGGTAACTTGACTTTTGGATAGCATTTTTGGACCTGTTCTGAGCCACAGGGCAGCCCATTGCCCTGAAGCATGAGTCTCAGCTCAAGCAGCATTCAGAAGAAGCTGACTTAGAGACAATGGGTATTAAGAAAATATCCACAACAGTTTGGTACTACTCCTCATGGCCTGGGCTGGTTTGTGGCTATGGAGTAAGGCTCCTCTGCCCTTGGAAAGCAGAGGGAAGAGTGGGAAATACTGCATCTTGTAGTTTGTTTACCAGATCCGCTGCAGTACAATAGAATACCAGGTAGACTTCTAAGGTTTTTGACTCTAGACCCTGACTCCCAGACAACACCTCTGAACCCACGTGGGACCTAGGGGACCTCACTGCACTGAAGGGAGGGACACAGGCCTGGTTGGCTTTGACACTGGCCAATTGTAGAGGCTCAAGGCCTTGAGAGAATGTAGGCAATAGGCAGGTTGTGGTTATTAGCAGGCCTTAGGCAAGACCCAGGTCTTGGGCAAGATCCAGCACTGTGCTGGATTCAGGTTTGACCCAGCACAGTCATAGTGGTGGTGGCCACAGGGGTACTTGTCATTATATCCCAGCTTTAGGTGTCTCATAACAGAGAGAGAGAGACTCTGTTTGTTTTGGAGAAACTGGGAGAGGAGAACCTGATAATTCAGATAAATCTCTCAGATCTTGTCTAAGGACATCAAGGTGGTACCTATCTGCATTTGCAGGAACCACAGCATTACTGTGCTGGGGGTGGCCCCATAAGCAGATACAGCTTATATCACAACATACAAGTCCTTTGAAATATTCAGAAGGCCTTTCTAAAAAGGACAGCTACCAATAACCCCAGACAATGAAGAGTAAAATAAATACCTAACTCTTTACTGGCCAGATGCCGAAGAACATCTACTGGCATCAACACTAGACAGGAAAACATGACCTCACCAGATAAACTAAATAAGGTATCAGGGGCCAATCCTGTAGAACAGAGATATGTGACCTCTCAGACAGAGAATTTAAAATAGCTGTGTTGAGACAACTCAAAGAAATTCAAGATAACTCAGAGAAGGAATTCAAAATTCTATTAGATAAATTTAATGAAGAGATTGAAATAATTTTTAAAAATCAAGCAGAAATTCTAGAGCTGAAAAGTGCAATTGGCATACTGAAAAATGCATCAGAGTCCATTAATAGCAGAATACGTCAAACAGAAAAAAAACTAGTGATCTTGAAAATAGGCTATTTGAAAATACAGAAAGGAGACAAAAGAAAGAACAGTAAAAAATATAAAGCATGCCTACAGGATCTAGAAAAACAGCCTCAACGGGGTGAATTTAAGAGTTATTGGCCTTATTAAGGAAATAGAGAAAGAGAAGTAGAAGGTTTATTCAAAGGGATAACAGAAGACTTTCAAAACCTGGAGAAACATATCACTATTATCTGCTTACAGATCACCAAGCAGATATAATCCAAATAATACTACCTCAAGGCATTTAATAATCAAACTCTCAAAGGCCAAGGATAAAGAAAGTATCCTAATTCCAGCCAGCCACCCGTAGCAGCATTGCACCTCCCAGGGAGAGATCTCCAGTGGGAAGGGGCAGGCTGACATCTTTGCTGTTTGGGTGACTTAGCCATTCTAGCCTTTTGGCTTTGAGGAGTCCAAGTGTACCAGGGTCAGGAAGGATACCCCAGCACAACACAGCTGCTCTACAAAAATGTGGCCAGACTGCTTTTTTTAAGCGAGTTCCCAATCCTTTACCTCCTCACTGTGTGGGACCTCCCAACCAGACCTCAAACTAACCCAGCCAGCATTATCCACCCAACAGAGATAGGAAGCCTCCCTGGGACAGAGCTTCCAGAAGGAGGGGTAGGAAGCCATCTTTGCTGTTTTGACAACTTAGCCTTTGGAGAGTCCAAAACAACCAGGGGTAGAAGTGGTATCCCAGAACAACACGGCTGTTCTAAAAATACATAGTAAGTCTGCTTTTTTGAGCTACTCTCCAAACCTATTCCTCTTCACTGGGAGGGGCCTCCCAACGGGGGCCTACAGTCACCCCCACCAGTGTTCTGCACCAGACAGAGATATGAAGCCTCCCTGGGAAGGAGTTTCCAGAGGGAGGGGTGGGACAGCATCTTTGCTGTTTAGGTAACTTAGCTATTCTGGTCTCCAGACTTTGGAGAGTCCAAGAGGACCAGGAGATGAAGTGGACACCCAGCACGGCACAGATGCCCTGTGAAAACATGGTCAGGCTGCTTTTTTAAGTGGGTCCCCTCTTCCATTCCTCATCACTTGATGGGGCCTCCCAACTGGGTTCTCCATCTACCCTCACTTGTGTTCTGTGACTGATGAAAGTTTCAAATCTCCCTGGGATGGAGCTTTCAGAGGGCGGGGCAGGCAGCCATCTTTGATGTTTGGGTGACTTAGTTATTCCAGTCTTTGGGCTTTGGAGTGTATGAGGTTCCCAGGGGCTGAAGTGTACCCCCAGCACAACACAGTTGCTTGACAAAAACATGGCCAGACTGATTTTTTAAGCAGGTACCTGATTCTGTTCCTCCTCACTGGGCGAGACCTCTGCACCAGAATCTCCAGCTAAATTCTACTGGTGCGTTTGGGCCAGCAACGGGTCCGTAGCTTCCTGGGACAGAGCTTCAAAAGGGAGGGGCAGGTTGCCTTCTTTGCAGTTTCTCAGCCTTCACTAGTCAGACCTCCAGGTACTGGAAAAGCCAAGGTGACAAGATACTGGAGCAGGCCCCAAGCATACCACAGCAGCCCTATGGAAAAGTAGCCTGACTGCTATGTGGGTACCTGTTTCCATATCTGCTCCCTGGATGGGTTATCATTACTGTGTTCCAGCAACGCCCTGCCAGAGCTATCAAGCCAGGAGCACCTCAGCAACTCCCAGTACAGAGCCACCAGGGGCAATTGAAATCCTCTCTGCCACTGCCTGTACAGTGGAACTTCCCTCCTACCCTCAGACTAATGAAAAAGCAAAGATTCTAAGTGTTTTATCCACACCTCCAACAAACTGCAGTTGACCCAAGAAGACGAGGCCAGTCTGTCCCCCACAGATTCCAAACACCCTCCACCGCTCATCACTAGACAGTGAACCCTGGCTTGGGTCCACAGTACAGACCCTCCATCTGGCAATGATCACATGCCTCTGGTGTGCAGCCCCCAGGAGACAAGCAAAAGATCCTTGGCCACAACCACTACTAAGGTCCTTTCCTCTGCTGCCTCCAAGAAGGAACAGAAACACTGAGATTGTCCCAGAGCTGCAGTTGGCAGCCCAGGAGTGCCAAGCCACAATCTACAGGCATTATTCAAGGGAGAGAGAAACCCACATTTTCAGAGCATTGAGAAGGAACACAGCTGCGACTGTGAGGAAGCATAGGAGAGCCACACAACTGAGTCTACCAACTGACCAGTCACCCAAGTGCCACCTACTGAATGTGCCATCCCAAAGGTGTAACACCCAAAATATCCCCCTCTGAAACCAGACAAGAACTCAGCTTAAAGACCAGTGAAAATATCCAGAAAAAAAGTCTATTGACTGTACTCAATCTACACTGCAGTTAAAGGAACAACCACACACAGAAATGAGAAAGAACCAACACAAGAACTCCAATAAATCAAATGGCTACAGTGACCTATGTCCTTCAAATAACCACACCAGTTCTCCAAACAAGAGTTCTCAACCAGAATGAGCTGGCTAGAATGTCAGAAATAGAATTCAGAATATGGATAGAAATGAAAACTGTCAAGATTCAGGAGGATGGCAAAACCCAGTCCAAGGAAAATAAGAATCACAATACAGTGATACAGGAGCTGAGGGACAAAATTGCCAGTGACAAAAAGAATGTATCAGATCTGACAGAGCTGAATAACAAAATACAAGAATTTCACAATGCAATCACAAGTATTAAGAGAAAAATAAACCAAACTGAAGGAAAAATCTCTGGACTTGAATACTAGGTCACTGAAATAAGACAGCCAGACAAAAATAAAAAGGAATCCACAAAACCTCTGAGAAGTATGGAATTATTATGTAAAGAGGCCAAATCTGTAAATCATAGGCATCCCTGAAAGGGAGGAGAAGAAAGCAAAAAACTTGGAAATCATATTTTGGGATATTACCAAGAAAAACTTCCCAAACTTGCCAGAGAGGGCACCAGTCAAATTCAGGAAATGCAGAGAACTCCTGCAAGATTCTACAGAAGGAGAGCACCCCTGAGACACTTAATTGTCAGATTTTCCATGGCCAAAATGAAAGAAAGAATGTTAAAGTCATCTAGAGAGAAAGGCAGGTCACCTAAAAAGGGAACCCCATCTGTCTATCAGTGGACCTCTCAGCTGAAACCCTACAAGCCAGAAGGGATTGGGGGCCTATATTCTAAAAGAAAAAATCTTCAACCAAGAATTTCATATCCAGCCAAACCAAATTTTTGTAAGCAAAGAATAAATAAGATCTTATTCAGATATACAAACGTTGAGGGAGTTTGTTACCACTAGACCTGCCTTACAAGATATCTTGAAAGAAGCACTAAATGTAGAAAGCAAAGACTGCTGTCAGCTAATTAAAAAAAACAAAACAAAACACTGTAACACAGAGACCTATGTCATTATAAGGCAACCAAACAAGGAAGCCAACATAATAACCAGCTAACAGCACAATGACAGGATCAGATTCCTACATATTAATATTAACTTTGAATGCAAATGAGCTAAATGCCCCACATATAAGGCACAGAGTGGCAAGCTAGAAAAACAAAGCAAGACCAAATGGTATGCTGTCTTCAAGAAACCCATGTCACATAAAATGACACCCATAGGCTCAAAATTAAGAGATGGAGTAAAATCTACCAAGCGAATAAAAAAGAGAAAAAAAAACAGGGGTTGCAATCCTAATTTCAGACAAAAACAGATTGCAAACCAACAAAGGTTAAAAAACAAAAAGAAGGGCATTCCATAATAATAAAGGGTTCAATTCAAGCAAAAGACCTAACTATTCGAAATATATATGCATCCAACACGCAAGCAATCAGATTCATAAAGCAAGTTCTTAGATACCTACAAAAAGACAAGGACCCCCATACAATAATAGGGGACACTTCAACACTCCACTGACAGTATTACATAGATCATTGAGGCAGAAAATTAACAAAGATATTCAGGACCTGATCTCAACATTGGATGGAATGGATCTGATAGACCTCTGTAGAATTCTCCACCCAAAAACAATAAAATATACATTCTTCTCATTGCCACATGGCACATACTCTAAAATTGACCGCATAATTCAACACAAACAATCTTCAGCAAATGCAAAAGAATGAAAATCATACCAAACACAGTCTTGGACCATAGTGCAACAAAAATAGAAGTCATTGTTGTTCAGTTCCAAGAATTCTTTAATTTCCATCTTGATTTCATTTTTGACCCAATGCTCATTCAGGAGCAGGTTATTTAATTTCCATATATTTGCATGGTTTTGAAGTTTCCTTTTAGAGTTATTTCCAATTTTATTCCACTGTGGTCTGAGAGAGGGCTTGATATAATTTCAATTTTCTTAAATTTATTGAGGCTCATTTTATGGCCTATCACATGGTCTATCCTGGAGAAAGTTTCATGCACTGTTGAATAGAATGTGTATTCTGTGGTTGTTGGATGAAATGTTCTGTATATATCTGTTAAGTCTGTTTGTTCCAAGTTATAGTTTAAATCAATTGTTTCTTTGTTGACTTTCTGTCATGATGACCTGTCTAGTGCTATCAGTGGAGTATTGAATTTCCACACTATTATTGTGTTTCTGTCTATCTCATTTCTTAGGTCTATTAGTAATTGTTTTATAAATTTGGGAGCTCCTGGGTTAGTTGCATATATGTTCAGGATTGTGATATTTTCCTGTTGGACAAGGCCTTTTACCATTATATAACGTTCCTGTCTTTTGGATGCAAGGCAATAACAAATGCCAGCAAGGATCTAGAGAAGAAGGAATGCTTGCACATTGTTGGTGGGGGTGTAAATTAATACAACCACCATAGAGAACACTTTGGAGTTTTCTCAAAAAACTAAAAATTGAGCTACCATATGATCCAGAAATCCTACTGCTGGCTATATACCCAAAAGAAAGGAAATCAGTATATCGCCTATCTGCATGCCTATGTTTTTTGCATCACTGTTTACAATAGCTAAAATTCGGAAGCAACTTAAGTGTCCATCAACAGATGAATGGATGAAGAAAATGTGGTACATACACACAATAAAGTATTACTCAGCCATAAAAAAATAAGATCCAGCCATTTGCAACAACATGGATGGAACCACAGGCTGTTATATTAAGTGAAATAAACCAGACACAGAAAGATAAACATACCATGTTCTCACTTATTTGTAGAATCTAAAAATCAAAACAATTGAACCTCATATTCATAGAGAGTAAAAGGATGGTTACCAGCGGGTGGGAAGAACAGTAGGGGATCATAGTGGGGAGGTGGAGACAGTTAATGTGTACAAAAAAATAGAAAGATTGAATAAGACCTGTAATTTGATAGCACAACAAGGTGACTATAGTCAATTATAACTTAATTGCACATTTTCAAATTACTCAAATAGTCTAATTGGATTATTTGTAACTCAAAGGATAAATGCTTGAGGAGATGGAGACTTCATTCTCCATGATGTGATTATTTTAGATTACATGCCTATGCCAAAACATCTCATATACCCCATAAATATATACAACTACTAAGTACCAATGAAATTAAAAAGAAAAAAAAACAAGAAAACCATTCTTGATTGGAACACAACTGCCCTGCTTGTTCATTCAAAAAATATTTATTGAGCACCTACTATGTGCCAGGCATTCAAAGGAGAATCAGCAAGCATCATTTATTTTATGTTTATAGAAATCATTCGAACCTGCAATCCCATTGCTAGGTATCTACCCAAAGAATAAGAAATTGTTATATCAAAATGATACCTGCACTTGTATGTTTATTGTAGCATGATTCACAATAACAAAGATAGGGAATCAATTCTAAGCATCTATCAACTAATGATTGAGTAAAGAAAATATATGTGCAATGGGATACAATTCAGCAATAAAAAGACTGAAATTCTATCTTTGCAACAACATGGATGAAATTGGAGGCCAATATCTTAAGTGAAACAACTCAAAAAGTCAAATACATGTCCTCACTTACAAGTGAAAGCTAAATAGTATGTACAAATGGACATAAAATGTTGAATGATAGACATTGGAGATTTGGAAGGGATGGAAATGGAAGAAGGGTGAGAAATGAGAAATGACTCAAAGAGTGCAAAGTACATTATACTGGTAATAGATACACTAAAGCCCAGACGTCATCACTCCACAATATAGACATGTAACAAAATTACAGTTGCACCTCTTGAATTTATACAAATGTATAAAAAAAGTTTATCCCTAATTTTTTCTGCTTCTTATTTAAAAAGTCACAAGATAAGGACACACTTAAAATAGGTACAGTGAAAGTTCTAGTAAGAATGAGCCAGTTGCTGCAGAATCTTTGTATACAAAGAACATTTACCTCTGCAAAAGATGTTGAGGCTTTTGTGTCACTATTATTTATAGAGTATCCTCAGAGGATTGGAACCAGACAAGGCAACCAAGGATGATACAGATCTAAATATAAATCAGTACTATTATAAAAATTCTCTTTCAGAGAGGTGCTAAATATGAAAATGTGTGTGCTTAAATTCTAGGCTCCATTATGTAATTTGCAGTACTGCCCTTAATTTTCCTTCCCAGTCTCCTAAAATCACTTTGGTCAGCCACCCTGGTCTGGAAGGGTCTTGATTTTGACATTTTGTGAGTCTGTAGTTTTGAATAATCCAAACTTGCTTCTATCTTTCTGGTAGAGAAAGAAAAGCAGGGTACCAATGATCTGAATTGCTGCCTTCTAACTAGATAAGGGAAGCCAAATATGAAGAAGATAGATTGAACAAGATGCTTAATTCTTTTGATGAGAATAAAAAGGTTAGGTAGTAATTGACAAAATTGAAGCTATTTTTTGAAGAACTTTGTTTCTTATTCAAATAAATTTTTAAGCTCTCTGTACATCATTTCAAAGATTGAAAAGTTATTAATCTATAGTAGAAAAAAATTCTGTCTAGTTTGCACGTAATTAATTTCAGAAGAGAGACATGTACATTACTCATCTTTTTCTACTACCACTTAGAGGAAAATGTTTAAATTGCTTTCAAATATTACTCAGACTACTAGGTGGGCAAACCGAGATATGTAAATATTTGCGTTTATTTTCATTTACAAAAACTGGGAAAAGCTTTAAAATGAAAGTCCTGCTTACTCTATAAATACAATGATAATTGTTTTCAATGCAATATATTACTTTTTTTTTTCTTGCTGGCACTCAGATGTTAAGCTGTAAGTACAATTAACAGTTCAGGCTAAAAGTGCTAGAACATGAAGGTGGAAAAGTGAGAATTTTGTTATATCTCCTGAATTTCTATTATTACCAAGTTTCTTTTCTTCTCACTTCATTTTATCACCTCTAGCATTTTACTTCAGGGAATATAGAAAGATAAAACAGGAAAAAAAGAACATGTTTACACTACACTTTGATAATCCAGACAGTTTTATATACCCTGTCTATGTATATTTCCCAAAAGTAAGACATATGAATAAAAGCAAGTTTTAACAAAGGGGTTTTAAATAATATCCCATTTAGATATCGTACAAGGAGAATACTTTTAGTTATAATATTTCAGTAACTATTCTCATGGCATACATTAATAAAGAATTTCTGGTAAGAAAAACTGTGATAAAAAATGAACCATTAAGATTAGGTACTGTACCATAGAAGATGCACATATGTGCTAAAATCTATGCATCAAAGATACATTGTTAAATATTTTTAAAACACTATTAATTCATTTAAAGTCAATTTTCTTTGAATAGCTGTAAAGTACCTCAGTTCTCTTTCTCATAGATTATATTTTAGTTTATCATCTATGATAACCAACTTAATTTGATGTTTTATACAAGAGGCTAAGTACTTATCACAAATAGTAAGAGACTATAGAATGATTAATCTTAGGAATAGAAGACACAAAAGACATCTAAAGGTACTAAAGATTATGACTTTCAGGGCAAAGCTAGGCCAGTTTCAGGCATCTCGCATTTTTCTCAGTAAAGTTAGAAGCAAAATTATTTTTTTCTACAGTCAGAATGAAGATAACTCGGTGAAGGAAATTGGTATATTTGACAAAAACTTATTGATCATTATAATAAAGGCATATATAGTAAGTGACTGGAGGTCATGTAGGAAACAGCCAACCCAGACTTGTGGCTGATGTTAATAACTAGCATGTGAATGTCATGGGAGATTTCAGTCGGGCTAATAAATGAGGTGATTCTTAAAAAATGACATGCAGTCATCCAAGCAAAATGAGACATGAAAGCTTTGAAATGCAAGCAGGAAAAATTGGGGAAAAAAACTGAGAATGACATAAGGAATCATTTACAAATAGGCAGAAGTATTGCCAACAATTAATGAAAATGCAGATGACATTAGATAGCATTAATTTGTAGTAAAGCCAGTCAGCACATTTTCTTGTTTGTCTCCAACAAACAGGAGCAGTTTAGTAAAATGAAAAGGAGAATTATGCATTGTGAATAATGGGGTCTCCTGGAGTGTTTGTGGCAGTAGAGAAACTTTATTAAAAACTCAGGTCAAATTCCAGTTTCTAAAATCATCCCTAGATTTCCAGCCACACTGACTACTGTCTTTCAGAAATAACCGTACTTTCCTGATCCTATATGTGTAACCAGTGATGGCTCATATGCTGTGCGCTTGATGTTGATTGTTGAGTAGAGGGCCATCATCACATCTGGTGTACCCCATATAATAGTGACGAGCTCAGGATCTTAAACAGAATGGGGATAATGGTGAAAGCATTGTTCTCGTGGTTGACATTAGGAGCCTGGCTATTAACTGAAGAAGGTGTTTGTTAGAAATATTGTTGACAAATAAATTTATGACTACTGTGATGTCAGTAGACAGACTAAAGGCACCAGGAATAATATCAGATATTTGAAAAAAGAAATAATAAATTAGGTGACCACATACATTTACGCAACAGAAGAATACCCTTGTTAAGTTGGTAGATAATAATTGGTAGACTAGGAACATAGTATTGGAAGGAAAGTCTATGTATTAATACTTGGAAAGAGGAAAATGATATAATAGTGATGTAGAAGCAGGTAATGTAAACAAAAATAGCATGTCTATCCTTCTTTGAAAGTAATTGGGAAGTGGGAAATATAAAAGCATCAACAGGCCTGGCACAGTGGTTCATGCCTGTAATCCGAAAACTTTGGCAGGCCTGGAGGGACAGATCACTTTAGCCAAGTGTTTGAGGCCAGCCTCGGTAACAGGATGAAACCCTGTCTGCCAGGGTTTATATATATATACATAAGTGAGCTGAACATGGTGGTGCATGCCTGTGGTTCCAACTACTTTGGAGGCTGAGGTGTGAGGATTGCCTGAGCCGGGAGACGAAGGTTGCAGTGAGCTGAGATTGCACTACTGCACTCCCGACTTGATGACAGACTGAGATTCTGTCTCAAAAATAAATAAATAAATAAATAAATAAATAAATAAATAAATAATAAAAGCTTCAACAGAAGAGTTTTGCAAGGGCAAATGTGATCAATGTGATAACTGAGAAGCTGGAAATAGAATTTGTAGAGAGAATGAGGTCAAGCACTTTTGCTCTGCCATGCTGGCTTCAGAAATACAGGACTAATGCAGCTTATTGCAGGTCCTTTTGCTCAGAAGGGTCTGATCTGGCACTTGACATTTAATACTTTTTGGTCTCCATCTTGAAATTATTAATGATTTAATATTTGAATGTGTGTTTGTGAGTAGAGTCCAATGGGACAATAGAAAATGTGCCAAAACCTTGGTGCATCAAATGACATGAATCCTTTCCTGCTGCCACCTCCACACCTCACCAGGAATGTTTGTAGCCACCTACCTTATCCAGGTTCCTCCTTGCCTCCTCCTCCCCACTGTCCTCCCAGTGACACTTCCTATCCCTTTCCCCCTGATGTTCCTGGCCCTGGCAGGCATCCCCCTCCCTGTGTTCATTCATCCATTGGTGCTGCTCTCCACCCCTGGCAGGGGACTAGGCACTGGTTTGGGAATCATGGTTGGGTGCACACACCACATGCCATTTCTGAGCAAAGTATGTTGTCAGCCATCCCTTCCCAGGGCCTGTAGCACCAAGGCATTCTATAGATAACTTGGTGGGGGTGAGCGTTTAGCCCACCCCGAATCAGGTATCCAGTGTGGACTGGTACCATGGTTGTAATCCACTGGAAATTATGCATCCACTGTGGGTTGAGACAGCCAGCCCATGGGAAAGAGAGATTCTCCATACCTGGCCAGGGCACAGTGCAGCAATGGATGATAAGAACAGGAATCCAGCAGCCAGTGGGCTGTAACCTAGAGTGTACAAAGTGGTAGGGCAGGGGTCTTGGGCACCATTGAAGGTCTGCATTCTGCTATATTAAATTGCAAGAAACAAACAAACAAACAAAACATATTGACAGGTTGTGAGAGAGATGGCTAGAAGAAATGAAAAAGTTTTATATTTTAGTATCTTTAGAGACACTTTTTTCTTGCTTTTTAAACAAGGGCCTCTGCACATTCATTTTGCACTGGGCCTCACAAGTTATGTAGCCAGCCTTGGTACTTGGAGTGAAAATTTGAATGTTAGAAATAAACTGTAGAGTAACAATTACGAGAAAATACAAGTAATGAGATAGGATGTAATTACTGGAAGTATTTTCATTAAATTGTGATCAGAATGTTGGTATGTGTCTCAGTTTGGGTCTTCCTAGAAGCAGACTCTGAGAAAAGGATCTGAGAGGAAGTTGCTTATTTGGGAAGGAATTTCAAGGAACACAAGAAGGGAGAGTTGGAAAGAGAGAAGAAGAAGGGTAAAAAGAAGAGGAAGAAGAAGAAAAGCATGATATTGAATACAATAGTGTTCTGGAAAACTATGGCTAGTCCTGTGGGAACTTAGGCAGAGTAGAACATGCCTGAACATTGTTTCAATTTCCATCTGAAAGGGCAAGGGAGCTGGGGCATTTGAGCTCCAATTTCCATTTGCATGTGGACTACTTCTGAGAGTGTTAACCCTTCAAAATTCTCAGGCTGGCCTGTACATAAATGCTGAGAGAAAGATTTCCGCCCTGGAGTCCCAGAGGCTAACTGGAGGCCCTGTGGGCCTTTCCTGGATAGCAGCGTTAATTAAGAGGATCTGGCTAGCCACCAACAAGGTCTGCCACAGTGAATGTGTCTTTGATATATATAAGTACAATAAAGTTGACTCTGAGGATGATGCCATTGAACTAGGCCACACTAAATTAGGTATATGTTATATTGGTTCTTCTTCTCAATGGTTATTTAAATGTGAAACTAATAATAATAAACTCTAGAGCCCTCAAAGCTGTATATGCCATTTAAAATAATAAGAATTCACAAACAAATAAATATATGGAATACATTCTATATAAAGTAGCTGATTTCCTAATTTCCTCGACATACTTCTCTGCATGAACAACAGTCTCTCTCAGCTCACTACATTCTAAATGCAATCAGCTTTCTGCATTCAACTAAGTGCACTAGTTTTGCACAAAGTGAAGTTTTCATTTCTACTTTAACCACAACCTAAATCCACATACCTATAAACATTAACTACACCGTCTTGCTCTTTATAAAATGCTTATTCTTAATTTTCTATTAATAATTCTTAATCTTTGGAAAATAATAATATCTCAACTGATATTTATCATAAATCCAAAAAAAGTGACTCTGGTTGGTACTAAAGCAAGGTACTAAAGTAAGGATTAGAGAAATTCTTACTGTTTGGAAATCTAAAGCAAGGAGGGTGAACACACATTATGTTAAGTAAGAACAGGGATTCTATATATATGCCTGGGTTGGAATCTTGTCTCTGTCACTTACCTGTGTGACCTTGGGGAAATAACTCTGTACCTCAATTTCTCACATCTGTCTTCAAAAAACTTTGTCAGATTTAATACAATAATATTCATAAAATACTTAACTTACACCTGATATGTGAAATAAATGAATCCGTAAAATTGACACGTATTCTTGGAGTATGTTCTCAGCAATGTTTCATGTTGCTACCAGTTACTTGAACCTGGAATGAATGTGAGATGTGAATACACTCAAATTAATATCTTTACAATTAAATAAAAGTGGAAAGTCACGCTAATGATGGAAAGAAAATACATGCAACTAAAATTAACAGCAGACAGTATCTAGAACATACTAAAAACTGCTATAAGTCAATAACAAAAAGACAATACATTCAATAGCACAATATGCTAAGACCAAAGAGGAGAGGACACTAATGGTTTATACAATATGGATACCTTTCCATACCCTTTAGAATGTAGAAACACTAACAAATCTTCAGTATCAATATTGATAAGTGTATAAAACTACAGGGACTCTCATATAGTGTTGAGGTGGAATAAATATCTTCAATATCTTTGAAGAGCAATTTATCAATATTTAGAAGATTTTAAGAGGTTTACATTCTATGGGTCAGCAATTCATTACCAGTTGCATATCTTAGAGAACCTCTGCTATTTGGATGCAAGAATACCCATACAAGTATGTTAATTGCTTAATAGATTATAATTGCTGAATATTAGAAACAATTTAAGTTATCCATAAATAGAAGGGATAAATAAATAGAAGCAGAATGGGATAATCTTAGGTGGGTAAAGTGAATGATGTGTGTAAATAAGCTTTATCAAGACTTCCTGAAACATAACATTGAGAAAAAAATGACAGAATATGTTCAGGATTATGTTATCTATATTCACTTTTAAAAAATGACAAGTAGTCATATATGACATATGTACACAAAATTAGATAGTAAATAAATAAAAATATGCATAAGAATGATAAATGCCAAATCAAGAGAGTGGTTATCTCTAGATGGGAGAGGAATTTTCAGGGAGTCAACATGGAGTTTAACTCTGTCTGTAATACTTCATATTTTAAAATATAGAAATTATGCCCACATATTAAAACTGATAAAAATGTCTGGTAACTATAGAGGTGAGTTTTTAATCCTTATATATTTTTAGATGTTGAAAGGATTTTTAATAAAGGATTTACTAACAGTGAAAGGAAGTCAGAGGCCGGGGAGGTGGAGATTGATTACAAAGGAACAAGAAGAAGCATTTTGGGTTGAGTTAGTGAATAAATTCTTTATGTTGACAGTGATGATGGTTATATGATTTTATATATGTCAAATATTATAGAATTATATACTCAACACTAGTGATTTATTATATATAAAGTATATCTCAATAAAGCTAATTTAAATAATATTCTTAGGCTTTTCAACCCTAAAAGTTAGCAGGATGGACACTCATTACTCTGTAAGTGTCCCCAAAGTTGTCTCTTTCTGTCTCTCTTAGTTTCTATCAAATTTTTCTATTACTTCTCCCAACCCCCAACTCTTTTATCTTTCTCTGTTTTTGCTGGTCACTGTCAGTGGCTGCCTGTCTTGCTTTCTATTCTGGCTTCCACCGTTAATATAGCCAGAATCGTATTTACTTTTCTGATAACGGGGGGCCCTGCTTAAACCTAACCTTATAAAAGCTCAAATTACTGCAAGGACCTCTACCCCTTTTTTCTTTCCAGTCCCCACACACATAATGTGCTGCATACCCTAACTTGGACAAGACGCAGGGAAGAGGAGGGCCAGATGTTAACTTCTTTAGTCAGATAAATACAATGGGAAAGGCAAAGGTGGTGTGATGAGTTATGGATCAACTATGATGATGAAATTGACTAGGCTGTTTCACTGGGGCTGTACAGTCAAGAAAACATAGAGAATTCATATCCTTGTCAGTAATCAGAGCATAAACAAAAGGAAAAGTAGAAGCTCTTCACAGATGGTGCCACCTAAATTTCCTGTTGAGAATTCAATGCATTCACACCTTACCCCAATGCCAGTTCCTTCATATAATTCCTGCTTCTTCTTTTTATTACCCCACCTCAAGCTTTTACACTGTAACCTATGCACTCCTTCAGTCTTTGCTCTACTACTTTATCTCTCAACCCATAGTTTAAAGTCAGTGTGACAAACGTTAGCCCTGGCACATTCTGCGTTCTATGATAGAAGCTAGAAGACTCAAAGGGATTGAAACACAGTTGCTGTCCTCAAATATTTCATAATCTAGGAGGAGAAATGGACTGTCTCCTTACTCCTGACTTTGAAATGTTTAGACTAGCAGCACACTGTTTGCAATCTCTGTATTGACCTCAGAAATATCTCTTAAGAAATGCTCCCCAAGAAACTCAACTTAGCATTCTCAGGAGACACTTGGGTTACAGAGTGAAATTTTAAAGAGACGTGACCATGATCGCTACTAATCTGATTTATTTTAGATTTCTGATGTAGCATGATATAGACATGTGTTAGTAAATTTGATGAAGAATTAAGGACAGGACTTAGATATGGCCAGCACAAAAAGAAATGATCTCTACATTGCCTTTTTCTTCCAAAGCATGTAATCACCATTTATTCCCCTATTACTTCTTTCACTGCATGTAATACTCTTGATAACACTCTAAAGCTGTTAGCTGGTAAATAAACATGAAGAATGTATGAAAAACTTACTGAATTTTGGCAAGCCTTTTTTATTCCACAGCAGAAAGGCAATGCTTGAATATTTTTATATACTTTATAAACTATTAAATTTGTCATTGGTTACCTAACAGAGAATTTTTTCCTATATGAACTATAATTTTACATGGATTTAATAAAAAATAGAAATGCTAAAAATAAGCAAATGAAAGAACACAAAATATTTCCTTTTCTTCAAACATAATATCTATAAGTGTTCCACAATTAAATAAGTAAATTTATATGAATGTAGTGGCAGTATTAACTTTTTAATTTTTCAAATTTTAAAACTGTCATTTCACATTCAGTCAGAAACATCGTATTCATTTTTGTTAACTTGGATTTCTTTAAAAATAAGTGCACCATGATTTTTTTAATTAATAGCAACTGTAGTTAAAAAAACAGAATTTTGTGGAAAAAGATTAATAAATTCCAGTTAATTTTTATTTTCCTCTTTGGCAATGTCTAACATTAATTAGAGACATTGATTAGTGTTCAGTGTTAACTTAACACCAAGAAAATCTCATAAGCATCATTCTCCATGGATAAAAGCTAGCCATAGAATACTGCTTAACTTTACGTGATATATTTTCATGTGAAATCACAATTTTTAAGGATCTCTTAACTTGGTTGGGTCTAGATTTATGTTTACTTCAATTATTAAATAAGACAATACAGGAGACAAAGAGTTATGAATTTCTAAAGAAAAAAAGGCTTTACGATGTGACTCTGAGAAAAAAATAGCATTATTGAAACTTGGTGTCCTATTACGTAAAGGCTAACTATAAATGACACAGTATAATATCTCACTGTAATAGAAACATTCATTAGTTGCCAAGATTAATCATCAATACATTACAGTATATGTTAGAATATGTGAAATTTAAATTATGCTCAAGACACAAATAAGAGGTTATAAAAATAACAAAAACTAAAGCAAGTGTTTCTATAAAATTATTTTACTTATTTAGACAGTTCCTAGTCTTTGGCTATATTTGATTCAGTACATAAGCTTTATAGTTCAATATTCTAGATAAGACTACCCTTGGATTTTATGGTACATAAATACAGAGCCTTGTATTGGAAATCACATAACGGTTGTTTGTTCAGTTTGGTGTATGACCACAATTCCTAGTATTAATAAAGTAAAATATTTATTATAGATGAGTTCCTGAGAGACCTGAGGCCTAAACTATGGAGCCACAAAGTCTGATTAAATGCACGAAAGTACATAGCATTACAGTGGACTCTCAGATAGCTACAAATCCAGCTCATCTTCCTTAACTGTTTAGCTCTTAACTCCTGTAATATGTCCCCTATTTGGTCACAGCACTGAAACAGAGAAGCATATCTGAAATCTCAACTACAATTCAATTTACTGTATTTTAGCTACAAGATAAAGCTCCAGTGTATATAAAACACATACACATATGTTAACAATGTGCTTTTACATTGCCTTCAAATCAAATTACATGGATATTTAACAAAATAATAATTCTATTACAGTAAATTTTAAATGCAAGATACTTTTTATGAAAACAGATTGCTCTTATTGACATTTATTATTGGCTATTCTGAGTGACATTAATATAATATACAACCTGAAGTTTCAATCCTATGCAGCTTTAGCATACATAAAACTATTCAGGTGAAAATATGTATTTCTATAAAAATATATATTTCATGCATGCTTTTAAAGAAATAAAATCTTCTTACCTTTGAGTCTATTGTGATGACTTGGGAAGAATATAACGCTCATTTATTTAAGATTAATTCATTATTTAATATTCAAACATATTATGATAACAATTAATGCCCAGGAGAAAATGCTCTGAATGTGGGGCTACAATAGTCAAAGCTGAGGAGCTTCAAGAGAGAAAGCAACCAGAATTAATACAGTTTAGGTAAGATGGCTAAGTTAGGGAGTCAGAAAAGCCTGTTCAAGCCACTTTGCAACCCTTGGGAAATGCTTGCACCAGAATGCTTCTCAGAGTGCATGGGATTATCTTTTTTATTTGAATGGACTATGAGACAGAACCAGCAATACCTTTTTTTGGGATATGAAATGTAAGTTCTAAGAAGTGGGAACAAATATGTGATGTGAAAGACTCGACTAGTAAAGAAAGAAAATTTCAGGGAGGGCAATATCTTGCTCCCATGCTGGACTGCAACCAGGATAGAATTACATAGAAAAGTTAATTAGTCCAAAAGTTGTGGCACTGAAAATATCTCAGGCTCCAAATTACCTTACCCTTCAGTAAATGTACGTGATACATTTCCTTCACCATTTTGCGTTTTAAATTAAAGATAAAATCACCAGAAAGCATAAATACTTAAAATGTCCCAATTCAGTCCAGTCAGTTTAGCTTTACAAGAATTATTTCCCTCAAGGTTAAAATATAATCAATACTTTACTTTGAAGAGCTAACACAAGAATCAGTAACAATGTATATAAAGTCTCCTGCAGTGTACTCAATGGAGGTTCTCAATAAATTGTAAAAAGTTTGTTTCTATAAAAATCCCCACACAGCAATTAAAATGAGTATGACCACCTTTAGCCTTGTTTATTTAGTTTCACACACTATTTATTACATGATTTATCTTCTATGGTTTATGAAAGCAGCAGTGTAGAAATATCAGTTCTGTCATTATCTCTCCAGTATGAATGCTAAAATTCTTTACATTCATCCATTAAATGAATGGATGCCTACTATGTGCCAGATCTTACACTAAGCATAACAGTTACAAAGGTAAATAATTATGTTCTTATCATGGTAGTTTACTCTGTAACCAATGGAGCCAGGAATATAATTACATAGCTAAATGTCATAATACCTATAAAATAGTTTTGTATCTAATGCTATGGTAAGGAGGGAGAGGACTACGCATTTTTAAAGAAAGTGTTTAATAGATCAATTTCATAAAATATAAAAGCAGATTATGTTCATTTAAATGTGACTGAAAGAAGTTTGTAGATTTAATTAGAAAAATAAATCACATTTCAGTTAGCTCCACAGATAAAATGGTGGGGTGAATTTTTCTGCTGTAATAATTGGTAGTAGCTTAGAAACCTAGAATTCCCAATCTTAACAATTTTGTCCTCTGCCAAACCATTTTAGAATTTCTGACTGGAGGACTCTACACAGAGTAAAGTAGCAAAGTGGGAAGCTGAAGTACAATCTTATTTTCTTAATTTTTATTTTCTAAATGTTGAAATACAATCTTATTAATGGCACCCCATAATCATCAGTGCAAATTCTAGAGACCTGGCCACAGGGTGCAGACAAAGAAGTCTACACTGGAATTTCCCATTTCCTTCCTTATGATTGAAGAAGTACCTGGCTTAATGTCCCTCCTTATTTCATCTGCAGCTATGATAAAACAGAGAAATATTTGGCCAGACTCATGTCAAAGGGACATGCCTTATCAGAATCCTTAGCAGGACTTAGAGAGAGGTGTGTTTAAGAGCTATGTTTCAGCCTGACCCAGTGTTCTTATCATCTGCAAGCACAGGATAAGTAGTTTTGCTGGGGCTTTGATATTTAAGGATCAGTAGCCACACCTGGGAGTAAAAAGAACTACCAGGACGTCACGAAATGTGACAATTCAGATTTAGAAACCTCTCTGCCTTTATATCGCTGTTTCTGTGTATATAGGAAGAGCTGGCCAGGAGGGGAGGGTGGAAACACTGAGAATCAAACGCATAGGAAAAGGAAACCATGTATCACCCCATTAAACAAATAAATGCAAATAATTAAGAAGGGTATCATAATCATAATTAACTCACTAAATTGGAGGTTGAGTTTGCCACATCTGACTCTTCATGTCTATAATTAATTTATAATATTCTCACTCTGTATTTACATATAATTAAAAGCTTAAAAGCTTATTTTGGGGTGTTAATATTTATTAAAATATAACATTTAAGTCCTACATTCCCCTTTTTTGTTTAGTTTAGCTTCAGCAGATCTATTATGGTATAATTGAAACCCAATAATCTAATACTTTTTAAATGTACAAATTTACATTTAGATATACATACACATCCTTGAAATTGTTATCACAACCAAGACAGTGCAGATTTTAGAGACCTGGCCACATGCTGTAGGCAAAGAGCTCTACAGTGGAATCTCTCATTCCCTTCCTTGTGATTAAAATAGTAGCCGGCTTAATGACCCTCCTCATTTCATCTGCAGTTATGATGAAACAGAATGATATTCAGCCAGATCTATATCAAAGGGGCATGCCCTATCGGAATCCCTAGCAGGACTTAAAGAGAAGTGTATTTAAGCCTGCCTCTGTGTGCTTATCACCTTTAATGAACATATCCATTACTCATTGTGAAAGTTTCTTGTCTTGCCTTGGTAATCTCTCTCTCAAGCCCCTCCTCCCAACCCCCATGCCATCGCTCATTTGTTTTCTGTACTATAGATTAATTTACATTTTCTATAACTTAAATTAACATAGTCATAAAAATTCTCATTTTCCTCTCCTCTTTCATTCAGTATAATTATTTTAAGATTTATCAATGCTATTTTTTAATAGTTCATTACTTTTGTTGTGGGTAGTTGTGAAACTTAGTTTTCTGGGTCAACATAACTTGGTCATAGGATGGTCAGATATCTGGTTAAAAATTGTTTCTGAGGGTGGTCGTGAGAATGTTTCCAAAAGATATTAGCAATTAAATGGGTGGGCTGAGTAAAGCAGATGGTTCTCACTCATTAGAGTGGGCTTCATTCGATTTGTTGAGAGCCGAACTAGAACCAAAAGGTGGAAGAAAGTTGAATGAGCTGTGCCTGACCATTGAGCTGGGGCATTGATCTTCCACTGTACTTGGTGCTTATGGATCTCAGACCTGCAAATTGAGACTAGAATTTACACCATCAGGTTTCTAATTGTCAGGCCTTTGAACTGTATTACCAGTTTTCCTCAATCTCCAGCATGAGAAAGACAAATCATGGGACTTCTCAGTCTCTTTAATCTCATAGCCAATACCTAATAGATCTCTTTATATGTATGTCTTCTTGGTTCCATTACACTAGACAACCCTGTGTAATGTAGTAGTATTCGATTATATGGATATACAAAATTTGTTTCTCCATTCAGCTGTTGATGGACATATGGATTGTTATGAGTTTTTAGCTACTTCGATAGGCTGTGGAAACTCATGCCTAAGTCTCAGTATGAACATATGCATTTATTACTTTTGGGTATATAGCTAGAAGTAAAAAAAAAAAACCTGCATCATTTGGAAATTTTATGATTAACTCTTTAAAAACCTGCCAAAGTAAGTTCCAAAATAATTGCAGCATTTACATTCCCACTAACTGTGTATGAAAGCTACAGTTGCTTCACATGCTTGCCAAAACTTCAGTCTTTTTAACTCTATCCATTATAATGAGTGTGTTACAGCATCTCATTATGTTTTATTTTGCATTTCCCAAAGACTAATTATATTGAGAATCTCTTCATGTGGTTGTCTTCTCTGTATCTTCTTAGTGAAATGTCTATGCAACTCTTCTGACAATCTTTTTTATTGTGTTGTTTTATATTCTCAAGAGTTCTTTATATATTCTAGATATGGGTCCCTTATCAGATATTTGATTTAAAATTATTTTCTTCCCACACGTGGCTTGTCTTTTCATTCTTTTAACAAAATGTTTTGAAAGCCAGAAGTCCATAAATTTGAAGTATAATTTAGCTTTTTTTTTTCTTTTATGGATCCTCATTTTGTTGTTATATCAAATAAATCTTGATCTAACCTGAGGTCACCAATATTTCCATCTATGTTTCTAACTAAAGATTTATAAAACATTTGGAGCAATTTATTTTTACCTATGGTGCAAGAAATAGATTGATTTTTATTTCTGTTGGTTTTGGCATATGGATATTCAATTGCTTTAGCACCATTTATTGAAAAGGCTATCTTTCTCAACTGAATTGGTTTTGCATCTTTGTCAAAAATCTATTGATCTAATATGTGTGTGCCTATTTTTGGATTCTGTATTATGTTTCATGGATCTATGTGTCCATTTTTAAACAAATACTAAAATACTATATTGCCTCGATGATGCCTATTGAAATTAGTCCTCACGTTGTTCTTTTTCAAAGTTGCTTTGGGTATTCTAGCTTTTTAAAGCTTCTATAAAAGTTTTAGAATCAGTGTCATTTTTTGAAAAAAGACTAATGTGATTTTAGTTTTAATTGCACTCAATCTATAGATCAACTTTGAAATAATCAGAATTTTAAGATATTGAGACTTTTAATTCATGGACTGTATATTTCCCCACTTACTTAAATCTTTACTTTTGCTCAGAAGGGTTTTACTATTTTGGGATACAGGTTCTGCTTGCCTTAGATCTGTTTTTAAATATTTCATAGTATTGTGTTATTGTGATATTTTAAATTTTTAATTAAATTGATCATTGCTAAAATAAAGAAGTACAGTTGATTTTTATTTACTGATTGTGTATCTTGCTGTCTAACTCACTTATAAGTTCAATGAATGTTTTTGTAGATTCCAAAAGATTTTGTATATAAATGATCATGCTGTCTCTAAAAAAAGAACAGTTTAACTTGTTTTGTTTTTGTTAAATCTGTATCTATAAATAAAATGTATGTGAACTTAAATAGCCTTAAAGTTAAGAGAGGAGAAATGGAATTATACTATAATAAATTTTTATACTATTGTCAAAACAGTATAATAACTTAAAGGTAAAATGTGGGAATTTAAAGATATACACTATCTTTGAAGCAATTGTGAATGGGAGTTCACTCATGATTTGGCTCTCTGTTTGTCTGTTATTGGTGTATAAGAATGCTTGTGATTTTTGCACATTGATTTTGTATCCTGAGACTTTGCTGAAGTTGCTTATCAGCTTAAGGAGATTTGGGGCTGAGACGATGGGGTTTTCTAGATATATAATTATGTCGTCTGCAAAGAAGGACACTTTGACTTCCTCTTTTCCTAATTGAATACCCTTTATTTCCTTCTCCTGCCTGATTGCCCTGGCCAGAACTTCCAACACTATGTTGAATAGGAGTGGTGAGACAGGGCATACCTGTCTTGTGCCTGTTTTCAAAGGGAATGCTTCCAGTTTTTGCCTATTAAGTATGATACTGGCTGTGGGTTTGTCATAGATAGCCCTTATTATTTTGAGATACGTCCCATCAATACCTAATTTATTGAGAGTTTTTAGCACGAAGGGTTGTTGAATTTTGTCAAAGGCCTTTTCTTCATCTATTGAGATAATCGTGTGGTTTTTGTCATTGGTGGGACTGTAAACTAGTTCAACCATTGTGGAAGTCAGTGTGGCGATTCCTCAGGGATCTAGAACTAGAAATACCATTTGATCCAGCAATCCCATTACTGGGTTTATACCCAAAGGATTATAAAACATGCTGCTATAAAGGCACATGCACAAATACGTTTATTGCGGCACTATTCACGATAGCGAAGACCTGGAACCAACCCAAATGTCCAACAATGATAGACTGGATTAAGAAAATGTGGCACATATACACCATGGAATACTATGCAGCCATAAAAATGATGAGTTCATGTCCTTTGTAGGAACATGGATGAAGCTGGAAACCATCATTCTCAGCAAACTATTGCAAGGACAAAAAACCAAACACTGCATGTTCTCACTCATAAGTGGGAATTGAACAATGAGAACACATGGACACAGGAAGGGGAACATCACACACCAGGGCCTGTTGTGGGGTGGGGGGAAGGAGGAGGGATAGCATTTGGAGATATACCTAATGATAAATGAGGAGTTAATGGGTGCAGCACACCAACATGGCACATGTATACATATGTAACTAACCTGCATGTTATGCACATGTACAGTAAAACTTAAAGAATAATAAAAAAAAAGATATACACTGTCAATTTTATAACAACCCTAAAATAAAAAAAAATCGAGTTAACAAGCCAAAAAAGAATGAATTGGAATTATTAAGAAAGATACAGTCAATCTAAAATAAGGCAGAAAATGTGGATAAGGAGAGTAAAGAACTGAAGAGGCAAGAGAAAACAAGCAGAAAGACTACACACTTAAGCATATCAATGAAAATTTGAAACATAAATCATCTAACCAGAGGTTCACTAACATTTTCTGAAAAGAGCCAAATAGTAAATATTTTTAGCTCTCTGAGCCATATGGATTGTGTTGCGACTATTCAACTCTGTCATTATAGCATAAAAGCAGCCATACAATATGTAAATGAATGGGCATGGCTTTGTTCCAATAAAATGTTATTTATGAAAACAAGCCAAGCAATATTTGGCCCATGAATTATATTTTCCCAAGTGTTTTTCTGAACACTTTAATTAAAAGACAGAGCATTAAAAAATAAAAACAAGTATGACCTATATGCTGTCCACAAGATGCAAGCTTTAAATACAAACACACAAATAGGTTAAAAGGAAAGTGATAAAAAATAGAAATATCAGAAAAAGTTTATTTCAGAGCAAATAATATTATCCAAGGCAGAAAAAAAGTCATTTCATAAGATAAAGTCATCAAAGAGACCCCTAAATTATAAATATTAATGGAATAATAACAGAATTTCAGAATATATGGGGAAAAAACCTTATCAAATAAAAGGAAAAATTAACAAATATTCAAATATACTTGATGCTTTGAATAAATTGTTCTCAATAATTAATAGAATGATAGAAAGAAAAATCATGAAAGATATAGAATACTTGAACATTATCAACCAAATTTACCTATTTAACATTCATGGGACACATCATCCCACAACAGCAGAGTACATATTCAACTCAAAAGTACAGGGAAAGATATACCAAAATTTGAAATTTAAATTGTATTTCAATACATTTTAAAATACTCAACTCAGACAATGTTCTCTGAATTAGAAATCAGTAACAGAAAGATTTCTAAAGGTCCTTCAAAATATTTGGAAACTAAAAATGACAATACTAAAAACCTCATGGATCAAAGAAGATATCAGATGGAAATTTGAAAGTATTTTGATCTGAATGACTATGAAAATACAACCTATCACTCTGAGAGAAATTTATAGCACTAAGTGCTATTATACCAAATGCTTAGAAAGGAAGTGAGGTCACAAGTTAGTGACCTCAGTGTCTACCTTAAAGTAACAGAAAAATAAAAGGAAACTTATTCTAAAGTGTGCAATACCAAGAAAATTATAATGATAACAGAGCAAATATTGTATAAAGAGAAAATAGAAAAACAATGCTAAAATTAATGAAACCATAAACTGACGCTTTGAGAAGATGAATAAAATTGATAAAAACCTTAGCCAAACTTATAAGGAGAAAGAAAAGAAGACACACATTATCAGTCGTGTAAACACAACAGAGCCTACAGATATTTAAAAGATAAGAAAGAAATATTATAAATAAATTTGTAACAATATATTCAACAACTCAGATATTGTGGACAAATTGTTTGAAATGCACTAATTGCAAAAGCTCGTTCAGGAATAAACAGATAAAAAGAATATCCCAATGTTCATTATATAACTGAGTTAAAAATCTTCCCATAAAGAAAATTCAAGATCCACATGGATTCACTGATGGCTGCTAGCAAATATTTAACAAGAAGTAATACCAATTCTAAACAAATCTTTCTGAAAAATTCAAGAAACATAATGCTTCCCAAGTCATTCTGAGACCACCGTTGCTCTGATACCAAAATCGTATAAAGTACTATGAGAAAACTATAAACAATAACCACAATAAACATAGATGCAAAAAAACATTTAAAAATTCTATCAACTGTAGTCAAACAATAATAAAAGGATAAAATATATGACCAGGTCATACTTAAGAATATAAGGTTGATTTCACATTCAAAAATCAAAATTCTAATCTGCCATATTAACAAGGACACACACACACACATACACAGCCCTATGATTGTCTCAATAGATGCAGAAAAAATCATTTGACAGAATCTAATATTCATTCTTGATTTAAAACAAACAAAAATTAAAATAAAAAGCTCTTAGAAAACTAAGAATAAAAGATAACTTAATAATGGGGACCTACCAATAACCTAAAACTGGCATCATACTTAATGTTATGAGACAAGGACGTCTGTTCTCAGTCCTCCTATATAGCACTGTACTGAAGTTTCTAACCAATAAAATAAGGCATGAATAACTCCCATGATATTTAAAAATTAGTAAAATTTTATTTGCAGGAGGCATTAATATATATGTACAAAAAAAATGTAGAAGGATAGGTCCTCAGATGACCTTGGCTGACCCAGTTTTTCCTCTATCGCTTGCAATTCCAGGTTAAGGTACCAAAAATGCAACATCCTGAAATAAGGAGGTGTTCAAACAATCCAGGTGGCGTCTTCATTACTTGGGGACCAGATGTGCTGTGACAATTGTGCTCAGTGATTGAAGTGACACCCAGGTCATATATACCCAGGGTGGAGGGGTTCTGGGGTCCTTCATTTGAAGTGTGATATGGGACAAGAGCAGAGGAGACTCCATCCACCCTAGCCAGCTTTCCTGAGACTTGAGGACCAACTTGACATGAATCCTAGGCTTCTGCTTATCTTTGATGCCTCACTGTGAGTAGTAGACCTGCTTTATGTAACTTGTGTGATTGTTTTGTCTCATCAGATTTATGCAATTGGGAGAGATACTGGGGTTCCTCTTTGGCTCCTCTCTACTGTCTTCATTATGTTAGAATGACTGCAGCAGCCAGGTCTACTCTAAGCCCCCACTAAACTTATGAACCTTTGCAAGAAGCTACTGGGATAAGTGACTTTTGCAAAATTTCAAGATATGACATCAATATACAAATATCAATTATACTATATCTTTAACAATAAATAGCAAGAAAATTGATTTAAAAGTAATATTTTCATAGAATAAAAATAGAATTTGCTTTGAGACAGATATAACAGAATATACGCAAGATCTGCACATTTAAAACTATGAAAAATTGCTGACAGTATTTAAAGATCTAAATAAATAGTGAGATTTTACCATGGCACAGCTTGCAAGCACCCAATAATAAGATACTAATTTTCCCCACATTTATCAATAGATTCAGAACAATTCCAATCAAAACCTCATCAGAATTTTTTTATAGAAATTAATGCTTCCATTCTAAAATTCATATGGAAATGTTAAGTATCTTGAATAATTGAAATATCTTGGGGAAAAGTAACCAAATTGTAGGCTAGCAGTACCTAATTTCAGGACCCAGAAAGCAATACTCAGTAAGAGGATATAGTTTTGACTTAAACATAGACGAGTAGGTCAAAGGAATAGAATAGAGAATCCATAAATAGGCCCGTATATATATGGACAACTTATTTTTGAAAATGTTGTAAGGGCAATTCAGTAGGAAAAGGTAATTATTCTCCACAAATGGTGCTGGAACAACTAAAAGTCTGTATATATAAAAAGAACTGAAATTTGTACCTTCCACTATATATAAAAATTAACTCTAAATGCATCATAGTTGTAAATGCCAAAGCTAAAACTATAAAACTTGTGAGATAAAATTGTAAAAGGAGCATATTTTACCTTGATTTATGCAAAGATTCCTTACATATAGCAGCAAAAGCATAGTTCATTATAGAAAACATTGATGAAATGAACTTTCTCAACATAAAAACTTCTTCTTTTACAAAGTAAACAAAAAGATGAGCCAGAGACTGGAAGGAAATACTTGCTAAGCATATTTTCTGTATCCAGAATATATAGGCAAACTCTCAAAACTCACCAAAAAATTTTTTGAAAATGGCCATTGAATTTGAAAAGACACTTTAAAAAAGATTAATAATAGCAAAAAGCACATGAAAAGATATTCGGTATCATTAGTCATTAGGAAAATGCAAATTAAAACCACGATGAGATACAAGTTCACACAATTGGAATGGATACAATTAAAAACATTGATCATTCCAAGTATTGGCAGTGCTGCAGAGAAGCTGAAACTCTCATATCCTACTGGTGAGAATGTAAAATGCAACAACTAGGTTGGAAAATAGTTTGGCAGTTTCCTAAAGTTAAACCTACACATGCTATATTATTTGGCCATTCTGCTCTTAAATGTTTACCTCTAAGGAAAGAAAGCTTATGTGAACTGTGCACATATATTCATGGTAGCATTATTTTTAGTAACTGAAATCCAGAAAAACAATGCAAATATTAATCAACAGGTAAATGGATAAACAAATGGTGATACAGTCAATTCTTGTTATTTTTGTACTCCATATCTATGAATCTGGCTATGGGCTAATTATTTGTAACCCCAAAGTCAATACTTGCAGAGCTTTCGTGGGCATTTGTGTGTACGTGCATGCACAGAACTGTGAAAAATTTGAGTCACCCACCAAACACTTTCTCATTGAAGGCAGATGATGCTCTTTCTTCTTGTTTCAACTTTCATGTTGTCTCCTTTTAGCAGTATATTTAACATATACTAAACAGCAGTTTAGTGATGTGCCTCATAAAGTTGATACGCTTATTAAATAAGCATCATTCAGGCATGAGTGATAGTGCTATTGGCCAGGAGTTCAGTGTTAGTAAATCAACAATATGTATTTAATAAGGTGTCCATAAACATAAACCCACATAAAACAGGTTTATGTATTGATTTGGTTGAGGTAAATATTGAAACCAAAAGCTGGCAGAAAATGATTCAGGATTTAATTATTCCTTGTTTATGGGAATTTTACAGAAAATAACTAACTTCAAAAATGGGAATCCACTGTATACTCATACAATGGAATACAACTTAGCAATAAACCAGAATGAATTCTACACATAATATAAACCTCCTAATAATTACACTGAGAGAACGAAGTCAGGGGAAAATAAGTATATTTTATGATTCTATTTATATAAAACCCCAGAAAATGCAAACAAATTGTGACGAAGCAGGTAAATAGTTGCCTGTGGAAAAAGTGGGGGTGGGAAAAGAAGAAAGAGCTATATAAAGCGGTGATGAAAATATTGCTATCTTGATTTGGATGATGGTTTTATAGATATAAACATGCATAAAAGTGGCAAATGTTATGTTTTAAATACGTAAATATATATATACATCAATTTTTCTTCCAAAAACTTTTCTAAATATAGATTGTTAACAATGGCATTATGTAGTAACAAGAAAGAGAATTATGTAACTATATAAAGCCTATAAGATAAAAAGTTGAGGATGTCTGTATAATATGTGAATGTAATACACTAAGAATAAAATTTCTAACTCTTGTTGGAGTACATTCTTTTGTGCTTAATTATTACCAGTTTTTAATTTTGTTTCCCTCTTTTTAGTGTCCTGTCATATTATCAATTCTTCTTTGTTTCTTAGATGTCCCCACTGAAGCATAGAATGTTCTTAAGCTTAAAATAATTTCTTCATAATTCATCATTATGATGCTTATACTAATTTGTTAATTTTCATGAAAAATTGCAATGTTAGCCACTATGATTATAGCATACAGAGTTAAATTCCATTGTTAGACAAGAAAATTAATAAAATCTTTATGCATGCTTTTTCTCTTATATTTCTGATCGTAATAAATAGCAATAATGACTTTTATTTTCTTAAAAACACCACAGAGATGCTATTTAATAGTATATTTCACCTCTCTTAAATGTTATTGGGTTGGTAGTTAAATATCACATGTTGTTTAAATGTCAATAAAAGGGCTATTTGATTGATTACCAGTTATAACAAACTAATTCTATGATGATTCTTTAATAAGAATATATTTAGACACTAATGTGTCATTTTATTATTATATATTAATCATTATTATACGGCTCGTGTTTGTTTGACTGTATATTTTTAAATGAAGAAAAATGTAACCAAATTATAAATTAGGAAGTATAACATATTTAGTGTACTTTTTGTCAGCAAGTGAACTACAACTACATAAAAATGATTTTTACATTATCATAAATACAACTTTATTGTTTTTCTTGGTGAAAAGTCAAAAAATATCTAATGGTGGTTTCTCAAAGAATTGATCACATTTGCCATTAAAATCAATGTGGTTTATGCCATTAATAATTAAAATAAAATAACAAAGTTACTCAAAAAGTATAAACTACTGATTCAGAATTTTGATTCAGCTTTTTGCATGCATATTCTTTTTAATTTTATTTACTGAGGAAATTTTTCTAATATAAACCCTTAGCCTTCCTTATGATGTTTTACCTTTTTGAACTATTTTTCGCTAAATCCAGTTTACAATTTATAGTATTTATATTCTGATTGGAATGGTTGCAAAGTTTTTCTACTAGTAGAAACATACAACACTCTTTACTAATTCATGAATAATGAAGAGATTAATGCACCATTTTAAAAAACAAATTATGATAATTCAATTCAGCAATATATTGATTCTAGGGAGGCCTATATATAATTTCTGGATTTGATCTATGGTATATAAATTAGTGAACGTGTTGATTAACTTAAGCATAAGGGTAATAATCATTTTGCTATTGTCTGTTGGGTCATTTAATTCTTACTTAGCTTAAGAAGGTAACCTCATTTTCATCTAATCTTTTGAAAATACTTTAAAGCAATTTAAGATTCAATGCAATTCTTATTAGAATACCAAAAACATTCTTCACAGAAATTTTTTTTAAATCCAAAATTTAAATGAAACCACAATGACCCTTAATAGCCAAAACAATCCTGAGCAAAAGAACAAAGCTGGAGCTATCATAATACTTTCTGACTTCAAAATTTACTACAAAATAACAGTAATCAAATTAGCATGATACTGGCATAAAAACAGATACATACACCAATGGAACAAAAAAGAAAGCCCAGATTTAAACTCATGCATTTATAGCCAACTTGATTTCAACAAATGTGCCAAGAACTTACGATGGGGAAAGGACAGTTTCTTCCATAAATGATGCTTGGAAAACTGAATAACTATGCAGAAGAATGAAACTGGAACCCTATCTCTCGCCATACACAAAAATCAAATGGAAAATAGATTAAAGGTCTAAATATGAGACCTGAAAATGTAAAACTACTGGAAGGAAACATTGCAGAAATCCTTCAGGACATTGGGCAAATAAATTTTGTGTAAGGACTCAAAAGCACAGGTAAATAACACAAAAGTAGACTAAGAGAATTATATCAAGCTAAAAAGCTTCTACATAGAAAAAAAATCAACTAAGTAAAGAGAGAACCCACAGAATGGAATAAAATAGTTGCAAACTACCCATCTGACAAGGGATTTGTAACCAGAATCCATAAGGAGATCAAACAAGGCAATAGCAAAAACACCAAATAATCTGATTAAAATGCAGGCAAAATACCTGAATAGACATTTCTCAAAAGAAGCCATACCAATGGTCAGCAAGTATATGAAAATAAATTGTTCAACACCTCCAACCATTAGAGAAATGCAAATCAAAACTATACTGAGATATATATAATCTAACCGTAGTCAATATGATTTTTATTAAAAAGATAGGAAATAACAGCTCTGGCAAGGATGTGGAGACAGGAGAACCCTCACACACTGTTGGTGAGAATGGAAATGAGTAGAACCACTGTAGAGAACTGTATGGCAATTCCTCAAAAAACTAAAAATAAAACTACCATATGATTCATCAGTTTGTATGGTAGTTCCACTAAGTATATATCCAAAAAAATGAATCAATATATAAAAAAGATACCTGCACTCCCATGTTTATTGTGGCACTAGTCACAATACCTAAAATAGGGAATCAATCTAAGTGCCCATTAATGGATGAATAGATTAAAAAAACTTTGTTATATATAAACAATGAAATATTATTCAGGTATAAAAAAGAATGAAATCTTATCATCTGCAGCAACAAGGATGGAACTGGAGGTCATTATGTTAAGTGGATTAAGCCAAGCACAGAAAGGCAAATATTGCGTTCTCACTCATACATGGAAGCTCAAAAACATAGGTCTCATAGAGGTAGAGAATAGACGGTGATTACAGGAGACCAGGAAAGGTAGGGCAGGGTGTATGAAGAGAGATTGATTAATGAATATAAAAATATTGCTTGATGGAGGAAATGAAATCTAGTGTTGTATAGATTAGTAGAGTGACTATAGTTTATTATAATCTATTGTATATTTCAAAATAGCTATAAGAATTTTAGTTTCTAATGTTGAAAAAGACAAATATTTAAGATGATGGATATCCTAAGTACACTGATTTGACCTTTACAAATTATAAGAATGTATTTAATTATCACATGCACCCTGAAACTATGTACATCTATTATGCATCAATGTAAAAAAAAAATAGTGTTCTTAATAGGCCAAAGTGAAACCGTTCTTATAAACTTTATAAAATTAATCAGGGAAGAAGAGACGTGGAGAAATAAACCAAGTTTAAAGCATATTCAGGATTAATCATTAGGTCAGCTTGCTCTCTGACCTGCTTCCTCACAGTTGTTTGATGGTTGTTGTTCTAGAATCCCATAGATTCAAGATTATAGTTCCTCTTTACTACTCTATAGATAATTTGAATATTATGAAACACTTTATTCCCTTTGGGATATTCTTTCATGTCCTGCATACTGATGAATCTATTGACGTCAACTGGTCTGAAGAACTCCCACCAGGAGGTGACTCACCAAGGAATGCAGTTTTCTCATTCTGAAAGTTTCATCCGCCTTACCTTAATCAGTCAACAATCCCAATTTTCAGCCCGTCACCCTCTATGATCCTCTGAAAAATCCCAGCCCAGAAATCCGTGGGGAGATAGATTTGAATGTTTCTTCCCATCTCCTTACCTGGTGACCTATGATCATTAAACTCTTTCTCTGCTGCAAACCCTGCCATCTTAGTATATTGTATGTTACTGTGCAGTGGCCATATAAACCTGTTGGTCCTATAACAAAAGTTATACAATGTAACTTTGATATAGACTAAAAAATGGGTGGTAATCATTTTATAAAAAGCCTATTTGATGAAAGGGGAAAAGCTTTTTCAAATATTATCAAATTTTGTGATTTCTGCAAAAATGAATATTATTGTGATTGTATTGTTTATTGCCTAACCTATTACATATCCACTACTCCTTCTTGCTTTTTACACTCTCTAGACTAGAAAGGCTATATAATAATTTTTCCCACTTCTGAGGTGTATCATGTGACACATATCTGATCAATAAAATGCAAACAGAAGGCTACTGAAAACTTTTGAGGAGGGTTTTGCATTTTTTAAACTAGAAGCTGATGCAGTTGGTACCAGTGAAGCCTGTCCTCTTGTTTTAAACTCACACATGAAACCTAGAGCTGCTACAACCTTCATGCCATTAAGATGGAAAGGAAGAGAGAAATACAAGATTCTGGGACCAGTATCACTGGGCTTTTAAACTAAAGTCACAAGATGCCTACTTCCTTATTTCATCATCTGTAAAAAATGCTGACTCCTATTTGTTTAAGTAACTGTGAGTTAGGATTGATTCTAATTGATGTATATGTTGTTACAGCTAGCTAAATGTATTTTTAACAGGTGTGTGTTTTTGTTTGGTTGGTTGTTTGTTTCAAGTTGTCCCTTTCAATGAGCATTCTTTAAAAAAAATTACGTGACAGTATGGTTAGATTTATGCTGTTTGTAAAAAGCAGAAAAGATTGATTTTCTACTAAAATTCATAACATAAAAAGAGCAATCAGGTTAACTAAGGTCAGCAGAATTAGTGTTACCAGAATAATTCCACATGCTATCAGAAATGTATAAGCTAATAAAATAAAGTCTCATTTTATGTAACAAGCACTAATTTGGTGTTATGTCATAGATATATAAGGAACATATGACCATACTAAAATTTTTCTTTAAAACAGAAAGCTCATGCCTATAATCCCAGCATTTTGGGAGGCCGAGGCGGTGGAGCACAAGGTCAGGAGTTCGAGACCAGCCTGATCAACATGGTGAGACCCCCGTCTCTACTAAAAATACAAAAATTAGCCTGGCATGGTGGTGGGTGCCTGTAATCCCAGCTACTCAGGAAGCTGAGGAGGAGAATCACTTGAACCTGGGAGGTGGAGGTTGCAGTGAGCCAAGACTACACCACTGTACTCCAGCCTGGGCAAAAGAGTGAGACTCCATCTCAAAAACAAAACAAAAAACAAAAAAAAACAGAAAGGCAAATATTTTATAGTTATGTAATTATATGTATAAGTTGATACATGTCGTTTCCCATTCAATTTTTGCTTCACTTCATAATGATTATTGTAATAAGCCAAATCTCTACTCTAAAAATTTTATTTCACAGGCTTACAAAGGTAAATTTTTTAAATAAATGAAAAAACAAATACATAAAATGATAATAACTGAAATTTATTATGTGCTTTTTATGTTCTGGATGCTTGAGCAAATGATATATACGTATATATAAATCACTTAAAAACGTATGAGTTAAGTACCAATATTATCTCCATTTTATAGATGAAGGAACCAAAACACAAAGAGATAAAGTAACTTGCCCAAGTTCATACTGTGTTAAGTCCTGGAGTTAAATTTAAACTCAGTCATTTCATCTCCAGAGCCTGTTAGCTTATCTTCTCCACAATGTTTAATTTCTTCTTTGTGCATAGGTGGGATATTTGTGGTAGAGGAATTACTCATAGTCCTAGCACAGTCTTGAAAGACAGAATGCTTGGAAATTTTGAAAATAGAAACAGTTGGGGGTTCAAAAGAACTTGCCTTCGCCAATGGACTATTAGAATTGGCAACTGACCTTCTCTGTTAATGTACAAAAAGGTCTGAGAAAATTATGTAGAATGAATAAATTCTTGTTAGCATTTATCTCTATTAATTCAAGAAAGCTTTTTGTAGTTTCTTAGTGACTTCCTAAGGGACACAGTCAATTAGAATTTAATATTTTCTCCCTCCTTTCCTTCTTTACTCTTCCTTTCCCTCTCTTCTTTCTCTTCCTCCCTTCCTTTTTTCCTTTCTTCCTTTCTTCTTTTTTCCCCTCTTTCTCTCCACTCTTCTTTCTCTTATTCCTTTTTTTCTTTCCACTACAAAGCTTCTGGGAATTTGAAAAGGAATTTGGTAAATATTACACAATATTTTATTACTTTTTAAAAGAGGAAGAAAAGAGAACCAAGTTGTCCTAAAAATGTTTACATCTGCTAACATTTCACAAATTTTAGAAGAAAAAAGTTATTTATGTTGTGACCTTATAGAATAATTAAAAATTCTATGACTTAAATTTTATTTTAAAAGGTTGAAGTTGGTATGCTTCCTGGAAGAAGAAAAAAAATAAGGACATTTTTGGAGTGAGAGAAACAGGCAGTCTTGAAAGTCAAATGGTAAATTGGAAAACCCATAAGGAATTACACCAGTGATTCATTAATAATGAATATTTAGTGTTTGAATATAGGCTCAAATTGAGAAAAGAGATAGCTTGTACAGTGGATGTAATAAAGCTGTTGGTGGCCTAATATGTTGCGAGTGTTTGTCACCTACAACAATGCATTCTTTAAAGATGTCTAACACAAAAAAAATCTCCCAAGCGAATTTATTGACTAAAACCAGTTCCACAGAACCAATTAGTATCTTACACAGCCTGCCCTGCAAGGCTTATGAGGCCATCCATCACCTGTCCATTTAACTATTTAGCATTTGTTCCAGCAATTTATCACTGTGTCAGAATGCTAGCATTTCAGAATGGGAGTTTTTGGTTGAAAGAAATCTAACTCAGATACTGCGGATATTTCTCCTTTAATAAGACTTACAGAAGATTTATGTTTCTATTATATTTAACCTTAAACATCTTATCTGGAGGGTGAGGTTAATGCTTTGTACTGCAGATATTTCAAATTTAAATCAATTGTTTTATGTGAATCTTAAAATATGCAATACAAAATTAATTTAAATTTCAGCAATTAAGAGTTAACATCACTTAGAGTGCTAACATCACAATGCAGCTTAACTCACAGCTTCTGGGATTACTTTTTATCATTTTCCCAATTCAATCATTTGCTTTTATATTCTTTTCTCATACCTTTCTTAATTTCACAGTACCAAATGTATTATATTGTAGTTACCACTATGCAAAAAAAAAAAAAAGTCTGCGTTGCTCTTAATATTATGCCACCCAGCTAGACTTGGAAATGTAGACATATTTAATGGTGGAAAATTTGCTGCAACATTGCAATTAAATTACATGTAATTTACAAACAAATGTGTACCCATTTCAAGCTTGGTTGTTGATTACAGATAATAGTCAACTGCTTAATTTTTCTCTCAGAAAATGCCAAATAAATATCATAACAGTATAATTTTAAACATGCTGGCTACTTGGTGTAGAGAAAATTACCCAGAATCATGAAGCAAAGAGCTGTAGCAAAACATAATTTGTGAAATGATTCCACATAGTACAACCATTATATAAAACTATAAATTCTATGTAGTTAATTTTAAAACTCAGACATTTTACTGCTTTAGGCGTGCTAACTTAATGAAAAGTATTCCGATATCTAACCTTTAAATTTGATTAAAAATATAATGCATCTTTTTGCTGTGGAAACAGATATGTAGGCAGCCTGTTTTCCAACTACCCTATAGGTTCACCTGATTAAGATTTCTAATGCAAAAGAAGAAGCAAGATGCTGGGGACTCAAATGCCATCTCTGCATCCTGAATGTTGTTAGCAGATCCCATGGCATTTCTCACAAACTTTCAATGTGTGCTTGTCACTAAGCTCTATCCCAGAGATAAAACAGAAAATGTAAACTCCTGTGGGAAGAGAGTTGAGTAAAAAGCTTTCCTGAAGCCCTCAGAGTAATGTGTTCTGTCTATTACCGAAGCTTCAATCAGCAATTTCATCCCTCTTACCTAACACAATTCAGAGTTTGACATGGATGGATGTTAGGTTGGAGTAAGGAATGCACAATATAAATGTCTATGCATATGTGTGCATCCATGCACATGTGAGGGTTCAAAACTAATCTTCATGTTTAAGACATTGCTAATTCCATCACCTCAAAATATTCATGTTTAATATTGTGTGTTGCTATTTAGAAAATATACATAACTTTATTTTAAAGGGTAGAAAAAATAGGGAAATATTTTTGAGGATTATTAGTTTAAATTTTTTATATCTGTAAATACATATGACACATATATTACATTTCTGCATTATTTGAAATTTTTATTTTCAAAATAAGGCTAGAAAATAAACAATGTAACAGAGTTTTTTTCACTGTTGACTAAAATAATAACAGCAAGATATTCCCTTAAGCACTTGTTAAATAAAAAGTAGATATCTGACAAAATTGTTTAGGTTCAATTCTCATTGAAGAAGACTAATAGCTGGGTAAGCAGGCTGAAATAGAATTCAGGGAAGAAATACTGCTGAAGAAATTCTTGAGAAATTGTTATCTTATGAGTAAAAGGGATGGAGAAACTAGAAAGAAAGAAAAGGGTGAGAAATAGCTGGGCTAATAATGAACTGAAGCAAAGTCAACTGAAATGTCCTGGGCAGCTCCAGAAACTCCAGAATGGGGAGGATATACTGTGCTGACGACTAAAAGAAGTAATAACTGTTTTTGTTTGTTTTGGCTATGCTGTTGTTTTTGTTTCAGAGAAATTAATTTCCTATGTGTAATTACAAGATAGTTTGGTTCTCTGATGAGCTCCCCAAGTCAGAGTAAGTATTAGAGTTTAATAAAAGGAATTGATCATGTTGAATCAAATCAATAATACAAATATTGATTGATTTCTGATATCATTTTAGACATAAGACTTGGAAAAATTATTTTCTTCCACGTCTTATTAGATTAGCACACATAGCAGCTACAAAGAAGTTATCTCTGAGTGGAAAGGACTCCCTTTATTAATTATAGTAACAGTAATAATAAAAATGATAGCAACTTCCTAACTACACTCCAGTACTGCTCTTTAAATATCATAACTCATTAATCCCTTCAGTCTAAGAGTCAAGGGATTTGTCAATTAGGACACAAGTTTCACAGTTTTGGGACTAGAATTTAAGCCCAGAAAAAGCTCCAGTGCCTATCCTCTTAAGCACTAGATTAAACTCCTCTTAACAACCTAAACTATTTATAGAAAGAGGGAAACAGATACTATTTATTGAGTGCTTTAATTTTCAGATGATAGTCACTTTATAGGTGATATTTCATTTAATACTTCTCAAAATTCTGTAAGGTGATTATTATTGTCCCAGTTAAATTAAAATAAAGTAACTTATTAGTGGTTATAGCATGCTAATTGGCAAAGGAAAGATTAGAGCTCAGGTCTTTCTGACTTTTAAGGTGCAAATTTGTTCGTGTTTTCAACGAGTGAACAAAATATTATTGCCTGTAGACAGCCTTGGTTTTATTTTTAATTCCATCTATAAGTTTCCTAGTAGCTACAACCTGTATGTAGAAGCATAAGTTAACATGATGGATACCCAAATATTTTACTGCGATAGAAAATGTTTGGGCTATATAGGCACATATCTTTCTCAAATATGGTTTATATAATTTAAAGTATAAATTTATAAATTTTTGTTAAAACTTGGAAGAAAGTAGGCACAATATAGAAATGTAGATTTTCTTTCTTATCAAGATCAATTTGAGTGGCCATCCCTAGTTTCTTCAAAAATCTTCAAGAAGGCAGAGAGAAATAAATGTTCTTTATGAACTATATGCAATGCAAGCCTTAATTAAATAATGAATATATAGGCATGAATGCAAAACTATTGCCTTAGAGGAAATAGTTATATTGTTTTAGGGAAAGCAGAAAGATAGCTCCTTGACGACTTGGATTCTCTCCTACTAAGCATGTTATCTCCAGAACTAATAATAGTGCCTGTCACATAGTATATACTTGACTGACCATTTGCTAAAAAATAAGACTCAGCACAGTTATGGCTAAAGGACCTGGAAATGGTTAAACAACATCAATTATTAAGTGTACCAATTTAAAGCATGCTAAATGCTCTATTTGTTCATGGGGCACTTTTTAAATTTTGTTGAGTAGGGCGGGAATGGGGGAGAGATGTGAGAGGAAAAATTGGTGTTCTAATGTCTTAATAGTGATCATTCAAATCTATTGTAGAAATCTTGTGGCTGCTCACACTACCACTGTAGTGCCACATCACTACGACCAATTAGATGGTAGGGTTTGTATAAAGTAATTTGCAATGAAAACGCTTAAAATTCTATTTGAAGAAAAAGCAGAGCAGAAAGTGCTGGATATGATCTAGAAATAAGCAGAGAAAATTGTGTGTGATTGTGTGTGTGTGTATTAATGGCATATATATATATATATATATATATATATATATATATATATATGGCTGAGGAGGCTTTAAACATCAATGCTTTCCCCCTCCTCCTATAAGTAACATTTGACTTAAGCCAGAGCTAATATTGTCAAATGAGCAAACATTCATAGATAAATGCCTCACATCTGGCAATGTGAAGTTAGCTGACATTTACTTGGTACAATGGAGCAGGGATTAAATCAGATAGAATCTCACAGGATCTAACATTGGTACATTTTTCTCTGCAGTATTTTAGTTGTTTTTGAAGACAAGCCGAAAAATTCATTATTAACTAGGAGGTGAAAAGAGGAAATCATATATTATTTATATTTTTCACTTATTTTTCTTATTATGTCAATAGGTACATATTGTAACAAAAATGGAAAGCACAGACGTGAATTGTAGATAATTTGAAAAGTGCAGGAGCATGTAAACAAGAAAGAAAAATAGGTCATAACTCCTAATTCAGGCACAGGCACTCGTAAAATGTTGATGTTTTTCTCTACAGTATTTTCTATGTGTGCAAAGAGAAATAATAGATATGGTGAAAAAAATACGTACATAGATAAATGGAGAAATAGATGGCAGATTTACATGTATGCATAAACATATTTTTAAAAACTAAAATCAAAATTATATAAAGTTTTTGTGAGTTGCATTAATTGCAAATATACACTGAATATTTTCTAATATCATTTCATAGCATTATGAAACATGTTTAGCTATTGCATATTATTTCATTACCATCAATTTATCTTATAACAAGATGCCATTAAGGGTCATAAGAAAATTTACAAATTCAATTTATAATGATCACCTTGATTATACCTTAGAGCATGAAATGTTGAGTACATTTAAGAATTTGCAGTTATAATCTAGGCAGATTATGTCAGTGTTCTAAACCACTGCTGTGAATGTGAAGATGGAAAAATTTGAAAAATTAAGCGTAAGAATTCTTTAGGGAACTGGGTAGATGGTTGTTGGTGTTTCATTTTGTTTGGGAATTCAAGAAAAGTTACACTGTTTTTTGCAGTAAGTCACATGAGAATGATCATTTCAATTGATTCGGAAGGAGAATCAGATAAATAATAGAAAGTCTTGGTGAATATATAGTTTAAATTAAGAAAGATGTCACCAACTGGATAAAGAAAAATTAAAGAGGGAGGAAGCCTGAATGAGGAGAGAATACAGCATCTAGGAAATAATTCCTTACATGATTTTAAGGAGAGATATCATAAGACTAAGTTTAAAATGTCAAGGAGGATAGAAGGTTATAATTAAGGAGGACGTTTTTGATAAATATAAGAGAATGCATGTAACGTATATCAAATTTTTAAGACATAATTACACAAGAAACACTAGTAATTCCAAATCCAACAGAAGTATTGGACCACCACCAGAACTGTTGAATGAACTCATGTTTTCTTCTTCTTTCCCACCTTCTTAGCCCTTAGAGTTAAGTATTTATGTAATTTTTAATTTATTATTACCTTGTTTCATTAAACATGTGTTTTTACCAAGTAAATGTTTTCTCTTGTTCTACTTAGCATCTATTCTAATCCTTCAATCATACAAAAACTTTATGCTTTTGACTAACATGAGGAAATCATATATTACCTTTTTATTTTCCTTATTATGTCAATGAACATAATAAGAAAATACAATACGTATAGTAACAAAAATAGAAAGCACAGAAGTGAATTGTAGATAATTTGAAAAGAGCAGGAGCATGCAAACAAGAAAGAAAAGTAGGTCATAACTCCTAATTCAGGAGCAAACACTCTTAAAATGTTGATATTTTTCTTTACACTATTTTCTATGTGTGTAAAGAGATATAATAGATAGGTGAAAGAAACAAAAATAGAGATTGGAGACACTCTCATCCTTCATCTCTTCTGAAAGGGTAGACACAAAGTGTAACAGTCATGGTAACCATCTCAACTCCAGGAATTCCAGACAACATCTCTTCTTCCTTAGTTATGGATACAGCTTCTAGTGATCTTTGGATGATCTATGAGAGTAAAGTTAAGCATTACCAGAAAGCCTTATTCCAAATAAGAGAGAAATTTATTTCAGCAAACATACATAGAAGAAAATACATAAATGGATAATAGTTTGTTTGATGGAAATATAACAGAAATATACTCTGGTAATGCAGTTTATATTTTGCAATTGATCAAAAGGCTATAGTTGATATTTATTGTTCCCTTTGGTATTTACCTACACCTTTTTTTCCATCACCCTCAGGTAACATCTCAGCTGTTTAGAATTATCTGCTTCATGGGGTAAGTTAAATTACTTTTGAAGGACCTGAGTCCATTAAGATCTGCATTTATTGGATTCCTGTATTTTTCTATTGACATCTACCATTTACCATGGAAGTTTCAAGAGGTACTCAGGAAAGGATTTAGATTCCATTCATAGTTTACCCTGCCTCTGTTGAGCACAAGCAGCCTTATTTCACTTTGGTATGTGGAATCAATCATTCTGTCCTATCTTTGGTTCAATGGCATGTGGATCTTGTTGTCACACTCAACGTAAAATAGCAAGACCAATGTCACAAGCCATATTGAAAGTTTTTCTCCAATAAGAACTAATAACCCTAGATAAAAAAAAATCTAAGACTGTGAGAAAAGAAAAAAAAATATTTTGTGAGCTAATAGTTAAATGATTTAGTAAGAGGGACCATGCACACTTCCTCTCCTTACTTTTCAGACTTGTGTATTCTGATTATGAAAGAAATAACACCATATATTACATTGTGTAGGACAGTACCTACCTTCACTGGACTGTTTTAGCAGGTGCCATAACTGAATTTTCAATAAGCCATTTCACCATTCTATTAAAAGTATTACAGGAAGAGAAACTAAATCTGTATAACTTTCTCCTTCCATAATCTCCCACCAAGAGCCTGATTGATCTCCCAAAGCAAGCACCATGTCATAGGTTCCGCATTGGCCTTTGATTTTAGGTTTGGCACAGGAGTAATTCTTCCATTCATTGCTTGGCCAGAGTCTGCAGGACAGGTTTGGCAGCATTGTATCCTTGTCTTCAAAGCAGCATGCTCCCTTTTGGCCCAGGATGTGTCTAGAAATGTTAACTGAAAGCTATGATATGGAAAGGGTGACTCACAACTCTGATTGTTGCCCTACCTTCCTGTGTCTGATTTGGTATCAGAATGATGCACAAAAAAGTCCTCTTTCCTCTCCTCTCCTCAAGAGGAAGAAAGGGGTCTGTTTTGAAGCCATGAGCTGTGCTGCCTGGGGTAGGGGTAGGGGTAGAGGTGGTGTAAGTATTGCCTTAGCCATCCTTTCTGGTGCCTCAGTAATTTGTGTGCCTTCAAAGTCTACTGGCTCTGAACTCAGTTCAGCACTAAGACTTACCTAGGAGTTACAGTCCTTGTGGCTAAGACTACTTTTAAAGTTTATTTAGGGCCTGATATAGTTTGGGTATATGACCCCTCTAAATCTCATGTTGAATTGTAGTCCCCAGTGTTGGAGGTGGGGCCTAGTGGATGATGATTGCATCATGGGGGCAGATTTCTCATGAATGGTTTAGCACTGTCCCCTTGGTGCTGTCCTCATAATAGTGAGTGAGTTCTCATGAGATCTAGTCATTTAAAAGTGAGTGGCACCTCCCCCCACACTCTTGCTCTTGCTCCTGCTTTGGCCCTGGGAAGAGTCTGCTCCCCTATTGCCTTCCTCCTTGATTGGAAGCTTTCTGAGGCCACAGCAAAAGCAGATGTACAGCAGATGCATCTTGTACAGCCTGCATAATTATGAGCCAATTAAACTTCTTTTTTAAATTAATTACCTAGTCTCAGACATTTCTTTATACCAATGCAAGGGCTAATACAAAAAATTGGTACCAGGAGTGGGACATTGCTAGAAAAATGGCTGAAAATGTGGAAGCAACTTTGGAATTGGGTAACAGGCAGAATTTGGAAGAATTTGAAGAGCTCAAAAGGAGAAAGACAGATGAAGAAAAGTTTCTAATTTCTTAAAGACTGATTAAACAGTTGGGAGAAAAATGCTGATAGTAATATGGACAGTGAAGTATAGGCTGCTGAGGTCTCAGATGGAAATGAGGAACTTATTGGAAACTGGCACAAAGGTAACATGTGTTACGCTTTAGCAAATAACTTAACTGCATTGTGTTCATGTCCTCGGGCTCTGTGGAAGATGGAAATTTAGAGTGATACTTTAGGGTATCTGGTGGAAGAAAATTCTAAACAGCAAAGCATTCAAGATGTGACCTAGCTGCTTCTAACAACCTCTGCTCTAACATGGGATCTAGGAAATGACTTAAGGTTGAAATTATATTTAAACAGGAAACAGATCATAATTGGAATATTTGCAGCCTGGCCATGTGACAGCGCAATACATAGCTCTTTAAGTAGTGTTATTCAAGCAGGCTGTGGAGCAACCACTTACTAGAGAAATGTGCATAACTGGAAGGGAGCCAAGGGCTGATAGCCAAGACAATGGAGAAAAGGCCTCAAAGACACTTCAGAGATCTCCCAGGCAGCATCTCTCATCACAGACTCAGATATCTAGGAGGTAAGAATGTATTTGTGCGTTATTCCCATGGTACTACTCAGCCTTGGGACACTTTTCCCCAAATCCCAGCCACTCTGGCTCCAGCCTCAACTCACAGGGGTCTGGTTACAGCTTAGTCTGCAACTCCAGCACCTGAAGGTGCAAACTGTAAGCCTTGACAGCTTCCATGTGGTGTGAATCCTGCAGATGGACAGAATTCAAGAGTGACAGAGGCTTAGCAGCCTCTGCCTAGATTTTGTGGGATGTATGAGAAAGCCTGTGTGTCCAGGCAGAAGCTTGCTGCAGGGGCAAAGCTGCCCCAAAAAACCTCTACTAGGGCAGCGTGGAGGGGAAGTAGAAGGTTGGAGGTTCCACACACAATCCCCATGGAGCACTGCCTACTGGAGCTATGGGAAGGGGATCATCATCCTCCAAATCCCAGAATGGTAGATCCACCAGCACCTTGCACCCTTCCCCTGGAAAAGCCACAGACATACAACTCTAGCCCATGGCAGCAGCCATGGGGGCTGAACCTTGCAAAGCCACAGGGGTGGAACTGCCCAAAGCTTAGCATCCCAAACCTTACACCAGTATGCCATGTATGTGGGACATAGCGTCAATTGGGAGATTATTTTAGACTCCAGGAGTCTCAAAGGTCTCTCTAGGGAGCACTAATTTTCTCTAGGTGTATTTCTGTTTTTGATGTTCCATACATACCCTTTGTGCTTGTTATTTTCATCACTTTGCCCCACCCTCCCTGTTCTGGGACATATTTTTTTTTCTTCACATCACTTTCCATAGTATCAACGCTGTTATTTCCTTTTCTTAAAGTATCAGACATTTTCCCCTGCTACTGCATTTAATTTAATTTCAATATTTCCCTATCTCATCCGTCTCCACTTTATTTCAATCTGACTCTCAGCGAGAAGTTTTGTGATATGTCTTTTGTCTCATCATTCCACATTTCATCTATTACACTAGATCCAAGTTATATTTAATTACATTGAAAACACGGACAGATATATTCTAACATTTTTCTTTTTTCAAAGCCCCCTTTTATCTTATCCTTGAATGATATAACCATCCTTTTTTTGTCATTGTGGAATTTTTTCATAGGTTAAAACTGAGGGCTTTTTTCTTCTCTGTTTAATAATATTAATAATAGAAAGATCTATTCAGAGATATAATTTGCATCAAATGAAAAATTTCTTCTGGTTCTTATCATCTGGTAGATTGCTGTTAGATTCCACATCACAGGCATACTAACACAGAGCCCTGTTTCACACCTAGGTTCATGAAAACTTGACATTTGCCATTCTAAATGCCTAAGATGAAACTGTCACCCTAATTTTTACCAGGATATAATTGAAGAAGTTGCTCAGATTTGTAGCTCTAAAAATAAGAAACTGACTAAATTTGAGTTTTAAAAATGTGAGCTACAATATAAATGTTTATATATTAATAATCTTTCTTCCTTTTTTATAATTTCTATAATTCTTCTGACATTATTTCTTATTACAGAACCAGGGGATCAAAACTATAAAATCAGTAGCTAATGAACAGGACATTTGAGATTGCAGAAAAGATGCCTTTGAAAGATGATGAAAACTGGAACAATTGTTCATTTTCACCAGGATGGGCATCAGGGAAGGGAATCAACAGAAGCCAGAAAACTAGCACTTGAAGACTTATGCCTTATAATATTTGATGAAAAGATCAGAGGCAGAGAGTTCCAGAGGTGAATAGACAAACATTTTTATATTAAACATAAAGTTACTTTGCAGTTTTCAATGTGCTGGTGATGCCTCTCTTCTTGCACATAGGATGGCTCCATTACTTCCAGGCATCACACATAGGAACAACAATTTCTGCAGTTGTCAAGGGGGTGCTTTCATGGATGAGTCTTTATTATGTAAGAAAACATTTCCAGCATTTGTTTCCATTACATACATTTCAACAAGAAAAACGAAGAAAGTATGTATTTCGCATTTTCTGCCTCTTAGATATAAGCCAGACTCTGCGAGGAAGGAAGAATGACACACAGTTTATGGGGTTATGTCACATACCACCAGACATTTATATGTGTTTTCCTGGGACCCAAAGGAAACGTTCAAATTTATCATCTCACTCTGAACCTCCAGAACAATCCCCAAACTAGTCAACAGTCTAACAATTTCCAGAGAAGATGCTTGAATCTGATTGATTCAGGATTTTGAAGATTGAAGTGTAGGTGTGTCCTAGTGGTGTGACGTATGCTAATCTATTATCCTGGAAGCATGTTTTGGTTGCTATTTGAATTTAATATATCTAAAAAATTCCAAGGAATCTTGAACTTACCTCCAAAAATTTACTTCCTCAAATTAAGAAAAAAAAAAAGACTCTTATGACCAGAATAACATAAAACCTAGTACAGGAAAAAAGCAAACCTATCTTCATATCTTATGACTCATCTATTGCTTTGTTAAATGGTATCTCTAATTCTTGCTTATGTCATTAAATTATCTGTCAGATCCAAGCATTCCTTCTCATTCTAAGTCCATTCAAAACAGAAATGTTAAGCCGTAGAAGTGGTTGATATAAAATTGCACTATCAGTTTGGAGATAAAGCTACCTGAAGTTAACCAGCAAGAAACCCTAGAATAACCTAAAAGAGGAGCATCATAGCTGCGTCTCACCTTCTCAGGGAATGGTGAACCTGTAAAAAAAGGGAGTCAATTTCTTATGTCTATCATTCTGTTTTGGCAAACTCTATACTAGTCAAACTTGTGGTTTTGCTGCATATCTTTTCTGTTGCTGTCTCCACTACGCTGGTGTACCAACTCTATGTCCTGCTGTCTGTCTGTTTATTTTAGCCACTCCCCAAATTACAATATATTGTCATTATCATTGTTTTTCAACACTACATTGTATTTGGATAACAAAAATAAGTCTAAATCATAAACCCCCTGTATGACTCAAGGCTTCTCTTGCTTCCAGGTCTCATTACAAATTAGTTGTTTTTAATAGGCTTCTGTTTAGGGGTTCTATAATAATTTCCCTGGAACATTACGGTTTTTAAGAAAAGGATCAGATATAGGGTGTTCCTTGGAGAATTTCTCTGGTCAAGTTCAATATGTACTGTATCAAGTACTCATTTCTTATTATATACTACATGTGGACAATAATTTCCCTTTAGCAGATTTGCATGAGTTTTCCTTTAATTTAAATATTTTGTTAACCATTTTCATAAGAGCAAAGACAGACAATGGCATAACACTGTTTATTTCTGCATCTTAACTTGATGTTCTTTTATGTGTTATTTTATGTGGTTAAAATTTGGAGAAAAAGTAGAAAAATATTTTCCCCTGGGAGAAAAATAAAAGATACACTTTCATACAACAACTATTTCACTGAAGCTACTGAAACCAGTGTAAATCAATTTAATTTTCTATTTTCCATCTGCAGGTATTTTGCTATCATTCAATTGTAGATATGTGAGACTTTTAGTGTAGGTGAATCCATCTTAGAGTACTCTTTACTACAAGAATAATTTCACTGCACACAATACAAAGTACACTCTACAATCAAGAACTCCATGAGCTGTTTTGTACATGGTCTCCTAAGTGAGCTTAAGATGAAAAATGAAATGAAGGAGTTTAAGTAAAACATTCACCAATCTTTTTTCCTCCATTTCAGTAATACACACACATTCTTTCCCCAATCTAGTTCTGGAAATAGTGCTACAATTAACAGCTCCCCTGAATATATAGTATAAATAGGTACCTGATCAGAGCAAAATGCTTAGAGAAATGATATAACAAAGCTTAAAAGTAAAAGAAATTGAGAAACACACCCATAAATAAATAGAAGAGGTAGCTAAAATAAATCATGCAAGAATAATTGTATGTATAAAATCTGATTTTATTTTCAGAAAATATAAGTGGAAATACATCTACTGAGAAATGTTTGAAAAGACATGAAACAAAGTAAACCATTTGAAAGTCTTAACATGAGAACCTATACTTATGTTCCAAATTATAATAAAGGTCCTCCAGCTCTAGAAATCTTTATGAAAACAGATGCAGCTGTCCTGAGGAAAATTTTGTATTTAGTGAACCTTAAATTATACATATTCTACAAACCAGGAACTCTATGTTTTGGTATTTAATTTTGAATTCGAAAACTAAAACTTCAAACCATAATGTCTTCCCTATTTTCAGCTTTAAAATTTCTTTATCTGACATAGATTATTTTGCTATTGAGAAGTACTATATGCAAAGCACTGTGGTGAAGGTTTATGTGTATTGTCTAATTTTATGCTATCATAATTATTGGAAAATATTAAGTTGTATTAAGTCAGAAACAAAACTTTTAGTTAGAAGTGGAGACAATGCAAGTTGCCAAATATAAGGTCAGCATCCAAAGTTCATGTTGTACTGGAAGAAGCAGACCAGAAAAACAGCAATCAAATTAAAGGATAGTCAGAATACTTTCTTAAAATTCTTCATCTACCTCATTACATTAAACTTTGAATGTTACAGCTATCAGGATACAACTTGTGTTTTGGGGGGTTGGGGTATCAAGCTTTTCAGGATTCTGTGACTAAAATGTAAAACAAAAAGAAAACAACAAAACAAACATTTCTCTTTCAGTTGTGGAAAATACACTGGAAAGCAAAATCATGTTTCTCTTTTTTAAAAATCTGACAACATTTCTTGTTTATTAAAACCCTATTCAATCAACATCACTTCTGGCAAAGCTTTTCCTAACAAACATAGGTATTCTGTCTCTCCTCTCTGTTCCCATAGCATTTTTCTCATAATACTTTCAGCTTTCCATTATAACTTTTGGTTTTATTAGACTGTCTTTGCAAATAATGTTAGTTCACTAAGGTTGTTATTCATTTGTATATCCTAAAGGTAATGTCTAACACATAATAGATCCTCAAATACAGCAGAGGAAAAAAAGGGAAAAGAAGAAGGAACAAGGGAGGGAGGAGTAGAATGAAAAGAGAACAGTCAACCAAGCTTTGAAAAAAAGTAAGAGTATAATTATACAGGAAGTGGTTAAGATTATGTGCAAAAAATGAGTAATAAAAAGTGGAATCAATGTGGAACAGAAAGAAAAATATAAATTATCTTTATTTCATTGAAGGCAAGGAGCTTGACCTCTTGGAGTTTCAAAAGGCTAATAAATAAACGAATATGTATTGCTGAAGCTCTTTGATGTGTAATAAAATAGGAAAACAAATAACAATTAGGGTCGATTAGCATACACACTAATATGTCTTATAGTAGTAACTATATGACAGAGCCAGACTCTTTCACACATTCAAATATATATGACTAGATTTTAAAGCAAAATAACAGGAAATCCATTTCTGGTATTATGAATATATCTTAAATATTTAATTTCCCAATTAATTATGGTTTCTATTACAGCAATAATTAAGATGTATATTTCTTAATTTTGGATACACTGGCTATGCTATATGTGAGAAGGTAGTCAGTAGTTTTCTTTATTATCACTATTAGGATCACATCTAACATTTCTTTTCTTTTATTATTATTATACTTTAAGTTTTAGGGTACATGTGCACAATGTGCAGGTTAGTTACATATGTATACATGTGCCATGTTGGTGTGCTGCACCCATTAACTCGCCATTTAGCATTAGGTATATCTCCTAAAGCTATCCCTCCCCCCTCCCCCCACCCCACAACAGTTCCCAGAGTGTGATGTTCCCCTTCCTGTGTCCATGCGTTCTCATTGTTCAATTCCAACCTATGAGTGAGAATATGCGGTGTTTGGTTTTTTGTTCTTGAGATAGTTTACTGAGAATGATGATTTCCAATTTCATCCATGTCCCTACAAAGGACATGAACTCATCCTTTTTTATGGCTGCATAGTATTCCATGTTGTATATGTGCCACATTTTCTTAATCCAGTCTATCATTGTTGGACATTTGGGTTAGTTCCAAGTCTTTGCTATTGTGAATAGTGCCACAATAAACATACGTGTGCATGTGTCTTTAGAGCAGCATGATTTATAGTCCTTTGGGTATATACCCAGTAATGGGATGGCTGGGTCAAATGGTATTTCTAGTTCTAGATCCCTGAGGAATCGCCACACTGACTTCCACAATGGTTGAACTAGTTTACAGTCCCACCAACAGTGTAAAAGTGTTCCTATTTCTCCACATCCTCTCCAGCATCTGTTGTTTCCTGACTTTTTAATGATTGCCATTCTAACTGGTGTGAGATGGCATCTCACTGTGGTTTTGATTTGCATTTCTCTGATGGCCAGTGATGGTGAGCATTTTTCCATGTGTTTTTTGGCTGCATAAATGTCTTCTTTTGAGAAGTGTCTGTTCATGTCCTTTGCCCACTTTTTGATGGGGTTGTTTGTTTTTTTCTTGTAAATTTGTTTGAGTTCATTGTAGATTCTGGATATTAGCCCATTGTCAGATGAGTAGATTGCAAAAATTTTCTCCCATTCTGTAGGTTGCCTGTTCACTCTGATGGTAGTTTCTTTTGCTGTGCAGAAGCTCTGTAGTTTAATTAGATCCCATTTGTCAATTTTGGCTTTTGTTGCCATTGCTTTTGGTGTTTTAGACATGAAGTCCTTGCTCATGCCTATGTCCTGAATGGTAATGCCTAGGTTTTCTTCTAGGGTTTTTATGGTTTTAGGGCTAACGTTTAAGTTTTTAATCCATCTTGAATTAATTTTTGTGTAAGGCGTAAGGACGGGATCCAGAAAGGGATGCCCTCTCTCACTACTCCTATTCAACATAGTGGTGGAAGTTCTGGCCAGGGCAATCAGGCAGGAGAAGGAAATAAAGGGTATTCAATTAGGAAAAGAGGAAGTCAAATTGTCCCGGTTAAAGATGACATGATTGTATATCTAGAAAACCCCATTGTCTCAGCCCAAAATCTCCTTAAGCTGATAAGCAACTTCAGCAAAGTCTCAGGATACAAAATCAATGTACAAAAATCACAAGCATTCTTATACACCAATAACAGACAAACAGAGAGCCAAATCATGAGTGAACTCCCATCCACAGTTGCTTCAAAGAGAATAAAATACCTAGGAATCCAACTTACAAGGTACGTGAAGGATGTCTTCAAGGAGAACTACAAACCACTGCTCAATGAAATAAAAGAGGATACAAACAAATGGAAGAACATTCCATGCTCATGGGTAGGAAGAATCAATATCGTGAAAATGGCCATACTGCCCAAGGTAATTTATAGATTCAATGCCATCCCCATCAAGCTACCAATGACTTTCTTCACAGAACTGGAAAAAACTGCTTTAAAGTTCATATGGAACCATAAAAGAGCCCACATCGCCAAGTCAATCCTAAGCCAAAAGAACAAAGCTGGAGACATCACGTTACCTGACTTCAAACTATACTACACGGCTACAGTAACCGAAACAGCATGGTACTGGTACCAAAACAGAGATATAGATCAATGGAACAGAACAGAGCCCTCAGAAATAATGCTGCATATCTACAACTATCTGATCTTTGACAAACCTGAGAAAAACAAGCAATGGGGAAAGGATTCCCTATTTAATAAATGGTGCTGGGAAAACTGGCTAGCCATATGTAGAAAGCTGAAACTGGATCCCATCTAATATTTCTTTACTTGAACATTCTCACTATATGGGCAAGGACTTCATGTCTGAAACAACAAAAACATGGCAACGAAAGCCAAAATTGACAAATGGGTTCTAATTAAACTAAAGAGCTTCTGCACAGCAAAAGAAACTACCATCAGAGTGAACAAGCAACCTACAGAATGGGAGAAAATTTTTGCAACATACTCATCTGACAAAGGGCTAATATCCAGAATCTACAATGAACTCAAACAAATTTACAAGAAAAAAACAAACAACCCCATCAAAAAGTGTGTGAAGGATATGAACAGACACTTCTCAAAAGAACACATTTATGCAGCCAAAAAACACATGCAAAAATGCTCATCATCACTGGCCATCAGAGAAATGCAAATGAAAACCACAATGGGATATCATCTCACACCAGTTAGAATGGCGATCATTAAAAAGTCAGGAAACAACAGGTGCTGAAGAAGATATGGAGAAATAGGAACACTTTTACACTGTTGGTGGGACTGTAAACTAGTTCAACCATTGTGGAAGTCAGTGTGGCGATTCCTCAGGGATCTAGAACTAGAAATACCATTTGACCTAGCCATCCCATTACTGGGTATATACCCAAAGGATTATAAATCATGTTGCTGTAAACACACATGCACACGTATGTTTATTGTGGCACTATTCACAATAGCAAAGACTTGGAACCAACCTAAATGTCCAACAATGATAGACTGGATTAAGAAAATGTGGCACATATACAACATGGAATACTATGCAGCCATAAAAAAGGATGAGTTCATGTCCTTTGTAGGGACGTGGATGAAGCTGGAAACCATCATTCTCAGCAAATTATCGCAAGGACAAAAAGCCAAACACCACATGTTCTCACTCATAGGTTGGAACTGAACAATGGGAACACATGGACACAGGAAGGGGAACATCACACACCAGGGACTGTTTTGGGGTGGGGGAAGGGAGAGGGATAGCATTAGGAGATATACCTAATGCTAAATGACGAGTTAATGGGTGCAGCACACCAACATGGCACAAGTATACATATGTAACAAACCTGCATGTTGTGTACATGTACCCTAAAACTTAAAGTATAATAATAATAAAATTAAAAAAACTAAAAAATAAAATAAATAAATAAATATGATTGACATGTATAAAAAAATAAGCTTTATCTTTCATCTTTTGCTAATCTTTCTCACATGCTCTAATTAATAGATCTATACATGAAACTTTAACAGATATGTCACGATGTAGATATCCTTCAATCTTATGATTTAAACTGCTGTAAGCATATCACTATTTGTTAGTTTCTGTTCTTTACAATGCTATTTGTTGAACATGCAGCTGCACAATTAATTTTTCCCTCCCTCAGCTCATCTTACTTCAGTTACTTAAAGAACAATTTCTTGCTCACAAGAGAATTGGGCTGAAACTGTTATTTTTTGCATTTTAAACTTTCTATTGAATGGCTCCCTTATATCTAGTTAACAATCTGTATATGCACTCTTCGAGGAGGACTGCAGTCTTTCAATGAATCCATCTGGGCCTTGTTCCATTTTTAAATCTAGGGCATTCTCCCATTTGACTGCCTTCTGAAGAAACATTCTAAAATTTGAGGTTCAAATATGTGAGTTATTTAATTACTTTAAGATACAAGTTAAAGCACACATTTTCTGTCATATATTGTGTATTTGTGTTCCTCTCTACACTAAACACAGCCCACCTTGCTTTTCTTGCGGGCACAGATTTTTGTTTTTTTTTTTTTACAATAATGAGATATATGGAAGATTTGGGCACGTCAAAGGTGCACAAAATATAGAATAAATAAAATGAGACTGCTATCAAAATGACTTCTGCGGTTTTAATATAATGTACATAGCAAATTCTGGAACTAATTTATTGATTTTTTTGTGGTTGCTATAACAGAATACCACAAACTTAGTGACTTAAACAATACAATTTTATTGTCTTAGACAATAAAGTGGCACTCGTCTCATTTGGCAAAAAGCAGTGTTGGCAGGACTGAATTTCTTTTCGGAGGCTCTAGAGTAAAATTTGTTTCCAGCTTCTCCAGCTACTGCAGGCCATGCACATTCCTTGGCTCATGGACTGCTTCCTCCTTTTTCATATCCAGCCAATAGTGAGTGGAGTCCTAATAAAGATGCAGTCTCTGTTTCTCTGCAATTGGGAAAGGGTCTCTGTTTTTCAAAACCCATGAGATAGATTGGGCCCATTTGGATAATCCAGGATTATCTTTCCATGTCGTGGTGTTTAACTGTAATCAAATCTACAAAGTCCTGTTTGCTATAGAAAATATCATATTCACAGGTTCCAAGGATTAGATGATGGTCATCTTTGAAGGGCCATTATTCTGCTTTCCACACCTTCAAATCCATGGATCTATAATTATCTCTCATGTATTCAATCTATGCACTGACAATATGAGCTAGAGTAATTCAAAAGCTCAAGAGTATCATTTAAAAACTATTGTAAGATTAATCATTAAATAAAAAAGAAATGCAAACACAAATAATAACTAAAAAAAAATCTTACATCGTCTCAAAACTAACCCCAACCCCATTCCTTCAGCCATAGTAATGACTATATCTGTGTCTTATATATGTATGGATGGATTCATTCACACATAAGTAGGATCATACTTTAACATTATTTAACGATTTCTTACTATATTTAATAAGTTTATTATAGGTTTTACAAGTCATTGAATATAGATTCACCTCATTACTTGATAAAACTATAACAGAATATGTTAAATCATCTTCATATTAAAGGAATTCAAATTATGTCTCTTTTTAACCATTAATACTTTAATGAACATTTTTGGAATTAAAACTTTGAGTAAGTGTGTGTATTAAGTCAGGACTCTGGTTGCACAAAACAAAAGTGCAATTTAAATAGCTAAACAAAAACAATATATTAGCTAAAATAATTGAGAAGCTAAAAGGTACAATGTAATTCAAAAACTGTTACATTTAGGGGTTAAACAATGGTATCAGGCAATGTCTATCTATATCTCAGCTTTTCTCTCTTTTGTTTCATTCTGAGATGGAGTCACTAAATATAATAGGAAGACAGTATCCAGTGATCCAAGCTTACATCCAAAGAAAGGAGTGTAACAAATATTTTGGAAAGATCCACTAAATACTGATTGGGCTAGTGTGGGTCATATATGTCCAGAGTGTGGAACGCAATTATTGTGGATAAGGATATGGAATATCCTATCTCCAAATTTGAGTCAAGGAAGCCTGAATGAGAGAACATGGATCTAGCCCGAATGAAACAACACAGATGTAAAAGATTTAGGTGGTTTAGAGGAGGGGTTATTTCCTAAAGGAAAAGAGCTACAAACTGTGTATTCCTGTGTAGTCCCTGAGACAAAAGGTATGCTCATATTGAGATCTGATATTTGTTATGGGCTGAATTGTGCATCCTCAAAATTATTGTGTTGAAGTCCAAACCCTCAGTACCACAGAATATGACTGTCTCTTGAGAAAGGACCTTTAAGGGGGCAATTAAGATAAGAATAGTTCATGTGGGAGGAGGGAGCCCCTAATCCAGTATGACTAGTGTCCTTATTAGAAGAGGAGATTAAGACACAGACCAGGCAACTCACAGGCTGAGGAGCTACCATGTGAGGTCACAACAAGAAAGCAGCCATCTGCAAGCCAAGGAGAGGCTCAGGAAAAAAACAAAATCTACTGGCTCCTTCATCATAGACTTCAAGCCTCAAGAACTGTAAGAAAACAATTTATTATTATTATTATTATTATTATTATTATTTTGAGATGGAGTCTCACACTGTCACCTGGGCTGGAGTGCAATGGGGTGATCTTGGTTCACTGCAGACTCCACCTCCTGGGTTCAAGCAATTCTCCTGCCTCAGTCTCCTGAGTAGCTGGGATTACAGGCACTCACCACCACACCCGGCTAATTTTTTTGTATTTTTAGTAGAGATGGGTTTCACTATGTTGGCCAGGCTGGTATCGAACTCCTGACCTCGTGATCTGCCTGCCTTGGCCTCCCAAAGTGCTGGGATTACAGGTGTGAGCCACCGTGCCCAGCCAATAAATTTATTTTTAGGCTACACAGTCTGTGGTATTTTGTTATGGCAGTTCCAGCAAACAAATACAGTAGGTATTGTCAAATTTACTTATAGAAATATTACATTTTTAACACTTCTGCCATAATATAAAAGAGTAACTAAGCCATATTCATTATTGAATATTATCAGCATCTTCTACGTTTTGACCATTCGAAAATGGTATCTCATTTTAAATATAGTTATTTTCCTAATGAAGAAAAATAAAATATTTTGCATTTTTTCTGGTCATTTTGTATTTCATTCATATTCATTCTATGAATTCACTGTTTCTATCTTTTCTTCATGTTTATAGGTTTTTTATTTAATATTCTCTGTTTGCTTTTATGTTGAAAATACATTCTTCTAGTTTGTTGTGTCTTTAAATTTATTCATTTGCATGTATGCCTGAGTGTGAGAGCTCTGAGAATCATAAAAGCAAAATGGAATTAGATGTGCAAGAAATACATTAGGAAACAACCATGGAATAACATGGGGAGCATGTCCAGGAAGGCTGGAGGAGCCAGTTGGATGACAATGGAAATCTAATTACTGAAGAGGAAAGGAACAAGAAACAATGGGTAGTAAAAGTCATGGACTATAGTGAAGTTCTAAGAAAGCATTGTCAAAGCCAATGGGAAGTCCACAGCCAAAGTCACCAAACAGAGGAATCACCCATCACCTAGGAATAGGTCTACCATGGTATCCATACTGCACACTGTCATTTGTTGGGAGCAGCTCATGTGAAGCACATTCTTTATGTAAACACAATGCTGTGTTTCAGAGCACAGAAGGTGGCATCTTTGATCAATTATGACCTCTGCAGAAAGAAGTCTAAGGAATTTACTTTCATGGCTTCTGCAGCCTATTTGCTTCAAGATATATTACTTGTGCTTCCCCTGCTCTGTTCACTAATGTAGAGAACTTCATTTCTCAGACTCTCCTGCCAACTTCCTTTAGGTGATTGCAGCCAATGGTAGATGCTCACAGAAGGCTTGGAAGTGGGGAGAAAGGACAATATTTATCCCTGTCTTGTGCTGTTTTAGAGGGTGCCTCCAGCACTGGTTGCACCTTCTCCAGGGTCACAGCTTTTGCAGAACTGCTCCTCCCACTTTAATTCCAGTTATTTTAAGCTGTTGCTGCCACTATGGTTCTAGTTCTCTTTAGAGACACCAGCTTCTGGGATTGCATAATCTACCTTTTCTATTTGCCTCTTGAGCTTCCTGCTCTTTCTAATTTCTAGGTTGCCCAGTTATCCCCTCTTTGGATCTTCAGTTCTTTTATCATCTATAAACTAATTTCATGTATTAAAGTTTATTTGTTTGAAACACCTAGAAAAGATTTTATTTTTCTTACTGCATACTGATATTTTTTCCTGTGTAGAAAAGTTTTAAAGAAAATTATTTGTGCTTTAATTTATGTTTCAGACGTTTATTATCACCAACTCTTGCCAAAAACTATTAAAGACATTGGGGATAAAATAGAAAACAAAATAGACAGAAGTCCTTGTTGTTATTCAATTGACTGTAACCTATAGCCAATTGACTAGAGATATAATAAATAATATATGTAATATGTACATAAAACATACATAAAATATAGTTTTCAAGTCATCAACAATGTAAAAATAAAGACAGACAAAGGGTGGTATTTGAATGTAATGAGTGGTCAGGATAGGCTATAATGAGAGAATAACATTTAAGCAAAGACTTGGAGTGAAGAAGTAGCTAGCCTATGAGGTTATCTGGAGGAGAAACATTCCAGGGAAAGGAAACAGTCCAGACAAAGACTAAAAATTGAGCATATTTCGCTTGTTTCAGAAAGAACAAAGAAGCCAGTGTGGCTGGAAAATAATAGACAGTAATATGAAATAAAGGCAGAAAACAAATGGGAGACCAGGCCCCACTGGGAATTAGAGATCATTTAAGGAAACATTGACTTTTACTCCAGAAAATGAAGTAACATAAATAAAATCTAAGCAAAGGGAGGACATAATCTGACTTAGGTTTTGTTCATATGGACCTCTGTTGTAAGCAGGCTTAGTGGAGGAGAAATAAAGGAGAAAACAAATATACCAGTAAAGAAACTATTACAGGTAACTAGATGAGAGATAATAGTGGTTTAGAACAAGATGGTAGCTACAGAAATGATGACAAGTGGCTAGATCCTGAATCTATTTTGAAGGTAAAGCCAACTAGGTTTCTGAAGACTTTTGGAGGAATAGCATACAAGAAGTGGAGTTTAAAATGATATTTGTGTGTGGTCTGAACAACTGGAAAAATGAATTTACATCTATTCAGGTGATGAAGACCATAAGAATATCAGATGTCTGATATTCTATACATTAAATTTGAGATGTCTATTATCTATCCAAGTGGAAAGGTAAATAAGTCAAACATAAAAATTTAGTTCTGGAAGATATTTGGGATTAAGATATACATTTAGGGAAAATCATCATGTTGATGATATTAAAAGCCTTGAGGCAGAAATTGATAACCAAATGAGTGTACATAGAAAGAGAAATGAAGTCCAAGAACTGAGTTGTAAGCCATTGTAAGTTAGATCAAGAAAATTAAATGAAAACAAGCAAAAGGGATGTAGAAGTGACTAGTGAGGAAGAAAACTAACAACTATGATGACTAAAAGTAATAACAACAAAAAAGAGATTTATCCTTATCTTTAAGGGAAAGGGATGATCCGTTAAAGAAATGTTACCCAGAATTAACCATTAAATTTAATAATATAGAGATAAGCGCTAAAGATTCAAGAGTAATTTGGTGGAATGACAGAGACCAATGTCTGTTGCAAGCAGATTTGAGGAAGAATAGAGTGAGGGGATGTGAAAGCAAGGTAGTAGAGAGAAGGAAGCAAAAAGACACATATTTAATTAAATTATCACTATGGGCAATAAGAAAGGGCTCAATCTTATTAGGAAATTTAGAAGGTATTGTGTAACATCCTCTAGCATTATCCCAAGAAAAGGGCAGATAATGTGAAATATGTATTTATTATTATTCATTTGTCATTGAGATATCAAGTTCAGGTACTTCCCATTTTCTTTGTGTGTGAGATGAACACTCAACCACTTTTGGGTGGAAGTCAGAAGGACAAAAATGTTCTCCTTGGTTGGGAGCAGTGGCTCATGCCTGTAATCCCAACACTTTGTGAGGCTGAGGTGGGTGGATCACTTGAGATCAGGAGGTGGGTGGATCACTTGAGGTCAAAAGTTCAAGACCAGCCTGACCAACATGGTGAAATCCCAACTCTACTAAAAATACAAAATTAGCTGGGCATGGTGGCACATGCCTGTAATCCCAGCTACTTGGAAGGCTGAGGCAGGAGAATTGTTTGAACCCGGGAGGCGGAGGTTGCAGTTAGCCGAGATAGCGCCATTGCACTCCAGCCTGGGCAACAACAGCAAAACTCCATCTCAAAAAAAAAAAAGTTATCTGGCAGAATCTTTCTGCAATTTTAAAGGTGAGCGCTGGGATAATGTGGATTGGGCACCTGTATCATCTGCTATAATTTATGTTTCTTCCTTTAATATGAGATATTTGTCTACCAAAACTGTTTTAAGACACTTTGATAATAGATAAATGGAAAATAGAGAAAGTTTTTGTTACGTTTTTATTTGCCAGAACAGTAGTATAGTTATTCTGAAGGATGGAATGGGATAGGAGCTACTGAGTACTGAAAACAAACAAACAAACAAAAAACCCTATGGAAATGTCAGGCCAGCGTCTTCATGTGAGAAAATATATAATAAATTAAGTCATTCAAGAAGTTAATATTTGCATATCTCCTTCCCAACACCAACTTTACAAAGCACTGTTTTATAAATTTAGCATTTGGAGCAAAAGGCTATTTCCATCCTATTTGTACAAATGAAAAAATTATGAGGTCTTAGTTAAGACATTTAATTCCAAGCAACAGGAGTCTACATAAGCTGGCTTAATTTAGGAGGCTGCACCTTCAGCTAGTCAGAATTATCACTATCACAAGGTCAAAAAATGTAGACAAATCTTATGAGAAACTAGAATCAGGAACTGAAAAGTCATCAGAGTCATATTTCCTCTCTCTTTCTCTCTATGAGTCTCTAAGTTTAACTAATTTATTTTTTTCAGCCTATTTTGGTTGTCTCTGCTTAAAAAATTTGTGAGTTTTTCTATTGTTACATAACAAATTACCACAAGCTTAGGGGCTTGAAACAACATTAACTTATTATTTCAGTGCATTCAGGGTCAGGAGTCTGGATACAGATACAGGCTAACTGGACTCTTTGTCAGGTCTTACAAGGCTAAAATCACAGTATCAGCTGGAGCGATAGTGTCATCTGAGGCTCAAGGTGTATTCCATGCTCATTGTTTGTTGCCGGAATTCAGTTCCTTGTGGTTTTAGAAGTAAAGGCAGCTGAATGTTTCGACATCAGCAGGAGAGCCTCTCTCATTCTTCTAAATTCTTATGTCAAGAAGGGCCAAGTCCCTTTTGGTCTTCACCTGATTAGGCCAGGTCCACCCAGGATTATCACCCTTTTGATTAACTCACAGTTGATTGATTGCGAACCATAGCTACATCTGAGAAATCTCTCCTCCTTTCTCATATATAATCATTGGCGATAAATCCATTATATTCACAGTCACTCAAGAAGAAGGGGCCATCACAAAATTCTATCACTAGACATATTGCCAAATGAGGCCTGTAATGTAAATTTTTGGGTTCTGATAAACATTAGCAGAGACTGACCATTTCAAATTTAATTATCACTTTCTAGGAGTATGATAGAATGATTGAGTTGGAGTCTAGTGAATAGTTATGCCTAATCATCTTTGAACTGTGGGATTGAGTAATATAAGCCTGATCATTGGATTGGTCAATATGGAGGGAATACACAGTGTGCAAACACTGTGGAGACAGAAGGACTGACTAGTGAGAAAGATAGAAAACCAAGAAACTGTGCTGACTTGAAAATCAAGTTAAAAGTTCTTTTCAAAGGAAGGGCACAATGATCTGAGTGAAATCTTGCTTATGATGGACGATTAGATCTAGCAATATAGTTACATAAATAATAAATATTATAGTGATATAATCACTGTCTCTACTACATCAAGAAACCCTTGACTGCCTGTAAATATACACAATCTCCTGCATTTAAACATGGTCACTTCTCCCATTTTAGAATTTTCTTTACTTAATCTTATTTAAATATATTCCTGCTGCCTGCTGTGAACTACTCACCATTCATGCATTCACCATAATCTAAATTGGTAATCAGACTTTGGTACGCATCACAATCACTTGGAAAACTTAAAAATGTGTGTGCGTGTGTGTGTGCTTGTGTGTGTAACCTCTACCCTAAACCTATTAAGACAGGATATAGAGGGTACCTGTTTTATAACCATGTTTTCAGATTTTTAATTTGCATTGTAAATTTTGAGAATTTTTGATGTTTGCTGTACCTCAAAACCCAAAATATAAGGGAAGTAAAAACAACCAAAGTGCATTAACAATTTCCATCTCAAAAAGCTGGAAAGGCTAAAATTGCTAGAATAGCAACACACATTGACCATTAGTTGAGACCATTTATATTCTACAGGGAGACATATACAATGTAAAAAGTAATAGAGCCGGTGACTCTCATGAGCCTCATTGTATCAGTACAACGGTTTTGGGGTAAATTTCATTGGTCAGAAAATCTGGTTTCTTAGGATTCTGACAACTGTTTAAAAAAGTCTCTAACCAAATCTTTCTAAGGTCAGTGAAGAGGGTCAATAACACGAAGGGGTTTGTAGATCGCGTTCGGCTAGTATTGATATCCATTGTACTCATAAACAAGGTCAGTAATAATGTGAATAGCCAAGATTCTCTGCTCTTTTGATTTGAATCAAACAAAGTGAGTGTTCGTTAATATCCGGGTTTCTTATGAGCTAAAATACACATAATACTTGCAAATTATTTTTGGTGTATTTAATAACCTTAGTCTAGAGTTCTATAGGAAAAACTATTAGCTAGACCAGAGTTAATATTTCATAATAGTTGGTAATATTTAGAGTGGTAGAATATGTTTCAATAATAAAATATGATTTAACCCACATTCTATACTGAGAGTTCATTTTAGTTACAAAACGTGTTTTGGGGCCCATTGTTTCATGTTTCTACCACTTCTCATAATCATCCCCATGAAAATTTCTAAGGTTTTATTCATTTTCAAACAGGGAATCAACCTGCACCTTAGGCACAAATAGGAACAGATAATTTAGCCATCAAAATTCAGCAAGGAGCATATTTAATTTCTTAGTAGTGTTCAATACAGTCTAGTGGTTGAAAGCGTAACAGTTGTGATGTAAAGCAGAACTGGAATCTAATCCATCTATAACACTTTGGGAAAATTTATTAACACTCTAGACCTCAATTCACTTAGACATATACAAGAATTGCTTTAAAAAAACTACTTTTTGAATTTTTGTGACAATTACATACAATAATGCATATGAACTACTTAGCTCCCAGTAATTATGCATTAAAACTACCATTATTGTTATAAATATTATCAATCTAATTAATTGGGATCTCAGTGGTTTCAGTGCATTGATCTGTTTTTCTCCCTTTCTCTCTATTTCCAGCCAAGGAGCTTTGGATTTTAGTTGTATTCTTTCCTACTATGGATTATTTATGGTCTAATCAGCACATTTTGATTATCCGGCTTTTAAGCCTCTCCAACTGTTGCTTTATTAGGGAATATCATCTGGGTGCAAAAGGTAAGAGAAAATGATTTGGTTGATGCAAATATGTAGTCCGTTTTACATGCCAAGACAGACAAATTTTTACTCCCTCTACTCACCTTTCCGGTGTGTCTCTGAGGTATGTTACTTGCTATCTTCGGCTTTGGCAAAAATTCTCAGTTAGCTGATTTGTTTGGAAGGAAGACTAAATCTAGCTTAAATGTAAAAGAGGAATTTATTATAACCTACAAAGACTAACTATAGAAAAGCACTGTAACATACAGACCCTAGACTCTCTCTTTGGATTTGTATGCTTTTAGCTTCTATGTCTCTCTCTGTCCACTTCATTTTTCACTCTCTTTCTACCTAATAGTATTTACTTCGTATGCTCAGCCTACTCAGGATAAAGGCTCAGCAGCTATTTTTAAAGATCCAAAGTAAAATAGCTTAAAAACAAGAAGGCTTTCACCCTGCCTTTCAAATATAAAAGTCCCAAAGTGAACAGTTCATGTTGGCGATCATTGAAAGACTCAGATTCTTTTAAAATTTTAGTTTTTATATAGCCTCTGATATTATCTTCTGCAATTCAGGCTGAACTATAGATAGTTTCTTTCAGCACCTTACAGTACATGGAGACGTGGGCTCACATAGTGCCTTAAAACCAAAGCAAACACATTCCAATGGTGAGAATTTAGTCTACGGACACTTCTGTTGCTGGGGAAGTTGGAAAATACGGTCTTTCTTTAGGCAGCCAAGTGAAGACCAGCACATTCTACCTCAATACTTGAGACTTCCAAAGGCTGTCTCAGCTCCTAAATTTATGCGCCCTAATTTGAAGAGGCCGGGAATATCAATTAATGTCTTTAAATCCCATATTTAAGTTTTCAGGAGAGAGACTCTTAATGGAACACTTTGGGTCTCTTACTCTCTCTTGGTCCAAGAAGTTATGGACAGATGGCACGTGATATAAACCAAACATGGTTATCAATATTCATAAATAAAGTCAAAAACTGGTCCAGAAGAGGGAGTTGTAGACTGAACAGATACAGCAATGATTAGTTACTACCTATGTACTAGACATTTTAATTTTGCCAAGCTAACATATTCTGCACATCAAAAAAATAAAATAAAAAGAAAGAAACAGGATAACACAAACAGAAAGCTACAGACCAAACAAATTTTGTTGATAAAAATATTTTTACATAAAATACCAAAAAAAAACCCACTGAATTTTGAAAGATCTTCAAGCAATAAAACACTGTGTTTAAGTACAGTTCATTTTACAAATGTAAGGGTATTTTATTTAAGGATTCTTTTGATATAATTTATTCTGCCAATATGTCAATGTAGTGAAACTGTTATTTTTATCTTTAGATGGTAAAAAGGAATTCACATTAATTCAATACATATTTTCCTATTGAAAATCATAGCAATATAAATAGATGTACTTACTATTAGGAGATTATTAGAATATCATATCTTAAAACTTCTCATTCATAAAAAATAAAAATAAAAATAAAAAAACTTCTCAGTCATTAATCATATTTGGTGATAGACAGTTTTTTTTTTTTTTCTAATGCCAAAAGTCCCATGATGCTAACTCATCATGATGCATGAGTTGGCTATAGGATTTCAGTCCGTGGTTCACTTTGCCAGGACATGAATGTCAGATTCTCTGACTCCCTTCAATATTGTGAGACAGAGGGAGAGAAAATGAGACATTTTGTGTGTGTGTATATATAGAAACTTTTCTGGATTCTTATTTAACATGACAAATGAAAATCTTTGATGTTGATAGTACCATGGTATCTATTATTAGGTATTTTGTTATTAGAAAACAAAAATAGAAAAAGTGAAATATTTTGCAATGTTTGGGTACTTCAGATATCTCACTGTATAAAAAATACAGAAGAAATTATTTAGAGTATTTTCAATTGAGAATTCTTCTTCTTTGATCTTTCACACTATCAACTAATTCCATAATCAAATGGTGAATTTCATCACTTAGAAGTACTATCTAGATATATGACTGTTTTCAGAGAGATAGATCACCAAAAATAAAGTATAGCATTCAGCTATTTACAGCATTATTTGTTCTTATGTAAAATTGAGTTACTGATTCTTATATCTATTAATAAATCAGTTTCATAGTCATGCAATCAAGGTTCAGTGAGTTTCTAATTCAGACTTGCAGACACATTAGACGTGAAATATGTTTAAATTTAAACAAACAGCCCTAGTCAAAACTTGCATTGCTACCTCCTATTAACCAAGAGATAAAATTTTCCCTTCTGCTATACAATACAACCTCTGATTCTGAACCCCATAGTACTACATCAAGAGAATAAGCATGCTTTGAATATATCTACTTTACTACAAAACAAGTTTTCTATTTCCTATACATGATTTTTGATATTTCTTTTGCTAGACATTAATTTAATACCTGTATTCTAATTGTTCATCTATATATTTATAAAGAGTTTAGCTGTGGAAAGTGTTGCCAAGAGCTGCCACCATCAGTTACTTCTAGGCTTGTAAATTATTGCTTATGCAAGCCTGCAGACAGATCATCTTTATAGAGTCCTGATACAAGTGTGTACATGGGATGCTTAGTCATTATTATGTAACCATTGAGCAATGTAGCAAGATAATGCTGATGGCATAATCAATCCTATTTAGAATCCAAAAATGAGATCTAGTATTCTGACTTGATAAATGCAATTTTTGAAAACAAATGAGGTTATTTTGCTGGAGTTTCATGGTGACGTAATTGGGGTATAAGAAGGTGCTTGCTAAACTCCTATTCTTTGCTTCCTACAGCCTAGCATGGTGTTACTCTGGAAGGCAGAATTTCATTACCACCAACTCCAGCACATCTCTATTTAGGAAGCCAGGGAAATGTGTCTCCCTCCATACCAAGCACCCCTCCACCTCCAGATGAATGTACACTAGTATCTTTAACTAGAAAATAATTCATTTAAGCATATTTTAGTAAACTAGTTTATTTTACATCGATGTGTCATTGTTACCAAATATTAAACCCAGCCCTTGGTAGAACAAATTTACTAGCACATTCTGATGCAAATAGTAGAAACTCAGTGAAAGGTTATTAAGAAAGTGAAGGATACATAATTACTATGCCTTTGAAAGGATCTTCATGATCTCAATGGAAAATTCACTAGCTTTATAAGTGTGTCTCTTTTTCAAGTATTTCCTACCACAATACATTTAGCACATCATTCTCTGGTTATTTTTCTTTAAATGATACATCTCCTATGGCACCATCTTGTCCACAACTTTGATGACTTGGTTGAGGAGAACAAACCTACTATTGTTTATTGAATTTTATGCTTGTTAACTTTAACTTTCAGAATATGTGGACTGAATATAAAAATGATTCAGTAAAAAATAAATTAAGGGACTCTTATTGATTAAGTGACAATTATGAGCACTTCCAACCACTCAGTGATTCATCTTAATAATAATTAAGGCAGATGAGAAAGCAATCTAATGGCAGAACTATTCAGGGTCCACAAAAAATTACATATTGCGGGTGTCTCTTACTGATTATAGGGGCATGATTTTAAGTGAATTCCAATAAAAAGACAAATTCATTGAGTTTGGAAAAACTAGGAGAAGCAGGTTTCTGTGAAGACTAAGAAATAAGTGCTCCATATTGATCTTGTTAATCTTGAGCTGACTAGTTGAAAGCTGAACATGTGAAGCTGGAGCTCAGGGAAGAGGAAATCTAACATTTACATGTTGTTGTCATCCATATATAGTTGGAATTTAATACCTATAGAGTGAAGTAGGCTCATAGGGAGAATGCTCAAATAGGGAAAAGAAATGAACTGAAAGCAAGGTTGGAGGTATGGAAATTTCAGAGATTAGGAAAGGGATATATAGAAGACAAAAACCACAAAAGACTGTGTTTTTTTAAAAAAAGATAATTAGGAGAGAGCATTGTCATAGAATGCAAATAAAGAAAGTATATCAAGAAGGAGGAATTGATCAAAAGTGCCAAATGCTTCATAGAGAAATTGAATTACACAAAGATAACTGCATTCGAAAAGATGGAAGATGCTGATGACCTTAACCTGAGTAAATTTAGTGTATCAGTAGGATAAGAATTGGGTTAAAGTGAAAATAGAATCTAAGGAAACAAACTCTATGAGTTCAGACAAATCTTCCAAAAAAGTTTTATAATAAACAAAAGGTACTAGGTAAGGGGAAGATGTAGAAAAAGTCATATGAGGGTAATACTTTGTCACTGTTTTGTGTTCTAAATAGTTGTTTGTTTTAAGCTGGAAATTATAACAGCATATATGCATGTTGATAAAAAATAATTTAGTAGAGAGGAAATATTGATGATGCAGAGGAAATACAAATGCCTTGAGTAGGCAAGAGCTTATGAGATCTAGAGCACATTTGAGGAAAAGTGTGGTCTGAGGTAGGGCCAGAAACATTCACTGGTGGTTAAAAAAAAAAAAAAAATTAAGCACAGAATATTTATATGCAAACAGGCTTCTAAGAAAATGAGAAAGTTTCTTCATGTTCTACAGTTGACCCTTGAACAATATGGGGGTCAGGGGTGCCAACATTCTGCACAGTCAAAAATCCTCATGTAACTTTCAATTCAGCAAAAATTATAATGGCTAATACCCTATCGTTGACCAGAAGCAGATACTTGTTACAATGATGGATCTTGGAATCTAAGCTGGTCAGAAAAAACAAACAAACAAACAAAAACAAGAACATGGGATGTTAGTGACTAGAGAAAGGATGAATAGTTGCAGAAGGGTAGTTTTGAGAATAGGATTCTTTTTTTTTTTTTTTGAGACGGAGTTTCGCTCTTGTTGCCTGGGCTGGAGTGCAATGGCACAATCTTGGCTCAATGCAACCTCTGCCTCCCGGGTTCAAGCGATTCTCCTGTCTCAGCCTCCCAAGTAGCTGGGACTACAGGCATGCACCACCATGCCCAGCCAATTTTGTATTTTTAGTAGAGACAGGATTTCTCCGTGTTAGTCAGGCTGGTCTCGAACTCCCGACCTCAAGTGATCCGCCTGCCTCAGCCTCCCAAAGTGCTGGGATTACAGACATGAGCCACTGTGCCCCGGCGAGAAATGGGATTCTTAGAGAAGCTGAAGAAATGTTGGAATGGGAATATTGAGGGAATATTGAGCTAAAAAGATAATGGAGGATAGGCAATCAGAGGGTGTAAAGGAAGGTTTTGAATGAGGATCTGCTATAGATACCAACAAAATTAGGGATCATGGCTGAAAAGTAATGGATGAAAATGTCATTGAAACCTATTATGTCAGGGCCTAAAAGCCTCAGTAGTTGGATGGCTCATACTGAGCTTTAAAATTAGGCAATATTCACAACAGTGAAGGAATGATGAAAATGGGCCAACAAGTGACTTAAGATCTAGCTTATATTAGTTACATAAGAAAAAGACAGATGAGGGCAATATAGACTTAGAACATATTGGAATTCTACTACATCAAGTTTATACAAACAATATAATATTAATAGATTAAGGGAGAAAAATAATATCTCAATAAATGTTGAAAAGGCATTTTATAGAATAATACATTAAAATATATAAATATAATATACATGTATACAATCCTTATATAAACTATTATGATCCCTTAACTTTACTGTAGACCACATAGCTGAGGCAATTAGAATGAAATGAGGTATAAGTATTGGAAAAAGGGCAAAATTGCATACTTTCAAATTTCATTATATATTAGTAAATTTGGAGGATAAATTAGGTAATTTTCATTGTCTCTTTCAGGGTTAACATCTCCAATGCCTTGCTGCTTCTTCTGTAGGACCTTGAAGAGGTAAGGTTTAAGAATCCCTGAAATACAGCATGCTTTCTGCTTCCCAATCTTTGCATCATCAAGGGAATATGCATTGACTAGAAGAACCAAATAAAAACACTTATGATTATTTAGGATCTTTATATGTATCATGATATAGTTGGGACCTGTGTCCCAACCAAATCTCATATTGAATTCTGATTCCCACAGTTGGAGGTAAGACCTGGTGGGAGGTGATTGAATCATGCATGTGGAGTCCTCATGAATGGTTTAACACTATTCCCGCCTGGTACTGTCATCTTGATAGTGAGTTCTCTTGAGATCTGGTTGTTTAAAACTATGCGGCACCTCCCCTCTCTCTTTCCTTCTGTTCTGGCCATATAAGACAAGCCTGCTTCCTCTTTACCTTCTGACATAATTTTAAGCTTCCTGAAGCCTCCCCAGAAGCCAAGCAGATGCCAGCAACATGCTTCCTATACAGTCTGCAAAACCATGAGCCAATTAAATCTCTTTTCTTTATAAATTACCTAGTTTAAGGTATTACTTTATAGTAGTGAAAGAATGGATTAATACATACCAATATTAACCCTCCTTACAAAGAATCTCTTTTGCTTTATTACTTTTTGATACTATATTGCATGCACATATCAATATTGTTTTCTATTTGTTTTTATGTTTATAGTTTTGGAGAGTACAAATGCAGTTCAGTTACATGGATATATTGTATAGTGATGAAGTCTGGTCTTACAGTATATCTACCACCTGAATAGTGTACATTTTATCTGATAGGTAATTTTTCATTCCTCACCCCACTACCAACCTTTCACCTTTTGGAGTCTCCAATGTCTATTATTCCACTCTGTATGTCCATGTGTACCCCTGTTGCTCAGTTCTCATTTATGAGCTGTGAACATGCAGTATTTGACTTTCTGTTTCCTCATGATTTCATCTAGGATAATGGCTCCCATTTCCACCCATGTTGTTGCAAAAGACATTATTTCATTTCTTTTTATGGCTGAATACTGTTCTGTAGTGTTTTCTTTATATAATCATTCGCGATGAACATTTTGCTTTATTTCATGACTTAACTAATGTAAATAGTGCTGTGATAAATATACGAGTGCAAGTGTCCTTTTTATATAATCTTTTATTGTTCTTTTTACTTTTGGTAGATACCCACTAGTGGGGTTGCTGGATTGAATCACACAGTCCTATTTTTAATGTTTTGAGAAATATCCATACTATTTTTCATAGAGGCCATTCTAATTTACATGCATTCCCACCATCAGTGTATAAGCATTGCCTTGTATCTGCATTTTTGCTAAAGTCTATTTTTTTGACGTTTTAATAACAGTCATTATGACTAGTGTAAGATGGTACCTAATTGTGGTTTAAATTTGCATTTCTCTAACAGTTACTGATGTTGAGCATTTTTTTATGTTTCTCTGTCCTCTTTTGTAAAATGTCTGTTCATGGCCTTTGCTCACTTTTTAATAGGGTTATTTTTTTCTTATTTACTTGGTTGACTTCCTTGTGGATATTAGCCCTTTGTTGGATGCACAGTTTTTAAATGTGTTCTCCTATTCTGCAGGTTATCTATTTACTCTGTTGATTATATCTTTTGCTGTTATGAAGCTTTTTAGTTTAATTAAGTCCCGTATCTCTATCTTTCTTTTTGCTGTGTTTGCTTTTGAGGAATTAGTTATAAATTGTTTGCCAGGCCAATGTTTAGAATACTTTTCCTAGGTGTTCTTCTAGAATATTTATAGTTTCAGGTTTTATATTTAAGGCTTTGATCTATTTTGCTTTATTTTGGTCTAGTTTCTTTCTTCTGCATATAACTATGCAATTTTCCCAGTATCATTTATGGGATAGGGTATCCTTTATCCAGTGTATGTTTTCCTAGTGTGTGTATTTTCAACTTTGTTGAAGATAAGTTGGTGGTAGGTATTCTTTATTTATTCTGTTCTGTTGACCTAAGTGTCTATTTTTATACCAGTACCATGCTGTTTTGTTTACTAGAACCTTGTAGTATAATTGGAAGTCAGGTAATGTGATGCTTCCAGCTTTGTTATTTTTGCTTAGGATATCTTTGGCTATTCAAACTCTATTTTGTTTCCATATGAATTTTAAAATTGTTTTATAATTCTGTGAGCAATTATATTGGTAATTTAATAGGAATTGCATTGAACCTATAGATTGCTTTGTGCAGATTATGATTCTTCTGATTCATGATTCTGGGATGTTTTTCCATTTATTCATGTTATCTACAATTTCTTTCATCAGTTTTGTAGTTTTCTTGTAGAGATTTTTCACCTTCTTGGTTTAATTTATTCCTAGTTATTATTTTTTGCAGATATTGAGTTTTTATTTGGTTCTCAGCTTGAATATTACTGGTTTATAGAAATGTTACTGATTTTTGTACATTGATTTTGTAACCTGAAACTTTACAAATACAGGAGTCTTTTGGAGGAGTCTTTAGGGGTTTCTAGGTATAAAATCATATTGTCAATTAAGAGAGATAGTTTAACTTTTTCTTTTCCAATTTGGATGCATTTATTTCTCTTCCCTGATCACTATGGCTAGGACTTCCAGTACTATGGCAAATAGAAATGGTAAGAATGGGCATTTTGTCTTGTTCTAATTCTTAAGAGAAATGCTTTCAACTTTTCCTCATTCAATTTGATGTTGGATGTAGAATTGTCATATATGACTTTTATTATTTTGAGGTATGTTCTTTTGTTAACTAATTTGTCGAGAGACTTTATCATAAAGGGATGCTGGACTTTATCAAATGCATTTCTTACATCTGTTGATCATATGATTCATATGATTTTTGTTTCTAATTCTATTTATGGGGTGAAACACATTGATTGATTTGCATATGTTGAACCATCTTTGCATCCTTGGAATAAAGCCGACTTAATCAGGTTATATTATCTTTTGATATGTTGTTGGATTTGCTTACCTAATATTATGTTAAGAATACTTGCATTTATGTTCATCAGGGTTATTTGCCTTTACTTTTCTTTACTTGTTGTGTCTTTGTCTGGCTTTGGTATCAGGGTGATATTGGCTTCATACAATGATCTAGGGAGGATTCCCTCCTCGAATTTTTGGAACAATTACAGTAGAAGTGAAATCAGTTTTTTGTTTGTCTGGTAGAATTCAGCTGCAGATCTGTCTAGTCCTGGGCTTTTTAAATTGGGCTATTTCGTATTACTGATTCAATTTTGTTGCTCATTATTGGTGTGTTCAGGATTTCTGTTTCTTCATGGTTCAATTTTAGGAGGTGTTACGTTTCCAGGAACTTAACCATTTCTTCTAGGTTTTCTAGTTTGCGTAGAGATGTTCATACTAGTTTATGATGATCTTTTATATTTTTGTGTTATCAGTTGTAAACTCAACTTTATCATTTTGGATTGTGTTTGAGTTTGCTCTCTTTTATCCTTGGTTAATTTGGCTATTGGCCAATAAATTTACTTTATCTTTTCAAAAAACAAACTTGTCATTTCTTGAACCTTTGGTTTTTGTTTGTTTGTTTGTTTTTGGACTCAATATCATTAGTTCTACTCTGACCTGACCTTTGTCTAATCTATCTCTTGTCTTCTGCTAACTTTGTTTTTTTGTTGGTGTTGTTCTTTGAGGTGTGACATTAAGTTGTTAATTTGAGATCTTTCTATATTTTTTATGTAGGCACTTAATGCTATAAACTTTCATCTTAGCACTGCTTTTGCTGTATCCAAGAGGTTTTTCCTATGTTGTGTCTCTATTTTCATCCATTTCAAAAAATTAATTCCTGCTACAATTTCATCATTTACCCAAAGATCACCGAGAAGCAGGTTGTTAAATTTCCATGTATTCATATAGTTTTCAGAGTTCCTCTTGGCACTCATTTCTAGTTTTATTTCAATGTTGTCTGAGAATATTTGATACATCATTTTTTTAAATTTATTGAAACTTGCTTAATGGCCAAGAATATGGTCTCTTTTTGATAATGTTTCCTGCACAGAAGAATGTACATTTTGTGGTCATTGGGTAGAATGTTCTGTAAGTATCTATAAGGGCCATTAGTTCTAGAGTCCAGTTTAAGTCTAGAGATTTTTTTATTGTTGATGGTTTTTTTGCCTTGATAATCTGTGTAATGCTGTCAGTAGGTTGTTCATGTTTCGCACTATTATTGTATTGCTGTCTATGTCTTTTCCTAGGTCTAATAGTATATTTCTATGAATCTGTGTGCTTTGGTGTTGAGTGCATATATACTTTAAATTTTTACATCTTCTTGTTGAATTCATATTTTTATCATTATATAATGACCTTCTTTGATACTCTTTTACTGTTGTTGATTTAAAGTCTATTTTATCTGACATAACGATAGGTAGTCCTGCTTGCTTTTGGTTTCAATTTATGAGGAACATTTATTTCCACCCCCTTATGTTGAGTCTGTGAATGTCTTTACCCCTAAGTTGAGTTTCTTGTAAGCAACATATGGTTTAGTCTTTTGTAAAAATTATTTTTGCTAATCTTTATCTTTTAAATGGAGTATTTAGTCAATTTACTTTGAAGTTAATACAGATATGTGATGTTTTGTTTCTGTCTTAATGTTAATTATTATCTAGTTGCTTTGCAGTCTCAACTGTGTAATTGCTTTCCAGGATCTGTGAGTTTTATATTTTCATGTGCTTGTATAATGGCAAGTTATTCTACTTTTGTTTCTAGGTTTACAACGCTTTTGAGCATGTCTTATAGAACCAGTCTAGTTATGACACATTCCCTGAGTGCTTGCTTATCTGGGATAGGCCTTATTTCTTCTTCATTTATGAAGCTTAGTTTCATTTATGAAAAATTCATGGCTAGCATTTTTTTTTTCCTTTAAGAGCTGAAAAGAAGATCTCAATCTCTTCTCATTGGTAAAGTTTTTGCTGAGAAGTTTGCTCTTAGTCAATGGGATTTACTTTACAAGTGATTTCTTGCTGCATTTAGAAATTTTTTCTTCACATTAACTTTGGAGATGGATGACTATTTGCCTTAATGAGATTTGTCTTGCAAAGTATCTCTGAGATGTTTTCTGTGTTTCTTTTTTCTAGAAGTTAATTATCTAGCAAGACCAGGGATGTTTTCCTGAATTCTTTTCTCAAATGAGTTTTCCAAACTCTTACGTTTTCTTCTTCTCTCCCAGAAATGCCTATAACTCAGAGGTTTAGTCTCTTTACATAATCTCATATTTCTCAGAGGCATTGTCTATTTTTAAATTTTCTTTATTTTTGTCTGAGGGGGGCTTATTCTTAAATTATTTGTTCTGCTTGTTCTAGACTGTGGTAAATCTTTCAATTGCATTTTACAACTGCTTCAGTGAATTTTTTGTTTTCAGAAGTTCTGTTTCTTTAGAATACCTAACTTTTTAAAGTATATTCTCATTCATATCCTGAATTGTTTTTTCTATTTTTTGTGTGTGTTAGTTTTACCTTTCTCTTGGATCTCATTAAGCTTTCTTACAATCCGCGTTTGAAATTGTCATCTGTCATTTCAGAATATTCAGTTTGGTTAGAATCCATTGCTAGAGTGCTAGTGTAGTCCTTTTGGAATGTATAAACACTCTATTTTTTCGTACTGCCATAATTTCTACATGAATTCCTTCTTATATGGAGAAGCTGTCACTTCTTGTTTTGAATTCACTTTCATTGGGTTGGACTTTCTGTTTTCTTTGAGGGTATGACTATGATGTGTGTTGTGTATAGTCATTTAACTTTGATTCTGGCTGCTTTCAGGGAACCAAGTCTCTGTTGAGATTTTTGGTCATAGATAGCTTTTGTGCAGTGGCTTTCTCACATGTTGATTATGGTAGCAATTTACTGGGCATATGACCAGGCTCACTGCCTTCTGCAATACTGGGATTACAGATGTCTCCAGAAGCTTATCTCATCCTGCAGCACTATGCCTATCTTTCTGCATGTTTTTACTTGATCAGTTTAATCTCTAGTCCAGTGGGTGCATCTCTAAGTAAGAGCAACCTGGGCAGAAGCAACTGAGTATGTGCTTGATCCTTGTTTACGGGAAGGAGCTCTATGTTATCACATGGGATTTGCTGGTCGGTAGGATGTCCATTGCCCTGAGTTCCCAGCTCAGCCCTGGAGTAGGGAGCCAAAAGTGGAGACAGCTGGACTGCCAAGCTCATCCTAAGATAACCCAGTGAAGACTGGATCCACCTTCTCTGATAAGGGTAGCAGAGAGAGCTCATGGTATAATGTGCCATTATTTCACCAGTGGGAGTGTAGACATTGCACCAGATCCACATCCTGGGAAAGCAGAAACATGATTAATTTCCTTAACATAACCCTGTGGCAAGGCTCATAACTTTCTGTTCAAATGGAAATTTTCATTTATCTGTAGGCCACAATTTAACTGAGGGCCATGGAAAATGTTTATCCTGTAGCTACAACTGAATTGGCCTTGGGAAAGAACCTCTTCCCTCAGCCCAATACACTTAGCTTCATGGGTCACTGGTACTCTACTGTAGTAATTCTGCTGCCCTTTGTAGGAAGGGAGATGGACCACATCCTTCATGCAAGCCCAGGCTGGTAGAGACACTATCAGTGGGACTGTAGCTGTGCCCAATTACTCTGGAATTGGCATCCCAATGCACACCAGCACCCACTCCCCACATGAACAGCCGTGGCTGCATTTGTAGCAGTGTCAGGGGGGCAGTAGGAGAAATTCCCCTCTCCACATCGGTTTCCAGGCACCAGTGTCACCTAGCCACTGAGACAGAACCACACTCCTCCCCTATAGAGCTTCACACTCCACCCGTGTCTCTGTAGGGTGAGGGCACAGTCACCTTCTGCTCACAAGCAGGGAGCTCTTGGGTACAGAGTGTACAATCTAGTTTCTTTTTCTTAAGGGGCACTTTGGCAATTTGTGTTCTCCCTTCCCCCAGGGGTATCTTGCCCTGCAAGTTAGACCTCCAGAAATCTCACAGTTCCCTAGGATCCTACCAGTCCTTTGCGGTTGCCACAGTCTGAATGGATTGTGGGGAATGTTTACATGGGATCTAGTGGTGTGTGGATACAAGGGATGAGACTCTCTGGAAAGGATAGAGGCCCACAGCAGCTGTACAACTGGCATTGTGCCTCCACTCTGGTCTGGGGAGAGGATGAGGAAGACTGCACAGCTGGTTCTGCTCCCAAGTTCCCAAATCCCTTCCCACAGGGATTGCAAGGGAACTCTCCAACAGCTGAGAAGTCAGCACTGTGACACAAGGGTGAGGGGAGCAAAAACACCCCTACCTACCTTTTCCATGAGACTCCAAATTCCTTGGGAGTTGATCTCTGCCAAACTCTTGCTTCCTTCTTCTACTGCATCCAGCTTCCTCTTGTGGGTTCTTCAATAGATTCCTCACTCATCCCTCAGTATCTCACTTGGACCATGGTTACTTACCTGTAATTTTGGTTCTTCTTTCTGAGGAGAACTGGTGTGCATTGCCTCTCGTCAGCCATGTTAATGGAAAACAAACAAACAAACAACAACAAAGAAACAGAATTGTTTCTTAAATGTATAAAAAACTCAACAGAAACAAAATTATAACTTGGCTGTCATGTTTTCCTTTCTAACAGTTAAATGTTTCTTTTTTAAGCTTTATGCTGTGAAAAGTAGTGGATGAGGAAAGAGTATAACCAGGAAATTAAATAATGGAACTGGTTTGAATGGTACTTGAGTAACACTCCAGATGAAAAATGTATTTCTTCATCTTTTTGCTCGTATTCTTGCTTTAGTTCTGTTTTTTCTCCATTATATAGCTTTCATCTGAAATTGTTAAAGTCAAAATAATAGGACCACTGATATATCCAAGACTTTTTAACACATATAGCCACTTTATACTAAGAAATTCTCAGATATTCTGGAATCAGTAGAAAGCCTGAAATAACTAATACAACAAAATTTCATTGCCTGATGTATGCCTCAAGGACAGAATGGATATTATTCAGCAAGTCCAAGCAGACACGAATGGATGCTCTCATAAACAAAATGCTGGAGGCTAGCTACATCATCTCCAACTTTATTTTCCAAGTTTTTCCTTTGCTGTTCTAGACAAGGCACATTAAAAGATGTATCACCTTTCTGGAACGTCAGAGAGGGTAGTGATTACAACGAGGGAACAGGTTAATCAGCAGAATTTATATGTTTGTATCTATATTCTCATTTTTTCCCTCTCCTTTTCTTTCTCCTCTCTCCCTCTTTTATATTTTAAGTCTGCTCATCAGTAAATTTATTGTGACCTGGCTTTCTAGTCTTCTCCTATTTCATTCAAAAGCAAAAACTATACAGTTGGGGAATCAGGAAAGCCAAATACACACATACACACATACACACACACACACACACACACACACACACATTTTTATTTAAAGATGAGAAACATTCTTGTCTACTACAATGAAAGATATTTTTATTTATTGTCATAAACAACAGTTTTGCTATAATATTTAAATGCAGAAACCATTTATTGCGTATATTTTATATCTTAAACACTGTATGTAATATATAGATAGATAAGAGAGTTTATCCTTATCTTCATGGAATCTGCAATTTAATAGGGATAACAAGACACTTATTCTCCCTGTTCCCCCCAAAATTAAAGGAAATATGATAAATATTTGCTCTTGGAAAAAAATAAACATAACACTAAAAATTTTAAAGGAGACAACATTGTGGGGACTCAGAAAATAAAAATAAGAAAAACAAGACATGAAGAAGGAATTTGAGTAAAACTCTGAGGAGCTAAATTGAGATTATATTAAGAGATAATAAAAGGACAAAAGTAGGAAATAAACAAGTATATATGGAAGGCAGCTAGTAGTCTGGTTTCACTGACGAGTAAGGGAGGAGTGGTATGGTGATTAGGGATGAGTAAGTGCTGGGTATGAAAGGCCTTGAGCTTTAGGCAGGAGGCTGGTATCAAATTTATTCATGGTCATTGGAAGCAGGATGCAGTACATATTTTTCGGGGCCCAGTACAACATAAAAATGAAGAGATCCTTGTTTAAAAGTTATTAGGAATTCCAAATGGCTACAGCAGAACATTAATCCGTGTGTAGGTCCCTTCTATGCATGAAGCCCTATGGGATGCATAGGTCACATGTCCATGAGCCAGCCCTGCTGGTCAGTCATTGCTTTTGAATGTTAGAGAAAATGATAGAAAGTTGTGCTTAAGAAAAATAGGTCTAGCAGAATTGTTCAATATAAACTGGAAAGAAGGGGAATAGGAAAAGGAAAACAATTAGTAGATACTAGAATCATAGAGAAAAGTTGTAGCCTGACTATTTCAAATAAAAGGTAATAAAATGATTATCATATATAATGAAAGGAAAAAATCATCCATAATAGTTGGCAAATTACAACTAGCTAAAAAGACAAAGAAGAGCACTGAATCAAAGATGCGTCCACATTTCATGTTTTAAAAGAATAGGAGAGAAAGTAAAAATATCAAGACAGCAAAATCACAAAGAAGAGCTGATTTGTGGGAATATTGGGAGAATGCTAATCTTAATTGTGAGATGCTGAAGTACAACTAGATAGAAAAATATATGGTGCAGATGAGGATATAGGCTCAGCTATCAGAAAAATTTTATGAGAGAAAGAGATAAAGACTTTCAAGTTACATAACACAAAAGAAGAAGTGGCTTTCTTCTTTAAGATAAATTGTTCAAATAATTAATTCTTACAATCATGGGAAAAAATTATTCTCAGATTATTTCATATCCTGATTTTTTCATCTTAGACTTGCCTGGGTTGTCTTCTATACGAAGGTCAGAATTGAAGGTGTGAAGATGAATGAGATAAATAGTGAAGAGATATCTGAGTGAAAAAATAAACTCTAACCTTGAACATACTAATACTCAAGAGTAGGAGAGAGAAAATGACATGATGAAGAATATTTTAAAAGAAAAAATAGAAAAGTAAAGGGTCACTGAAGTAATTGGTGGAAAAACTTCCAAAATGCATATGTATGGAGAAAAAACATGCCCAATGCTATATGAAGGTCAAGAGAATATAGTCTCATAAGAAGCTCATAAATTTGGTAAGTAGGTTGCTGGCACTGATGTGTAAGCTAGAAGTTCCAGGGACAGTGTGGAAACAGCAAACAGATTGAGAAAGATAATCGTGGGAGTGTGAGACGTGTCAAGCCTACATTGTGCAGTGCGGAGGTGACTCCTAGTGGGGGTTGGACACATTGAACAATAGGGAATGACAAGGAAGTGAGAGATTCCGTGAACAATGATAAAAATGTAGTCCGGCCTTGAAAGGGAAACAAGTAAGTGTAGATTCAGATAAAATGGGAGAAAATAAGTGAGTTCAACAATTGAAGATATGAAGATCTTGATATTAAAGACTGTTTTATGAGTAAGATAAGAAGGAGGAAAGAAGAGAGAATATTGAAGATAATATGATAAAAGTCAGAATTTCCAGTTTTTGTGACTGTAGGGAAAAAACATAATGCATTTCAAATTTTATATTTTTAATTAATAAATAATATTTTATGTATGTATGGGGTATATGTGAGTATTTCTGACATGTGTATGTAATGGTCATGTCAGGGCATTTGAGGTATCTGTCACCTTGAGCATTTATCTTTTTTTTTTTTTCTTTTTGAGACAGGGTCTTACTCTGTTACCCAGACTAGAGTACAGTGGCATGATCATAGCTCATTGCAGCCTTGAACTCCTGGCCTCAAATGATCCCCCTGCCTCAGCCTCCCAAGTAATTTGTTACTTGGGAGTCACATGTTACCACTACTGGCTAATTTTTTATTTATATTTTCTTGTGGAGACAGGATCTCACTATGTTACCCCAGCTGGTCTGAACTCCTGGCCTCAAGTGATTCTCCTGCCTCAGCATCTCAAAGTGCTCAGAGGCATGAGTCACTGCACCTAGCCTCATTTATCATTATTATGTGTTGGGAACATTTCAAATTAGCTAATAATTTAAATATAAAGCACACTATTGTCTACTATAGTCACCCTACTCTGCTATGGAACTTTAGAAATAATTCCTTCTATATAATTGTATATTTGTACCCATTAACCAGTTTCTCATCATCATCACCTCCTATATACACACACCTCCTATCCTGTAGTACCAATGATTCCACTCTCTACCTACACGAGATCAACTTTTTTGGCTCCTACTTATGAGTAAGAGCGTGCCATATTTCTATTTTTTTTTAATCTGGCTTATTTCACATAAAACAATGATCTCTGCTTCCATCCATGTTGCTGCAGATAACATGGTTTAATTCTTTTTTATGGATGAATAGTATTTCATTGTGTATATATACTACATTTTATTTTTCCATTTGCCATTGATGGATACTTAGCTTTATTCCATCCCTTTGGCATTGTGGCTTTGCAATAAAAATAGAAGTGCAGGTAATCCTCTGATACACCGATTTCTTTTCCCTTGAATAAATATGAACTAGTGGGATTGTGGATCATTTGGTAGTTCTATTTTTTTACATTTTGAGAAATATCCATACCGTTCTCCATACTGTCTATACTAACTTATGTTTTTGCCAACATTGTGTAACAGCTCCCTTTTCCACATTCTCTCCAGCATCTCCTGTGTTTTTATGTTTTCTTTTGTTTTGTTTTGTTTTGTTTTTCGGCTTTTTGTATTTTTAATAATAGCCATCCTGAGAGGGGTACGATGACATTTCATTTTGGTTTTGATTTGCATTTCCCTGAGGATTAGCGATGTTGAGCATTTTTACATATACCTGTTGCCATTTGTATATCTTCTTTAGAGAAATATTTATTCATGTCCTTTGCTCACTTTTAAATGAAAACAAAAAAAATTTGTTTTATTTTGTTTTTATTATTGAATTGTTTGTGTTCTTTTTTTTCTAAATATTACTTCCTTGTCAGATGAATAGTTTGCAAATATTTTCATCCATTCAACAGATAGTCACTCCATTTTGCTGATGGTTTGCTTTTGTTGTGCAGAAGCTTTTTCATTTAATATGGCCCCATTTGTCTATTTTTACTCTCGTTATCTGTGTATTTGAAGTCTTAGCCATAAAATCTTTGCCTAAACCACTGCCCTGAAGTGTTTTCCTCAGTTGTTTTTTTTCTGTTAGTCTTATAGTTCCATGACTTATTTTTAAGTTTTTAATCCACCTTGAGTTGATTTTTGTATGCCATGGGAGATAGGGGTCAAGTTTTATTCTTCTGCATATGAGTATCCAGTGTGCCCAGCCTGACATATTAAAGAGGGTATCGTTTACCCAAAGTATGTTCTTGGCACCTTTGTCAAACATCATTTGTCTACCATTACATGGATTTATTTCTGGATTCTCTATTTTCTTCCATTGGTCTATGTGTCTGTTTTTATGCCAATACCATACTGTTTTGGTTACTATAGCCTTGTAATATATTTTGAAGTTGGTTAGTTAGATGCCTTTAGATTTCTTCTTTTGTCTTGCTTTGGCTATGTGAAATCTTTTTTGGTTTTATATAAATCTTATGATCTCTTTTTTTTTAATTCTATGAAAACTGCTATTGATATTTTGATAGGTATTGTATTGCATCTGGAGGTTGCTTTGGGCAGTATGGTCATTTCAATGATATTAATTCTACCGATCCATGAGCATGGGATGTTTTTTCATTTGTTTGTGCCCTCTTGGATTTCTTTCATCAGTGTTTTCTGATTTGTGTGTGTGTGTGTGTGTGTGTGTGTGTGTGTGTGTGTGTGTGTGCAGATCTTTCACCTGCTTGGTTTCATTTGTTCCTAGGTATATATGGGTTGTTTTGTGTATGTAATTGTAAATGAGACTGGCTTATTTGCTTCCTGATGGGTTTATTATTGGTGTGTAGAAGTGTAATTTATTTCTGTATGTTGATTGATATATATTTGCATGTTGTTGTTTTGGTATTAGAGTATCATAGAATGAGTTATGGGGAGTTCCCTCCTCTTCAATTTCTTGGAATTATTTGAGGATAATTCATGTTAGCTCTTCTTCGATAGTTTAGTAGAATTCAGGAGTGAAAACATCAGGTCTTGGACTTTTCTTTGTTGGGAGACTATTATTGCTTAGATCTCATCACTTGTCATTGGACTGCTGAGGTTTTCTATTTCTTTCTGGTTCAATCTTGGTAGATTGTATGTTTCTAAGAATTTATCCATTTCCTCTAGGTTTTCCAGTTTGTTAGGGTATAGTTGTTCATAATAGTCTCTGGTGATACTTTGTATTTCTATGATCTCAGTTGTAATGTATCCTTTTTCATTTCTGATTTTGTTTATTTGGTTCTCTTTTTTGCCTTGTTGGTTTAACTAGCTGTTTATTGATTTTAAAAAGCGATTTTTTATTTCATTTTTTTCTTAGTCGCTTGCTTTATTTTGCTCTGAACTGTATTATTTCTTTTGTTTTATTAATTTTGGGTTTTGTTTGTTCTTGTTTTTCTACTTTCTTGTGGTTCACCTTTGGATTGTTTATTTGAAATGGTATTACTTTCTTGGTAGAGGTGTTTATTGATATAAACTTCCTGGTTATCACTGCTTTTGCTATGCTGCATAGGTTCTAGTATGTTGCCTTTTGGTTTTCATTTGTTTCAAGAATATTTTTTATTTGCTTCTTAATTAATTTCTATACCCAATGTTATTCAATAGCATGTTGTTTAATTTCCATGTATTTTTAAGTTTCAAAGTTCATCTTGCTGTTTATTTCCAGTTTTATTCCATTGTTGTTGATATTTGTTTTGTGTCCTAATATATGGTCCATCCTGGAGAATATTCCATGTGCTGATGAGAATAATGTGTATTCTATCACTGTTGGATAAAATGTTCTGTAAATGTCTGTTAGGTTCATTTAATCTAATGTGCAGTTTAAGTCCATTTCTTTGCTAATTTTATATCTAGAAGATGTGTCTAATGGTGGGAGTGAGACGCTGAAGTTCACAACTATGATTTTATTTGAATCTATGTTTCCCTAATAATATTTGCTTTGTCTCTCTAGGTGCTCTAGTGTTGGGTACATAAATGTTTAGCATTGTTATATCCTCATGCTGAATTGATCCTTTTATCATTATATAATGAACTTTTTTGTTTATTTTTACTAGTTTTGATGCTCTGTATTCTTAACTGAGGCCAAAATAAATTCTTGTGATATGTTTTGTTTTTCTTATTCTTAGAAAATTTGAGTCTGGGGTTAAAGTACTGTTATATTTTTACTTTATTACTTTTATATAACAGACTTTAGTTTAGCTCTTGAAACTTTAGCTTTCTGGATTTTTTCTTTTTACTTTAAGTTCTACACAAAAGAGTTGTATTGTGATTCTTTGCTCCTAAACTATTTAAAGGAATTATATTTAGCACGTATTCTCTGCAATCTGAGAGCTAATGATGCAGCTCTTCACTTTCACTGTCTCATTTAAATCTCAATGCCATAAAAAACAGGAAGTGTTGGGTTACTAGGAAGGTAGAAATAAAACAAATCTCTATTTTTTTAATGTTATAGTTGCATTATAATAAATCAGAGTTGAGAATTTACTGTGTATGCAGACTAGTTCAGATAAAGAGCCAGGATTATCTTGGCTATTTCACTGAGCTTATGAACTATATACACACCCTTGATTCTGACTGGGACAGACAGATATTTTGCATTCTTCCACATTCACTATAGGAAAACGGTTTGGATAATGTTGCTTCCATGTGGTCAAGGTCATATAAGGTTGCTAAAATACATGATGTAATCAATAATGCGCTAAGGGCATTTGAGGAATATTTCCCTATTTTTGTTTGTTCTAGGTATTAGGGATGACATATATAAAAATTGTTTAAAATAAAAAAAAGTTATTCCTTGGTTTTGTCTAGGATTCATTTTTTCCTTCTTTTGCTTTGCCCCTTATCCCAACAGTACTCTATGGAATGTGATTATAATTACTGTGAAGTGCAATAAGCAATAATTTACTTTTCTGGGTCTACCTTTAGATGTTGAACTCTGATAGGAAGATCTCTGTCCTAGTGATATTGGTGTCAATAATTCCCAACACAGTGCCTAAATTAAAATACACCCTCAACATTCACTTGTTAAGTTAATTGTAAATGTATATACGTGTCCCAAATTTTGTGAAATAAAGAGGTACATTATCCAATTTCTCCCAGACTTAAAACAAAACTCCCTACCATAGGAATACAAATAGGAATTTGTAAGTTGTTCCATGCACAGATGATGGAATATTTATTCTATCATGCACAGATGATGGAACCACTATTTATTGTATCTTCAATAAATAATGGTTATATTATGGAGACATTCACAAATATTTAGGTTTATCACAGGTAACAAATAGTCCTGAATCAAAGGTCTTCACAAATAGTCCCTATTTACGAACCCTTCAAGTTCCACAAATATGAAAACTTTAAAGCAAAGGCATAGAACATCCTGATACTCTGTGAAATTAGACAAAGTAGGATCATTATAATTTATGAAAAAGAAGTGGAGGTTGGAATCTTCTCTCCATCCCAGGTTCATCCCAGTAACATTTTCTTCCCTGTATCTTCTCTCAAGAATCTTTCTATGCCACTGTTTATGCATCTGGAAATATGAAGAAAAAATAGCCAGCCTAATGGTAGGTGCATCTGTCAAAACTATTTAAGTGAACCTAGTTATGAATCACTTTATTTTGAATATTTTTGCAGAATAATAAACCATAGAATTTGCCACTTTAGTTAAATTAAAAGAAATTACATTTGTTATTTAAATCAAAAAACACACACACACACACAAAAAACAGAGTTGCTTGTTTCAAGTGTACATGGAGCTTCCATTGGTCCTGTTTCAGTAACATCAAGATATAGAAACTTCCCTTCAAAAAGGAATAAGAGTTTGTCAAAATAAGATATCTTAGGATGTTCTTACACTATAGGGCTTTTGACCTATTCAGTGTACTTTAATAACTTGTTTCTAAAAGTGTTTTTACTAATGACCAATTTAGTATTACCCTCAGAAATTTTTGTTTTTCTCCCAATTTCACTCAGTACTCATGATTAATTTATATTTTACTGGCCATAAATGATTTCAATTGGTTCTAGCAATAAAACCTTTCTTATGAGTTTATAAATTTGAACATTATGTGTTTTATTTCTAGACAGTTACTTTGGCCATTATGCACAATTTATAAACAAATAACAGATTTCTCTGCAGGTAAGTAGCAAATATGACTATATTTAGAAACCAGATTACATGTGTAAAGTTCATTATGAAAATGATTGAATTTCTAACTCATTTATTGCAAGAAAAAATAGTAATATTGTACTTTTAAAAAACAGCAGATGATTTACAAAAATGAACGTTTTATATATAGCTAAGTTATATGCCTTTTAAATTTAAAAAAATGACTATATACAAATTCAATAGTACCTAACAGAACAAAAGAACAGAAATACAATCTTTCATGGATATTATTGAGAATAACTCATATTTGCATGTTGAAATTATAAGAAATATTATATAGTTGCCATAATTTTTTAAGATGACGGTATGTGGACAAGAGAAAATAGGCAGTAGATGGCCAAGACTTTATAATATAACAACACAGGGCAAGAAAAAAATGTTTGTTTATCCCTACTTTAAATCATTATATTTTCCATCTAAAATAACTAAACACAAATAAAATACTCAAAACAATTCCATTTTATCCAAATTTCTAGATATGTAAAATTATATTTTTAATCAGGATCAGTATACTTTTTGAAAGTTATAGTTTTAGAATTATCAAAGAGCAGTATAGTAGAAGTTATAATGACCACTGTAGAAACATCGTTTACTGTTGCTTGTGTCTTTGGACAATCTTAGGAAGATGTTACTGGAGTCAATAACAGCTAAGTCTAAAAGCCAGGCTTGAATCTTTACAATCCCATGATTAGCTCGGTGATCTCTAAATACCACTAAATCTCAGTTTTCTCATCTGCAACATCAACATATAATTATCATCTTTGTTATTATTTGGGAAGATGGAGTCAGATTAAATGATAAAACCTTTTAGCAATGAACAATAATGCACAGTTAATAAATAGTGGTTTATTATAGAGAACTTTACAAATATTCAGGTTTATCACAGGTAACAAGTAGTTCTGGATCAAAGGTCTTCATAGGCTCTATAATGTTACTTCAGTCTAGTGAAACTATATCTAATATGCCCATTTAATACCGCAGTATCTAAATACAGGAATTTGAATGAGCTTGAAATGCTAAGCAAACACAGCAGACATCCTTGAAATGTTTTTGTTTTGTCATTTTTTTACTTTATGTTTTCCAATAGAAAGTTACAAATATAGTATATAAAATCTTGTATATCTTACAACCAGCTTACCCCAATGGTTATATCTCATAAAATTATAATATAATAGCAAAACCAGAAAACTGACATTGTTACAACCCTTATAAATAAATTATATAACGTAATCGTTTTTCTTCATTTTTAGTATCTTTCATTTGTGTGTGTACATATATGTACATATGTAGCTTTATGCAATTTTAAATCACGCATAGTTTTGTGTGACCAATGCTGCAATCAAGATGCAGAAAAGTTATACCACCACAATATTGGTAAGGGTCTTCTAGAGGACGGTAAAAATACACACATGCACACACGCACACACATGCACACACCCACACACACACACACCACACACAGAGTCATGCTCCACATAACAATGTTTCAGTCAACAATGGACCTAGTAGAGGACAACGGTTCTATAAGATTGTATTACTGTATTTTTACCACACGTTTTCCATGTTTAGATATACAAATACTTGCCAGTGTGCTACAATTGCCTAGAGTATTCAGTACAGTAATATGCTGTATAGGTTTGTAGCCTAGGAGCAATAGGCTATACCATATATCCTAGGTGTGTAGAAGTCTGCACCATCTAGATTGAGTAAGTACACTTCATATTGTTAGTACAGTGATGGAATCAACTAGACCCCCTTCTCAGATTGTAGTCCCATTGTTAAGTGATATGGCTGTATCTCCAGAGAATAGGACAATACAAATCTCTTTATAGATAAACAGATTTATTATAAGTAATTGGCTTAGAAAACTGTGGAGGCGAGAAAGTCCCAAGATCTGTAAGGTGAGCTGGCAAGCTAGAGGCTGAGGGGATCTGAATTGTTTAGCTCTAGTCTGAGTCTAAAGGCCCAAGGATCAAAAAAAGCTGACAGTGTGGTTCTCTCTGAAGGCCAGCAAACTCAAGACTTAGGAACTGCTGATGTATTTGTGCAAAGCGTTGTGGAGAAAACTGATGTTTGTGCAAGGGAAGTCAGTCAAGATACAATTATTTCTTACCCAGGGTAGAATCAGCCAATTTCTATTAATATATTCAGCTAATTCAGTGAGGTCCATTCGCAATAGGGAGGGCCATCTATGTTACTCATTCTATCAATTTAAAAGTTAATCTTATTCAAAGCACCCTCACAGACACAACCAGAGTAGTATTTGAACAAATAACTAGAGACTCTGTGACCCAGTCAACTTGGCACATAAAATTAACCAACCCAACCACAAATAAACCTCCTTGTACTTCTATATTTGCACCCACCTACTTATCCACCTCCCATCCATGCCCCTTGGCAAGCACTAATCTGGTTTTCATTTTCATAGTTCTACTATGTTGATGACATTTAAAAAAAATAGGAGCTCAAATACAGTGTAAAATTATTTTGAGAATTTTTAAAACTAAGCATTATGCTCTTGAGACCCATTCAGATTGTTGCACTCATCAACAGTTCAACACACTTTGTTGTTTTCTGTTTTCTTCTATTGTATGGTATTCCATTGCACAATTCATCTATGGAATGACATTTGAGTTGTTTCTACTTTCAAATTATTATAAATAAAGCTACTATGAACATTTGTGTATAGGATTTTATGTGAACATAACTTTTCATTTCTCTGGGATAACTGCCCAAGAGTGTGATTGCTGAGTCATATGGAAAATGCTTACTGAGATTTAAAAGAAACTGCCAACTATTTTCCAGACTGGCTGTAACCATTTTACTTTTCCACCAGCAATGTAATAAGATTCAGCTTCTCTGCATCGTCATCATCATTTGGTATTATCACTGCCTCTTAGTCCATCTGCATTCCTGTAAAGGAATACCTGGGGCTGGGTAATTTATAAAGAAAAAAAGTTTCATTTGGCTCACAGTTCTGCAGGCTGTACTAGAAGCACAGCACCAGCTTCTGCTTCTTATGAAAACTTCAGGAAGCTTTCAATTATAGCATAAGGGGATGGGAGCCCCATGTGTCACATGGTAAGAGAGGGAGCAAGAGAAAGAGAGGAGTGAGGTGACAGGCTTTTTTTTACAACCATGGGAAGCTAAGATCTTATAGGAACTAATAGTGAGAACTCACTCCTTACCATGAAAATAGTACCAAGACATTCATGAGGGATGTGACTCCATAACTCAAACACCTCCAACTTGGCCCCACCTTCAACAATGGGGATCATATTTCAACATGAAATTTGGAGGGGACAAATATCTACAGTATATTATTCTGATCCTACCCCACCAAATTTCATGCCCTTCTCGCATTGCAAAATACAGTCACCCCTTCCCAATAATCCCCCAAAGTCTTAACTTGTTTCAACATCCACTTAACAGCCCAAAGTATGAAGTATCATATGAAACTCAAGACAATTTTCTTAGAACCAAGGAGCACTTAAAAGCTTCTAGGCTATTTACGTGCTTCTGAAGTTGGGAGTTCAGACAGCTGAGTTCATCATTTTCTTTCATCACTTTGTCTAGTGATGTTGGGAGCGGCCAATCAACTTTATTATAGTCCTCAGTTATCCACAAATGTTTAAAAGCGTCATGTACAGAGTAACTAAACTTCTTGTCTTTTAAAAATGATGAATCAGCAGTATCTAATGCATTTACTTTGTGGAGCGCTATAGATAGTTCACACCAAGGACTATCAGTGCTCTCCATACTATTAGAAGTAGAGTTTTCAGTATTTTTAGGTCTAATCAGATTAGAAAGCCAATTCCAGAAACCTCAAAACCAATTTAAAAAATTCACCCTTAACTAGGGGGATGGTGCTAAGCTGTTATAAACTACCTGCATGATCCAATTACCTCTCACCAGGCCCCAACTTCAATATGCGGGATTACAATTTAACATGAGATTTGGGTGGGACAGAGAGCGAAACCATATAATAAGGTTCTCCAGAAAGACAAAAACCAATAGAACATTTACATATATATATACACACACACACACACTATATATATATATATAAAACATATATATAATGTATGTTTAAAAGTGTCATGTACATATGTGTGTGTGTGTATATATATATATGTATAAAATGTGTGTGTATGTTTATATATCTCACATTTATTAGAATTGGCCTTACACTATTACAAAGATGAAGTCCCATGATAGACTATATGCAAGCTGGGTAATGAGAAAAGGCAGTAGAATGTCTTAGTCCAGGTCTGAAAGCCTCAAAACCAGTGAAGCTGAGGGTGTAGCTACCAGTCCAAGGTTGAAAGCTTGAGAGCACTTGAGACTATTGGTGCGAACTCTAGAGTTCAAAGGATGAAGAACCTAGAGTCTGAAGTCCGAGGGCAGGAGGAGAAAAGGCCTGTCTCTCAGGAAGGGAGACAGAGTGAGGAAGCAGAGAAAGTTAAATATCATCCTTCTGCTGCCTGCTTTGTCCTAGCTTCACTAGCAGTCAGTCAAATGGTGCCCACCCACATTGAGGGCAGGTCCGTCTTTCTCAGTCCACTGACTCATACTTCAGTCTCCTCTGGAAACATGCTCACAGACACATCCAGAAACTGTGCTTCACCAGCCATTGAGGCATTCCTCAACTTAGTCAAGTTGACATCTAATATTAAGCATCACACACATTCTTTTCCTTGCCGTTCAAATGAGTGCTTTAGTGATGAATCTCTGTGGTTTTAATTTGCACTTCCCTAATAGCTGATGATGCTGCACATTTTTGTATGTGTTTAAGTGCCATTCTTATCTCTTTTCTAGTGAACTATCCATTCATTATTTTTGCCCATTTTGTAATTACATTTTTTTACAGATTAATTTTGAGACTTATTTTTATTGTCTGCATATGTTCAGTGTGGTTTGCAAATATGTGATTGCAGTAAATAACTTTTTTTTATCCTTTTGATAGGGTCTTTGATAGCACAAATGTTTTCATATTTGACGAAGTAGAAGTCATATTTTTTAAAAAGCATATCATACATTTTGAGTGTCATGTCCTCACTTAGCCCTAGTCCAAAAACTTTTTTGTTCATTTTCTTCTAATCTTTAACATTTTAAGCAATTACCTATCGTAATAAATGTATTTCTTACATGTTACAAATCCACTTACAGCAAATATTTGATGTACTCAGATTTGGTCATAATTTTAGACTTACAAAATATCCTGAACATAATTTAACATGAATGTCACAATATCTTATAAAATAGCATTCTGTTTCAGTACTGAGAAGTTGAGTGACAGATTGCCAAAAAAAAATGTGAACAGAAAGAATATTGCTAAGTGGAGTATAATAAAATCTTGAACAAAATGTCTATATCTACTTTTATATAAAATTTTAATTGCCTAGTTAGCTAACTGCTTCCACTCATTTCCAAAATAAGCATATATATTAATAATCATGTGATAATCTCATTAAATTATCCAATAACAAGTGTCACATTTTTAAAAGCAAGTGTAGACAACATTATAAGAAAATGTAGGTCAAGTATTATCATTGGTATTAAGAACAAAAGTTAATTCTGCATTTCCTGGAATTGAAAGCATAAATAAAAACATAATTAGCTATAAAATATTCATTATTAGTAAGAAGTATACTAGCTGGTTAGAAGAAATTTTTCATTCCCTATAAACTCTCAAAAGGCTTAATTACATAGATTTTCCATCAATGACATCAAACAAGAAAGGAATAAGTTTCCAAATATAATTTTACTAATAAGCAGACAGGATGCTTATATAGACATAATGACTTTGAAAAATAAGTTCTCCAAAGAACTAAATAAATAATTTTTAGTTATAAAAGTGTCTGGTAGTATAATTTTGAATACCAAATAAAATGAAATCTGAAGGAATGGTTGATAACTAAGTTTCTTTGTTAATTTATCTTAAATTTTTCCAATTAGCCCAGTCACATTTTTGAGAAAAACTGTAGATCACCTTATTACAATTCAGGGTCTCAGAAAATAGCTAACATTCATTAAGAATCTACTACATGTTGTATATATTCACAAGAAATGGTGGGGAGAAATACACTTTAAGAAAAATTGTTCTAGCTTCTTAATTTGATCCATTTAATTTTCTTCAAAAAGTGCAAGGAAGTTTGGAATTATTTTAATATAATATTTTGTTGTGATTCTTTAAGTGTAATATCATGTTTAGATTACACTTATATTCTCGTTATACTTTCAAGCCCTTTTAATAGATTTTAACCAATGATGCCATGGACCCAGCAGTGCCTTCTATGAGAAGTATTATTCTGTGACGAAATTGTATTTTTATTATAAATACTCAAACTTTATACTTACAGTGAAATGTGGTTATGAGTCTAAATATACATGAGAAAGTCAAGCAGCACCACGGGAATATTACTGTGATAGTAACAGTGCTATGATTTGAATGTTTGTCCCCTCCCAAACTCATGTTGAAACTTAATTTCCAATGTAACAGTATTAAGAGGTGGGGCCTTTAAGCAGTGATTAGGTCATGAGGGCTCTGTCCTCATGAATGGATTAATAGATTTATAAATTGGTGGGTTAGTGGATTAATGGGTTATTATGGGAATAGATTAGTTATCATGAAAGTGGAACTATTATAAAAGCCAGCTTGACTCTCAGTGCATCAAATATTTCCATGCTTTACAATTGACACCTTGGGTCCAGAGAGGCTATTTTAAGTTAGTAAAAAAAAAAAAAAAAAAAAAAAAAAAAAAAAAAAAACTAATAAAATTATCCAATCTAAACATGGCAGAGAAGAAGAAACTCAAATAAAAAGTAAGGATTATACCAATAATTACATGCTTTCCATCTCAAAGGTTAACAAACATTTAACTATGATAACATGGCACACTTTAATCTTCAGAAGTTTTCCTAAATACATCTTGGAAAAAGTTTTCAAAGTAAGAAAATAATTGTTATTGAATGTGCTCTTTTTGCTTCTCTTCTGGAAATAATGGAACAAGAGAGGAGTATGGGGTATGAAATTGTCAGCTATTTCTTCTATCCAAGAGAAGACTGGACTGCCAACAAGTTTAAGTGTACTTGAGCACTTATTCCTAAGTGAAAAATTAGTGTGGAATGTCCATTAGTGTAAAGAAATTGAAAAATCCAGATTGATGATATGCCTGGGAGAAGCATTAGAAATGAGATAACAGTGAGGGAGAGAGGCTTCAGGTTTAGCTGTAGAATATGGGAGAGATGAAAACAACATAACTAAAGTAAAATAGACAGGGAAGAAATTCCTGTAGACTCAGAAGCCAATTGAAAGGAGCGAAGTTCTAACACCAGGCATAACGGCGTGAGCACATTTTACCCTGTCTTTCTTTCTAGCTAAAGATATAAACCTGGACAGAATGTAAGGGGCAGCAGTTTGAGAACCAGAAAGTAAATGACATATCAAGTAAGAAGACGAGAATTTGAAACAGTGTTTTCTTCTCTCTCTGATATCCCTTAAGCTAATCTCAGTACAGCCTGAAAATTGGAAGTGAGCACTGGAACAAACAAAGCTGTAGAAGCCCTCTAATTTTGGTCTGAGGAACAGGAAAGGAAACACCCAACACTCTGAGGGAATGCATAAATCCCTCCCTTTTTATTTTTTTACCTCTTTTTCTCTATTTAATCTCTCACTTATAGCCCCTAGGCAATCTCATGCTGTTGGTACCAGCACTGGCTGTGACAGGCCCCTGCAGGAGCCATAACTCTAAGGGACAACCCTCATTCTCTCTGCTTCTGGAGGCACTGTGGTTCCAAGCAAGTGGGGTGGACCCTCATTATATTATTTTTGTTTTTGTTCTCTTACTGCTTGCCTTTGAATGCAGAGCAATTGCAGAATTATACAGAAGAATGGGGTAACTAAAGCCCCAGATTTCTGGTAAGAGAACCAAATAGAGGACTCCAGGAAACTGGCTAGTTCTAAGGAGAGTCTAGAGAGGAAAAAGCTCAGGAAAGCTATTCCATGAAGAATATTATAACTATTAGATAATTTACACACATATTTCAAAAGCTCCTGGACAAACGTAAAATATTTAGGCCCAAATGATTTCAATAGAAAATACTGTCACCCATTTAAAGAAGGGATAACACCAGTTCTACAAAATCTCTTCTAAGAAACAGAAAAGAAGGAAACAGTTACTAAACCATTTTAGTGCAATATTACATTAATAACAGAAAGAGAGAGACAAGAACTATGGACTAATATTCCTCATAAGCTAAGACATAAAAATCTTCAGCAAAATATTAACAAATTGAGTAAAGTGATGAGATTTCTTCCAGGAATGCAAGGCTAGTTTAATATCTGAAAGTCACTTCACATTATCCAACCTATAACATAGGAGAAAATCTTTATGACCACAGGTTAGGCAAATAATCTTTAAATGTGATATCAAAATAATGATCCATAAGAGAATTATATTGATAAACTTTCATTTTATGGAGAATAATGAGCCATTACAAGTAGCATTTCACCCTCTATGTTTGAGAAATGCTTCATACAGTAGCATGTACAAAATGTATGTAAATTGATAAATAGCATAAATTTTAAAATTTTATAAAAACTTAGTCCTAAATAATTTTGTCATGATTTTGCAATGAATTTTTAAAAATTAAACTGAAGTAATAATGTTTAACTAATGCAATTTTTTTTGGAAATGCTGGTACAGTTACTGTTCCCAATCATATTTTTCCAAAAGAATTAGGGTTGCCAATCCAATGAGATTTTTGTAACTGAATGTAAAAGTGTAAATATGTGAAATGAATGAAATGTTATTAATGAATAAATGGTATAAAATATCTATATACTTCCTAAATTAAATATATCTAAAATTATATAGAAATAGAGATAAAGAGATCGGGAGATATGTGATAGATGATAAATAGATAGATCATGTGAAATGCATGACACTATTTGCCTTTATAGATGATTTATATTCATTATTCTGAATCATCTTTGAAGGAATAAAATAATCTTGTGATAAAGCAAAGCACCTTTCTTTTTAAGAAATATATTTAAATATTTAAGATAATTGAAACTGTATGTTCAGTAATTTACCAATATTTTAGCATATAATACACAATAGTTAAGAGAGTCTAAAATGGCACTGTACATTTTTGTATTTTCGCAGGAATTTATAGTCTCATTATCTTGTCAGTTCTTTCAAAGTTCATAGGTTAATGCCATCCTGGCATCAACCATGCCTTTAAGTTAACAAAGTACTTTAATTGTAGCTATAACTTATTCCTTGTAGTTTAATATCTTTGTGTAGAGCAAAACATTAAAATGAGAACTACAAGAGGTCAATGTCTGAGATCCTTGGTTCATTGCTGGAATAAAAATTAGTATATTTCAAAGTCTGTAAAAGGATCTAAAGAAAGCTAATTTTACCTAATTTTCAGAGTTAAAAAACACAGTTGGTCTTAGTCTAGGAATTAAAAAATTTCTGATTTTTGAATTGTTTTACATGATTTGTGGCAAATCAGTAGTAGGAGTAGATAGCTATCCTATGAAAATATATGTTTAAAAATGTAAAAATATTATTTTGTGCCTATTACAGTGTTCTATCATGTAATCTAGAGGTTTTAAAGAGCAGAGGCTCTGGTTATAATGGACAATTGATTTGAAAGTCACTATCTATGAATTTTTTTGAAGGTTATTCTGGAATTCCAGTTTATTCTCAGTCACAATTATTTTCTCAATAAAATGGCCATCAATGTTACTGTAACAATTCAATTTTTTTTAAGTTTTCTGCAATTAGGAGCCATGGAACACATAGTGTTCAACACCATTCTTCCTGGATAAAAAATAATCATGTTGTAAAACAAAATGAGGCCAAGATGCCACTATTCTGACTTATTGTTTACTTTGATTTATTTCATCAACGAGAATCATATACAAATTGATAAGTAAACAATGTTTTTAAAGAGAATATTAAAAGGTGTTTCTATCTTTTTTTGTTTGTTTGTTTTTTTAATTTTTTTTTATTATACTTTAAGTTTTAGGGTACGTGTGCACATTGTGCAGGTTAGTTACATATGTATACATGTGCCATGCTGGTGCGCTGCACCCACTAACTGGTCATCTAGCATTAGGTATATCTCCCGATGCTATCCCTCCCCCCTCCCCCCAACCCACCACAGTCCCCAGAGTGTGATATTCCTCTTCCTGTGTCCATGTGATCTCATTGTTCAATTCCCACCTATGAGTGAGAATATGTGGTGTTTGGTTTTTTGCTCTTGCGATAGTTTACTGAGAATGATGATTTCCAATTTCATCCATGTCCCTACAAAGGACATGAACTCATCATTTTTTATGGCTGCATAGTATTCCATGGTGTATATGTGCCACATTTTCTTAATCCAGTCTATCATTGTTGGACATTTGGGTTGGTTCCAAGTCTTTGCTATTGTGAATAATGCTGCAATAAACATACGTGTGCATGTGTATTTATAGCAGCATGATTTATAGTCCTTTGGGTATATACCCAGTAATGGGATGGCTGGGTCAAATGGTATTTCTAGTTCTAGATCCCTGAGGAATCGCCACACTGACTTCCACAATGGTTGAACTAGTTTACAGTCCCACCAACAGTGTAAAAGTGTTCCTATTTCTCCACATCCTCTCCAGCACCTGTTGTTTCCTGACTTTTTAATGATTGCCATTCTAACTGGTGTGAGATGGTATCTCATTGTGGTTTTGATTTGCATTTCTTTGATGGCCAGTGATGATGAGCATTTTTTCATGTGTTTATGCAGCCAGGTGTTTCTATCTTAAGTAATCTGTTAGATTGGAGATTTCCAAATTTGCTGCCTATAAGACATGCAAAAACTTAAAAAATATATTATTTCAAGAAATGGAATATACTGCAACAAAGCAGGAGAATCTTTTGAGATTAGCAATGAAACAAAGTTGCCCACCCAGGAAAGTAAGTGAGTGGCAGTAATGCCGAAATACCCTGATGGAATTAAGCCTTCCATGTATAGAGCCTGCACAGAGAAGGAGAAAGGAGAGACCATGAGCTAAGCCTTGGACTAGTGCTAGGAAGAGAAACTACACCTTAAAAATAAGGGAATCAGAAAGAGCTACATCTTGAGGAAAATCATTAACTTAAAAGATAGTTTCCTGTGTGCTCTTAATGGTAGATTAAAAGACAAATAAAAAAGGTCCCCCCTCCTTTCTAGTATTTCAAAGGCATTAACTACCTTATGTGTGTTTAGGGCCTGAATGTTTACATCCCAAATCATCCAGTTGAGATGATACTTCAGGAAGTACCAGGAAAAGTCCAACATAAATCTTCTTGGATAAACACACCCTAATATACACATAGGGTATGAGTGATGTTACCTGTGTGGAGGGTATGTGGGTCTCCACTCCAATGTATCTTTGAACTTCTGTAGAGAAAATTTCAACAAATGTCAGCCCGCAAATAGTAAAATCACAAGCACAAGAAAGTAGGAGGAAATTCAAAACAAATGTTTACACAGTAGCGAAGTGCTTAGCAAGTTTCAGCTAATTTATTTTTATGGCTTTTATCAATTACATCATAATATACTGGAGTTGATTTCATATAGGCAGTGACACAGTAATTAATACGGATTTTTCAATCAGAGAGAATCAGAGAGCTATGTAATGTGAGGTGGCGGATAAATGCAGCAGTGTTGAAATGAAACTACCTAATTTATTTTCATAATTAAAGGGTAGTAATAAAAAAGACACTAATTTAGCTTCAATCGTTAAAGAGATTCTTTGGAAATGCTGAAAGAGAAAAATGTCATCAATAGCAGCCCCAAATGGAAAGACCATGTAGCAAAAAAATTTAAATAAATAAAACATCTTGTTTTCTAAAAGCCCCCACAGAGTTTTTAAACAAGTAATTCTCATGGAATTAATATATGTGCGTGTGTCTATATATATATGTGTGTGTGTATATATATATATATATGTGTCGGTATATATATATATATATATTATATGTGTGGGTGTGTGTGTGTGTGTGTGTATATATATATATATATATATATATATAATATGTGTATTCTCAACAAGTTTCAATGCCTTTGTAGAGAGATTGTAGAGAGATGTTAGTTGTAAAAATGTTGATAGATAGATTGCTGGTAAAAATCTATACCCCCCAAAAAGCTCATTATAGACTGTTTAACATGGACTGAAGTATTTCACATGTGCCAAATAATTTTGTTTTCATTTTGCTTACTTACTCACACATCATTCAAGCATCTTTATTTAACATTTAGCATGCACCTTGCACTGTTGTAACCACTGAGGATATGGCAATAAAACAAAGTGCAAACAATGTCATTAGCTTCTTACATTTGCGTGTTGAGGAGGCAGACAAAAGATGTAAAGAAATGAATATATATTAGATGCAATAAGTGTTTTTGAAAAAGAAACAGTAAAGGAGAATAGAAAATTACAGGATACTATTTCATATAAGTTGCTAGAGTAAGACTCCTCTGATAAAGCAGCATTTGTTCAGAGACCAGAAGTAAGCTACAAAACAAAAACTAAGCACTTTAGCAAAAGAGTGTTATATCAAAAGGAACAACAGGTGCGGACTCTCGGGCAGAAGCAGATTCAGCATGTTTGCAGAATATCGAGTACGTCATTGGGGTTAAAGCAGAGAGTTCTCCGGAACTACATCATGGGGAATCTTGTGGATCATTGTACTCTAAGTTATTTTGAATGAGATGGGAGCCATTGGAGAGTTCTAAACAGAGTAGTTACATGATCTGACTTAGGCTTTTAAATGGTAATTCTGGCTGCACTGAGGGGAAAAAACAATGGAGAGAATGGGACAAGGGTGACAATAAAGAGAGCAGATAAAGAACTACTGCAAATGCACCAGTAAGAACTTATAAAGGTTTAGATCATGTTGGTAGCAGTGCCAATAGACAGAAGACGAACAGAAAGTACAGTACAAGAAAAAGACAAATGTCAAAGAGGACTGAATGATTTTTGGCCAAATTAACTGAAGAATGGAACTACATTTTAGTTAGATGGGAAAGACTTTTGGTGAGGGAAAACAAGAGTTCATTTGGACATTGAAATGGTGATGTTGAGTGGAGAATTTGATTTTCACCTTTAGAATTCAGGAGAGAGCCCTGAGTTGAAGATATACATTTAGTTGTCATCAGAAAGAAATGTTATTTAAAATCACGAGAGATTATGCTCTTACCTAGGGCGTGAATTTACATAAAAGAGAAAAGAGTTTAGAACACTGGGATCAAGGCTGATCAAAGTTGAGAAATCAGTAGGAGGGGGAGAAACCAGTAATGAAGTGTAGCAAGAAGCATCCAGCGAAGTGGAAGGAGAACAAGTGAAGAGTGACGACTTTAAGTGGAACAAAAAAATGTTTCAAGAGCAAGTTATGATCAACTTTGGCTATTGCTTCTTCTTGTTTAAGATATTACCTTGAGAACTAAAAATTGTATTTACTACCTGGAAGTCATTTGAGACCTGCACAATGACTGTTTTGATAGAATGTTTAGGGATAAAGCTTGACTAGTCTGAATTTAAGAGATAATTAGTAGAAATAAAGCACATTCATTGGGGAGTTTTACTGTAAAGGTAGCAGAGAAATGCTGCAGCAGCAATAAGGGGATGTAAGGTCCATTTTGTTTAAAATAAGAAACGCTGTACCATGTTTTATGATCTTGGACTAAAAAGTAAAGATAGATAATTGATGATGCCAAGATCAGAGGATACAATTGCTGGAGTCTTGTCCTTGAGTAAGTGGAAAATGTATAAATGGAAGGACTGACTTTAGCTGGGATCATGAATAGTTCATAGAAGGCAGATGATATGGATATAGCTATGGATTTAAACTACATGCAACATAACCCAGCATAGTTGTGCTCATTCACACAATTGTCCATTCTTCTTGGTGACTATTTGGTAAATGTTTTAAAATTTGACATCCTTATATAGGCCAATGAAGAAGACAGTATAAAACAAAAATTGAAGTGCATTAAAAAGTAGACTCCAGATTCTACATTTTCTGGAAAATAACTAAGAATAAAAAAGTATACAGTTAGGATAAAGTCACTTAAAATCTATTTGCAAATTTAAATTATTTTAGTTTTCCCACATTTTGAATTGATAGATTTGCTGTAAGAAGCATTCTGGAATTTTTACTATTCTTCCTTCACATGTTTAAAAGAAAACATTCTAATATGTAATACAATTTAAATAGTCTCCTTTTGGATAGACGATACTCCTTCCAACATTTGTGTTAATTTATAAGTTTGTAAAAATGTGTTCTACTATTGGTCAGAGTGCAACTACAAAACAAGAAACAAAAGAGTAAATAGAGAAACAGACAAGCAGGAAGAAAACTTCAGCCACCCTCCAAAGACACATTTTTCTCTTTCTAACTGCCCTCTACTCCTGCCTTTTTTGTACACTTGATTGTGTTTTTGTTCCTTCTTCCTGTGATTTTTATGTTTTATGCTGGTAAGACAGCTCCAGGGTCAGTCCCAGCCCATCATGTGCATTTTAATGACTTGGGATTGAAACACCTGGCATTTATTTTTGGTAGTAATTGGCAGATTATATAACCTACTAACATTGTAATTGGTAACATTACACAGCTCAGGATGTTTTGAAGCTAATGTTAAAATGTAATTGAAATGTAAGTATAGTGGCAAGTGTGGTAGATAGCAATGCATTCTAATATTTTTCTATTTAAGAAACCCTCAAAATAAAAAAGCTAGTTAAAAACAATTTAAAAACTTAGAGCAGATTCCTATCTCTTCTCACTGGACATTGATTAGCTAATGCATTAATCTAGTAATTACATTGTTTGGTTTTATAATGTTTCATTACTATTATTATTATACAGTAATGTTTATCTCAAATTCATTGGTGAATATTACCAGACAAGAAGGCTTCCAACATTTTTTAAAATCTTAAGGTTTTTATGTTAAGGGCCTTTTTCATATTTTGGTAATGTGTTATATCTCTGCTGCATTAAAGGTAAAATAAGTGCACATTTTCTGCATGGAAATCTTTATATTCAGAAGCTTTTGTGTTTTTTTACTTATACAATAATATGGGATTTTTCTTTTGGCAAAAGAGAGTTTACCTTTCTTAAAAGATTTCGCAATATTATGAAGCATTAATTCCATATATCATCTTATATTTTCTGCAAATGTTTCTGCTATTACCAAAAATAACTAAGTAAAATCAGCAGCAAGAGAATTGTGCTTTATAGATTAAGTTCAGCATCAAGTTGGCACTATCACCTCTTCGGGTCATCACCTTTTTTACGGTGATTGGCATATCTGATCTGACATTTCTTCAGCCTGCCTTTTGATTGGCTAAATTTCTCAGTTAGCCCTCCCAAAGGCACAGCCTTGGACCCTGTGCTTTGTCCAACAGCTGTGCTTCCCAAGAGCAGCTAAGCATTTTCATGAGGAAAGGACAGAGAGGTTAGAAAAAAATGTCAATCATCTCTACTTGTATTGAATTCCCTGCTGCACTAAAGATAAAGAGAATACCATTTAAGTGACTTCAGCATAATTTCTGTTATGTCTATTTATGTCCAAATGGAATTGTATTGCCTGACCTAGTTTAACTAACATAATTTGTAGATTCACAGGGTTATTTTCAACAATTCCAAGTATACCTTAAATTAGTAGATTCATAAAAAGCATATGAAAATAAACTTAACCTCTTAGAACTTGATCGCATAGTGTTTCTAAAATATTTTGTGTATGCATGTATTTTATTAAACTATTACAAAATATAATGGTTTTATGAATAGGACTTTGTCTTTCCTGTTAGAAAATGTCAATTATTAAAGTCAAATAGCAATTTTTTCCCAATGACACAAATGGGGCTTTTCAAATGATATATTAAAAATTAGCATGTAAAAAGGGCTTGTCTCCTCATACATAGCTTTCCTGGAAATTTATGCTTAGAGGTAAAAATATAAGATACACAAATCATGTAGGAGTAGTCGCCTCTCTTTCTGAATTGTTTCGTATTATTTTTCTTGGTAATTAGAGACAAGCATTGAACTAAAACTTATTTTAGCTTTATTATTAGTATTTATGTTTCCAAAGTGTTACAATATTCACAGTAAGGAACAAAAGAAATTTATTTAACACAGATAAAATTATTATTAAATCTATTAATATGGAATTATTAATGTCCTATGCAAACAAATGTACTTTTGTCAATATCTATATTTACCTATTTTTTCTGAAACAATTCAGTATTGATACAAATGAATTGCAATCACAAAGAACATTAATATAATTAAGTCACAATGTAATAAATATTTTCATCTTTTACTGCATACATTTTCTAATTGGCTTTTTTTTCTATTCATAAGGATTTCAAAAAGATCTGGTGGGAAAATATTTACTATAAACACACTAGTGACTTGATAAAATAAATTATTTTGCTATTAGAGGGAGGAAGGATGGAAAAGGCTGCTCACTTCGTTAGAGAGCTGATCTAAAATGCATCACCTGTCACCTGTGCAGTCCCCGTTTGACAGTTCAATACTTCCTCATCTTCTGAGAATGGCATTGCTGAGCTCTGAGTAAACTGTGCCTGTATGCAAACTGTCAAAGAGAGCCTGACACATCATTAGTACTGACCTCCATGATGACAATCACAACATGAAACCAAACAGCACAGCTAATTTTCATTAGAGTTCAAATTAATCTCCAAATCTTTCCATCCAGCTCTGTGCAAAGCATGTCCCAGAAAGAAGGCATTTCATGAACTGTGTGATAGACTGACAAAATCCGACGCTTAGAAATCCACATAAAAGTCCGCATTCTAAAAGGCTCAATACGATTCTTTTTATAACTCAGGCAAAACGCAGCCTTTGCGACCAACAGTGGAATTAAATTAGTTTGTGGTACCTCACAGCAAGGATTACAAGTTGCTCAATCTCAGCAGCGCTGCTGCTTTAATTCCCTTTCAGATCAGATGCTTCAGATGAACACCAGCTGCCACAAGAGGCACGTAGCTATGGCACGGCTTGCCAAGCTTTCTGATGTTTCCTTGCCCAGCTGCTCCCTGACCTTACTTAAGCAAGGAGTTCATGGGAAAGCGCACAACACTTGGCCCTGATATGAGAAAGTCAGCGAGGGAACAGGATCAGCAAGTGTCACATTGAAACACTGTGCAATGATGCAAATGAACCAATTTTCTGGCTTTTGCTCTTCGAATCTCAAAAAGTTACAGAGCTAGGTCACTTGAGGAAAACAATCTTCCTCCCACCACCAAGACGGTCACAATAGCACATTACTTCTGCTCTCACTGTGTTATAATCAAATGAATGACCTTTGGTCCTGACCAAGAGTTCTTACTAAAGCTATCGACACATAGAGCGTTAAATTGTCATGTTATACATACAGAAAATGTGATTCTCTGAATATTTGTTCAGTTCAATATGGGGAAAATGAATTTTAAGGATTAAAGGATTGGTTTTAAATACTTAAAGTGCTTATTTTTGTATCCTGATACATGAATTGATTTCTTGCAGAACAAAGCCAAATTTTCTCAGCAAATTATATCCGGCACCTTTGGAAAAGCATTAAATCCTTGAGGTAGCCTTGATCCTGTTGCTCAAATTACTGCTTCAGTGCATCAAAAAGACACCTGTTTAGTTGCTCTGGGTATGCAAAACAGAAGATCTACAAAGTATACTAGAAAGTAACCTCAAGCACTGAGGCATAACCGTGGGATACTGAAGGTCAAGAGCAGCCAACTATTCGGAAATTTAGTGATCAGATATGGAATAGCTCATTTTGTGCAAAGGCGCTGGACAGCTGGTGAAGGAAAATGGCACAACTACAAACAGTGACAGGCTCTGGAGACAGCGACTACATTAGCAACAGTGATGTATATACAGTGATTCATATTTTTTCCCCTTTCAGCCATCCCCACATAAATAGCAACAGCATCAGCAATAATAACTAAGCTTGAGATATGAAACATCAATGATATATTTTTAATTTTCTCCACTTTGGGATATTTGTCATAATTTAATTGAAGCCACATGGCATAATAGAAAAGAGCTCTGGGCTTTGAAATCAGATAGGCCGTGATGTAAATGGTGGTTTTGACTCTTACTTATTTTGTGACCTTCAAATGGCTACTTAAACGTTTTTATATACAGTTCCTCCACTGTATAATAGTGTTAATAACACTCACATTGCTTGACTAATATGTGAATTAAAAGTAATATACATATGATAATAAAGAGACAGTATCACTGGAATGTCTAGTGGTAATTATCGATTTGGGTTGGTAAATCTAGATTTCCTCAGAGCGTAACATTCTGCTAGATACTTGAACTAAAATTTAGATAAACTGCTAATAGAGTGATAAGGGTGTTTCGACTTTATTTTTAAGGGTTGAACACTTAGTTTTCTCAAAGCACAATAGTTATCTAAGTCAAAAATAATTCAAATCCTTTATTTATCCAGTTGTATTTTTTTCATAAAACATTAAGATGATTAGTTAGTGGTACATGCCTACCAAAAAGAGGAGCTCAAGATTTCTTCATCCTTTTATTCTTTCTCTTTCGATGGGTCAAATCAAAGCACAAGATACTAAGACTGAGTTTGTTTCTATACCTTCGGAATCGCCCACTCTCCCATTACAGCCTCTCGTGGGACTCATCACACTGGAGCCTTAGTCTTCCAAGAAATGAGCACAAAATTAGGGCCTACTCAAATATGAAGGGGTACATCTCTGAGAAGGCCTAAGATTAATGGATTCATCTAGATCTGCCCTAAATATCGAAAAAAAAAATGTTTTTTTCTTTACTTTAGTCTCCTTATACCTCTTTGTTCTGGTCTTTCATTCTAACCGAATCCTAATTTTTTGAGGGCAATGATTTGATTGAGCCCCTATTACCTAAAAGATACAGTTCTAGACTCTGGAATATAATGTTAAACAACAAGCTCAAACAACAAACAACAAACTTCCTGTTTGCATAACTTGTATTCTAGTGGAGAACGTCGAAAATAAATAAATAAATAAATAGATGCATATCAGTTAAAGTGCTATTAAGAAAAACAACAATATTACATCAGATGGTAGAACAAAAATAGTAGTAGAAATCATGGCTATAATTCTTTGAGGTCTTACTGTGTGCAAAATATTGTTTCTGATATACTATTGACAGAGAAGGTAAATATGTACACAGAAGATGGAAGGATAACAGTGTGCCTGGGGATAATGGGGATGTGGTACGGAGGGTTGAAATTATTCTGCACAAAATCCCCCATGGAAGTAGGAGGATCTGGCATTAGCAGAAAAAGCATATAATAGAGGGCTAGATACATGGAATTTGAGGATTCAGATGTCCCCTCGTCAATTCATTGCAGGTCTCACTAGAAGCAAACTATAATTAATAAAAAGCTATCTCCACTTTTAACTAACTACTCAGAGCAATATATATTTTGATAAAATATTCTAGTGTATAGGTCACCTACTGTTTTTTTTTTCTCCTTGTATAATCAACACTATTTTTCTTGTTAGGCCTAGTAGAACATACTTTTCTAACTCACATAGAATATTCCCAATATCATTATGGTGCTTAGAAATGGAAACAACTTTATGTCAAAGACCATTATAAAGAGTTTCAATTGCCCCTTTATTTGTTTTAATTTTTAATTCTTTATTTTTAATTTTTGTGAGTACATAGTAGGTGTATATATTTATGGGGTACATGAAATATTTGTATACAGGCATGCATTGCATAATAATCACATCAGGGTAAATGGGGTATCAATCATCTCAAGCATTTGTCCTTTGTGTTAAAAAAATCCAATTATATGCTTTTAAATGATTGTTAATGAAAGAGGCTAAAACACTTTCAAAATGAGTGGACATGTAGGTACTAAAATATATTTTTTATTTGTTTTAGAAGACATTTTTAGACATTTTGTTCCAGAGAACAAAATCATAGATATATATGCTTTTACCCATCAACTCTATCACATTTTACAATTTTTCCATAATTACTTTGGAATTTTTTAAAGAATATAACACAGATTTAGTTGAAATCCTTTATATTCCCTTTCCAGATCTCATTTTTATCCTCCTAATGGAAAGAGAAGAGCCACCTGGATATGGTGTCTACTTTTCCTATGGATCTTTTAAACTCCTATTACATCAGTAGGCACCAAAACGTAATATGTTGTATTGTTGGCAAGTTTGCTGCTTTATATAAAGAGTAGCCATCTGCAACTTAATCATTTTCATCCAACCTTACATTTGTTAAAGTTATCCAAACTAACACAGGCATATTTTGGCCATTTATTTTCATTTTTGGATATGCAGTAATATATTAATGTAAGATTTTAACTCATTATCCAGTTTATAGACTTTTAAGTCATTCCAATTTTTCAATATTAAAAATAAGGTTACAAAAAACTATTTCCTACATAGTCTCATTGTGCGCAAATTCAATATTTTCTCTCTGGCAGAGACTATCCCCAGTGTGACAAATGGATTTCAGGTGTGTCAATATGGTCACACCCTCAGGCATCTGAGTAGCTGGTGGGAGAGGGGAACAAGGCCCAGACCTGTTGCCTCTTTGGACACCCTGATTTATTTACCCCAGTGGGTCTTCAAATATTATCATTTTTCTGATTTTTTAAAAGAAAGTATTTGGGAAACACCCCCTTTATTTAACTAAAAGTAGAATCTCTAGTGATTTGGTGTGCAGAGAAGAGTTAACATAAAAAGCTTGAATGTCATCCTTTTAAATAGGGCCACAAGGTCCTATTGCTTACAAGGCTGGCCCTTAGCTGGCACCTGGAAACATGGATTTCAAGAGAGTGGCATCATCCCTAGGACTTATAAAGATGTCTCACTGTGCCTGAACCGTTTGTGCAAACAAGAGTTATACTTAATACCTGCTTTCCTTCTGGCAGTCTAGAATTTTAGTACATGCTAAGCAGAGTGCCTATGAGACTATCCCTTAATAAAAACGCTGGGAACTGAGTCTGTAACAATCTTTCTCGGGAGGCAATAACATTTCACATAAGTTGTCATAATTCCTTGTTGAGGGAAATAAGCACATCCTGTGTAAAGGCATGGGAAGGAGACTCTGATAGCTTGTGCTTGGTTTCCTCAGGACTTTGACTTTCCTCCATGTGCCTTTTTCCTTTGTGATTTTGCTTGGTCTCTTTTTTGCTGTAACCAACCATATCTCTGAATATGATTCAATGCTGAGTCTTGAGAGTTTTCCTATAGGATCATCAAACCTGGAAGTGGTCTTGGGGACCTGACACATGGAGTATTGCACAAGCTTTACTAGAATAATTTCAGGATTTTGAAATTGTAAACTAAGTCAACACTTTTCTTGCAACCCAGAACATTCGAATATGGACCTGGAACCCAGAGATTTTAGCTAGAGTCCCCTGAAAAGAGGAGGCTTCCTCCTGGTGGGTGACACTGTGAATTAGCAGGCACCTGGATAAATTAGAGGACCTCTGGGCTCACAAGCCATCACTTCTGACATCCTTTGGTTTTCCAAGCATTCCCAGTGATTCATTTGTCTGTTCACTTGTTTAGCGTCCAGTCATATTTTTTTCCTACCTCACACATTTTTTGTACCTGAATTCCAAGCTGTGGTCCAATTCTATGGCACCTCACCCCTCCAGTACAATTATTAATCAGTAATTTACTTATAATTACTTCTATATTTCTAGCCTCAACCAGCACCTTAAAGATTGATTCTGTCTTTTAAATTTGTGTTTAAAATAACAAATATTTTTGTCTCATTAGTCTGAAAATCTTGACAACTTTAGCTATTTTCCTCTTCACATTTCATCCATGTTCTATTCATAGCACCTAGTGAGCTGAAGAGAGAGAAAGAGAGAGAGAGTTCAGAGCTAAGTATGTGCCACAGAATATCTCAAGCCAATGTCTTCATCTAGCAAGAGAACTTAAATAAATTATTTATACAGTTAAATTTCCACTCTTATTAAAACAATTACTGCTGAATATGTAAGAGGCTATATTTGGAATAAGGTTATTAATAAATCCACCTGTTCGAATTTCACTGGTGCTATTCACTCCAAGAAATGTTTTTCCAATACTTTGATACAAAAATATTTAGTTAAAGAAGTTTATTTTATTTAAAATAATTTAAAATTTCAGAAATAAAAAGGTAAATAGAAGAACAATTTTTTAAATTATTTGTTATTTTTCTGGCTAAAAAAATTTAGTCATTTTTTAAATTTTGCTCTCTGTGAAACACTCTAGGCCACATTTTTAAAGTGATGTGTCATCACTTCTAAGAGTAAATTCAGCAATTTTGGTAGCTTCTTTAGTTGTTTCTCTGTACACAAATGCACTTAGCAAGTAACATTCTCTGCGAAGTCTTATTTTTTCAAATAGAGTATAAATTCCTGAAAGATAAGGAGACATGATACAAGGAACTAATAATTTGTCATATGGATGCCTGATGTAGAGATGGGTACATAGTAGTTACACAAAACACACACACACACACACACACACACACACACACACACACACCACCTCTAAATAAATTGGAGAATTACTACTGACGAAAAAATAGAAAGTAAATGTTTGTTGTTTATTTGTTTCAAAGTACACAGATGCATTACCAAGGGAAAGATATTTCATTATGACTCTTCTTTTTCTAAATTTTTGGACAAAATTCTTCCCTATCATCTTATTTCTGGAGCCTGAGAAACTCAGTAGGATGCTATGGCTTCCAGACTTATAAAAACGATGATGTCTCTCTCTTTAGAAGTGATTTTTCAAAGTGTTCTGATCCAATTTCACTTTCAGGCTTTGCTAGCTGCGGTCCATCCCTCTTCTATTTACTGCACAGCATCCACTTAGGTGCCCTGCAGTAATTGTTAATGTAACTGCTATTGAAAGAATTGTGTTGCCCGGGGATAGAGCACATGTTGACTGCATTAGAACTCACTTAAAAGTCAAGTGTCTGGATGTCAAAACCAGTTCAAACCTTAGGGACCTGACACGTAGATATCAATTCATTGCCATTATAACAAAAAAGAAATGCTTCAAGCAGAGTCAAAGAAAATTCTGAATAGTCCCACGAAAGAAAATATTACACAGAAAAGATAAGTAAATGGTAGAACTTTTTATAATGATACTTTACTAAATAGAGGTAAAAAGGGAATGAGAACTCTGATGTATTTTTTGAAAATAGGATGAGATATAGAATAAAAATAGATTTGTTTTAGTGGTGTGAATGGTGAATTAAACTCTTATAAACTTTGGCTAAAACCATCAATATAGTGAGAGTCAATAAATCCTTTAGTTTCAGACAAAAAGAGTTACAGAGAATATCTAGTTTCGGAGTCTTGAAATTTATTAAATATGAAAGTATTTTTAACATCGAGCAAAAAAAGTTGTACTTTCAGTTTCTCTTGATTTAGAAAACACGCAAGGATTGAGAAAAAGCTTGTACAAATTTAATAGTGTCATTATATTAATACAAGTATGTTCAAGATATTTTCTCTATTCGGTATACAACCAATTCTTGTGGGTACATATGGAATCACTGACCACTTTAAATTGTACCATTTCTTTTATTTTCCTCACCCCTACACATTTTGTGATAGAACCTATGATTAGAAGGAAAAAAATATGAAATTCAGAAAACAAATGAAATAAATATATAGGAACATAGATGTTTTTATTGGCAAAGCCCAGAGCTCAACATCAGGTTTCCTGATTTCTACGACTGTGCTTCCTGAAGCCTAGCGCTGTTTCTCCTAAGGATCATTGCGGTGTGAGCAGAAAGCAATGGATAAACCTCAGCCTAGATGGCATTTCAAGACAAGGAAAATGCTATTATTAAAATCGAGGTCAATTTTATCTGAACTTTTGCTTTCTAGTCTTGGTGACGGGGTTCTTTCCAGAATGGTAAGGAATGGGTGCACAAACAGCGGGAGTAGAGGAGAGGAAAACACCTGTCATCCTCTCCTGTCAATTATCCTTTGTTTATTGTATCTGCTCTGGCTCATCCACTTCTACTCAGTATTGGTTATGAGTGCAGTAGCTAAGAAGGGAACGATCTTTTTTTTTTTTTTTTCAGACAGAGTCTCGCTCTGTCGCCCAGGCTGGAGTGCAGTGGCACAGTGGCACGATCTCGGCTCACTGCAAGCTCCGCCTCCCGTGTTCACGCCATTCTCCTGCCTCAGCCTCCCGAGTAGCTGGGACTACAGGCGCCCGCCACCACGCCAGACTAATTTTTTTGTATTTTTAATAGAGACGGGGTTTCACCGTGTTGGCCAGGATGGTCTTGTGATCCACCCGCCTCGGCCTCCCAAAGTGCTGGTATTACAGGTGTAAGCCACCGCGCCTGGCCGGGAATGGTCTTCTTATTAAGCTCTTCAACAATGCCATCATGTCCTTTGCACTCAGTGGTAACTTTCTGAAATAAGATTGACAATTTTGTATAGATGGTTGCTATTTCACTCTCAGTAAGAAAAACCATCAGATTGGAAAGCAGTTGATACATAATTTTATTCAGTTTTCTGACTAAGCGGGGGTTGACTTGTGGACAAAGACAGCCACAAATGACAGTAAGTGTGGCTCAACTAAATTTGAGCTACAAATGACAGGTTTCCACTTATATAAAGGCTGAACAGCCCAAGGGCAGACTGTAATTTTAGAGAGGTTGAAATGAGTATGGGGGGTGAATGATGAAAATAAAACCTATATTCCAAATAGAGAAAAAAGAGGAGCTCTATCTGTAAATAGCAGAGTAAATGTGCAAATAATATAGTAAGAAAGGAGAAGGTGAGATGGAGCTGATATAGACAAACACTTTTTATTTGGGGAATTGGTGTTGTCAAAGAGGTGTGTGTGTGTGTGCGCCCGCACGCATGAGCATGCAATATAAGAGGTTTGTTGAGGTTAAGAACAGAAAGAACAGAGCAAGGTAACTGATTTTTATGATTTTGTGGCAAGGACAAAAACCAAACACCACATGTTCTCACTCATAGGTGGGAACTGAACAATGAGAACACGTGGACACAGGAAGGGGAACATCACACACCAGGGCCTGTTGTGGAGTGGGGGGAGCGGGGAGGGATAGCATTAGGAGACATACCTAATGTTGAATGAAGAGTTAATGGGTGCAGCACACCAACATGGCACATGTATACATATGTAACAAACCTGCACGTTGTGCACATGTACCCTAAAACTTAAAGTACAATAAAAAAATAAAAAAGAAGCCTCTGATTATGAAAGAGGAAATTCTACACAGAATCATTTTAATAGAGTTTAGAATATATTAATTACCTAAAGCCTTAATTTCACCATGATAAATACTAAGAGTATTTCACTCAAAGAAGTTAAATGAACTTTAGCAAGTGATCAGCTATTCATTTGTATTAGAACTTTTAATATGCACTTGATAAATCATAACAGCACTAAAAACAGGAAATAAGAATAAAAATATGGAAAGAAAGAATGTATAAACCTTTCTCTTATTAACTCTAAGGATCATATTGCCAGTTAGTACAGAACTGTGTAACAATCATTCACAACAATCCTTCTCTGACCCCTCCTTGCCCATCAAGAACTGATTTGCTTATTAGGTCAGGTAAAAATTTGCAGAAATGTCACATACTAAGGGTCTTTCAGCAATGCTATATATTATCATGCCCCTTACAGCCAGTGGTAAGTTTTAAAAGTGAGGTCTGCAATTTTGTACTTTGAGTTTGCTATTCCAATCTCCGTAAGAAAAACCATCAGACTCGAAAGCAAGTGATATACTATTTTTTATTCAGTTTTCTTACTAAGGAGAGATGGATTTATGGACAAAGACTGCCACAAATGACAATGGGTGTGGAGTAGCTAAATGAGAGCTATACATGATAGCTATCCACTAATATTTAAAGGCTGACTATCCCAGAGGCAGAGAATAATTTTAGCCAAGTTGAAGTAAGTATGAGAAGGAAAAAAAAGATTAAAAACGAAAACATCATAACCTAACTAACTGGAAATGTTGCTATGAATGAGATTGCAAGGAAGAAAAAGTGATATATGTATGTGTGTGTATACATATATATGTCTATTCATATCTGTGTGTAAATATATATGTCTGTGTATCTATATATACATATATATGTATATATAATTTTTAAGTTTAAATAAGGTGGTCTAGCTCTTTGAAATAGAGCATCAATCTCTAACGATACTACCTGGAAAGATGCTAAAGAATGATATGACCTAGTATGTAAATTACTTCTGAAATGAGAACTTGCTTCTGGGACTGCTGGCTGTTAGTGGCTTGTAATTTATTAAACCTTAACAAATAGAATTTTAATATAGTTTGGAAAATAAATGAGAGTTTTAAATTTATTTACAAGCAAAAAGCTTGTCATTTGCAATTGGCAAAATCAAAAACCAAAATTAGAAGTTTTTGAAAAATATTCGCAGTAAAAACCTATACAACAATGCCACTAATATATAAAATAACTGACTTTTATGTTTATCATCTGTTTTTCTCCACTGTTTCCTCACCTCTTATAATAATTTTCTACAAGCCTTAGGTCTCACCAATCTCAATTTTTCTTTGAGGTTTAGACTGTATGAATCTCTGACAAAAATAATACCTAAAGATTTTGCCATTCCTGTCTTTCTATCATTTCACTTATATTTCTGTTGAAATATAACCTGTGGAAAAATGTGATGGTAAAGTTCCTTAGTCTTTATATCAATGAAAATAACTTTATTTTGGCTATATACTTAAATGATATTTTATTTGGTATAAAAATCAAAGTTGAGATTTGTTTTGTCAGAGCAATGAATATTTTACTTTATTATCTTCTATAATGTCCTTTTTACTGAAAGAGAATTTTGATTTTTTTTGGCCAAAGAGTGATTTATGTATAGACAATCTATTTGATCTCTGACAGATTTACATGATTTTTTTTATCCTCGCTGTTCTGTAGTTTCAGTGTACCATCATTCTCTTTAAACTGTGATTGCAATGTTGATCTAAAGGTATATGATTTCAAATTTCAGCAACTCTATCTTCAGTATTATTTCTTTCCTTTCTGACAAGCTTCTTCTTTTGGAACTTCATATAAGAGATGAGATCAAGTTTCAGATTGATCTTCCAGGTATCATCACTGCTATTTGCTTTCAGTTATCTGAAATTACTTGATTTCATATTATTTTCAATTTCATTGTGTTTCTCTTCAAATGAATTCTATCTTAGAGATTATAACTTACATTAAAGTTTTTTTAATTAACAAAAATCTATAGTTTACATTAGGGTTCACTCTTTATGTTGTACATTTTATAGATTTTGATAAATACATAATTACATGTATCAATTATTACAGTATCAAACAAAATAATAGCTTCCTTGCCCTAAAAATTCTCCATGCTTTGCCTATTCATTCCTCCCTCCCATTTAACCTCTGGCAAACACCAATCTTTTTACTCTTTCCCTAGTTCAAACTTTTAAAGAATGTCATTTGGTTGCAATCAATAGTGCATAGGCTTTTCAGATTGGCTTTTTAAAAAAAGCAATGTGTGTTTAAAGTTTTTTCGTGCCTTTGTGTGGCCTGATAGCTCATTCTTTTATTCACTGAACAATATTCCATTGTGTGGATGTATCAATGCTTATTTATTTATTCTTTCATCTTTTGAAGAACACTTTGGCTGCTTCCAAATTTGTGCAATTATCAATAAAAATGCTATAAACATTTCCATGCAGGTTTTGTGTGAACATAAGTTTTAATTCATCTGGATAAGTACTAAGGAGCACAACTGCTGAATTGTATGGTGAAGGTATGCTTAATTTTATAAGCAACTATCAACTGTCTTCCAAATGACTGTAAAATTTTGCATTCCCACCAGCAATAAATGAGAATTCCTATTGCTTTACATTCTTGTCAACATTTCATATTGTCAACGTTCTTGCACTTTGGCCATTCTAATAAGTATATAATAGTATCTTATGGGTTATTTTAATTTGCAATTCCTTAAGTAATGTGTGATGTTGAGCAATTTTTAATATGCTTACTGCCATCTTTATATTTTCTTTGGTGAAGTATCTATTCAGATATTTGGCCTATGCTTCAATTGGATTATTTGGTTTTTTATTGTTCAGTTCTAAGGGCTTTTTGGATATCTTGAATTATAGTCCATTATGAGAGCTGTGTTTTGTGAAGATTTTTTCTCAATTTTAGCTTTATCTTGGTTTTTCATTCTTCTACAGTGTTTTATGCAGAGAAAATTTTAATTTTAATGAAGTTCAACTTACAGATTTTTTTCTTTCATGGATTGTGATTGTGCTGCTGTACCTAAAATGTCAGTAACAAACCCAAAGTCACCAGGTTTTCTATGTTATTTGCTAGAAGTTTTATAGTTTTGCATTTTACTCTCAGGTTTATGATCCACTTTGAGTTAACTTTTGTGAAGCATGTGCCTTAGTCTTCCATTGGTTATAACAGAATACCTGAAACTTGGTATTTTATAAAGAAAAAACAATTTATTTCTCACAGTTATAGAGGCTGAGAAGTGCAAGGTTGACGAGCTGCATCTGATAAGGTCCTTCTTGCTGCTGGGGACTCCCTGCAGAATCCTGAGGTTGCACACGGGATCATATGGAGAGGGGACTGAGCAAGGTGTCTTTTCTTCTTCTTCTAAAGTCACCAGTCCCGCTCCTTCTTAAAGGACCCATCTCTCAACACTGCCACATTGGAGTTTCAGTTTCAACTTGAATTTCAGAAAGACAAACATTCAAACCATAGCCTTCCTCCCATGACTCCCCTAAAGTCATGTCCTTCTCAAGTATAAATACATTCATTTCATCCCCATAGCCACAAAGTCTTAACTTGCTCCAGCACCTACTCCAAATTCTAATGTTCAAAAGCTCATGTGTAAGCTGTGAAATCAAAACAAATTATCTGCTTTCAACATGCAACAGCGGTACAGGCATAAGATAGACATTTCAATTCCATAAGGGAGGAACAGGCCCAAAGCAAGCAAACTCAGCAGTATAGACTTAAATTTTGAAGCTGGACAATAATCCATCTTACCAGGGGCCAACTCCTGGATACACTGGAGTGGAGGTTATACTCCCAACGCCTCAGAGAAACCCACCCCTGTGGTTTTGCTGGATGCAGCCCATGTGGCTGCTCTTGCTGGTTAGAGTCCTGAAGCTTTTTCAGGTGAGCATTGCATGTTGACAGTGACTCCACAGTTCTGGAGACCTAATGGTGGTCCTGCTACCAAGTCTCTGCTAGGCATTGCCCTAGTTGGGGCCCTCTGCAGCAGCTCCGTCTCATTTTTACATTCTGCATTGCTCTAGTGGCAGCTCCCTGTAGTGGCTCCTCCTCAAAGACATGTCTCTGTTTGGATCCCAAGGCCTTCTGGGACGTCTTTTGAAATCTGGATGGAGGCTGCTAAGAATTCGTAAGGCCCTTGGAACAAGCAAGAAACCCTATGTTGGAATTTGGGGAAAAGAGACCTAAGTGAGTAGTGGTCAGCAAGCCTGTGGAGGGCTCAGGCCCATCTCTCAAAATCATTCTGGCTTCATAGGCCTCTGTACTTCAATAGGAGGAACAGCCTAGAAGATCTGCAAAATACCTTTAAGATCTCCCTTCCATTGTCTCTAGGAATATCACCTGGCTTCCTTCAATCCATATGAACATCTTTGGCAAACAGTATCTAAGCTACAGCCTTGGTTTTCCTTCCTGAACCTGCTTTTTCATTCTTTACATTACCAAGCTGAGAGTTTTTGCTATCTTTCCAAATTGCTTCTTTTGATTATGAATGGAATTGTCAAGTTATTTTATCCCTCTCATGGGTTAATGTGAGCAGTTAAAAGTTAAAAATGCAGCAGCTTGATTACTTTCCTGCTTGGATGTTTTTTCCACTTGATACCCTATTTCGTCACTCTCAAGTTTGGACTTCAATGAAACCCTCAGGCATGAACACAGTTCAGCTAGGCTTTTTGCCAATTTACAACGATGGCCTTTACTTAAGCTTCCAAAACTTGATCCTCGGATCTTGTCTGATTGGCCTTCACTGTCCACATTTCCACCATCATTCTGATCACAACTAACTCCTTAGAGTTAAACAATCTCTAAAGAGTTCCAAACTTTCCCTAGTCTGCTTGTCCTCAGAGCCCTTACCAAAATTTTTCTTAATGCTGAATTCACCAAAATGCAGGATTTTTACAGCCTACTCCTCCAAATTCTTCCAGCCTCTGCCCATTGCCCAGTTCCAAAGCTGCTTCTATATTTTCAACAACCCAACTCATTGCACAAATTTTCTATCTTAATCTGTTTTCTGGTGCTTATAACAGAATACTTAAAACTTAATATTTATATGCTTAAATTCATTTTTAAAAATGTATCAGTTTTTTATAGTTTTGGAGGTTGAGAAGTCAAGGGGACACATCTGGTGAGAGACTTCTTGCTGATTGGAACTCTCTGTAGAGTCCTGAGGTTGTTTAGGGTATCATATGGTAAGGGGGCTGAGTATACTAGCTCAGGTCTTTCTTTTCCTTTCTACAAAGCCACCAGTCCCACTCTATTGGTAACCCATTAATCTATTTTCCATTAACCTATGAATGTATTAAATCCATTCATGAGGGCAGAACCCTCATGACCCAATCACCTCTTAAAGGCCCTACCTCTAAATTTTACCACATTTTAATTAAGTTTCAACATGAATTTCTAAGAAGCAAACATTCAAATCACAACAGAGTATAAGATATGTCTACATTATTTTTAATTGAATACACGTGGATGTCCAATTGTTCTAGAATGATTTGTTGAATCCTTTGTCTATTTAAATATATTTGCTTCTGCATCACAGATCAGTTTACCATTTTTAGGCCATTTTTGTGACACAGAAAAGAAATATCTGAGGCTGGGTAGTTTCCAAAGAGAAGAGGTTATATTGGCTCACAGTTCAGCAGGCTGTATCACCATGGCACCAACGTCTTCTGGGCTTCTGGTAAGAGTCTCACTAAGCTTTCATTCACGGCAGAAGGCAAAGACAGAAGCCAGCACATTACCTGGCGAGATAGAGCAAGAGAGTAAGTGGGGAGGTGTCATACACTTTTAAACAACCAGATATCATGTAAACTAACTGAATAAGATCTCACTTATCACCCAGGGGATGGTGCTAAACCACTCATTAGGGATCCACTCCATTATTCAATCATCTCCTACCATGCCCCACATTCAACACTGGAAGTTACACTTCAACATCAGATTTGAAGGAGACAAATATCCAAACTATATCAACTATACTTGTATCAGTTTATGCTTCATAATCTTTTTCATTGTTCTGTTTCACTAATCTTTTGTCAAAAGTACAGTGTCATAATTACTGTAATTTAATAGTAAGAATTAAAGTTGAGTGTGAGCAATCCTCTGACCTTAATATTGTGTTAACTATTCTGTCTTTTGCCTTCACATATAAACTTTAGAATCAGTTTGTTGATATGCACAGAATAACTTGCTGGAATTGTGATTGGGATTGCATTGAATTTATAGGCCAATTTGAGAAGAACTATTATCTTTACAATGTTAAGTTTTCCTATCCATAAGCCTGAAATATCTCTCCATTTATTTAGACCTTTGATTTCTTTCTTCAGAATTTTATACTTTTTCTCATAAAGCTTTTATACATATTTTATTAAATTTATGCCTAGGTATTTCTTTACTTTGAGGTGGGAATTAATATAAATGGTATTGAGTTTTCAATTTTAAATTCCAATTGTTCATTGCTTGAATATATAAAGCAATTGAAAGAGGGGGCTTCAAAATGGCTGACTAGAGGCACCTTGCACTCACTTCCTCCATAAAGAATGACCAAAACAGTGAGTAGGTAAACATACATAGAATACAATGTCTAAGATAAAACACTGGAATTCAACAAGGAAGTTAATTTGCACCTCTGAGACATGGAAGGAGAAGAAAGCAAAGCATCCAGCCTGGCTAAGATTGGCTTGGAGTCAGGAAGAACTCCCCATTGCAGAGAAAAGTAAATGAGCAATCTCCAGCACGCCCCATTCCTACTGTGGGCTCCTATAACCCTAGCCATAGGAGAACACTTTGACACTCTCAGGGCCTGAGAATAGTATAGATAGTTGCCTGGAATCCACATGATAGAATTGTTCCAGAGAGGGAGTTTACACTGGGTCCCACCCATTCCTCAAGAACCAAGCAACTGTAGCACAAAGCCATTTTGAGAGCCCAGCCCTCACAGGGCTACATCCTGCCCTGGAGCCCAACAGCTCCTACATCTCCACATCACCGGAGAGCTGCATACTCCACTACATCCAGCAAGAGAGCTGAAATGTTGTGACACTACCTGAAATGGTACAAGGGCGCACCCTCCAGGGACTGAGCATATGTCTGCCCTTATTACCATCATTGCCACTGGTACCCAAGCGTGCCATCCATGTACCTAGGGATAGGCCAGGCACCCATGCGCACCAACAGGGGGCTTGAGGGTAGGCCTGCCCCACCTATTGCTGCTACTGCTGGTGACCACACATGTCATCCAGAGGGCCTGAGGATCAATCCACCCCATCTGCCACTACTGACATCTGAACACACATTTCAGTGGCCTGAGGACAGACCTGTTACTGCCAGCACCTGTGCATGCTATTCATGTGGCCTGTACACATGGCTAAGGATTAGCACATCCTGGATGCCACCTTGCAACCTTAGGATCCACCCACTTAGCCCACTGTTGACATCATTAGCACCTGAGCAAGCCACCTGGAAGTCTGAGGACTGATCCACAAGACACACTACCACTAGTGCCCAAATACATAGCCCAGTGGCCTGAGAATTGGTAACTTTGGCCCACTACAGCTAATATTAGTATTCAAGGACCAGCCCACCTTAGGTGCCTATCCTCAGAAAAGTATCACCAGTCTCTACTAATAACTGCAGCCTAAACCACTGAGAGAGTCTCAGAAACCACTAACACTGATTACAGCTGAAAAAAAAATTATACAAAGATGACAGTACTGTGCCCATTCAGAATCAAAGACAAAGCACCATATCCAAGCAACACTATAGAAATATTTACAGAAAAATATCTTTCCATACAAAAGCAGAACCATAAAACTGGAAGAAGCAACTGTTACAATAGATGTGTTGATATCAACATAAGGACATAAGGAATATAAAAAGCAAGGAACCATGACACCTTTAAAAGAACACAATAATTCTCCAGTAACAGGTCACCAAGAAAAGGAAATATTTGAAAAACATGAAAGTGAACTTAAAATAATGTTATTGAAGAAACTCTATGAGATACAAGAGAACACAGATAAGCAATCCAAAGAAATCAGGAAAATAATTTATGATATGAATAAGAAATTCAAGCAAGAGATAAATATTAAAAATAAAAGACAAAGATCCTGGAAGTAAAAAATTCAATGAATGAAACAAAAATACAGTCAAGACCTTCAACAATAGACTAAATCCACCAGAGAAAAATAATTTTTGAACTTGAATACAGGTCTTTAAAAATAACCCAGTTAGACAACAAAATACAATTAAAAAGAATAAAGGAAGTCTACATGACATATAGGACACCATAAAACAAATAAGTTTTAAAATATGAAAATATTTATGAGGAGAAAAAGTAGGAAAATGCATACGAATCCTATTTAACAAAATAATAATGGAAACTTTCAAAGTCTTGAGAGAGATATAGACATGTAGGTATAGAAAATTCAAAATTCTCACATAACTTTTACCCAGAAAGGTATTTTCCAAGGTGAATTAAAATCAAACTGCCAAAAGTCAAAGAATAAGGTAGAATTCTAAAAACAGCAAGAAAACATTGCCAAGTCACATATAAGTAAATTCCTGTCAGACTACAAGCTGATTTTTAAAAACAGAAACCTTGCAGGCCAGGAGATAATGATATTATATACTCAAAGTCCTGAAAGAAAAGAAAAACAGCCAGCCAAGAATACTACATATAGCAAACTATCCTTCAAAAATGAAGGAGAAATAAAGTTTTTCCCAGAGTAGCAAAAACAGGGAATTCATCACCATGAGACCAGCCCTACAAGAATTGTTTGAGGGAGTCCTATATCTGAAATTGAAAGGACAATATCTACCATTATGAAAGTACACAAAAATATAAAATTCACTGGTAGAGAAGAAACAAAACAGAGAAATTAAAAGGAATCAAACGTTAACAGTATAAAAAAAAACTAAAAATAAACAATAAAGGAGGACAAAAGAACCATAGGATATAGAAAACAATCAGAAAGCTATTAACAAAATGGCAGGAAGAAGTCTATACCTATCAATAACAAACTTGAATGTATATGGTTTAAATTCTTTAATTAAAAGATACAGGCTTGCTGAATGAATAAAAAATAAGACTGAATGCTTACAAGAAAATCACTTGACCTGTAAAGACACACATAAATTTAAAGTCAAGGGATGGAAAAGTATTTATTTCTCATAAACATAAACCCAAAGCATACAGGAGTAGCTACACCTATATTTGAAAAAAAGTAAACATTAAGTCAAAAATAAACATAAAAAGAGACAAAGAAGGTCATTATATAATTATAAAGGGACCAATTTAGCAAGTAAATATAAAAATTATAAACTTATATGCACCCAACATGGTAGCATCAAGTTGTTTAAAGCTAATTTATTTGAGCTAAAGAGAGAGATAAACTCCAATACAAAATAATTAGACATTTCAACATCCCACATTCTGCACTGGGTAGATTATTTTATCAGAAAATCAACAAAGAAACATTGGACTTAATCTGTACTATCAATCAAATGTTCCTAACAGACATTTATTTACAGAACATTTCATCTAGCTCCTACAGAATTCATGTTCTTCTCATCAGCACGTGTAACATTCTTTAGGATAGACCCGTATATTAGGATACAAAACAAACCACAACAAATTTTTAAAAATCAAAGGTATACCAAGTATTTCATCATATCACAATGAAAGAAAACTAGAAATCAATAAGAGGAAATTTGAAATGTGTACAGATAGGTGGAAATTATACGACACGCCTCTGAATAACCAATGGGTTGATCAAATTTAAGAAGTAAATTTTAAAAAGTTAAATAAAAATGGAACCACAGGTGTCAAAATATATGAGATACAGAAAAAGCAGTTGTAAGAGGGAATATTATAGCAATAAACAGTTACACCAAAAAATTTAAAAGAGTTTAAATAAATAATTGAATGATGCACTTCACAAAACTAGAAAAGCAAGAATAAACCAAATCGAAAATTATTAGAGGAAAAAAAATAATAAAAATCAGAGCAAAATGGACACTAAAAAAATGGAAAATATCAATAAAACAAAAATGTTATTTTGAAAAGGTAAAAGGATAAGTTGCTAGCTAAACTAAGAAAAAATAACATACTAAATAACTAAAATCAGATGTGTAGGAGGAGACATTTCAACTGGTATCACAGAAATATAAGGGAGTATCAGTGACTATTATAGACAACTATATGCTAACAAATTGGAAAACCTAGAGGAAATGAATAAATTAATAGACAAATACAACCTACCAAGATTGTACTAGAAAAGAATATATAATCTGAACAGACCAATAGTGAGTGATAGAATTGAATCAGAAATAATAATTCTTCCCCTCTCAAAAAAAAATAAAAGTTCAGGACCAAATGCCTTTATTGCTGAATTCTATTAAACTTAAAAAGAAGAACCAACACCAATTCCTCTCAAACAATTCCAAAAAAATAAAGAGGAGGAAATTCTTAACTCATTCAGCAAGCCTGGCATAACCCTAGAATACTAAAATCTGTAGTGGGCAAAAAAAAAAGAAAAAAGAAAAAAACAAGAAAGAAAACTGCAGGACAATCTCCTAGACGACCATAGATGTAAAAATCCTCAATGAAATACTAGCAACCCAAATTCAACAATACATTAAAAAACACCTGATGAAATGGGATTTATACAGGGAATGCAAGGATGGTTCACCATACGGAGATCGATGAATGTGATACCTCACATTAGCAGAATAAAGGACAAAACCATATGATTATCTCAATAGACACAGAAGCATTTGATAAAATCAGCATTGTTTTATGATTAAAAATTCTCAATATTAGGCATATAAGGATTACACCTCAACACAATATAGCAAACTCACAGCTAACATCATGCAGAATGTGGAAAAGCTGACAGTCTTTCCTCTAAGAACTGGAACAAGGCAAGGATGCCCGCTTTCATCACTCTTATTGAACATGGTTTTAACAATTTTAGCTGGGTAAATCAGGCAAGAAAGAAATGTATTTAAATTGGAAAATAGAAAATCAAAATGTTCTTCTTTGAAGATGGCATGATCTTATGTATAGAAAAACCTGAAGACTCTGCCAAGAAACACTGAGAACTGATAAATGAATTCAGTAAATTTGCAGGATACAATACGAAACATACAAAAATCAGTATCATTTCCATACATAAATAATGAACTAGCTGAAAAAGAAATCAAGAAAGCAATCCCATTTACGATAGATTCAAAAACTAAAATAATGTACTGAGGAATAAATTTAACTAAGAAGGTGAAAAAACTTCTACAATAAAACGTTCAAACAATAAAGAAAGAAATTAAAGAGGATACAAACAGGTGGAAGGACCTCATATGCACATGGATTGGAAAAGTTGATATTGTTGAAATGACTACTCTACCCAAAGCAACCTATCAATTTAGTTCAATCCCTATCAAAATAGCAAATGACATTATTTACAGATATAGAAAGAATATAAAATTCATATGCAATCACTAAAGACTCAGAATAGTCAAAGCAGTTCTTTTTTTTACTTTTTAATTATTATATTTTAAGTTCTAGGGTACATGTGCACAACATGCAGGTTTGTTACATATGTATACATGTGCCATATTGGTGTGCTGCACCCATTAACTCATCATTTACATTAGGTATATCTCCTAATGCTATCCCTCCCCCCTCCCCCCACCCCACAACAGGCCCCTGTGTGTGATGTTCCCCTTCCTCTGTCCATGTGTTCTCATTGTTCAATTCCCACCTATGAGTGAGAACATGCGGTGTCTAGTTTTTTGTCCTTGTGATAGTTTGCTGAGAATGATAGTTTCCAGCTTCATCCATGTCCCTAAAAAGGACATGAACTCATCATTTTTTATGGCTGCATACTGTTCCATGGTGTATATGTGCCATATTTTCTTAATCCAGTCTATCATTGATGGACATTTGGGTTGGTTCAAGTCTTTGATAATGTGAATAGTGCTGCAATAAACATACGTGTGCATGTGCCTTTATAGTAGCATGATTTATAATCCTTTGGGTATACACCCAGTAATGGGATGGTTGGGTCAAATGGTGTTTCCAGTTCTAGATCCTTGAGGAATCACCACACAGTCTTCCACAATGGTTGAACTAGTTTACAGTCCCACCAACAGTGTAAAAGAATTCCTATTTCTCCACATCCTCTCCAGCACCTGTTGTTTCCTGACTTTTTAATGATTTCCATTCTAACTGGTATGAGATGGTATCTCATTGTGGTTTTGATTTGCATTTCTCTGATGGCCAGTGATGATGAGCATTTTTTCATGTGTCTTTTGACTGCATAAATGTCTTCTTTTGAGCAGTGTCTATTCATATCCTTCTCCCACTTTTTGATGGGGATGTTTTTCTTGTAAATTTGTTTGAGTTCTTTGTAGATTCTGGATATTAGCCCTTTGTCAGATGAATAGATTGCAAAAATTTTTTCCCATTCTGTAGGTTGCCTGTTCACTCTGATGATAGTTTCTTTTGTTGTGCAGAGGCTCTTTAGTTTAATTAGATCCCATTTGTCAATTTTGTCTTTTGTTGCCATTGCTTTTGGTGCTTTAGACATGAAGTCCTTACCCATGCCTATGTCCTGAATGGTAATGCCTAGGTTTTCCTTTAGGGTTTTTATGGCTTTAGGTCTAACATTTAAGTCTTTGATCCATCTTGAATTAATTTTTATATAACGTGAAAGGAAGGGATCCAGTTTCAGCTTTCTACATATGTCTAGCCAGTTTTCCCAGCTCCATTTATTAAATAGGGAATCCTTTCCCCATTTCCTGCTTTTGTCTGGTTTGTCAAAGAACAGATGGTTGTAGATGTGTGGTATTATTTCTGAGGGCTCTGTTCTGTGCCATTGGTCTCTATCTCTGTTTTGGTAACAGTACCATGCTGTTTTGGTTACTGTAGCCTTGTAGTATAGTTTGAAGTCAAGTAGCGTGATGCCTCCAGCTTTGTTCTTTTGGCTTAGGATTGACTTGGCAATGAGGGCTCTTTTTTTGGTTCCATATGAACGCTGAAGTAGTTTTTTTCCAATTCTGTGAAGAAAGGCATTGGTAGCTTGATGGGGATGGCATTGAATCTATAAATTACCTTGGGCAGTATGGCCATTTTCACGATCTTGATTCTTCCTATCCATGAGCATGGAATTTTCTTCCATTTGTTTGAGTCCTCTTTTATTTTGTTGAGAAGTGGTTTGTAGTTCTCCTTGAAGAAGTCCTTCACATCCCTTGTAAGTTGGATTCCCAGGTATTTTATTCTCTTTGAAACAATTGTGAATGGGAGTTCACTCATGATTTGGCTCTCTGTTTGTCTGTTATTGGTGTATAAGAATGCTTGTGATTTTTGCACTTTGCTTTTGTATCCTGAGACTTTGCTGAATTTGCCTATCAGCTTAAGGAGATTTTGGGCTGAGATGATGGGGTTTTCTAGATATACAATCATGTCATCTGGAAACAGGGACAATTTGACTTCCTCTTTTCCTAATTGAATACCCTTTATTTCCTTCTCCTGCCTGATTGACCTGGCCAGAACTTCCAACACTACGTTGAATAGGAGTGGTGAGAGAGGCCATCCCTGTCTTGTGCCAGTTTTCAAAGGGAATGCTTCCAGTTTTTGCCCATTCAGTATGATATTGGCTGTGGGTTTGTCATAGATCGTTATTATTATTTTGAGATACATCCCATCAATACCTAATTTATTAAGAGTTTTTAGCATGAAGCGCTGTTGAATTTTGTCAAAGGCCTTTTCTGCATCTATTGAGATAATCATATGTTTTTTATCTTTGGTTCTCTTTATATGCTGCATTACATTTATTGATTTGCATATGTTGATCCAGCCTTGCATCCAGGGAAGAAGCCCTCTTGATCATGGTGGATAAGCTTTTTGATGTGTTGCTGGATTTGGTTTGCCAGTATTTTATTAAGGATTTTTGCATGGATTTTCATCAGGGATGTTGGTCTAAAATTCTCTTTTTCTGTTGTGTCTCTGCCAGGCTTTGGTATCAGCATGATGCTGAACTCATAAAATGAGTTAGGGAGGATTCCCTTTTTTTCTATTGATTGGAATAGTTTCAGAAGGATTGGTACCAGCTCCTCCTTGTGCCTCTGGTAGAATTCGGTTGTGAATCTGTCTGGTCCTGGACTTTTTTTGGTTGGTAAGCTATTAATTATTGCCTCAATTTCAGAGTCTGTTATTGGTCTATTCAGGGATTCAACTTCTTCCTGGTTTAGTCTTGGGATGGTGTATGTGTCCAGGAATTTATCCATTTCTTTTAGATTTTCTAGTTTATTTGCATAGAAGTGTTTATAGTATTCTCTGATTGTAGTTTGTATTTCTGTGGGATCAGTGATGATATCCCCTTTATCATTTTTTATTGCATCTATCTCTTTCTTCTTTTTTAGTCTTGCTAGCAGTCTGTTAATTTTGTTGATCTTTTCAGAAACCAGCCAGAGAAAGGTCAGATTACCCACAAAGGGAAGCCCATCAGACTAACAGCTGATCTCTCCACAGAAACTCTACAAGCCAGAAGAGAGTGGGGGCCAATATTCAACATTCTTAAAGAAAAGAATTTTCAATCCAGAATTTCACATCCAGCCAAACTAAGCTTCATAAGTGAAGGAGAAATAAAATCCTTTACAGACAAACAACCGCTGAGAGATTTTGTCACCACCAGGCCTTCCCTAAAAGAGCTCCTGAAGGAAGCGCAAAACATGGAAAGGAAAAACCGGTACCAGCCACTGAAAAAACGTGCCAAATTGTAAAGACCATCAATGCTAGGAAGAAACTGCGTCAACTAACGAGCAATATAACCAGCTTAACATCATTATGACAGGATCAAATTCACACATAACAATATTAACCTTAAATGTAAATGGGTTAAATTCTCCAATTAAAAGACACAGACTGGCAAATTGGATAAAGAGTCAAGACCCATCAGTGGGCTGTATTCAGGAGACCCATCTTATGTGCAGAGACACACATAGGTTCAAAATAAAGGGATGGAGGAAGATCTACCAAGCAAATGGAAAACAAAAAGAGGCAGGGGTTGCAATCCTAGTCTCTGATAAAACAGACTTTAAACCAACAAAGATCAAAAGAGACAAAGAAGGCCATTACATAATGGTAAAGGGATCAATTCAACAAGAAGAGCTAACTATCCTAAATATATGTGCACGCAGTACAGGAGCACCCAGATTCATAAAGAAAGTCCTTAGAGGCCTACAAAGAGACTTAGACTCCCACACAATATTAATGGGAGACTTTAACACCCCACTGTCAACATTAGACAGAGCAACAAGACAGAAAGTTAGTCGAAGCAGTTCTCCACAAAAAGAGCAAAGCTGGAGGCATCACACTACTTGACTTCAAAATATATTACAAAGCTACAGTAACCAAAACAGTGTAGTACCGGTATAAAAACAAACACAATGATCAGCAGAACCCAATAGAGATCCCAGAAATAAATCCATGTATTTGCAGCCCACTTGTTTTTAATAAAGATGTTACGACTATACATTTGGAAAAAGACATGTTCTTCAATATATGATGCTGGAAAAACTGTATATCCATATATTAATGAATGAAACTAGACCCCTATTTCTCATCATAAAGACTTAAATGTAATAGTTGAAATTATAAAAGTACTAGAAGAAAACACAGAGGAACAGCTTCAGGACATTGTCCTGTTTTGTCAAGTGATCTTGTTGGAAATTTTATAGCTAAGTGTTCAAAAGCACAGGCACCAAAAATAAGAATAGAAATATGGGACCATATTAAAGTAAATAGTTTCTCCATAGCAGAGGAAACAATCAATCAACAGAGTGAGAAGACAACCTGTAAAATGGAAGAAAAATGTTTGTAAACTATTCATTTGATAAAAGACCAATATTCAGGATATTCAAGAAACCCAAACAATTCAACAGTAAACAAATAAGCCCATGAAAAAGTAGGCACACTTTTTCTATTTACCTCCATAAATAGACAATTGTCAAAGAGAGACTTACAAATGGCCAACACGAATATGAAAAAATACTCAATGTTCCCAATCATCAGGGAAATGCAAATTATAACCACAGTGAAATATAATCTCATCCCAGTTTGAATGGCTATTATAAAAAAGACAAAAAATAACCAATGCTGATGAGGAGGTAGAGAAAAAGGAACTCTTGTGCACTGGTTGGTGGAAATGTAAACCAGTACAGCCACTGTGGAGAACAATATGAGGTTTTTCAAAAAACTAAAACTCATACTATTACAGGATACAATTCAGCAAGCCTGCTATTGAATAATTATCCTAAAGATAGGTAATCAGTATATCAAAGGGATACCTGCACTCCTGTGTTTATTCATAAGAGTCAAGATATGGAATCAATCTAAGTGCTCATCAGTGCATAAATTGATAAAGAAAATGTGGTATATGACGGGTGTGGTGGCTCATGCCTGTAATACCAGCAATTTGGGAGGCTGAGGCAGGTGGATCATGAGGTCAAGAGTTCAAGGCCAGCCTGGACAACATGGTGAAACCCTGTCTCTACTAAAAACACAAAGATTAGCTGGATGTGGTGGCAGGTGCCTGTAATCCCAGCTACTCGGGAGGCTGAGGCAGGAGAATTGCTTGAACCTGGGAGGCGGAGGTTACAGTGAGCTGAGATCATGCCACTACACTCTAACCTGGGCGACAGAGCAAGACTCCATCACTCCCCACCCCCCAAAAAAGAAAAAAGAAAATGTGGTATAAATGCACAAAAAAATACTATTCAGTTATAAAAAAGAATAAAATCCTTTCATTTGTAACAACATGGATGAAACTAGATGCCATTATCTTAAGTGAAATAACCCAGGCACTGAAAGACAAATATCACATTTTCTAAGTCATAGGGGAGCCTAAAAGAATTAATCTCATGAAGGTAGAGATTTGAATGATGGTTATCAAATGCTGGAGAAGGTAGAGAAGTAGAGTATAAAGAAAGGTTGGTTAATGGGTACTACCATAAGATCAATAGAGGGAATAAGGTTTAGTATTCAATAGCACAGTACAGTGACTATAGTTAATAATAATTTATTACTCATTTCAAAATAGCTGTAAGACATGAAATGTTCTCAATGCAAAATTTGATAAACGTTTGAGATGATGAATATCCTAATTACCCTGATTTGATGATTATACATTGTATGCATGTATCAAAATATCACATATATCCCATAATATGTACAATTATTTTGTGTCAATAAAAATGGTTAAAAAAAGAAACTAATTGGCACTTGTATATTAACATTGACTCCTTCAACCTTGTTGTAAATAACGGGGAAATAAACAAGGAAATATTTAAAGCATGAGATAAAATCAGTCCTCCATTGCTGGCTTTGAAGATGAAAAAACCATCAGTTTATTCATCGTTAACCCTGAGTCAATGAATGGGGGCAGCATCCGGGAACTGGAAATGCCCCTCCCCTGAAAGCTAGCAAAGAAAAAAGAAGACTTCAGTCTCATAACCACAAGGAAATAAATTCTAACAATCACCTAAATCAGCAAGGAAATTGGTGGCTCCCTAAAGCCTTCAGAAGGAATGAAACGCTGCCAACACCTTGATTTCAGCTGATGAGACCTTGGTTTAGACTTCTAACCTACAGAGCTGTAAGATAATAAATTTGTGTCTCTTTAAGCCACTAAGTTTGTGATTGTTTGTTATGGCAGCAATAGAACACTAATATAATCTATGAGTCAATGTTCTCAGATTTACAAGCAAGAGAAGATAATCTCAATTGCTTTTACATAGATGTAGCTTATAAAATGATACATACCAAAGGCTCTCAAACCAACTTTAAAGCAAATTGTTCAAGACCAAAGCCCCTAAACCAGACCAGAGATGTGACTTAATAATAAATCTGTTACTTGAGAGCCATAAATAAACCATAAAGAAATAAATAAATAACCACAAATAAATCACCGCTCTCTTCACTTTCCAGCTTTTACACCAGGAATTTTGTTTTCTGACCACTGACAAAGTGCTGCTGGCGCTATGATTCCAACCACCAAACACTAATATGCTTGCCATCACACATGAAAGCAAAAATGGAAGTGTCACATAGAATCATTTTCGAAACTGCTTACTTCGGAATTGAAATCTTATTGGTTTACATCAGACCTTCAATCATACACTTATAACCTGATTGAAGGGGCTTCCTAGAATTTGGGTTTCTACATTTACATTAGGAAAGTAGAGTTAATTATGGTGGCACAAGGCCAAATCTGTGTATTATTTCAAATATAATGTCTATGATGTTGGTATAATTAGAAGGTACTAAACTAGGGGATTTAGGATAAAAATATACCTGGAACCAAAATATACATGAAAATATAGGTGTGATATGTAAATATGCAGATAAAAAAATAAGTGAGTTTAGGTAACGGCACAATAGGATGGGAACCAAGATTAAGCTAGTATTGGTATTAGTCAGGGTTCTCCAGAGGGACAGGACTAATAGGATAGATGTATATATAAAGGGAGTCTATTAAGGAGTATTGACTCACACGGTCACAAGGTGATGTCCCACAATAGGCTGCCTGCAAGCTGAGGAGCAAGGAAGCAAGTCTGAGTTCCAAAGCCTCAAAAGTAGAGAAGCCGACAGTGTAGCCTTCAGTCTGTGCCCAAAGGCCTGAGACCCCCTGGCAAACCACTGATGTAAGTTCAAGAGTCCAAAAGCTGAATAATTTGGAGTCTGATATTCAAGGGCAGGAAGCATCCAGCACAGAGGAAAGATGAAGGCCAGAAGACTCAGCAAATCTACTCTTCCATCTTCTCCTGCCTGCTTTATTCTAGCCACACTGGCAGCTGATTAGAGGGTGTCACCAGATTGAGGGAGGGTCTGCCTCTCCCAGTCCACTGATTCAAATGTTAATCTCCTTTGGCAACATCCTCATAGACACACCCAGGAACAATATTTTGCATCCTTCAATCCAATGAAGTTAACACCCAATATTAACTATCACAGCAACATTCTCTGTTGCTTTGGTTATAGAACTCTATTTCTCTCCTGATTACAGTATAGGGATAACTACTCTATCCCTCTACTGTTCATACTATTAAGTAAGAACATATTAATGAAATAGTAACTCTGGGCCATTCAAGGCAAAATCCTACAAATTCTATTTTGGAGCACATATTAAGGAACATCTCAGAAGTGTTTAAAATAGAAGATAAAGAAGACATTAACGTAGGGGGGAACTTGGATGGAAATACAATGGATTCTTGTGTATTCACTGTGTTTTGTTCCATAAAGTCTCCAAATACATAGAATTAGAGAATACTGAATCATTGTTCTAAAGAAAAATACAGGGTTAGATTGTGCAAGTCTCTGGTCACAATGTTTTTTCAATTGATTAAAACATAAACTTGGCTGGGCTTGGTGGCTCACGCTTGTAATCCCAGCACTTTGGGAGGCTGAGGCGGGCGGATCACGAGGTCAGGAGATGGAGACCATCCTGGCTAACATGGTGAAACCTTGTCTCTACTAAAAATACAAAAAAATTAGCCGGGCATGGTCCCTGTAGTCCCAGCTACTCGGGAGCCTGAGGCAGGAGAATGGAATGAACCTGGGAGGTGGAGCTTGCAGTGAGCGGGGATCACACCACTGCATTCCAGCCTGGGCAACAGAGCAAGACTCTGTCTCAAAAACAAAATAAAACAAAACAAAAAAACCCATAAACTTGCTTCAAGTGTATTTATTTTCAAAGAAACTTTATTTAGTATATATGGTTAGTTCATTAAACCACAGCACTATAACTCAGATCTGAATAAAAGCTTATCTAACACGTGTATTTTCCTGGTAAGGCACATCACAGACTTTTTGCACTTAGGAACACTGGGTAGTACCTTATGATTGGAGATCATTTTAAACAGCAAAATAAGAAACAATAAAGGACAAAAATGTGGAAAAAATGGTACTAAATAGACTGCAAAGATGAAACTTGTTTGGCACATGAGGGCTGAAACAAAATGCAGAGGACCGTCTACCTCAGCTGAGATCATGAAAGTTGGGTGACTCCAGCTTTTTGCCATTTTGTGCATGTCTGGAAATGACTGTAAGCACCACAATCATTGATGTAAGGATTAAAAATAAATTGTGCTGAGTTGTCAAATTTGCAAATGTGAAATCTGATTATTATGAGAATCAACTGCATATGGAACATACAGAGCCAGCATGTGAGCATATAGCTACTTGTCCTTTCTCCCACTGGCCATGTCTGTACTATGTAATTCAACCAACTTTCCATAAGTCCAGGTTGACCGTCCTATCCTTGTTAATCTCCGGTTTGATAAGAAGCCCTAACTGTAGCCTGTTAGGGAGTTCAATGTTACATATATATAACATAAAATTGGAAATAGCCTAAATGTCCAATAAGGGGGACTTGTGGTAATAATTTATGAAATATTCTTAAAGTTGATATCCTCTGCAGTCTATCAGTATGATGACATGAATCTATTAGGTTTTACTGATGTGGATATATTCTTATGTATGTCAAATGATAAATTCAATTCAGCATACAGTATGGTGTGGCCCAATTACTGACATGTTAATTTAAATGAAATACATTTTTCTGTGAATTAGGCTGAAGAGTTTCCAAAAAGATTTTGTCGTTTTCATTCCTGGATAGTGAACATTGAGGTGTTTTAATTACTTAATTTCTATTTGACTATCTTGATTTTCTGTTTTTCTGAGGGTTAAATTTTCTTTGTACATTTAAAAATATCAATGAGATAGAAAAAGCCTCGGTGATTAAGATTAATTCAATGAATTATTCACCATACTCTTACTCAGCATTGTCCATATGTGAAATTGTTTGCTTTCCTCCCCTATTATTTCTGTTTTCCTGTCATTTTAGTTCACATTTCTGGTCCTTCTAATCATATGAAAGTGTGACTGTCAGTCAAAAGCAGGAAGAAGCTGAAATGAATTCACACTGAAGTGTATAAACACCTGATGTTTTTTACATTGATAAAAACTAGAATTTGAAGGCTTTTATTATAAACCAGGTACAAAACTAAGAACATTATGCAAATGACTTTATTTAACCTTTAAAATAACCCCATGGAATTGGTAAATATTATTTCCATTTTTTATAAATATGCAACATAGAAACAGTATTTTCTTTGTCCAAGAATACATAACTAGTGAGGGGTGGAAGTGAGATTTTGTAGTCAGGAAAACTATTTTCAGTGCCCATGCACAAACCACTGTGCCATTTTGCTGCCTCTAGTAAGACGTTATGTTCTTTATTTCATCATCGTAGTTGAATTTAAAGGACATATATTCCAAAATAGGCTTTTTTTCCATCCTGGGAAGAAGAACTATAGAGGAGGAGGATAAGGATTGGGGTGGGTAGGCAAGCTGAACAGGAAGAGAAGGAAATAAAATCCCCTAGGACATCTTGAAATCATCTAAAAGCTCTAGTTGCTAAAGTCGACTTTTCATCTAGCAAGTTAGGGAAAAATATCAGTAGGCGTCTTATATTTTTTGCTTATAAACTCAGTTGGTTAATGATGTTAGCTGAAGAGTATCAATTACCAACAGCACATTTTGTTCTAGGAAATCCCAAGATCCAGTCACTAAGGGATATTTATGGGAGAGCACAAGAGATTTATGCTGTTTATGTAAAGTACTATATGTCTTGGATGATAGTTTATCTTTTACTTCAGAACAGGGATTCCAAAAATACACATGCTGTGAAGACATCATAACAGAAAGAGGCCCATAATGTGATAAATTTCAGTCTGTTTCAAGAACAAACTACTATCAAGTAAACTGATCTTTTAAAAAATTTATGAAAGCAGAGTACCAAGTCACCATCACCTATCACTGGCTAAAAACAAAAAGAAGGCATGTAAAATAGTGTGAGTGCCTGCTAAGTTTATATTCCAAATTTCATATTGGAAAATACAATGTGAAAATTATATGTTTCATCTTCCGGTCAATTCTAAGAGAATCAGGAGTGACGAATAACACTGTCCACTTCAATTATTATTTATTTTGTGCTGCTAAGAACACATTAAATTGTGTAACGTAATTTGAAGCTATCAAAAAAAAATCTCTATTATACTCATGACATATTATTAGCACAAACTCTTGTTGCTAGCATTTATCCAGTGCCAACTATGTACCAAGCATGTGTAATATTATTATCTCCCAAACATTTCTACCAGTAGTTTGATTTTATTGCACATTCATAGTTTAGGCAACAGTGTCTGGGTGACTAAATAAATAACATGCTTTATGTATTTATGTGAGTGCGTCTATATATATATATATGCATGTGTATATATATATAGACGCACACACGTACATATGTGTATATATATATATGCATGTGTATATATATATATAGACGCACACACATACAATCACATATATATTATGTATATATATTTATATATACATATATACATATCTCTCTATACATACACAGATATATACAATCTTAGATATATATATGTAATTTTAGGTTATATATTTATATTTTATGTCTTCCAAACCTCTACAGAAGGCTTATAGCATATTCTTACTGAATTTCAGCCATATCAGAAAATGTAAAATAAATTTTCTATATCAAATCCTAAGTTTCAGGAGTTCAGTTTGTCTTATATTTTTATCTACCAATACCAGTAGTTATATTTTTATTCTAACTACTATAATGCCAGTAAGAACAAAAATTAAATGAGGTAGCGGATGAGGCAACAATAGAAATGAAAGAAGCTAGGGCAAGACTAAAAAGAAAATTAAAAATAGAATGTATAATTTTAAGCCAGCAAAAGTAAGTCAAACAAGTGGGAAGCAGGAAAGGAGATACAAAAAAAAAAAAAAAAAAGAAAGAAAACATGAAATACCTTAAATGTAAGATGTAAATAAGATGGTAGGAATGATTACTAATATAAAAGGAGAATTAAAATATATTTAAGTACGATGAATTCAAAAATTAAATACAGATGGTTCCTGACTTACATTGCTTAAAGTACGATTTTTTTGCCTTTACAATGGTGTGAAAGCATACACATTCAGTAGAAACTGTAGCCTCATTTTAAGTAGAGGAGTATCTGTACAGACTCTAAGATGGTATCAAAAGATACAACAAAATCTAGGCATAGGTGGTCCACAATGAAAATAGATAGGTTGGAAGTCAATATATGGACAAATATACACCAGGTAAATATAAATAAAAATAGAACTAGAGTTTTAATTTTATTATATATTATTTTGTTCCCAGACAGGAAAATAGAAGCCTCTCCAGATTTTTCAAAGGAAAAATAATAAAGCTGGAAAATGTTGGTAGGGTTAGAGGAGAAAAAATAGTAAGATGAGATTATACCAAAAGTTATAACTTCAGGAGGTGTTGTGATCCTTAGATTAGAGAATCATAAAATGAAAAACAGTGTTACCAAGTGCACAATTACCCTCTGCTGCTGATGTTGGAAACCCAGCCATCACCAGAACCAAGAGCCTGCAATTCTGCTTTTGATGCAAAAGCATCTAAGCCTCTAAGTTTGCATTTGTCCACAATTGCTGCTGCTGAGGCTGCTGCTGCTGCTATTGGGGATGGAGCCCTAGACATTCTCCTGCTGAGACCACTGTGGGTCTGTTGGCCATCGACAATACTAGAAACTTGCTCCTTGAAGGGAAACCCAGAAGTCTGCATTTGTCTGTAACTATTCTTATTAACAAAATCACTGCTGGAAGAAAAATAAATAGAGGAAAATATTTTTTTCCTCTACTTCCAATAACCATTTTGTTACCTCCCACTGGAACTTCATGGGAATCCTCTTTACAAGGGTATTTGAAAATTCAGTGTGCATGTTTTCAAACCCATACTATAGAGAAGCAATCGTGGCTGAGTAAAAATAAAATTTAGAACCAACCAATAGCCACCATAGCCCACCATTTTTAGTAATAAGCAACCATTCTTATCAACAATACAATAGACAATGCATACAATAATGATATGATAAATTCTCTCTAATATGATTCAGCTACACCTTATGCAAACTGACATAGTCTTAATTCCCCAGTTCCATTATTCACCATTTCTGTCACCAGGTGATTTAACAACTCATCTAGTTCAATGAAAATTCAACTTAAATATCCTATAATCTAAGACCAAAATTGCAATATAACACCACAAACACTGCATCATAAAAAAGGATGAATAATGAAAAAGATAAAAGTGAAATAATTGGTAAAAGTAAAAAGTGTATTTAGTACAAGGGATTAAATATGAACAGCACTGAAGTTTTCATTTAAGAAACAATTGCATAGATATATGTGCAGGGCTAATAATTATGATATTAAATTAATATTGAAATATTGGAAAGAATTTAAGTGTTCAAGAACAGAAGAGTGGTTAAATGGTACAACCACACAGTCATGTACTAGCAGCTATAAAAAGAAATGAGTCATGCCCAGTGGCTCACTCCTGTAATCCCAACACTTTGGGAGGCAGAGGTGTGTGGTACACTTGAGCCCAGGAGTTCAAGACCAGCGTGGGCAGCATGGGGAGACCTTGTCTCTTCAAAAAATACAAAAACTAGCCAACATGGTAGTACATGCCTGTAGTCCCAGTTGCTCTGGTGGCTGAGGTGGGAGGATTGATTGAGCCTGAGGGGTCAAGGCTGCAGTGAGCTGTGATTGCACCACTGCACTTCAGCCTGGGCAAGAGTGAGCCCTGTCTCAAAAGAGGAGTAGTCTCTTTCAACTGATATCTTTGAGATACACAGTTTATTTTTAAAAGCAAGGTGCATATAGTATATTCAGTATGATTATTTTATGTAAGAAATGAAGGAAATTAGACAATATGTTTATAGATATACATTCAGTTTTGATTTAAAAATACAGATAAATAGGCTGGGCAAAGTGGCTCATGCCTGTAATCCTAACATTTTGGGAGGCCGAGGCAGGTGGATCATCTGAGGTAAGGAGTTCAAGACCAGCCTGGCCACCATGGCGAAACCCCATCTCTACTAAAAATACAAAAATTAGCCAGGCATGGTGGCAGGCGCCTGTAATCCCAGCTACTTAGGAGGCTGAGGCAGGAAAATCACTTGAACCCGGTAGGCGGAGATCATGCCACTTCACTCCAGCCTGGGCAAAAGAGCGAGACTCTGTCTCAATAAAAAGAAAAAGATAGATAGATAGATGATAGATAGATAGAGATAGATAGAGAGATAGATAGATAGACAGATAGATAGATGATAGATTTGAAACAAATAACAATTTGTAACTATGGGACCAGAGACTCTTGTATAACAAAACCATCTAAAGAGTTTTTGCTTTTGATTTACTAAACAAAATTGTCTTTTCAAAACTTAAATAATTTACAAATGTCTAAAATTAAAAGTAAAATAAAAACAAATGATCCCCACCATATATCAAACTGGTAACAAAGCTCAGAGCAAGGATTGATCATAAATAACTCTAAAACATGGGGTTTTAACTGTAACATTTTAGTGAAATACATCCTAAGAGCAAAAGGAACTAGAAGAAATAATCTTTACATGGTAATTTTAAATTTTGTATTTATAGTGATATGGTTATTTTAGAAATGTTTTTATATTATAATTTATAGCAGATCAGTTATACTTTTTGGATTATGATTTTTAATGTAAAAAGTGATGATACAATCAACTTTTAAATATAAAATATATAGCAATGATAGCAAATTGATATGTTTAAAAACATGTAATTACATATATAAAATATATAATATGTAATTCTGACCACTAAATTAACTCCAAATCAATGCCAACCTAGGAGCAAATGAGTGCCCCTAAAACTTTCATTTTGATCTCAATTTCTTCAGAAAATTCAAACCAAGAGTCTTTGGAGACATGACTGATTGCAGATTTGAATCAGGTAAGTGATACAGTTTGGATGTTTCTCCCCTCTGAATCTCATATTGAAATGTGATTTCCAATGTTGGAGATGCGGCCTGGTGGGAGGTGATTGTATCATAGGAGAGAAAACCTTATCAATGTTGTAGCACCATCCCCTTGGTGACAAGTGAGTTCGCCCTCAATTAGTTCACACAAGATTTGGTTGTTTAAAAGAGTCTGTGACCTTCCTCTCCTCTCTCTCCCTCCTGCTGTTACCATTTGACACGCTGGCTGTCTGCCCCTTTGCATTCTGCCATGATTTAAACTTTCCTGAGGCCCTCACCAGAACGTGAGAAGATGCTAGCATGATGCTTCCTGTATAGCTGGCAGTACTGTGAACCAATTATACCTCTTTTCTTTCTAAATTACCCAGTATAACGACACAAAATGGACTAAGATCGTAAGGTATAAGGTAAACCTCGGATATCTTTTTTGTACAAAAAAGCAAAGACTTTTCCCAAAAAAAAAAAAAAAAAAAAAAAACCTAAATGTTGGGGTCACATCAAAAGGATCAGGAGCCAGACTGCAGGGTAAAATTGTCACAATTTGTGCGTCTAAAATAATAGTGACGTTAAAAATTACAAACATAGCGAGTCAATTAAAATTCATAATTATAGAATGATACTTGAAGAGAAATCTAGAAAAATAAACTATTCAAAGTCATTGGTAAAACACTTCTTTTCTTTCAAATTGTATTAAAATATGTTTAAGTATGTATTTTTCTTTCCTTTTGTTTCCACACTTTACAGTAACTGAACAAGGATACTTTATATGGGAAAAGCTCCACTTTAAGAAATATTTCAGGAGAATATTGCTGAATTTATTGGTAGAATTAGAAAGACATTATTGTTCTACAACTGTTAATAAAATTAACTTATACCATGATTATCAATTGAAGTGAAAACAATTACATGTCTAGTGTCAAAGTAATGCCACACAGTTACCCTCTAGTCTCAAGAAAGGAAAAGGAATCGTAATGAAGGGTACATTCATCACCACCCTGCCTCTAGAGGTCAATATTAGCATCATTAGTAGTAAGTATATTAGATAAGTCCCCTGAGGTAGTGTATAACATCATTTATGATGCATTTTAGGCAAGTATGTTCAACTTAATTCTATCAAACCTTTAAACGTGAATACAGAGAATAGGTAAACAGCCTAAATGGCATCACATAGCAAACCAGATAAATCTATAAGATGGAACATTTTAGAAGATAACTGGCATAGTCTGTTTAATAAGCCAGAAACAGGAAATTTAAAGCAATTCCATGTCAAAAACAAAATTGCTTTCAAAGGACAGTATAACCACATAAAATGTTTTTTATAGGCAAATCTAATAAACCAGTTTTAAAGAAAACTGGGAAGAAATTTACTTATGGATAAGTGATATAGATGAAGATAACTATTAAGGCACTTCAACAAATTAACAAAAAAAGTCAAAGCCAGTGGAAAAATTGGTATGAACAACAGCACAAAAAAGATGAGGAAGATGAAACGCAAAATGCTAAGATACTTAGAAGTATATTCACATTCAATGGTAAACAAAAATGCAAATTAAATAGGAAAAGGTCACTTTATACCTATTCAATTGGTATAAATTTGTTGATATGACCATATATTGTTAGGGATGCTGGTATATAGTTTGCTTGGCAGGAAAGGCACGTCCTTTCTTGAAAGTTATCTAAAAGTACTACTGGCTCTCACGGAATCTTCCTCTTTGCTAAAGTTTTTACTCTGTACTAAAACTTTTTAAACTTGTCTGTGAATATCCTGCAGTGTCTCAATTGATGATGTCCTCCTATACAAAACGGGTTATTTTCACAGGTGTTTCAGTAATCTACCATTGTAGGATTTAATTACTTAGTTTCTTTGTTTAACTTTTGCTTTTCTGTACAAAGCATGTAGTGGCAAGTCAACCCCCGAAACCGCAGGACAGCAGTACTGGGAATAAATATGTTCAAGGGAAATATTTTTTCCCCGCAATCCTATACCAGGCCGGAGACACAAGATTTCTTTTCAACATGTTTATTATTGGGCCAATTTATTTCCAAACCCCCTTCTATTCACTTTAAAAAATATTATCATTTATATTTTAGAAAGAAAAGAACCTCGGCAGAAAAAAACTAATCAGAAAATGATAAAGTAAAACTGCAAATGAGTGAGGAGCTAATTGATGCACTAAGGTCCTGGAAGAGTCATAAAGTGCTCGGATTAAGACCCAGGATGCAGAAGTTTAATTATTCTAAGAATACACACACTTCACTCTAAATGAGGCAAAGAAGGAAAGGAATAATGAAGATAGCATAGTTGTTCTTGATTGAAAAGGAATATGAAAGTCTATGGAGTCTGGCTGCCTCTCTTTTAAAAGAAAATATTTTTCTATGTAAGGGAAGTACGGTTTTAGGTGGTAGTTCTCCATCTTGACTGTAAATTGGAATCATCTGGAGAGTATTAAAAACTACTGATGACTGCTTCCTATTCTGAGTTGCAAACTTGGTTCGTCTGTATTATGTGTCGAGCATCAGGATATTTTTTAAGCTTTCCTGGTGATTTTAAGGTGGAGGCAATTGTGAAACCACTTGTATAGGAGGCTAAACAAAAGTTTGAAAATAAATTAAAGCCAAAAGACACAGAAGATCATGTGTGATACCTACAAAAAAATTGCTGAACACAGGGAAGGTTTAATTGAGATTGGCTGCATACCCAATTTATAGTACTCCTAACCAGCATAATGGTTTAACAGTTTAAACACTGTTGACACATATAGTCTCACAAAGAAAATTCTGAGGTTAATATATCTATGGGAACCTCAAAATGAATTACAATGTACTACTCCAAATCTTCCTACGACCTAGGTAAAAATGGGTACCTAAATTGTCCAATAACTTCGCTTTAATAACATAGACCTAGTTATTTTACATAGCCCATATCTATTTTACAATAAAGTCTTCATGTGAACCAAAATTTTTATCCATGCCCTGGATGCTCCAAAATAATGTTAATGCATGTGACAAAATTGCACTTAATGTGAACATTCTATAATAGATCTGAGGAACAATGTATGTCACATTTGACAGCTTTGCTTTCCAAACAAAGTGGTGTTTTTCCTTCCAGTTTAAAGGCAAAAATAAAAATAAGATTTTAATTACTAAGCTATTGCCCTGATGGCTTTTTTGTGTTGGCCTTCTTTTTCAATCAATGACAAAAGCAAATTGTTTGATGTATTATAAAATATACGTTCTAGAAACTGTTAAGTCTTTAATCACTACTCTTATAATATGATAACTGCTTGGTTATGGATTAAATCACACAATTGGATCTCTCATGTTTCTTAAATAGCAGTATGTATTAGCCTGTTCTCACACTGCTATGAAGAAACACCTGAGACTGGGTAATTCATAAGGAAAAAGGTTTGATTGACTCACATTTCTGCATGGCTGGGGAGGCCTCAGGAAACTTATAATCATGGCAGAAGGCAAAGGAGAAGCAGGCACCTTCTTCACAGGGCAGCAGGATGAAGTGAGTGCAAGCAGGAGAAATGCCAGAACCTTACAAAACTATCAGATCTCGTGAGACTCACTCATTATCACAATAATAGCATGGTGGAAACTGCCCCCTTGATTCAATTATTTAATACCTCCACCTGGTCCTGCCCTTGACATACAGAGATCATGGGGATTACAATTCAAAGTGAGATTTGGGTGGGAACACAGAGTCAAACCATATCATAGTGTTTCTCAAGTTTAAATTTTTATTAAGAAAAAAATTATGAATCCTTCAATGATATATTTTCATTAGAAAACAATTAAAATATAGACATACAAGGAATAGAAACAGCTCCAGTCTACAGCTCCCAGCATGAGCAATGCAGAAGATGGGTGATTTCTGCATTTCCAACTGAGGTACCAGGTTCATCTCACTGGGGTTTGTTAGACAGTGGGTGCAGGACAGTGGGTGCAGCACACCGAGCATGAGATGAAGCAGGGCGATGCATTGCCTCACCTGGGAAGCACAAGGGGTTGGGGAATTCCCTTTCATAGCCAAGCAAAGTTGTGACAGATGGCACCTGGAGAATCGGGTCACTCTCACCCTAATACTGTGCTTTTCCAACAGTCTTAGCAAATGGCACACCAAGAGATTATAACCTGCGCATGGCTCAGAGGGTCCCACGCCCACGGAGCCTCACTCATTGCTAGCACAGCAGTCTGAGATGGAACTGCAAGGCAGCAGCAAGGCTGTGGGAGGGGTGCCCGCCATTGCTGAGGCTTGAGTAGGTAAACAAAGCGGCCCGGGAAGCTCGAACTGGGTGGAGCCCACCACAGCTCAAGGAGGCCCACTAGCCTCTGTAGACTCCCCCTCTGGGGGCAGGGAATACCCGAACAAAAGTCAGCAGAAACCTCTGCAGACTTAAATGTCCCTGTCTGACAGGTTTGAAGAGAGTAGTGGTTCTCCCAGCACGGAGTTTGAGATCTGAGAACGGACAGACTGCCTCCTCAAGTGGGTCCCTGACCACCAAGTAGCCTAACTGGGAGGCACCCCTCAGTAGGGGCAGATTCACACCTCACACGGCTGGGTACTGCTCTGAGAGGAAACCTCCAGAGGAACGATAAGACAGCAAGATTTGCCGTTCAGCAATATTCGCTGTTCTGCAGCCTCTACTGCTGATACCCAGGCAAACAGGTTCTGGAGTGGACCTCCAGCAAACTCCAACAGATCTGCAGCTGAGGGTCCTGACTGTTAGAAGGAAAATTAGCAAACAGAAAGGACATCCACACCAAAACCCAATCTGTACATCACCATCATCAAAGACCAAAGGTAGATAAAACCGCAAAGATGGGGAAAAAACAGAACAGAAAAACTGAAAATTCTAAAAATCAGAGCACCTCTCCTCCTCCAAAGGAACACAGCTCCTCACCAGCAACCAAACAAAGCTGGACAGAGAATGACTTTGACGAGTTGAGAGCAGAAGGCTTCAGATGATCAAACTCCTCCGAGCTAAAAGAGGAAGTTCAAACCCATCGCAAAGAAGTTAAAAACCTTGAAAAAAGATTAGACGAATGGCTAACTAGAATAACCAATGCAGAGAAGTCCTTAAAGGACCTGGTGGAACTGAAAACCATGGCACGAGAGCTACATGACGAATGCAAAAGCTTCAGTAGCCGATTCGATCAACTGGAAGAAAGGGTATCAGTAAGTGAAGATCAAATGAATGAAATGAAGCGAGAAGAGAAGTTTAGAGAAAAAAGAATAAAAAGGAACTAACAAAGCCTCCAAGAAATATGCGACAATGTGAAAAGACCAAATCAGCATCTGATTGGTGTATCTGAAAGTGACGGGGAGAATGGAACCAAGTTGGAAAACACTCTGCAGGATATTATCTAGGATAACTGCACAATCTATCAAGGCAGGCCAACATTCAAATTCAGGAAATACAGAGAATGCCACAAAGATACTCCTCGAGAAGAGCAACTCCAAGACACATAACTGTCAGATTCACCAAAGTTGAAATGAAGGAAAAAATGTTAAGGGGAGCCAGAGAGAAAGGTCCGGTTACCCACAAAGGGAAGCCCATCAGACTAACAGCTGATCTCTTGGCAGAAACTTAAAAGTGAGAAGAGAGTGGGGGCCAATATTCAACATTCTTAAAGAAAAGAATTTTCAACCAAGAATTTCATATCCAGCCAAACTAAACTTCATGAGTGAAGGAGAAATAAAATCCTTTACACACAAGCAAATGCTGAGAGATTTTGTTACCACCAGGCCTGCCCTAAAAGAGCTCCTGAAGGAAGCATTAAACATGGAAAGGAAAAACTGGTACCAGCCACTGAAAAACATGCCAAATTTTAAAGACCATCGATGCTAAGAAGAAACTGCATCAACTAATGAGCAAAATAACCAGCTAACATCATTATGACAGGATCAAATTCACACATAACAATATTAACCTTAAAAGTAAATGGGCCAAATGCTCCAATTCAAAGACACAGACTGGCAAATTGGATAAAGTGTCAAGACCCATCAGTGTGCTGTATTCAGGAAACCCATCTCACATGCAGAGACACACATAGGCTCAAAATAAAGGAAAGGAGGAATATCTACCAAGGAAATGGAAAACAAAAAAAGGCAGGGGTTGCAATCCTAGTCTCTGATAAAACAGACTTTAAACCAACAAAGATCAAAAGAGACAAAGAAGGCCATTACATAATGGTAAAGGGATCAATTCAATAAGAAGAGCTAACTATCCTAAATATATATGCACGCAGTATAGGAGCACCCAGATTCATAAAGCAAGTCCTTAGAGACCTACAAAGAGACTTAGACTCCCACACAATATTAATGGGAGACTTTAACACCCCACTGTCAACATTATACAGATCCACGAGACAAAGTTAACAAGGTTATCCAGGAATTGAATTCAGCTCTGCACCAAGTGGACCTAATAAACATCTACAGAACTCTCCACCCCAAATCAACAGAGTATACATTCTTCTCAGCACCACACCGCACCTATTCCAAAAGTGACCACATAGTTGGAAGTAAAGCACTCCTCAGCAAATGTAAAAGAACAGAAATTATAACAAAGTGTCTCTCAGATCACAGTGAAATCAAACTAGAACTCAGGATTAAGAAACTCACTCAGTACCACTCTGCTACATGGAAACTGAACAACCTGCTCCTGCGTGACTACTGGGTACATAACAAAATGAAGGCAGAAATAAAGATGTTCTTTGAAACCAATGAGAACAAAGACACAACATACCAGAATCTCTGAGACACATTTAAAGCACTGGGTAGAGGGAAATTTATAGCACTAAATGCCCACAAGAGAAAGCAGGAAGATCTAAAATTGACACCCTAACATCACAATTATAAGAACTAGAGAAGCAAGAGCAAACACATTCAAATCTAGCAGAAGACAAGAAATAACTAAGATCAGAGCAGAACTGAAGGAGATAGAGACACAAAAAACCCTTCAAAAAAACCAATGAATCCAGGAGCTGGTTTTTTGAAAAGATCAACAAAATTAATAGACCACTAGCAAGACTAATAAAGAAGAAAAGAGAAGAATCAAACAGATGCGACAAAAAATGATAAAGGGGATATCACCACCGATCCCACAGAAACTACCATCAGAGAATACTATAAACACCTCTACGCAAAAAGACTAGAAAGTCTAGAAGAAATGGATAAATTCGTCGACACATACACTATCCCAAGACTAAACAAGGAAGAAGTTGAATCTCTGAATAGACCAATAACAGGCTCTGAAATTGAGGCAATAATTAATAGCTTACCAACCAAAAAAAGTCCAGGACCAGACAGATTCACAGCCGAATTCTACCAGAGGCACAAGGAGGAGCTGGTACCAATCCTTCTGAAACTATTCCAATCAATAGAAAAAAAGGGAATCCTCCCTAACTCATTTTATGAGGTCAGCATCATGCTGATACCAAAGCCTGGCAGAGACACAACAGAAAAAGAGAATTTTAGACCAACATCCCTGATGAACATCCATGCAAAAATCCTCAATAAAATACTGGCAAACCAAATCCAGCAACACATCAAAAAGCTTATCCACCATGATCAAGAGGGCTTCTTCCCTGGGATGCAAGGCTGGATCAACATATGCAAATCAATAAATGTAATGCAGCATATAAAGAGAACCAAAGATAAAAAACATATGATTATCTCAATAGATGCAGAAAAGGCCTTTGACAAAATTCAACAGCCCTTCATGCTAAAAACTCTTAATAAATTAGGTATTGATGGGATGTATCTCAAAATAATCATAACGATCTATGACAAACCCACAGCCAATATCATACTGAATGGGCAAAAATTTGAAGCATTCCCTTTGAAAACTGGCACAAGACAGGGATGCCCTCTCTCACCACTCCTATTCAACATAGTGTTGGAAGTTCTGGCCAGGGCAATTAGGCAGGAGAAAGAAATAAAGGGTATTCAAACAGGAAAAGAGGGAATCAAATTGTCCCTGTTTGCAGATGACATGATTGTATATCTAGAAAAGCCCATCGTCTCAGCCCAAAATCTCTTTAAGCTGATAAGCAACTTCAGCAAAGTCTCAGGATACAAAATCAATGTGCAAAAATCACAAGCATTCTTATACACCAATAACAGACAAACAGAGAGCCAAATCATGAATGAACTCCCATTCACAATTGCTTCAAAGAGAGTAAAATACCTAGGAATCCAACTTACAAGGGATGTGAAGGACCTCTTCAAGGAGAACTACAAACCACCGCTCAACAAAATAAAAGAGGACACAAACAAATGGAAGAACATTCCATGCTCAGGGATAGGAAGAATCAATATTGTGAAAATGGCCATACTGCCCAAGGTAATTTATAGATTCAGTGGCATCCCCATCAAGCTACCAATGACTTTCTTCACAGAATTGGAAAAAACTACTTTAGCTTTCATATGGAACTAAAAAAGAGCCCACATTGCCAAGTCAATCCTAAGCCAAAAGAGCAAAGCTGGAGGCATCACGCTACCTGACTTCACACTATACTACAAGGCTACAGCAACCAAAACAGCATGGTACTGGTACCAAAACAGAGTTAGAGACCAATGGAACAGAATAGAGCACTCAGAAATAATACCACATATCAACAACTATCTGATCTTTGACAAATCTGAAAAAAACAAGAAATGGGGAAAGGATTCCCTATTTAACAAAGGGTGATGGGAAAACTGGCTAGCCATATGTAGAAAGCTGAAACTGGATCCCTTCCTTACACCTTATACAAAAATTAATTCAAGATGGATTAAAGACTTAAATGTTAGACCTAAAACCATAAAAACCAAACCTAGGCAATACAATTCGGTACATAGGCATGGGCAAGGACTCCATGTCTAAAACACCAAAAACAATGGCAACAAAAGCTAAAATTGAAAAATGAGATCCAATTAAGCTACAGAACTTCTGCACAGCAAAAGAAAGTACCATCAGAGTAAACAGGCAACCTACAGAATGGGAGAAAATTTTTGCAATCTACTCATCTGACTAACGGCTAATATCCAGAATCTACAAAGAACTCAAACAAATTTACAAGAAAAAAATAAACAACCCCATCAAAAAGTGGGCAAAGTATATGAACAGACACTTCTCAAAAGAAGACATTTATGCAGCCAAAAGACACATGAAAAAATGGATATCATCACTGGCCATCAGAGAAATGCAAATCAAAACCACAATGAGATACCATCTCACACCAGTTAGAATGGCGATCATTAAAAAGTCAGGAAACCACAGGTGCTGGAGAGGATGTGGAGAAATAGGAACACTTTTACACTGTTGGTGGGACTGTAAACTAGTTCAACCATTGTGGAATTCAGTGTGGCGATTTCTCAGGGATCTAGAACTAGAAATACCATTTGACCCAGCCATCTCATTACTGGGTATATACCCAAAGGAATATAAATCATGCTACTATAAAGACGTATGCACACGTATGTTTATTGAGGCACTATTCACAATAGCAAAGACTTGGAACCAACCCAAATGTCCAACAATGATAAACTGGATTAAGAAAATGTGGCACATATACACCATGGAATACTGTGCAGCCATAAAAAATGATAAGTTCATGTCCTTTGTAGGGACATGGATGAACCTGGAAACCACCATTCTCAGCAAACTATCACAAGGACAAAAAACCAAACACTGCATGTTCTCATTCACAGGTGGGAATTGAACAATGAGAACACTTGGACACAAGAAGGGCAACATCACACACCGGAGCCTGTTGTGGGGTGTGGGGAGTGGGGAGGGATAGCATTAGGAGGTATACCTAATGTAAATGACGAGTTAATGCGTGCAGCACACCAACATGGCAGATGTATACATATGAAACAATCCTGCATGTTGTGCATGTGTACCCGAGAACTTAAAGTTTAATTAAAAAAATGAAAAATATATATGTAGACATACAATTACATGTAGATTTCTTATGATAATCACCCTTTTATAATTTTAAAGCTGAAATGATTTGACAAATTGAGCATAACAAAGACAAACAATAAAATCTCAAATTAATTACATTAAAAATACATATTTTACTAAGAACAAGTGCCATTTCAACAAAAATATTAATTCCTTAAAAAAAGAGTTTTCCTACCTGTTTGACATTTCTTTATCACCTTGTTAAGTTTCATTTATACCACCAAATTTAACTATTAAAATAACTGCAAAATCCTTTGTTTGTATAGTGCATCCTACACATAAAATCAACTTCTGATTTTATCTCTCTATCCCATAATAACCAGGCAATAGAGTTAAGAAAAAATGTAACAGTAAACACAAATAAGATGGGCCTTGAGATTATATTATAGTCCTCAATAGTGAAGTAGCTATTCAGATGTGCAAGATATAATAATATTACTTTTATTAGATTTTAGTTGAAAAAAAAGTATTTTTATGAAGAATTCAGATAATTATGTAATACATCTCTTACTCTGTGGTAAACTGACTTATTGCTCCAAAACTCATGATACTCAAAGACAGTACTATTTTATCCACACAGGTTGTTAATGTAAATTGTCAAAATAGTTGGCTATTTCTACATTTTAGTTTCTTCTAATACAAAATAAAAATAATAGGATCATCAATTTTGGCTTCTTGTTATTAATAATTAACAAATGTATCATAAACACAACATTGTATTCTGACATATTTTTAATCATGAAAATAGATTGGAGTTTTGATTTCATGAAGATCTTCCCCATTGTTAACTTTAGAAAAGTTGAAAAATTTATTTCTAAACTTAATAGGTTTCAGAAATTCACACAATTTTTACAGAAAAGAGCACATAGAACATCCTAGAATGAAAAGATAATTACATATTAGCTAAATAAAATGTTAAATGCAGTAACGAATAATGAATTTTATAAAATACCATTACTATTGCTTTATTTTTGTTTGATCACCAATTTACTGTTAAAATTGCCCACATTAAGGAATGGTTATGTTTGCTACATATTCCTGTACTATTTTCAATTTAGATAAATATTTCTGATCACATCACTTAATAAGATCATCACTCAACTCTTTTAATCAAAAAAGGCTTATGCATCTAATATTAAATATTCAAACACAATTTAAAGTTATAAATTATTTAGAAACTGCAAAAAAATCACATCACCACTTTATACTGGGCATAGGTGGGTTTCCACAATGATTTAACAATGGTTTGCCCAGACCCATCAGTATACATATCTGCCTACCTAAGTAAGCATAATATTGTGAGTAGTTTTCTAAAATTCTCAATATTATCTATGAATGTTACTCTCTAATAAAATCTGGAATTACCTTTGCAAAACTGAAGTTATAAGTTGCTTTTTGCATATGTAATTGTCCATTAGGGAGAGAACCAACAACAAACCAAGAAAATTATTTCTGCTAAACATTAGCTATAATTTATACTGCTTCTTATCATAAAATGAATTAAGGTAACAAGTAATAATACCAAAGATTCACTTGCCCTGCATAACACTTCATTTCTTCTGATATGTTTTTTAGCATTTTATTTATTTACTTTTATACTTTTAAATTTAATTTTAATTTTTAATTACCATGAATACTTAATAGTTGTCCATATTCATGAGGTACATGTGATATTTTGATAGAAGCATATAATGTGTAATTATCAAATCAGGGTAATCAGAATATCTATCACCTTAATCATTTATCATTTCTTTGTGTTAGAAACATTCAAATTTCACTCTTTCAGTTATTTTAAAATATACAAAATATTATTATTAACTGTAGTCACCAAATTGTGCTAGTGAATACTAAATTTTATTCATTCTATCTGACTGAATTTTTGTACCCATTAGCCATTTTGTCTTTTTTCAGTACCCCCTCCCTAATACCTTTCCTAGCCTCTGGTAACAATAATTCTACTCTCAATATTCATGAGTTCAATTTCCTTTTAGCTTCCACATATGAGTGAGAACATGTAATATTTGTCTTTCTGTACTGGCTTATTCCACTTAACATAATGTCCTTCAGTTCCATCCATGTTGTTGCAAATGACAAGATTTTATTCTTTTTTATAGTTGGATAATTTTCCATTTTGCATATGTGCTGCATTTTCTTTATTCATTAATCCATTGATGGAAATTTAGGCTGATCCCATGTCTTGGATACTGTGAATAGTGCTTCAATAAACATGAGAGTGCAGACGTCTCTTTGATCGACTGATTTTCTTTCTTTTGAATATCTACCTAACAGTGGAATTGCTGGATCACATGGTAGTTCTATTTTCAGCCTTGTAAGTAACCTCCACACTGTTCTCCATAGTGGCTGTACTAATTTACATTCCTACCAACAGTGTATGAGGGTAAGTGTTTTCCTTTCTCCACATTCTCACCAGCATATTTTGGATAAAAGCAATTTTATCTGGAGTGAGAGATCTCATTAAAGTTTTGATTTTCATTTATCAGATGATTAGTGATGTTGAGAATTTTTCTCATATACCTGTTGGCCATTTTTATGTATCCTTTTGAGAAATGTCTATTTAGAACTTTTGCCCATTTCTTAATCAGATTATTATTTTTTTCTATTGAGTTTTTTGAGCTTTTATATATGCTGTTTGTCAATCCCTTGTCAGATGAATAGTTTGCAGACATTTTCTGCCATTCTGTGGGTTGTCACTCCACATTGTTAATTGTTTCCTTTGCTGTGCAGAAGCTTTTTAGCATAATGTGATTCTATTTATCTATTTTTGCTTTGGTTGCCTGTTCTTTTGAGGTCTTATTCAATAAATCTTTGCCAAACCAACATCTGGGAGGGTTTTCCCTATTTTTTTTCTAGTAGCTTCATAATTTCGGGCCTTGGATTTCAGTCTTTAATCGATTTTGATTTGAGTTTTGAATATGGCAAAAGATAGGGGCCTAGTTTCATTCTTTTCTTATGGATACCTAGTTTTCCTAGTACCATTTAGTGAAAGGACTTACCTTTGTCCAGTGTATATTCTTGGCATCTGTCTGTTTTGATGCCAGTACCATGCTGTTTTGGTTACTATAGCTTTGTAGTATAATTTGAAGTCAAGTAATGTAATTATTTCAGCTTTGTTCTTTTTGCTCAGAATGGCTTTGGCTGTTCTGGGTCTTTTGTGTTTCTATATAAATTCTAGGATTATTTTTTCTATTTCTGTGAAGAATGTCATTGGTATTTTGATATGGATTGCCCTGAATTTATAGATTGCTTTGAGTAGTATGGACATTTTAACGATACTGATTCTTTCAATCCATGAACATGGAATATCTTTCCATTTGTTTTTTTTCCCCTTTTCAATTGCTTGCATCAATATTTTGTAATATTCATTATAGAGATCATTCACTTATTTGGTTAAGTATATTCCTAGGTATTTTATTTATTTGTAGCTCTTGTTAATGGGATTACTTTTGGGGTTTCCTTTACATATTATTCACTATTGGCATATAGATAGGTTTTTATTTTATTTATTAAATAATACAAATATTTATTGAATCATTGTAATATTAATTGAAATGCGCTGTTTGACTTCAGCAGAGAAAAGGCATTTTTTTGAAAAGCATTTATCTATTGGTATCTTTAAGTGACCTTAATAATCTGTTAAGCAGTATAAAGCTACTTTATTTTCAGAAAGTATGAATATTCATTCTTTATCTCTTTTTGTTCCATATTACCTTCCTTTGTTCACTCTGCTTTTCATAGTTTCAATTATTTCAACTTTTCAAGCATTCTTATATCAATACCTCTGCCACCTTGTATATTTACATTTGCTTTCAGGTAATTCACTTGGATTCTAATAACCTCTCATATTTATCATTTAGCATATTTTCAAGACATAGTATTAGTTTTTGTTGCTCTTTCATTGTATGCAACTAAATGAAGATATTCTACTTCATTTAGAATGAACTAAATGAAGAAGAAATTCTACTCAATGCCTCAACCAAGCTCCTCTGAAACTCAGGTCCTGAATGTTGACAATTGCCTATCCTCAGTCAGACACGGAAGAAGGCACTAAGATCAGTGTGAATCCATACCCCAAAACATAGATCAACAAAGAGATCCATCCCAGGGATCTGCTTACCTGAAGCAGAAGGTGCTGGACATCATAAGTAATATGATCACTTACTTTATTAGCAAATGTGTTGAATTCCTGTGGACTAGACTAGTGTGAGAGTTTGAAAAACCTAGGTTCACAATCAGAGGGGTGATCCACACAATTTTAGATCCTCACAGTGAGGATCTAAAAACAATCTTCTGGTGTCCATGGCAGGGAGATAGGAAGATAAGACATGGTGAAAGTTCCCCAGATTCCTTACCCAAACAAATGCCTATTCTGCAGGGGAAAAGATTTTGTTAGAACATTATATGAAAACCTTATTTGATCTGGCTACCTGGGAGAATTTCTATCCAACTTTGTCCCTCTCCAACTTACTTGTCTCATCTAAAGAAAAACAACAAAAGTGTACACAACAGGGAGCAAAATTCCAGGAAAATATATTGGGTCTGTCTGCTATAGCCCAAGAAAAGAGCAACGTACAGTGAAGAAAGAGAGGCAAAAAGAGAAAAGCTAAATCCCTGGAGAAGGAAGAGGAATACTGGTAAAACCATATTCCAAGACATAGGCCCATGAAAATACTAAGGTTTTATCAGAAAATTAACATTTATTTTTAATAAAAACACTTCCCTCTCTCAAACCCTACCACCACACCAGAGAGCCTCCAATGGATTGCAGTTGAAGGAGTTGGAAGAGTCAGTCTTTATCTGAGTAGCAATACAAACAGAATCCTTTTCCTCCACCAAAAAAAAAAAAAAAAAGAGAGAGAGAAAGAAACAAAGACATAAGAGGAATTTTAATCTGAACTCCTAGCACAATTAACATAGATCTTTAACTAAAGGCCTATTCAGCTCAATATCCATTATGCACGTATGGCTTTCAACAAAAAAATTACAAAACATACCAAAAGGCAAGGAAAAAAGTTAGAAGCTCAAAGCTATCATGAGAACCAGACTCACATAGGACACAATATTATCAGAAAATGAATTTTAAAATAATTATTATTGTTAGGGCCTCAAACAGAAAATGCAGCAAACATGCACGAGCAAATGGGTAATGTCGAGAGAGATGAAAACTAGAAGTAAAAAATGAAATGTAAAACTAGAAATAAAAAACAGAAGGAGAAATGAATAATTTTCACAATGAATTCAACAGTTCACTCAATGAACAAAAGGAAAAAAAAGCTATAAAATTGAAGATTTGTCAATGGTAACTTCTGAAACAGAAATGCAAAAAGAAAAAAGGTACAACAACTAGAACAAGACATCCACGAACTGAGTTACAGTATAAAAAGTTGTAAAAGTAACAAAATTGGAAAAACAGAAAGAGACTAAAGAGAGAATGGTACAGGAATATTTGAAATAATAATAACTCAGAACTTTCCAAAAAAAAAAAAAACAGTCTACAGATTCAGAACGTTTATAGAACACTGAGCAGGATAAATACCAAACAATATACACCTAAGTATATGATATTCAAACTTCTAGAAGAACAGAAAAACTTGGAAGCCAAAAGGTTTAAAATCATTTTACTTATTAAAAAAACAAATTACTATGGTTTGAATGTTTATTCCCCCAAAATTTATATGTTGAAATACTAACCACCAAATTTATGGTATTAGGAGGGGGTGCCTTTGGGACATGATTAGGTCATAAAGACAGAACTCTCATAATTAAGATTAGTATTCTTAGGAACCCAGAGGCCTCTTTCTTTCTGACAGGTAAAGACACAGTGAAAAGATGGTTGTCTAGAAAGAAGGCCCTCCCTAAAGGTCATATTTGGTTGCACCTTAATCTTGGACTTTTGTTTTGTTTTGGTTTTGAGACAGAGTCTCACTCTGTCGCCCAGACTAGAGTGCAGTGGCATGATCTCAGCTCACTGCAACCACCACCTCCCAGATTCAAGCAATTCTCCTGCCTCATCTTCCCAAGTAGCTGGGATTACAGGTGCCCACCATTACGACTGGCTAAGTTTTGTATTTTTAGTAGAGACGGGGTTTCACCATGTTGGTCAGCCTGGTCTCCAACTCCTGACCTCAAGTTATCTGCACGCCTCAGCCTCCCAAAGTGCTGGGATTACAGGCGTGAGCCACCATGCTGGGCCAGTCTTGGACTTTCTTCAGAACTGTAAGTAATACATTGTTTATAAGCCACTCAGTCTATGATATTTTATTATAGCAGCCAGAACAAACTAAAACAATACAACTTATACAAGTAAGACAGTGGAATAAAATATTTAGTGTTGAAAGAAAAAATAAAACCACAAACCAAGAATTCTTCTTCAAAAGTGAGGGAGAAATAGGGCTTTCCAAAAAAAAAAAAAAAGGCAAAAAAAAAAAAAAAGGCAAATAAAGAAAAAAAAAAAAAACTTGAGGGAATTCATTACTAGCTAATTTGCTCAGTAAAGAATCTCTTCAGGCAGGAGGTAATATAGGCCAGAAAATGGAATCTATCTAAAGAAAAAAAAAAACAGCATCAAACAAAAAATAAATGCAAGTAAAATAAAAATATTTAGTGTGTTATTCTTAAACGTAACTGCTTAAAGAAATAACACTAACAACGTATTCAGTGACTATTATATACAGATATGTGAGTTGAATGTCAGCAATGGCACAAAGGATGAAAGAAAGAATTGGGACTACTCTGTTATAAGCTACCTGTGCTACAAATAAAGGGAAATGGTGTTATTTGAATGTACACTTAGATTACTTTAAAATGTATATTGGAAGCTCTAAGGCAATCTTTGATGTGTTTAAAAAATATAATTAATATACTAAGAGAAGAGATAAAATGGAATTTTAAAAAGTGATCAGTTGAAACCTAGAAAGTCAGAAGGGATATAAGAAAACAAAAGATGAACAAAATGAACAGAAAGCAATTATTAAAATGGTAGGTTTAAATCCAACTATATCAGTTATCACTATACATGTGAATATTCTAAACATTGAATTTAAAAAGCAGATTACTGGACTGAATTTTTTTTAAAAAAGCAACTATATGTTGTCTCCAATAAACCCACTTTAAGTATAAAAATATTTATAATTTTATGTGTATTACTTAAATTTAAATATAATCTTCATTTAAAGTAACAATATAAAAAAATATAGAATCATAACACCAATCAAAACAGCACAGGAGTAGCTATACCAATTTGAAAAAGACTTCAAAACAAAGAAGACTATCACGAATAAAGAGAAGCATATAAAAATAAAGGGATCATTTAATCAAAATGGCATAACAATCCTAAATACGTGAGCACCTACCAACAGAGCACCAAATCATATAAGGCAAAAAGTGATAGAACTAAAAGAAGGAATAGACAAATTAACTTTTTGTTGGAGATTTCAGCACATCTCTGTCAATAATTGATACATCAGCTAGGCAGAAAATGAGTAAGGAAATAGATGACCTGAACAGCAGTATCAATCAATTTAATCTACTTGATAATTATATAATACTTCATCCAGAAATAGCAGAATTCACATTCTTCTCAAGCATAAATGGAATATTCACTGGCAGATTACATCTTAGCTATTAAAAACATTTTAATAAATTTAAAAGAATAGAAATTACACAAAGTATGTACTTTGATTATTGAAATTCATATTAACATACTGAAAAAGGAAAAAACATCATATTAAAAGATGCAGAAAACTTTATCACACAGTCGTGATAAAAACTGTCAAAAAAACTATAAATGGAGGTGTTTTTTAAAACTAATAAAGGGTATATACAAGAATATCCATAGTTAACATCATACTTAATAAAATGAGACTGAATGCATTCCTCTTAAGTTCAAAAACTAAGTAGTAAGTCATCTATCAATATTCATATTAAACATCAGCTGAATGTCCTAAACATCAGCTGAATGTCCTATCTAGTACAATGAAAAAGAATTTAAAAAGACATAGAGATTCAGAGGAAAAATTAAATGTGTCCTTAATTTCAGGTGACATGATTGGCTATATAGAACACTTCAAAGAATATAGAAAACTAATAGGCTGAGTATAATAAGGTCACTGAATACAAGGTCAATATACAAAAGTTGTTTGCTTTTTTTATGATCAGGCAAATAACAATTGGAAAATCAATTTTAAAAAATAAGTACAATTTACAATAACATCAAAAAAGTTCTTATGTATAAATAAAATCTGTACAGGATCTGTATACAAAAAACCACAATCATGAAATAAATCAAAGGTTTAAGTAAAGGAAGAAATATTCTGTACTCATGGATTAGGATGCTCAATATTATTAAGTTGTCAAGTTTTTAAATACTATTTACAGATTCAATACAATCCTAATCAAAATCCCAGCAACCTTTTTCTATAGACATCAGCAAACAGATTTGGAAATTTATATGGAAGGTCAAAGCATGTAGTAAAGCAACAAAGTATTTAAAAAGAAGAACAAAGTTGGAGGACTCACACCACTTAATTTCAAGACATAATTTAAAGCTAGAGTAATCAAGGCAGATCATTACTGGGGAAATAATAGTCACATAAATCAATGGAACAGAATAAAGAGGCCAGAAATAGATCTACACAAATAAAGTCAACTGATTATTGACAAAAGCACAAAGATTTAATGGAAAAAGGCAAATTTTCCCACAAAGGTACTAAAACAATTGGGTATCCATCCACTTGTAAAAAATTGAACCTAGGTATAGGCCTCACAACTTGTACAGAAATTAACTCAAAATAGGCTATAGACTGAACAATATTCTAAAATAAAACATAGGAGGAAATTGGAGTAATCTTTGGTATTGAGGTCCATTTTTAGATACAACACTATATAAGTGTTGTAAGACTTTTCCTTAGTTCAGCTAAAGAGGGAGTGCTTGTCCATCCCACAGCCATGAAAATTTAGGCTCACAGATGGGTTACAGCACGAGTAAATCAGGATTGTATTGGGTGAAAAGGGAACAAAAGAGGGAAACAGGGACTCTCGCAAGGCCAAAGTCCCTCCACTAGAGTGCTTCCTGCCTGGCAGTTTGAATCCCACACAGGAAGAAGAGGAGCTGGGCTCCTGCAAATGCTGTGAACTTCCTGAAGCTCCACCTCAGTGGGCAGGCTGGTAGGAGTTTTTGCAGGGCCCCCGTCCCACCTGGCTGTCTCATTCCCTCTCTAAAGAATGACATCTAACTGCCATTAGGAGAAGAATAAGAACAAAGACCAAACTTAAATGCTTCCTGCTGAAAGCGGTGCTGTTTGGGGAAATGGGAGTCAGAGCTCCCTCTGAGGCTGATCTAAGTGTTCCCAGTAGAAGGGGCCATCGTCGGAGGCTCCAGTTGCATGACTGTTTGGAGTTTGATGGCCTGAAGGCAAGAACAGCCAAATGGGGTTATTAGAAAACATGTATCAAAACAAAACAAGTTGAGGGACAAGGATAGCTCAAAAATTCTGAGGCCATTTACCAGTTTGCACAGGGAGAGGGAGGCCAAAAGCCCAGTTGTTTAAAAAAACCTTTACTCTTTTGCCAACTTTCAGACTTCTGGGTTCCCTTCCCCTGAGCCCAATCCTAAGCCAACCAGTTTAAGGTTTGGCAGATAACTCTTTCCAATTTGGAGGATGCATCTGAGAGGGGTGTCCCATAATATGGATACCCAATTACCTACTAATGAAGAGAGAATAGAGAAGGAGAAAGGAATAAAAAAAAGGTGTTTGTTCAAAGGAGTCCCAGGGGTTCAGGAGGCATTCTAAAGGGGTACAGACTGAAAAGGAATGGCTACCCATCTAGAAAGAAGGGAGTAGTTCTCCCTGGTTCCTTCTCTTCCTAGAAGATACCCAGGGAATGTGAGGGAGAGAGGGAAGAGAGTCCTATTTCTGTCTTCCATCCTTGCATCCCTGAGTTCAGGCAACCCTGGCAGGTGTTGCCATGAGTACCAAAGCAGCTTGCACCCATGAAACAGGGGGACCTAGAGAATAGGAATTATCTGCTCTCACCTATCTCTCTTTTCCACCTACTGTCAGTAGCCTTGGCATTCTCTAGAACTCATTTATGCCATGGATATTAAAGTGGCCTTTATCCATGAAATAGGAAGCTTGGGCTTGGCTTAATCGGCAGGAATTAGCTATGCTTACCTGTGCTGTGCCTTTTAACCCCTATTGTCATCTGCCTCTGGATTCCTTAGATCCAGTTTTCTTCCCTAGGGCTTTGACCCAAGGCTTGGAATTGAGTCTGGGACAAAAATGTATCTCGGTTGTGGGTTGCATGGACTCCTTATCATAAGCTGAATGCTAAGGTGCAACTGTGGAACAAAGTCCTCCTCCAACAAAGGAGAGGAAAAGGTGTTTTGTGACACAACCAGATAACTGGTGGCTGTAGTTATGCTTGCTAGGATTTGGGTGCATGGTGCTTGACTTTGGTTAGCTCTCTTGGTTTTACTTTCCCAAAAGGAAACCTCCAGGTGATGGGCTCTCTATTTGTTCCCTATTTATCTCATCACCTGGCAGAATGTGCAGGATAGTTGCTCAGAACTACAATATTGATCCAGATTTCTACATTACCCATCCCTCTTGTTCTTTCTGAGCAGCACCCAGAGATTTCTGGTAGTTTCACAGGAACAAGCAGGGTTAGTCTAAAACGTAGGCAAAATTTAAAAACAACTAATGAGTTTAGAATTTAATGACAACTGTATGATAAGTTTGAAATATAATTTCTCTCTCTCCAATCCTCATTTTTGTTAAAAAATTATCATAAGACTGAATGGTTTGCAAAATAGACTTTAGTCTTATACTTAGCCTAATTATTTGCATGAAGTGCAGCAAGAATAATTATTTTTACATAGGCCTTTTGGATTGGCTTCAATGGAAGTTTGTTCCACAAGAAGTCTCAGGTAAGAACTGTTAAAGTTGAGCCCAACCATGGGTTTGTGTCCTCAAACACCTGTGAGTTGGGTGCTTCTTGCCTGTTAAGGTCCCGAGATAAACCTGGAGCTCCTACACCTATTAGAAAGTGACATTCTTTACTGACCACAGGTCAGGAACCCTGTACAGAGACTGTGTAGATGAGGTAAGAGGCCAGTTTCCCCACTGGGCTTTTATTGGGTCTGCAAGTCAAGATTGACTCCTTAAAGGAAAACATACCCTTCCAATCAAAGCCCTGGTAAAATAACCAATTATTCCAATTGTGTCCTGTTGCAAAAGAAAAATGTACTCTTATTGCACTGATGCAAACAACTGTATTGCCATAAGTTAAGAATACTCATAGTTTCCAGATTCTAGAGGAACCAGGCAAAAAGAAACAAACACACTCCAAATTTTGGTCACAGGAGTGTATACCTTACTTAATTATTAAAGGCCATAGATAGTTCAAAATAAGATCCCTTTATGAAAAACAAAACAAGGATCGGCAATATTCCAAGCAAAAGTCAAAAAGATTTGCTTCAGCTTCCTGAGTTCAGTTCATTTAGTTAACTCTTGTTTTGCTTGATATTTGTGAGCATTTCAGCTCTTCATGAGTCCTGCACATTTTTCTGTATTCTAATGTCATAATATCCAAATTTATCAGAAGCCTCTATTTGAGTGTGCCTGTCGAAGTCCTACAGCTTATTATAAACCATGTTTTAAAAAGGATTATAACAAGATTACAACTGTCTGAGAATAGCAAAATGCAAGTATAGTTACAGTTAGAAACACAATTGACAAAGAAGTTTGGTTATCTCTGTGGTTTACAATAAGTTAACAAAACAACCTTAATTATAATTGATAGCATATACTCAGACATTAGAATTTTAGAAATCTCATACAATTTTGGAACATATATTAGCATTATTCACAAAAATATAACCTAGAGAAGAATGAGCATCATTTTGGCAATCCCCTGTTCCTAAACATATAAAATAATCCTGCTTACCTCTCTTTTCGGGACACTTCAGGGGCCCTCTGAAGTATTTTAAAAGCTAGGTGCCAGGGAAGACAATTTTAAAACTGAAGTTTGATTTTGGGAAGGCTGTTAAAGTGTGCAAGGTTTAAAACACTTGATATTATGAAATAGAATTCCAGATTACCATAAGTTATTTATTTTGCCAAAATGTTGACTCAGAAATTTTAAAGAAGCAAAAACCTTTCATAGCCCTTTACAAATTTTGCCAAAGAGCAGATTAGCACCTTGGGGAAACCTTGTTATGCTTTTATTTCAATGTTCAATTTAGAGAAAAACCATGTAATACCCTTTTTTGAATTTAGTCAATGTGTTCAAGCAGAGAATCTCTTCTGTAAGATTAATTTCCACAATCCTTCCACCACTTCTTTGAACCTTCAGTTTTTCCTAATTTAACTTAACACAATCCTTTAACACTATGCCAAAGTTTACATTTCCACATCTCCATATAACTTTTCACTATAAAACACATTTCACTGTTCTTACACACCTTGCATGTAAATCTATTACTAGTACTTTCAATTAACTCCTAGAAATTTTTAACTTTAAGGTAAAACTTGGTAAGTTGCTTAAATTGTGTGCTAAGTACAGCCAAGGTTTGCCTTTTTAGTTAAGGGCGTGATAGGTTCCGTATATCCCCAGTACTTACCAGTTGTGAAGCCAGCAAGTCAAATAGTTCTCAAAAGCCAAAAAGTGGTTTGTAACCTGAAAGCACTTAGCAAACCTTGCATCTGACCTGCATTTTAACTATAGTCTTTAGGTCTATTTTTATTTTTCAAAGATTAAAGTCATGTGAGCTGAAAGGTACCACAGCTTTTACCTTCCTATAAAAAAAAGCATTTGATCCAAGCACTTCTCTTTCTTTAGGCCAAGTTAATTGGAGCTCTTTTTATAGACATTTCACACAACACGCACAGAGACAGGCAGAAGAAAACCCAGTCCCCACAATATCCCAGTCCCCACGAGATCCTTTTTCACAACCAAAACTTTACGGAGGGTACACACATTGGTAGTTGGAGGGCCTGGCTTAGTAAAAATGTCTTCTAAAAGGAAAAAAAAATTAAAGGTTAACTGCTGATGAGATAGAGAAAGGGAAGAAAAAAACAGTTCAAAAATGCCTGGAGAAGAACCTCTTATTTTTTTGCAACTGGTTCCTCCACTAGGGAGAAAAATTTAAGCATAATTTCTATTCCATAGAGTTAAACCCCTTGGCCAGGGAAGGGGAAGGCTGCAGCAGCGATGTGTGGCTGGAAACCAGCCAGCCAGCTGTGCAGGACCCTTGGGCCATGCATTCCAGCCCCGGTGGGAAGAGGGGAGTGGCGGGAAGCTGTTGCTCACTGGTGGGTCCTGAAAAAGGAAGAAAAAGGCCATGAAAAAGCCTGGGAGCAACACAGGTTGAAGGCATTGGTTTCCTCAGAAGTCCAAGAATGAAAAGGATTAGAAGCAACAGTAAGAGGTTTTGAGTCACCATTTCACTCACCGCTTCTTGAGCCCCACATTGGGTGCCAAAAATGTTGCAGGACTTTTCCTTAGTTCAGCTAAAGATGGGGTGCTTGTCCCTCCCATGGCCATGAAAATTTACAGGCAGCTTAAAGGGTAAGTAAAGCAGGGTTTTATTGTGTGAAAATGGAAAAAAAGAGGGAAACAGGGACCCTCACAAGGCCAGAGTCCCTCAAGTAGAGTGCATCCCACCCAGCAGTTTGAATCCCAGGTTTCACACAGGAAGAAGAGGGGCCAGGCCCCTCCCTGCTGCAAATGTCCTGAACTTCCCAACTCTCCACCTCAGTGGGCAGGCTGGTTGGAGTTTTCAGGTAACCTCTCCCGCCTGGCTGTCTCAAAATTATACAATCTATGAAAGAGCAATTTGAAAAGTTGGGCTTTATTATAAACTTTGCTCTGTGAAAGACCCTTGGAGAAAATATTTGCAAATGACATGTCTGGAAAAGAACTTGTGTCTAGAATATACAAAGATCTCTTAAAACCTAACAAGAAGGCCAGGCATGGTGGGTCACACCTGTAATCTGAGCACTTTGGAAGGCTGAGATGGGCATATCATGAGGTCAAGAGTTTGAGACTAGCCTTACCAACATGGTGAAACCCCATCTCTACTAAAAATATAAAAATTAGCCAGGCATGGTGGTGCATGCCTGTAATCCCAGCTACTCAGGAGGGTGAGGCAGGAGAATCACTTGAACCCAGGAGGCAGAGGTTGCATTGAGCTGAGATCATGCCAGTGTACTCCAGCCTGGGCAACAGAGTGAGACTCTGTCTCAAAAAAAACAAACAAACAAACCAAAAGAAAAGAAAAAAAGAAAAAACTAACAAGAAGAAAACAAACAAAAATTTTGAAATGGACAAAAGATGGCAACAAATATTTCACCATAAAAGAATAGAAGACAAAGAGATGACAAATAAGCATACGAAATAAAAGTACCCAACATCATTTATCATAAGGGAAATGCAAATTAAAACAATGAAATAACTTTACATCTTTATTAGAATGACTAGAATTTAAAATATTTGAAAATACCAATTGCTGGAGTGGATAGAACAATATAATTCTCGTTCATTGCTGGTGGGAATGTAAAATGGTACAGACACTTTAGAAGACAGTTTGGTAGTTTCTTATAAAGTCAAAAATAGTCTTACAATGCAATTCATCAATCACACTAAAAAGTATTTACCCAACTAATCCAAAATATTATAGTCACACAAAAAACCTGCACACAAATGTTGATAGCAGCTTTACTCATGATTACCAAAGAATGGAAGCAACCAAGTTGTTTTTCAAGAGGTTAGTGGAAAAACAAACTGTGGTATATACATACAATTGAATACCATTCAGTGATTTAAAAGGAATGAACTACCACTCTGCATGATACAGTGGATACATCTTAATGCATATTACTATGTAAAAGGAGCCAGTGTGAAAACGCCACATTTTGTATGATTCTGTTTGTATGACATCCTGGAAAATGGAAAACTTTGTAGAAGGAAAAAAATTAGTGTCTTCTAGGGGTTTATAGAGGGGATACTTTTGAATGGTTAAATTCTTGTGGGATTTTTTTTGTTTTATTTTGTTTTTAGAGCTTTGAAAATAGTCTGCATGATGCTATACTGGCATTTACATGATATTATTCATTTGTCAAAACCCCTAAAACTTTATAGCACAAAGTTTGAGACAATGTATGCAAATTTAAAAAATAAATTGGGACACTGACAGATCCCATGATAAGATGCCTACTGTGACAAAATAATGTAACTGTGTTGCAAACATATGATGTAATCTCATTGAGAAGGGTGGGGTGGGGGGAGATACTAAGCAAATTTGAACATTTCTGGAGACTTTAAGACTAAAGACAACAGGAACTGTATATAAGCATTGTCCTCCAGTTGGCAAAGTTGTTTCTTTACTGTTAACAATTCTGGTACTACTAAAGTTATACTTTAGGATCAGATAAATCAGTAAATGGATTGCAAATGTTGGAAGCCAGACTTCTCACTGTTGGAGTGATTGTTAAATGTAATCAAGCGGTGAAGGCTAGAGTGAGTCATGATACTGGGTTAGAGTTGGAGACATTCGTATGAATGTAGGATTAACCTAACATAGCTACAGATGGGAAAATAGAAAACCAGTTACAGATAAATGTGTATACAAGGGCTAGTATACACACACATAGTTCCAAAATCTGTTGCCAAGGGATCCTAGAAGCAACAACACCCAAGTCATTATGAGTAAATACACCCATTGCCCAGATCTTTGTTTCTAATACTCCTCTGCAATTGAAGAAATCAGTCACCTTGAAAGAAATGTCTGATTGTAAAACAAGAACAGGAAATATACAGGATAATCCTAGAGGTATTGTCAAAATGAAAGGAAATGTTGAAAAAAAGAAAAAGAAAAGAAACTACTGAAGCATGTCAAAGGGACATAGGAGCTAACTGAAAGAGTTGAATTGCCAAATTTGGAAAGTTTGAAGAGCAAAATAAATAATGTAGTATTAGATTATAACCTAAAGCATAAAGTAAATATCTACAAGTTCATATTGACAAAAATAAATGACGGAATAAATGAATAAAAGAAAATCGATTTCTCATTTAGAAAAAATCCATATATGTTATGTTGATATTGCCCCCTCAAGAAGATGGACTATAACTCTTCACCCTAAACATGAGCTATTCATAGTGACTTTGTTCCAAATAAGACAGTATAGAAAGTTGTGAGGGAGATTTTACAGTGAAGAAACTTACCAATATCTCAGTCAGCTGAAGATGATTAGTATCAATGGTGATAACTCATGTTGATAATATATATCTATGATATAATATGATGAGAATAATACTTTACCTCTGTGATCTTCCTCCCTCCAAAACCTATAACTCCACTCTAATCATAAGAACATATCAGACAAATCCCTGTTGAAGAACATTATCTATAAACACCTGACCTGTATTCCTTAAAACTCAAAGTTCTAAGTCAATGAAATCAGAGAAAGCATTACAGCTGAGATAAGCCTAAGGCAGCATGATAATATGTAATATGGTATCTTGGATGGGATCCTGAAACAGAAGAAAACATTAGATAAAAACTAAGAAAATCTGAGTATAATATGAAGTTTTGCTAATACTAACATATCAATATCATTCCTTAGTTTTGTCTTATCTTTCATACTAATATAAGGTCTTAACAATAGCCAAACTATGTGTATGTTACACATGAACTCTATAAACTATTTTTTAATTTTCTATAAATATAAAACTGTCCTAAAATAAAAGCTCATGTAACCAAAAGCAAGCAACAACTGATGCTACATCTGAAAAGCAAGCAAACAAACAAGCAAAAAAAGCTATGTAGTTCTTTGTTGTCCCAAAAGTATAGGAAACTAACAACGGACAGTCCTTGATCCCAAATTTTCTTTCTAAATTTAAGTTATAATTAAAGACATCATTTTATAATTTTTCTATTGAGATCTTTGCTGGAATAAAGCCTAGGAACAAATAAACAATTTTTTTATTAAATAATAAGTACTGAGAGTTTCTGAAACATTTCTTTCTTCAGAATAGAAATGTCATTACCACTCCAACTTGTTAACAGATTCTCTTCTTCTTTTTTTTTTCACAAGGACTAATTCATGGTGAGTAGTGTTACATTCTCTTCTTTAGGCACATCAAGGATCCCTTTCTATTACAGTAGATCAAGTATGTATTTCAGTGCTCAATAAATTTTTTCAAGTATAGCTTGTAATAAATGGAAAGTAGAATGAATTTTATTAACCATCCAATATGTATTTTTGTCTAAGAATCTGGAGTAGGAAGCCAATTTGGAAGGCACACATAAATCTTATAAATGTATTGGTAGAGAATCGGTGAGCAATGCTATCAAACAGAGCATTTCTTATAAATTGATGATCTTCAAGTAGATGGGTATGCTGAGTGCCTGGAATGATAGCCTGAATATTATCATCACTGCCCTTATTATAGTTTTCAGTGCTATTCACATGTGGAATCATTTGAAAACATTATTAAATAATTATGTTTTTAAAATATGTTGGATTTAATGTTAGAGAGATATCACTTTAATTCACAATTATCTTTAGGGTTTCAGCATTACCCAAATTCTAGATATTTTAGTAAAATACAAAATCAATTTTAAATGGAATCAAAATGTCATGATTAGTTAATAGAGATTAATAGAAAGCCCTAGATCAGCTCATTTAAGTATAACTATTAATAAAGAAAAGAACAATGAAACTCAGGACATGTGTTCTGGTACTGTAAGTAGACAGCAGGTATGTAAGGAACAACTTGAATAATACATTCCTATCAGTAGTCACAGGAAGAAAAGATTTTTTAAGTCCAAGTGAAATACAGAAAATGATTGACCATGAATAATTATTAATGCTCCTTTTCATTAAAAATACCATTATGTTATTATGAAAGAATCCACCTGTTATTTTAAAATAATTTTGAAGTATTTTAAAATAAAATATAATGCCACAAATATTTTAGGACACCAGAATTATATACATTTACTATACTTGTTGCTGTGGCCGGGTGCGGGGGTCGGGTTGCAAATGTTAGACACTATATATCTGAGTGTATGTGTATATGTATTTGTGTGTGTGGGTATCACAATTTAGAATAAAATTTATTTTAAAAATAAACACACACAATGATATCATATCTCTGGTTTTGCAATCCACAAATTGCCAAGTGTCTATTATTTTGCCAGGCATCATTCTAGGTGCTTAGACTATATAAAGGAATAGAACAGACAAAAATATCTGCCTTATTTCCTTATGGAGTTTACTATAATTATTAATAATAATGTTAATATTCTAGTATAATGTTGTACATGAAAGGAGGCCAAAGAAGACAGACTACAAACAATTAATTTAATAAATAAGTGTATATGTTAGAAGGTGATAACTGCTGTTGAAAATATTTTTTAAGTAGAACAGAGTAAAGGATATTTAGAAAACAAGGGGCTAGGGGAATGTGTTCAAAGTTTAAACTGGTCATTCATGGCAGCTGTTATCAAGAAAATGATATTAAGTAAGGACTTGAAGAAAACCAGGAAGCTAGTAATATGGATATTTGTACTAAGGAAGTTCCAAGCAGCAGTAACATCCAACACTATAGCACCAAATCAGGATAATGCTATGGGATCCAGGAACCACAGAAAGACCAGTGTGGTTTGAGCAGAGTAAGCAAGGTAAATTATGTTGGGAATGAAGTTGAGGGTAACAGAGTTCATGCATGGTGCTAGAGGCAATTTAAGAAACTTTCCATTTTACTCTGCGTTAAATGGAAGACATTGAAATGTTTACAGCAAAGAAATGGCCTGATTTGACTCACAATTTATAAATATTATTAATAATCTTATTGATCTTTTAAGATTTAGACTATAGGAGAGCAAAGGTAGAAGCAAGGAACCCAGCTAAGAAGCTAAATTGCTGTAATGAAGGCATTAGTCATTTAGGAGAGTAGTTGGAATGGAGATGACAAGATGTGGTCAAATTCAGGATCCATACATAAGGTGGAGACAGCAGGATTTACTGGCATTTTATTAAGATGTGAAACATGACAGAAATCAAAGATAATTGCAAAAAAAAATTTTAACCTCATCAATAGAAACAATAGAGTTTCCATTATATCAAATGAAAAAGAAAACTTCTCATTTCCCAGAAGCAACAGGGACTTCTGATGTCTAGTCTGGCATATAAGGAGTTCGGAAGTCTTCACTCTGTCTTAACAAGAAAAAAGCAGAACAAACTGGAAGATCAACAACTCTTCTTAGATCTGTCAGAGAAGTGATGTCAAAAGCAAAATCACTGTCCCCTAAAATGGGAGAAAATGACAGGTGAATACAGACAACTTACTGGAACAAAAACCCATGCGCAGGAACCTCTGCAGGAACCAGTACCAGGATAGGAAAATCTAAACTCCCACTGAACATTTGCTGAAGGCTTAGTGTGGACAAATCTGTCTTAAAGGAGTCTCTGCACTTTTGTGAGTTTTAAATCCAGGAGCTCTATGAGGTTTGAGGAGGAAAAAAGTGAACATTTTGAAATGTACCAGAGTATTCTCCTTTTTTTTATCAAGGCCTGCCCTCAAGAGAAACTATTTTATCAGAACTTAACCTATTGGGCTTTTATTAGAGCCTAACCAACCTAAGGGGAGGAGAAGTACCCAACTCCAACCTCCTCTGCTCATCCTGTTCCACTTAGGGGATGGAATGGGGTCAGAATGAGAAGTATTTTTAAAGTTCACAGCACAGCAGCACAGGCTCACTAAAAGAATGAAACTTAAAGTTAGACCTATGGAATACTTCCCCTTGCCCCATACTTTATGACCACATTCCTAAAGTCCTGTTTGCCTGTTTCTTTTACCCAGTCTATTATGTCTGACTTTCAAAAAATTACAAGGCATGCGAAAAGGCAATAAAAACAAACCACACAGTTTGAAGAGAGAGAGGAACCATCAGAACCAGACACGTCTGGGATGTTGGAATTATTAGATAGAGACTTTAAAACAACTATGATTAACACACTAAGGGCTTAATGGAAAAAGTATACAACATGATGGGCAATGTAAGCTGAGAGATAAAAAAAAATTAAAGAGTCAAAGAAATGTTAATGATCAATAACACTAAGGCAGAAATGAAGAATGCCTTTGAATGGCACATTAATATACTGGGCATGGCTGAAGAAAGAATCTCTGATCTTTAGGGTATATCAATAGTAACTTTCAAAACTTTAAAGCAAAGGAGAACAGATGGCAAAAACAGAATAGAATATCGAAAACGTGGGACAACTACACAAGGTGTAACACATGTGTAATGAGAATATAGGAAGAAGCAGAAAGAGAGAAAGAGAAGAAATATTTAGTGCAATAATAACTGAGATTTTCTCAAAATTATTGCCAGGCACAGAACCACAAATCCAGGAATCCAAGAGAACGCCAAGCAGAATAAATGAGAAACAAAACAAAACTACACTGGACAGGAAATCAAGACAAAAAAATTTGAACGAAGCCATAGGGGAGTAGGGAACCCCTTAACATAAAGAAGAACAAAGATAAGAATTACATCTAACTTCTCAGCGAAGCTATGGGAAGGGAGATTTGGTAAAATTAAGGCTGTAGATTCAAATAGTTTTGAGTTTGAGATGTCTATCAAACTCCAAGTGAAAATGTACAGTCAGATAGCTTCAGAAATTTGTAGTGTAGGAGAGATCTGTGCTTGAAATATACATTTAGGAGTCAATGTCATGTAGACAACACTTAAAGCTACCAGAGTGGATAAGATCACTGAGAGAGTAAGTATTCATAGAGAGGAGAAAACAAGGCTGATCTCTGAGGCAAACTAACTTGACACTTTCAAAGTAAAAAGAAGGAGCAGCCAAAGAGCCTGAGAAGTGCCTTGTAAAGCAGAAGAAAACCCAAGAAACCTGGTGTCCTAAAAGCTAACTGAAGAGTATGTAGCAAGGAAAAAAGGAGCAGTTGTTAGCATGCGGCTAGTAAGTAAATTAAGATGGGAACTGAGAATCTACTATTGGATTTAGCTGGTCGAAGGTCATTGCTGACCTCAGGGAGAGAAATTCTGATGGAGCTGTAGGGACAAAAGCCTAACTGGAGTGAGATTAAAATAAAGTGAAAAGAAACACAGTGTAGGGTGAATGGTCCAGCCAGAATCCTAGAAAGGAAAACAAATACACAAAAATAGAAACAAGACACAAACTGTCAGAAAATGAGCTGCAAAGAATAAATGTTGCAGAGTGGCTACATTTATTGGTAATGGGAATATCTAGGGAGTGAGTGGTGCGGGTATGGTGGAAGACAAGATTATTTTAATAAAATTGAGGCCAGGTGGAGGTAGTGTTATCTACACCAAGAATTATGACAGAAGTAATTGGAGAGTGATTCTGAGCTAGGGCATAACTCATGGAAAAATGAGGAGGAATGATGCAGTTTGGAAGATAGCCATAACTGAAGAATAGAGGGTTTAACAATTAGATGGAATGAAATACAATGCTTGAGGGTTTTAGGAGGGTTAAGAGAAAATTCTCTCAAACATGAAATGAGAACCCAAGGACATCTACCTTATTGACGTACCCAGTGGTACAAACTCTAAGAGGGAAAAAATATATGAGTAGGCTATAGGAGAAAGCATACTTAGCAAAACTCATCACTATTTGGGATTTGAGGTCCAAAATTAATGACACATATGGGGGAGCATCATTCATATTTTTTGCAAGGCTAAATTAAAACAAAAATTTCTAATTGCACGGTAATGTTTCAAAAAAGTACAAAGGCAGGGACAATGGAATTTATACGGTATGCAACTAATTGTATACAGAACTGACAATTCCCAAATAATCATGAGGCAGAGACACTTTTTGACTACACTTCTCCTATCATCACCAGTAAACTAAAATTTGAGCCAAAATAGAGTTTAGTCATCCTTTTTGCAGGGCCTTTAACAGAAGTTGAAAGTCAATCATCAATTGACTTGTGCAAATTGGACTTGTAGCACAGCATTTTTTTTGCAGTGTATAATATATTAATATTTCATTCTGACTATGCACATTAAGGAAGGATTTTTAAAAGGGGCACATGGCCGGGTGTGTTGGCTCATGCCTCTAATCCCAGCACTTTGGGAGGCCAAGGTGGGCAGATCACTTGAGGTCAGGAGTTCAGGCCCAGCCTAAACAACATGGTGAAACCCTGTCTCTACTAAAAATACAAAAATTAGCCTGGGGTGATGGCACATGCCTGTAATACCAGCTACTTGGAAGGCTGAGGCAGGAGAATCACTTGAACCTGGGAGGCAGAGGTTGCTGTGAGCTGAGATCATGCCATTGCACTCCAGCCTGGCAAACGAGTAAAACTCCGTCTCAAAAAAAAAGAGGGCCACATGTATTTTAGTCTTTGGAATTAAAAGTTTGTGTTTTGTTTTGTTTTTTTTGACAGTGGACTCAAAAATATTTTGACTGACTTACACATATGTTACACTACAAATATGAGTTACCACCATCAAATCACTCCTCACTTATAAGTAATTTCTCCCTGCTCAATCTTAACTGAGAATGCTACTATATTCTATATATGTCCAATTATGTATATTTTTGGAGAACGAGGAAACTGTAGTATCGGGGGAACCCCCTCTCCCATATTTCAGTGTAGGTTCTTACTATTTTCCCTACGTGTTGGCTGGCTTAGAAATAAAGAGAAAGAGTACCAAGAGAGGAATTTTACAGCTGGGCCTCCGGGGGTGACATCACATATTGGTAGGACTGTGATGCCCACCTGAGCCACAAAACCAGCAGGTTTTTATTAAGGACTTTAAAAGGGGAGGGGTGTATGAACAGGGAGTAGGTCACAAAGATCACGTGCTTTAAAGGGCAATAAAGATCACAAGGCAATGGGCAAAGCTAAGATCACAAGGCAAAGGGTGAAATCAGAAACTCCTGATAAGGGTCTATGTTCAACTGTGCACATATTGTCTTGATAAACAGAAAACAGGCTTCGAGAGCAGAGAACCAGTCTGACCTCAAATTTACCAGGGTGGGGTTTCTTCCCCACCCTAATAAGTCTGAAGGTACTGCAGGAGACCAGGGCTTATTTCAGTCCTTATCTCAACCGCGGAAGACAGACACTCCCAGAGTGGCCATTTATAGACCTACCCCCAGGAATGCATTCCTTCCCCAGGGTATTAATTATTCATATTCCTTGCTGGGAAAAGAATTCAGTGATATCTTCCCTACTTGCACATCCATTTATAGGCTGTCTGCAATAAGAAAAATATAGCTCTATTCTGCCTGACCCCACAGGCAGTCAGACCTTATGGTTGTCTTCCCTTGTTCCCTAAAATCACTGTTATTCTGTTCATTTTCAAGGTGCACTTATTTCATATTGTTCAAACACACATGTTTTACAATCAATTTGTACAGTTTAACACAGTAATGGTCCTGAGGCGAGGTACATTGTCAGCTTACGAAGAAAACAGGATTAAGAGATTAAAGACAGGCATAAGGAATTATAAGAGTATTATTTGAGAACTGATAAATGACCATGAAATCCTCACAATTTATGTTCAGAGATTGCAGTAAAGACAGGTGTAAGAAATTATAAAAGTATTAATTTGGGGAACTGATAAATGTCCATAAAATCTTCACAATTTATGTTCCTCTGCGACGGCTCCAGCCAGTCCCTTCGTTCAGGGGTCCCTGACTTCCCACAATACTGTAGTATTTCGGTTCTCTTTTTAAAATAAAAAACTCAATGGAATTATAACATAATGAAGTTTATTATAACGATACATGCCAAAAATGCACAAATCATAATTGAACAGCTTAAGGAATGAACAAATCCTTGTATTCACTCTGTTAAAAAAAAAAAAAAGCAAAACTCCACATTATTAGCACCCTAGAAGCTTTCCATGAACTCCATCCCAATCGCTATTATTCCCCCTTAAAGGTTACCAAAGTTTGACTTCTTCCCTGAAATTTGGGTTTTAAACTTTATATAAGTAAAGTTATATTATAGTACAAATAAGCAGAATTAAGATGGCTCCGAATTCCATCTTTATGGTATTAAAGGCCTGTACAGTCCCATTGAGTGCAGCAAGGACTTGTGAATATAATGGGATTTTAATTCCTGTGATTATGTTACTAATTAGTTGATTTTAAGTTATTCAAATAGGAGATTATATTTGATGAACTTGACTTAATTAGGTAGAACTTTAAAAGTGACTGAGCCCTTACTAAGAAAGAATTTCAAAACATTAAAGCCATAGATGTTTTCCTCCCTACCTTGAAGAAGTACACCGCCTTCCTATAAGAAAGTGACTTTGAGGAGTTGAGAGTTGGCCAATAGCCAGCAAAAAAGGCTGGTCAACAGCTAGCAAGAACACATGGACCTCAATTCTATAATTGCAAGGAACCAAATTCTGCCAAAGCTTAGATGAGTCTGAAAGAGTACTGCAAGCCCCAAATAAGATTGCAGTTTCAGCCAGCCTCTGGATTTCAGCCTGGTGACATCCTGAGCAAAGGATCCAGCTACCTATTCCCAAATTCCTGATTCATGGGAACTATGAAATAGTAAGTATAGGTTATTTTAAGATGCTAAATTTGTGACAATTTTTATGTAGCAATGGAAAACTAGTAAATGTAACATGTACCCTTTTGGTCATGGCTTCTTTCAGTGACTATTATATTTGTGAGAATTATTCCTGTTGTTGTATATAGCAATAGTTTATTCATTTTTTTGTTGCTCTGTAGTATTCTACTGTATCAATATAATTACATTTCAGATTATCTATTCTACTATTGTTTCAAGTTTTTCGCTATTACAAATAGTGATATGAATATTCCTGAATGTGCCTTTTGGTGCACATACTCTGGTGGATAGGAGTGGAATTACATCTGTAGAATATGTATATGTTCAGCACTAATAGACACATAGACACTGGCAGTTTTCCAAAGCAGTTTTAACAAATTACAATTCCAAAAGCAGAGTGAAAGTCAAGTGCTTCCTATACTTGCAGGTAATTGATATTAATCTCGTCATTTTATTTGTTTCACTTTTTAAAGTTTAGTTTTCCTGATGGGTGTGTAGAATAATCTCATAGCAATGGTGATTACCAACCTTATAAATTATTTTCACCTTGATTATTTTTTGGGGGGTCTATGTACAGCCATCCTAAGTCCAATTTAAATTGTGTTATCCTCTCTTTAAACCAGCTAAGAGGATAAAGTAGGGACTTGACTTTTGTGGCAACCTATGAAGAGATTATCCTTTTTAAGATCAGCAGGCAACTATAATTACAACAAAAAAGACACGATTTGATTTAAATCAAATCAGACTCTTTTTTACCTCCAACTACTTCTCCAAAGGTACTTCTGAACTCTGCAGTTCACCCTTAGTTCCAACTCCCACACAGAGTGTAAGCACAGCTGTTATGCACAGACATTACTAGCAATTTTAGCTCATCTTCATATCAACTTGTCAGAATTACAGTGGTAAATGAAATAATTTTTTTGTTATTACATCCTCTAAACATTTTCTCCTTTTGCAATAGTTGATTCCAAATGGAAAAATAAATCTAAAAACCGTGAACTCTAAAAGAATGCAATATTTTAATTTTCATTAAATTGATAATAGAAACACTAAAATATGTTCATAAAATCAAGCTATTCCTCATAAGAAATACATCTCCATTAGTAAAAATGTCTTTTTCCTGGTCTAATATTTAATTCATGATAAGAAAAACATATCTAACATAAATTATGAATAGAAATATAGAAATCACATAATTGCCCTGATGTGTCCACTGTGCAACTCATCAATCTATCTGTATTTATGCCTTATTGTAAGCAGATTTTCTGTATACTAAATTTTACGATTAAACAAGGCGATTTACTGTTGGATTTTTTTTTTCATAGAAAACTGCCTCAAGGGTGAGAGGGGTTTCAAAATTATTCCATTTATACAATACTAGCCAATAGAATTTTATTTCCATGAAACATTTTAAGCCTACAAAACAGTATAGAAATAGCAAAAGGAATACTGTCACATGCATCATTCACCACTTACAAATTTTAACAAGTTGTCATATGTGATTTAAAAATGCATGTCCAATAAATAAAATATGACAAACATTAACATTTTTTTTTCCTGCCCCAAGAGAGAATCACTAGCCTGAATTGTTTGCAGCTTATACCTGCAACTGAGAGTAGGCATCTTTGTCTTGTTCCAGTTCTCAAGGGGAATACTTCCAACTTTTGCCCATTCAGTATGGTACTATAGATTGTGGCAAAAACAATGCAGAGAGGTCCACTGTACTCTTTACACCATTTTCCCTAATACCATTTTATATAACTATAATACAATAACAAATCCAAGAAACTTACATTGGTAAGATCCTTATTCAAGATTGCCCCAGTTTTTCATGCACTGTCTTCCTAGATGAGTACTTGTATGTGTAGGTACATATGTATGTGTATATAGTTCCATGCAATTTTGTCATATGTGTACATTCATGTAACCACCACCACACTAAAACTGTCCCATCACAAATAATTCCCTGGTGTTACCTTTTATTGTTACACCCACTTCCACAATGGCTGTACCATTTTTCATTTTCATTAGCAACGTATGAGAGCTCCAAATTCTCTGCATCCTCTACAGCATTTTACATTGTCACTATTATACCTTATTAATTTTTGTAATATTTGAGTTATAATATTTCATTGTGGTTTTAACTTTCATTTGCCTAATCACTAATGATGTTGAATATATTTTCATGTGCTTACTTGTCTTTGTGTTTTTCCTTTTTGGTGAAATGTCTGTTCATTTCTCTTTTCATGTAAATGACTGTAGCTAGTCTTCTCACCATCTGAATGGTCTCTTTGGTAGATTAAAGGTTTTAATTTTTATAAGTTCAATACGTTAATTTTTGTCTATGGATCATGCCTTCTGTTTCACCTACAAAATATCTTTACCAAGTTCCAGGCCCTCAAAATTTTCTCCTACATTTTATTCTAAAATGTCTCATAGCTGTATTATCTTTTATTTAAGTCTGAGATCAATTTTGGATAATTTTTTCCTGTGACATTTGAGGCTTATTTTGAGGGTAATTTTTTTAGACTATGTATTTCTAATTAACCCAGCAGCATTTGTTGAAAAGAGTACCTTTCCTCCATTTAACTGCTTTATGAACTTACTAGAGACTTGTTAAATTGTTGTGACCAAAATGCTGATAGTGATATGGACAATGAAGTCCAGGCTGACATGGTCTCTGATGGAGATGAGGAACTTACTGGGACCTGGAGTAAAGGTCACTCTTGCTATGCTTTATCAATGAGACTGGTGGCATTGTGCCCCTGCTCTAGGAATCCGTGGAACTTCAAACTTGAGAATGATAATTTATGGTATCTGGCAGAAGAAATGTTGAAGCAGCAAAGCATTCAAGATGCCACCTGTGTACTTCTACCAGCACATGTTCATATGTGTGAGCAAAGAGATGATCTGGAACTAGAACTTGTATTTAAAAGGTAAGCAGAGCATAAAAGTTGAGAAAATTTGGAGCGTGACCATGTGGTAGAAAAGGAAAACCCATTTTCTGAAGAGGAATTCAAGCTGGCTGCAGAAATTGATATAAGTAAAGAGGAGCAGAATCTTCATAGCCAGGACAATGGGGAAAGTGCCTCCAAGGTATTTCAGAGACCTTTGTGGCAGCCCCTCCCATCACAGGCCTGGAGGACTAAGAGGGAAGAAAGGTTTCATGGGCCAGGTCCAGGGCCACAGTTCTCTGCGCAACCTTGGGACACTGAATTTCAGCCACTCCAGCGCCAGCCATAGCTAAAAGGGCCCAGATACATCTCAGCTCGCTGCTCCAGATATATGTCAGCCCTCTGCTCCAGATGGTGCAAGCTTTAAGCCTTGGCAGGTTCTACATAGTGTTAAGTCTGCAGGTGTGCAGAGGGGAAAGAGTTGAGGCTTGGGAGCTCCACCTAGATTTCAGAAGATGTATGGAAATGCCTGAATGACCAGGCAAAAGTCTGCTGCATGGGTACAGCTTCCATGGAGAACCTCTACTAGGGCAGTGCAGAGGAAAAATGTGGGGTTGGAGCCCCCACACAAAGTCCCCCCTGGGGCACTGCCTAGTGGAGCTGTGAGAAAAGGGCCACCATCCTTCAGACACCAGAATGGTAGACCCACTGACAACTTACATTGTGCACCTAGAAAAGCCACAAGCACTCAACGCCAGTCTCTGAAAGCAGCCACAGGGGCTGTACCCTGAAGAGCCACAGGAGCAGAACTTCCCATGGTCTTTGGAGTACACCCCTTACATCATGCTGCCTGGATATAAAACATGGAGTGAAAGAAGATTATTTCAAAACTTTGAGATTTAATGATTTCCCTGCTAGGTTTCAGACTTGCGTGGGGCCTGTAGCCCCTTTGTTTCAGCTGATTTCTCCCTCTTGGAAGAATGTATTTACCCAATGCCAAACCTCTATTGTATCTTGGAAGTAACTAACTTGCTTTTAATTTTAGAGGCTCATAGTTGAAAGGGACCTGCTTGTCTCAGATGAGACTTTGGACTATGGACTTTGAGTTAATGCTGAAATGAATTTAGACTTGGGAGACTTTTGAGAAAGGAGGATTTTATTTTGCAATGTGAGAAGGACATGAGATTTTGGAGGGATCAGGAATAAAATGACATGGTTTGAATTTGTGTCCCCACTCAAATCTCATGTCTTAATTGTAATCCCCAGTGTCAGAGAAGGGACCTGGTTGGAGGTGATTGGATCATGGGGACAGATTCGCCCCTTGCTGTTCTCATGACAGTGAGTGAATTCTCCTGAGGACTCATTGTTTAAAACTGTATGACACCTCCCCTTTTACCACTGTCTTCCTCTGTCTTCAGTCAGGTAATATGTGCTTGCTTTCCCTTCACCTTCCACCATGACTAAGTTTCCTGAGGCCTCCCCAGCCATCCTTTCTATACAGCCTGTAGAAATGTGAATCAATTAAACCTCTTTTTTAATAGATTACGCAGTCTCAGGTAGTTCTTCATAGCAATGTAAGAGCAGACTAATACAAGTAGCAAGCAAGAAACTGGTGTCAAGTCTAACTGAGGTTTCATGCCTGAATATCAGCACACTATTAATAGATGTAGTCAAGTTACAAGACCAGAGGAAACGATGGTCAAATAGTACAGTGATTAGAAGTACAGCAGGGAATTTGGTGGAAAATGTGAACTATAAATGGAAATAAAAGCTAATAATTATTTATGAGTTAAGGTTTTTTCTTCAGTGGATAGCTTTAACAAAAGATTTAGTTTTATCCTTTATGTTTGTATATATAAAATAAAATAATTTGCCTACAATTACTTTTAAGTAATCCAGAAATGTATTAAATAGAAGGACAAGAAATTGCCAATACCTACCTTTTGAACTACAATGATAATATTTTGTGTTGCATTATATTTTTCATATTCACAATCTCTTATCTAAAATTTGGGGGTCCAATATATTTTATAATTCATATATATTTATTAATACCTATATCCACATATATATCAGATAAGCTGTGTATATTCATAAACCTATATGTATGATCTATATAAATACATAGATAATTTTAGTGTATATATTAAATATTAATTACCACCCATGACATAGGCTGTGACAGCACCCCATGAGCAAGCACATTAAAATTCTTTAACAAAAACTTAATAATATACACATTTGGTGTAATAAATAAAGTCAATAAATACCCTCACTTTAATTCAGAATGAATTTTGCTATCAAATAGATTATTTTTAAAATTTGCTTTACAGAGCTTTTTACATTGTACAACTGCTGAAAAGACTTTTTGGACTATCTTGGGTGCAATCAATACTATGTTTTTAAATACACATATTTTTGCCACACATATAAATATTTAAATAACTTATTTTTATCTGATTTTTATAATGGACTAAAATGTTAATGGAGATCATGAAACTACATGTTTTTCTTTTCCTTTGATAGGATAATCAAATGTTATTGCTTAAACAATTCAAAATCAGAAATCATGACCTACCATATCCTTAGGGAGAAACATATGATAGCAATAAGCAATGCATGTACATACTTGTAATTCAAAGGCACTGAGGCAAAAACTGTCAAAACATTACTAAAATTGACAAGGATATATGGTTCATTAGGCTGGGAACTGATGCGTTATAAACCAGTTGGTGATCAGCTTAATAATTTGAATAAAGTCGCACATTATTAAAAAAATTGTACTTGCTGTCATAATTAAATCTCAAATCATGTCTTGAAGAAAGGTACATGGGATTGTGGACGCTTGTTAAGAGACCAAACCTAGTGCCTATCAGAGCAGAATAATCAATAACCAAATTTAATATAGCATTGTTTTAATTGAAAATTTCTTACTGTGTTCTCACTATTGACTTTTAAGACATAACAGTGTCAATAAACCAACTGTTTTTAAATTAACATAGAATTAACATAAATGATTCAACATTCAGAATGGTTAAATAAAACAAAAATTAGTTTTACCTGTAAGTGGAAATATATTGCATTTCTTGTAGTTATTTCTCCTGACTTCTGAAATCTACTCATGCATGCAAAATATTTTTGTTATTTATACTTGGCATTGTTAATCTAACAAGAGGCTTGTTCTAAAAGTTCCTTACCTGGTGTAGATTCTGTATAAATTATTTACCTTATTTCAGTTTTAATGTAAATACACGGTTGTATGAGAACAGGTGTGTAAATATGTTAAAATTTACTGCTACAGAAAATTTTACCTGGAGATGGAGTGCTAAAATAGCATAAATCCGAAATGTGTGGAATTGTCTCAGAAGATGGGCAGTTGGTGAAGAAATAGATACTGTAGAAGTGAAACTGATAAGTCTTTTTGTAATCCTATTGTCTTTATTAACACAAAAGATAGACTATGTTACCACCAAGCTTTTTATGTATTTTAAAGCAGAGGTCGTCAACCTTTATGGCACTACGAAATGGATTTGTGGAAAACAATTTTTCCATGTATTGGGAATGGGAGGAGGCAAATGGTTTTGGGATGAAATTGTTCCACTTCAGATCAGGCATTAGATACTCATAAGGAGTGAGCAGTCTAGATCCCTCACATGCATAGTTCATGTTAGGGTTTGCTCCTTTGAGAATCTAATGCTGCCACTGATCTGATAGGAGGCAGAGCTCAGGTGGTAATGCTCTGTTGCCTGCTGCTCACCTCCTGCTGTGAGGCCCAGATCCTAACAGGCCATGAATCAGTATAGGTCAGTGGCCCCGGGGTTAGGGACTTCTGTTATAGAGGAATTTATTAGCATAAGTTGCAAAAATGGAATGTGATCATTGCTTTTAGTAAAACTCTACAAAGTGAGATGAAGTCAGAAAAAAATTACGTAATTTGTAGACAAATATGGAAGGAGAAACAACCCAGTTAAGAGTAGTTTTCATTTTGTCACAAGTTGGTAATCATTAAGTTGAGGAAAACATGTGTCTGACATAGAGACCAATAAGTACAATATTCTCCAAGCTCAAGAACCGTGACAAGATAAGAAGTTTGGCTGTGGTTAGTTTCAGAAGATATTTGAGAGAGAGAGAGAGAGAGGGAGAGAACCAGAAACCTACATTTCTAGAGAATGTTCATGTCAAATAAAGCATAAAACTTACCTGCAAAAAGCTTCTGATGGCTCTATCCCTAAAGCAGCAACGGCTTCCAAAACTGTACTAGCAGAATGCAGACTTTGAAAGCTATGATTCTAGAGACACTTACAAACATAAAGGTGACAACAATATTCTGTCAGAAGGAACAACATGATATAATGAACCAGAATATGTTGATTTAACAATAAAGTAGGACTCAGTCACATTAGATAGGACCGTATGTCTACACTGCCCCATGGGAGAAAAATAAATTTGTCTGAGCCAATGCTTTCTAGGGGGTTGGTCTTTTTATCATGGTTGAAGAGCATGCACCCCACAAAAGGAAACTTTCAGCTTATCGTAAATAATGTTTAAGATGATATGTGTATCATAAAGAAACTAGATTAATTAATGAGAGGGAGAGAATAGTACTGTTAATTAAAAGCAGAAAAAGGAATGTCTGCCCCTAACTAAAATGAAAAGAATTGTGGCAGACTAATGATTCTGAAATAAACTAAAAACTAAAAATAAGTAAATAAATAAGGCATTAGAGAACTGCGGCCATGAAATAACAAGATCATACAGTAGGCAGAACATTTCTATTTGGGGTGTTTGCTATTTCTGGATGCCAGGAAACTATGAAATATGTAGGTATACACTTTAGAAAATGTATGCAAGATTAGTATGGTGAAATCACAAATGCTGATGAAAGAAATGATAGAAGACCTAAATTAATAGAGAGAAATATGCATTCCCTGATTGCAAAACTTAATATTAAAACATTGGTTTGTCTTAATTAGATGTGTAGATTGTATACAGTCTGGGTGAAAATACTAGCAGGGATTTATGTAGAAGTCAACCATCTGAATTAGGATGTATATGGAAAGGCAAAAGAAATACAACAGACAAAAGAATTTTTTAAAGGAAAAAAAAAGAAGACTTGCACTACCTGACTTCAAAACTTACTATAAACGTACAGCAATCAAGAGAGCCTGGTATTGGCATAAAAATAAATGAATATAACAATAGAACAGAATAGAAAGCCCAGAAAATAAACCCAACCTTACATGGTCATATGATTTTTTAAAAAGGCAACAATAGAATCCAATAAAAAGAAATACTTTCAACAAATATTCACAATAGGGGAATGAAAACAAATTAGATGCCTATCTCACACCATCTACAACTATTAATTATAGGTAAGTCATAAACCAAAGCATAAAACCAATTATAATGCCTCTGGAAAAAAAATATGAGCATATTTTCAAGGTTTGGGGTAGGCAAAATCTTCTTTGGACATACATAAGAATATTTAGTAAATTAAACTTCATCACCTAAAAATTTCTGCTCACCGAAATAAACACACAAAAACAAATACTAGATGTAGCTATTCGTTTCCAGAAGACAATATTGTTTTCCTACTTATAAAATAAATGTTTCAACTGAATAGTGATGAGAACAGTTTTATTGATTTTGATTTTTTTAGTTCAGGTAAATTTCATTCAGTATTTTTTCCGTGTGGTCTTTACACTAACTACATAACCTAATGACCCAGTTCCTTAGTTCTAGGACTTTACTACTTAAACAGTCTTGAATGATTCACCCTGGAAATCTGCACATTAACTAGAATCCCAGGTGATTCCTATTACACATTAGTTTCAATCTCTTTAGATAGTAACCATGCTATGTAGGCCAGCTGATTTTACATCTCATCATCTCTTCAGAACCATGAGATTCACCCCAATAATACAGTTATTGCTTTCCTCCTCCCACTTTCTTACCATCTTATTCTCTTTTCTGACTTACATGGCTTTGGTGCTCTACTTCTTTAACTCCATAACCTTATAATCCTATCAGTATCCGGTAATTTCTTATTTATTCATTCACTATTTGTAAATGTTCATTGGGTTTTAAACCAAATAAAATAGTAAGTATTAACACTATTATTGATATTAATAATTTCAGATATGCTTATTGTTGTATATTTTACAATAATAAAGGAAACAATTTTTGCTCTTCCTGGATAGCTGTTCAAAATGTCTGGAGCACCACCCTCTTAACAGAAATTCCGTCTCACCTTCTATTCACATTTCTCCTTGGATCATAGTAAATACTAGGTATTACATTTGCCTAATAAATGAAATACTGAATGTCAAAATAGTGATAAATTCACATAATTCTGACCATTTATAAAATAATTTTAGATACATAGTTTATTGTTCTATCCAATGAAACCCTGGGTTGATTAAGCAAAGTCTTTATTTATAGATGAGGAAACTGAGTCACAGAGAAATTAAGAATTGGAAAGGATTTTAACTTATTTCTGCCAGTGCAGTCATCACACAAATAGAATGAGTTTTGGCAGAATCAAGGCTTGATATTTGGTCTTTCATCAATTCAAATAGTTTACATTGCCTCTTGGACTTTTGTAACACAATTTGTTTTTCAAAATTGCTTTTGATACTTAATTTACTTGAGTGTACTTATGAAAGAATATTGCAGAGAATAGGACACATAAACATTTTTTATTGGTTAGAACTTTTATCAAGCATTTACATGGAAATGAGAAATCACGTTAAATAAATGACAAGGAAAATGGGTATTATAATATTGCTCTTTCACTTTACTAATAAGTATTAAATGTCAATATTAGAATAGTTTTCTCAGTCTTCAACTTACAATTATGGGCTTAAGGAACTCTGAATATGGTCAGTATCTTTGTCTAACAAAACAACAAAACCTTACAGTAAAACATTAATTTTAGAGAAAGAATGCTCAGGGGTTCATTGTGATGGCAAAAAAGAAAACCCAATACAAGAACATGATTTTATCCTGGAACTCAACTGTGTAAAGCAAATCTATTCTTTGTAACTATCATTATGTAAGCAACTATCACCCAAGGGGATATAGATCATACTAGGCCTATTCATCCCTGGCCATACAACAGGTTATGAAGCATTTGTTAACCTTAGCATTGTAGCTATGAAATTTGATTTTAATGATCATCATGCTTTGTGTATGGAATTTTATTTTTAGGATAACTTTAACCCTGGAATCTTCTTTTATTGCTCTCATACAAGGGACAGCAGCTCCAAATCTCAGATAAAGTGAACAGAGTGCCTTACATAAAAGGACAGGTGTTTCTACTTTCCTGTTAATGACTCTCTAAGTGTGGATGATGATGATCCTTATCAGTCATTACTAAATTTACTTCATAGAAATTAAGAATTAAATTACAGTTTCAAGGCTCATTGGGTCTTGTTAAATTTGTTGAATTGCTCACATGTGTATGTCTTGTCCTCCATGGGGTATCTGTAAAGCAGGTGTTTCAATTCATTGAAAGTTTGCTGCATTCTATTCTGCCCAAAGATTATTATACAATTGTGTTTGAATTCCAGGTTGGGTTCTTATATTTGAAGACCACACTTCAAATAGTCATATTTGACTATTCAAGTTTAGCATAAAGAGGAATAATATGGAAATGGTCTCTTATGGGGGCTTTTAAAAAAGAGTAGTGAATGTGAAATTCGAGGGCAGATAGGGACCACATTCCAAACTTAATATCTTTCTCACTTGTCTCAGTATTCTGATGCCAAACAATCCCAAATACAAGTGCAAGTGGAAAGATCTTTTGCATTTTTATCCATGCCTGTGGGGACGAGTCTTCTAATGCACTAAAAGCACAACTCATTGCTCTTTGAATGCAGGGATATTATACCAGATAGAAATTACTGCTGTCGTGTAAGCCTTCCCTGCGCTCTTCGTCCATATACTCTCTCTTTGGCAAGAGAAAAATGCTCCAGACAATGTCACCTTCAATTTAATGTTCTCCTTTGAAAACTAAAACCAAATCAAACTGTATTTTTAAGCACAAAAAAGAACTAGATTCAGAATCAGATCAAATAACAGTCTGGGCTTTAAAACAAATGTTTATATTTCTAAATCAGCCATTTTTAAACATAATTAGAGAATCTTATAGCACTTAAATGATCAATGAATATGTCTGATATTTATTTTATATCATGAGGTGCTATAACTTGTGTTACATTTATACTGAAATTTTAGAAACAAGATGAATTTTCACAGTAAATGTCTAACATAATAATTCTAAGGCAAAGCAATGTAACAAAAAAAGAGAAAAAACTGAGAATGGATTTCTGCTTCTTTATTCCCAGCGTAGTTTTCTCTCCACCAGGTAAGAGTGCCTACATTTAAGAAAAGGAAGAAATGGCTTATCTGAAATTCCTAATAATAGCAATAATAAATAAAAACCATAAACTAGTTACAATGATAGTAATAACAATAATAATTACTCAGAAACTGTTTTATTATCCCTGTGGACAGTGTCAGCATTTTTTCTTAGATCCATGAAACTATAAATAATTAGTGACATAAATGAGGACTCTTCATGGTCAAAAAGCTGAGCTTCTAGCAAAATTACTCAAGAAGCAAATGATTCACAACCCATCTTTAATAGCTGAGAGGTTAGTACAGCAGTATCTCCTGTCACCTGGCTACACCTTGAATTTTCAAGGTGTATTAGTCCACTTTCACACCACTATAAAGAATGACCTAAGACTGGGTAATTTATTAATAAAAGAGATTTAATTAACTCATAGTTTCGCATGACTGGGGAGGCCTCAGGAAACCTACAATGATGGTGGTAATGGAAGCAAGACACATCTGACATGGCAGCAGGAGAGAGAGAGTGACCAAGTGCCACACTTTAGAACCATCATCTTTCATAAGACCTCACTATCACAGGGACAGCATGAGAAAACCACCCCCATGATCCAGTCATCTCCCACCAGGTCCTTCCCTTGACATGTGGGGATTGCAATTTGAGATGAGATTTGGGTGTGGGGACACAGAGCCAAAACATATCATTTTGCCTCTGACCCCTCCCAAATCTCATGTCCTTTTTATATTTCAAAACCAATCATGCCTTCACAACAGTTCCCCAAATTCTTGACTCATTCCAGCATTAAGTCAAAAGTCCAATTCCAAAGCCTCATCTGAGACAAGACAAGTCCCTTTCTCCTATTAGTCTGTAAAATCAAAAACAAGTTAGTTACTTCCAAGACACAATGAGGGTAAAGGCATTAGGTAAATGTTCTCATTCCAAATGAGAGAAATTGGCCAAAACAAAGGGGCCACAGGCCCCATGCAAGTCCGAAACCCAGCAGGATACTCATTAAAACTTAAAGCTCTGAAATAATCTCCTTTGACTCCATGTCTTACATCCAGTTCAAGCAGATGCAAGAGGTGGGCTCCCAAGGCCTTGGGCAGCTCCACCTTTGTGGCTCTGCAGGGTACAGTCCCTACAGTGGCTTTCCTGGGCTGGTGTTGAATGCCTGTGGCTTTTCCAAGTACACGGTGCAAGCCATCAGTGGATCTCCCATTCTAGGGTCTGGAGAATGGTGGCCCTTTTCCCACATATCCACTAGGCAGTGCCCCAGTGGAGACTCTGTGTGGGGGCTCCAACCCCACATTTCCCGTCTGCATTGCCCTAGTAGAAGTTCTCCATGAGGGATCTGCTCCTGTAGCAGATTTCTGCCTGGTCACCCAGGCATTTCCATACATGCTCTGAAATCTAGGGAGAGGCTCCGAGCAAAAGCTCAACTCTTGTCTTCTGTGCACACAAAGGCCCAACATCATGGGCAAGCTGTCAAGGCTTGGGCTTGCACCCTCTGAAGCAACAGCCCAAGTTGTACCTTGGCCTCTTTTAGCCATGACTGGAGCTGGAGCAGCTGGGACGCAGGGTGCCATATCCCAAGGCTGAACAGAGCAGAAGGGCCCTGGGCCCAGACCATGCAACCATTTTTTCTTTCTACACCTCCCACCTGTGATGTGTGGAGGGGCTGCTTGAAGATCTCTGAAATGTCCTGGAGACATTTTCCCCATTGTCTTGGCAATTAATATTCAGCTCTTTGTGACTTATGCAAATTTCTGCATCATTCTACCACCTGGTCAGGCTGAAAATTTTCCAAACTTTTATGCACGCTTTCCCTTTTAAATATAAGTTTCAATTTCAGATAATCTCTTCATGAAAGTATATGATTGTATGCTTTTGCAAAAAGCCTGGTTACATCTTGAATGCTTTGCTCCTTAGAAAGTTCTTCTTCCAGATAACCTAAATCATCTCTCTCAAGTTCAAAATTCCGCAGATCCCTAGGGCAGCAGCAATATGCCACTAGTCTCTTTGCTGAAGCATAGCAAGAGTGACCTTTCCTCTAGTTCCAAATAAGTTCCTTATCTACATCTGGGATCACTTCAGCTTGGACTTCACTGTCCATATTACTATCAGCATTTTTATCAAAATCATTCAACAAGTCTCTAAGAAGTTCCAAACTTTCCCACATCTTCCTGTCTTCTCCCGAGCCCTCCAAATTGTTCTAACATACACCTGTTTCCCAGTTCAAAAGTCACTTCCACATTTTCAGGTTATCTTTATAGCAACGCCCCGCTATCCCAGTACCAATTTTCTGTATTAGTTGATTTTCACACTGCTATAAAGAGCTACCTGAGACTGAGTAATTTATAAAGGGAAGAGTTTTAATTGACTATCAGAGCTCCACATGGCTGAGGAGACCTCAGGAAACTTACAATAATGACGGATGAGGAAGCAAGGCATGTCTTACATGGCAGCCAGAGAGAGAGAGAGAGAGCACCACAATTTAAAACCATCAACTCTCATGAGAACTCATTCACTATCACACGAACGGCATGGGGAAACCTCTCCCCGCATGATGCAATCACCTCCCACCAGGTCACTCCCTTGACACGTGGGGATTACAATTTGAGATGAGATTTGGGTGGGGACACAGAACCAAACGATATCACCCATATCACAAGGCAAATCAATATTCAAATTTTTGGAGAGTTTCAAAAACAAAAAATAATTCATAGTAATATTATTGAAACAAAGACAATCTAGTTTCCCTAAACTATATATACTTTCTACATAGAGAGCGAACAAAATATCCATAATAATGTATATTCTTGATATCTTCTCTATAAAATCATTAAAGGCCTACTAGGGCAGGATAATTAAAGATAATAATTTATAAGACAGTAAATAACAGTAATTCATAATATGAACTTTTAAGTCCAACATTCATATTGCAGATGTATCACTTTTTTCATTATTTTGAGTACTAAATATTTTTAAAATGGTTACAAGTGAAAAACTATTTTACTTTTGTGTGATGTTGCGTAAACTCTCATTGAAGTATAAAGTAAGACAGATAATATAATAGTAAATAGCTCAATCATTTGTTAAAAGGGAAAGTGCAATCATGCTTATTACCTGCTAAACATAAGACATAGTAGAGATTAGGCACTCAATAAATATAAACTATTAGCATTATTATGATTATCAATCTTACTATTATTAAAAATACTCAAAGCACCATTGTTTTTTAAAAGTATGACTCACATGCCATTTATCATGCAATTTTTGTGTTATAACAATAAATGTTATAAAAATTGAATGTCAAACAATTAAAGCCTCAAATACAATTACAGTGAAAGCATATGAAAATGACATTAATTGGCAGGCTCTTTTACTCTTTCTGTACCCTTTAATAGGCAAATTAAAACTTTACAAATTAGCATGTAAACATTTTATGCTACTGTCTAGAATGCTTCTAAGTTTCAAAATACTCTACACTTTTCAGAAAATTCAATATTCTCTGCTACTTGTTAGTCTCATATAGGAAGCAAACTCCTTTTTTATGTAAATGATAAACGTTATTTTTTCGAGCCATTTTAGGTTTAAAGAAAAATTGAGCAGAAGATACAGAGTTTGCATACACCTCTTGTAACCACATGTACATAGCCTGCCCCATCACCATCTTCCACCATAGTAGTAAGTTTGTTATAATATGAACCTACATTGACACATCATTATCACTCAAATGCATAGTTTGCATTAGGGTTCAACCTTGGTGTTGTATATTTTATAAATTTTGACAAATGTACAGTGACTTATACCTGCCATTGTAGTATCATACAGAATAGTTTCACTGCCCTAAAAATGATCTGTTCTTTCCTCATTTATCCCTCTCTTACTGTTAATCCCTAGAAACCACAGATCTTTTTACTGTCTTCATAGTTTTGATTTTCTCAGAATGTTATATAGTCAAAATGATACAGTATGTAGCCTTTTTATATTGGCTTTATTCACTTACTAATATGCGTTTAAGTTTCTTCCAAGTCATTTCATGGCTTGATAGCTCATTTCTTTTTAGAGCTGAATAATATCCCACTGCTTGGATGTACCACAGTTTACTTATTTATTCATCTACTAAAGAACATATTGATTGTTTTCAAGTTATAGCTATTATGAATAAAGCTGCTATAAATATCCCTGTACACGCTTTTGTGTCATAAGTTTTAAATTTATTTGAGTTAATACCAAAGAGCATGGTCGCTTGTTTACATGGCAAAAGCACATTTAGTTTTGTAAGAAACTACCAGTCTTACAAACTGGTAGTCAAAACAGTGGCTGTACTGTTTTGCATTTCAGTCAGCAAGGAACGAGAGTTCCTTTTGCTCCACGTCCTCACCAGCATTTGATGTGTTCAGTGTTTTGCATTTTAGCATTCAAATAGGTGTATAGTGGTGTCTCAGTGTTGTTTTAATTTGCAATATCCTAATAAAATATGATGTTGAGCATGTTCATACACACTTATTTACTGTCTGCATATCTTCTTTGCTGTGGTGTCTGTTTAGATCTTTGACCTTTTTTTTTAGCCAGATTATTCATTTTCTTATTGTTGAGTTTTAAGAGTTTCTTCTATATTTTAAATTACAGTCCTTTATCAAATGTGGCTTTTGCAATTTTTTTCTCCTGGTGTCTGGCTTGCCTGGTCTGTATTTTGTGTTTCTCTAGACAATATTGAGTCTTCCTATCCAAGAACAGGAACTTTCTCTCCATTTATTTAGCCGTTAATATGTTTTATGAGAGTTTTGTAGTTTTCCTTACATAAATGTATATATTAGATTTATACCTAAATATTTCATCCTTTGACATGCCAATGAAAATAGCAATGTGCTTTGAATGTCATATTCCAGATTTTCATTGCTAATATATATGAAAAAATGACTTCATATTAACCATGTGTTTTTCAAATTTGCTATAATCACATATTCATTTCAACAAGGTTTTTGTTGATTCTTTTCGGATTTTCTACATAGGTTATCATTTCATCTGCATAGATGATCATGTAAAAAAGACAACAGTTTTATTTCTTTCTTCCCTATCTCTGTATGCATTATTTCCTTTCCTCAATCTATTGCATTATTTAGAACTTCCAGTTGAATGTTGAAAAGTAGTGGTGAGAGTGTTGAAAAACTTTAAGTCTTTCAACATAAATTAAGATGTTAACTGTAGGTACATTTTGAGTGTGCATGCTTTTTTAAAAATCAAATTGAGGAAGTCTTTCCTCTCTATTTCTAATTTTCTGAAAGTTTTCTTCATTAGCGGGCATTTAGTTTTGTCAAATGCTTTCTCTGCATGTATTGATAAGACTATGTGATTTTTCTTCCTGAGCCTGTTGGTGTGATGGATTACATTAATTGATTTCTGAATGTAGACATAGCCGAGAATAACGGAATAAATCCCAGTTGGTCAATCTGTATAATTCCTTTTATACTTTGTTGGATTTAATTTGCTGATATTTTGTTGGGGATTTTTAAATCTAAGCTCATGAGCAATACTGGTCTGTAGTTGTCTTTTCTGGTAATGACTTTGTCTGGTGGTGTATTAAGGTAATATTGGCCTCTTATAATGTGTTAGAAAGTATTCTCTCTACTTCTATTGTCTGAAAGAGATTATGGAGAATTGGCATAATTTTTTCCTTAAATGTTGTGTCAAATTCACCAGTGAACACCTCTAAGCTAGTTTTTTTTCTATTTTGGAACATTGTTGATACAATTTCTTTAATAGCTATATGTCTATTCTATTCAGATTGTCTATTTCTTCTTGTGAGTTTTGGCCAATCTTATTTAGGATATCAAATGTGTAGTCATAGACTTGTTCATTATATTCCTTTATTATACTTTGAATGTCCATGGAATCGGTAATGATGACCCCTTTTTAATTTGATATTAGTAATTTATATCTTCTTTATTTTTTCTTAGTTAGCCTGGCTAGAGGTTATCTGTTTTATTGACCTTTCCTAAGAACCACTTCTTAGCTTTGTTATTTTCTGTACTGATTTCTATTTTGTTAATTTCTGCTGTAATCTTTATTACTTATTTTCTTCTGCTTACTTTGGATTTCATTTGATCTTCTTTACCTAGTATCTTAAGGTAGAAGCTTAGTTTATTAATTTTTGATTTTTCTTTTTTCCAGTATATGCATTCAATGCTATAAGTCCCTCTAAGCACTTCCTTTGCTACATCCCACAAACTGAAAAATTGTATTTCCATTTTAATTTAGCTCAAAATATTTTTAAATTTTACTTGAGATGTCTTCTTTGACCCATGTATTATTTACAAATATTTTGTTTACTCTCAAAGTATTTTGGAATTTTCTAGCTATTTTTCTGTTATTGATTTCTAGTTTTATTCTATTGTGGACTAAGAACTGATATTTTGTGATTTCAATTATTTTAAATTTGTTAAGATATGTTTTATGGCCCTGAGTGTAGTCTATGTTTGTAAATCTTACCTTCAGCTTGAAAAAAATGTACAATATGCTGTTTTTGGATAAAATAGCTTATAGTTGTCAACTATATCCAGTTTATGACTGGTGCTGCTAGGTTCAATTGCGTCTTTACTGATTATCTGTCTGATGAAGCTGTCTATTTCTGATAAAGGGATGTTGAAATCTGCAGCTATAATAGTGAATTCATCTATTTCTCCTTGCATTTATTTCAATCATTCTTTGCTTCATATATCTTGATGTTCTGTTGTTAGTTGCATACACATTAAAGACTGATATATCTTCTAGAGTGTTGATCTATGTATCATTATGTACTGTGTTCTTTATCCCTGATAACTTTCCTTGTTCTGAAGTACAGCCTGCCTGAAATTAATATAGCTAATCCTGCTTTCTTTTGGTTAGTGTTAGCATGTATATCTTTTTCCATTCCATTGTTTTTCATCTATAAATGGCATTATATTTAAAATAGATGCCTTGTAAACAACATATTATTAGGTTTTGGTTTTGATTCAGTCTGATAATCTCTGTCTTTTAGCAGTTGTATTTGGGCCAACAACATCAAAAGCAATTATTGTTGTAGATTAGTATCTACCATATGTTATTCTTTTACATTTGTTGTCCTTGTTCTTTGTTCCTAATTTTGGCTTCCACACTTTTTCTGCCTTTTGTTGTTTTAATGGTATATTTTATATAATTCCATTTTCTCTCCTTTCTTAAGATATTAATTCTTTTCTTTTTCTTTTTATGTTTTGAGTGGTTATCTAATGCATGTCCACTTCCCAATAACATTATATCACTTTATGGATATAACAAATACCTTATACTAACAAAATATTTCTAATTTTTCTCATCTGTCCTTTTTATTACTGACATCATTTACTTCACTTACACATACACATATATAATTTTATATATGTATATATAAACACATACGAAGCATACATAATCAAGTACATTGTTGCTATTATTATTTGGAACAAAATGCTATCTTGCAGAACAATAAGAATAAGAAAAATTAAATTTTTATTTTACTTTCTCTTATTCTTTATCTGATGGTTTTCACTTTTTGTAAGTCTATTTTGACCTATATTATTATTTTTCGTCTTTATGAAAGACCTATTTTAACATTTCTTGGAGACAGGTGTACTAGAATAAATTCTCTCAGTTGTTGTCTGAGAAAGTCTATTTCTATCCCATTTTTGAATGATAATTATTCAGGGCACAGAATCCCAGGTTAGCATTTTATTTTTCTTTCAATACTTTAAATATTTCACTCCACCCTCTTGTTGCTTGTATGATTTCTGAAAATAAGTCAGATGTGCAATTTATCTTTTACTTCTCTATTGTTTTTTCCTCTGGCATCTTTCAGTAATTTGTTTTTATCTTTAATATTTTGCAGTTTAAATATGATATGCCTATGGGTAGTTTTCTTGGCATTTACCCTACTGTATATTCTCTGAGCTTCCTGGATCTTTTGTTTAATGTCAGGCATTAATTTGTGGGAAATAGTTATTATTGCTTTAAACATTTCTGCTGTTCCTTTCTCTCCTTCTGCTTTTTCTTGTATTCCCATTATCCACATGTTACAACTTTTTGGTTGTCCCATAGTTCTTGTATATTCTGCTCATTTTGTTGTTGTTGTTTCTCTTTGCTTTTTCAGTTTTGGCAGTTTCTGTTTGCCATATTCTCAAGCGTAGAGATTTTCTTTCTCAGTTGTGTCTTACCTACTAATCAAAGAATCAAATTGATTCTTCATTTTGGTCACAGTGTTTTTGATCTCTAGCATTTTATTTTAAGTCACTCTTAGAATTTCCATCTCTTTGCGTACTTTATCTATCTTTTATTGCATGTTGTCTACTTTTCCCATGAAAGCCCTTAGCGTATTAGTTATAGGTGTTTAAATGCCCCATCTAATAATTCCAACATCTCTGCCATGTTTGGCTCTAATGCTTGTTCAGTATCTTCAAACTGTGTTTTTTGCCTGTTGAATGCCTTGTAATTTCTTATTAAAAGGTGATCATGATGTACTTGGTAAAAGGAACTTCACTAAATTGGCCTTTTAAAGTAGTGGTAAGGCGTGGGTGGAGAGAAGCCTCTGTAGTCCTGTGATTATGTCTCAGTCTTTCTTTTGGTGAGCCTGTGACCTGGGCTGTGGACTTCACCAGTGCTTCTCAGTCCCTACACCTCCCTTAGGTGAGAGAGGATGGCTATAGGGCGTTACAGTTGGATATTTCTCTTTCCCTACTTGGTTGGCTCTGATAAAACCACAGAAGGTCAGTTTCTGACAAAAGAGTTTCTTCTGAGGGCAAGCCTTATTAAGAAAAACAGAATGCTGTGATTTGTATTTTAAAATTGTTCCTTTTTCTCTTCCTTCCAGAAGTATGAGGGGATTTTTTTTTTCTCAGACACTCTCTGTGAAACTAGATCTGGTCCCCAGAGATAAAACTCACAAAAATGTGGGTAGCCTCCCAGTGACTGGTCCCCTTGGTTTTAAACTCAGAATCAACCACGCTGAGCCTCCAGCACATCATAAATGACAGGTTATGTTTTGCTACCCCAATACTGGATCCTGTGAAGGTTTCTGCCCATGAGCTTTTGATTTGGTAAATTGTCATTCTCTGTATCCGTTGTTTGTCTTTTCAGTTTTAGGGTCAGCAATTTGCCCTGCAATCTCACTTCTCTGACAAATCTAACTTGTTAGGATAGAGTGGCGACCTCTAAGCTTACATGCCAGATTGAAAGGTTAAAAAAAATTTTAATGATAACAATTTATAGCATAATTTTGCAAATGCCAAAATAAAAGAGTTTTTCACTTCAGGATCTGATTAAAAAACACCGATTCAGGAGACAGTTCAGTCTTCCCCAAACATTAACATATTTTCAATGCTGGCCTGGCTTGTTTATTTTTTAATCTACTGGATCCATTTTCTCTGCAGTTATAATTGCACTTTCTTTTTTATTTTACTAAGACAGCAAAATAAATCAAGATAGAAATCTTATAAAATTAATAATTAAACATTATCCTAAGAAGCATTAATATTGCTGATGAAACATTTTTTGAAGTCTGTTGAAAGACATTCAAAACCCATAATGAATTTGGAATGAAGAACCTGATAACCAGTGTTAAAAAAACGCATCAAAATTCAGCTCATATATCCTCCTAAAAATTACCAAGGAATACATAATTTACCCAATATCATTATATGATATTCTAAACTTAAAAATACATTTATAATTCTACATTTTTCTATAGTTACTTTCCTTTGGTCAAGTTTTCCTTAAATCTCTATACAAAGATATCCAAAATAACCTGAGGAAGTTAAGATTATTACAAAATAAATCATACTAGCAAGCCACTTAATAATTTAATATGACCACATATTAAGTAGTGATGGATTTTTATTCATAATTTAAATATAGATAATTCAAATAAAAATATGTTTGTAAATACCACAATTAACAGAAAAACATAAAATCATTTGTAGAGATATTTTAATGACCTTCCTTTGTTCTTTATATAAATTCAATGATCTATTTTTTCCTTAATTTTAAAATACTGAAGTACATTTCATACTTAAATTACACAGATTACCTCTATTTTACAAACCCAAAATGAAAAAAAAGAGAATGTTTCTAGAAAAGAACCAGAAAATTATTAATTAATCATAGTGTTTTTTCTAATAATTTAATTATTTTACTTTTTATAACTGCCATGAATCTCTATGTATTTGAATAAACACATGAATTTGTTACATCTACCTGACTGCTATATACCTTTTAAAAAATGCAATTACATTGCCCCACTTCATTATTCTCCACAGGCAATAGAACCTCATACACCAAATAAGTAATATGCTGGTAATAAGCATAAAAACAAAGGTCTGCTTTATATCATCCAATTCATTTTTAAAATCTCTGAATATATTAATGTTTTCACCACAATGTTTTAGAAATTTTTCAGATGAACTTTTCAAAACAAGCATGCAAACATCTGAACTATTAGATTTTTATCTAATTTAATTTAGATAAAATTTAGATATTATAGGTTTTAATTTTTCTTAGTCACTTTGATTTTCTTGATAATTTTTAAATCAATGACCTAATGTATCTCTATTCTTTTGTGATGTTCTTGTTCAGACTTTCAAAGTGTGTCACAATTATTTTTTACTTTTTCCAGATTAATCATACTATAACTTTCATCCCGGGAAGCATCCTTTAAAGACCATTCCAAACTAAATGTCAATCCAGTGGCAGCTTTTCTGTCACTTAGGTTTACTCAATGGCCCTTAATGGAAAAAAAAAAAAAGCCAAATAAGACTGCTTGTACATGGTTCCAACGTAACAGTTTGAAATATAAATTCCTTTGTAGTTTAGATTCTACCCATCTTAGAGAATACTTTCTAAAATTCTAGTGCCAAGAAAATTGTAATCTCTGAGACATTTTTGTCCAGAATTCTCAGATTTAATTTGGAGAGGTCATATATAAAATATAATTTGTCCCAATAAAGTCAAATTTCTTGATACTTAGGGAATGGAACAATAAATTTTCATAGGCTTTCACTTACTTAGAGGGGTGTGTGGAAAGATGATTGTAGCACCACTAGACACCAGTATCAAAAACACAAAAAATCAAAATTTCAATGTAATCTTTGCAATAATTCAGTTTTAGTTCCTGCAGAATATATGACGATGACCAAATTTGGAATTACTGTTAATGTATATTTATGACATATTATTTAATATTAATACCATTGAGAGTTTCAAACCTTAAGAGAAAATTTAGGCAACTTCCTTAAGCTCACATATATTCCCCAGGTAAGCAGACATTTATAATTTTAGTTTACATTGATCCTTTACTGTTATTTTCTATTTTGTTCAAGTGATGTGTTTAGCTAGCCAATATAACTTGTTAACACAGTGAATTTCCTAGCAGTGATTCAGTAGCTGTGGCAACAATCAGCATGGGAACACCTAAATGCTGTAGATGGCTTCTTATTGATTGCTATAAAAACACAGAAATAAAATGTAAACTCTAAAAATCTATTTACAACCATAGAAGTAATCCTTAAGTACAGGTTGCTGATTTTCAGCTGGCTTTGCTTGAGCAACTCTTTTCCTTCAAGGGCATCCATTACACAGCAACATTTATAATGGAGCCTACAATTACAATATATTTGGAAACACCTATCTTTTAACTTAAAAAGTATGTTAACAATCACTTTCTTGACAATCAATATAATGAACCCACTTGGCCGGGCTTTAATTTATACCCATGTTTCATTATACCAGTTATATTATGACAATGGTATAGTCATAATATAATTGGTCAAAGTTTGGACCATGTTAGGAGCACATGTTAGGAGCATTTGCCATGTTAGGAGTACAGTGGCAAATTGAAAAACCCTGGAATAAGATTTAAATTGAATCCCTCTTCCGATACTTCCTGGACACGTGTCATTCATCAAGCTCAATTTCTTTGAGTTTTGTTTTTGTTTTTGTTTTTGTTTTTGTTTTTGTTTTTTTGAGACGGAGTCTCGCTCTGTCGCCCAGGCTGGAGTGCAGTGGCGCGATCTCGGCTCACTGCAAGCTCCGCCTCCCGGGTTCACGCCATTCTCCTGCCTCAGCCTCCCGAGTAGCTGGGACTGCAGGCACCCGCCACCACGCCCGGCTAATTTTTTAATTTTAGTAGAGATGGGGTTTCACCGTGTTAGCCAGGATGATCTCGATCTCCTGACCTCGTGATCCACCCGCCTCGGCCTCCCAAAGTGCTGGGATTACAGGCGTGAGCCACCGTGCCCGGCCCAAGCTTTTTTTTGTCTGTTGCCATTTCTAGAATTATAAATTCAGAGAACATCAGAATACTATGACAGCTTAAATATCATTTATGCTAATATCTTTACAAATCTGGAAACTGAAGCTCAGTATCTGGGCTCAACTGTAGTCTTGCTTCTCGCATAAGAATAGTTGCTGAGAGACAAGTAACAGTGGTGGTATTCACAAATATAAAAACTGGTAAAACAGAATAACCCAATAGGAAAAATTAATGACAAGCTAATTTGGACACTCATTTTAAATAACTCATTATGCCTCAGTAGTGTGTACTGGTTTGGTAATGTGTTAGTTTGGTAGGGGTGCTGTAGAGGTGTTTCAAAGCCACAAATGGTGTAGCTTAAACAATGGAAATGTATTGTCTCAAAGTTCTGGAGGCTAAAAGGCCAACATCAAAAAGTAAACAGAGTTGATACTTTCTGAGGGCTGAGTGGAAAAATCTGTTGCATGCCTGTTCTCTACCTTCTGCTGGTTGTCTGGCAATGTTCAGCATTCCTTTACTTGTAGAGTCATCACCCTAGTCTCTGCCTTCAATTTTTCGTGGCATTCTCCCTGTATGTGATCTTCTGTGCCCAAATTTTCCCTTTTTGTAAGGATACCTGTCATACTCAGTAAGAGCCCATCCTAATGACCTCACTATAACTAATTATTATCTTCAATGACCCTATTTCCAAAAAAGATCACATTGTGAGGTAGTGGGGGTCAAGATTTCAACATATAAATTTGAGGACAAGCACAATAAAACTCGTAACAGGTAGAATACAAATTTAGTACACAAGGATATTGCAGCATGAATTACTAACACTCCATTTGTTAAAATGTAAATGCTCCCTGAAACATTCAGTAATTTCTCACTCATAGTGCCATTGATGTTGAAATGATTATTTTTCTCCAGAAAAATATATTTAAAATATCACCTAGAAATTAATTATTTTCCAAGCTATTTGGAATAATAATAATATTGACATCTTTATTACCAAAACATAGAAAGTCTATCAGATACTAAGAAAAACCTGCTACTAAGCACCTAATATGTCAAATCCTGGTACTTTAGCCCTTATTCCTTAATATTGGCAGTTAATAAAATTACACATTAAACCTGGATAGCCTTCGGCACTAGACTTTGGCAGGAATTTGCAAAAGCTAAACTTTTCTCAAGATTTAGTAATGATAACAACAACTCAAAAAGAAACAAGTAAAGATAATGGAATAAAATCTCAGACTTGCCAAACCACAAGTTATATGAACACACATATACATATTTACCTGAACACCATTAGAAGTGAAACTTATGTCGTGTGTTCCCATTAAGAAAGAAAACACTCTGGTTAAATTTCATTAAATAAAAAACCTTGGACTGCCCAATTCAGACATCAGAAGACTCGTTAAATGCAAACTCAGAGGTCTTAATGCTAGTGTCGAGGTTTGCACCATAGAAAGCTGAGATGTATTTCATTTCCCTGAGCTTTATGAGGTTAATATGTTGTAAATGTGTAATCAAGTAATAGATAAGCCTGATACTTTAAGGCTGTAGCTGTAGACATTTGGTTGAGAGCAACAGTGCTTGGGGCATGGTTTTATAGAGGGGCTGTATTTCATCACACTATCCTTCTACTCTAGCTTATAATAGTAAATACAGTCGAGCTCATTTAAAAATATCTTCAAAGATTGTGGAGAGAAAGATAGTTCTGGTTTACCAGTAGTACAAATAGCTTTTTTCTTGTTTAGCACTTTCTCCACTGAATAAATAATAACAACCAGAAACATTAACACTTTGGAAGTAATATTAGCTCTTTCAGTTTATCCAAGTGTCCAAATGGGTCACTTTTAACTATGAAGTCTTTGTAGAATCCTTTTTACCTTCATTATTGTCATATTTTATCAAGATGTGCTCATCTTCCACAACATTTTCATCACCAAGTAATCATTTTGTTCAATTTCTTTATTATTTTTGGTATCTTTTATTTGTAATTTATTGCAATAATTACTTTAGAAAGTCTTTTGACTTCATGAAGCAAAACTCTCTAACGCGATTTCATTAAAATTTATAGAATAAGGAATTGGGAACATAGAAAAGCACTAAATAAATGATCTGAGTTGTTTATGGATCTAAATCAGAGAAAGCTTATGTCTATGTGAATTCACTCTACTGTAGTGTTTTCCTGAAGGCAGCTACTAGTTATAGTAATGCTATAGTGTAATACACCACAAGATATAGTAAGGACATATTAGTATATTATAACACACTTCAAAAGAGTGAGGGTGGAAAAGTGGACTGTGTACCTTTTAGAAAAATGATAATAATAATAAAGTAATTAACAATTAACATGTGTTTGATACACATAAGGGGTCTGGCACTGTGCTAAGTACTTTGTACAGATATGACAGTAATAACAACAATTCTGCAAAGTTGGTGATATTGTTATTTACAAAATGAGCTCAAATAATCAAATACAAAAGTATCTTTTTAACCTCCTCCTGAATAAATGTATTTAAATAAAATAAATCAAGATATGGAATCTCAGAAATCACTTTTTAAGGAAGTACTTGATTTTGATATTAGATTGGAAGCACTAAAGTGCAATTGAATTAAAAAGGTTTAGAGAATAATAAATATATTCTTTCTTATGTTTTGCATCTGCCCTCTCACTAATAATTGCAAGAGAAAAAGCAGAAAATTTATTCCAATTTAAGATTTCCTTAAAAAATTTCTTTAAAATCTCATCGATGGTCTTCTTTATGACAAATACCTTATGATGAAAGGCATAAAAGAAACATTTTCTAAAGGAAATTTTATTAAAGTAACTGAAGAAAGATTATTTTAGACTTCCAATAGGTAATCAAAGAAAAAATTAAAAATATTAAACTATAAAATAAATAGGCCAGTTACAGTGTCTCACACCTGTAATCCCAGCACTTCGGGAGGCCAAGGCAGGAAGATCACTTGAGGTCATGAGTTTGAGACTAGCCTGGTCAAAATGGTGAAATCCCATCTCTACTGAAAATACCAAACTTTGTGGTGGCATGCATCTATAATCCCCTCTACTTGGAAGGCTGAGGCACAAGAATCACTTGAACCTGGGAGGCAGAGGTTGCAGTGAGTTGAGAACATGCCACAGCACTCCAGCATGGGTGACAGAGTGAGACTCCATCTCAAGAAAGAAAAAGAAAAAGAAAAGAAAAATTAAACTGTAAATAAATTTTTTCATAATAAGGCAAAAAACTACACCTTTTAAAATTTCCATATGGCTTCTAATAATTTACCCTCAATGATAACCACTGAATCTCACTTTAATTGAATAAAAGGGCCACTATGATCTTTTGAAAATAACTAAATTTAAGACATTACTTTAATGCATATATTTATAATATTTTTTTCTTCAATAACACAACAAATGGACAAATTAGTACAATCCCCAGCCTCCATGGTCCCTGACCAACATCATACAAGACATCTTAATTCATTAGTCACCCTAGATCACTTTTTTTATAATAGGTCTTAGGTTCATTAACCACCATATTTTGTATGAGGGCTTAAGGTATGAACCAAAAGCCATGAAGAAGTTGCCAGTGTCCTGAACTTAATCCTGTCCTCATTCTAATCCCGCCACATCTTCTGCCAACAGAACTCAGAAACGAACAAATTTGAAAACGATTAGTTTTTTTTTGTTTGTTTGTTTGTTTTGCCTCACTGTCATAATTTCTCCGCAAATGCAATGGCTCGGTCTTTAGGCAGCATTTCTTTTCCATTTTGTTAATTTTCCCACCACCATTAATGTGGATTATTACCTTTGCAATATTTTTATACAATTAAGTGACGTTTATTACCAATTCTTTACAACACTATTTTGTTATATGCATAGTTTTATTGTTTTGTCTAAGTAACATTCTTTCCTTTTTTCCTTTTTATTTTTGTCAAAATATAACATTGTTTTCTTCTTTAGCTTTGCCTATCTGCATTTTTCTAATATTCTCATATAGTCAAAATATAAATAATAAACATTACAATCTTTTTAAAAATTAGAAGTTATAATTTCAAGAGATGGAGAAATACCACAACTTTCATTGTATGGTGTATACATGTTCTAAAAAATAGACAATTTTACTCAATGTTAAATATGTAACTTGCTAAATCTTAAAGAATCTTTAATTACATAAAGCCCTCAATAAAAATGGGGAGGGAAAAATAACAGTTAAAATTTTTTATATCAAAGATGATAAATACTTATCTATGAAATTCAGTATAGACCAATGGCTTAAAAACAAATCTGGAATTATGGAGTTACGGATTTGATTTCTAGTTCCATCTTGCATTAACAATATGATTCTAGCCAATATTTTGTAAGGCCTAGTTTTCTTACCTGTAAAATGAGCATAATAATGGTAACTTATGGCCGGGCGCGGTGGCTCCGCCTGTAATCCCAGCTCTTGGGAGGCCGAGGCAGGTGGATCACAAGATAAGGAGATCGAGACCATCCTGGCTAGCATGGTGAAACCCCGTCTCTACTAAAAACATACAAAAAAATCAGCCAGGCGTGGTGGCGGGCGCCTGTAGTCCCAGCTACTCGGGAGGCTGAGGCAGGAGAATGGCATGAACCCGGGAAGCAGAGCTTGCAGTGAGCCGAGATCACACCACTGCACTCCAGCCTGGGCAACAGAGCAAGGCTCCATCTGAAAAAAAAAAAAAAAGTAACTTATTGGGTTTTGAAAATAATTAAATAAGAAAAAATAGCACAGAGCCATATTATAGAGAAAAATACTTCATAAATATGTAAATATTAATGATTATTAGTCAAAGCTGAAGTATTAGGAAACCATTGACTTTTTAGATTTTTAAGATTCTAAATTAATAAACTAGGGAATTCTACAATAACAAAAGAAGAAAGAGGAAAAGGAGAAGGAGAAGTAGTAGGGACCCCTACCTCTTCATTTATCTGCTCTGGATGAATTTCTGAAAGGCTCCTCTATCTCCTTCTAGTCTCTGTTTCTCCCATTGATTTTCATTCCTTTTCTCTCTACAATATGGCCTGTGGTCTCATATTCACAGAATACTCAAGCCATTTAGATATGTGGAAAGATAATGCAATTAGTCAGTTGGGTTTGCTCAAAAACCTTTAGCCACCTTTTAAAAACCTCAGTGGCAGTAAGATGTAAGTTGAATTATCGGTGTAGGCAAGTGGCTATTAAATTGAATATTGTAAATTTACTGGGGACTTTATTATTCGCAGTTTCAGTATCTAGCTCACTTCTAACAACTTATCAGTGTTGAGTTATGCTGGGAACACTCAAGCTGTCTTGAAATTTTCTCCTCCCTTGGCTTTCAAGCATCACTCTCTTATTTGCCTTCCAATTCTCTCAATTCTTTCTTTCTCTTTCTTTCTTTCTTTCTTTCTTTCTTTCTTTCTTTCTTCCTTTCTTTCTTTCTTCCTTTCTTTCTTCCTTTCTTTCTTTCCGTCTTTCTTTCTTCTCTTTCTTTCTTCACTTTCTTTCTTTCTTTCTTCCTTTCTTCCTTTCTTTCTTTCCGTCTTTCTTTCTTCTCTTTCTTTCTTTCTCTTTCTTTCCTCCCTCCTTTCTTTCTTTCTTTCTTTCTTTTTCGTTCTTTCTTTCTTTTCTTTCTCTCTCTTTCTTCCCTCCCTCCCTCCTTTCTTTCTTTTTCTTTCTTTTCTTTCTTTCTTTCTTTTTCTTTTTCTTTTTTCTTTCTTTCTCTTTCTTTCTTTCTTTTTCTTTCTCTCTCTCTTTCTTTCCTCCCTCCCTCCCTCCTTCCCTCCTTCCTTCCTTCCTTTATTTCGAGGGCAGTGGTTACTCTTATATTAGACATTCCTTAACTGCTGGTGTAAACCAAGATATTACTTGTGCCCCTTTTCATTTTACCCCATACAGCTTCCTCCAAGTGAGTGAGCTCATCATTTCTCCCACTGTGAACTTCTCTTTATCCTGTTTCCACCTTAGAGTGAATGATATTACTAACCACTTTTGTACCAAAATCTGAAATAAAAGTTTTTCTCTTGATTCATCTCTTTCCTTTATCTCATCATACTGCAATAGTCACCAAGTTCCCTTTCTCCTACCTCTAAATATATCTCAAAGCAATTCTTTATTTTGCCTTCATCCATACTGCTCTTCTCCCAGCTTACATTATTTCTTACCTAGGTCTATATTATATGTTTTATTAAGGAATTTATTAGGTAAAAATAATCAAATAGCCTCAGGAGTGTAATCACATATATGAAAACCTAACTATCATTCACTGTACTCCCAGATTCCATGAGACCGGTCACATTTCTTCTGGGCTACTATATTTTAGGCCTTCATCATGCAGGAAGACTGCTTAAGCCTACACTAAATACCAAACTTGAGTGAATCTGAATAAATGAGAGCCATCAACCAACTTATTAATTATGTTTTTCTTTACAGCCCCACAGATAGTGTGGGTTAACGGAGTCACATCTGAAGGAGGAAAAGGAAAGTAGCATATACTGTTACTGATTAAATGTCTGACTATCCTGGGTACATTACTTGTATTATTTTGCTACACTACACAGTTTTTGAGGACAAAGTTTGTGTCCTGTTCAGTTCTATAGCCCCACCGCAATGTTTTTGATGTAATAAATATTCAATAAAATTTACTTATTAATTAGTGAAGTTTTATAACACCTTTATGAGGTAGTTCTACTACTATAACAATTTAACAGATAAGCATATTAATATTTGAAGAATTAATCTATATTAAGTTTCCCCATTTTGTAAAGTTCCTATGTCCTTCTGAGGATATATGACCTGTCTGAATAAGACAAGCCAAAGTTGCTATTCCCACAAATTTCAAAATCCAGTGAAGGAGACAGGACAAAACAAGCAAAAGATGGATGGGTGAATAAGTGCAGCATCCTGCTTTACTCACTATTCTTATTTCTAAGGTGACTTAAAAATTCACAGAATAGCCAACAATCAGTGATTTAGCAACAGTTTATTGGTACCTATAGAGATAACTAAGCTATTTTTCAGATTGTGATAATCTCTATGAATAAAATCAAACAGAATTATGTTACAGAGCGATTGAGGAGAAGTAGGATAATATTACATGTTATAATCAGGAAAGGGCAAACTGAGGTGAGGACATTTGTATGAACAGTGAAGGAGTAAATCATGTGAAAATCTTGGGGGAAAGGGACTCCAGGGAGATAAATAAATAAATGCAAATGCTCAAGAAACCAAAAGAATGTCAGAGTGGCAGGTCCTAGTGGGTATGAAAAGAGTGGAATCTGATAAAGTCCTATTCATAACTTGATTTAAAAAAAGAAGAAGAGTAGAATCTAATTCAAAAGGCCATGTTGTTATAGGTCAATTCAACAGCCATATAAAATCTTAGTGTAAAATTTTATTTATCTTCTTGGAAAACAGACTTATATACTTATGGTTATTTTGCATCCTGGAGTTGTAAATGTCAAAATAGTTATCCTAATGAAGTAAACTCACAGAGCGAGCAGACAAACAGTAACTTATGTCCAATTTTAAACATAAAAAATCTTGAAAATTGAAATCATTTGTGTGTGCATGCACATATAAATCTTTACCATAAAATATATAAAAGATTAATATCTGTGTATACAGATATTTCATAGAAATAATTTCCAAAGCCTACATTTTCTTTCAAGAGTCATGTGAATTTAGAAATGTTATGTTATTTTAACATCCCCTAGTGGTTCTTTGATAAAACTGGGGGATTGCTTGACAAATTTAAAATGTAAGTCTAAGTAAATACATTTTCTTCTCAGAATAAAGTGTATATTCAATTTACCCCAAGCAAAAAGGTAAAATAAAATAGGACAAAATAAAGTAACTGTTTATTCTTATAAGACAACAAGGTATTAAAAGAGATAAAGCAACTTTCCTTCAAAATATACAATATTTCACATTCACTTCAGAAATTAGAAAATAAAGAAATATAGAAAATAAAAGTTGCTGTCTAAATATCATCAGCTATGGATTTCCCTCTGACAGTAAACTGGAAGCAATAATGTAATTGACTAGTTTTTCCTCTTATGAAACCCTATTTCTATCAGAAATATGTAAGAGTAGAAAAACAAAAAAGTTTAAAATCTCACAATAACAGATATTTGCAGGCTTTTCATCCATAGGCAACGTATTTTTGTCAAATAATTACATACAATTAGTAAGATAACATGTATTTATCTTTTCCAAATTACATTTGGAGGACCTGTGGCACAGAGTTGTTAGGTTACAAAGGAAGTTTGGAGTCAGTCTAAGACTCCCAGTTATCCTCTTTGCTAACTTTCTGCTACTTCCATTCAATGATGGTCCTCATAATTTTTTTTTCTACCTGAGCAGTTATATATATTTCGGAATCTATCAATTAATTGACATGATATTTATGAGTAACTGTGACATGTACCTTTCTCTCTTGTGATTCTTAAAGATGCAAGAGTTGTTCTAACCATCTTAAATGTACTTGAAAGAGGAGCTTTATAATCTCCAACCTTGTTACAAAAAAGCATGAAAAAAATAAGTCTTGATTCTAATCCTACATCTGTTGTATATATTTTATTCCAAAGATTTTTATTCTTTCTGCACATTCATGGGATCTGTAGACACTTGCTTACATTGTCAACTATCAATTCACAGTCTAGTTTCATTAACATATAAATAGATGGCCTTTAACAAGGCTTAAAGACTTTTGAGAAAATCCAAGCAACCAATTATATCATCCATCTACATAATTTCAAATGGGCTAGATTATAAAAGATGCGGCCGGGCGCGGTGGCTCACGCCTGTAATCCCAGCACTTTGGGAGGCCGAGGCGGGTGGATCATGAGGTCAGGAGATCGAGACCATCCTGGCTAACAAGGTGAAACCCCGTCTCTACTAAAAATACAAAAAATTAGCCGGGCGCGGTGGCGGGCGCCTGTAGTCCCAGCTACTCGGGAGGCTGAGGCAGGAGAATGGCGTGAACCCGGGAAGCGGAGCTTGCAGTGAGCCGAGATTGCGCCACTGCAGTCCGCAGTCAGGCCTGGGCGACAGAGCGAGACTCCGTCTCAAAAAAAAAAAAAAAAAAAAAAAAAAGATGCTAAAAATGTTGATGGCATGACTTATGACTTACAATCTATACCCTACCCTGTTAGAGAGGTTGAGATATAAATTGTTCTATGTTCAGAGCTTCAGAAACATAGGTATTTATCTGGGTAAAAAAAGCTCATTTTCTTCACCCTTAGTGGTAGAAAGGGTATGCATTTTGTTCAGCAGATTTGGTTTTATGCACTCATGCTCAGGTTGAAAAGTATAAATGTATAAATGTACAATAATAAAGTAATGATAACAGCTATGTTCCATTTTCCATTTCTATCTTAATTGCTCCAGGTAGGTAATTTTACTGTGTATATAAATCATTAGTCTTCAGCAGTCACCCCTTTCTCTAGTTATTCTTAGGCTCCAAAGCAGTTTTATTTTGCTAAGAGCCATTTCTGATTGTCTCTGGAGTGATGGCAGGGGTGAGGGAGGATTCAAATTAGCTTCAAGGTACATTTACTTCTATTACTCAGACATAATACCCCAATGACATATAGACCATTTCTTAGTCAAATACTAATTTACAATTGTCCTGTGTCTATATAACCAGCATGCACTGCGAAATCTTTTCTGACTAGGTTTGATTTCAGTGATAAAAACTAAGAATTTTTGATGATTCCAGGCTTCTTAGTGAAAAGCAAAACAAAACAAAACAAAAAACAACAATTTTGCCCATAATCATACAAAAAAAACAAGGAAAGGTTTCAGGGAGAAGTCCAGAAGATTATCTGTGTAATAAATAGATTTCCAAAATGTGGCCAAATGAAATGCCCAATGAACTTTAAGGGCTTAATTAAGCCAGTTCAGTCAGAAATGCCATGAAAATAAAATTAAGTGTAATCAATAGAACTTGGACAAGCCATTTGCAGATTCTGAACCTTAATTCATATTAGGACTCTCTGGCTTACTAAGATTTAATGTGAGTGTTTCCATAACTTTTGTGTTCCTACAACTGTACATTGCAGGTATTTAGGGTACAATTAAGTTTAGAGTAGCTTTTTGCAAGGAATAACAGAATGAATAAAAGAATAATGTTATTTTCTTTTCAAGGCTTTCTGGATTTTTGCCTATATTTTCCTATAAGAAGCACTTATGTGAAAGTAAGTTGAAAAGTGAGACTCTATGGTCTTCTATTTCCCTTCTAGTTCTAAAAAAGAAAATAATAATGTAGCACTAGCAAGGATACGTGAACAAGACAATTTCTATGCCTTGTGCATAACAATCACTTGATAAATATTTGGTGAATTGACACTGTAGTACATAGTGGGCAAAAACTGAGAGTAGAAATGACTAAAGGCACAGGAAGATAAGCACAGGCAGAAGTACCCTTAAGGAGGTCAGAATGGGCTCACTCAAGTTAGTCTCAAACTCATACCAGTTTAAAGAAAAAAAATAGAAGTCTTTTGGGCAGTTTTCAATCTTTGATGTCCTCAGATTGTGTAATGACAGCCCCAGCTTTATGAGTAAATGAACCCTGTTGTGGAGGACTCTGTGATGTGCCTAATTTTGTTCCCCATGTTTATCTGATTTACAGGTTTCCCAGTCATTATTTCAGATCACTCATTTAAGCGCCTCACATGGAACCTTGAACCTCTCACATTTTGTCTGGGCTCCTGAAATCCTGCCCTTATCTGGAAAATTTAATTCACGGGTAAAAGGAGTTTGGAGAGTGGGGTGTGTTAGGTAATAGGAGGGATATAGCATCCTGACCTTGTGTCCTGTGGTCCCAGCAACTGAATAGGGACAAAAGTTAAAATGTATAGATTAAAACCACATCCACACTACAATCTGACTATCTTTAAGGATCCGTTTAGGAAGTCAGGGCAATTACTGAGCCTTGCATGATGAAATGGTGGGTATGCTCCTAAGGGATCCATTAAGGTTCCCCAGCGCTGACAATCTTGTCTGGCCCAGCTACCTTCCTCCCCTCTTCTCCAGCACTTGTGACCTGCACTCAAGCATATGTCACACTTGGTAACAACTGATGCTTGACCTGACACACTCCTCTGCCAGTGCTCCTTTTCTTCATTCTACTCCCTTAGGAAGAGTTAAGTGGCTTTAATTTGCATTTTTTAAAGCTACTGCATGTTGAAACTTTCCTTTTTGAAACTTTTGGCTTCTTTACCAAGGCTGATGGTTTGGATGAGGAGAAAAACATCTAGCAATTGTTAACCTGCTCTTCCACTAGATATGACAAATCTTTCTCACCAAATTTGTGTCATATTTTACAATTACATTTTCCTCTTGAAAACTAGCCTTCAGTTTGTGACTTTCAAGCAAATGACAAAGGATCTTCCTGAGCAATATTAAAGATAACTCCTTCTGCAGCAATGGCGCCTCCCACCCTCATCCCCTTTGCTCTGCCTATTAAGATTCATTCATCTTATGAGATTTCAGCTACAAATCAGTAGAAAAATGAAAAAAACACATGGCTACATCTTAGCAAGTACCTCCTTTATCTTATTAATTTACATTTATTTTCTTCTACCTATATATAAAGCAGTAGCATACATATATATGATAAATAGAAAATCATATTACATAATTTCAATTATTGATAATTCACTAAATGTCTGGCTTTGGCAAAACCACCTGGTTTATCAAATGCAATATTTTATTTGCTATCCAAAGTATTCTACAAAAAAATGTTAACTAGATTTTATAAATGGAAAATTAAAGTTTATGACATAAAGTCATCTGCTTAAAAATAACCCAGCTAATTAATGCAAGATCAAAGATGCAAATGTAGTTTTATGTTTCATAAAGGCCATAATCTTAAGCAAAATAAAGCATTATCTCCTGATATTAATTCTTAAGCATATACATTAAATTTAGTGAATGAATGTCCAAGGAAGAAGGCTGAACTTAGTCTACAATATAAAATCACCAGTTTGTCATAGGTTCTTATTTTATTTTTTTGTAAAATGTATTGATTATTAAATACTCCCAACTGTTACTTGAAGATAAAATAAACTTGTTCCAACTGTTTATTTTGTGATATCTAAGCAGTAAGAAGAAAATGAAAGGGTTCACAAAGATACTCAATTTGCTCTAGTGTCATTTTATTGTAATTCCTGTCTCTGCAAGGAGCCAGGCCTTTGGGTGGGAGCTCCACTTTCAATCTGGTTTGTCACCTCTTCAAGAATAGAAAAGAATGGCATTCGGAGCCAGTGACAAAACCTGCCTTCTCATATTCCCATCATGCATTCTTGTTCTGAATGCCCCCCTGATTCTTCACTGTACTTGAAGATTAAAAAAAGAGGTATAGAAGAACTGTGGTCAAAGAAAGATCTGCTCCCCTAGTCAGGCCAATCAGCCAAATGAACTCTGTTTCAGGCAGCACAGGCTGACAATATCACATCCAGGAAAAAATGCTGGGTAAAATCATTAATCTTAAAGGACAGACAAACTTTATTAATCATCTTGCTAACATTTAACTAACAGAGGAGGAAGTGGAATACCTAAAAGCTTTTATTAATGGCCTGTGAGATATATTGTAAATGTATATCTTAATTCTGGGTTTTCTGACTCCCTGGAAAAGTCTAAAGCAAACAATCAAACAAAAGCTGGTTGTGCTGGAGGATTTTTTTTTAAATTCACACACACACACACACACACACACACATTTATTAAACTATAAACAGCGAAAGTTGAGCACATAGCTTATTCACTGTTGTATCCTTAGCCTAGGTTCAGGCACCAAAATCTAGCTAAAAGATGCCAAAATAGAGAGCTCAATCCCTGGAATGTGACGTCTTTAGTCTGCATGTTTGGGCTTCAGTCAACTTCTCTTCTGGCATGATCAGGGGCTGGAATCTAAGTTGCATAATTTTACCTCTATAACTTGTCTAGAACCTTGGCCTCAAGACCTTCACCATCACTTCACCACTCAGGCCTTGGAGCAAACCATTCCTGTGCTGGCTGTGATCTAGGGCTGCATTCAAAGACTTGCATCTACAGCTGTAGGTCCTGTGCTACCAGGGACTTTCAGTCCTGACCTGCCACCTCAGCATTCTCCGTAGTTTGATGGGCTTGAGCACTTAATCAGTGTCCTTAGAGTAGGTTTTGTTGTTCAAACTGCTCTGCAAGAGGTCAGCTCTTTCTTTAGAAAGCTAGCTTGTAGAGAATGTGTTGGTCTAGTAAACCTTTACATCTCACCAACATCCACTTAAGTGTATGACTAAGAGCAAGCAGTGTCAAGAAAACTGAGAGTATTTGATTCATAAAATAAGTGACCGCACACATATTTTTTAAGACAACCTCTTTCATGTTTTGCATTTCAATTAAATCTCAAATTCCATGAGGACTACAATTACATTTCCTTGTGCTTTGGGATCTTCAAATGAATAAAGTATGCACTTACATGACTTTTTAATTTGGGATACCCGTAAGTTCAATGTCTATCTATGTGGTGATACCACTGAAACTATTTAATATAGTTTCTGTTCCTAGCTGTAATATGGAACTTTGTTTAAAGAAGTAGTGTTATAAAAAAGTAGTTTTCAAGTCTATCTGCAAATCAGAATCATTTGGGAGGTTTTAAAAATCCAATGTCCATGATAACTCCTAGACTAATTAAATTAGTATTTCTAGACTTGGAATCCAAGTTCTTTGAACTTTTCAAGTGATTCAAATGTGAAGATCAAAAGGCTTATTTTTAGCATGGATTATAACTGGTGAGTGGATAACCTGAGTGAATTAACAAATAAATGAATGAATCTATACATATATATTTTAATAAAAATATATATTTGTATACATATAGAAAACATATGCTGCTGGGCACGGTGGCTCACACTCATAATCCCAGGAGGCCGCGGCAGGTGGATCACGAGGTCAGGAGATCGAGACCATCCTGGCTAACATGGTGAAACCTCGTCTCTACTAAAAATACAAAAAATTAGCCGGGCGTGGTGGCAGGCGCCTGTAGTCCCAGCTACTCGGGAGGCTGAGGCAGGAGAATGGTGTGAACCTGGGAGGCGGAGCTTGCAGTCAGCCGAGATCGCGCCACTGCACTCCAGCCTGGGCGACAGCAAGACTCTGTTTCAAAAAAAAAAAAGAAAAGAAAAGAAAAAAGAAAACGTATACATACATTTGTGTTGCTTGCTAATGAGATAGAAAATGTAAACTTTTTTCAATTACAAATATATCTATCACAGAAAAATGTGTAGCAATTTTTTTTGTAAAGTAGCAAGCTAATTAAGTTTATATTTTTCATACTGGTCATACACCATGCTAAATATAGTTGCTAACCAATGGATTTGCTTGCTGCTGTTATAAAAATATAAATATATAAGCAAACACAAAGGCAGTATCATCAACTTATGAAAATTAATCAGTTATTTCAGGCCACTATGAAGCAGACACACATTTGAAGTTATGTTAATTTTGATATATTCTCTTTAGAGATAATTCAGTTTTTCTCTTCTGTAGTTATTTCTTTTGGTTCCACCATAAGAACTTGACTAGTCATCAATTATTGAATCAAATGCTTGTGAATTCTCTTATTTGTGTTGGATTTTTTATATGTGACATTCAAATTTTAAATAAATAAACAAAGAAAAGGCATTGCCATTGTACATGAAGCACTTATAATCTATCAGAGGAGCTTATAGCTATTTTCATAAATATATTTCTGCTGCTACTAAAATGCTAATGACTTAAAAGGAAAAATGCACTAAGATGATTCTGTCTAACTAGAACTGAAGCACTCTCTCCTCGGTTGACTTAGAGATACGCAGTCACTAGTGAAGATAAAAAGTATTTCGCAATCTTTCTCTACTGGTGAGATAACTTTGTACATGAACTATATCCACGTATTTGAATAATCCCCTAAAGAAAGCTGCTAATTGCATAGCATATCATGAAGACAGAAAGATTTATAAAACCTTATCATATGTCAAGGATATGAAAAGGCAGGAAGCGCCTTGGTTATAATCATTCTATTATTTTTTCCAAAAAGACAATCTAACGTGAAGGAATGGCTTAGGATTGATTGAATTAAAAGCAACTTGGTTTTTAACTCTACTCAAAAAGTAAAGCATGTAATTAAATCATCAGCACCTTTTCAGCCTAAATTTCAACAAAAAGCAGAAAATATTTTCACAGAGTAAAATTATCTGAAGTGCCAAAATGTGTATTACCAGCATCACAAGCAGAGAATTTAAAAATTAGAGTAAACAATCTGATTTAGTGCAAGGAGGACTTATTAAGTAAAATTGTAATTTAATTACAGTACTTAATTTACATTTGCATTGGATATCTTTAATTATATATATATCCAATAATTTCTAAAATACATGTGCATTAAAAATTGAGAGGAAGCTTATTAAGCTGTTTTGTCCAAATAAGAGAAATCTTAAAACAGAACATTTAGAAAATAATTTGCTGTGGGTCATACACTCAATACGTGGTGGGCCTCACAAGACGGATCATCCCTCACCTAAAAAAGCTTACAGGGAAGGGTGACAGATGACAGGAATTACATTATAGCAGTGCTAGGATAGCTTTTTTTTTTCTTTTAAATAAGCTTCTACTAATAGTCCATTTTCTAAAGTGAGTTAAGATTCTTAGGCGATATCGTGCTTCTTGTGATAACCATCACCACTTTCTATTTGTTAGTACTGACAGATTACAATCAATAGATTTTATGGCAATAGGGAGAACACTATCCTGTGACTACAGTGAAAGGTGGGCATTTTCTATCTGAGATTTGAAATACACTAACGGATGCTTCTGTGATAACACAACGGAATAGAGACTGACCACTTTAAAGGCTCAGGGATGAGGATTAAAGGAAAAGATAACTTTTTTTCTAATGAGGTTTTCTTCTCCATTGGTCCACGCTAGTAATGTCCCTACTCAGCCTCTCTGAAAGCTATTACACTTGGCTTCATACATAAAGGTGATGACCTCCAGATGAATTTAATGGTGATATAAGGAATTACCATATCAATAAAGGCAAAAAGTGGCAAATATTTTTATAATTTAAAAAGAAAGCAGAGTGTATTGCAGCCACTTTCAACCTTTTCTTATGCAACAAATAGAAAGCAGGAAGAGGACTGAAGGAAATAAAAATTCAATGCTACACTATGTATGTGCCTATAACTCACAGGAAGTGTTGTGCTCTGGGCTTGCTGGAGGGACCCAAGGGGTGAAGCACAGGGAGGAAATCAGAAAATACCATTGGGTTGGTTTTCCTGAAGGGATTCTCCTGCAGCTGACATTATGTGTCTCCTGAAAACCTTAGGTATGGCAGAGTTAAAATATTAGTCCCTTTTATCAAGCCAAGAAGGAGGCTATGAATGCGGAAAATAGAACATGTATTCTCTCAAAAAAGTGTTTCTCAAATGTTAAGATTCCTGCAAATGCCGTGGAGCTTAAGAAAATACAGTTTCTGGGTCCATAGGTCTGAAATGGGGCTTCAGATTCTGAACCCCCATTCACCAGTTCCTGGTGATATCAATGCTGCTGGTGTTTGGACATTTTGATTAGCCCAGTCGTAGAGCATAAGATGAAAGACAAAGCAGATGGCTAAAATGTGTAACAACAGAAAGCATTGAGACTGCTTGAGAACAAAGGGGCTGATATGGGGTCAGCACTGCGTAAAAGGAGAGTTGTGACCACAAGTTAATAATAATAAGTGTTTCTTTTCCTAATTTTAGCTAAGCAACATTATTTTTAAATTAATTCTTCCTATAGATTGATTTATTCAAGTTTAAACAGCAAAGACATTAGTTAGGCACAAATGCATTTTTTCTCATTCTTATTCAGTTCAACCCATTTTTGATGGGAGAATCATCTATTTTCTCCTAATTCTGGGTTTTCTGAGACAGATTGCTTATCTTATACAGACTTTCCAAAAATAGGGCTTTCTTGAACCTCAACACTGCTATTCTGCCAGTGTGTGCACACAGCAAATAGAGACACATTTATAATGTAAGCCAAATGAATATATAATTATGAATGAAAATTTGGTGAGAAAGAAATAACTATATTTGAAAAACATATATATATATATATATACACATATACATAATACATACCCAGTTAATATTATACCCAAGCTCCACTGTTAAGTCCATACTAGAATTATTTCAGATAAGTCCGAAAGTTTCCATATAGAAATAGCTGGACTGAAATACCAAACACACCTATATTTTGGGTTTCCCTTGCTATTAGTCCATTCTCACACTGCTGTGAAGTGTCACCTGAGACTAGGTAATTCATGAATAAAAGATGTTTGCTTGACTCACAGTTCCACAGGCTGTACAGGACGCACGGCTGTGAGGCCTCAGGAAACTTAAAATCATGGCAGAAGGCAAAGGGGAAGCAGGCACATCTTTGCATGGTGGCAGGAGAGAAAAAGAGAAGGGGAAGTGCTACACACTTTCAAACAACCAGATCTTGTGAGAACTCACTATCAAGAGAACTGCAAGGGGGAAATCCACCCCCATGATCCAATCACCTCCCACCAGGTCTCTCCCCCAACATTGTGGATTACAATTCAACATGAGATTTCGGTGGGGACACAGAGCCAAACAATATCACCCTCTAAAAGCCAATTGTATAAGCTAGTCTTTAAACAACTCTAGATCTTACTTTGCTTATTTGTAAAATGAAGGATCTGAGACACACAATGTTTAAGTTTTCTTCTAGTTCTAAAATTCTTGGATGTCAGAGTGGGAGAAAATCTTCACAATTACAGTCTGACAAAGGACTAATATCCAGAATCTACAACACACTCAAACAAATCAGTCAAAAACAAACAAACAAACAAACAATCATATCTAAAAGTGGGCTAAGAACATGAATAAACAATTCTCAAAAGAAGATATACAAATGGCCAAAAAACATATGAAAAAAATGCTCAACATCACTAATGATCAGAGAAATGCAAATCAAAACCACAATGTGATATTCCTGCAAGAATGGTCATAACCAAAAAATTTTAAAATGTAGATGTTGACACGGATGCAGTGATCAGGGAACACTGCTACACTGCTGGTGGGAATGTAAACTAGTATAGCCACTACTGAAAGCAGTATGGAGATTCCTTAAAGAACTAAAAGTAGAACTACAATTTGGTCCAGCAGTCCAACTACTGGGTACTTTACCCAGAGGAAAAGAAGTCATTGCTCAAAAAAGATACTTGCACACGCATGTTTATTGTAGCACAATTCACAATTGCAAAATCACGGAACCAACCCAAATGCCCATCAATCAACGAGTGGATAAAGAAACTATGGTGTGTGTATATATATATGTGTGTGTATATATATATGTGTGTGTGTATATATATATATATAATACCTATATATATAAAATACCTATATATATATATGATGGAATTATATATATATATATGATGGAATTATATATATATGATGGAATTATATATATATATATATGATGGAATTATATATATATATATGATGGAATACTATTCAGCCATAAAAAGGAAAGAATTAATAGCATTTGCAGTGACCTGGATGAAATTGGAGACTATTATTCTAAGTGAAGTAACTCAGGAATGGAAAACCAAACATCGTATGCTCTCATTGATATGTGGGAGCTAAGCTATGAGGACGCAAAGGCATTAAGAATGATACAATGGACTTTGGGGACTTGGGTGGAAGAGTTGGAAGGGGACAAGGGATAAACGACTACAAATATGGTTGGGTGTATAGTGCTTGGGTGATGGGTGCACCAAAATCTCACAAATCACCACTGAAGAACTTACTCATGTAACCAAGTACTGCATGTACCCCAATAACTTATGGAAAAGAAGTAATCTATTCTAGGAAGAATTCACTGATTAACTCAACCTGGCTTAATTCTTCTATTTACTATCATTATTAATAAACATTTTATATCCTTAAATAAAATAAAATTCTTGGATAAAAAATAAGCGAATGTTCTTTAAGAGGCTTCTCTTTTGAGGTTGCCCCTTTCTGTAAGAAGATAAGTACTATTACTTTTCTGCTGCCACAGGGAAGTCTAGCCCCACTCTTTTATCAGTAGCAGAATGTTTTTAAAAACATGCTGACAGTGACTTTGAGACCTGATAGTGTTTGTGTTTTCAAGATAAAAATGGTCTTCATCAGCCCTTTTAATTGAAAGTAAATTGCTGTCAGAAATGTGATTACTACAGGGAAAAGAGAAGGGTGGACCTGCTTATAAGTTTCAACATCAATAGCCTTTTTTTAAAGGGCCCATTCAAGAGGAGATGCCCGCTGGGCAGAAAAGAAGTAGAAATAAGATACTAAATTATATTTTTAAGTGGATCCCTTGATTCTTCATTTGTCTACATAATACAATGGAAAATTAGTTCAAATTCCTTTAAGAAAAATAGCATTAGGACATGAAACTCCATATCCTTCCCAAACATTACCAAGTCATCTGCCTTTTATTCTTATATGAAATTAAGACTCACAAAGCACATGTGAGACACAGCGCTAGATGTTGGGGTTATATATACTTCTCCTTCTGGAATCCATTTATAAGCTGTGATAGATACAGGAAAATAAAAGGAAAACAACATTTATTTAGTGTTTACAATATTCCAGGTACTGCTGGATCAGGCACATATATGGTTTTCACTTCACTGCTACAACTCAGTGGGCTGGTATATGTACCCTTTTTCTCAGAAAGGAAGTCGCAACTCAGAGAGATTAAGTAGACTTCCCAAGTCACAGTCCATACAGCTGATATTTGTATCGGCTTTTCTGACTGCAGAGATTTTATTTGGTCAGTATAGAGTCACTTGGCCAAACAGATTAATTGTAAAACTCCGTGATACCAAGTGCAATGAAGCCAAGAAAGAGATGAAACTAAATCTGCTTTGAGAAAGCAGTGAAAATTTGACATTGTAGGAAATATGTGAGCTGTCCCCTCAAAGAATGAGAATTTAGCCTGGAGGAAAAGGGCAACTGAAGGTAACATGAATGGCATCATTTATTCAGTTTCCAGCTGATTGCAAAGGCTTGAACTATGCAACAGGAAGATATGAAAAATAATGCATTAAGCTTTACAAAACATTTTTTCTGTTTTGACAAGAAGGCTTCTATTGGGGATGTATTTAACACCTATTTATAAGATCAACACCATTTTGAAAGATAAACCATAAGACCTACTTTACAAAATGTATTTATTTATTTAATGAATGCTTACTTTGTTCAAATACCAGTCACAATTTAATGAAATCTTGCAATTGTGTAAGGCTTTGTCATCTCTAAATGCTTCTTTATTATAGCCAGAGCCATCTAAACAATCACTTCAGGTACCATAACTCTTTCAATCTCAAGGTTCCAACCAAGTCTATAACAAGTAAAACTGGAGAACAACATATCCTAGAACAAAAAGCAGGCTGCTGAAATCATGTTTAGTAAGAATCAAATTTTGGTTAGCTTTATACTATTAAATACATTCTAGTAAAAATATCCAAGCCTTTCTATGCAGTACTTTTGAAATTACAAATATAAAACTCCGCCTGAAAAAATAAAAATGCTTTCTCACACAAGATGGCAGAGAGGACGAAATGGGTTGGCGAAAAGGGATTTTGCAATAAAAATATTCTCTTAGCATTTACAAAATACCATGGGATTCCTAAATCTTCCAATTTAATGTGTTCAGAGACGAAAACCGGTGCTATTTCCTCTTGGTCTAGCTCTCTGAATAGTAACTAGCTAGCATGCATATGCCTCAGAATTGCAACTTCATAACATTGTTTACGAACTTGGAAGAAACTTTTCACCACCACATAGCGATTTCATCTTAGTGGTGGTTCATGTAACACATTTCAATTTAATATCACATGGCTTGTTTTATAACATAATAAAGTGGTATATAATACATCAGGCACCAATCATGCATCTGAATTTTGCAACAGATACGTGGATAAAATCTTTTTTTAATTAGGAGACATTATGTGCCTATCATTATCCATCATGTTTTTATCATTTTCATCTGGTCTATATGTCCCATGTTCATAAAGTTGATAACATCAAAACACGGAAAGTATAGGAAATAACATAGAAAACATACCACATAAAGAAGCAATCTTTCACTGCACAAATTGAGTATAAAATTTAACCCGTTTGAAAGGGTCATTATATTGTGGGAATGAGGAGCAGAAAGACAAGTGGAGTATAAAGAAAATGGGCTTTAAAGTCAAACTTGCCTAGATTCAAATCTTGGTTCTATGATTACTAATTATAAAGCCAAATTAGAGATATTTAAACTCTCTAGGGAGCAGACGATAAGTAAAATTTTTGGCCTTTGTGAAACCTTTTCTGATGTTACATCCTTTTTTGCCACGTGCTTTATTATGCCACTGTGCTCACATAGAACTGTACTTTTCCATTTTAATGGAATTTTAACTGTAATTTCCATTTTAATACTCATCAATTGATCTTTTATATCTCTTGAATGCCAAGTTTATAAACTGGACTGTAAGATCTTTGAGGGCATGGAACATTTATTTTCTATAACAAGTACATAGTATAATTTTTGATATATTGTATAATAGAATTCAAAAGAGTTTATTTGGTCTATGAAAATTAAAGCAGAGTATTATTTTAAAATAATCATTATAGTCAACTTTTCAGCAGGACTGCTTGTATTTTACAAAAACTTTTTTTTTTTTCTAAAATTATCTAATGAGCCCTAGGTTATTCACCCAGATACAGTATCTCAACATATTTAATTTACTATAAACCTTCAATTCACTGTCACCCCCACCTATACTTTTTTTTACTATGCAAAAATATATTCACAGAGAACATATATAACTTTCTTATAAGAAACAAAATTTCTTTCTTTGCTGAGATAACTCAAAGTTTGTCAATACAGTTGTGTTGATTTCTATATAGCAAAATTTAAAATGTACATGATTGTACAAACACCTCAGGAAGTCAAAGCTTTGTTTTTAGGTAACCAAATGGGTTCTTCCTTCACTTTAATTTACGTGTGCATCTTTATTTTATCCAAAACCATCTTTCTTCAGCCTCAACAATGTGATCAGCACTGTGTGAGGCACTGACGAGAACTAGAGAAGGAAATACATTCAGTTCCTGTCATTTTGAAGGTCCCAGCCTGATGTGATAAACAAAAATGCAGAGCACAACCTGGTAAGTGTTATAATAGAGGAGGGTACATTATATTATGAAAGCAGAAACACAAGAGTAACTGTCAAATGTCTGTTTTTGGAACTGGAAAATAATTGTGAATTATGCTAATAGTGAAATCTAGGTCCCTGCTATTATAGCTGCCTTCCCTTTCAAATGCCTTTACTTTAATGGCTTTGTGAAATAAAGGCTGTGACTATTGTAGACAAGCTCTGAAAAGCAAACATTGATTTTGAAAAAGGAAATGCATCGCAGGGACATCAGCTATGCCAGTGCATTCAAACTGATTTTAGCAAATATTGAGACCTTATCTGACACCACAATGATCTAAACAAGATTATAATAAAATTACCTGTAATTAGAGAGTAAAATTTCCCACAGAAAGCTTTCATTTTGGCCTCTGGAAACAATAGAGTTTTCATTTCTGCTGGCAGAGTTATGATCTTTGTCTAGATAAATAGCATGTGGCATCTAAATAACATTCTTTTTCCAAAACAGCCAATGGGGATTTGGGGACAAAAACAATTAGGCTGGCATAAACCAACTAGTGTTAGTCTGCTTATATTTTCATCACAGATAGCCCCTAAATCTCTATTTAGAAAAGCATATAGTTAAAACTTGAAAAATATTTGTTTCTGACTAGAGAACTTCAGGTTTCACCACTGACACAACAATGTAAAAGAATATGCATAATGAGATGGAGAAACACAACTATGATTTCCTTAAAGGAGTCAGTCTCTGAGCCTCAGTTTCGTCATATGTAGAATGGAAAAATAAGGTGAAATGCAACTTCTTCTGAGAAATCGTTCCTGACCAGGCTATTCTCTGTTATTTCCTCATGCCTTCCATATGTAGAGGCTTTCAAACTACTTTGTTTATTCCTTTATTTTACCTATTACCCAGTATAACAAGCGGGAAAGCTATACTAGTAACCAAAGACATTTCTCAACCTCCTTACCCAAGCCCCCTCATCTCAAAGGTAATTTATTGAAATATGAACCAACATTTCTTCCTTAGATTTATGTTCTCCCATGCTCCCACTATTTAATCAGGTGCATTCAATGTTTCAGGAAAGCAAAGAAAGAAAGGAGATTTCAGTTTTTAAAACTTTGGTAGTTAGATTATTTTTTAACCTAAGGCCAGGAAGTATCAGGACATAAACGTAAGGTATTGGTACAATACGTTATATTTTCTGTCCTGGGAGCAGAGAGGAGAAAAAAATAATTTAACGCAAAACTATGAAATAGAAACTGGCCTATGACCTCTAGGCAGGATCCTGTACTTTTCTACTATTCCTTTTCCAAGGTGGATCTCAAAAGAAGATATATGATTAAGTAATCCCAAGATAGGTTTAGGGTCTGAGTGCAATGGTGACTTGTGTACTCACTTTCCAAGGTCAGCTCTTCAAAAGTAATAGGATTTTTCATGGGAACAGAAGAAATAGCTGAATGGATATGTAGTCAATGGATTTGAGATGCTCTTGCTGAATGTCAAGAGAACAAGAGAGTGTTTTGGCTGCATCACATAATAGCATATAAGTCTGACACCAGGAACTGTGAGATTCTAGAGGTCACGCCATCTGGACCCAGAGAACACAGCAGTGACTAACCTCTTTCTCTGCTTCTTATCTTTATCTTACCTACTATCCAGGTGCAACTCGATGCCCCCTCCGGCAGTGAAGGTGCCCCAGACTGGAAGCAGGCAACTGCTCTAAAATACTCAAAGCACTTTACCATACTTGACTTTGAAAATTAGTTACCCTTTCTTTCCAAGTAAAATTGTAAATTCCTTAAGGATAAAATCAGTTTTTTATTTTGTATCCTCAGTACCTAGTGTAGTACAGACACATATGAGGACTAAATAAATATTTGGTGAAGCAGTGATTAAGTTAATTTGTGTATATTTAATTATGAATTAGAAAATCACCCTGATGGAAAATATGAAAATGAAGTAAAGTGGCTGAAATCAGGTGAAATTAAAAGACATTTTTTGAATGATGATCATCTAAAAATCAAAGTGAAAATAAATCAACTTCATATTCAAATTCCTGTGGTCCATGGATATAACCATGATGGAAGTAATCTTTCCTTTCTTTCATATTTAAAGCATACCAAAAAAATTAATATTATTAGCCTAAGTAAAATTTTATCCTGACAGTGTCTCCTGGATGGCCATGAAAGAATACTAATGGTCTTGTTGTGGTCTTTGGACAACCTGAAATGTCAATATAAATTAGCTTCACTTTTCCTGCTTGCCAGCTTCTATCTGCAACCAATTCATAACTTTGTTTCTCATACTTGTGCCCAAATAGACCACTTTCCTGGTAGAAACAGTTTTTCCTTTTCAGATACTGACATTTTTATGATCTTCCTGACAGCTTTTGGGGAATGCCTTGTCCCTCATAAACTTCTTTCTATACCAATGTGAAGAAAATTTTCTTCCCAAAGAAGCTAAAAAATCTCTTTTTCTCCCTTCAAAGCACAAAAGAAAAGGCTTGTTCCCATGTTAATAAGTAAGTAAGCAATAAAGCTTGAATCAGAAGTACAAGAAGAGGATTTTTGAATCTTGCTTGAAGAATGCTTATATACTTTGGCTAATTCCTAAGAGAAATGATTTATTGAGTAAAATATCCCCTGCAAAAGCAGCAGTTAAAAATAGTCATGATACTCCTTGTGAGGATGGGCTAAAAAGACTCATCAAATCATTGTAGGAAGATAGTTAAAGGTTTTGTACATTATAGATACTTTACCTGGGAATAATTGAATTAGGGTAAATAAATTTGAGTGGAATTTCTTTTTTAGTATGGATTTTTAAAAATCACTTAATTATGTATATGAATAATTCCTGAATATTTTCTTATTCAAAGACAAATCAAAATACTGTAATCCCAAAATTAGCAACTCTCTATTGAGGTCAGTCAGAGTAAGCTTCTTGGTAGGTGCTTCTGTAATTGAGAAGCCTGATAAATACCATCAGTTTCTATATAAATACTCATTTGATGTATATACAAGACCACACAGTGCAATCACAAAATTTTTCCCAAGGTCTTTCTGAAGATGGAGAAAGTGAAGTGTGAGAAATAACTGGTTATTTTATAGACTGGTGAAAAAACTTGATTGACTCCTGGAAATACATGAAAAACAATTAATCAGTGAAAACAAACCACAGGCTGCAAAACTAATCAGTCAAAGGAAAAGAAATAAATGAAGAAAAAGGAGAAGAATTGCTGAGGCAACATCCAAAGGAATTTAAGTCTCAGTAGATCTAATTATGTAGGTAGATATTTTTCTTGTGTGTGATTGCATTTCATTCAAAATTTTAGTTGCTTCTCAGCAAATCCTAAGCCATTAAAATGTCTCTCTTAAAAGAAAAAAGGGCTAACCAAAGTAGAATAATGAATAAAACTTTTATCTAACATTTTATTTAAGCTGAGTGTCTAATAGTATTGAATGTTTGATGCACAACCAAACCATCAACAAATCTATGCTTCCATTAAATTAAACTAAGCTGCTTTTAATTATTCAGTATGCTTTTTTTTTTTTTTTAATTTTCTGTCTCCTGTCTTTCTCTTTGACTGTTTACCAGGTTTGTCCTGATGCTTTTCATATCTTCTTTGCTGTTGGGAAGGGAGAATTTCAATACATTTTATGAGGGAAAAGGCTAAAATGTGATTTTGGATTGTCTGAGGAATTTCCCTATCCAGGCAATGTTTCTCTGTTATTATTGAATTCGAATCACAGTGAGTAGTGAATGTATTAGCAGGAAACAGGATACCTTAATGGTTGGGAACACAGACTATAGGCAGACTTGAGTTAGCATCGTAGGCCTCAAACCTGCTAGCTGAGTTACCTTGAACACATTATTTAATCTCCCTGTGTTTTTTTTTTTTTTCGTCATCTAGGAAATGGGCTTCATAATGATAGTACCTGTAGGAGAAATAAATAAACTAAAACACGTAAAATACTTAGAAAAATGTCTGGCACATAGCAAATGTTACATAAGTATCTAGTGTTACAACTATTGATTTCCAATTTAAAGCAATATCAGGCTTCTCCACTTTATTTTCACTCTGGGTAAAATACTCACCATGTATGAGCAATTATTTGGGCCTTACTCAGAACAACAAATAAACTTCTTTAGTGTTTGTTCCATAGTTAGCATTAACTTATCTAATTTAATTGTCAGGCACGATTTTATACCCTTTCTACATGTTTTTGCCTCTAGACAGTGTATATAATATAGCTTTCAGTTTCAAAATTAAATAAATAATATCAAGTTGCAGATTTTCCCTTATTACATTTTTGAAAATTCATTCATATATAAATATGTAGATTTAGTTAATCTATGTTTATCCATTGTAAAAGTTTTTGTATATACATCAGTTTATGTGTTCTGCAGCTAGTGGGCTTTTTGATTGTTACTAGTTTTTTGGTTTTTGTTTTGTTTTGCTTTGTTTTTTTTAATAGAAAAGTGCTCCAGCAAACTTTTATGTACTTCTTTTGTAGATGCGAAATAATTTTCCTATAATGAACACATAGAAGTGGATTGCCTCTATCACTGAATATATTCAAAATGTACATTTGGGATATGCATCTTTAAATTGAATAGATAGTTTCAAATTGTACTTCAAAGTATACTTATCAACACATTGATTTATCACATTTAAATTAATTTCATCAGCCTGATAGTTATAAAATGGTATCTTATTTTTTGTTTATTGCTTTTTCCTAATTACCAGTAAACTTGAACAATTTTTTATATATCTGATTACTATGCAGACTTCTTTCTTTGTATACTGTCTGATAAAATTCTTTGCCCATCATTACATTGGAATGACTATCTATTGTTGGTTTCTAGAAGCTTCTTTTGAATTCTCAATATTAAGCCTTTACATATTTCAGGTGTTGTAAATATGTTCTCAGCTGGGATTTATCTTTTTTACTTAATATGTTATGTATGACTTAGTTTATTCCAGTAATATTTAGTGTACTGAAAATTATTTTAATAATAATTTCTTGCTGTCTCTTTTTGTGCCTATTTAAAGAAAAATTTTTTAAACCTAATTACATTAGCAGAAAAATTCTTCTAGGGTTACTTCTGAATATTTTAAAAGTCAGAAGTAAATGTGTAAGTTTTTCTAATTTGTAAAAATGAATATCTTTATACTGATTTCATGATGAGTGTTACAAGACTTAATAAAAACAATATCCAGGATTTCACTCAGAGCTAAACACTTATAGGGTAAATTTTCAAGAAATGTTAGTTGCTATTTCATACAGATCCAAATTAATAGAAATTAATTCCAAGTTACAGGGAACTTGAAGGAAAAATAAATCTCAGGTTAGTTTGGTGATAAGTTAATCAGAAAGATTTAATATAAAAACAAATTTGATTTCTCCCCTTTGTCTCCACCAAATAGCTCAGTCTTTAAATAACAGACATGGTTTTGTATCCTTAGGTCAAAAGAGAAAGCAAAAATATTTGATTTATAAGATGCTCACTAAACAAGGTGCCACTGGAGATGAATATTTTCAAAACAACTTGATGGAAAGTATATCTAATTTAAGAGACTTTTACATGAGTTATGTTTTCAAACAGTGGGTGAATAGGACGTAAGGGTCTGGGAAACTTGGTGATTAAGGACTCGAATCAAAAAGAATTAAAAACAGTCTGGGGAGTCTTAATACATGGAAGCAAGTACTAGATATAAACTTTCACCTAACAAATGTGAAGATACTAAGTTCACTTTTCATTGTGAAATGACAGTGGAGGTTTATTTTATATTGGCATAGATATAAGGAGAAAGTAAATATTTCTGTCATAAGCTTGTGTGAGTTTTATCTTTTCTCATAAAACTGATCATTACTCTCCCTCTCCCTCTCCCCACAGTCTCCCTCTCCCTCTCTTTCCACGGTCTCCCTCTGATGCCGAGCTGAAGCTGGACTGTACTGCTGCCATCTCAGCTCACTGCAACCTCCCTGCCTGATTGTCCTGCCTCAGCCTGCCGAGTGCCTGTGATGGCAGGCACGCGCCGCCACGCCTGACTGGTTTTCGTATTTTTTTGGTGGAGAAGGGGTTTCGCTGTGTTGGCCGGGCTGGTCTCCAGCTCCTAACCGCGAGTGATCTGCCAGCCTCGGCCTCCCGAGGTGCCAGGATTGCAGACAGAGTCTCCTTCACTCAGTGCTCAATGGTGCCCAGGCTGGAGTGCAGTGGCGTGATCTCAGCTCGCTACAACCTCCACCTCCCAGCCACCTGCCTTGGCCTCCCAAAGTGCCGAGATTGCAGCCTCTACCCGGCCACCACCCCGTCTGGGAAGTGAAGAGTGTCTCTGCCTGGCCGCCCATCGTCTGGGATGTGAGGAGCCCCTCTGCCTGGCTGCCCAGTCTGGAAAGTGAGCAGCGTCTCTGCCCGGCCGCCATCCCATCTAGGAAGTGAGGAGCGTCTCTGCCCGGCTGCCCAGCATCTGAGATGTGGGGAGCGCCTCTGCCCCACCGCCCCTTCTGGGAGGTGAGGAGCATCTCTGCCCGGCCTCCCCATCTGAGAAGTGAGGAGACCCTCTACCTGGCAGCCGCCCCGTCTGAGAAGTGAGGAGTCCCTCTGCCCAGCAGCTGCCCCGTCTGGGAAGTGAGGAGCATCTCCACCTGGCAGCCGCCCTGTCCGGGAGGGAGGTGGGGGGGTCAGCCCCCTGCCCGGCCAGCTGCCCCATCCGGGAGGGAGGTGGGGGTGTCAGCCCCCCACCCGGCCAGCCACCCCGTCCGGGAGGGAGGTGGGGGGGTCAGCCCCCCCGCCCGGCCAGCCGCCAAGTCCGGGAGGTGAGGGGCGCCTCTGCCCGGCCACCCCTACTGGGAAGTGAGGAGCCCCTCTGCCCGGCCACCACCCCATCTGGGAGGTGTACCCAACAGCTCATTGAGAACGGGCCATGATGACAATGGTGGTTTTGTGGAATAGAAAGGGGGGAAAGGTGGGGAAAAGATTGAGAAATCGGATGGTTGCTGTGTCTGTGTAGAAAGAAGTAGACATGGGAGACTTTTCATTTTGTTCTGTACTAAGAAAAATTCTTCTGCCTTGGGATCCTGTTGATTTATGACCTTACCCCCAACCCTGTGCTCTCTGAAACATGTGCTGTGTCCACTCAGGGTTAAATGGATTAAGGGCGGTGCAAGATGTGCTTTGTTAAACAGATGCTTGAAGGCAGCATGCTTGTTAAGAGTCATCACCACTCCCTAATCTCAAGTACCCAGGGACACAAACACTGCGGAAGGCCGCAGGGTCCTCTGCCTAGGAAAACCAGAGACCTTTGTTCACTTGTTTATCTGCTGACCTTCCCTCCATTATTGTCCTATGACCCTGCCAAATCCTCCTCTGCAAGAAACACCCAAGAATGATGAATAAAAAAATAAATAAATAAAAAATAATTCTTTATCTCCTACTAAAAAAAAAAAAAACTGATCATTAACATTCATTCTACTCCAATGTCATGTGAGTAGGGAGTCACATGATTCAGACTTGCATTTCAAATCTATTAGTTATAAATCTTGGACATTTTAAAAGAAAAAGTCATGGGCTATTTCCCTTATGAAATAAAAATAAATTCATTTTTGAAGTATTTATTCTCTTTTTGAAGGATAGTTTTTTATGCCATTTCCTCATTAATTATTTTAAATTTAATTTAGCTTAGATTCAATATCTAGTATCCTGATATCACAGAAAGAATTTATCATACATAATTCATCAAAGATTAAGACGAAATATATATTGAAAAATATAAACACAATTTTAAAACAGTAAAAAGAAATTAAGTAGAAGGATGAATCTCATGCTCTAAAATAAACCCCTATAGTCTTGAGATTTTTGCTTGTTTATGGAGTAAGGAGATACAGCATTCCCTACCCACCTAGTTTGCTCACCTGCAGTTAAGAAAACCGTCATCTGCCAACATAGGACCTCCAAGGCCTGAGCCAATCCTAACAAATCCTGGAAGAACAGTCACAAAATTATCCAAACACATAGGTAGGAAGTAACAGTAGTCATGCAACTTTTAGATCTGCTATGCAGGAATTTGGGGCCATCTCCTCAGTGATCTGCTTATTTTGCAAAATGTACCGTCCTCTTTTCTTCACCAAATGTTTTTCTTGTACTTATACTTGGGTTTCCTTCCCAATTTATGATTTAATTACAACATCTTTCTCCAGTCTGCAAGTAGGAGGAACAAAATCTTCCCTAGATTTTGCCAGCTTTTCTGTTTCTCGAGGGGTGATTCTTTTTACTATGCTTCTGAATATTATCTGAGCTCCACTGTAACTAGATGTGAACCAACTAGCTTTAGAACAATCCACTGACCAGAAGACAACACTACCTACCCTTATCTTCCACTTATTGTTCTTACAAGATACCCATACATTAACTACTTTTGCTAACATTCAGGCCAACTTGAGGCTTTAATATGTTCTTGACCATTATTAATTGGTGCCTAGAAGAAAACTATCCTCAGATACAATTCTCATGTTCCAAGGTCTGCATGATTCTTTTCTTCACCATTTTCCCTCACTGTTTTTGTTCATTATGTTAAATTGTTGTATTTAGTTTGTTTTCTGCTTTACCTATGGATTTCACTGAAGACAGATGTTTGACTATATTTGGAACATACTTATTTTGAACCAATTCGAAAATACATATGTGATGCATTTTCTCCAAAATTAATTTTTTAAATCACTCTTCAAAAATCATTTCATTTCAATTGTCTTGTCATTTCTTAGAAAGTAGTAAAATTTATCTATCAATTAAATTATTTTAAGAACATTAAAATGGATTCTGCCTTTAATCATGGTAGGATAGGTAACATTTTCTGACCTTTCCAGTAAAGACAGCTTGAACAAAATATCTGTGTGAATGTCTCAGACAACTACCATGATAATGAAAAATAAATAAGTCAGATACCAGTAGAGGAGAAGCCCAAGGAGACCTGTCCAGTATTAGTGTTAGGGCTCTTTTCTTCCCCTAAGGCATTTGCTGACACCGGGTGGCTTAGAGGATGAATGAAACAGTCCTTTTGACAGGCAAAAGTAGCTGGGAGGAGAGACACTGGAATCCAGAACTGAGAAGATAAGATTCTGTCAAATTCCTCTTTATTCAGATTGAGTCATGAAAGAGACATTCTCAGAATACAAGCAAATCAAACTAGATAATCTTTTGCATTTGCTGAATCTCTGCCTCTCCAGAGCTCAATTACTGAAATTATATCCAGGTGATCCCAGATTCCTATTGCTGTCATGTACCTGGCCGGAACATATATAAATCCTCTTAAATTATTCTACAAACAATTTTGCAAATATTTAATGTAAAATAATAAGAAAATCAAAGACAAAAATTAGAAGAAAAAATAAACAATAGAAATAAATTAACAGACTTCAGATACAGACACATTTATATGCTTACTGTATTCAAATAGATAAAAGAGAATATTGATGATTGTGCCTCAGGATTATAACATAATAAATAGAATAAAATTCTATAAGTGAAATAAAGCAAAACAAATCAAACAAAACAAAACCATCATTACCTATTCAGTAACAGATAAGCCACAGGCCGAAACAGAGCTAGTGAATTGGAAGAAAATATCTAAAAGATGAAAATCATCTTCCAGGATCACATCAGATTCTCTGATTTTGATGCTTATTCCTTCCTCTTATAAGCATGCTTATGATTACTTTGGGCTCACTTAGATAATCCAGGATAATCTCCAATTTCAAGATCTTAATTTAAGCATACTTGCAAGTCTCGTTTGCCATTTAAAGTGACATGATTACAGGCATAAGGATTAAAACATGGACTTCTTTGTGGGGACCATTATTCTGCCTACCAGAAGGTCTAATAAGTGTGAAATGCCTATAAAGTGTCCAAGTAGAAATTTCAGGTAGACGGCAGGGCGCCGGTGGCTCATGCCCGTAATCCCAGCACTTTGGGAGGCTAAGGCGGGCGGATCACGAGGTCAAGAGATCGAGACCATCCTGGCCAACACTGTGAAACCCCTTCTCTATTAAAAATACAAAAATTATCTGGGCATGGTGGCGCATGCCCGTAGTCCCGGCTAGTCGGGAGGCTGAGGCATAAGAATCACTTGAACCCAGGAGGCAGAGGTTGCAGTGAGCCAAGATCACTCCACTACACTCTAGCCTGGGGGACAGTGTGAGACTCTGTCTCAAAAAAAAAAAAAAAAAGAAAGAAAGAAAAGAAATTTCAGGTAGATAATTTGATACAAATCTGAAGACCAGTGGAGAGGATTTAGGTAGAGATTAAATTTTGGAGTCATCTACATACTGATATAATTTAAAGGTAAGAAATGGCTGAGCCTAAAAAATTCTGAAGTTAGAGGTGACTTGAGGTTGGAAAGCTAGGGTAGCACCAAGTCTGGAAAGCCATGAGAGCAGTGTCACTCATATAGTGTAGAGAACTGTGTTAAAGGCAGTTGAAGTCAAGCAAGGGAAAACCATGCATTGTATTTGACATCATGTGGCAATTAGAAGTTCTTACAAGAGTGGTTCTAACCTAATTGAAGTGGGTTGAAGAGTATAATGAACCCAGTGAATGCAATGCAAATCATTTGCAAAGCTTCACTATTAAGAGCAGTGAATACACATATAGGCTAGAAAAGTAATTGGGTCAAGGAAGATGTTTTTCCTTTTGTTTTCTTTTGTTCAATAGAGGAAATAAGAGAATGTGCTTGTGTGTTGATAGAAATTATCTAACAGAGATAGAAATATTGAGAATGAAGGAGAGAAAACAGGTTAAAGAAGGAGGAAAGTCCTTCATAATGGAGGACAAGGATCCCATGGCGCAAAAGGAAGCCTTTGATGAGAGTAGAGAACTTCTCTGGGAATAAAGGAAGACATGCAGGAGATATGAGCAAATGTGGAAGCTGGTAGGTGAGTTGGTGGAGATTCCCCTTTGGGCTTTATTTTCTTACTGATAACATAGGTGTAAGGGCTCCAAATGGAGTGGGAGAGTCAGTTGGTAGGAAAAAGTTTCAGAAGTGCACCACCAAAAAATATGGTGAAAAATTTCTTTCAGAGAGACAACTTGACCTCGGCAAAAAAGGGGGATACTAGAGGAAGCAAGGTAGAAATCTGCCTCTTGTCATGAAATGGATTTGGAAGTTCACTTTGATAGGTATGATGATTATTAACTATTTTTAAACAATGCTTTTGTTACTGTCAAATAGAATGTTTTGATTGCTATAATTATGAGAGTGTTTCTTTTGTGCTGATACTACAGGAGTTATTATATGGGCTGTTTGAAATTCACTGTGCAGTAAGGATTTAAATGTTCAATGTATTTTAATAATTGTTAAGAAGTAGACTTAAAATTTTATAAAATGATATAATCTCTTTGTAGCCCTAAATGAGCATTTGTCCTTAAGTGTTGACATCAATTAATATCTCAGAGCTCTATCTAAATGGAAAACACTGGATAGAGAATAACTATACTCTCCCAAAAGCTATTCTATTAAAGTTTAGGAGAGAAGGAAAAGCAGAGACCATTTTTAAAGAGAAACTAGCTGAAAATTTTCCAGAAGTAATTGTTTTATACCCACTTCCCCCTAAAAAAGCAAGATGGATTTCCACCCAAAGTTCAGTTCAGATGTGGAGTCTGGTGACATGTAATGCACCTAGAGAGTTTATGAGAAAACGTATTTATTCATACAAAGGACTCATGGGAATAGATGAGTGAGAGCAAACAATTGGCTGAGGCAAAACCAAGGTGAGTACATTTACTCCATTAGAATGGCTAGGGGTTGTAACTAGACAACAACTTTCACACATGAGAAACTTAAATTTTCTGCCAGTACTAAAGGAAGAGGCAAACTTACAGCCTTCTTACTAGCCTGCCCAGATGTATAAATAAAAGGCAGGGTGAGGCTTAAAAAGAATTCCAGAGGTCCAGTGCAAGATGGCCAAATAGAAGGCTCAACAATCTTCCCCCAAACCCACAAGGAAGCCAATTTAACAGCTGTGTGCACACACAAAGCACCTTTATAAGAAGCAAAAATCAGGTGAGCACTCACAGTGCCTGGTTTTAACTTCATATCACTGAAAGAGGCATTGAAGAAGGTACAAAAGACAGTCTTGAATAGTCAATGCAACCCATTCCCCAGCACCAAGCAACAGCCACATGACATGGAGAGAGAATCTGTGCACTTAGGATAGGGAGAGTTCAGCAATTGTGAGACATTGCATAAAATTCAGTGCTGCTCCATTGCAGAAAAAAACAAAACAAGGCAAAATTCAGCTGATGCTCACTAACATTAAACCAGCCCTAGCCAGAGGGAAATTACCCATCTTACCAGTCAGAACTTGAGTTCCGGCAAGCATCACCAATGTGGGCTAAAGTGCCCTGGGCCTGCACATAAACTTGAAAGGAAGTCTAGGCTATAAGGACAGCAGTCCAGGCTACAAGGACGGCAACTACTAGGCAAGTCCTAATGCTCAACTAGGCTCAGAGACAATGGACATGGAAGGCACACAACCTACTGAGACACCAGCCATGTTGGCTAAGGAAGTGCTTGCGGCCACCCTTCCTCCAACCCTAGGTTACACAGCTCATAGTCCCAAAACAGACCCATTCCTTTCACTTGAGAAGAGGAGAGGGAGGAGTAGAGAGGACTTTGTCTTGCATCTTGGATACCAGCTGAGGCACAGGAAGACAAGACACCACTCAGAATCATGAGACCCCTATTACAAGCCCTAGCTCCATGAAAAAAATTATAGATACACCTAGGGCCAGAAGGAAACATACTGCCTTGAAGGGAAAAATCCAGTCCTGACAAGATTCATCAACTGCTTACTAAAGAGACCTTGGGCCTTGAATACTACCCTACCTGGGTATGTATGGACCTTAAGTGAGGCTCAAAGACTTGGTGGCCTCAGGTGAGACTCAGCACATTCCCAGCTTGGGTACCTATGGGAAGAAGTTCCTTCTGCTTGAGAGAAGCAGAGGGAAAAGTAAAGGGAACTTTGTCTTGCACCTTAGGTATCAGCTTAGCCACGGAGGAGTTAATCATCAAGTGGGCTCTTGAGGACCTCGATTCCAGGCCTTGCCCCATGTACAGCATTTCTGGACTAGCTCTGGTCCGCAGGGGAGCCTACTGCCCTGAAGTGTGAGTCCTAGGTCAGGCAGCATTCACCACTACTGAATGAAGATCTCTTGGGCCTGAAGAGAACATCTGCAGTAGCCTGGGAGTACTCCTCATATGCCTGTGATGGTGGTGTTCATGGGGTGAGGCTCCTCTGACTATGAAAATGAGAGGGAAGAGGAGGAATGACTCTGTCTCATGGTTTCAGTGCCAGCTCAGCCACAGTACGATTGAACACAAGGTAGACTTCTAAGTTTTTTTCTCTAGTCCCTGCCTCCCAAGTGGCACCTCTGGACCCACCCAACGCCTGAGAGAACTCGCCACCCTGAAGGGAAGGACACAAGTGTGGCTGACTTTGCCACCCACTAATTGTAGAGCCCCAGGGCTTTGAGAAAACATAAATGGTAACCAGGTAGGGGTTAAAGTGAGCACTGGGTGGCAGCAAGTGCTTTGCTGGCTTCAGATCTGATCCATCACACTTCCAGTGGTGTTGGCCACAGGGGTGTGTTTGTCATCCCACCCCCACCTCCAGGAGACTCAGAACAGAGAGAGACTTCAATTGTTTGGGACAGGATAAGAGAAGAGAACATGATTCTCTGCATAATAATTGAGATAATTCTTCTAAATCTTATCAAAAACAGTAAAGGTATACTTCTAGGATTCTACAAAAACCACAGTGTTACCAGGCTTGGGGTGCTCCCTAATGCAGATATGGCTTAGACTACATCACTTAAATTATTTTGAATACCTGAAAAGCCTTCCCAAGAAGGAGGGGTATAAAAAAGCCCAGATGGCAAAGACTACAATAAATACCTAACTCTTCAATGCCTGGTCACAGATGAACATCCATGAGCATCAGGACCATCCAGGAAAGTATGACCTCATCAAATAAGGCACCAGAGACCAACCCTGGACAAACCAAAATTGGTGACCTTTCAGACACAGAATTAAAAATAGCTATTTTGAGGAAACACAAAGAAACTCAAGATAACACAGAGAAGGAATTCGGAATTTGATCAGATAAATTCAACAAAGACATGGAAATTATTAAAAAGAATCAAGCATAAATTCTGGCTTTGAAAAGTAATTGATATATTGAAGCACGCATTAGAGATTTTAATAGCAGAACTGATCAAGCAAAATAAGGAATTAGTGAGCTTGAAGACAGACTATTTGAAAATGCACAGTCCAAGGAGACAAAAGAAAAAAGAATAAAAAACAATGAAGCACCCCTACGGGATCTAGAAAACAGCTCTAAAAGGACAAATCCAAGAGTTATTGGCCTTAAAGAGGAGGTAGAGAAAGAGATAAGGGTAGAAAGTTTCTTCAAAGGGATAGTAACACAGAAATTCCCCAAACTCAGAGAAACATATCAATATCCAAGTACAAGAAGGCTATAGAACGATGAGTAGATTTAACCCAAGGAAGACTACTAGATGAGGTTTAATAATCAAACTCTCAAAGGTCAAGGATAAAGAAAGGATCCTAAAATCAGCAAGAGAAAAGAAACAAATAACATAAAATTTAGCTCCAATATGACTAAGGTCAGACTTTTCAGGGGAAATCTTAAAGGCCAGGGGAGAGTGGCATGACATATTTAAAGCAAAGAAAAAAAAATACCATAAAGTAGCAAAGCCAGTGAAAATATTCTTCAAACATGAAGAAGAAATAGTTTCCCAGAGCAAAAAAAAAAAAAAAAAGCTGAGGGATTTCATCAACATCAGACCTGTCCTACAAGAAATACTAGAGTATCCAGTCAGAAAATAAAAGTATGTTAGTAAGGAATAAGAAGTCATCCAAAGGTACAAAACTCACTGGTAATAGTAAGTACACAGAATAAAACACAATACAAAAACACTGTAACTGTGGAGTATAAACTATTCTTAAGTAGAAAGACTAAAAGATGAACCAAACAAAAGTTTTACTATTTATGACTTTTTTTGTGTATTCATTGTATATTTTTGGATTCGAGGTTACCATGAGGTTTGCAAATACTATCTTAACACCCATTATTATTATTATTATTATTATTATTATTATTATTATTGGAGATTTGGAGAAAATTAAAATTAATGTGTGTGCGTGTGTGTGTGTGTTTATATTCCAGGGTATTGTGCACGTTAACTATTTAACCTATTCAAGACATAGACAGTACAGTAAGGTATGAATAGAAATGACCAAAAGTTAAACAGTGGCAGGATGACGTTGAGACATAGAGTTTTTATTAGTTTTTCTTTTTTTGCTTGTTTGATTGTTTATGCAAAAGAGTGTTATTATCAGCTTAAAATAATGGGTAGTATGGAATACTATGCAGTCACAAAAAGGAAGGAGATCATGTCCTTTGCAAGACCATGGATGAAGCTGGAAGCCACTATCCTCAGCAAACTAACACAGGAATGGAAAACCAAACAACACATGGTCTCACTTATAAGTGGGAACTGAACGATGAAAACACGTGGACACGGGGAGGTGAACAACACTGGGGCCTGTGAGGTGGGGAGTGGCGGGAGGGAGAGCATCAGGAAAAATAGGTAATGCATACTGGGCTTAATACCTAGGTGTTGGGTTGATAGGTGCAGCAAACCACCGTGGCACACACTTACCCATGTAACAAATCTGCAAATCCTGCACATTACCCTGGAACTTAAAACACAGACACATATTAACTTTAATTTTCTCCAAATATTCAAAAATAATAATAATAATGGGTATTATGATAGTATCTACAAGCCTCATGATAACCTCAAATCCAAAACTATGCAATGAATACATAAAAAATAAAAAGCAAGAAATTAAAGCATGCAAAGAAAGTCACATTTAATAAAAATAAGACAGGAAGGAAAAAAGAAAGAAGATAAGACCACTAAACAACCAGAAAACAAACATCTCTGGCCACAATGGAATAAAACTGCAAATCAATAACAAGAATAATTTTGGAAACTACATGGACACATGGAAATTAAACAACATGCTCCTGAATAACTAGTGGGTCAATAAAGAAATTAATAAGGAAACTGAAAAAATTTATTGAAACAAATGATAATGGAAACACAACATACCAAAACCTAGGGGACACTGTAAAAGCATTACAAAGAGGGACGTTATAGCTATAAGTGACTACAGCTGAAAAGAAGAAAAACTTTAAACAACCTAATGTTGCATCTTAAAGAATTAGAAAAATGAGAGGAATCAAAACAGAAAATTAGTAGGAGAAAAGAAACAATCAAGATCAGAGCAGATATAAATGAATTAGAAATGAAGAAAACAATACAAAAGATTAAAAAAATGTGTTTTGAAAAGAAAATAATATTTACAAACCTATAGCCAGACTAATTAAGAAAAAATGGGAGAAGATCCATATAAATAAAATCTCCCAGCAAAGAAAAGCCTCAGACACATGCCTTCATTGCTGAATTCTACCAAACATTTAAAGAAGAACTAAAACCAGTCCTACTCACACTGTTCAAAAAAAAATGGAGGAGGAGGGTATACTTCCAAACTCATTTTACAAGGCCAGCATTACCCTGATACCAAAAACACACAGACACATCAAAAAAAAAAAAGAAAGAAAGAAAAAAGAAAGAAAGAAAAAAAAAGAAAACCACAGGCCGATATCTCTGATCAGTGTTGATGTAAAAATACTAGCAAACCGGCCCGCACGATGGCTCACGCCTGTAATCCCAGAAGTTTGGGAGGCCAAGGCGGGTGGATCACGAGGTCAGGAGATCGAGACCATCCTGGCTAACATAGTGAAACCCCATCTCTACTAAAAATACAAAAAATTAGCCGAGCATGGTGGTGGGCGACTGTAGTCCCAGCTACTCCGGAAGCTGAGGCAGGAGAATGGCATGAACCTGGGAGGCGGAGCTTGCAGTGAGCCAAGATCGCACCACTGCACTCCAGCCTGGGCAACAGAGGGAGACCCCATCTTAAAAAAAAAAAAAAACTAACAAACCAAATTCAGCAACACATTTAAAAGATCAGTTGTCAGGAACAAGTTTGATTTATCCTAGGGATTCAAGGAATGTACAACATATACAAATAAAGTAATGTGATACATTATAACAACCGAAAGGATAAAAAACATATGATCATTTCAATTGATGTTGAAAAAGCATTTAATAAAATTCAACATTCCTTTATGATAGAACCCTCAATAAACTGGCTATAGAAGGAAGTTACCTCAACATAATAAAAGCCATGTATGCCATACTCATAGCTAGTATCATACTGACTGAGGAAAAAACTGAAAAACTTTCCTCAAGATCAGGATCACAAGAATGCCCACTTTCTCACTGTTATTCAGAATAGTACTGGAAATTCTAGTTAGAGTGTTCAGACAAGAGAAAGAAGTAAAGAGCATCCAAATTGGAAAGAAAGAAGTCAAAGTATCCTTGTTTGCAAAAGGGATAATTTTATATTTGGAAAAACCTTAAGACCCCACCAATAAAACTATTAGAATTGAAAAATTCAGTAAAGTTGCAGGATTCAAAATCAACATACAAAAATCGGTAGCATTTCTACATGCCAATAGCGAACAAATCTGAAAAAGAAATCCAGAAAGTAATCTCCTTTACAATAGCTACAATAAAATAAAATACCTGGGAATTTACCTAACCAAAGAAGAGTGAATGATCTCTACAATGAAAACTGTATAACATTGATGCAAGAAATTGAAGAAAACATAACAAAATGAAAAGATATTCCATGTTCATGAATTGGAAGAACAAATATTGTTAAAATGTTCATACTATCCTAAACAATCTACAAGTTGAAAGAAATGCCTATTAAATGCCAACGACATTCTTCACAGAAATAGAAAAAAAATAGTCCTAACATGAATATAGAACCACAAAAGACCCAGAATATCCAAAACTACCCTAAGCAAAAAGAAGGATCACATTACCTACCTTCAAATTATACTACAGAGCTATAGTAACCAAAACACCATGGTACTGGCATAGAGACAAATAAACCAATGGAATAGAATAGAGAATCCAAAAACAAATTCAAACACCTACAGTAAACTCATTTTTGACACAGGTATCAAGAATACACATTGGGGAAAGAATGGTATCTTCAATAAATGGTGCTGGGAGAACTGGATATCCACATGCTGATGAATGAAACAAGACCCCTGTCTGTCACCATATGCAGTAGTCAAATAAAAATGGATTGAAGACTTAAATCTAGGGCTGAAAACTATGAAACTGCTACAAGAAAACTTGGGGTAAGTCTCCAGGACATTGGACTGGGCAAAGATTTCTTTAATAATACCACACAAGGACACGCAACTAAAGCAAAACCGGACAAATAGAATAACATCAAGTGAAAAAGCTTCTGCAAAGCAAAGGACACAATCAAGAAAGTGAAGAAACAACCCACAGAATGGGAGAAAATATTTGAAAATTACCCATCTGACAAGGGACAAAAAACCAGAATATATAAGGAGCTCAAACAACTCTATGGGAAAAATATCTAATAATCTGATTTAAAACTGGACAGAACATCTTAACCGGTATTTCTCAGAAGAAGAGATACAAATGGCAAACAGACATATGAAAAGGTGCTTAACATAATTGACCATCAGCGAAATGCAAATCAAAACTGCAATAAGATATCATCACATTCCAGTTAAACTGGCATTTATACAAAATTCAAGCAATAACAAATGTTGGAGAGGATGTAGAGAAAAGGAAATTCTTGTATACTGTTGGTGGGAATGTAAATTAGTACAACCACTATGAAGAATAGTTTAGAGGTTCCTCACAAGACTGAAAATAGACCTACCACATGATTCAGTAATTCCACTACTAGGCATATAACCCCCCAAAAAGGAAAACGGTATATCAAAGAGATGTCTGCACTCCCATGCTTGTTGCAGCAGTGTTCAAATAGCCAGGATTTGGAAGCGACCTAACTGTCCATCAACAGATAAATAGATAAAGAAACTATAGTGCTTATACACAATGGAGTACTATTCAGTGATAAAAAATTATGAGATCCTGTCTTTTTCAATGACATGGACAAAATTAGAGGTTTTATTTTAAGTGAAATAAGCCAGGCACAGCAGGACAAACATCACATGATCACATGTTCTCACTCATTTGTGGGATCAGAAAATCAAAACAGTTGAACTCACAGAGACAGAGAATAGGGTGGTTATCAAAGACTGAGAATGGTGGTGCAGGCGGCAGCAGGGAAGTGGAGACTGCTAATGTGTACGAAAACATACTTAGAAAGAATGAAGAAGACCTATTATTTTATAGCACAACATGGTGACTATAGTCAAAACCAATTTGATTATTCATTTTAAAATCACTAAAATATTTTAATTGGGTTGTTTGTAGCATGAAGGATAAACGTTTGATGTGATAGATATCCCATTGGCCCTGATGCAATTATTATGCATTTTATGCCTGTATCAAAATATACTGGCGGGGCACGGTGGCTCACGCCTGTAATCACAGCACTTTGGGAGGCTGAAGTGGGCAGATCACCTGAAGTTGGGAGTCTAGACCAGCCTGACCAACATGGAGAAACCCATCTCTACTAAAAATCAGGAAACAACAGGTGCTGGAGAGGATGTGGAGAAATAGGAACACTTTTACACTGTTGGTAGGACTACAAACTAGTTCAACCATTGTGGAAGACAGTGTGGTGATTCCCCAAGGATCTAGAACTAGAAACACCATTTGACCCATTATTGGCTATATACCCAAAGGATTATAAATCATGCTGCTATAAAGACACATGCACACGTATGTTTATAGCGGCACTATTCACAATAGCAAAGACTTGGAACCAGCCCAAATGTCCAACAATGATAGACTGGATTAAGAAAATGTGATTAAGAAAATGTGGCACATATACACCATGGAATACTATGCAGCCATAAAAAATGATGAGTTCATATACTTTGTAGGGACATGGATGAAATTGGAAACCATCATTCTCAGTAAACTATCGCAAGAACAAAAAACCAAACACCGCATATTCTCACTCATAGGTGGGAATTGAACAATGAGATCACATGGACACAGGAAGGGGAATATCACACTCTGGGGACTGTGGTGGGGTCGGGGGAGGGGGGAGGGATAGCATTGGGAGATATACCTAATGCTAGATGACACATTAGTGGGTGCAGCGCACCAGCATGGCACATGTATACATATGTAACTAACCTGCACAATGTGCACATGTACCCTAAAACTTAGAGTATAATAAAAAAAATTAAAAAAAAAAATAGAATATACTATGCATCAATAAAAAACAAACTATTGATACGTGAAAAATAAAATAAAATAAAATAAAACTGTAAAAAAAAAAAAAAAAAAGAAAATGTGGCACATATACACCACGGAATACTATGCAGTCATAAAAAAGATGAGTTCATGTCCTTTGTAGGGACATGGATGAAGCTGGAAACCATCATTCTCAGCAAACTATCGCAAGGACAAAAAAACCAAACACCGCATGTTATCACTCATAAGTGGGAATTGAATAATGAGAACACTTGGACACAGGAAGGGAACATCACACACCGGGGCCTGTCATGGGGTGGGGGGAGTGGAGAGGGATAGCATTAGGAGAAATACCGAATGTAAATGACAAGTTAATCAGTGCAGCACACCAACATGACGCGTGTATACATATGTAACAAACCTGCACGTTGTGCACATGTACCCTAGAACTTAAAGTATAATAATAAAAAAATATATAAAATTAGCTGGGCATGGTGGCACATGTCTGTAATCCCAGCCACTCAGGAGGCTGAGGCAAGAGAATCGCTTGAACCCAGGAGGCGAAGGTTGTAGAGAGCTGAGATCACGCCATTGCACTCCAGATATATAGATAGATAGATAGATATACGATATCTATATATATATGGATATATACATACGTATCTATATATATATGTATATGTGTGTATATATATATACATATATATATACATATATATATATCTATATATATGTATATATACGTATATATACATATATATGTATATATGTATATATACGTATATATGTATATATACGTATATATGTATATATACGTATATATACGTATCTATATCTATATATATATAGATACGTATCTATATATAGATATGTATAGATATGAGGGGAGCTATATTCTACAAAGCCACAGGTGCAGAGCTGCCCAAGGCTGTAGGAGCCCACCTCTTGCATTGGCATGACTTGGATGTGAGACATGGAGTCAAAAGAGATCATTTTGGAACTTCCAAGTTTAATGACTGCCCTGTTGAATTTTGGACGTTCATGGGGCCTGTAGCCCCTTTGTTTTGGCCAATTTCTCCCATTTGGAATGCGTATATTTACCCAATGGCTGTACCCCCATTGTATCAGGGAAGTAATTAACTTGCTTTTGATTTTACAAGCTCAGAGGCAGAAGAGATTTGCCTTGCCTCAGACGAGACTTTAGACTTGGACTTTTGAGTTAATGCTGAAATATGTTAAGACTTTAGGGGACTGTTGTTGGGAAGGCATGATGAATTTTGAAATGTGAGGACATGAGATTTAGGAGGGGCCAGGGATGGAATGATGTGGTTTGTTTGCATCCCTACCCAAATTTCAACTTGAATTGTGATATCCCCACATGTCAAGGGTGGGGCCAGGTGGAGATAATTGAATCACAAAGCAGTTTCCCCCATACTGTTCTCATGGTAGTGAATAAGTCTCAGGAGATCTGATGGTTTTATAAATGGGAGTCCCCCTGCATGAGCTCTCTTTTGCCTACTGCCATGTAAAATGTAACTTGCTCCTTATTCGCTTAGACCATGATTGTGAGGCCTCCTTAGCCATGTAGAACTGTGAGTCAATTAAACCTCTTTACTTTTTAATTACCCAGTCTTGAGTATGTCTTTATTAGCAGCATGAGAATAGACTAATACAGTCTTTCTTGAAGTCTACTTTGTTAGTGTAAATAAAACAAAAAGTCTTGGTATATTGTTTTTACCCTGTTGTTTCTTACAGTCTGTATCTTTATACTTACTGTGGGTTTCCTGTGAATAAAACATAGTTGGGTCTTGTGTTTTTGTGTTTTTACATGGATTGAAAAATTCTGCCTTTTTTTAATGTGTTTATTTTATTGATACTTGATGTAATTATTGATATAGTTGAGCTTAAGTCTACCATCATGGTAATTGTTTCCAAATTATTCAATTATTTTCTTGTTGTTTTTTATTTTTCATTGCTTGTAACCTTTGGATTTAAATCATTGTTTTTACTATTCCTTCCTTTCTCTTCCCTTGACTTTTTAGCAATAACTTGTTTTGTTATTTTTGGTGGTTATTCTAGAAATTACAGTATGAAACTTTAAATTACCATAGTTTCTCTTAAAATAATATTACACTAGTTTTTATACAATGTAGTAAAATAACAGCAGTCCAATTCAATGGATAACTTCCCACCTGTTTTATTTGTTTATTTTTAGTTCTCTGGTTATAATTTTTCTTTTGTTTAACTTCTATGTATATTATAAGCTTCACAACATTTGTTATTAATTTTCTTTTAAAGAATGTCTTTTAAAAAATTATATACCCATACACACAAATACACACATTGAATTTTATGTTTATCCAAATTTATACCTATTCTGGTGTTCTTCATTCCTTCCTACAGGTACATAATTCCATCAGATTTCATATATATAATTTTCTCTCATTTTCAGAACATCCGATACTATTTTTTACAGTACATATATTCTGAGTTTACATTCTTTCAGTCTCTCTGTAACTTGAATTTGCCTTAAGTCATAAGAATATTTTTGCTAATATAGAATTCTGATTTGACACTTTTTTTCTTCTTTTAACTCTTTAAAGATATTGCTTCAGTATCTTATCTCTTTATTTTCTTTTCTTGTTATTCTTATCATTATTCCAATGTTTACAGTGTATCTATTATCTCTGATAATAAGATATGTGTCTGTAATTTAGTTTTCAGTAGTTCATATGATGTGTATACATGTGGTTTTATTTGTGTGTCAATTAATTGAATTGTTCTGAATAACCATGGAGAATTAAATTTATAATTTATAATTATTCCTTTAAAATACAAGAAGCCAAAGCAAGTATCTATCGAATCCTACAAATCAGTTTAGGAAGACTTCCAAAGATGTTAAATATCTATATTCATCTTTGTCATGCTGCTAATAAGGTCATACCAAAGACTGGGTAATTTATAAAGAAAAACAGGCTTTATGGACTCAACAGTTCCACATGGCTGGGGAAGCCTCACAATCATGGTGGAAGGTGAAAGGGGGAAAAGGCATGTCTTACACGGTGGTGGGCAAGAAAGAGAGCATGTGCATAAAAACTCCCCTTTATAAAACCATCAAATCTCATGAGACTTATTCACTATCATGAAACCAGCCACAAGAAAGACCCATCCCCCTGATTCAGTTACCTCCCACCAGGTCCCTCACATGACATGTGGGAATTATGGGAGCTACAATTCGAGATTTGGGTGGGAACACAACCAAATCATATTAGTGTCCATTTCTGTGCTGCCTTAACCACAGGATATACGTGCTCCTTTACCTTCAGAAAAAGCAAATATATGTGAATGCTGAGGTGGGATTTTGGTAGCACGCTGAGGGCCTTGCCACATGATCTTCAGCTAAAATCTAACCTAGGCGCCCCCCCCAAAAAAAAAACATAGAGTGAGAGAAATAATTGTCTTTGCTGCATATTTAAACACCTGATCTATGTCTGTATTTTTTCTTTTATCTTATACAATGAAGATAAATACCTTGCTGTCTTAGATAGTTTATTTCATCTGCAAAATTAGAGTAATAAATTTGTTACATCTGTGAAAAATCTGTCCAGTGAATTGATAGAATAATGGCATATGTTAAAAGTTATCATTAATAACTTTTAAATAGAAATTCTATGGTTCCCATGACATCCAGACTTCAGATATAGAATTTATTACTTCATTTTATAGCCAATGCCATATTCTGCTTCTGAATACATTTTAATATACAAATTCAAAATCAATGTAATTTCAATACATTTTAATGTGAATTTTAATATATTATATTCAAAATCACAATGTGTGTGTTATTAAACATGATTGCATCACTTTACTAAAAAATTTACTCTCTCTTACTCAAAATCTATATGACTTCATTGATAGCATTGACCTTTCTTCTTCCCAAATTTCAACATTAAAAAGTGTTTTGGAAAAAAATCAATTGGTACTCAAGTTTCAAGGGTGCAGTGGAAATAATTTCATATATCTTCAGAGGCACTTTGTATTTTCATTTTTTCTTCCCTTAAATAAGGCAGTTGTAAGAGTACCAAATAGTTAATTTTGTGATTTTTTAATTTCTTTTGGGTCCCTATGTTCAATTGAATTAGTATTTTATAATACAGAGAACTCAATAAGTAAATTAAGATAAAAGAATACAAATGCACACTAAGGAAATTAAAATTCCAGAGCAGAACCAATTTTATATAGGTATGTGATGGTTAATACTGTGTGTCAACTTGACTGGATTGAAGAATGCAAATTATTGTTCCTGTGTGTGTCTGTGAGGGTGTTGCCAAAGGAGATTAACATTAGAGTCAGTGGGCTGGGAGAGGCAGACTTAATCTTAACCTGGGTGGGCATAATCTAATTAGCTGCCAGTGTGGCCAGAATATAAAGCAGGTAGAAAAATATGAAAAGGCTAGACTGGCTTAGCCTCCCAGGCTACATCTTTCTCCTGTGCTGGATGCTTCCTGTCTTAGAATATTGGACTCCAAATTCTTAAGCTTTGAGACTTGGACTTGCTTCCTTACTCCTCAGCTTGCAGACAGCCTATCATGGGACCTTGTGATCCTGTGAGTTAATACTACTTAATAAACTTATATATATATATATATGTGTAATATAGATATATCTATATATGTGTGTGTGTATATATATAATATGTATAATATATAATATATATCATATATTGTTCTATGTATATTACATATAATATGCATTATATATTATATATTGCATATAATATGCATTATATATTATATATTGCATATAATATGCATTATATATTATATATTGCATATAATATGCATTATATATTATATATTGCATATAATATGCATTATATATTATATATTGCATATAATATGCATTATATATTATATATTGCATATAATATGCATTATATATTATATAATATATACACATATAATATATATAATTTATATATATTTATATATATTTACATTTATTATATATTTATTATATATAAATATATTTTTATATATTACTTATATATTATATATAATATATATAATATATATATTATATATAATATATATAATATATATATTATATATATAATATAAATTCAATTAAAAATTTATTAAGCACTGTTTTTGTCAAAAATAAAATCTTCGACTCTCATGGAACTTGTAATGGGTTAGAAAGACAATATTCCGGTAACTCATTGTCATATGGCCAAGTGCTCCAAAAGGTAGTGGTGTAAAACAACAACCATTTTATTGTCCTTACAGATTCTGTAGGTGAGAATTTGGATTAGGCAGAGAAGATGGCTTATCTCAGGTGCCCAATGTCTGGGGACTTATCTGAGAAAACTCTAGAGCTGTAGTCTGGAATCATCTGGACTAGAGGATTCTTCGGGTCAGCTGGAACGACCCAAAGGCTGAGCTCAGCTTGGACTGGCGAGCAGAGCCCGTGTGTTTGGCCTCGCCATGTGGCCTGGGCTTCTCACAGCACTGAAGCTGGATTATGAGATAAAGTGTTCCTACAGTGAACCTTCAAAGAGAACCAACAAAACTTGCCAGTCTTTTTATAACCTAGCCTCAGAAGCCACACAGCATTGCTTGCACCTTACTGTATTAGTTGAAGCAGTCATGAGCTGCCTAGATTCAAAAGGAGGAAAACTAGACTGTGCTTCTTGATGGAGAGTGGCCTGTATAGAAGAGCGTGTGAAACAGAAAATATTGTTAGGACCATCTTTGGAAAATATAACCAGCCACTGAAAATAAGAAAATTAAAACTAATAGGATGTAATTTTAGACAGTAATAAAGAGTGAGTCTGCTGAGGTGCCTTTTAGAGAACAGGTTTAGAGAAGTTATCTCAGAAGAAGCCATGTCTAGGCAGAGACGTGGATGATTAAAAAGAATGAATCAGAGGTAGCAGCAAGCCAAGATCATGCCAATGCACTCCGGCCTGGCAACAGAGTGAGACTCTCTCTCAAAAAAAATAAAATAAAATCATGCAAAGATCTGAGAATACTACGTCCCAGCAGAGGCAATGCTTAATGCAATGGCCCTGAAATGAGGGGGGAAAAATTAGCATGTTTGAAAAAAATAAAAAGATCAGTGTGTCTAAAATAAAATGAGACTAAAACAGAGAAAGAAAGGAGATAGTGAAAGAAGTAGCAGGGCCCAAACACAAAACAAAACAAAAAGTAAGTAATGCTAATACATATGGAATTTAATCTAATTGTAATTGGAAGGCATTGGTGAGTTTTAAGCAGAGTGAGTAAGGCAATTTATTCTTTCACAAATGTCACTCTTGGGGTCTTATAGAGGAGTAATAGTGAAAGCAGGGGGTCTACTGAAATCTAATACAATAAGCCCAGGGGCGGAGGTTAATGACATGGCCTATGGGGATAATGAAGGAGGTGGTGAGGAGAGGATGGATTGGAAGTGGCATTGGAAAGAAAAAGGGGAATCAAGGATCATAGCATATGGGACAGAATTTCTGAGTAAATTGTAGTGCTATGAATTGTGATGGGGAAGCCTGAGGTAGAGGAAACTTTTAGTGGAGAGGAAGTAAACGTTTTATTTTGAACATGTTAACTTTGGGATAACCCATTAAATGTCTAACATGTTTTATAGGCCAGTAGATGTACTGGAAACAGTGTCAGGAGAAGAATAGAAATATGGCATTCTTCTACATCTAGTATATGTGACTCAAAAATACATTAAAATCATGTAATGATTCACATAAAAACAATTATAAAATTCAAGAAATAATAACTTAGAAACATGTTCCTATTTAAATGTTTGTAATGCTACACATTATACATTCACAAGGTTCATTTTTACTACTAAATCCTGTTCTCTCACAAACAAATAAGAAAATACAGGAGAAAAAGAATGTAGGCCAAAAAGTGCCTGTTTTATTAAGCAACAAACTCAGTCCCTTACAACATTTAAATTATTAACATTATCAAAGTCAATGTCCAGAGACTACATTCTGCCTGCAACCTCGTTTCATTATTCGGCTAAACTCTAAAGAAATACTTCCATAACAAAATGAACAACCTAGATTATCTTTCTACCAGGCCCCAAATCCTGCCCTCCTATGATTTCCAGAGTGTTTAAGAGGAGTTTGTTTGAGGTTGAGAGATCTGTGTGCTTGCTAGAGTGTATCTTCCTAGTCAGCTAAATGGCATTTAGAACCTGTTTCTTTCCTTCCTGAGGCTTGTGAGCTGAAAGATTTTCTCAGATACACTCCTCTAATAAAAGAATGAAGATGTTACATGGTATGTTTTATTCTAGAAAATATTTTTTTTTGCAAAAAAACATTCAGAAAACATTCTACTCTATGATAAAAGTAGTGAAAAACACCAGGAAACATAATAACAACTTCTGGTTAAAAAGAAAAATAATTAATAAAAGATTAATAAAGTAAGATTCAATCATTCTTAAAAATACAGTATTCAGAACTTTTAATTACATAGATGCATACTTTGATATCATTATGGATGATTGCTACAAAAATACTTTATGATTAAAAATGCAACTTAGCATAGTGGTTAGGAGCAGAGCAGTTTCTGTAGTCAGACATCATGAGTTTGAATCCTAGCTGTGCTTACTGCCAGCAATTATCTGTGCCTCTGTTTCCATATATGTAAAATTATTGTCACATTAATAATTAATAGAAATAGATATTAATAGAACCTTCCTCTGAGGGTTGTTTGGGGGTACTGAATATTTACATATTTTAATAGGAGTAAAGCACTTAGAACAGGAAATGGCACATAGTATGCACTATGCCAGCTAAGCCTATATATTAGCTATTATTATTTCTTCTCATTCTTACCCCTTAATCTGCATGCTATTTAAGAGAATATTATGTGTTATATGATCACATTGACCACATAGATCCTCTAGCTTTCAAAAACCACATAGATACTTCAGTTTAGGAATTCTAAATGAAAAGCATAGAATACTGAGTTAAAATGCCCATCCTACATTTAGTGGTGACAATGACATTATGCAGAATATTACAGAGGATGGGTGGAAAACGATGTTAATTTTTTCTTAGAAATATAAGAATTGCTATTTTGCTACCTATTTGCCTGTTACAAATGTGTCAAGAATAAGTAAATAATATCTGAGGACTGCTTTGAGTGCCTAATAAAGTGTATATATCTACTCTACACCAAGCACTAGGATGAGAGTTATATAGGTAATACATCCTTCAATTCTCATAACAACTGTAAATGAGATGTATTATTTGACCCATTTTACAAATAAAGAAACTATTCAAGAAGATAAATGTATGCCCTAAGTCCCACAGATGGCAAAAAATGACACTGACATTTGACTCCAAGATCCATGCCTACATATGGCAATAATTATTCCAAAATATAAAGAAAAGAAAGTCATAGTATATCTTACTCTATTAAAGTGTCTAGAATTATATAAGAGCAGTTTCTCATTTGGTTTGCAAATAGCGGTTATTCTACACGAGATGGTGAATTTTGGCCTCATTCGTTAAAAGAGAATATTTTAATTGAGTAAAAGATAGGAAAGTATATTTCAGTACAAATAGCCTTGAATTGGAGGACAAGTGACTTTAATATCTATGGGAGTTTGGACGGGCACAGTGGCTCATGCCTGTAATCCCAGCACTTTGGGAGGCTGAGGCAGGCGGATCACTTGAGGTCAGGAGTTCAAGACCAGCCTGGCCAACATGGTAAAACCCCATTTCTACTAAAAATACAAAAATTAGCTGGGCGTGGTGGCGTGTGTCTGTAATCCCAGCTGCTCAGGAGGTTGAGGCAGAAGAATTGCTTGGACCTAGGAGGAGGAGGTTGCAGTGAGCCGAGACTGCGCCATTGCACTCCAATCTGGGCAACAGAGCAAGACTCTGTATCAAAAAAAATATATATATATGCATATATGGGAGTTTGAGGTGTTAAAATAAAAACTTTAGACAATTTAAATTTAGCATAATTCACCTGAGCAAAGAATGATTTATGAATTGAGCAACACTCAGAACCAGGAGAGGTTCAGCGAGCTCCACTCAGCAATGTGGGCAGGCAGTATTTGTAGACAGAAAAAGGAAGTGACACAGAGAAACAGTGTGATTGGTTACAGCTCAGCATTTCCCTTATTTGGACATGGTGTGATGAAGTTTTTGCCTTACATTGACAGGTCTGATCAGTTGGCAGCCTGTGATTGGTTAAAACTTGGCTGCTATAATTGGCTGAGACTTATCTATTTGTTACAAGTATATACTCTTAGTTAGGTTGCAATTTGTTTATACTAAGTTTGGTTGCAGTTCACTAGGTAAAGAGGGAGCTTTAGGCCAAGTTTAATTTAATTTAACAGAGGATAATTATTTAAATATTAATAGATCTCAGTTTCCTCAGTTATAAAGGAGGATGTATATACACTATTATATAGACAATGACACTCAGAAAAGATGGGTGAATGGATTTGTTTTGTATAATAGTCTTGGAATTCTGTAAAGTGTGTCTTTAGAAAAGGGTGTACTTTTTTTAACATTGCATTAGATAATTTCTACAGGGTTAATTATCTGTAAGGATTAGGAAACTTCTCTGTCAGGTAAAATGTTTAACTTTTTCTGTTAATCTTCTCACATAATATTTCCTGAAACCATGCTGTGTATTTATTATTATTCCAGTATTATTGAAAGGAAACTCAAGTCCAAAAAGATACACAAAATATCCAAGATACAGAGCCAATAAACAATAGAGCTAGGTTTCAGACCCAGATCTGTTGGAATCCACATTATTTTCACTACACTTATTGTGCACTTCTATATAGCTACTAAAAAGCATCAAGGTTGAGTTAGTTGAATAAATTCTCTTGATAAAAGAGGCACCTTTTTAGAGGATGAATTCCCCCCAAATAAGTGATTATTGTCTTATGAATGTATACATTGTTAGCTATTTGAAAAATGTATTATACTGACTGTTCATAGCTCTTGCGTTTGAAATGTTACTGTCCTAGTCATTTCCTTAGCATTTACTAAACATAATCCTATTTTCTGATTGTTTATCTGGCACTTCCCAGGGATACTCATTAAAATGCAAGCTGCTTCATCTGGAAGATAATACTTCATGGTCTATCAAATGAATGCAAGTGGTAACAGACTCGAACTCAGCCTCTGCTATGGAAATACTACACTTAAGCTAACATAAATAATGCAATCCTTCATGTAGCCACTCACTTTGATGATAACTAAATCCTATCTTCTCAAAGAGATGGCTATGTGATTAAATGATTACACAGGTCTTCTAGTTTGCACAGTTTTATCCTCTTCATATATGAGTTTTTATATCTTCAGTAGTGATTATTGTATTCTTTTTACCTGAAAATTTCACTATTCTCTCACACAGAGACAATGAAAATGCAGAATATCTTGAGAATTGTAAGAGCAAAAACAGAAACAAAAAATACTTCTATTTATAAATTCGAAACAAAAGTTCTTGCTACCTACAGAATTTTCTGCATTTGACTTAATGCCATTAATACAAATTCTTAAGGCCTTACATCAGCTGTTGAACTTACTAAGTCCTAGACTTTTCTAAAAAGATTATTACTTGCCACATTTGGGAATTGTGTCTGTATCTAATCTTATCTGACTATCAAAATGTGAAACCACATTTAGCCTTTGAATAGCAAGTTCACTAATGTTGATAGCTAAAATCACAGTGAGGAAAACCTAAAATCTGCCCTCTGACTTGATACAAGAGCATCACACCCTTTCACCTAATAAGGGATAAGGTACATGAATACTCTTGAGAGTTCCATGACGTTATCCCTCCGAAGTGACCAAAGGTGACCTTTAGGTTCCTCTGGATTGTAAGGGCATTAGTCTTCTCTTCACAATATATTCTGTATAAAGTGACTTCTCTTCAAAGTCTTCTTCTTACAAGAAAAGACTTTCCAAATCTCCTCTCCCCTAGGAATATATTTCTCTCTTCTTCCCCAAATCAAGACATGAAAAATACTTTTAAAGTGTTCCCCAAGTTCTAAAAAAAAAAAAGAATGTTTTTATTTGCTTTCAAATAGAGAAACTGTAAAATGTTTAGAAATTGTATTACATGTGCTTATTTTCAATTTCTTTTTTTTAATTCTAGAATTCTTTTCTATTTTTTTGAATGAAAAGTACTCTCAAAGGAAAAAAGTAAATAAGATGTTATATAACATAGGGCACATGAGAGGAAAAATCACTGTTACTAAGATGCCTTCTTTAGAGGAGTATTAGGGTTTTTTGCTGTTGGCTGCTGCTGCTCTTGTTTTAATTCTAGTAGCAACTAATTTGTACAGATTTAAACTACAAACTCCCTTCCACCGCTTGTACAGTAGCTGATATCTTTACTCAAGTCTCACAGTTTCAGCTGCTGATTTATTTTATTTTATTTAGCCTGGTTCCTTGGCATTTGCCATAGGCTTGCATAAAATAGGGTCGGCCAAGGATTTGAAGAGAGTATATACAATGATCCCTCAATATCCATGTGGTTTGATTCCAGGACCCCTGAGGATATAAAAATCCACATACGGGCAGTGTGTGATGGCTCACACCTGTAATCCCAGCACTTTGGGAGGTCGAGGTGGGTGGATCACCTGAGGTCGGGAGTTCGGGGCCAGCCTGAGCAACATGGAGAAACCCCGTCTCTACTAAAAAATAGAAAATTAACTGGGTGTGGTGGCACATGCCTGTAATCCCAGGTACTCGGGAGGCTGAGGCAGAAGAATTGCTTGAACCCGGGAGGCAGAGGGTGCAGTGAGCTGAGATCGTGCCATGGCACTACAGCCTGGGCAACAAGAGGGAAACCCTGTCTAAAAATAAATAAAAAAAAAAATCCATATATATTCAAGTCCCTTACATACAATTATGTAGTATTTGCATTTAACCTATGTACATCCTTTACATACTTTAAATGATCACCAGATCATCTCTTTCACTATAGCATATACAACGTTAATGCTGCGTTAACAGTTGTTAATATTATTTTTGATTGTTGCACAGTTAATTTTTTCAAATAATATTGAAATGTGACATCTGTGGATTTGAAACCCATGAAAATAAAGAGCTGATTTTACTCATATTTAGTGTCTCACCATCTCTGAGGCTTTCTTGATTACTGGAAATCCACTCTCAATTTATTGTTTCTTTGTCAACTTTTTGTGTTGTCTTCCTATATCTTAAACCTGTAAGATTTCAACTTCCTGCTGACCAAGTTGTAGATGAGTTGGAGAATGTGGTCAATTAAAAAGGAAAAAAAAACCTGGTCTCTACTAAAAATACAAAAAATTAGCCGGGAGTGGTGGCGGGCGACTGTAGTCCCAGCTACTTAGGAGGCTGAGGCAGGAGAATGGCGTGAACCTGGGAGGCGGAGCTTGCAGTGAGCGGAGATCGCGCCATTGCACTCCAGCCTGGGCTACAGAGCGAGACTCCGTCTCAAAAAAAAAAAAAAAAAAAAAAAAAAGAAGAAGATACGTAGTGGATCAAATTCACACATTTCAACTTACATCTTTTCTGGGTTCTCCTTGTTTTCTTTTATTTTTGTTTTTCTAGTTGAACTATTTCAAGAATAACTCTGCTTTGGTTTCTGTCTTCTTTCTAATGTTTTTCCAGGTCTTTTCACAGTTCTTTTGTAATAATATGTATTTTTCAAGATTTCGTCTCTTACCTGTAGGAGAACTGACTCACCTCTTCATTCTACCATTTTTCCATTACAGAAGATTTTTAAATTTGGCTTTCTTATATGAGAGAAATCATCTGCTCTTTTGTTAGAACACACAGTTAATTTTGAGTTTCTGTCACTCACAGATGGAAGGATTAAATGAATTGATACCTTAACCTTGCTTAGGACAGTGTTTGGCTTATAATAAGTTATCAGTATATGTTACCTATCTTCTTCATTATTTGTTTTAGAGTTTTCCAAAGACATAGAATTGTTGGTATAAGATATATAGAGATCTATAAGAGGAGATTTATTATGAGAATTGGCTCACATGATTATGGTGGCCAAAAAGTCCTATAATGTGCCCTGTCTGCAAGCTGGAAAATCAGGAAAGCCAGACGTGTAATTCAGTTTGAGTTTGAATGCCCGCAAAGCAGAGGAGCTGATGATGTAAATTCCAGTCTGAGGCCACAGTCTGCCAAAGATGGGGACCTGGCTGGTGTAAGTCCCTGACACCTAACCAGTAGCTCCTGTATTTGAGGGAAGGGGAAGATAGATGCCTCAACTAAATAAGTGAAAGAGAATTCACCCTTCATCTCACTCTCTTCCTATTCAGCCCCAGAAGGACAGGTTGAATGACGCATGCCCACACTGGTGACAGTGAGTCATCTTTATTCAGTCTGTGAATTCGAATGCTAGTTTATTCTGGTAAAACCCTCTCAGACACACTTCGAAATAATGTTGTAGCAGGTATCTGGGCATCCCTTAGCCCAGCCAAGCTGATTTATAAAATTTACCATTGCATTATTATTATTGCAGTTTTATGCAAGCCCGTGAACCACTCCTGCTCTACAGTTAAGAATGCTCTTGTTACTTATCCACAAGTTCAAGGAACTTCCTACATGCTAGGAATGGAACTGTAAAGATAAGAAGATACTGAGTTTGACTGTGTCTCTGCTCACCGTACAAACTCTTTATATTTCATATTCCAGATCAAATGCTAACTTCTAGGGGAAACCTTTCCATAATTTCTTAGCCAACTTTTTTTCCCTTTTAACATACTTCTGTTTTACCAGTTATCTTATTATATTATAATTTTTTGTTTATATTTTATTATTACTATTTTGAGATGGAGTCTCACTGTGTTGCCCAGGCTGGAGTGCAGTGGCGCAAATCTCAGCTCACTGCAACCTCCACCTCCCAGGTTCCAAGCAATCCTCCCGCCTCAGTCTCCGGAGTAGCTGGGATTACAGGCATGAGCCAGGAAGCCCAGCTAATCTTTTTGTATTTTTAGTAGAGATGGGATTTCACCATATTGGCCATGCTAGTCTCGAACTCCTGAGCTTGTGATCTGCCCGCCTCAGTCTCCCAAAGTGCTGGGATTACAGGCATGAGCCACTGCACCCGGCTTTTTGTTTTAATACAGGTTATAATGTAATTTCAGGCAAGCAGTTTCTCTGTCTTCTGTGTACGTACACCTGAGTATTCAAGGTTTCCTTTTTATACTCTATGTAAATTTTCCCTGCTATGGGGATCATAATTAGTTTTATTAGTTTTTTTATTCATTTATAATATTTTTTCAAATGCCTAAAATACTTTCTTAGTTCTTCAGAAATTTCAAATCTACTCAATTTTTATGGGTTAGTGAATTGAACAGCTGGCTCATATCACTCATTACGCTCTGAGAAGGTGATATCGTTTCTATGTTCTGGGAATATTTTATAATTTTAAAATCTATGATAACATTATTTATCCTTCAACTTGATAAACACTGCTTTTTACTCTCTTACAGCCAAACATCCACACAAAGATAATATTTTTTTCAATCAAAAGCACTCAAATTTCCACGATGATCACTGGAGGCTCTTTTTTAAACATTACTATAACTTGTGATTTTGGCTCTATCATAAGAATTTTATGCTTCTTGCTCCAAACAATGCTTTTTGGGGGTGAAATTAGATTTTTTTCAATTCTTCTCTTTCATATGCCACACTATATTTCAGACAATCTCTGACTCACACTCAGCAAATACTCTCCAGTTATAAATCCCAGGACTGTGTTTCTCAAGTTATCATTGATTACATATTATTATTACTTTTTAATCTGCAATCCAATGCATTCCAATACTTTCGTAAAATGCTCTAAAATTAATTGCTCTAAAAATATCATGTACTTGCATGGTGCAACAATGTCAAACTGCCATGAAAGTTTTTAAAAGCGTACTCTAAATGTCAGCACATAATTGGTCTGAGAAACACACACTGGGTAGCAATGGTCCTGCATATGCCTACAGAAACTGGTCAAAAGGAATGGGAATAAAATCTTTATTTCAGTGAGGGCCTCATAACCTATGTTTCTGACATTGCTTTCATCTGTCATCCTACAATATGGTCTCATTGTAACCAAAATTATCATCATTGAATTTGTTGCTATCCATTTGACAGAGTTGATGTTAAATCAATTCAAATTCATCTGATAATTAGACCGACCTTTGAGGCTCATGTTGATCATAGGAGTGTTTAAAGAGTATGTGGAATATATTCATAGTTTTTGAAAATCAATATGTGGAGTATTCTGGTTTGACTCTCATATTTATCAAGTACAGAGTGGTATTGTGCAGAAATATTTTCTCATCAAAATATGAGAAACATTTCATTAAGCTGTATTTGCATTAATTTAGTAGTTAATGGCATCTCATATCACAAGAGCTGGATGAGCTGAGACTCCAGAGGTCTTTTTTACCCCCGTTAGCAATGACATCTTCATTTCCTTGCTATAAAAATTCACTACAAGAAAGCATGTTCTCATTAAAATAACTATATCTTCCCATTGGTTTCCAAGTTGGGATTCTAAGGCCTACGCAAATAATCAATTTGGAAGATTTTCCATAGTCCCTGATACTGTATATTGTTAAATGAAATGAAATGATCTTCTCTGTAATGTGCAACCTCAAAACAAGATAGATAGGTATTTCTTACCATGGCTGTCTCAAATAAACCAGTGACAAACACCTTTATTGTTAAAATTCAGGGTCCAGCCAAGAAATAGACATGAATTTTCAGTTCTGACCAATTTACCTGGGCGAAACCCAGAGTAATTTTTTTCCTTCCAAGTACTATTTAGCTAAAGATTGCTTTTGTCATATTTGAATGAATTATAACCACTAATTTGATCTTTTAAAGGTTTATCAAAGTAAAATTCACTACTGCTTCTCTAAGCCCCAAATTATAAAATATTTTTTCAGATCTTTCAGATGCAAACCAAAAAGGAATATTGTTTGTTCTTTGAGATTTTACTTTTTAACTTGTGATGTGAAAATCTTGAATATTATCAGAATTTGTAAGTGGGTGTTTAAATTGAAGATCAGGGATGAGGGAGTTGTCTTTGTCTGCCTAGTATTCTTTTTTTTTTTTTTTTTTTTTTTTTTGAGATGGAGTCTCTCTCTTTCCCCCAGGCCGGACTGCAGTGGCGCTATCTTGGCTCATTGCAAGCTCTGCCTCCCAGGTAGGTTCACGCCTTTCTCCTGCCTCAGCCTCCCGAGTAGCTGGGACTACAGGCGCCTGCCACCACGCCCGGCTAATTTTTTGTATTTTTAGTGGAGATGGGGTTTCACCATGTTAGCCAGGATGGTCTTGATCTCCTGACCTCGTGATCCACCCGCCTCCGCCTCCCAAAGTGCTGAGATTACAGGCGTGAGCCACCGCCCCCAGCCTGTTTGCCTAGTATTCTTGATTTGGCTTTAGCACAGTTTATCTGCATATGATCAGATGCTTTCATATATTCCTTCAACTATGAACAATTTTAATAAAATTTTCTTCAGTGCTTCATTCTTTAAACAAATATCTACTGAGCACCTAATATATAATAGAAACTGGAACAGTAAAACAAGACAAAATGTAACAACACCAGCACTACCACCACCAACAACGAAAAGACAGGTAATACTCTCAATTTCCATCTCTGGCTTGTAGGGATTACATTCCAGGAGTGGTAAACAGACAACCAACAAATCAGTGTATTTAAGGAGAAAAATAATACAAGAAAAGAGATTGGGCATTCTGGGTGTGAGGGATTATGTGAGCCATAAAGGTTTGCAACTTTTGAGATACCTTTGACCTTTCCCTTTGATGAATGTCCTACCTCTAGATCGTCCCTTCATCTCTGTCTTGGATCAAGCTTCACATTTCAGAGTGTGAAATCTGGCTTCCTGAGCAACTACAAATGGGGGTGGAGGGCACAATCACAAAATGCTGGGAGAGTGAGCAACTCTTAAGGTCTACCTTGACCAATGGGAGATGGAAGAGAGCTGCAAATATAAATCCCTCTTCATTTTCATTCTTGTGCACAAATCTGATAAACAGTTTCTCTTCAGAGGCTTCCAGATAAGCCTTCCATGCCAAGTGAGCATGTATTCTCAGCAACCTGCTTTGTCTCTTCAATGCTTATTGTGAAGACTAACATACTATAAAGCCAATAAAACCTCTCTGCTTATCCTATGCATTATCTACCTCATTGTTTCTCTTCTTAACTTTCAAACAAATCTTCCCAAAATCTATACTCATATATGCTGAATTCACTTTTTCTTCTCTTCTCTCTTGAACCTACTCTAATCATAGCTTTATTCCCACAATTCCTTGGAGACCACCGTTGTCAAAATTACCAGCACAGAAGGAATATTGATGATGCAGAAGAGAGGAGAAGAGATTGTTGGAATTCATAGAGTCTCCTTTTCTGAGGGTTTCTGAAAATAAGATAAATTCTCAACATCATATGTTAGCTTGGGAGTGAGTCTCTGTGAAGACAAATGGTGGTCATATGTGAACTCTCCTATTCTTTGTATAAAATAGACCATGACACAAATGAAGAAGAATTATTTTAGTAATCATTTAGTTCACACACCATTTGTAGACTCAACTTCAAGGGTCATTCAAGTCTCAGATTCCATTAGTCATACATGTAAAAGGAAGGAATTTCTGATGCATTAAATCAAAAGGGCAAGAAAATGTCATTTTCTGGATTCTAAGTCCAATAAAATGTGTAAAAGAAAACGCATCAGAGTAAACCAGTAATAATAGTAATAGTAGTAACAATAGCTTGCACATAAGTGTGTATATACATATGTATATGTTATCCTCATAATGAAACCTTTTGAGAATTATCATGAATTTGCACATGACAGTGAAGCATACAGATATTACATAGCCAGTAAGAGACATTATTTATAAATTAATTGAGATGCTTTATATCTAAAGTTTTCATTTAGATTTAGCAGTTTTAAAGTCCACAAAAATATTTTATAATATTATGCACTAACAACTACTAAGTGGAATGGAGCACTGCCATTTCTTCCTAATTGAGAACGGTGCAATAGAATAAATTTAATCAATCTCCAAAGAAATGTGCATGATAAAATCTAGTTCTTCCGCTCACATTTAAATTTTCTAATATTTTTATTACAACTTTTATAACTCAGTCTAACTATAGACTAATTGTTTTAATTACTGTAACTTCAAGTTATATGAATTACTTGGCTATAATTAAGCAATATGACATGACAAGCAGTGCCTTTCAGGATGATTGTAGGGTATTATAGTTTCATAATAAACTCCAATGATGTTCTATCTTAATTATACACATTAATAGATTCTGTACACATTTAATTATCTGCTACATTTATATTCCCATAACTTTAAGCGGTTCTGCTTTAGTATAACCAGTGTTCAAAAAAATTCACTAATGGGGCATGATAGCCAAGTTATCACTGTACTTTAGGAAGAAAACCACCCATTGATATATGCAATATTTTATAGTTATATGGGTACAAAATTAAGTGATTAAATCTTATAGCTACATCAAAACATATATTTGTGTAAATTTAAAAGATAAATTCTGTTCTACTTCAGAAATATGGCAGATATTGATGTAGAATTATGAATAAAATAATCATATATAAATAATGAAATGTGCTTTTTTGGAGAATTACCTATTTATATGAATAGTAAAACCTGGATTTAAAGCATGTATTAAATAGTAGAGATTTACCCTAAAATTTTTCACTATAGTAAATTTTCTAAATTTTTTGACTCTCTTTTTCATTGGCATAAATTCTCCCTAGAGATAAATTTCCTCCAAAACATCTCTAGAAACTTATATCAAGCTATCAGATCTCTCTGTTTGGAGAAGTGTTAAAAGATATCCTTGGTCTCACTAAATTTTTAGAAGGTTTTTTTTCCCTCTCCTTTTCTAAATATTTATCAGTACCATCAAATTTACTTGGTAATAATTTGAAAATATTCAACCTTGTTTTCTTTCCAATTTTTACTGCAATGTCATTAATTCAAAAAATAATTTAAATGTTTGCAATAGTGTTCTTAATAGTGGTCCCTTTCTCATAACTTTAACATTTTGTTATAACTCAAGTTTGTGCTCTCTTCTTTCTCATTCCCCTTTCCTTTCTTCCACAAATACTAACAATATATATGTATATGTTTATTCATATAAACTATATATATACACGTGTGTGTGTGTGTGTGTGTGTGTGTGTGTGTGTGTGTGTGTGTGTAGGTTAGTTAGAATTCTATTACAGGAAAAGCTTTCCTACTCCTATTTATCTATTTATATAAGGGTGGATTTTCAGTTTTTTTCCACAGAGCTCATACTAATTTTTAGGGCCACCAGAAATATATGAGTTTGTGGTTCCCCACAAACTTGTCAATAAAAAGTGTTGTCATTCCATTAATTATTCATCAATTTTTATATGTGATATGTGATAGATCAGTGTTATAATTTGCATTTCTCTAATTATGAGGAAGGTTTAATTTTTAATTCTTAAAAACCTTTTTGTATGTTTTATAAAATGTGTTTTATGTCTATTTCTAGTCTTTCTATTATTTTCTAAAGTATGTCTACTCAGACAGTAGTATAAAATATTTTACTCATAAAATTTATAGTATATTTTGTCTGAAAGGATTATATCCCTTCATGAGTTTTTTTTCCCATTGTTTTCTTTTCTCGCGTGTTTGCTTTTATTTATATAAACTTATATCCACAGAAAATACATTGTTGCTATAGTTATTTGGATAGTGCAACATTTATAAATTAAGCAGAACTAAAATCTTTATGATGCTTTTGATTCTATCTAAAAACAAGAAAAAATTATTTACATTTGTACAATTTTAATTTTGTATCTTTCAAAAGTTTAAATTTTGTCTATGTTCATAGAGTTTTTGAACATTTGTTAATTATATTTCTAAATATTTTATCTTTGTTATTGTTATTGTAAATTGGGTTCTCTGCCATTATATCCTTTGACTGGTTATTAATTTTGTATATGAAAGATATGGATTTCTGTATGTTAATTTTATACTCTATTTTACTATATTCTTACATTTCTTGAGATAGTTTTATCATTTATTTGTTTTTCAGGTTTACTGTTATATTGTATGAAAACAGAGATAGTTTTACTTCTTTTCCAGTTATTATTCTTCTATTAGATTTGTTTAATTGCACTGTTTAATATTTTCATTACAATATTGATTAGTAGTGGGGATTGTTCCTAATCTTAGTGGAAATGTCTCTATTGTTTCTGTATTACATAAGATGCAGGAGTATATTTTCTTTCTTTTTCACTCTGTAGTCAACTAATGCTTTATATAATACTAATTAAAAATAGAATTTTGATTTATTCAGTTAATAAATATATTTTCTTCTACTTCATTAATTCCTGCTTTCAGCTTTACTATTTCCTCTCATATTTTCTTTTGGTATGTTTTGTTGTTTCTGCACTTTTGGTTTCAGAAATCATTTCAATTATTTTCATTCTTTAATTTTAAAAATACAAGTATATGGGGCTAGCATTTTTATGTAATCACTGCTTTAAATGTATCTCATAGATGATGATATATGTATTTTTACTAGTGTTGTTTTTAGGAATTTAATTTTTTAATTTAAAATTTAAATTTTTACATTTTTATATTTCTCTTTTCAAACAAGTTTTGTTTAACAGACTGTTAGTCCTTTTTATAAGGTTAATAATTTCTAGCCTATAGCATTGCGAGAAAAAATGTTGAAAATATTTCCACATTTTGGAATTCATTCATGTTTTCACTATTGTCTAATAACCTATCAATTTTGTAACTGTTTCATATACACTTAAGAAGGTGTATTTTTCATAACCAGTGTGTAATGTTCAATATATGTCCATATGCTTTGTGTTATTAATGATGGTTATCTCTTCTATGTTTTCTTTTTGTCCATTTGAAATGATGTGTATTGAAAGTTGCATGTTAAAGACTCTTATTATCATGCTTCTATGTCTTCTCAAATCTATTTAGACATTTTGCTTATAAAGTAGATATTTTGTTGTTTAGTACAAACATATTTATGTGTTATTTTTTATTTTAGATTGTGTTTTCTTGCATTAAAAGTGTATCTCCTTCTTGTGCTGATGGGTATAAATATGGTAGGCAAAATTCTTAGATGGCTGCCAAGAGTCTAATTCCCTGTTGTATTTGCCCTACACAAATACTTTCCCCTTGAGTATGGGCAGGACCTTTGAATATTATGGGCTATCACTCATAAAATTAGATTATGCTTTATGGAGAAACAGATATTGAAGATATAATTAAGGTCTCTAATCTAATTGAGTTTGAGCTAATCAAAAGGAAGATTATCCCAGTTAGAACTGATCTAATCAGGTAAACCTTTAAAAAAGACAGGAAGCAGAAGCAACCTGCCCTGTTTTGGAGAGAATCTGGTGACAGGAAACAGTGAGTAAGAATGGCTCCCAGTTGATAATCAACAAAATAGGGACCTCAGTTTTATGATTACAAGAAACTGAATTATGTTTAACAACAACAACAAAAAAAAAAACTTGCAGAAGGTTCTTAAGGAGATTGCAGCCTCAGCCAACACCATTATTTAAGCTGTGTGAGAAATGAAACAGAGAATTCCAACCTACACAACTGTGAGGTAATAAAGGTATCTTGTTTTTTAACTGTGATAATATATCTACATCAAGCTTACCGTTTTAACCATTTTGAAGTGCACAGCTCAGTAGAATTAAATACATTCACACTGCTGCAAATCACCACTACCATCTCCAGAACTGAAACTGTGTGTCCATTAAACAAGAATTCCTCAACATGTCTCCACTCAACAGCTGGTAACTACTCTTCTACTTTCTGTCTATGATTTTAACTCTTATATGTATCTCTTATAAGTGGAACCATGTAAAATTTGTATCTTTATGTCTGGCTTATTTCACTTACCATAATGTCTTCAAGATTCATCCACGTTGTAACATATATCTTTTTAAGGATGATTAATATCCCACTGTCTATGTATCACATTTTATTTGTCTATTTATTGATCTTTAAATAAATATTTGAATTGGTTCCTCCTTTTGGCTACTATGAATAATACTCCAGTGAACATTGGTGTACAAGTGCCTGTTTGTGTCCCTGCATTTGACTCTTTTGTAGGTACATACCTCAAACAGGAATCACTGGACCATAGAGTATTTTGATGTTTAATTTTTTGAAAAATCACCATATGGTTTCCACAGTAGCTGCACCATTTTACATTCCCACCAGCAATGTGTGAGTATTCCAATTTCCCAAGAGTGATTATTTTCTGTTGGTTGTTTTTAATTTTGTTTTTTGTTTTGGGATAATAGCCATATTAATAAGTATAAAGTGGTATCGCATTGTGAATTTTAGTTGCATTTCCTCTTGAAGACTGATGTTGAGCATCTTTTCTGTGCTTATTGACCATTTGTTATATTCTTTGAAGACATGTCTATTCAATGCCTTTGTCAATTTTTTAAAATTGGTTTGTTTCTTATTGTCGAGTTGGGGTTTTTATATGTTCTCTAACCAGATATAACCAGATATATAATCTCTTTATATAATCTCTAACCAGATATAAAATTTGCAAATATGTTTCTCTATTCCACAGGTTGACTTTTTATACTCTTAATAATGTCTTTTGCTGCAAAAAAGTTTTAAATTTTGATATAATCCCATTTATCTATTTTTTCTTTTGTTATTTATGTCTTTAGTGTCATATTTAAGAAATAATTGCCAAATCCAGTGTGAAGAAGCTATTCCTCTATGCTTTTTTTCTAAGAGTCTTATGTTTTTAGTTCTTACATTTAGCTCATAATTCCATTTTTAGTTAATTTTAATATGATGTAAAGTAAGGACCCAACTTCCCAACACCATTTGTTGAAAAGATTTTTGTTTCCTACTTAATGGTCTTGGAATCACTGTCAAAAATTATTTGGCTATATACATGATGTTATATTACTGGGCTCTCTATTCTATTCCATTGATCTATATTCCTGTCTTTATGCCAGCACCACATTGTTTTGATTACTCTAGATTTCTACTACCTTTTGAAATCAGGAAGTATGAGTCTTCCAACTTTGTTCTTTTTCAAATTATTTTGACATCTGGGGTGGTCCCTTTAGGTTTTCTATGAATTTTATAATCAGTTTTTACTATTTCTGCAGAAAAAGAAAAGTCATTGGAATTTGGGTGGGACTTGCATTGACTCTTTATATCACTTTAGGTAGTATAAACATCTTAACAACATTTAGTCTTCCAGCCCATAAACATGGGATGTGTTTTCATTTATTTAAATCTTTATTTCAATAATATATTGTAGTTTTTACTGTGCAAGGCTTTCACCTCCCTGATTAAGTTAATTCCTAACTATGTATTCTTTTTGATGTTATTGTAAATGGAATTGTTTTTATAATATACTGTTCAGATTGTTAGTGTATAGAAATGCACAGGATATTTGTGTGTTGACTTTGTATACTACTTTGCTGAATTTGTGTATTATATCTAACAGGTTTTCTTTTGGAGATGTTTAAGATTTTACTCATATAAGACCTTACCATTTATGAACAGAGTTTATTTTACATCTCCTTTTTCAATTTGGACTCTTCCTTCCTTCCTTCCCTCCCTCTTTCCTTTTTTTTTTTCCAAGGTTTCACTCTGTCACCCAGACTGGAATGTAGTGGCGTGATCATGGCTCACTGTAACTTCAATCTGCCAGGCTCAAATGATCCTCCTGCTTCAGCCTTCCAAGTAGCTGGGACTACAGGCATGCACCACCCATACCTGGCTAATATTTTTTTATGATTTTTAAAATTTTTGTAGAGACAGGGCCTGACAATGTTGCCCAGGCTGATCTCAACCTCCTAGATTCAAGCGATCCTCCTGCCCAGGCCTCCCAAAGTGATGAAATTACAAGTGTGAGCCATCAAGCCCAGCCCATTTTTATTCTTTATTCTTGCCTGATTGCTCTGGCTAGGACTTCCAGTATTATGTTGAATAGAAGTGGTAAAAGTAGGCATCCTTACCTTTATCTTGACCTTAGAGGAAAATATTTCAGTCTTTCACTGTTGAATATAATGTTCGTTGATTTTTCCTATAGGGCCAATATCTATTGTTTTCATCTACCAAATTTATCGTAAGTTGTAGCAATATTGTTTATGGTAATACATAGCAATAAAAAACTAACATAATAATGAAGAAATTTCTAATTCTATTTAAATAAAGTAAAACACAATTATATGTTTTCTCTATATGTCTCTCTATCTCCTTTTAAGGAAAAGAAACAAAAGAAAATTTGAAAGGGGTGATGTTCCAACATATCAAGTTCATGAAGGGACATAATTATGCTGTTATGTGAAAGAATCAACTCTGTGTGCTCAGCAGACCATCCAGACACATCCTAAGCATTGTGTCTCCGAAGTAGATCAGTTTAGCTGTGACATCCTATAGCAGTATCTCTATTATGTGTCCTGTTCTATTCATCAGCATCTCAACCGAAAAGGTAGGAAAAGTTAGAAGCTCACTCCTGGAAACAGTCTGGGTTTGTCTATCAGGACAGCTATTTATAATGCTTGCCTGCCTTTGCTATCTTCCAAAGAGTTTAGTCTGAGGATAAGACAGAATAACAGCATAAAGTGTATGTGCACAAACATGCCCACACATATGCACATACACACAAATACACAAACATATACATCAATCTTACTGTGAAAATATAAAATGTGTTACATATGCAGTCATATTTTAGAATGGAGCTTATTCTCACCTCTCCCTCTCTCTCTCACACTCAATTAATATTTCAACTGCTTCCTATTCATTTATCAGAAGATTTACATCATATTATTGATCTGTTTCAGACCCTCTCTTTCACAGAATTTTGTGAGGATTGGGGATTATTTTTTCTTGTCTGCAATAAATCTAATATGTTCTTTAAAAAGGACAATCATTTGACCGAATGTATGTGGAATGGAGAAAAGACGTGTGAAAATTTCAGGAAAAATATAAATACATTTTAAGATGTATTAACTAAATCCTGCACTTTATTTCTTGTGTAATTTATTACAACTATCTTATAAATTTATAGACTCTAATGTCTGAAGTCAAACCTCTTGTCTCTAACCATATCACCCTAAGAACAATGACTCTGTAGCCAGACTACTTGGGCTCAGATCCTGAATACAGTATGTGCTTGTTTCATAACTTTGGGTGAGTTTCTTAACCTGTCTGCTAATAGTATCTAGGTCTTAGCATATTGTGAGAAATAAATCAATATATGTAGTGGTACTTAGAACAAGGTCTAATACCCACTAAGTAGTTGACATCTAGCAAGCATATCACATGTGTATTTCAACTGTGCATTTTGAACTAGGGAAATAATCATAAAGTAGGTTTTAGGAACCACAGGTTCCACTGAAATAAGAATCTGAGCAAAAATTACATTGATAATCTTACTCCCCAAGCCTTTATTTTGACTACCAGTAAAACAAAATGGCGTATTATGTCTCCAGGAATTCATATTATTTCAGAACCAGGGCCCCAGTGATCCCTGAAAAAGCGTGCTTATTTGTCTACCTTCAATGCACAGACACACCCTGGTAAATGTGACAGTTCCTTTTGGAGAATGCAGGGAGAAAGACAGAAGATATACATGTTTGACTGTGTGGGCAAGGTCCTTCCTCAAAGAGACAAGCTTCCCCTTCATTCAAAGGGCTGTGGATCTGTGACTGCCTGGAGGGTGAGAATTTTGATTCAAGTCAAACTTCTTTTTACTATGTTTAGAACTTTTCTACTTACACAAATCAAAGAGGATTTTAATAGACTACCACCGCATTTCAATTCTAGAGAACCATGACCATTGAGCTAATGCAAGAGATCTCTGCAGATCAAAGCATTTGGGACACTCCAGCTCTGCAACCTATTGCAGTAACCACGATGGCAGCTGGCCCTGACACTCTGGGATCCCATCAGCCTGATTGCCTTCAAGGTGCCCACTTAAAAGGCAGCATTTCTAACTGTCATTGCAGCGAATATCTGCACTGAATTCTTCACAGATTCTGGGCATCTCCTCCCCAAATTTATTTTCTTACAGCTTTGGAGATGGGAATTTTCTGGGGTCCTTTTGGGGACACATAATTAGAGGTAAACTGTCTGTCATATGTGATAAATCCACCCTACTCTTCCAATCTTCCTAAGCCATTTGATGCATTTCTCCGTACCAAGAAAATTCAAGCATCCTAACTTCATTTAGTGAGAGTAATCCTTTAATGAAACAAGCAAGCAAGCAAGCAATCAGAGTCACTCTTAGATACTTAACATTTCAAATTCAATTTAGAATCTGTGGTCTAGAATATTCATACCAACAAATTCAAGAAAAATATTAACATTATATTCCTTCCAATCTGATCCAACATTCATGAGGATCTATTTCTCACATGTTCTTCAGGTTTCTGACAATACTAATTGGCAAAATTTTAAGAATTTTGGTATGGTTTTCACCTTCACATAGGCCACATTTTTATAATCTCACCCTCTGGGATTAGAGTCTGATTGTAGGTCTAGAACCAATGAGAGGTTAAGGGTTATGTTTTAAAGATCAGCAGTCCCCTGTAATTCAAATACTTCAGAAGAGGCTGTTACACATTCCTTAGGCAGAAGAAAACTAACTTTTTCAAACAAGGGAGAAAGGATGTTTCTAATGATAAAAGAAGCACAGAAAAATTTAGGATTAAATTCCCTAGCTTCATTAGAATTTGTTTCATATAATCCCATCCATATTTTCAGAGTATAACTCCTTATGAATATCCTAACTTTAATATGAAAGATCCTGTGAAGTTGTAAATTTAATTGCTTTTTAATTTAGCTACTAACAGAGTTAGAGTTTTGGTGAGGTTTTCAGAAATCTCAGTCCTTTGGCTACAGAATACAAAAGTTTATTTTAAGGAAGACTTAGAAGTGTTCTCATTTCTTGTATTTGACTGGAAAATTAAAACTTTGAACTCATTATTTACTTTTCCCAAGTCCTCAAGCACAATCAGAAGTAATTAACCAAACCCCATTACCCTCCTTATTTTTATAAAGTAATCTGTGGCAGAAAGTATTTTGTCACCAAAAACCTTTCCTTTTATAAACATTTGATTACAGGTGTCTACAGGTTATTATAAGTAATAATTTTGCCATGGATTAACGGTGTCCATATTACCATTCTCCGTGGGATCATTAATGTCTTGAAATATAATTAGATCAAATATCAATTCCAGATAGCCCAGAGCCATTACAGAGAACACTTCCAAAAAGTTTTTTTTTCCCCTGGAACTTTTTCTAATATGAATTTCTCTATAATTTGCAGTTCAGTCAGAGAAGTAGAACCACTGAGTTATATAATAAAGGGCTAATTATAGGGAATCCACCATATGCAATTGTGAGTACTATAGAAAGTTGTTGACTGTGATAAGAGAATGAAGTTACTGTAGATCAGGAAGGCCACTAGTCAAGATAAAACGCCAGCCATAAGGCATCGGGGAGCGCAGAGCATTGTAAACCCCGCCTCTGTCTCTCACCACACGCCAGCTTGGTGATACAGTGATGTGGAAAAGAAGCTGATACTTTTCATCTGGACCACGGTTTGGGAAACTTAAGAAAGAGATCCAGTGGGATCTGTAATCTCTGCAACCCTGGCTGCTGCCCTACACCATCTCTGTGTGACAGAAGATCAGTGACAATTTGTGTGAGATATAGTAGTGCTTTCCCCTACACTGACTTTCAGAGAGTGGTGGCTGCTGCTACACTTTTGCCTTGCAAATCTCACACAAATCTCTCCTGAGGCCAAAACTAACCTGCAAAAGTAATAATAGGAATTGTAGTTCCAATAGTTAATTTTGTACAAAGCTATCAGATAGATAAATGTCATGATTTTAAGCTACAAAATTCAATAACTCTGGGAACATTTTGGAAATCAGTCTTATTCTGGCCTCATTATTCCATTTTGACTCATTATTTCAGCCCTCAGACCTTCAATTTGTAGAGTTACACTGCATCACATTTTGACCTGTTGCTTAACACTATTAAAAATTTATACTTTATAGGCCAGGTGCGGTGGCTCACGCCTGTAATCCCAGCACTTTGGGAGGCCGAGGAAGGTGGATTATGAGGTCAGGAGATCGAGACCATCCTGGCTAACACGGTGAAACCCCGTCTCTATTAAAAATACAAAAAAAAAAAAAGTTAGCTGGGCGTGGTGGCGGGTGCCTGTGATCCCAGGTACTCGGGAGGCTGAGGCAGGAGAATGACGTGAACCTGGGAGGCGGAGCTTGCAGAGAGCCAAGATCGCGCCACTGCACTCCAGCCTGGGTGACAGAGCAAGACAGAGCAAGACGGAGGGACAGAAATCACTCCATCTCAAAAAAAAAATAAAAATTATACTTTATAAGTGGGTTTAGTTTCCATTAAGTGTGATATTATTTCTCTAAGTCAGGTTCCATGGTTTCCATGTTCAATATCATGTTTGTTTGCACATAATATAGCCCAAATGCATGGAAATTATAAAAAATAAAGACTAAAACTCCAAATATTAACCATATAATTTACTGACAATTTCATTCAAACCAATTAAGTTCCAAGATTAGGGCTTCTTATCCCTGGTTCTTTGTGACTCAGATTCACAATAACTAATGACCCATAGCACAAGGCATTTGACTAAATATATATGTGTGTGTGTATATATATATTTTTTGTTTGTTTGTTTGTTTGTTTGTTTGTTTTTGAGATGGAATCTTGCTCTGTCACTCAGGCTGGAGTGCAATGGTGTGATCTTGGCTCACTGTAACATCCGCCCTATAGGTTCAAGCAATTCTCTACCTCAGCCCCCCTAGGAGCTGAGATTACAAGCCTGTGCTACCACACCCAGAAAATTTTTGTACTTTTAGTAGAAATGGGTTTTCACCATGTTGGCCAGGCTGGTCTTGAACTCCTGACCTCAAGTGATCCACCCGCCTTGGCTTCCCAAAGTGCTGGGATTACAGGCACGAGTCAACGTGCCTGGCCTTGACTAAATATTTTTAATAATCTTGCCAAGTCCGAAAAACTTATGATTGGGAAAAGTTCTTGAATTATAAAACACTTATTACCTAGTGCCAGAGTGTATTAGACATAAAAATACATATTTAAATAGTTGCTCTGGTGATTTAATTTGTATATAAATTTCTTGCTTTTTAATGTAGCAGGAGACATTCTCTGCCTTTCATGCCATCCAACATGGAAGCTGTCTATTAAAGGATGTCATACTATTATTCCAGTTGTTAGCAATGGTTTCTGCCACTACTACATATGCAGTATTCTGAATTAGTTTATTTCATGCAAAAACCATGTATTAATCAGGGTTCTCCAGAGGGACAGAAATCACAGGACAGATGTATATATGAAGGGGAATTTATTAGGAGAATTGTCTCACACGATCACAAGATGAAGACCCACAATAGGGAGGCTGCAGGCAGAGGAGCCAGGAAACCAGTCCAAGTCCCCAAACCTCAAAAGTAGGAAAGCCGATAGCACAGCCTTCAATCTGTGGCCAAAGGCCTGACAGCCCCTGGCAAATCACTGGTGTAAGTCCAAGAGTCCACAAGCTGAAAAACATGGAGTCTGATGTTTGAGGGTAGAAAGCATCCAGCATGGGGGAAAGACGGAGGCCAGAAGACTTAGCCAATCTAGTCCTTCCATGTTCTTCTGCCTGCTTTTATCCTAGCTGCACTGGCAGCTAATTAGATTGTGCCCACCCAGAGTGAGGGTGGGTCTACCTCTCCCAGCCCAGTGACTCAAATGTTAATCTCTTTTGGCAACATCCTCACAGACACACCCAAGAATGATACTTTGCATCCTTCAATCCAATCAAGTTGACACTCAGTATTAGCCATCAAAAACCGTAATGTTTCTGACTCTAAAATCTTAATTAATTTTTTATAGAACATATCCTACCAGCCATTTAACAAACCTGCTATACTAGTTTAATGGATTTACACATGTGTGTATTTAACTTGCATACGACGTGATTCAATCCATGTGATGATTGAATAGGTATTACTGCAGAATTAACAAATAGACTAAAGTAAAACATCTACTGAGAAAAATTATTGATCCCAGAGTATTATTCCAGAAATGTGTTTGGAAAAATAAACCAGAATCTTTACATAAATTTCAATAAGGATCTATTCCATAATTGATTGATCATCAATATCTTTCCAGAATAGAAGAAAATCTAAAAGATATTTTATCATTCATTTTCAGTTATTTTTAATAACATTTTAAAAGTTTTCTCAGTAAGCCTTTTTCTCATCTTATTTCTGTGAAAATCTATTTTTTAATGGTCTTTTTCCCTTGGTTGTGTTCACTTTCACTCACTCTTCTTTTTGCTTAATTCGTTTGTATTTTCAATTATAGATACCCATTAAGCATAATTCTTCCTCCGTATTATTATTTAACTCTTGGTGGAGATAAACGTTTCCTTCTTTGTTCTTGACTGTAATGCATACATTCCTGTGATAGGCTCTACAGTAATTTATTCCTCTTATTTCTTTATATGTCTGTCACCTTCTACAACCCTGGTAGCACTTCAGGAGTAGAGACTACGTTTTACTTTAAATCCTCAATGTCAAGCACAGTATCAGTATAAGCAGGCAGTTAGTGTGCATTTGACTGAAGGATAAATGAGTAGATGACTGTAATAAAATAAAAGTGCCCTAGGAATTAGAAATTGCTTTTATCTTCGAAGATATATTTAGGAATCCATGAAGCACAAATAGAGTAATATTTGTACAACTATTAGGAATAAGCTGCAAGAATGAGGGTTCTGTAGGATTATAGTCATTAGTGGCATGTCATTATTGTATTTATTCATACACTTTGCAAATGTGAGACAGAGGAATAGCAATCAGTGTGGTTAAGCAGCACATGTTTGCAGGGTTAATTTAATACCTATCTCTTGCAGCTCTTCTCTCTGCTCACTGAAAATGAGAAATCTTCATTATGAATTAAGGAAAAAATATATAAAAAGTTAAGAATCACTGCTCTGTGGTTTAATAGAAACCATAAGTTAAAATATAAATAAAATTTATATGAGACCAATTTAAAAACACATTGCCCATGGTTCATTGTCTGGCTGCTGCTCCGGACACTGATGAATCTTTACATCAAAGTATGGAATAATTGATGTTTGCACACATATTACTATCTAGTTTCATCAGGCTTCAGGTATTTAATGTGATAAAATGTATGAATTATGATTTCTCCCAGTGACTTTCTACAACAGCCATAATTACAAAGGCTCAGGCCATTTTTTTTCTCTTTTAATGTATGACTACCTGGAGAAATAATTTAAAAAAGGACTTAATTTCTTTCTTCATTTAACAGTATTGCAAGTAAACTTTGGGCCCCAAAGCTGGCTATTGTAGCAAACAATTTTTTTAGCTTAATTCTTTATTTAATTTCTATTGTCTTTCTATTGGATTCTTACATATCATTTGAAAGATTGAGGGGCTCTTATTTTGCTTGTACACCTTAGAGGTGAATCAAGTCAACCTAAAATGTATCCATTTTTTTGTTAACTTAGAAGCATATCTAAACCTAAAACTACTTGGGAAAGGAAAGAATGGCTTTAAGAACACTCTTTGCTGTCATCATGCAAAGGAAGTATTAAATTCTGGTATTCTGGTTTTAAATAGATACATACATATGTGTGTGTGTATGTGTGTGTAATATTTATATAAACACATACATACACACATATAAGTGTGTGTGCATATATATACACATATATATATACACACATATATATATGCACACACACATATATATGACTTACGTGATTTAAAATTTAAGTCTCTTCCAAGGACAGGAGGTATTATTTCAAATATTTTGAGTGAGGCAGACATTAGAAAAACTTTTTTTTTAAAAAAAAAGTAGAAAATGAAATATGTATTTTCTGGCTCAGTCATTCTGAATACTTTCAGACTTGATGTATCTTATTGTGTGCTACTTGATTTTTGAGCCATTTCAGTCCTAAAGAACATGTGATTTAATAATGGCTCCCATATCAATGCTTCAAATTGGTTCCATATAAATACCTCTAATATGAAGTCTTCTTGGTACAAAGCCCATCTAGACAGAGGTTAAGGTAAATTTGTTTTAAGGAAAATCTGGTATACAGAGAATGTGTTACATTGAAGTTATTATACATTTTTAATTAAAAATAATTTCCAAATTTTATGATATCTCTAGGGTGCTATAAAACTGGGATTTGTAATCACCAAGAAAGACCATTTACCATATGGTTTCACATAGTATTATGGCTTTTGTAAGTAACAGTTTTGCCTTTAGGTATATGTTTGTCAAATATGCTGAAAGGACATTATACGCTTTTTCAAGTTTAAATAAAGGAAAAATATGTTAATTCAACATTTTTATATATCTATATCTTTCTTGTAATCTCAGGTCCTCATTAATGGAATGCCCTCGGGGGCACTTAAGTGCAACTAAGCATCAGTTGTAAATGCATTATGACTTTATTTTCTTCCCAGAAATAGAGTCTCGATCTATTTCCATTCTTATAAATTATAAACCTCCACTGCCTGTTGCTGAGGCTTTAACTGCACAGAAGCAGAGTTCTCGGCTTGTCAGGCATTAATAATGGCTCTGCCTGTCTGCCCTTCAGCTGAGACATTAAACTGAGGTCTTATCCACTTACCTCTAGTGGCTGCTCAAGTGGAGTTAAAGATCGCACCATGCTTTTCAGAAAGAGGATGGGGCAACCTCAGAGCCTTGACCTTCATTTTCAAAACATGTAATATACAAGGATGGGAGTAAGTTATTACTTTATATCTGAAGGTGCTAACTTGATTTTAATGGTCTATGGAATCCTCAGAATCAAAACAATGATTTTAGAATTTCACTTTAGGATATTTTGAAATTATGAAACATACTGTAATTTTATTTTGTAAAGTCATAAAGAGAATAGTCATATCTGTAATATGATGAGAAATAACTTTTCTATTATAGCTAAATTTAAATTGTCCACATAGCATGTCTTTCAAGAATCCATTACCTAAGTAACATAGATTTGGGGAGGTAGCAAAGTAGCTCTCATTGATTTGAGACCAGGTCTACATTTCATGTACCAGGTTGCACCAGGAGTTTAGAAGCAGGTAGAATGGTCTGAGATAGGTGGGAACGTTCTCTTGTTGCATCAAGTAATTTTTATTAGTTGCGTAATACCTGAAGCAAATATTCTAATTTAACCTTTGCTCCAGTACATAATATTGTCCAGTATAAAAGCAACTGGAATAGATAAATTGCATTTAAGAGTTAAAGTGATCATGTGGTATTTGAGATCTCACTTATTGAGAGTGATCTCACTTATATGTGGAATCTAAGAGTCAAGTTTATAAAAACAGAGGAGAAATATGGTTGATAGGGTGGAGGGCAGAGCAGGGGATAAGTGGTGAAATGCGATACTGTTTGTCAAAGAATACAAAATTTCAGTAAGACAGAAGAAATATATTCACAAAATCTCTTGTACAATAAGATGACTATAGTGGATAGTAATTTATTGTATAGCTGAAAATTGCTAAGAATACATTTTAAGTGTTCTCACCACAAAAATTGATTAAGTATCTGAGGTTAATGGACATATTAATTATCTTATTTTAGCCATTCCACGATGTGGACATATATCCAAACATTATGTTGTACATCATAAATATATACAATATTTATTTGTCAATCTAAAAATAAATATTTATTTTTAATTGAAAAAGGAATTACAAAAATAACTCAAAGTACATGCATTGGGATTAACAAAAATCTAACTTCCAAGAGCACAATTTTGTTTAATTTTCTAAACTTGGCTACTGGAAGTGAGAAACTAAATGCTGTCACGTGGTTGTATGACATGAAACAGAAAAGTGAAAGCAAGTTTAGTCTAGTTTGTGTATAGTTTGCAAGTTGATAGTCATATAAAATATCTTGAAAGTAGGTTCTTTCCATTTCATTCTATTCTCCCAGGTACTTAACAAAGTACCTGTCACGTATTTGGGTATGAAAAGAATGATAAAGGTACTCAGGAATGAATGAAAGAAAAACATTATCCTTTTAAAAAGAACAAGTTTATATTTTTAAAGAGGTCTCTTCCAAATAAAACTCCAAAGATTAGATTTATCCAAATACTCGTAATCTCAGTAAAGACATACCCTTAGAGTCTTTGAGGTATCTCAGGAGAAAGCCCTGAGGCTACCTCAACAATTGTAGACCACCTCCTTTGGGCATCTATAATAGGAGCAAGACAGCTTTTAACTCATCTGTATCAAAAAAATATATTACACTTTGCCTTACCACCTAGTAGAGCAAAAAATATAAAACGTTGTTTTCCACTTTATAGAACAAAACATTTCAGAAGGAAATGTTTATGTTTCAATTTCTTCCTTGTTAACACCATTCCTCTACCAGGGCTTTATAAAGAAGCCAACCAGTTTAAATGTTTGACTCATATAGACTTCTTGACCACATCTCATTAACCTCTATTATACTACTACCATGCGAGTAATAGATCTCACTGGAAATTTATTTATTTATTTATTTATTTATGGAGATGGAGTCTTGCTCTGTCTGTCGCTCAGGCTGGAGTGCAATGGCATGATCTTGGCTCACTGCTACCTCCGCCTCTTGGGTTCAAGCACTTCTGCCTCAGCATCCCAAGTAGCTGGGATTACAGGCATCTGCTACCACGCCTGGCTAATTTTTGTATTTTTAATAGAGATGGGGTTTCACCATATTGGCCAGGCTGGTCTCGAACTCCTGACCTCGTGATCCGCCCACCTCAGCCTCCCAAAGTGCTGGGATTACAGGCATGAGCCACCTTGCCCAGCCTTCACCGGAACTTTGAACTGACTAGTTTGTTGAGATCATATAAAAACAACAGACACAGGAAGAAAGCAGAGAGATAAAAAAGCTATCATCCGGCTGGGCGCAATGACTCACACCTGTAATCCCAGCACTTTGGGAGGCCGAGGCTGGCAGATCAGAGGTCAGGAGTTCGAGACCAGCCTGATCAACATGGTGAAACCCCATCTCTACTAAAAATACAAAAATTAGCTGGGCATGGTGGTGCATGCCTGTAATCCCAGCTACTCAGGAGGCTGAGGCAGGATAATCGCTTGAACCCGGGAGGCAGAGGTTGCAGTGAGCCGAGATCGCACCACTGTACCCCAGCCTGGGAGCAAGACTCCGTCTCAAAAAAAAAAAAAAAAAAAAAAAGCTATCATCTCTAGTTTTCTTTAGGTATGTGTAATATTTGATTTGGAATCTGTGAATTGGATTAAATTATTTCAGTTTCTATATTGACGATATATAATCAATCACATGTCCAAAAGCATGTTTCATCTTTTCATAAGACTAAACCAGAGTGACTCTGAACTGAAAGCAAAAATTATCAAATATTTGTAGAATGATTTCATCAAAGGAAGGAGTAATAAAAGAATAATGAGAGGACCACCTTTGCACAGTTGAAGCTTAGCTTCTGCAATTGAAGTGACAACCTTGATAGCCAGGTAGCTATGTCCAGCACATCACAGCTCTTCATAAAACTCCCTGTGTAGTCATCACAATGAGAGGCTCAATAAGAACTCTAAGAGAAATAAACCTGAAAGAAGAGAAAAAACTTTTCTGTACAAATATATTTTAAGTACATTTATTATGGCAAAGTAATTTTTACTGCAAATATGTCATGCTGAATTAGATTTTTCCAATATGTAATCTACTATATTGAAATAAATTAGAAATTTTGAAAGCTGCATGAATATTTTCAAACCACTATCAGAAATACGTATTAATGATATCTTAAGAAGCTGAAAAACAATTTCTAAAAATGCCTAATTCAGGCCGGATGAGGTGGCTCACACCTGTAATCCCAGAACTTTGGGAGACCTAGGCGGGTGGATCATGAGGTCAGGAGTTCAAGACCAGCCAGACCTGCCTGGCCAGGATGGTGAAACCCCATCTCTACTAAAAATACAAAAATTAGCCGGGTGTCGTGGCACCCACCTGTAATCCCAGCTAGTCAGGAGGCTGAGGCAGAGAATTGCTTGAACCCTGGAGGCAGAGGTTGCAGTGAGCCGAGATCGCGCCCCTGCACTCTAGCCTGGGAGACAGAGCGAGACTCCATCTCAACAACAACAACAACAAACAAAAACAACAAAAATGCCTAATTCAAGATAGGCATATAAAATGCCAACATTAATTCAATTCAATTATCTAGCAAAGGGCAAAAAAGTCTTAATTACATGTATTTAAAATTTTAAATGTAAGATAAATCACTTGGTATTATATGTCTAAAGGTATTTGCAAATGTAGGAAATTTCCTGTTTTCAAAGACTGGGTATAGCATGGAAATAGTATGGAAGGCTTTACCTATGCCTTACACAAATACAAAAGTATAAATATATATATATATATCTAAACTAATGGTCAAAATTACTGAAAATTTGTATAGAAATATAAAAGCTGTGGTGATAATTAATAAATAAATAAGGATCAAGTTACCATTCTCAAAACACCATTATTATAAGAGATGACTTAAGATGCTAGGCACTTTTGTATTCTCCTTGAATATATAATAGTAAAAAAAATAGACACCATGTCTTGATTAATTACAAGTGCACCACCTTAGTTAATCTTTAAAACAAACCAAAGCACACAGATATCAATTGTCTTGCTGGAAGTCAACAATTCAGTAACTATAAGAATATTTATGAACCTAGTTCATCTGAAGTCAAAGCCTGTGTTTTGAGCTTTTATTCTGTCCTCATGAGTAACTCTAAAAATATGAAGCTAGAAGTATAAATAACTTGAAATAAATTTAGTTCAAGTTCTTAATTAAAGTGATGGAGCTAATTGTTCAAATATTGCAATTTTCATATTTTCCAAAGCCTTGCCTGGAAAATTTATAAATTTAAATATGCAGCTTAGGTAAGCAGAATTTAAATTTTTAGTGGTTGAAGATATTTAGAATGGGGTCTTAGCCTCAGACACTTCAGAAGCCCATATCTATTCAAATTATAAAATAAAGATAGGAACATTTCAATTTCTTTAAAACTGTGTTTAATGACAGCAGTGTCTTTCTGGTGCTTGTCTCAAAGTCAACCTGTAGCCATGGCATCATAGATTTAAGTAAAGCTATATCATTAAGGGAGAATGTGAGAAATAATATTGAAAGGGAACAAATAATCCTGCTCCCCCAGGATACAGAAATAATGTCATATAATAGGAAACTTTATATGAAATTCAATCCAGATCACTTTATTTCTATTCTTCTTTATTTGATTACCTTATCATCTTCCAAGACCTGCAGCCTAATGGGAGTTCACAAAAAAAACAAGATTTCATGTCTATATCCTGAAGTGTAATAAAGGGGGAAAAGAATTGTATGCCAAAGTCAAAAACCTAAGTTTTTCTCTTGATTTCACCACTATCTACTTTTGATACCTTGGAAAATCATTTAATTTCTCTGAGACTCTTTTCTTCATTTGTAAAATGACAGTAATTATACGTGCTCTGAGTTTTTGTGAGAATCAAATGAGATAATGTGTGTGAAAATGCTTTGTGGATTGTGCAAATATAAGTTGCTCTTTTGCAGTGAAGAAGATAATTTAATAACCAATCTCTTCTCAAGATGAGTATAAATCAAAAAGCCATAAGAGCCTTGAAAAAATAATGTATTTTTGACATCTTTGGTCTTACTACCAATCTAAGAAACTTGTGAACTAAAGTAATAGTCAAAGGACAGGGACAAGTATTTGGTTCCATCACGGGGAGAGCCAAGCCTGAACCCAAAGATAGGGGAGAATGAGGCACAATGACCCATGAACACTGAGTCAGCAGTGCAGGTCTGTAGGGTGGCATCTTTCAAAAAGATAAAAATGACATTTCTTCATTTTTGTAAGTATTTTGAATTTCTGACATATCATACATACACATTAAATTATGCATTTATTTATTTTTTTTTTTGAGACAGAGTCTCGCTCTGTCACCCATGCTGGAGTGCAGTGGCTCAATCTCAGCTCACTGCAACCTCTGCCTTCAGGGTTCATGCCATTCTCCTGCCTCAGCCTCCCAAATATCTGGGACTGCAGGTGCTCGCCACCATGCCCGGCCAATTTTTTTTTGTATTTTTAGTAGAGACGGGGTTTCACCGTGTTAGCCAGGATGGTCTTGATCTCCTGACCTCGTGATCTGCCTGTCTCAGCCTCCCAAAATGCTGGGATTACAAGTGTGAGCCACCTCGCCTGGCCTTAATTATGCATTTTAAAGATAAATTTGAATGATTTGAATAGATTAGCCATGGTCTTACTCTGTTGGCATCTATTGAGATAAGTAAATATGAGTGTGCTAAAAAAAAATTCAAAATTTATTTTTCATGATGACTTATCAGATTTCTTAATGCATTTATTTGTTTAAAAAAGCTGCTTGTCACCTAACATATATATATATAAACATAAAAAAAAACAGTAAGATCAGCTCATTCACAGTTTTACCTAGCAATCATATCAAACATTCCTCTAAGAATTGTAAATATGAAAAAAAACAGAAAAAGCTCTAGCTTTAAAAAAGACTTAGTTGTGAATATTAATTTTACTCATCAATGTGTAGTGATTTGACTACTGTTTTATTAGAAAGGGAAGGGATAACGCTTATGACATCGATCTAGGAAAGGGCAAAATGAGGAAAATCTGTTAGTTAAACAAAACACAGGAAAATCACAGTTGTGATTTCACATTTTATTTTCAAAAAAAGAAGATAGAATATCCTTTCAAGTTGCTTTCCCCTAGGGCCTCCAAAATAGAACACTGTATTGAAATCAGCAGGTCATGTACGAGAAGATGGTTTAACTGCTAATTAACACTAGATGATATGCTGAGAATTACATGCTAATTAATTCTCTGTAAGGCTAAATGCCCTTTCTTCTATGTCATTTTCAATGAACACATTAATATTAAGACTAAGGTAGCATGTTTGTCATATGAATTCGTAATCAAAAATTAGTGTATGTCAAAAGTTGGACATATCAGAATTTTTCTCTTAAATAGAGGTGATTGAAGTACGGAAAGTACTTACTGGAGAAAACACAGACACGTCGAAATGCCATTGTGGATATTTTGAAAATATAAAAACATTACAAGACAAAGAAAGAAAGTAAGAGGAGTTCCAAATCAAAAGGATTCCTTCTGGTAAACCCTTAATTTCAACGGTGTTGGACAAGTCTATGGTACAAAGGCATTGTGTGAATAAGACCTAACTCCACATTGGTGAGAAGTCTAGAGCAGTCTTTTTAAAAGCATTTTCCAGGTTGTAGACAATGATGAGGCAGAATTTGCCTGCTTGGCCAAAGAGGATTATTTTCCCTGGGGTAAGGCATGCCTACAGATAAATTGGGATTTGGAAGGTAGCCAAAAGTTGGTAGCTTCACTATGTATTCCTTCCAGAAAGCTCAGTATTTTTCATTGTGGTTAACATGTCTCACTGGCTTGATAATAATATCTTAATCACTGCTTCCTCTGTATTCTTCCAAGGGCAGGGAGGTTCAGCTGTGTAAGAATCTGTCTACCACAAATAAAAACTATCAAACGGATTTTAAAACCTCTGTGGTCGACCCTTTTGTAAAAGCTTCACTATCAGTCTGCTTTAGATGTGATTTGTCTGCTTATTTATTTATTGCTTTCATGCATTATTCTATTTGGTCTACAACATTTAAAAAATACCTAAATATTTTACAATCATTAAAGCTGGCTGGAGAGCTTTAGAAAAACATTGTTGCAAAAGAGCTCCAAGTGAAAGGCTCTCTTTTGGTGATGTAAGGTTGAAATGTGACTGAATATAACAATTATAATTTTTCATTTGCAAAATAATTCATCTCTTGAGTAAACATTAGTTGTGCATTCATTTTTTAATAAGAAGAAATAGGCATAGCAACTCAGAAATGATAATGTGCACCCAATAATGCATATTACACGAGGATGTTGTTTTGCTTCGTATTGACAAGTTTTTTTTATAAAATAGCAATTTTATTTAGAAAGGCCAAATTAAAGTTCCACAAATGAGAATATATTGCATTTTAACTAACGGAATTGGTACATAGTCAAAGTCAAAAGTGAATTTTCATTGATAATACTTACAAAAAAGTCAAAGTATATAGTGTAAGAAGACTTAGAAGGTTGAAAAAACTAGAGTTTGATGGCTAACACTGCAATTTAATTGCTTTGTGATTTTGCATAAGTTTCTCAACTTTAGTCCTTTAGTTTCCACATATGTAAAATAAATATATTAATACTTGCAGCATCATGGTCTTGTAATAATTAAATGAGAAAACAAAAGTGAATTATCTAACATATGGTCCAGCATATAGGAGGCAATAAATGCTAGAAAATAGTGATTATAGTAAAATTGAACATTTCTTTTTATTTAATCAGTGGTCCCATATATTGAACTCCAAATTAGGTTTGATGCGAGGTAACAATTATTGAAAAGTAATAAATAAATAACACTAACATGAATGACTAGTGCCATGGAAAGAATCACAGATCCTGGTCAATACTCATGAATATCAACAAGTGTTTAATGCATAATTGCTGCTGAGAAATCTGAGTTTGGTCCTGGCATGTCATTAACTAGCATAGTCTCTACAACTAGCCCTCACAAAGTCCTACATCCTAGGGAACAGGCAGTGCAGTTCACCTGGGAGGCTGCCTGTAGGAGCAAATGAGCCAAAGCATACATTCCCCAGAAAGGCAGAGCCTGAAAGCCACCAGCCTGCCTGGGGCCACTCTCACTGACTGCAAACTTATTCCCCATACCACAGGCACTGTGCACTAGCACATGTCCAAAGGACAGTCTCTTTCTGCACACTGCTATCGCTGCCACTACAACTGAGGGTTGAAGCACACACTCCCCAGAGCCTGAAAGCCACCTCATACATGGGGCCACATCCACTGACAAGTCCTCAACCCCACTGTCAGAAACAGGGTTGCTGCACATCTGTATGCACCCTGAGGAGAGGCTCTCCCCAGTCACCACCATGGATCATCACCTTCTGTTAATAACAGCTTGTGCCCATGAATACCACTGGGGAACCTGAGGATACGCCTGGCAAGCCTGTCATTCTCCTCCCTCAATGCTTGAGCACATTGCCTGGGGACTGGGGATCACCCTGCCCAGTCCACCACCACTGTCATCTGTTCACTCGTTCTTGGAACCTTTGTATATGCCCACCCGGTCTACTGCTAACACCACCTCCAGCACCCACCTGTATGAATCAGCTGGAAACCTGGGGCCTAACTCACCCGGCATGTCACAGTCACACCTATTAATAACTTTAGCAAGCACGGCCTGAGGGTCCATTACTACTATCATTGCCCATGCCATGCATGCTGCACAGGGGCCCGAGGTCCACCTCACCCACCAGGTTCACTGATGTCACTGCTCTCACTTGAACAAGATGCACAGAGGCCCAAGAATTGACCCAGCAGGACCCACTAACATTGATACTCATGCCAGCTTTAATGATTGTAAAATCATGCTACCCAAGGGCCAAATGATAGTAAAATATGGTACCCAAGGACCAAAAGATAGACATGCTTGGCCTGCTGCTGCCACCACTGGAGCCCCAAAACTGGACCACTTGGAACCCACATCCCCAAGAAAGCCTCACCACAGCCTCCACTACCAAGCATAGCCAAGCCACTGAGGAAACCACAGACACCACTGGCATTATTCACAGCTGAAAAATCATAAAAATACTACACTACTGCATTCATCCAGAATCATAGCTAAAGTACCCAATACAACAATCACCATAAACACATCTTCAGGAAGATATCTTTTCCCACAAAAGCCAATAAGAAAATTTGGAAGAAGCAACTCTTATGCCAGATGCACAAATATCAGCCTAAGGACACAAGGAACATGAAAAAGCAAGAAAGTATGACACCTCCAAAGGAATACAATAATTCCCCACCAGCAGATTTCAATGAAAAAGACATTTATAATATTCCCAAAAAGAAATTTAAAATAATGTTGTTAAAGAAGCTCAGTGAGATATAAAAGAACACAGATAAACATACAAAGAAATCAGAAAATTATTCAGGATATGAATGAGAAATTCACCAGAGAGATAGATATCATTTTAAAAAAGTAAACCAGAAGTACTGAAACTGAATAACTCATAAATAAAATAAAAAATACAATCAAGGGTGTCAACAATAGACTAAATCAAGCAGAATAATTTCAGAACTTGAAGACAAGTCTTTTGAAATAATTACACACACACAAAAGAAAAAAAAGAATAAATAAGGACAAATAAAGCCTAAGGAACATATGGGGCACCAAAAAGCAAACAAATATTTTGAATTTCGGTTGTTCCAGAAAATAAAGAGAAGGTCAAAAGAGCAATCAGAGGAGGTTGCTACCTAATGATAAAGAATTCATTTCAGCAAAAGAATATAACAATTCTAAATATATATGTACCTAACATCAGATACATAAGCAAATAATAATATATCTAAAGAGATAAGATACAATATAACAATACTTGCAAATGTCATCATTCCACTCTCAGCATTGGACAGCTCATCTAGACAGTAAATTAACAAGAAAAGATTGGATTCAAACTTTACACCAAATGGATCTAATAAACATTTACAGAATATTTTGTGCAAAGCTATAAAGTACACCTTCTTCTCATTGGCACATAAAACATTTTCCAGGGTAGACTATATGTTAGGACACAAAACAAACCTCAACAAATTTTTTAAAAATAAAATCACATCAAGTATTTTCTCAGACCACAGTGGAATAAAACTAGATGTCAAAAACAAGAGGAACTTTAGAAGCTATGTACAAATATATGGAAATTAAAGAACATGCTCCTGAACAACCACTGGGTCAATGAAGAAATTAAGAAAATTTTAAAATTTCTTCTTAAAACAAATAAAAGTGGAAACACATTATATCAAAACCTACAGAACACAGCAAAATCAATGCTAACAGGGAACAGTGTAGCAATAAATGCCCAAATGAGAAAAGTAGAATGATTTCAAATTAACCACCTAATATTCTTGCTTCTTGAGAATTTAGAAAAGCTAGAAAAACAGGAACAAACTGAATATTAGTAAAAGAAAGGAAAGAACAAAGATCAGAAGAGAACTAAACAAAATAAATACTACAAAAACAATACAAGGAATCAACAAATGTAAATTTGGTTTTTTGAAAAGATAAACAAAATTGTTAAACCACTACTAAATTAACCAAGAGAGAAATGATCCAAATAAACAAAATCAAAAATGAAAAAGGAGACATTATTATTGATGCCACAGAAACACAAAAGATTATCAGAGACTATTATGAACAACTATACACTAAGAAACTACAAAACCTAAAGAAAATAAAAATTCCTAGAAACGTACCATTTGTAAAATAGAACCACGAAAAAAAAATTAAACCTTAGTGAACCAATAAAAATGAGATTGAATTAGTAATAAAAAGTTTATCAACAAAGCAAAGCCCAGGACCCAAAGGCTTTACTGCTGTGGAAAACATAAACATATTTAAAAACCTAACACAACTTCTCCTTAAATTATTCCAAAAAATTGAAGAGGAGGAATTATTCTTAACTCATTCTATCAGGCCAGCATTACCCTGATACCAAAACCAGATAAAGACACAACAATAGCAACAATCCCTGATGAACATAGACATAAAAATTCTCATTGAAATACTAGGAAAACAAATCCAACAGCATATCAACACCATGATCAAGTGAGATTAATCTCTGGAATGCAAGGTTGGCTCAATATACCCAAATCAACTAATATGATAACATCAATAGAAAAAAGGACAAAATCATATAATCATCTCAACACATGTCAAAAAAAGTATTAGACAAAATTCAACATCCTTTCATGATTAAAACTCTCTATAAATGTGGAACAGAATAAACATTATTTTACATAATGAAGGCCATATATGACAAACCCACAGCTAACATTCTACTGAATGGAGAAAAGCTGAAAATCTTTAAGAATTTGAAAAAAAAGATCAAGCCCACTTTTACCACTGCTATGCAACATAGTACTGGAAGTCTTAGCCAGGCAGTTGAGCATGAGAAAGAAAAAAAAAAGGCATCCGAATTAAAAGAGAGGAAATCAAAATGTCCCTCTTTTCAGATGACATGATGTTATCGTTAATTCATGACATTTCAGGATAAAAAATCAACAGACAAAGATTAGTAGTATTGCTTTACACAAATAATGAACTATCTAGAAAATAATTCTAGAAGGCAATCTTTTTTACAATAGTTACAAAAATAAGGAAAGAAAATACATAGGAATATATTCAACTGAGATGTTGAATTATCAAAGCAATCTACAAATTCAGCGCAATCTTAATCTAAATATCAATGTCATTTTTCACAGAAACTGTTTAAAAATTCTAAACTTTGTATGGAGCCAAAAAAGAGCCCCAATGGCCAAAGACAAAGAAATCCTGAGGGGGGAAAATAAAGGCTGGAGATATCACACCACCTGACTTTAAAATATATTACAAAGTTATAGTGAGCAAAACAGCATGGTATTAGTATAAAAATACACACTTAATAGAGAACCCAGACATATAATTACATATTGACAACCAGCTGATTTTTAACAAAGACCCCAAGAACATATGTTGGGGAAATGACACCCTCTTCAATAAGTGGTGCTGGGAAAACTGATTATCCATATATAGAAGAATAAAACTTGAGCCCTTTCATACACTATATAAATAATCAACTCAAAGTGAACTAAAAACTTAAATGTAAGATCTGAAACTAAAAGTACTAGAAGAAAACCTAGAAGAAACACTTCAGTATAATGGTCTAGGCAATGATTCTATATCTATGACCTTAAAAGCCCAGGCAACAAAAACAAAAGTAGACACATGATTTTATATAAAACTAAAACACTCTGCACAACAAAGGAAACAATCAACAGAGTGAAGAGACAACTTATTGAATGAAAGCAGATACAAACTATTCATCCAACAGGAGACCAATATTGAGAATATACAAAGGACTTAAATGACTCAACAACAACAAAATAAATAATTTTATTAAAAAGCGGTTGAAGACCTTAGTAGATATCTCTCAGAAGAAGATAGAAGACATACAAATGGCCCACAGTTACATGAAAAAAATGCTCAGCATCATTAATCATCAGGGAAATGCAAATCCAAACCACAACAACATATCATCTTACCCAAGCTAGAATGGCTATTATCAAAAAGACAAGAAATAACAGATGTTGGAGAGAATGCAGAGAAAAGGGAACTCATATATTGTTGGTATAAATGTAAATTAGTGCAACAATTGTGGAAAACAGTATAGCAGCTTCTAAAAAAACTGAAAATAGAACTACCATAGGATACAGCAATCCCACTGCTTGGTATCTATCCAAAGAAAAGAAAATCAGAAATTTAAAGAATAACTGCATCCCCATGTTTATTGTAGCACTATTCATAACAGCAAAGATATGTAATCAACCTAAGTGTCCATCTACAGATAAGTGAATAAAGAAAATGTGGCCAGGCACGGTGGCTCATGTCTGTAATCCCAGCACTTTGGGGGGCCAAGGTGGGTGGATCATGATGCAGGAGATCAAGACAATCCTGGCCAACATGCTGAAACCCCGTCTCTACTAAAATACAAAAAATTAGCCAGGCGTAGTGATGTGCGCCTGTAGTCCCAGCTAGTCGGGAGACTGAGGCAGGGGAATCACTTGAACCCAGGAGGTGGAGGTTGCAGTGAGCTGAGGTCATGCCACTGAACTCCAACCTAGTGACATAGTGAGTACTCCGTCTCAAAAAAAAAAAAAAGGGGGTTTTATTTTTTCCCAAGATGGTGGTTGGAGGCAATGTTAGCATGCCTTACTCACTTGGAAGGACAGAATGGTGTGTAGAGATTCACAGTGTACACATTTTTTCAAGAAGCAATGCAGAAACTTAACAGGAAAACTGAAAGAATGCAAAGACCCTATGAAAGAAGTGTTGGGATGCAGCCTATTCCGTAAGACAGATGAAAAGCTGTTAGTTCCAAGAGTGTGAGAAGGGGAGAGAATGCCTCCAGAATACACATGCCCACCAGGGAATCTAAAAATACAAGCCACTGGAGAAGGAATTGACCCTACCCAGCGATGGAACTGATTTAGGGAGCAGCAAGAAATATAAAGGTAGAAGCAGCAGCAGAAAGTGACTTGCAGGCATTCCCGGTCTCCAGCATGAACTGAGGGAAGCCACACCTGAATCCATCTCACAGGGGACCTTGTGGAAGGCAGCCAACTAGCTCAGGTAGGGGATGCAGGGTGAAAGAAGTTCCCAACTGAATTTTGTGATTTTGTGATTTTGTGGTTTAATCTCAAGTGGGGACAAACTCCCAACCCCCTCAATAAGAAGCTGATTACAGTGGGCAAGGTGGCAAGTGGGGAATGCATTTCAGACATAAGTGCAGGAGCTGGGCACCAGGCTTTGCTGGCAGATGGGGAGGGGCATAGCCTAAAATTCATGGTTCCTATTTCTACAGGGAGTTTATGGCCTGGGACGGGTCTGACTCCCAGACTGCCTGGGTCTTAACCCAGTGCTGTTAGTGGAGCAATGCAGAAGTGAGATGAGCCTTGCTATCTGCCTGGGAGCTGGGTGAGAGTTACTGTGGCCTGTTACTCTCCACTCCTTTGCATTCTCTTTTATGTGGCAGAGGTAGTTATATTGAGCTCTGGATCATTACTCCAGCAGCCTGAGAACCATCTGCAACCCTCACAGGAGCCACGGATGGCCCCACTAAGGGAGTGTCGGAGTGCAGACCCACTTAAACTTGCCCACATCTGATTGTGCCCCTCCACCCACCTTGGTAGTGTAGGATATAAACTTTTGGGAATTTTGTAGCCCCTCCAACACCAGAGAAACAAAATTACCTCTCTTTGGCAACTTAGGTAGGGCAAGCTCATATCCCATTGCTACTAGCACAGCTGGTATTATTTTACAACCATCACCTCCTGGTTGGAGGCCAACCAACACAGTCCATTAAAGCACCTCTAGGTAGAATAATATTGTGCCCAGGAAGCAGAAAATAAATGAATGACTTCAGCTATCACCACTGCCTGCAACACCATGGCTAACCAGAGGTTCTGAGTCTGTCCACATGAAAAGTTCAATAAAATTATAACCAGCTTTAAAGGAAGCCAGCACACTAAACCTATCTACAATTAAGAAATCACACAGAGTCTATGTCACTTTCCTGACACCTCCAGCAGAGCTGGTGCTGGTACCCACTGCTGGGAGATTTGAAAACAGGTTACATCAGTGGATCCCTTGAAGACATTGCCCAGTGCCAGCACAGAGTGTGGCAGCCCCACTGGATGGCTAGACAAGGAGAGCAAGAGCAGTCACTGTAGTCTGGTTGTCAGAAACTCCTACACCTAGAAGAAGAGGGAGAGCACATCAAGAGAAAACCCTGTGGGATAAAGGAATCTGGATGGCAGTCCTTGAGTTCCATATCTTTCCACTGCTAGGAAGTTTCTTATAGCAGAGTCACAATTGAAGTGCTAGGCACAGCCAGGAAAGTCTGCATCTCTACCCCAACAGTCAGGCAACCTTCATGTTCATGAAAGGTCTTGGAGAAGAGATTCTTGTAGTTCCCTTGTCCACCACTGTAGACATAGTTGGGGCTTTTCCCATAGGAACTCAGCATGGATGCACCTATAGACAGCATTCCTGGAATAATTCAGGGTGATTGCATCCCCCCAGGAGGAGCACTGTCCAGGTTCAGGCTTGCATGAGAGTCAGAGTCACAGTTCCTTTCTACTTGGAACATCAACATTCCTATAGACAAAAAGAGGTACCTGTCTGATCTGAATAGCCAGGACACTGGGACAGGAGGGAGGCTGGGAGGTGTATAGCTTTCCTGCTGGCTTGGCAGGGGAGCTGAGGTAGCTTCCACTCTTCTCCCTGGTAAAATCTCAGTGCATCTAACTGAGAGCTCCCTCAGCCACCTTCATCAAGGCTGGAAACTCTGTCCACCATTGGCTATTGCATCTACCCACCTGCTTTAGCTACATCCAGTTTCTACCCAGGGATACTGACCTAGATCTCTTGCTGGCCTAAATCCTAAACCATCAACTCATTACATAAAAATACTGGGGAAAAAATTAAGTGAATAAAAAAGTACACAACACAGGGGAATGAGATAAGCTTTAAGATATTCAGGCTATTTCAACCCCATAGGAGACAGTGAACTTGCCCACACACCAAGTACATAAGTACTACAACCAGCATTTGAGAAAGTCAGCTCACAAAGACTCTCTATAACCAAGGTACTCATACAGAGTCAAACCAGGCACCAAGAAGCAAACTAGGGTATAATAAACTATACACATTAAAATCACATCTTTAAGAGAGAAAAAAATTTAAAAACACAGTCAAATAAAAAATAAATTCAAGAATAACTGAAAAAATACTCTACTCAAATGAGATGAAACTAGAAAAGTAATTCTGTTAATATAACATAATAGGGTTCTATGATATTCTCAAACGATCACGCTAGCTCCCCAGCAATGAATCCAAACCAAGATGAAAACTTTGAAATACCAGATAAAGAATTCAGAAGATTGATTACTAAGCTGCTCAAGGAGATACCAGAGAAAGGTGAAAACCAAAATAAAGAGATTTAAAAAACAATTCAGGATATCAATAAAAAATTTCCAGAGAGGCAGATATCATAAAGAAAAACCAAATAGAACTTCTGGAAATGAAAGACATACTTAGGCAACTACAAAACACTGGAAAATTTCAATAATAAACTAGAACAAGTAGAAAAAATAATTTCAAATATCAAAGACAAGGCTTTTGAATTAACCTAATTAGACAAAGATAAAGAAAAAAGGATCAAAAGAAATGAACAAATTTTCCAAGAAATATGGGATTATGTAAAACAGTCAAACCTAAGAATTGTTGATCTTCCTGAGGGAAAAGAGAAATCTAAAAGGTTGGAAAACTTATTTGAAGAAATAAATGAAGAAAACTTTCCTGGCCTTGCTAGAGATTTAGATATTCAAACATAAGAAGCTCAAAGAACTCCTGGGAAATTTATCGCAAATATCACCTTGGCATATGTCACACACCTTATCACCAAGGCACATAGTTATCAGGCTATCTTAAAGTTGACACAAAGAAAGAATTCTAAGAGACCTGAGACAAAAGCATCAGGTAATCTATAAAGGAAAACCTATCAGTCTAACAGCAGACTTCTCAGCAGAAACCTTACAAGCTAGAAGGGATTGGGATCTTATCATGAGCCTCTTTAAACAGAGTAATTGTCAGTCAAGAATTCTGTGTCCAGCAAAACTAAGCTTCATAAATGAAGGAGAGAAGTCTTTTTTAGAAAAATGCTGATGGAATTTGCCACTACAAAAACAGCACTACAAAAAATACTAAAAGGAGTTATAAATCTAAAAACAAAAGCTTGTTAGGCACCAAAGTAGAACCTCCTGAAAGCGTGAAACTCACAGAGCCTATAAAACTATAACACAATGAAAAAAGCACGCTATCTAGGTGACAACTAATATGATAAATACAACAGTAACTCACATCTGAATATTAACATCGAATGTAAATGGCCTAAATGTTCCACTTAAAACATATAGAATGGCAGAATGGATTAAAAAAATCTTCCAACCAAAAATCTGCTGTCTTCAAGAGGCTAGCCTAACCCATAATAATTCATACGAACTCATGGTAAAGGGATGAAAAAAGATATTCTGTGGCTGGGCACGATGGCTCATGCCTGTAATCCTAGCACTTTGGGAGGCGAGGTGGGTGGATCACCTGAGGTCAGGAGTTCAAGGTGGTTGGGTCACCTGAGGTCAGGAGTTCGAGATCAGCCTGGCCAACATGGAAAAACCCCATCCCTACTAAAAATACAACAATTAGCTAGGCATGGTGGTGCATATCTATAATCCCAGATACTAGGGAGGCTGAAGCAGGAGAATTACTTGAACCCAGGAGGCAGAGGTTGCAGTGAGCCAAGATTGTGCCACTGTACCTCAGCCTGGGAGACAGAGCAAGGCTCTGTATCTATCTATCTATCTATCTATATTATATATATATATATATATATATATATATATATATATATATATATATTCCATGCAAATGGTAGCCAAAAGTGATCAGGAGTATCAAGTCTTATAACAGAAAAAAACAGGACTTAAAACAACAACAATAAGAAAATAAAAAGACAACATCATTTATCATTTGATACATAATAAAAGGATCAGTCCAATTAGAAGACATTGCAATCATACATTTACATGCACCTAAATCTGGAGCTCCCAGATTTATAAAATTATTACTTCTAGACCTAAGAAATGAGATACATAGCAACACAATAACAGTGGGACACTTCTATCCATTTACAGCACTAGACAGCCCATCAAGACAGAAAGTCAGCAAAGAAACAATGGAATTAAACTATACCCTAGACCAAATTGGCTTAATAAATATTTACAGAACATTCTTCCCAACAACTGGAAAATATACACTCTTCTCATCAGCACATGGAACATTCTCCAAGGTAGACCACGTGCTAGGTCACAAAGCAAGTCTCAATTAATGTAAGACAATTAAACTTATATAAAGTATCTTCTCAGACTAAGTGGAATAAAACTGAAAATCAACTCCAAAAGGAACCCTCAAAACTATACAAATAAATGGAAATTAAATAATCTGCTTTTGAATTATTTCGGGGTTAACAATGAAATCAAGATGAAAATTTATAAATTATTTAGAATCAATAATAGTGACAAAATTAATCAAAACTTCAGGAATACAGAAAAAGAAGTTCTAAGAGGAAAGTGCATAGCATTAAATGCCTATATCAAAAAGTCTGAAAGAGCATAATTTGAAAACCTGATGTTGAAATCTCAAGGAACTAGAGAAACAACAACAAACTAAACCCAAAGCAAGCAGAATGAAACAAAAAAAGATCAGAGCAAAACTGAATGAAACTGAAACAAAAAATATAAGATAGATGAAATAAAAAGCTGGTTCTTACAAAAGATAAACAAACTTAATAGGCGTTTAGTGAGATTAACCAAGAAAAGAAGATCCAAATAAGCTCAATTAGAAATGAAACTGGAGATGTTACAGTCAATACCACAGAAATACAAAATATCATTCAAGGCTACTGTGAATACCTTTATGCATACAAACTAGAAAATCTAGAGGAAATGGATAAATTCCTGGAAACACACAACCCTCCTAGATTAAATCAGTAAGAAATAGAAACCATGAACAGACCAATAACAAGCAGCAAGATTAAATCAGCAATTTAAAAATTGCCAGCAAAAAATTTCAAGACCAGAAGGATTCATTGCTGAGTTCTACCAGATATTCAAAGAAGAATTGGTACCAATCCTACTAAAACTATTTTAAAAATAGAGAATGAATGAATCCTCCCTTAAATCATTCCATGAAGCCAGTATCACCCTAATCCCTAATAACAAAACTAGGAAAAGACATAACAAAAAAGAAAACTACAAACAAATATTCCTGATGAACATAGATACAAAAATCATTGATAAAATACTAGCAAACCAAATTAAACAGAGTATCAGAAAGATAATACATCACGATCAGGTAGGTTTCATTCCAAGGATGCAGGGATGGTTTAACATACACAAGTCAAAAACTGTGATAAATTATGCAAACAGAATTAAAAGAAAAAATCATATGATAATCTCAATAGATGCAGAAAAAGCATTTGATAAAATCCAGCATCTTGTTATGATAAAAAGCCTCAACACATATGGCATAAAAAGGACATACCTCAAAATAGTAAAAGCCATTGATATGGTTTGGCTCTGGGTTCCCACCCAAATCTCATCTTGTAGCTCCCATAATTCCGAGGTGTTGTGGGAGGGAACACGAGAAAGACGATTGAGTCGTGGGGGCGGGTCTTTCCTGTGCTATTCTCACAACAGTGAATCAGTCTCAAGAAATCTAATCATTTTAAAAATGGACGTTTTCCTGCAGAAGTTCTCTCTTTGCCTGTCCCCATCCATGTAAGACATGACTTGCTCCTCCTTGCCTTCTACCATGATTGTGAGGCCTCCCCAGCCATGTGGTACTGTATAAGTCCATTAAACCTCTTTTTCTTCTCAGTCTTGGATATGTCTTTATCAGAAGCATGAAAATGAACTGATATAGTAAATTGGTACCAGGAGTGGAGTGCTGATGGAAAGATACCTGAAAATGTGAAAGCAACTTTGGAACTGGGTAACATGCAGTAGTTTAAGCAGTTTGAAGGGCTCAGAAGAAGACAGAAAAATGTGGGAAAGTTTGGAACTCCCTAGAGACTTGTTGAATCTCTTTGACCAAAATGCTGATGATGATATGGGCAATGAAATCCAGGCTGAGGTGGTCTCAGATGGAGATAAGAAACTTGTTAGGAACTGGAGCAAAGGTGACTCTTGTTACATTTTAGCAAAGAGGCTTGTGGCATTTTGCCCCTTCCTTAGAGATTTGTGGAACTTTGAACTTGAGAGAGATGATTTAGGGTACCTGGCAGAAGAAATTTCTAATAAGCAAAGCATTCAAGAGGTGACTTGGGTGCTGTTAAAGGCATTCAGTTTTAAGAGAGAAACAGAGCATAAAGTTTTAGAAAATTTGCAGCCTGACAATGCAATAAAAAAGAAAATCCCATTTTCTGAAGAGAAATCCAAGCCAGCTGCAGAAATTTTCACAAGTAACAAGGAGGTGAATGTTAATCCCGAAGATAATAGGGAAATTTTCTCCAGGGCATGTCAGAGGTCTTCATGGCAGCGCCTCCCATCACAGACCTGGAGGCCTAGGAGGAAAAAGTGGTTTTGTGGGCTATGACCCTGGTCCCTGTTCTGTGTGCAACCTAGGGACTTGGCACCCTCTGTCCCAGCCACTCTGGCCATGACCAAAAGGGGCCAAAATAGAGATTGGGCCATGGCTTCAGAGGGTGCAAGCCTCAAGCCTTGGCAGCTTCCATGTGATGTTGAGCCTTGCAGTGCACAGAAGACAAGAATTGGGGTTTGGGAACCTCCAGCTAGATTTCAGAGAATGTATGAAAATGCCTGGATGTCTAGGCAGAAGTTTTCTGCAGAGGTGGGGCTCTCATGGAGAACTTCTGTTAGGGCAGTGAAGAAGGGAAATATGGGGTCAGAGCCCCCACACAGAGTCCCGACTGGGGCACTGTCTAGTGGAATTGTGAGAAGAGGGCCACTGTCCTCCAGATCCCAGAATGACAGATTCACTGACAGCTTGCACCATGCATCTGGAAAAGCTGCAGACATTCAATGCCAGCCCATGAAAGGAGCCAAAAGGGAGGCTGTACCCTGCAAAGCCACAGGGGCAGAGCTTCCCAAGACCTTGGGAACCCACCTCTGGCATCAGTGCGACCTAGCTGTGAGACATGGAGTTGAAGGAGATCATTTTGGAACTTTAAGATTTGGCTGTCCTGCTAGATTTTGGACTTGCATGGGACCTGTAGTAGGACAGTTTCTCCCATTTGGAACAGCTGTATTTACCCAATGCTTTTATCCCCATTCTAGCTAGGAAGTAACTAACTTGCTTTTGATTTTACAGGCTCATAGGCAGAAAGGACCTGCCTTGTCTTGTATAAGATTTTGGAATGTGGACTTATGAGTTAATGCTGAAATGAATTGAGACTTTAGGGGACTGTTGGGAAGGCATGATTGGTTTTCAAATGTGAGGACATGAGATTTAGGAGGGGCCAGGGTAGGAATGACATGGTTTGGCTCTGTGTCCCCACCCAAATCTCATCTTGTAACTCCCATAATTCCCACATGTTGTGGGAGGTACCCAGCGGGAGATGATTGAATCACAAAGTAGGTCTTTTCTGTGCTGTTCTCATGATAGTGAATGAGTCCGACAAGATCTGCTGGTTTTAAAAAAGAGTCTCCCTGCATAAGCTTTTTCTGCCTGCCACCATCTATGTAAGACACGACTTGCTCCTCCTTGCCTTCCACCATGATTGTGAGGCCTCCCCAGCCATGTGGAACTGTAAGTCCATTAAACCTCTTTTACTTCCCAGTCTTGGGTATGTCTTTATTAGCAGAAAAAAAAAAAAGCAGACTAATACAGCCATCTATGACAAACAAATGGGTAATATCATACTGAATGAGGAAAAGTTGAAAGCATTCTCCCTAAGAACTGAAACAAGACGAGGATGCCCACTTTCCTCTCTTCTATTCAACATAATACTGGAAGTCCTCGCCTAGGCAATCAGGCAAGTGAAAGAAACAAAGGGCAATCAACTGGAAAAGAGTAAGTCAAACTGTCAGTGTTTACCAATGACATGATTGTATACCTATAAAACCCTAAATACTCATCCAAAAGGCTCCTAGATCTGATAAATGAGCCTAGTAAAATCTCAGGTTACAAAATCAATGTACGCAAGTCAGTAGCACTGCTGTACTCCAATAATGACCAAACTGAGAAAAAAATCAAGAAGTCAATTGCTTTTACAACACCTGCACAAAAAGAAAAAAACAATCTAGGAATACATTTAAACAAGGAGGTGAAAGATCCCTACAAGGAAAACTACAAAACACACTGAAAGACATTACAGATGACACTAACAAATAAAAACATTTCCCATGCTCATTAATGAGAAGAACCGATATTATGAAAATAATGATATTGCCCAAAGCAATCTACAGATTCAATGCAATTCCTATGAAAATATCATCATTATTTTTCACAGAAATAGAAAAAAAAATCTTAAAATTCATATGGAACCAAAGAAAGCCCAAATAGCTAAAGCAACACTAACCAAAAAGAACAAATCTGGAGGCATAACATTACCAGACTTCAAATTATACTACAAGGCTATATTTACCAAAACAGCATGGTACTGGTATAAAAACAGGCACATAGATCAATGGGAAAGAATAGAGAACACAGAAATAAAGCCAAGTACTTACTGCCAATGGATCTTTGACAAAGCATACAAAAATATAAATTGGAGAAAGATCCCTATTTGATAAATCATGCTAGGAAATATGGCAAGCTAATGTAGAAGAATAAAAAAGTATCCCCAACTCTTGCCTTATACAAAAATCAACTCATGATGGATCAAAGACTTAAATCTAAGACCTGAAACCATAAACATTCTAGAAGATAACATTGGAAAATCTCTCCTGGACATTGGCTTAGGCAAATAATTCATTACTAGGACCCTAAAAGATAATGCAACCAAAGAAAAAATAAATAAATGGGACCTAATTAAACTAACAAGCTTCTGCACAGGAAAAGAAAGAATCAGCAGAGTAAACAGACAACCTACAGAGTGGGTGAAAATATTAGCGAACTATGCACTCAATAAAGGACTAGTATCCAGAATCTACAAGGAACTCAAATCAGCAAGAAAAAATAATATCTCATCAAAAAGTGGGCAACGAACACAAAAAGACATTTCTCAAAAGAAGATACACCAACAGCCAGCAAACATGAAAAAAGTGCTCAATATCACCAATCATCAGGGACATTCAAATTAAAACCACTATGAGATACCACCTCACGCTTCCAAGAATGGCCATTAATTAAAAAGTCAAAAAACAATAGATGTTGTGGATGTGGTGAAAAGGGAACAGTTTTACACTGTTTTCAGGAATGTAAACTAGTACAACAACTATGGAAAATAATATGGAGATTCCTTAAAGAATTTAAACTAGATCTACCATTTGATCCAGTAATCCTACTGTTAGGTATCTACCCAAAGGAAAAGAAGTGTTCATATGAAAAAGACCCAGGCACATAGATGCTTATAGCAGCACAATTCACAATTGCAAAGACATGGAACAAACCTAAGTGCCCATTAACCAATGAGTGGAAAACCAAAACGTGGTATACATACACCACGGAATACTACTCGGCCATTGAAATGAATGAAATAATGTCTTTTGCAGCAACTTGGATGGAGCTGGAGGTCATTATTCCAAGTAACTCAGGAATGGAAAACCAAATACCATAAATTCTCATTTATAGGAGGGAGCTAAGCTATGAGGATGCAAAGACATACAGAGTGATGTAATGAACTTTGTGGACTCAGATAGGGTATGTTGGGAGGGGGTTAGGGATAAAGTACTACATATTGGGTATAGTATACTGCTCGAGTGACAGGTGCACTAAGAATCTCAGGAATTACCACTGAAGAATTTATTCAAATAACCAAACCCCCAGAATAATTGAAATAAAATAATAATATTAATTAATAAAAAGAAAATGTGTCATATGTACATAATGGAATACTGTTTAGTAATTGAAAAGATAAAGATAAAATCATGTCATTTGCAGCAGCATGAATGGAACTGGAAATAATTATTTTTTTCTTTCTTTCTTTTTTATTTTTCCATAGACAGAGTCTCACTCTGTCAAACCAACTGTAGTGTAGTGACACAATCGTTGCACTTCGGTGAGCTAATTTTTTTAATTTTTGTAGAGATGAGGGTTTCACTATGTTGCCCACGCTGGATAAACTATTATCTAAAGTGAAATAAGCCAGGCACAAAAATGCAAACAATATATGTTCACATTCATATGTGGGAGCTAAAATAATTGATCTCATGGAGGTAGAGAGTAGAGTGCTGTTTACCAAAAGTTGCAAAGGGTGAGTGTGGGTGAGGTAGGGTGAGAGAGGCTGGTTAATGGGTACAAACGTACAGTTAGATAAAAGGAATAAGATCTACAAGTCTGATAGTAGAGTAGGGTGACTATAGTTAACAATAATGTATTTCATATTTCAAAGGAGCTAGAAGAAAAGTCTTGAAATGTTCCCAATACACAGAAATGATAAGTACATGAGGCGATGGATATTCTAAATTTCTTGACTTGATCATTACACATCCTATGCATATAAAAAATATTTCATGTACCCCATAAACATGTAAAACTATTACGTATCAATAAAGAAATGCAAGGTACTATGTATTTAACAGGAAAAGCCAAGAAACAGAAAATGTCCCCTGAAAATTAAAAACAAGGATCAGTGAAATTATATACTATTACTTGTAATAATAATGGCAATGGAAAGTTTGGAAGATTTATGGAATTTCTTGAAAAGAAGTATAAAACTGTTTTTACAATGTTAAAAGCAGGCTGGGTGTGGTGGCTGACACCTGTAATCCCAGCACTTTGGGAGGCCAAGATCGACAGATCACTTGAGGTCAGGAATTCAAGACCAGACTGGCCAACATGGTGAAAAAACCCTATCTCTACTAAAAGTACAAAAATATTAGCTCAGTGTGGTGGCACATGCTTGTAATCCCAGCTATTCGGGAGGCTAAGGCAGGAGAATTGTTTGAACCTGGGAGGCAGAGGTTGCAGTGAGCCGAGATCATGCTACTACTGCATTCCAGCCTGGGTGACACAGCAAGACTCTGTCTCAAAAAACAAATAAATAAATAAAAGCAAAATAATGAGTTTTTAAATTAGAAGTTTCATCAAGAGTTTCCCCATCCCACTAATAGAATAAAGAAAAATAATCACATAACAGAATTTCACAACACTGAGGCATGTATCCGAATTGAAAGTCCAACAATTACTGATTTCAGAACTCCTGTGAAAGACAGGCAGATGGTATAGTGACTATGCATACGTAATCTAATGCCAGATTGCCTGGATTCAGTGCTCATCTTTACCACTTGTCAGTTGCAGGAATTTGGACCATTCACTGGACATGTTGGTTTTCTATCTCCTATCTGTAAAATGGGTGTGATATTGATACTATCTCTATTCTAAGGCTATTCTGAAGATTAAATTATTTAAATGCACACAAAGCTCTTGCAGTAGTATCTTAGGGAAAGAAATCAAGAATTTATCACTATTATGATTATCATAAAAGCTTTGGCGGTAGTGCGGGGAAAGGTTATACGTAAAATTTTGGGAATTAGAATGATGTCAGGTATTATCTACATCACAAGACGTTAGAGGAAAAAAATAAACAAATGTCTGCATAAGTGTAAGAGGAAAATGTTTTTAACTTTATCCAGAAGCCTTTATTCAGCCAAGCTAACCCTTATGCGTGAGGGACAACAAGAATATTTTTAGGACTTCAGAATTGTCACATTGTTGTTGTTGTTGTTTTGCTGTTTTTTTTTTTTTTTTTTTTTAACCACCCATGCATTCTTTTTCAAGAAACTCCTGGAGGACATGCTCCTTGAAAATAAGAAAGTAAATGAAAAAAGAAGATATTGGGAGAGCAGAATCAAGAGCTCCAACAAAAGTGAGTAATAAAAGATAACCCAGGAGAATAGCTATGCCAGCAGCCTACAGAAAACAGTGTAAATTGATGAGTGGGTCAGAGGTTTACAGGAAAGAAACTGTTAGAAAAAGAAATAGAACCAATAAATTATTTCATGTATTGGAAAATATCATTGAGAAGAGTTTAATCCATGATCCTGAGCATTATGAAAAATTTACTGTAAGTAAAAACTAAGTGAACTTTTAAAAAATGCATAATTACTGCAAGAAAACAATAATATATATAAGGAAAAAATCATATTGTATTATATGACTCAGCAGTGAACCACATTTAAAAAATCATGATAAGTATGTATTTAATAAAATCTATGTTATAACTCTTCCTAGGAGGGAAAAAGGTGGTGAAAGAAATTCTTATCTCCTGTAATAGTTTATTGTTGGCTAACATCAGGTGCTTAGGAACTAAGAAAGCAGTACAAGTTTAGTATTTAGAAATAGGGTGGTAAATAACAGAAGAAAACATTAAACAATTTGAAATGGCTCACTGAGGAGCGTGACAGGGTCAGGGAGAATGAAACTGTGTTCTCAGGATTTTGTAGTAGGACTTGAAATTTTAAATGGTGCGCCTAAATGGATACAATTGTACATTCATTTTTAAATAGCATTTCTTTAAAAACTTCCCACACTCTAATGTAAGGCTCCTTCAACCCTAGAACTCCTGCACCTCAGCTAAAATTCCATATGTTAGTTTTACCAACTCTTTCCCTAACCAGTTTTTAGGCTTCATATTCTCTTATAAATTTATTTTTATCTCGTTTCAGGACCTGCCAAAGAACTTCTGGGTTATAATAGCAAGTCTTTCCCATTAAAGCTACTGGCAGAGATGCCCAAAATATTCCTGATTGATTGAAGCCTCATTTGCTAGTTCCTCACTTTCGGGAACACTAAATTCCTTTGCAAATTAAAAACAAACACAGCTGAACTATTTTATGTTTAATTTAGCCTAGTCCAGATTAACGGAAATTCAGGCAGCTTGGAAACCTTGGGAACTTTTCTGGGATAATGGTAAAAGCTATACATATTGGCACCAAAGCCTCTTCTTTAAATTCTTTCCAATGCAACATTTTAAATTCCAAAACTCCAGGTTTTTAGAGTATGTTTCTATGTTTCATGTTTGTAGGGGGCATTGAGAGAGTAGACATAAAGAGTGATAATAAAATGGTTATTTTGAAAAAGAAAACGCCTCTAAAAAATACATCAGATTTATCAAACTTGCTTTACAAGTTTTTTTCCACAAATTAACTTTGTCACAAAATATACGTAATTGTTAACATAAGGGTCAGGAGAAAGTATTTGAAGCAGCTGAAATGACATTACCTGCTTATTTCCCCCTTACCATATTAAACACACATAAACGCTTTCCTTTGATTTCAAAACTACAGCTGGGATGTGCAGCTTATTTCTTGGAACTGGCAATGTTTAAGACTTTAGCTGTCTAATGTAATCTACCCCATGCCTTTGCACAAGAAGGAAAACAAATAAAAACAGAAACAAAAACCCTAACCCTACTTTGTCATGCTTATACAACATGGTCTGGGGAGCTATTACAGTCTCAAACAGTGCATGCCCGTGTCACAGAATGCCTTTATAATATTTTTTTGTCCTGACTTTTGGAGCTTTTTTTTTAAATATATATATTAACTCTCTTTGCTGCAGCTATTAGGCTCTCCTACTACAATTTATTCCCAGAACACTGCCCAGTGGAAGAATAGCCAAAGTATCTTCTAAATTATAGGATTCTAGTTTCTCCATTATTCCAGGATGTTTGTATATCGCCATTTGCCCAAGAGAGCTCCTATTCATATGTTTTCCAGCAAAATTTAAAATAGCAATTAATTTCATTAAGAAAATTGCCTGATTCAGATTCTAGAAGATGTTGCATATCTAAGGAGGTGGTGGATTCAAGTCAGGTCCTTAGTTTTTAAGGGGTGAAATATGTAAAGAACTTAGGGCCCAGCAAAAGAAACAGTCTAAAGTTTGGAAAGATAAGAAACAATCACCTGAAGTTAAGTAAATGCAGATTAAAAATATGAGTTTAGAGAATTTTTTAAACAAGTGTACCAATAAGAAACACACTAATTAATTGGTTACTGACATCTGACTTAGACAAAGCTGTTTGCACCCTGGTTTGAGATTCATAGCTTCCAGTTGGGGACATCTTCCAATTGAGGACAACAGATATACTGTAACTCCTACGTTTTGACTAAACAGAGGCAGGAATTTAACTTCACAAGTTATCTTGTTAAGAATCACATTAAGAGCTGACAAACTATAACCATACAGAACTTGAGTTGAGCAGCAATTTGATGTCATATTGGCATCTTATTCTACATTCAGCAGCTATGAAATCTGACATAGGAGTACAGAGGAGAGTGAGTCACTCGTGCTAGATTAGAGTCTGGTGGTAAAGGAGAGCTTTCTGAAGAAAGATTTTTTCTCAATTGAATGAGGTGAAATACATATAATAAAAAATTTACCATATTAACTCTTCTGACCCTCACTGAGGGTTTAGGTCAATGGTGTAAATTATATTCATAATACTATACAAACATCACTATTATCCATCCTTAGAAATCTTTCACTCTTGCAAAACTGAAACTCTGTATGCATTAAGCCATAATTCCCTATTATTCCCTCCCACAAGCCCCAGGAACTACTATTCTACTGTCTGCTCCTATAGTTTTGATTACTCTAAGTATGTGGCTTATTTCACTTAGCATAGTCGTCAAGTTTCATTCAACTTACGGTATATGCCGGAATGTCCTTTCCTTTAAAGGCTGAGAAATAGTCCATTGTGTGTATATACCACATTTTGCTTAGCCATTCTTCTGGTCACTGAACTCTTGAGCTGCTTCTAGGTTTCAGCTATTGTGCTATGAATATGGGTGTACAAATATCTTTTGAGATCCTGCTCTCAAATCTTTTGTGTACATACCCAGAAGTGAAATTGCTGGATCACATGGTAATTCTATTTTTAATTTTTGAAAAACCTTCATAAGGTTTTCTACAGTAGCTGTACCACTTTACATTCCCATCAACAGTGCAAAAAAAAAAAAAATTACACATCCTCACAAACATTTATTTTCTGATTTTTTAAGAGTAGATATCCTAGTGTGTGTGAGGTGATATCTATAGTGTTGATTTGCATTTCCCTAATAAGTTAGTGATGTTGAATATCTTTCTATGTGCTTATCGTCCAATTATATATCTTCCTTAAAGTAATGTTTATTCAAGTCTTTTGACCATTTTTGAATCACATTTTTTGTTATTGAATGTTAGTAGTCCTCTAAATATTATAGATATTAATCCCTTTTCAGATATATAATTTTCAAATATTTTTTTCCAATCCCACAATTGTCTTTTTATTGATGTTTATTGTCTTTTGATGCATAATTTAAAAATTTTTTCTTGAAGTGCAAATTTGTCTTTGTTTGCTTCCTGCGTCTTCTGTGTCATAATCAAGAAATTATTGCTAAATCAAATGTCATGAAGATTTGCCCTACATTTTCCTCTATGAGTTCGATAGTTTTAGGTTTTACAGTTAGGTATTTGATCCACCGTGAGTTAATTTTTATGTATCTGTTAAGTAAGGATTCAAATGTATTATTTTGCATGCAGATATCTAGTTTTCACAGTAATATTTGTTGAAAAAATTATCCTATTGGGATGACTATAATTTTATTAAAGATCTCTTATATGTAAGAAGTTTTTCTCTTGCTGTTTTCAACATTCTCTCTTTTAAAAGTTTGATTATATCGTGTCTCAGTGTGGATCTATTTGAGTTCTTCTAACTTGGATTTTGTTGAGCATGTTGGATATTTGTATTCTTGCCTTTCTTCAAATGTGGGAAGTTTTCAGCAATTATCTCTTCAGATATTCTCTGTTCTCCTTTCTCTCTCCATTTATCTTCTGAGACTCCCACAGTACATACATTGGTCTGCTTGATGGTGTCTCACAGTTCTGAGTCTCTATTTGATTTTTTCAATCATTTTTTTTCATTTGGAAGACTCAATAATTTCCATTGTCCTATCTTTAAGTCTGCTGATTTTTTTCTTTTGCCTGCTCAAATCTGCCTTTGAACTCATCTAGTGATTTGATTTTTTTTAATTTTAAGTCATTGTATATTTCAGCTCCAGAAATTCTTTTTGGTTTCTTTTTAGTTATTTCCCTTATTGATATTGCCATTTTGTTCATCCATCATTTTCTTGATTTTCACCACATATTTCTTTCATTTTTTAAGCCTCTTTAAGACAGTTGTTTTAAAGTCTTCGTCTAGTAGATCAGCCATCACATCTCTTTCAGGAACAATTTCTGTTGATCTTTTCCTTCAAACGGGCCATTGTCTCCTGTTTCTTTTTATACATTGTGATTTTTTTTTGAAACCTGGACGTTTCAATCAAATGTGGTAACTGGAAAGCAGATCCTCCACCTTCCCAAGGATTTGTTGAGTTTTGTAATTTTTTTCAATGTTGTATGTTGTCTTTATGTTAAGGTTCAGCCTGCAGTACGAACATAAGTTCTTCTCAGGTTTTTGAGCCTCTCCCTGGGCATGTGTGGTCATGTTCTAATTTTCTCTGTGTATGGAGTTGTTTTTAAATGTTCTAGTCTTTGTAAGTCTGGCTCTGAAAGGTGGGAGAAATGAAGTGGGGAGGACAATGCTGGCCCTAAATCCTCTGGAGATCCTTTCAACTGCAGGGGATAAGGGGTGGCTCACAAAAATGACAGGAAGTACAACATCAATGGCAGTCTGCCTCTTTGTGCATTTCGGTGATTAGAAGTAGCAATCAGCAATCAGAATACTGATCTCCAGTAATTGGAGGACAAGATCCTTTTTGGTCATCCTGGTTCCCAAGGGCTGTGTATAAGCTGATTTAGGAAGAAATTCACAGCTGCCCACCACAGGGCTGGGGTGGAAGACAGGTAATATCTACTGGACTAAGATCTTAAGTTGGCTTAAATTTACCACAATTTACTTTCCAAGCCTTTTCCTCAAAGTTGCAACCCTTCAATAGGATCCAGAATTCTCAAATAATTACATCAGACAGATTCTGCCAGTGCATTTTTGTCTAGGTAGAAAGACAGTTTCCTGGTGTTTTTTATTCTGCCATCTGCCCAGACTTCTCTCCCAGAAGTCACATCCTATTTAGATATTTAAAGATGAATAGACAATTGTCGTGTCTGGGAGGGCAAGAAATCAAGGCCATTTGAAACCTATCTTAGTTGAGGACTAGGAAGTATGGTACATGCACAATAAATATTATGATCTTAATTGCACATACAAGATTTTTTTTATTCTAAACACTATTGCCCTGCACTTCCGTGGCAAAAGTTTCAGGTTATCTTTAACATCTATATTCCTCTTGTTACTTAAGTAAAACATAATTATCTAGTCACATGACTTTCTAACTTTATTCTCCAGCTGTCTTTATTATTTGTTGTGACCATACAACTGGGTAACATAAGTGGAAAGATTAAGTTGTTAAGTGGTTGTTCTATGAAATACTTACTTTATAAGGTAAGAAAAAGGCACATTCTTTTCTCCTCCACTTCTGTTTCTTCATCCAACCTGGAATGTAGTTGAGAGATTGGAGTTCAACAGGCCATTTGAACCCAAGAATAGAGGTCACATACAGAGACTGTGGAATAATGAGCTGAAAGTTTCCTGGATTCATGAATCTTTTGTGGAATTATTCCACCGGTTCTGGATTCCCTATCTTTGGGATTATTGAAAATTAAAGGAAGTCACTGTCACATTAGCTAAATCTAATCTTAATGGATACATCTTAGGAATTACCCGCAATTTAGAGAGATCATTGGTGTAAATAATTTGGGTTTATGTGAGTTTCAGTTCATCTATCAAAATTAGACCTGAAAACTGAGTCATATTGAGCAAAAAATATTTTATCTATGGTCTCGGTTTAACAGTTTTCTTTTAAAGCACATTTCTCCTCATTTTTAGGTAAGCTGAATATTCAGCTTTATTTATGAGCACATTTTTGGAGAAAAAAATCTCTTAAAAGCCTTTGTGTTTAATGAGACAAAGAAATAGCAATCACTTTTAAAAGATGTTATGGAAGGCTAGATTTTAAATCAGAACAACAATGCCATTTTGAGTAGAGATGGACAAGCCTCAGAAGGATTAGGATTTGGGTTCTAATTTGCAAACAGGGTTTATGTTTGGATTAGGATTTGACTCCAATTTTTCTTTATGGATTTAGGTAAAGCTTTTATTAATCACTCATCCTAAAGAGTGGCTTGAATCTGTGTGTTGGAACAATAGATATATTTTTTATTTAATAAACTCAAACAAATGAAAAATCTATGAGTGATTCTGGCTGCTTTACCTGAGCTTTCTGCCTTTTAGATTCTGATGGCTTTTAAAGAAAATATGCACTCTAGAAGTCCATTCAATTTTTATAATCATTTAGAGATATTACATTACAAATAACAATGTCCATGTTGAAATTATTTGGAAGAATTTTTAAAAAATCAAACTTCTTAAATATGTTTATTTGTATGTTGTAAATGTGGAATAATCGATCATTCAAAGAATTCAAGAAAAGCATTCTTTATAACACACCTGTGATACTGCAAATTTTCATATAACTGTTAGTTTAGATATTAGGCCTTAGCTAATTTGTACCTAAATGCATCTCAACCCACTCTCTCAAATGGGGAAATGCTAAACTCCTTATCTTTTGTAAATGAAGAGGGAAAGATGAGGCAGATGGGGAAAGGTTAGGTAACTATGTCTTGGGAAGTTGGATTGGCAGCTTTACTCAAATTCATTCAGTTCAAATCTTCCTGGATAGAGTGAATTGTGAGTTCTCACTATCTTGGTGAGTTCTGAATATCTGCTATTGTCCAGGAACTCCTACCCAGCCCAGGATATAGATCCTCCTCCCAATTATGGCAGGGAACACGAAAGACACTAGAATAGCCAGCATTAGAATGAATCTTAGATGGAACTCAAAAATTTCAGCAGGCCAGCTATACAGGCCAGTCTCTGACAGTCATTTCATTAGTCTTTTAATAAGTGGTTGAATGTTTGGACCACATTTACTGTATTATGATGGAGTTTTACTGTATTCAGGGGAAAGGGAAAACTGCTTTGAGTTAGAGATCATACATAGCACACAATTCAGCTCTTAGGTGATAGTCGAGAATCTCCCGTGAGTTGCTTATAAATACATATCCCTGCTTAAGTCCACCTCAGGAAATTCTGATTATTGTATCTTAACACAGACCAAGCATTTGTATTTTGAAGAAGCTACTCTCAGTAATTTTGATACTTATTCATATTTAGAACCATTAAGGTAAATTATTACCTTGTGAGTAAATTTTGTCTCCCAACCCGATGAGGAATCTCTTAAGGTTTCAGGACTGGCCTATTTATGATTATTCTCCAGTGACCAAGACCATGCGGAACATATAGTGCCACTTTAATAAATATAATTCAGCAGCTTCAGTCTGGGCAAGGTGGCACATACCTGTAATGCCAGCACTTTGAGAGGCCGAGACAGGTGGATTACTTGAGGTCGGGAGTTTGAGACCTCAAGTCTGGCCAACAGGGTGAAACCCTGTCTCTACTAAAAAAAAAAAAAAAAAAAAAAAGTAGCCAGGTATGGTAGCACCTGCCTGTAATCCCAGCTACTCAGGAGGCTGAGGAAGGAGAACTGGTTGAACCTGGGAGGTGGAGGGCACAGTGAGCTGAGATCACACCACTGCACTCCAGCCTTGGTGACAGAGCAAGACTCTGTCACAAAAAATAATAATAAATAATAATAATAATAGTTCAGTAGCTTCACATTTATTTAAACCCAGCCTTGTAACCCTGAGTATCTCTCTGCTCTAGAATAGAGAAGACTATGGTAGAAATTAAACATAAATATATTAACTAATAATATGTATATTATATTATGCATGTGACAATAATAACCATATATATAGAAATACACACACACATCTCTTACAAGCAGCTCAGTTATGGGAACCCTATCTAAGAGAAGTGGACACAATGAAGAGTTTTCTATCATCACTGCAGAGAAAGCAATGTCACACAACCCAAGTGGTGTTGAAACTTGTCGCTGCAGACAAAGCAATGCCATATAACCCAAGTGATGTTGAAAGTCAAAGGTGGCAAGGAATTTATGGACTAAATGGATATTAGCAGTACAGATAGCTAAGCAAATGGCAGGAAGAATGACCTGAAATGAGCAGAAAGACATCAGTCTATAAAGAGGCAGCTAGAGTAGGAGAGAGGAAATGGCCAGGCAAAGACCTCTGACCATGGCTGAGGCGCCATCTCTCCCTGGGGATTCCCAGAGAGGTGGAGGCTATTATTAATCCTGCAGTCTTAGGGGAAAACGTAATAGTGTAGAGTGACATTGCTCTGGCCCACAAAACTGGTGAGGTCTGAGGAATGCCAGAGTATGTGCATGAACGTAACTGGGGACTCGTACAAGTATTGGTGAAGAATATCTCTTAAGATAATGACTATTTTCTATTGGCCCATTAGGGTTTTGGCAGGTATTGGGAGATACTGTGACTATGAATGTACTCAGCAGTTAAAAATTATGGGCTCATTGCTGATATATGCTTTGTGGAACTGGTCTTATTTTTATCTGAAAAGCAATATGAAATAAAAATTATTTGTTTCCTTTTTACCCTGCTTTGTATTAAACGGGAACCATAGGATTAAAAATCATGTTATACATACACAAAGCAACTTCGTTATGTGCAAAAATATTTGTTCACTTAGCTTTTGTGCTTTGAAAAATCTTAGTCTGTACTGATAAGAAACTAAATTTATAACATAATAAGTCACACAGCACACGTTAGTGAACTGGTTCTTTAAATTGAACAAAGGGCCTAATAAGATTACTTAAATATGTTTTCTTCTCTATCCTATGGGGCAGATTTTCTCTGTTGTGTTTCCCTTCCACTCAATATAAAAAGCTAAGGACTCTCCCACTATTGTAGTTTTGTTTTTGTTAAACCACAGAGCTATCTTTAAGCATTCAACCCTAATTTTTTGTTATATGCAAATAACAATTGGAATTATAACAACATGTTTTGTAAGAAATAACATTGGTCTCTGTATGCCCACTATTCTTTGCCTTAATTGCAAATAATATTACCAATGGATTTTCTTTTTCTCTTTTACATTTTATTTTTTCTTAATTTCCACCCCATATGCAGTTTGTAAAAACCCTCTAAAGTGATAGTGAGGGTAGTGAGGTCTTATTTGCTGCTCCTTTTCAGAGTAAAATTGTCAGTGCTGATTTCGATTAAAAATATTTGCAGCCCTGTTTTCTTTGCTAGATTACATAGTCATAGCATACACATTACTATTTTTTTCACTTGATTGTTGGTAAACAAAGTAAATGTGATTGCTAAGATTATAGGCTCTAGAGCCAGACAACCTGGATCAAATCCTGCCACTGAAGTTGTGCGACCTCGAACAACTTGTTTAACCTCTCTGTGCCTCAGTTTTGTCATCACTAAAATAAAGATTTTAATTATACTCACTCCATGAGCTGTAAGAGGGATAAACATATCAATATTTGTAAAGTGATTATAGCAGTGCTTGAAATTATTTTACAAATATTTAAATAAAGTGTAAAATGTTTAATGTATGTGTTGCAAAATTTTAAAATAAAATGTACTTTACACATATTTTTTATAACATTATTTGATATAATACATTATTTCATAGTTATAATTTTTCATTTATTTTCCTAAGGTTGGAGATTTCTAATAATTTGATACTATAATGATAGAATAATATATGTAGATAAATATTTAACACATTTACCTTAAGTTTTTCAGGATTAAGTTTTCTATGAGGAATTTATGATCATAGCATATACATTTTCAAGGCCTTAGATGCTTACTACTAAATTTAGCTCTAACCTCTTATGCCAGCTGGACTCACTTGTACTGGTAGTTTGCAAGAGAATATTTGCTTTTATCTGCATTCTTACTAACACTAGGTATTAACTTTTATTTTTAATTTTTAATGCTGAGACAAATTTATATTCACATAGATTGCACAATCAGTACAGAGAAGCTGGTATACTCCTCACCCTTATCTCTTCTTAGATATATTCTTTGCGAATTTATACTACTAATTGGATATTAATTCTAACTAGGTGCATATGTTAACTAAGTGATAAAGAAAATGTTATTTATTAATTAAAATGTCCATAACTCAATAAAAAACTTTTGGGTCTTAGAACTTGCTCCCAAACTTCAAACAGTATCTGAACACAATATTTGGAACACTGTTCAATTGTATGAAAGCCGGTTTTCAACTGTAGAGTGGAAATTAAATGCAATTGCATGATCATATTTGTAGTGCTATGTTCAGTTCTGGGAAGCACAGTATAAAGGAGATGTTGAAATCCTGAAGAAGATTCATAGGTGCAGCATAATATAATGGACAGAAGAAAGGAGATGATTATGGGAGAGAAAGAAAATTTGGGGGAAATTACACTTGTTTTGAAAAATTATCACGAAGTGATGTCATTGAAAGAAGGAGGCAGTACAGTTGCATGTAGAATGGCAACCAGTATGGAAGTTATTCTAGGCATATTACTATTTTGTATAAATGATAAGATTATTCATTATTATTTTGCATAAAAGAGAAAATATTTCATTGAATAGAGGCATATAATGGGGAATAGTAATATTATCTACCTCATAACAATTATGTTCATCACTAAATGCAGTGCCTAGTATACAATACTCATTAAATAGCAGTCATATTACTTTACTAAGAATACTATCATTATTATGGTTGTTATTATTGTAGTAAATGATTTAGTACTTTGGCAAATATTAGATCCAATAGCTTATTTAAAAAGCATTTGAAGATTTAAGACAAAATGTTATTGTTGGGTGGGAGGTTAGGCTACCTTACCATATTATACTTTTCCAGATATCTGGTTCAATTATTATAATTACATTTCATCTGCATTAAGTTAGATATAATAGAAAACCTCACAATTTAATTCAGCCTTTTCTCGACCTCATCCTTTTTCTAGACAAAAGAGAAATGACAACAAGAAATGGAAAGAGGTTAAAGAAAAAACAAAAAGATTAGATAATCCATAAACTAGTGAATTGCTTTCTGAGAAATCCAGAAATAATTCTGCTTTATAGCAGGGGAAAAAATCATAAATTTAGCTACTCGGGAGGCTGAGGCAGGAGAATCACTTGAACCCGAGAGATGGAGATTGCAGTGAGGCGAGATTGTGCTACTGCAATCCAGCCTGGGCAACAGAGCAAGACTCCATCTCAAAAAGAAAAAAAAAAATCGTAAATTATTCTGGTATTTTCATTTGCATGTAGTTGTGAAAGAATACTGATGGACCAAAGGTGTAATGTGTTTCTAATACTTGTTTCGTTCCCATCGTGGAGCCATCTCTTCTATTTTTCCTCTTCTACCTGAGTGGTAAAAATCACCTGGCTGCCCAGAGGACCTGACTCTAGTCAATCCACCCTGGTTCTCAAGGCACCAATGGAGTACTGAACCTCTGTCCCACCTACCCCGATAAATTGCCTGGACTCAACACAGTACTAAGAGGCAATACTCACATGAATTAACTCTTGCTACAGAAATACAGTGCTAGTTTACATGTTGCAACTCAAGGATAACAGAATTGACTTAGCAAATATTTTAAGTCTTATATCAAAATAAATATCAATTATGAAAATTCCAGGCAAGGTTGAGGACTTGGTAGGTAAGGCTGAAGGCGTACCTGAATGCTACACATAAAAGTACGCACTCATTAGAGGAAAGAAACTTGACTTGTGAAGCATGGCAAGTTATAAGTTAAGATCAAACTAAATAAGGTGCTATTGGTGGTCAGATAAGATTGAGTAAGCCCAGTATAGATATGCTTAATATCATATTGGCATAGACTAAGTCTATAGTCAGAGTTTGTTTAATGGGCCTCTGTGTTTCTCCACAATTCTAGCTCTTAAGTAGACCTTTAGCACTTAATACACTGATGCTTTACACTTCATACCAAAATGGTATCAGTGAGAGAATGTCGTAAAGAGCCAAACTTGAATCCTCATCAGTCTGACAAAGACTTGGTACAGTTTCTGAAAAACGTGAACATTTCTGGAAAAGCACTGGGTCCCAAGCTTTGTATCACAGGTGTGAACTCCCTGGAATTCATCCTATGCAATATTGATAATTAAAGTACTATCAGTACCTTTTGATATGCATAGCAGATGGTATGTCTGTCCGAATAGGACCTTTGAGGTTCAGAGAAGGGTAAAACTGTTATACATAGTGTCTCATAATTTCTGATTTAATCAATTTTACTGTAAGGTTAAAATTTATGACTGAGTCCCTTTCCATCAATGATATAAAGATCTCTTTTAAAACTAATTATCGAATGCTTTAATACAGAAGTTACAATGTAAAAATGTACAACCAATTGCCTAAAGTCATTTTAAAATATAATTTCACTGAAGAACAATGAAATGAGGAAAGCTCTGCTAATGAATAAAAATAATAGAACAAAAGATCACCATACTGAGAATGAAGTTTAATAAATTATTCCAAAATAAAAACCCAGGGGAATTAATAGACTAAAGCTATTTTTTAGATTATAAAAACAAGTTTCCCTAATTTTCATGCCATCCATTTCTAAGTGTAGAGGAAAGAGTAAAAAACAAAAAACAAAACACAAAAAAAACCCAACAAATTAAAGATGACAGTGTTTATGACAGAGCACATATTCGACAGACTGATGAACATGAGAATTTCAAGCAATTAAAGTATGTGATGGAGGAGGGTCTTGCTCTGAAAATATCAAAGGTATTTAAAGTTAGGTCTTTCTAATAGGTAATTATAATTTCTTCACACGTGGGTAAGTTGACAGGTAGGTGGGAAGAGTTAACATAAATCTCTTATACTGATTAGAACAATTGCAGTCAGGTAGGCCTGAAGCACCCACTGCCGCAATCCACTCACAACTATGCACCTCAGAAATTTGATCAAGTTTTTGAGTTTTGAAAGTGAAACATGGATGAATGCTACTGAAATAATTGTTAAACAAATATTTTCAAATTAAGTGGAAACAAGTTTTAGTATGTACCCTAGGATTTGTTGTGCCTTCAGCCATCATCACCATCTCGCCTGGTCTATAGTCAAGACAGATTCACCTCTTTTGGTATAAAAGTTTAAAGCTATCTTTCCTCTGGCAGTGTGGTGGCATGTGATTTGGTTAATCAACCTAATTTGCTTAACTAGTTATGTTTGAAGTAAGTTTTGAAGGACACAAAGCAGAGGCATAGAAGTTTACCTGACTACTTCAAATGTCCAGACTGCTGCGTTTTAAGTCTCAGTTCTTACTAGAAAACTCGATGACTATCTAAAAAATTTGAAACCTATTTTTGTGTCTAAATCAGTGCTCAGTTTTGCTATAACAAAGTAGAAAGTTATTGAGAATAATTTGTTACTTTTAATAAGGTCCTGGAACTTGCAAATTAATTTTTTTAAATTAGAGGATTTTTGTCAAGCTAAACAACCGGAGAGAAACACTTGTCAATATCATTTAACTGTTCTTTTACCTTCAGAACTGCTTTTGCATTTATGCCACAAAGGAAGATGACTCATCTATTGAAGATGTACTATTTTATTTACTGAAAATGTGGTCAAATACATCATATTACATTCTTTTTTATGAGAGACAAGGGAACAATTTCTTTCAGGCATCAAAATCAAGAAAACATGCACTTCTCCTGATTGTCTGGTATATCCTAGTAAGATTATAAATAGTAATATGAAGTCTGCTTTAACTGAATAGAATTTGTAGAATTAAGTTTTTGGCTTCTACTTTTATTTAACATTTTATTATGAAAAATTTCAAGTATATTCAAAATAAACAGAATAGTTATTTGCAGTCTCATGTATCGGTCATTAAACTTGAACAACTAATTTGCAGTTTTTGTTTCATATAACCACTTCCTATTTGTACAATTTTCATTATAATCACAGTTACTTTATGTAAAATTTACATATTTTAAACTGAACAAATTTTGATACAACTAAATAACCCAGAACTCTATCAGGGTATATGACATTTCCATCTTCCTTCCCACTTAATCCCAGTGTGTCTTTAAAAACTGAAAAGGTACTTATGGAATTTAATTTTGTTTTACTAGCTTCTTTTCCAGGGTTTTCTTTGTTCTCCTTCACTCAGATACTGTCTACATTCTTTAACCTTTTTATATTATATGTATTTCTGTAACCCATTTTAAATATTTGGGGAGTAAATAAGTAGATTAAATAATAGGGTGATTTTCAATGGGTTATTTTCAAATCGATATAAGCTGATATATTTTTAAGGAAAATAATGATGTATCAGTTTATAAAAATGATTTATTTTTAGAGGAAAGTTGATAAGAATTTATATTATCTATGATATAAAAGTATATTCAATTTAAAAATAATTTAATAAGCAGTTAGACCTAACTGAATTTCATTTAGAAAAAATATATATAAAATTATAATCATTTGTGTAACTAGCATATGCTAGAATCCTTTACTTTCATTTTTAGTGGTTTACCCTTTGATCTCAAAAATATACATTTGACATAATGGCTACAACCTTTGATGGCAAAGTAGCTTGCAATGATTAGCTAATACTTTCTTATTAAGGTAATGAATTAACTTATTCATTAACTTCATTAATTTTAATGAATTTGTTTATAAAAATTCAAAAAAAGGATCTCTCCATAACAAAACTTTAAAATATCTAGAAGAGCATGAGTTCAACCATTGTAGAAGACAGTGTGGTGTTTCCTCAAGGATCTAGAACCAGAAATACCATTTGATCCAGCAATCCCATTACTGGGTATATACCCAAAGGATTATAAATCATTCTACTACAAAGACACATGCACACGTATGGCACTATTCACAATAGCAAAGACTTGGAACCAACCCAAATGTCCATCAGTGATAGTCTGGATAAAGAAAATATGGCAATATATACCATGGAATACTGTGCAGCTATATAAAAGAATGAGTTCATGTCCTTTGCATGGACATGAATGAAGCTGGAAACCATCATTCTCAGCAAACTAACACCAGAACAGAAAAGCAAACGCCACATGTTCTTACTCATAAGTGAGAGTTGAACAATGAGAACACATAGACACAGGGAGGGGACCATCACACACTGGGGCCTGTCAGGGTGTGGGACACTAGGGGAGAGATAGCATTAGGAGAAATACCTAATGCAGGTGACGGGTTGGTGGGTGCAGCAAACCACCATGGCACGTGTATACCTATGTAACAAAACTGCATGTTCTGCACATGTACCCCAGTACTTAAAGCATAATAAAAAATAAATAAAATAAAATAAAATATCTAGATGAGGATTTTTGAAAAGTTTTTTAAAATGTGGTCCCATATATTTGCTTATATTTGTTAACAATAATCATGAAAACTAAACCAAAAGTTAAATATATAATTATTGCTACATACCAGAGTTTATTCTAATTGCTTGAAATATAATAACTTATTAAATTTTCATAACAGTTTGATTAAATATATGCAATTATCTCCTTTTTATAGCTAAGAAAACTCTGGGCAGCTTAGAGGTTCGACATTCAACCTCTGGAACATGATAGCTGAGTTGAATTTCAATGCCAACACTTACTAGCTATGACCTTGGTCAAGTGCTTTTGTTGCCCCTTTGCTATGTAACTGTGTCAAAACTAAGTAACTTACATGAGCTTCTCTTTTTAGCTCCCTCTTTCTCTATATGTCATCTCTTCCTCCATGGATTTTCCACATAGCTTGGGCTTCATAAAGTGAGGGGTTCTTAGGCTACTCACACTTTCATGTCTTGTGACAGCGACATACATAAGCCTCATGGCACAATCTTTCTTTCCTTGTCTTCAATATTTGACATCATGGCTACACATCTACCACTGTCTAACTTTCTTCAGTTTTATATTACCTTTAAAAATCTACTATTTTAAGAAATTACCATCTTTGGAAAAATAAGCTTTCCATTTTTATTCTTTTAATAAAGAAGATACTTAATATTTTAATGCTCAAATATCCAAAGTTAATATATTTTCTGGTTTCTCTGATGAGTAAGTACTCTCTATTGTACTATGCTGTATAAGTGAAATATTACAGAAATGTATTTACTTAAAAATTAATTAAATAAACCAATATTTGTAGATATCTGGAAATATAATAGTGAAAAGTAAAACAAACAGAAGTTAGATGAATTATGTAAATTAAAATAAGAAAATTTCATGGTTATTTCTAATGGAGTAAGGTACCAGTGATATCTCAGAGCTAAAAAAAAAATAGCCACAGCCACCTTCATCTGAACCCTAAAGAAATGCAAATCAGAGGCACCACAGCTAGGTTTTCAAGGCATTGAGTGTTTTCTGGACGTTGGAATGAGAGGACGTGAACATGAAAGAGAGAAGTTTTGCAGATGAACTGGGAAGAAAACATGGGGCAATTCTGTTGCTCCAACAGGACATCAGCTAGGCTTAATGGACAGTGTGAGCCACCAGTCACTAAAAAGACACTGTGCTGTCAGCAGGAAAAGAAAAGTTCAGCCACCATGTAAATATCCCCCTTTAGCCCACGCTTTTTCTTATTTTAAAACACTTTCATCCATATCTGCAAATCTTTAGGACTCCAGGGTGAATGGTGTGGGAACCATTAACTTTCTTTAACAGCAATTTAAAACAGTATCTGACAAGTCTCAGCTTCTGCCTCTGGCTTTATTGGAGGAACTCCTAAAGGAGCTTCTACCATCCTTCTTAACTCATTTATTTGTACTGTGAGAGGCTCCACCAGCTAAACCCCGCTTTTCACTTATTTTACTTTCTACTTCTGCATTGCTGACAAACTCACAACTCACAACTGTCCCATCTCACAGCTGTCTCATCTCTACTCACAAACTCTACTCACAACTGTCCCATCTCAAGATAATCACCTTTTGGACATTGATATGGTGCCTAAAGCTATCAAAATTTTTCAAACACACATCTTTCATTTAAACTTATATTTAACAAAAACACAATAAAATATTTATTTTTCTTCATTCAAGTACAAATTATATTAATTTAGTGTTTCAGTGTTTCTTTTATTAAAATTGGCAAACTCAATTATATTTAAAATTTTACACAGGTTTGTTTATGTAGTATGAATAGCTCCAGGTGACGGTCCCCTCACTTTACTATTCTCTTACTTTGTCTAAGATTCCTAAAGTAATTAGTACCATTTCATCAGAAGTTTCCTATTTTAGTGCCAATTGTTAGCTAGAAATAAAGGTGAAATTTAAGAGGATCTTCACTAATATATTAGTGCAAGAGAATTAATCATTTTTATTTTTATAACTTTTTTGTTTTTGTTTTTGAGACAAGGTCTCATTCTGTTGCCCAGGCTAGAGTGCAGTGGCGTGATCATGGCTCACTGCAGTCATGGACTCCTGGGCTCAAATGATCCTCCTGCTTCAGTGTCCCTAGTAGCTGGGATGACAAGCACCTGTGCATCACATGCCTGGCTAATTTTTTTTATTTTTTATTTTTTTGTGCAGACAAAGGTCTCCTTATATTACCCAGGCTGTTCTTGAACTCTTGGCCTCAAAGGATCCTCCCACCTCAGCCTCCCAAAGTCCTATGATTATAGACATGAGCCACCATGCCCAGCTGAGTTTACCTTTTATAAAGGTTAATTTTAAAATTCCACACAAAAAGTTTTTTTTTTCTTGGAACTAGGCAGTGAAGAGGAGATACATAAAACAGAATGTAATTGTGATATTCCATACCCTACAGCTGCAAATTAGGTCACATTAATACTAAAGCTCAAATATGATGGCTCCAAAATCCCATACTGAGAGGGAATGCCTTCTAGGCACTAACACTTGAGTTCAGGCTGGTACTCTACTGGCCTAAGCTACTCTATGCCCTCAACAGTATTCCTGTCGGTCTCTTCTGAACTCAGGTGACCCTTATTATGCCATCTGATTCTGTGTCAGTGAGAAGTTATGTATCCCTACAATTCCACTGGGCTGTTCAAGACACAAAGTGTTCCAGTAGATTGTCAGATTGAGGCAAACAAAGAATGCATTTTTTTTGGTTACATGCCCACACTCAAGAATGGACTTGCCCAAGCTTTATCATACTTAGAACATACAAAAAGCCATTTTATCATCAAGGCATTTGTTTGTAGCCAACATAACTTAAAATTGCAGGGATTCTAGAATTTTTTATCTTGCTGATCTCAGAGCCATCTAAAAAGATCTCTTTTCTTTTCTGGTTTACTCTTCTTCCTTTGGGATGACTTTTCTCTTGTAGCGCCTGTCTGTGCATTGCAGAGCTCTAGCTTTAATGGCTGCTCCTTCCTCTTCCCATCTCAAGCTTCCAGGCAAAATTTAAGTATTTGATCATGGATTGAGGAGAGGGACAATTTATTTTCTCTCTTTAGGAGGCTCCATGAAAACCACATAAACCAGTAGATATGAACAAACACTTGGTTTTGAAAGGAGACAAATTAGCTAACTTCGCATTCCTATTTATTTGAGTCCTAGCTGGCATCTACTTCCATAACCATTGGAATAGTCTTCAGAGGAAGAAAATGACACCTAGAGAAACCAAATAACTTTTCAATTTCATATACATTAGCTAATGGCAGAGTCCAATGTTATCTCCACTCTGCCTGATCCCTCACATGAACAAATTCACACGAAGGGTAGGAAGTAAAACAGGAAAAAGACAGAATTGAGAAGGGAATACGTATGTAAGTTAGTTTTCACAAAGGGCCAGCAATTGATTGTGAGGTCAGCTTCTTGCAAATTGGGAAAGAAAGCAGCATATGGAAGAAAAATCATCCCTACTTCAGAAGGTTTTTTTTTAATGCCTATTAAAATAAGCATATAAAAGACATAGAATATAAGCATACTTGGTTCCTTGAAAAAATTATCAAGACATGATTATAGGGACAATAAATTGTTATTCCAAAACATGGTTTTCAATTTATAATGGCACCTAATCAAAACATTATTAGGGTCAAAGTTTGTATTCCAGGGTACACATAAGATAACTTTGTTTAAAAAAAAATAGAGGGAATATGCATTCCCGACAATGTTTATCTTTGCAGCACTGTTAGCATGTGTTATTTTAGTCTTTTTCTTTCATCCTTTGTTCTGTAACTTGTACTTTTCTCTGAGCCTGGGTCCTTGTGCTTTCATTAGTACTTCAAAATATTTCTACAGATTCACGCAAAGAAACATACAAATAGTACAAGACTGTTGTCTCCATGCTCATTTTGGCAGGAGAGATGAGGAACATCACTTAAAAGAAGATTTCAAAATAAAAATGGTGACAAAGCAAGGTCCCCCCATGTAACGGAGATCAAATTCCTGCCAGTGAGAATTCTTGATATCAATGGGAAAGGGGTTTAGTAAGCATTTGCTTACAAGTGTGTTCATAAACGTTAGTGGCTATCTTGCCACCTGAGTGCAAATAGCTCTTTTACCTTCATAATACGTGAATGTATGCTGTCACCTAGAATTGTATTAATTCATTGTAATCAGTACACAAGGTGGCTATGTGATATGAACTGAAAAACACCAATACATTTAGAGAGGTAAAAGGCCTAATTCTTTTTCTACTTTCTAATCAAACTAATTACACACTACAATTTGATTGAGTTATTCTTCTTTCAACCTTCCTTAGTGAATCTTTTATAATTCATAAAATAAATACTAATTCATGAAATATCTGATTTTAAAATCAACTGGAATAATAAAGAGAGGAAAATAAATACGTGCAAATCCTTCTTCAGATATGTTTGCATGCACATTTAGAAACCCAACTATTTGTATATAATATGCTAAATGTCTACGTACAAATATAAATGCAAGAATGGATACAAATATATGGCTATCAACCAGTAAAACATTCTGTGCACATTATACTGGGTGGAATATATTTTGCCTGGATGAGTCGAAGCAGATTGTATAATAAAATAAACATGGCAAAAGTGGGCTTTAAGTCAGGAAACAGAAGAGTAAAGCAATTTCCTGACTTATTTAAATGCTTTCAAAGAAAAATGTCATTACATACTTGAATTACACTGGCATATAATTACATGAGCATCACAAATAACAATGTCTTACTAAGAAAAACAGAAGTTATTATAGAAAAATTCCTTCCCATTATAAATATTTATTTTAAGCTCAGGTAAATACACACAAAAGTTATTTGCATGTTATCAAAATAAATTCTAGTCATGAAGTCATGAATTATTTTTATACAAAAAAGTTTGTTTCTAATTACATTTCTGAAAAGTCTTCCTAGTCTCCATAATGTTGTTTATTAAATATAAAATAGCATAATTATTTATTTAGAGTTAATCCAATTAATATTTTTATTTTAAATTATGTTATTATAAAGATGGTAGTAAACCAATAAGTTATATTTTAAAAGTTATCTTTGTTCCTTATATTAAAATTAGATATTTGGTGGAATTCCAAAAAAATCTGTTATAGATTATTTAAGATGTAAAATATCACAAATGAATGGTATCCTCACCCTAATGATGATGAAGATCCAGATATTCTGCAAAATTATAACCTTGAGTTGATAGGAAGCTGAGGTCACAAGGTAACCAAATAAAGTCAATTCTTAAGGGTGACAAGACTACCTAAATAGGGACAGAATGCGTTAGTTGTTTAACCTTCAACAGAGCACAGGAGGAATGAAAAACAATCATAAAAGTGGATAAGACCGGGCACAGTGGCTCACGCCTGTAATCCCAGCACATTGAGAGGCCAAGGTTGGCAGATCCTTTGAAGTCAGGAGTTCAAGACCAGCCTGGACAACATGGTGAAAACCCATCTCCACCAAAAATACAAAAAGTATCCAGGCGTGGTGGCAGATGCCTGTAATCCCAGCTCCTGGTGAGGCTGAGGCAGAAGAATTGCTTCAACCTGGGAGGCTGAGTTTGCAGTGAGCCAAAATCATGCCACTGCACTTCAGCCTGGATAACAGGGTAAAGACTCCATCTCAAAAAAAAAAAAAGTAGATAAGATGAAAATAACTAAAATTAAAATTTAATGAATTCTTAAAGACCACTACAGGCCAGAGTATCAGTTCCTTGGGAATTGACCTTTTGAATCCAAAAATTCTTGGGAGTTGCAGATACCAGTGGAGTCAATGTCCAACTTCCAACTCTTCCACTGGCCTCTACTGGCTGCCCACAAGAAAGACTGTGGGTAGGGCAAAGACCTGAGAAAGTTTTCCTCTCTGGTATACAGAAGCATGTTTCTTATGAAGCAAAGCTGCTTGGCACCACAGAAGTAAAAAGATGCCCTCTTTCACCTAGTTTCAAGCAAATATGCATTGCTGTTGGAAAAGTAATAGAAGTAAACATCGTCTGCTGCAAAAGTTGGCTTCTGCTAGAGGAAAAGTAGAAGAAAAAGTCATCGCCACTGTTGGAAAGACAGAACACAGGCTTATTATACCAGATATAGGGCAGAGCCTTGCTGCCACTGGAGCCAGGAGGGTGAGGCATGAGAATATTGAGAAAACCCCATGACTGAGACAGAAACCAGAGCAAGAGAATGGACTCTCAACTCCCACCATGACCATAAACCCCATAAACCTTGCACAGAGTAACAAACAATAGCAATGGACTGCTGGCGAGGGATGAAAATTAAGAGTCCCTTCATGGTACATGTGTACAAAGCCCGCCAAAAGCTAAAGGTTCTGATCAAGAGAAAAGTTTTGCATATGTGGAATTAAACATAAGAGAGCTTTAACTTAAATCTGGCCTTATTCCTTATGATAAATAGGCAGTAAGACAGAAGATCAAGTAAACATTAAAAAGAGGAAGATTATCATGAGGCAATCTTTAAGAGATATTTAACATAGATTATTTCATTTCTAGAACAATATTGTTATAATTCATTTTTCATGTGCCGTGGTATGCAGATTTGCCACCATTGTTATAATGATCCTGAGAAACGTTTTTTAAACGACAAAAATAATGAGTTCAGTTCAATTTTTAGTGCATAGAGCATACAATACAAATTGTACAACTGAAAGAATAATTTGCTACAGTAAGAAAGATATATAACTAGAAACTTCACATTTTTAAGTATTTTATTAAAATAAATAGTGGAATAAATATAAGTATCATTTAGTATATCTAATAGATGCTGTGGTGATAGGGTGTCTCTTTTTCTTCTTCCGACCCTCCTCCTCAAGCAGCACTCCCTTTTAACCAAAGAAAAAGAATACTAATACATATTACATCAGTTCTGAGCAATCGATTGGCCAAAGGTGAGTTAATAAGGAGGTCAAGCCATCTGTATTCTGATCCACCTTTCACAAGAAAGTATGCATCCAGGTTAAGTTCTTTTTGCCTGGATGCAAGCTTTTCATGACACTTGGCAGAGGTGCATGGCACCACTATTTAACTCTCTGATTGTGGCCAAGTTATTAAAACATTTTTGCCTTAGTTTCTTCATCTATATAATGGAGATAATAATAAGGTTATTGGAAAGAATAACTGCATCATATAAAGTGGTAAGCACAGTACTTGCCAGATAATAAGCATCCAATATTGAATAACATTATTATTATTACTACTAATACTTAGAGTTTAGGTATAAAACTCTTAATTTAGTCCAGTTCATTAAGAGTTCTAGGCTGGGCGCGGTGGGCCACACCTGTAATCCCAGCACTTTGGGAGGTCGAGGCGGGCAGATCACGAGGTCAGGAGATCGAGACCATCTTGGCTAACACGGTGAAACCCGGTCTCTACTAAAAACACAAAAAATTAGCCAGGCGTGATGGCGGGCGCCTGTAGTCCCAGCTACCCGAGAGGCTGAGGCAGGAGAATGGCGTGAACCCGGGAGGCGGAGCTTGCAGTGAGCCGGGATCCAGCCGCTGCACTCCAGCCTGGGCGACAGAGCAAGACTCCGTCTTAAAAAAAAAAAAAAAAAAAAAAAGAGTTCTGTGGTAGGTAATTGGGAATTAGCCTAGTTAGTAATTAAGTGATTTCTTGATTCTTCATTTGTTACTGTTCAAAGTTGTAAACATGTCCCTTGAAACCTACAGAGAGAGGAGAAAAATTATCCCAGCACGATTTGGGTATTTCTAGTTTTCTTAGACAAATATCTATCAGCATCCCAAATACTACTAAATCTGCTAAAAAAGCAGTATGTATAGCAGGGCCACAAAGCTTTAGGACCTGGACTTTACCAAAATTTCTTAGCTATTTCTCCTAGGAAAGTTTCTTACTGTTTCAATATCTTCTCTCCTTTTCTGTAAGATGCATATAAAAGAGTACCTGCCTTTTAGGTTTCTGACAGCACTTAGAACAATCTGTGGGTTGATAAGCACTCATAAATATAGTCTACTTTTGTTAATATTGTCAGTTTCAGAAAGAGATTTTGACACGTTAAAAAATAAATATGGGTGTGATGGTGTATGTCCCAGCTACTCAGGAAGCTGAGGCAGGAGGATCGCTTGAGCCCAGGAGTTTGAGGCTGCAGTGAGGTACGATTGCATCACTGCACCCCAGGCTGAGGGACAGAGCAAGTCTCCATCTCTTAAAAAAAAAAGTAAATAAGTATATAGGTAGACAAGTAGATATTTTCTTTTGAATCTATTAAAATTAGAAATAAAAGTCCAAGGAGAATGTAGATCCCCCAGAACTCAGAGTTAAAAGTTGCTAGTGATTAAAGAATCCATATAATCCACACTCTTTTGACAAGATTAACACTGGCCATAACAGTATTGATATGTCTATTGGGAGTTCTGTGAAGCAGTTTCAGAATTTTGGAATAATCGTCAAATGCACCTGCGCCTGGAAACACCAGGAAATGTATGTTTGTGCCCTAGGCTATTTGCAACACAAAATGAAATAAAATACAATACTGGTCTTGCACACGTCTTCTCACTCAAAATGCACTAGAGGCAGAATCTTTAGAAGGTCGATAGGATGTCATAGACAGAAGGTGCTTTAGAAATACACTCTCAGTTTTCCTACACACACAAGCATCACTGTTTTAACTTACATAAAGTAGTTATGGTGCATGGCACACTGTATCTATTCAGTAAACATTTGGTGAGTGTATGTATGCATGAGTGAATAAAGAAGGAATGATTTTTGTTTAGATACTCATGTTTCAATCTTGCGTTCACATTTCCCCTTGAAGTACAGTAAATTTTTAGTTGCTTCAACATGACTTTAGGGTTTCTCCTTTGTTTTGGTGATTTATGACTTAAAACAACAACAAAATAATTACCAGTGGAATATGTGTAATTAAAGTTCTATCTTAATGTTCTTGAGATGTGAGAATATTTTTCAATGTTGTGTTTCCACTGTGCTCAAACTTATTGATCACATTAGTCGATGCTTATTTTAGTAGAAATAAACTAAAGGCAAATGTACACATATTCTTGCCCACCAGGATTTCTTGGTCCTAAGTATCATTTTCTCCATGCGTGTCATAATTAGGTTAATGAAATTTTTAACTAGTACTGTAAGCAATGCTTGAAGAGAGTACTTGTTAGGACTTTGATATTCTACTAAATGCCTTATGGCTTCACAGGACAGTAATCCTTCAAATTTATGTACAACATAGCTCATTCATTCCAAAAAAAGATCTTGCAGTTCATACTCCAATTGTTGTATGGAGTTGGTTGTATGGAGTTGACCTCTAATTAACTCAGAAAACAAGGCAGACTGTTTCTGTCCTTATCTTGAGATTCTTTCCTACCCTCACCCTGTTTCCTAACCAACTTGGACATTTTAATTCTTGTCCACAGCTCATGTATGTCTCCTATACCTCTCCTCTAATAGTCCTCTCCCCAAATTTTTCTGGGTAGTAGTAAGAGAAACAAATTTTAGCTTGAAAAGTCTTTTAAAAGAGTCTAATAAAATCTATGAAACAAAATTTATCCAGGTTTCAGAAACAAATGGGACCACAAACTGGAAGTGATGAAATTCTTATTCTCTTTTACTGTATTCTAAAGACCTCTTATAATGCTACTCTTCCTGTTTTCAAAATATGTGCTCAATTGCTTTATGTCTGTCTGTCTTTCTCTCTCTATCTGTGTGTGTGTGTGTGTGTGTGTGCAGTATGTGTGTCATTTTTAGTTTATATTATATACTTATGAATATAAGGGCCTCCCTTATTTGAGGATTGCAAAACATTTTTCAGAACATTATGTATGTGTGTCCATGTAGCAGGTGGGAGGGTTGATCTTGAGTCATATTTATGTGAGAAAAATAAAATATAAAACTGATCTTTGAAGAATTGTCATAGTCAACTTCTCACACACAGATGTTTTAGTAAATAGCCAAAGTTATGTTTTAAAAATATTTGAATCTTTACTCTTATTTTTAGAGCATTAGTCAAGACTCTTCAGAACTAACAGGTGAGAGAGAGAAAGAGAGATTTATAATAAAGAATTGATTTATTGAATTATGGATGCTAAGAATTCCCCCAATCTTCTGTATGCAAGTTGGAGACACAAGAAAGCCATTGGTATATTTCCAATTTGAATCTGAAGGCCTGAAATCCAGGTGTGCTGATGGTATAAGTCCCAGTCTGAAGGCAAGAAAAAACCAATGTCTCAGATCAATCAGTCAGGCAGAGAAAAAAAATTATTTCTTATGCCTTTTGGTTCCCCTCAAGGGATTGGATGATGCCCATCTATGCTGGGGAGATGTATAGGTCCATTTGTGTTGGTACAAAGGATAATTTATAGCTGGGTAATTTATAAAGAAAAGAGGTTCATGTGGCTCATGGTTCTACTGGCTATACAAGAAGCATGATGTCAGCATCTGCTTCTGATGAGGGCTTCTGTTGCTTCTACTATGGCAAAGGCAAAGAGGAGCTGGCGAGATCACATGATGAGAGAGGGAGGAAGAATAGAGAGGGAAAGGAGATGCCAGGTTCTTTTCAGTCTGATCTTTAATCAGATCTCCTGGACTCTAATAAAGTGAAACCCTACTCATTACTGCCAGGGCAGCTCCAAGCCGTCCATGAGGGATCTGCCTCCATGACCCAAAAACTTCCCACCAGGCCCTACCTCAAACATTGGGGATCAAATTCCAGCATGAGATTTGGAGGGGACAAATATCCAAACTAGATCAAGAGGGCAATCCACTTTCCTTAGTCTACAGATTTGAATGCTAATCTCCCTCAGAAACACTCTTACAGACACACTCAGAAATAATATTTACCCAAATATCTGAGCAATTCATGACCCAGACAAGTTGACACATAAAATTAACTGTGACAACACTCCTTCTCTGCAAAGTATCTTTCTTTCCTATTGCAGACAAGTTCATGTGGAAAAAGACATGGTCACCACAATCTCCAAGGGTAAATGTAGCCATTGCAACTATGTGAAAAGACTGTCTTGAATTCCTTAGTCTCTCACCTAAATATTTCAGGAAGGAACTAGTTGACCCACCTTAGGTAAAATACCCCAAATTCATACAATCAGTTTTCAGGTGTGAGGTCACTTTTAAACAAATGCAACTGTTTCCATAGTAACTTCTGAAGATGGAGATCTCCTCAAAATCAATTATAGCTAGCATAAAAGGAGAAGTTGGGCATAAAACCTAAAATAGGTCCACGATATGATTCAGGAATATCTCTTATTTCCCAGGCTACATTTTCTTTATGTCTCAATGGTAGCCATAATTTAATATTGCTCTGATTTCCTCCTAGGCTATCTGTAGAAATGGACCCTTGCCCCCTTTTTAAACCAATCCCTTCTAAATTTCTAAGTATAGCTGAATTCATTCAAATAATTCTCATTGTATGGAGTCATTCACTATTTTCTTCTCCTTTATTCTAACTAATCATGGTGTTGTCTTCTATTGCTTTCACTGCTGAGATCTGTTTTGCTAATTTCATCTGGAGGTACATCATCTACTTAGGACCTTCAGCAACCGATCTATTGTTTGTAACGAAGCTTCCAATATCAGAGGCTCTTTTTTTTTATTTTTTAACACAAACTGTCCTCAGGGCAAGGGTGTCTGGTCTGCATATGGATTTGCCACTCCATTTGCTATCTTCATGCCCAACACTTGCCCATGCCTCTTCCTATCCTATTCTGATCCATGGGTAGACATGATGCAAGATTCATTTTGCTTAACCTTGGATCAGATTAATAAATCATTGTTTAATGATCTAAACCTTCAAATATAAAATTATCCCATAAACTTAATGCATTTACTCAGAGTTAATGCCTTTTTATGCCTATTTTAATTATTTTAGCTGAATCTATTTCCAGATCCATTAAGGTTATGTAACAATTTGTAACATTACACACACATGACTTAGTGGCATATGAAATCTCCTTCAATAACATAAGATCACAAAATATATTTATAAAACAGGACTACACAAATGAAAGCAAACCCCAAAAAATCAGTAAATAAACCTTACAGCAATGAAACTAAGAATTTGAAAATGTCAACAACTTCAAATTAATTATGTACCTAGTAACATGTTACACAACAAAATAAAGCAATGTTATTTTAGAATTTAAACAAGTAGTTTTAAAACTATAACTCAGAATCACCTACAGAGGATTGTTAAAATTCATATGCTTAAAACTGATGAGTGGAGATTCCAATGCAGGAGGACATTAGAGAGTCCTGAGGAATACAACCATCAGATTTTGAGATATACATCTGTGAGGGACACTGCTTATCTCGATTTGTCCAGTTCTTTTCTTAGCATCCTTACTGCAACATTGTTAAATAAACCTTATTCCTTGTATGTAACTACACAAGACCCTAATTCCCACCACTAAATTTTATGGCTACAAAAAAAGTATTTCTCTTTTTAATGACTAAACTCCAACATCAAATAAAGGCCATGTATGTGTTCCTTTCTCTAACTGCCTTATTGGAGGTAGTTCCTTCCCTCTTAGAGTCCTGGAAATGGATCTCACTTTGAATTGTTTCATGACACTTCCTGAGTTGGATAGTTAAACATTCCCCAGCAGAAGATACCTAGAGGTATGTACTATTAACAAAATAGGTGGAAAATGCATTTCAACCTTTAATGTGAATGCATTATCACTCAGGTATCTTGTTAAAATGCAGATTATGATTCAGTAGATCCAGGGTAGGCCTTGAAATTCTGCATACTCACCAAGCTTCTAGAAGATGCTGATGCTCCCATTCCTTGTTTGCACTTTGAGTGCCAAGATAGAGTCTATACACACATAAATGCTTTAATGTTTGTGATACGAGATTATTTCTGTCACTGGTACTAGGGTAGTCACACGGACTACGTGAATGTAATAAATTCTTGTGGGGAAGAAATTTTTCTTTAAGTATAATATCCTGGTAATGTTTTAAAATTTAAAAATACATGCATTTGTTTAATTCATCTGTCTACCCATGTTGACTTTATTTTAACTAATTTGGAAAAAAATCTGAAGAAGTAATGTATTTTAAAGAGCACTGTATTTGTTTTCTGCATGCATAGCACATTACCAAAAACTGAACTGCTTAAAACAACACAAATTTGTCATCTCACAGTTTCCCTCGGTCAGAAATTCTGGGCGGGAATTAGCTGAAGGTCTCACAGGTGAAATCACTCTGTCAGTTAGACTGCATTTTCTTCTGGAGCTTGGGGTCTTCTTTCAAGCTCACCTGAGAGTTTGCAGAGTTCATGTGTGTGTGTGTGTGTGTGTGTGTGTGTGTGTGTGTGCATACATGCTCTGCTGTAAAACTAAGGCCCTCTTTCTCTTGCCAGCTATTGGAAGTGGAAGGGGACTTTCGGCTCCTGGAGGCATCTCACAGTTCCTTTGCTTTATGAGTTCACCTTTTCTTCTTATCACAGTTCTTATTCAGACATGATTCTACTACATTATTTCTTCCATAACCTTTCAAAAAATTTAGTCAACTTTCTACAAGATAGATTGAAGACATTTGCCAATTTATTTTAAGCCAACGTATTTCATATTAAGTTGTGTTTTTTAAATGTGATCTTTTGACTGGGTTTTTAATGCATTTGAGATTGCTAGAGATATCTATCACAGCTTTCCCTCTGCTTTTTAGCTATGTATTATCCTTGCTAGACAATGTCTTCTAAACTTTTATAATAAAAGAATCCAATGTAAAGACTAATAATTTATGTAATACTTATCTAATAATTTAAGGCTAAGAAGACCAGACTCAAAGAGATGAAGTGACTTTTTGACATCATCTAGCTAGTAAATGATGAAGAGACCAAAAATGTAAGTCATAATTTCTGCTTTCCACGTCCAGTATTCCAAGTTCAGCATAACTTATCAACCCATAGCACTACACTGGAAGGATTGTACTATTGGATTTAATGCCTAAAATAGTAAATGGAACTTTTATGATTGTTCCAAATGTAAGGAAGCTTAAGCACTAAGAGAGTGTGTCCCAGTGAAAAGAGAAGTATGCATGCATAGGGATAGCCTACAACATGTGTTATGAAATGGTAACGTTATAGCTGGCACACAGATCAATAGTTTAAAAGCTTTGGCAAGCCACGTGGTTAGGAGAAGCATTAAAAGGTAAAATAACAAGGTGATTATTATACTCACTGGGAAAAAGTACTGTTGTAATATATTCTATCCTAAAAGAGTTTCAAGAAACTACAATACTTATTCACCCTGGAGAAGATGATGGAGTGGTATTACATACACTGAATGAAAGAACACTTTTTAAAAAAGAAAATGAATGAAAAATACATGCGAGCATTTATAATCATTAAATATGCAATTATATTAGTACCTTATAATTTTAGTTGTATTCCGTATTTTCGTTTACTTTAAAATAAGATCATTGTATATTACTAAAGTTATTTATAAGCCAAAAAAAGTACCATACAAATTCATAAAAAATAAAATATATGAATTATTTATTGCACAAATAGTTATCTGAAACATGGAACATACAGTTAAATCTAATAATATAGGTCTATACCATTTTATGCCTGTTATGAAAATTTTTACATTTTTCTCTCATCACTGACATTTAGCTTGGATTTTTACTTTATGAATTTCCTTTAAACATTATTTTTTAAAATATGAAACAGATTCGAACAAAGTGTATAAGTTTTTGGTTGAGTACAGGCCATAAGGAAATAAAATATTTATTAAAAATTTGATATTATAGTGATGACTGCTAAGAATGAAATTAAACCACAATAACTTAACCAGAAGGTATTTTAGATCTCTGTATTTGTAAATAAAATTGTTGAAGCTTAAGCCAAATTAAAATATTGATCTGCACTACCAATGTAGGGATAATTTCAATAAAAATGAATAATAAAAATACGAGAATAGATTAGAAATACTAAGGTTTCTACTCGTTTAGAAGAAAAAACAATGAAAGAAAAACTAAAGGGTTTGGCGTTCAGATACAGGTAAATGAGCAGCCAGATTTTGTATCTGTTCAGTACTATCTAGAGAACAAACGTGTTATTCCCACTGCACTCCCTTGGATACTCCCTCACTTCATTCAGAACCTTGCTCAAACGCCACCTCACCTGAGAGAACTTCCTCCTCCACCTCACCCGCAACCACTAAGCCACCTGCTCTAGTCCTCATCTGGTGTACGATTTTAATGGCACTTCATGACACTCATATCTCTTTTTCTCTGTCTCTTCCCCTCAGGGTAGAAGCTCAACAAACCCAACTTCATCATTTGTGTTTCTTCCTGTAGTTGCTGCACTTACTGGGCACTCAGCAGTACTTGCTGAGTGATTCAATGGGAACACAGCTGGTTAAATATTGGTTAAAAGTGAGGAAATCTGCAATGCAGCATACCAAAACCATTGTTAGTGACTGTTCATTGACATCTAATTTGTTTTCCTTACAAATGCTGGCTATGAACTGTCGTGTAAATCAGGTACTTTTTCTTTAAACAATCACATTTCCATTTTTGTTTTATTATAATAACTAAGAATGATGATTTAGAAACATAAATTTTGGTCTGACCATGTTAAGTATTAAATTAATGGTCTTAAATTTCTTTTGATCAGTTTTATTAAACAAATATATTTACCTAATTAATAGATGAATAATCAAGTAATGATTGGTGTTTATTTAATACTTTGGCATTAAATATATTATTTTAATTGTTAAAAGGTTTATATCGAAATTTTTATAAGAAAAAATAACTTTAGGACTCTGAAACTCTGAGCTCCTCATCAAGTTTTTTCAACTTATAATTATTTTATGGTATCATTTCTAATAATATATATTTTCTGAAGGAATAATATTTCTGTGGAGCCAAATATATTTTTAGACAAAATTCATTATTATAGAAATATAACCAGTTGCTTAATAAACTGGAATTTCTCATGTGAATTTATAAATTAAATACTATTCTTCTGTACCTTTGCTCCCAAAAGTCATTCTTCCATGAACTTGGACAAAATAGTAGATAACATAGTTTTCTCAGTTAAAATATGTATTAACAAATGTATTTTTTATGTATTGTAAATTCTTAGTAATCTAAATATAATTTTATTCTCTCATTTTTACCTACATTTAATACTTTTATCTCCTATAGTTAGTTCTAATTTAAGGCCTTGAAGCCTAGAAAGGGAACAGTGATGAATTCACCCCTCCTTTTACTTGCTTTGTTCCTTTTTATTACTGCTTTTTCTAGATTCTCCTTTTTAGAGCAAAGGCGGCAGAAGGAATTCAAGAAAAGAACAAAGTGACTGATGGGGTTATGATCTGCCCTCAGTGCAACTACTCAAATGTTGATTTTAACTTTCATGGGGTGGTTTTGTTCACTCTTAGCAACCCTTATAAACTCCTAGATTGGGTTTAGCTGATGTCTCTAACATAATGATGCCTTCTCTAGCTGAGCATTTATTACAACTTCCTGTCTTTGACTTCAAGTAGTTCAGCCCCTTGTGGAATTATGCTTCCTCTCCAGGTGGACCTTTGGAAATAATTATTTTCATAGTTACCAAATTCAGGCTCCCTTCCTCACATCTACTTGATCCATGGCAATATTCAGTAGTCAAGCATTCTTGCCCAATCTGTGGAAGTTAGATCTTACCAGGAATAGCTCTTTCCTTGAGGCTCCAATTGCCCTGTTACTTTTTTTTAATGGAGATGCATTATTCAGTATTCTCCAGAGAAACAGGAACCAATAAGATATACACATGTGAGCGGGTGTGTATATATCATATGTAATATAGATAATATGTAATTTCTTCTTCAGGAAACCTGTCTTCACTCTAAAGACCTATAACCATTCAATAATGGCCTCTTCTCACATTATGAAGGGTAATCTTTACATAAAGTCGATTGATTTCATATACATATACATATATATACATATACATATACATATATATATATATACATATACGTATACATATACATATACAAAATCCCTTCTCAGAAATGCTTAGATTATTATTTGGTTAAATACGTGGGTATTATAGCCTAGCCAAATTGACATGTAAAACTATCACAGAAGGCATCAGGCACTCATCTCTGTGCTTTCCCCAAATTGCTGAGGTTACACATCGCATTCTTGAATTCCTCTTGAAGTTCCTGCTCAGTTGGTTTGAGGTGCTAAGATCCCCTTCCCAACCAACAAAGAAAGAAAAGAAAAGAATGTGCATCACACCCGTAACTCTCCCAAGTAAGTCTCATTGTCAGCCTGTCTTGTAAATTTTTAGCATTTCTCATGTAACCTAGAGGTGATTTGTAGGCCAATGGAAAAAGAAGCATTTATGAATGCCTCAAAATACAAATCACATAGAGATGACCCAGCAACTTGTTTTTGGATATGACTGGATTAAATATACATCTTTTTTGGCTTTAAGTAATCAACTAAGGTTATGAGATAAAGAGTTTTATTACATCATCCTATTGCAGAATGATGTCCAAGGAACTTAAAACAGAGAAGAGAATGATTGCTTAAGTTTAGAGTCAGAAAAGCTATGCAAAAGAAGATACATCAAAATTATTTTATAAAGAATGAGTAGGAATTATTTAGGCAGAGAAGAAAATTAAGGCATTATACACACAGGAAACAGGATATTTTGGAGTACAGGGGATATTTAAACTCATTCTATGAGGCTAGCTTACACAAATAACAAAACTTAACAAAGATAGTATACAAAATAACATTACACACCAGTATTCCTTATGAACATAGAAGGAAAATTCCCTAACAAAATAATAGCAAATTAGACTCAATGATATATTAAAAATATAACATATCATGTCAAAATGAGATTTATTCCTGAAATTAAAGGTTGAATTATGATTTAAAAATTAATCAATGTACTTTCCACTTTAAGAAAACAGAAGATAAAAACAGTATGATTATATCAACAGCTACTGAAAAATATTTAGTAAATTTCAGAATCTATTCATAATAATTTTAAAAGATCAGCAAATGAGGAACAGAAGGAAACTTCTTTCATATGCTAAGGGCATTTATAAAAGCCTACAGCAATCATAATGATTAAAGAAAGGATAACTCTTATGTGTAAATAAAACAAGAATATCTACTCCTATCATTTATATTAAAGATTTCATTGGAGGTCTAAGCCTATACAATAAAGCAAGAAAGATAAAGGAAAGACCAAAAACTAAAGATCAGACAGAAATAAGAAAACTCTCTCTATTCAGACTAATGACAAGATTCTTTATGAAGAAAACCCTGAGAAATCTAAAAATTCTATAAGTAATCAGTGTGTTTAGCAAGGACACAGCTGTCAGTTCAGTGTGTATATATACATATATATACATATATATGTATATATATACACACACACACATATATATACACATATATAATATCACTTGCATTATATATTCTGTTAGAAAACACAGGCCAGGAGCAGTAGTTCATGCCTGTAATCTCAGCATGAACCACTTTGGGAGGCCCAAGGTGGAGGATTGCTTGAAACCAGGAGTCTGAGACCAGCCTGAGCAACATAGCAAGATCCCATCTCTATAAAAATATTTTTAAATTAAGTAAATACATAAAAGAAATCAGTTCGTGGTGGCACATGCCTGTAATCCCAGCTACTTGGCAGATTGAGGCAGGAGAATTGCTTGAACCCAGGAGGCAGAGGTTGCAGTGAGCCGAGATCGCACCGTTGCACTCCAGCTTGGGCAACAAAAGTGAAACTCCATCCAAAAAAAAAAAAAAGAAGAAGAAAAGAAAAGAAATCAGTTAAAAACAAAATTTTAAAAACGTATTTGCAATAGCATCAAAAATGAAATGTTTAGGAATAAGTTTATAAATGATCTGTAAAACATATATTCTAGAAATCGCAAATCACTGCTGAGAAAAATTAAGGGACACCTAAATAAATGAAGACATATGGCATAGCATGTGTATAAATTGGGAGAACCAATATTTTTAAGATACCAATTTTTTGAGAATTATTTATAGCTTTTTGAAATCTTAATAAAAATCTCAACAAACATATTGGAAAATGGAGAAACAATTTCTGAAATTTATTCAAAACTGCAAATGACTTAGAATGTACAAAGTAACCATGAAGAGGTAGCATATAGTAGAAGAATTTACACAACCTGATTTCAAGATTTACTATAAAGCTACAAAAATAAAGATAGTGTGGTAATGGAAAAAATACCAGATACGTAGATCAACTTTACCAACAAAATTTCAAAATGACCAATGTATATTTTCACTTGGTGTTTGACAAAGTTGTCAAAGTAGCTTAGTGGAGAAAGGTATTCATATAGGAGAGAACTTAGACTTTTACCTCACCATTCACAAAAAATAATTTTAAAACTATCATACAGCTAAACATATAAGCAAAAGATTTAGTGGAAACGTAAGATAATATGTTTGCAACATGAGGGTAAACATGGTTTTTCTTAATAGGGCACATAAAGCAATAGTCACAAAAGGAAAACATTAATAACATAATCTTCATCAAAAAAGACAGCATTCGACAAACTTATAAAGCAAAATAGGCTCGTGGAAAATAATCATAACACTTATATCTGACAATGCATATATCAAAATAGGTAAATAATTCCTATAAGTCAATCATAAAATGACAAAACATCTCAATTAATAATAAGACAAATGACTAAGAGACACTTCACAAAAGAAGATTCACAAATAATCAATAAGCATGGGGAAAAAATGCTCAACATCAGTAGTCATCAAGGAAATGCAAATTAAAACCAAAATGAGGTATCAACATCACACAAGCCAGAATGACTAAAATTTAAAACATGTGTGTAATTTTTATAATCAGAAAAAAAGAAAGCTGACTTGTAACTGGTAGGCTTATTAAGAACTAGCTATATTACAACACCAAAATGAATAGAATTGAAATGTAAATTAAATTGCAGAATTTAAATGTTGTAGACTCTATGCTTATAATCATATATGTGTGTGTATATATATGTGTGTATGTACATATATGTATGTACATATACACACACACATATATACATGTATATATACCTATACATACACATATATATATAAAGCTGTGTAAAAACCCAGTTTCTTTGTATCATAATTGACACATAGTGCATATTCAATAAATTCCTGTTGAATGAAAAAAAAAAAATTTAAAAGACGGGCCGGGCCGGGAGCGGTGGCTCACGCCTGTAATCCCAGCACTTTGGGAGGCCAAGGCTGGTGGATCACAAGGTTGGGAGATGGAGACCATCGTGGCTAACCCTGTCTCTCCTAAAAATACAAAAAATTAGCCGAGTGTGGTGGCACGTGCCTGTAGTGCCAGCTACTTGGGAGGCTGAGGCAGGAGAATCGCTTGAACGGGGGAGGCGGAGGTTGCAGCGAGCCAAGATCATGCCACTGCACTCCAGCCTGGGCGACAGGGCAAGACTCCACGTCAATAAATAAATAAATAAATAAACAGACAGCATTGAATAGTAGCAAGCTTATGGAGCAACTCAAACTCTAATATATTGTTGGTGAATGTACATAGTTATACAAGTTATTTGGGAAAAGTTTCAGCACTTTCTTATAAAATTAAATAAACATCTAATTTTTAATCCAACAGTTCCTAGGTATTTACCCAAGATAAATGAAAGTTAATGGGAAAAGAAAGGCTTGTATAAGAATGTTCATAGAAGCTTTATTCATATTATCCAGAACATAGAAATAGCCCTGGTTTCTATCAACAGAATAGAAAACGTTGTGTTATATTAATACAACAAAATACAACCTGGCAATAAAAATAACTACTGATATGCGCAGCAACATGGATGAATCTCAAAGCCAGTATTCTGAGTGAAAATTGCCTTATACAAAAGAAAACATACGTTGTTATTTCATTTATATGAAATTCTAAGGAGCACAATTATGCCTTTAAAAAGAAGAACAGAACAGTAATTGAAACTAACAGGGTAGGGAGCTAGGATTGACTGGGAAAGAGACATCAGGGAATTTTGTGGCTGGTATATTAATAATTTTGGGTTACACAGTTACACACAGATAAAAATATATATGTACTGTACATATGATTTTATTTATCATATATGGTACAGATACAAACATATATGTCTATCTGTATATCTATATATACAACTATATATAGATACATAGACATATATGTTTTATTGACAAATTTATTGAATAGCATAAAGATTTTATATATGAAAATATATATCACCATATATAAAATCTTAAGTATGCTATTTAATTAATTTTGCCAAATATATATACATATAACATATATATTACATATATATAAACACCTGGATTAGATGTCTTACATGGACAGTTTTAAATAATACATATATATATATAATATATATATACACATTATTTTTTTGCAAAATATATATACATATATGAAAAATCTATTGACTAGCATACTTGAGATTTTTGCATTTCACCCTGTTAATTTTATCTAGAAAAACACAAACATTTAACTTATAAGTTTAAGCATATTGAAGGGTTTAGGGATAAAATATAATGATATCTGTTATTCATTTTGAAATGTATAAAAATAAGGTGGATTGATGGATGGATAGATAGGTAGATAAGTTTGTGATATATAACAAAATGTTGATTGTAGAATTTAAGTAGGGAGTAACACAGGTGTTCAATGACATTTCTAATAATTTTTTATGTATTTGATAATGTTCATAATAAAATATTAGGATAAGGCATAGAGAAGAGAAACAATGATATACTACTGGAAAACTGAGTATCATTTGAGCATAGCCTTTGTTAAAGGACTTACTAGAAACATGTCTGAGAAGTAGAATAAATTTTACTTGTAAGAGAAATTCTGTGTCATACTTTGAACTTGAAATTATATCATGACTTATATAGGAAAATGTTCATGTGATGTGCAGATCAGATCGCTTTATTTATTTAATCATTTTTATACTATAATTTTCGATAACTATACACTATACTGACCATATGCCAGATTTTAATGCTATAATGAAAAGAGACACAATTTCATGGCCGGTAGAGATCATGTATGTGATGGATGCAGTCTCATGAATAGAAAACTAAAAGATAATGTTTTAGGTATTATTTTGAAGAAAAGACAAGAAACTTTGTAAATACCTAAATTAGATGTCGGACATGGGCAGTTTTAAAGAAAAATTCTGCCACTGGTGTTGTGTTGTGAATACTGAATATTTGAGACAGGTCTTAGTCAACTTAGTGAGTATATTTTGCCAAAGTTAAGGATGCCTGCTTGTGACGCAGCCTCAGGAGGTCCGAAAGACATCTGCCCAAGGTGGTCTGAGCACAGCTTGGTTTTGGACATTTTAGGGAGACATGAGACATCAATCAATATATGTAAGATGAACAAACATCGGAGCCTGGTGCAGTGGCTCACATCTGTAATCCCAGCACTTTGGGAGGCCAAGGCAAGTGGATCACTTGAGGTCAGGAGTTTGAGACTAGCCTGGCTAACATGGCAAACCTCATCTCTACTAAAAATACAAAATTTAACCGGGTGTGATAGCTTATAATCCCAGTGACTTGGAAGGCTGAGGCTTGAAAATCGCTGGAACCCGGGAGGTGGAGGTTGTAGTGAGCAGAGATCACGATGCCGTCACGGCACTCCAGACTGGGCGACAGAGTGAGACTTTATTTCAAAAAATAAAGAACATTGGTTTGGTCCGGAAAGGAGGGACAACTCAAAGCAAAGGCGGAAAAACTCCAAGTAGGGAGGGGGCTTCCAGGTCATAGGTAGATAAGAGACAAATATTTGCATCCTTTTGAGTTTTTGGTTAGACTTTCCAAAGGAGGCAATCAGATATGCATTTATCTCAGTAAGCAGAGGAATAAACTTTGAGTAGAATGAGAGGCAGGTTTGCTCTAAGCAGTTCCATAGTTGACTTTTCCCTTTAGCTTAGTTATTAATTTTCCTTTCACAGCATAAAGGATAGACTGAAGTTTTTGCAATAGGAGTGGTAAGAAGAAAAGTTCATGAAGGATATTGGTAGTACAGTTGGAGAAGGGTACATCCTAAAATGCAATAATGCACATCCAAGTCCCTTTACCATGAAATAACTCAGCTTTGTTTTAAGTGATTTGGTGCGATAAAATGGTGTCAGGAGCAAAATGATTCCAGGGAAGATGAAAAAGTATTACAGTTACAAAAGTACTTAATAAAATGCAAGAGAAAGAATGCTTTCTCTGCTTGAGAATGCTATTTATTGCCTGGTGTTGGCGTCAGATTTTCGAAAATTTCATGTAGCTTTACCCAAAGCTTAAAATCACAATGCTAATGCTCACTATCATTCATGCTAGCCACCCCCCACCGCCGCTCCCTGCAGGGTAGTCTTTTTTCTATCTGTTTTCTGAATGGATCAAATAATTCAGACCACCCCAGTGAAGTCTAATGAGGATGAGCTTTTACATTTATCTAGGGAAAAATGTGTTCAGAGCTAATGAGGCATTGCAGGGAAAATAGACCTAGCCATAAGCAATCTCCATAAGAAGAGAACATTTCAGCAGTCTAATTCAAAGACTGCATTGTGTGTGCGTGTGTGTTCAGGAAAGACATCTTCTCTTTAACGTCTCACCCTTAATCCAAATTTCACTTGAAAGAAGGAGTAAAAATGTGAAGAAGACACTTTAACTTTTTATTTTAAGAAATGAACAGGCAATATTCTTCTATGAAAAGCCAATAGCCATTTTTCTTCAGAAATAAAATTCCTCAGAAAATTCAAAGATTTAATTACATTACACAGGAAAATCATGTTGGAAACGGAAGAAAGCATTCTTAGTTCACGTATTTTGCATACCTTTTTGTATACAGGAAAAGCAGGATTTTGCTTTAAATAATATATCTCAAAGAACACTACAGTTTAAATTGTATTAACTGATTGAGACTACTTCAGGGAACATTTAATACTATGAAATACTGATTTATTTGGTAGCATCATAATTATAAAGAGCAACCCTCAACCAAAAAAATGATGCAGATTCATTTATAAACAAAAGTCCCATGCTACTTAGGTGAGTTTACACTCATGTACTACTCGAGGTCCTAGAACTTCCCCATGAAATAACATCACTTGCCCACAGTGGTGACTTCCTGGCTAATGAACTCTTTAACAGCCTTCTCTTAATCTCTTTCTCACTTCTCTACCAATGCTTTCTGGATTCACATTTTAAATATCCTGCTTGCTTGTGAATTTGTTACTGGAAGGAGATCCTGATCCAGACCCCAAAGAAGGGTACTTGGATCTTGCACAAGAAAGAGTTCAAGGTGAGTCCATAGAGTAAGCTGAACGCAAGTTTATTAAGAAAGTAAAGGAATAAAAGAATGGCTACTCCATAGGCAGAGCAGCCCTGAGGGCTGCTGATTGCTTGTTTTTATGGTTATTTATTGCTTATATGCTAAACAAGGGGTGGATTATTCATTCCCTCCCCTTTTGAGACCATATACGGTAACTTCCTGACATTGCCATGGCATTTGTAAACTGTCATGGCTTTGGTAGGAATGTAACAGTGAGGACGACCAGAAGTCACTCTTGTGGCCATCTTGAATTTGGTTGGCTTCTTTACTGCAAGCTGTTTTATCAGCAAAGTTTTTAAGACCTGTATCTTGTGCTGACCTCCTATCTCATCCTGTGATTTAGAATGCCTAACTGTCTGGGAATGCAGCGCAGTAGGGTGCTGCCTTATTTTACCAAGCCCCTATTCAAGATAGAGTTGCTCTGGTTCAAATGCCTCTGACAAATATGTCTGCTTCTTGAAGAAACCAAGGAAAATGACGGTATTTTAATTCTTAATGCATAGCTAGATTCTCTTAGCGTATATATTATCTAGAATTTTTGTTGTTTTCTTAAAACGTGAAGCTATACATTCATTTTTTGTATTACTGCTATCTGGTTCTTGGAATCAAATTATATTAGTCCCATGAGATCTAAAATTATTATTGCATAGTTCATAATTTTGCTTTTAAATATTTTGTTTTAAGATAGACTTCATTTTGTATGTATTTTGTTTATTTGCAACTCTTCTATTTTTTTCTAATTTAGTCTTGTCAAAGAGATAATTGTCTTTATGCAGAACCTGTTTTTGGTTTGTTTAATTGTTTTCTCCTGCTTATTTCATTGATTTCAGATTTTATCTTTATTCTTTCTTTCCATCATATTACTTTGGGTTTCCTCCGTTGCTTTTTTCTCTAATTTATTTTGTTTAATGCTTAACCCATTTGTTTAAGTCATCTATTTAGATAGTTTAAATACATATTTTAAATATATTTAGGGTCATTATGTCCATGTAAGGATTATTTTAGTTGTGTCACATAGAATGTGACATATAGTTTTTAAAATATCAATTATGAGTATTTTTAATTTTTAAAAGTTCTTTATGACTTTTTTCTAACCTAAGGATTATTTAGTAACATACTAAATTGTCTTCAAATATGAAACATTTTTAAAGCTACCATTTAAATGTTAATTTCTAATTTTACTGTACTTCAGATAGAGAGGGAAATCTGTAGAATAATGATTTCTTAGGAATTTAAATGAAAGTTTTAAATAAGTGTATATATGCTCTATTTTTTTACCATTTCAGTATGGGTATTCCTCTGTCTTATATGTTCATTTTATGAATTATTTCGTATGTATATATATATGACAAATGTTTCTCCATTATTTTGAAGAATACTTCTTATTTTTACAAATATTCTCTATCCTTTCCCCTTACTTCCCTCTGGGATTTGTAATTTCAAGATGTTAATGTTCTTGATCCTCTATAAATGTGTGTCAGTTTCCTATGGCTCCTATGAGAAATTACCACAAACTTAGTGGCTTAAAACACAAATTAATTATTTTAAAGTTCTGAAGATCAGAAGTCTGAAATGTGTTTCACTTGGCCAAAACCAAAACGTATAGGGCCTTACTCACTCTGAGGGCTGAATCTGTTTTCTGTCTTGTTTCAGCTTCTAGAGCTGAAACGACCTTTACAAAATTATAACAAAGAAAGAAATCTAACATAGCTAGCCATTTTCTTCTAAATTGACAAGCTGTTTCTGCTTTGCTCATTCCTACATGCAGGTCAAGCTAACTATGGGAGGAATTTGTTTTCGAGTTTAACTTTAAAGCAAGAATGAGAATAGCTCCTTCCCAAAACTAATCTTCTTGTTCAGGAACCAAAACTGCCTTTGTAAAGGTAATGAAAGGCCACGAAGTTAAAATTATGGTAGGGGCCTAAATTCTGCTGAGATGTAGGCATAGTTTAACTCTTACAAGTCATTGTTTCTTCTGCTAAGATGTAGGTACAGTTAACTCTAACAAATCAATGTTTTATAACTTGCCTATTTGTAAGTGCCTGCTGCTCAGGAGTCATGTAGCCAGTGGTCACGAGATTTACAATTTCCTCAGTTGCCCCTATAGATAACATTACTATTGTAAAACCTAAGACTGGTGTTTGAGAATTTTTCAGACCTTGCATTCTGGTGAACCAACTGGTACCATCTGGACCAGGAACCCATCCCAAGAAATTGACTCAACAGATTCCTGACTTCCATCCAGGAACTGACTCAGCACACAAGAAAGTTTCAACGCCTTGATGATTTCATCCCCAACCCAACAAATCAGCATTCCCCATTCCCCATTCCCTAGCTCCCTGCCTGTCAAATCATCCTGGAAAAATCCTTGCCTTTGAATTCTAAAGAAGGTGGATTTGAGAAATATTTCCCCTCCTCCTTTCTTTGTCATCCTGCAATTATTAAACTCTTTCTCTGCTGCAACTTCTACTATCTCAGACTTTTCTGCCCAGATTTTTCTGGGCAGTGGGCACGAAGAACTCATATGGGCAATAAGAGAGCTGCATTCCTTGTAATTCTTGGCTCATGGTCCCTTCCACTATCTTCAAAGCCAGAGAATAGCCTCTTCAAAATCTCTCTCTGCTTCTCTTTTCACATTTGGACTCACCAAGACAATCAAGAATAATCTTCCATCTCATTAATCTAATTTAATCACATCTGCAAAGTTCCTTTTGCCTATCACAATTGCTTAGTTTCTTTTTTCTTATTAAAAAAAATTATTATACTGGATATGGCTGAACAAAGAATTACTGACCTTATGGATATCTTAATGTAAACTTCCAAAGCTGAAAAGTAAAGGGAAAAAAGATTTCCCTAAACTTTAATATCCAAGAACTGTGGGCACCTGCAAAAAGTGAAGCACATATGTAATGGAAATACGAGAAAGAGAAAAAAAAAAAAAGAAACAGAAGAAATATTGAAACAATGATGCCTGACAATTTCCCAAGTTAATGTCAGACAACAAACCACAAATCTGGGAAAATCAGAGAACACTAAATATGATAAATGCAAAGTAAAATAAAATAAAAATAAACTACATCCAGATATATTATATTCAAACTATAATCTAAGGTTTTTAAAAAAAATCTTTAAAAAATCTAGAAGGAAATCACATCTTACTATAGAGGAACAGAGGTAAGAATTATATCTAACTTCTCGTTCAAATCCATGTAAGATAGTGAAGTTAAATCATTAAAGTGTTGAAAGAAAAAGCAAAAATATCTGCCTAGAATTTTATATCTTATAAAATACTTTCTCAGATAAACAAAAACTAAATTGAAAAAATGTTTTGCCAATATACCTGTCTTGCAAGAAATGCTAAAAGTAATTTTTTAGAAAGAAGGGAAATTATCAGAAATACAGATCTGCATAACTAAAGGAGGAGCATGAAAGATGGAATAAGGGAAGGTAAAATAAAATTTCTCATCTCATTCTTAATCTGCCAGATACATTTATTCAAAATAATAATAGCAACAATGTATTTGATTATGTATGCTTATGTATATATCTTATACATGTAGATATTCATGTTTATATATGTTTATATACAGGTGAAAAGAATGGCAGAAATGATAGAAGGGATAGGAGGTAGAAATTAGAATTATTTTGTTATTACAAGGTACTTACAATACCTGTGAAATGGCATAGTGTTATTGAAAAGTGTAACTGGATTGTAAGTGTGTATCACAAATTCTAGAGCTGCCACTAAAAAGTAATAAAAGATATATAACTAACACTCTAAGAAAGAAGAGAAAATTTAATCATAAAAAATGCTCAATTAAAACCACAAAAGGCAGAAAAAGAGTGAAAGGAAGAGAAGTAGAACAAATAGAAAAAGTAACAAATATTATAGATATTAGATATTGTATATTGTATAACTATATCAATAATACCTTTTAATAGCAATGGTCTAAATATACCAGTTAAAAGACAGACTATTAGAGTGGTTCAAAAACAAGACTCATATACATGTTGTCTACAAAAAACTCACTTTAATGGAAAAGATACATATAGACTAAAAGTAAATAGATAGAGAAAGATATATCATACTAACACTTATCAAAAGAAAGTGGGTGTAGCTATATTAATTCAGGTAGAGCAAACTTCAAAGCAAGAAAACTTACAAAAATAGACATATAGAGCTATAATCGAATAGAGAGCCCAGAAATAATGTCACACATTTACAATAATTTAATCTTTCACAAAGATGACAAAAACAAGCAATGGGGAAAAGACTTTCTATTCAATAAGTGGTGCTGAGATAACTGGCTAGCCATATACAGAAGACTGAAACTGGACCCCTTCCTTACACCATATACAAAAATCAATTCAACATGTACTAAAGAATTCAATATAAAACCTAAAACTATAAAAACCCTGGAAGATAATGTAGAAAATACTATTTTGAACATAGTCTCTGGCAAAGACTTCTTGACAAAGATACCAAAACCAATTGCAACACAAACAAAACTTGACTAAATGTAACCTAATTAAACTAAAAATCTTCGGCACAGCAAAAGAAACTACCAAACAGAGTAAATAGACAACCTACAGAATGGGAGAAAATATTTGAAAACTATGCATCTGACAAAGGTCTAATGTCCAGATTCTATAAGGAACTTGAACAAATTGACAAGCAAAAAACAACTCTATTAAAAAGTGAGCAAAGGACATGAACAGATACTTTCCAAAAGAAGACATACATGTGGCCAAGAAGCATATGAAAAAAATGCTCAACATCACTAATCATTAGAGAAATGCAAATCAAAACCACATTAAGATGCCATCTTACACCAGTTAAAATGGTTATTATTAAAAATTCAAAAAAAACAACAGATGCTAGCAAGCATAGAAAAGGGAGCACTTATACACTGCTGGTAGAAACGTAAATTAGTTTAGTCATTGTTGAAAGCTGTGTGGTGATTTCTCAAATAACTGAAAACAGAATTACCATTCAACCCGGCAATCGCATTATTAGTTATATACCCAAATGCAATATAAATCATTCTGCTATAAAGACACATACAGGCATATCATATGTTCATTGCAGCACTATTCACAACAAAGAAATGAAATCAACTTAAATGCCCATGGTAGACTGGATAAGGAAAATGCAGTACATATACACCATGTAATGCTATGCCGCCATAAAAAAAGAACAAAGTCATGTTCTTTGCAGCAACATGAATGGAGCTGGTGGACTTAGCCAACTAACACAGGAACAGAAAACCAAGTATCACATTCTGTCCTTTGTAAGTGGGAGCTACACATTGAGGACACATGGACACAAAGAAGGAAACAAGAAACACCAGGGCTTACTTGAGTGTGGAGCACGGAAGGAGGGAGAGGATCAAAAAACTACCAGTTGGGTACTATGCATATTGTCTAGGTGACAGAAAATCTGTACACCAAATCTCTGTGGCACAAAATTTACCTGTATTACAAACCTGCACATGTACCCCTGAATCTAAAATGGAAATTTTAAAAACATTATTACATTGTGATAAACGATTCATTCTCCAAGAGGACATAACAATCTTTAATGTGTATATGTCTAACAACAGGGCATAAAAATAGGTGAGGCAAAAATTGACAGAACTGCAAGGAGAAATAGATGAATCCAATATTATAGTTGAAGAATTCAACACTCCTCTGTCAGAAATGAACAGATCCAGAAGGCAGAAGATCAGTTAGGACGTAGTTGAACATAACACAATCATCAATCAACTGGATATAACGGATATTTGTAGTCTACTTTATCCACCAACAGCTGACCGCACCTTCTTCTCAGGCTCACATGGAATATTCAGCAAGGCAGGCCACATTTGGGGTTGTAAAACATGCCTTAAGAAATTTAAAAGAATAGAAATCATACAATGTGTGCTTTCAAACCACAATGAAATTAAACTACAAATCAATAACAGAAAGATAACTGGAAAATCCCAAAACACATGGAGAATGAACAACACACTTTTCAATAACACATAGGTTAAATAAGAAATATCATGATAAATTCAAAAGTATTTTGAACAATATATATATGAAAACACAACTTGTCAAAATTTGTGGAATGCAGCAAAAACAGATCTTTTTTTTTTTTTTGAGATGGAGTCTTGCTCTGTCACCCAGGCTAGAGTGCAGTGGCACGATCTCGGCTCACTGCAACCTCTGCCTCCCAGGTTCAAGGAATTCTCCTGCCTCAGCCTCTGAGTAGCTGGGACTACAGGCGTCTGCCACCATGCCCGGCTAATTTTTTATTTTTAGTAGAGACGGGGTTTCACCATCTTGGCCAGGCTGGTCTCGAACTCCTGACCTTGTGATCCACTCGCCTCGGCCTCCCAAAGTGCTGGGATTACAGGTGTGAGCCACCGCGCCTGGCCAGCAAAAACAGATCTTAATTGGGGTTTTATAGCATTGAATGTATATATTAGAAAATAAGAGAGATCTACAATCAATTATCTAAGCATCCACATAAGAAACTAGGAAAAAAAGAGCAAATTCAGTTTAAAGTAGGTAAAAGAAAAGAAAGAATAAAAGTTAGAACAGAAGTCAATGAATTTGAAAACAGGGAGTCAATAGAAAAAAGTCAACAAAATCAAAAGCTTGCCTTTAAAAGATCAATAAAATCATTAAGACTCTAGCCAGGCTAACTAGAAAAAGAGAAAGCAAACAAATTAATAATACCAGCAATGAAAGAGAGCATATCACTATAGATGCCATAGTCATTAAAAAAATAATACAGGAAACAATAAAATAAATTAACAATACAAATAAATAAATAAAATAATAAATAACAAAACAATAATAAAAAGATAATACAGGAAAACAATAAATAACTCACAAATTTGATAACCTACAAGCAATGAAGTGATTTCTTGAAAGACACAATCTGCCAAAACAGGACAAATCAACAACTCCTATATGATGCTTCTCTACCAAGAAACTCTTCTGATTTTAGCTTGTAGAAATCTACAGCTCTAGCAGAGAACATTTTCGTAGGTTGTCATCCAAGTTTCCTGGGTGTTGTAGGGGGAGAAGATCAGCATGTACCTGTTTTCCTCTCTGCAGCTGGGCTTTTGACGTCTCAGTCATTGCCCATCCAAAACCTGTTGTAGTTTTTTATTTCTCTCACTGACGAGGAGGACATGATAATCCAAGGCAATGCAAGAAAGGGGGAAAGTGGAAATAGAGAGTGTTCCTCTAACTTAATCCCTTGCTGCCACTTTTAGTTACCATCAGTGCCTGGCTGCAGCTATCCCTCCACAAAGAGTCACACAGACCCACAACAGTTCATGATAGCCTTCTGTCTTCCCAAGGATTTCTCATTTTTTTGTAAGTTCCTAAGATCCATGTTCTCCTTTATTTCCATATATTTGCTTTGTAGAGAAGGTTCCAGCAGGACATGCTAGTTCTCCATTCTGACAGGAAGATGAAACCTCTTTTCAGAATGGAGTTTATATTGGCCCCAGACAATGGATCATTATTGGTTTAATTCTAGAATGGTTTCTTGTTCTTTGCTTCCCAGCCTCTCTTGCAGCTAGACCTAGTCACATGGCCCACTGTGCCCAATAAAATTAAAGGAAATTCTGATGTTGGACTTTTAGAAGTCCTTATTATTTCCTAACAAAAGATTTATCATTTTATCTTTAGCATCTTGAATATAGATGTGATGCCCAGAAAAAAACCGCAGTCATTGTGTAAGCAGGAGCGGAAAGACAAAAGAACAGCAGAGGCTAACCCTGATATCATTGACCTTGTGAACGGATGCCAGCATCTACCTACTTCCAGATTGCTTAGTTAAAAAAAAAATTGTTATGCCACCGTTAATTGTGGTTAATATTATGTGAAACATGCAAATGACCAGCTTTTTATTTTACACAATAGTTTCTAAGAGGAAAATAACTAATATTTAGGAAATACTTAGGAGTTTCAAGGTAATTGTGCCAGAGACTCTAAATAAATCATTTCAATTACACTTCATAGAAAGCCCGCATGGAGTTATACAATTTCCATTTTTTTGATTAGAGAATTTGGGCTGAGGGAAGGGAAATAACCTTGCTGAGGGCTAAAATTTAAATATAGGTCTGCTTTTTCCAATATACCGTATTACCTGCCCAATCTATCTGTTTATAATACCAAATGGATCTACATGTGGGAATTCATATATTTACAGTGACTTTTAACTATTTTCCTTGTCCCAGGGAGGCTTGTTTTTGTAAATGGCACTCATTTCTGTTTAACATTTACAGCCCTAATTCCTTTGGTTCTCAAGATTTTTTACCATTATATTGCACTATCATAAGGCAAACCCCCTTGAGCGGGCATGCTCTTAAATACTTACCAGCTAACAGATAATATAGTATTGAAATCTAGCCTGGAGAGAATGGGGCATGAGCTAGGCACTTGATGATGGTTCTGAAAAGGGAGGTTAAAATTTCCCAAAGACAGTCTTTGTCTCCTGTGCTATTCTGTTTAAGACAGGTCCTGGGGATATGATGTCCTTTATTATTATTATTATTATTATTATTATTATTATTATTATTATTATACTTTAAGTCTTAGGGTACATGTGAACAACATGCAGGTTTGTTACATATGTATACTTGTGCCATGTTGGTGTGCTGCACCCATTAACTCGTCATTTAGCATTAGGTATATCTCCTAATGCTATCCCTCCCCACTCCTGCCACCCCACAACATCTATGAGGGAATTAATCTATGAGGGAATACAGACCAGTGACCTCAGAATAGAGAGGTGAGATACAATGTGTGACAAAAAAAAAAAAAAATCTAAGCAACAGAAAAGACACTGTCCTGCCTTTCTCTTAAATCCACTTTGCACTTTGTGTATGAAAGAGAAACCAGGCTTTGTCACTGGCACTGACAAGGACCAGTAGCAGATCCGAAGAGGATGTCAGACCACAGCAAAGGCGTTAACCAAAGCACCCACAGTGTTATGTAGCTTTGAGCTACAGGGAATAACGAGTCTCTGTCTTGATTTGTTTTTGAACAAGGGAAGCACTTAAAGAGATGGTAAATAGGCTTTGTTTTGAATTTTTTAGTTTTGTGCCTAGACCAAGTAATGTGATCATTATTATCCTTGAAATATTTTTATCCATTTCTAGTAAGTTGCAGAATATTCTAATTTTGGAGAATAAGTTATTCCAGTTCATTTCGTTGCTGCCTTAAACAATGAAGAATGCAAACTTGACCACAAAGACCTCAATAATCAACTCATAGAGAATCATAAAATTTTACCTCTCATCAGGACCTTAGAGAGCAAAGAGTTCCGTCTCAAGGTTTCAGAGATGAATAAACAGATCCAGAGAGGTTAAATGACTTTGACCAAGGTCACAGTGTTCATCTACAACTGCACTGGGACTATAACCAAGAACTCCTGAAACTGTTTCATTGTAATTCTACCACTCCATGAAGCTTTCATAGGGCAAACTGCATATAAATATATTAAAGGGCTCCAAACTGCAAGACAATTCTAGATTCATATTCCATACCCATCTACGTTACACAAATTACCAAATCTTCCCCATGTTAAAAAAAAATATGTGGAGTGGTCAGCATTGTGATTGTACACACACAGACACACACACACACACAGATACTTAAAACTTTATTATATTTTAAAGATGTGCCAAGATATTTTTCATAGGTTTACATATTTACCAGTATAAATCATAAAGAAAGGGTATTTCAGTAGATTGATTTAACCCAGGATTTTGTTCTTCTAAAATACATGGATTCTCTTTAGAGATTACAAACCATATAGCTTTGTATACATTATAAATAACATATACATATTTTAATACTTCCATTAAGGAAGAATAGTAAATCATAAGTGTTTTGCAACTGGACTTTAATCTATGCCAGAGAAATGCCCTTGTTATTCTGTTGTTTCTTGGGTTGTCCTTTATCATTTTCCTTGCTGGCCTAATCACTTAAAATATAACCTTGGAAAAGTACCTTACTTTTCTGAGTTCTAACTATTTAAAAAAACTATGGATAAGTACATTTATAAAACTTTCTCCTTATTTCCTTATTACAGTTTTTATTCTCGTTCTGCAAAGAAATACACCTAAGTCAGTCCCTCTTTTTCACTCAAATTTCTCACTTCCTATAGCAAATGCTTAAAAAAAAGGTAGGAACTGACTGCACTCCCCCTTCTGGTAGTATTTTAGCCACAAGACACACATTGTTGGGCCATTTGAGATGTGATTAAAGCTCAACTAGCCTACTTCTCCCACTGGAGAGAACTTGTTACCAAAGGAGAACGGTCTATTACTGCCAATAAAAATAGAATCAAGTGTGTATGTGTGCATTATATATCACAAAAAACCTTTCAATGTTTTATCTCATTTCATATTCACAACAATATTGTGAGGAAAATATTACTTCTGAGTTCAGATTAAGAAAGTGTGGTTATTTCATAATGTATGATTATTTACACAAATTAACAGTTCATATCAATTATTAATTACTTATGAATTACTCATATCATTTCCCAGATAAACAATAATTGCAAATAAAATTTATTGAGTTTCTCCCATATTTATTGACAAATCCTAAGACATATAAAAATATCTCCATTTTTCATATGAGCAAACTAATACTTAGCAAATATAAGTCATTTGTCCAAGTTCACACAGCTAACAAGCAGTAGAGTTGAATTTGAATTCAGTCAGTATGCGTATATAGCCAATAGTTAAAAATGCAGTTAAGCTATGAAAATTGTCAAGAAATAAAATAAAGACATGAAGAGGAACAGGAAACAAATGAAATCAATTATAGTTATTGCTAATATAGTTAATGTTATTGATCATAAATTTTACCTAGAGGTTTCCTATTGGCAACAGAGCTGAAAAGGAAAACGTGGTTGATTCAGTAACATCTCTTTCCTAATTTTGTAAAGTTAAAAAGGGAGCTGCAAAGAATTGAAAAGTAGAGATATATATGTCATTGAAGTTAAATAATGAAATAATTTCTCTTTGGTGATCTAATGTCCACAAACGTGGTATATGTGCTGGGTCTACTCCACTGCCTTCTCTGAACCCCTTCCTGGGCTTCTGTCCTCCTCCGCCTTGCCTTAGAGGTGACCTTAACGACCCACATCAGTGTATTTCCTTACCCTCTTCTCTTAGGTTTTTCCAGTGGAGGACAAGCAGATAATTTGAGGGCCAACGATGGAACAGTAAGGTTTATGTATTTATTCTTCCTGCTGGGTCACTGTGGATCATCTGTGTCCCTCTGTTGCAGACTACCTGTCAGGCAGCCCTCTCAGAATTTGGGCAATTGCTCCTTCCCTGCTCCTTCGGACATAGGGTAAGGGTTCCTACCTGTTGTGAGTCCAGGAATACTAAACCATCCCTTGTTGGCTTTCCTAAATTCTGTCCACCTCTTTGCAAGTAATCCATTTATAAAATTCTCCACAAATCTCCAAAGTAACTTATCTGTCTCCAGAGTCTATAGGCGTTCCACTGTCACATGAATCCCACACCATACTGCACATATGACTCGCTGATAAGAAAGGGCTATCCATTTGCCTTTTAAATTTGCCAAATATAACCAATCTGTAACAGGAGAGTTGCCTGACATTCAGTTTTCCAAATACCTTGTAATTAAGTACTTGCTTCTTTAGTTATTGGGTCAGACACTTCCTGTTATTGCATTTCATTTAGGAGTGTTGAGTTTCTATAGCTGTCTAAGAAAATCAGCAGTAATTTTCCTAGGGTTACACAATTACCACAAACACATTTATGTCAACATTCACATTGTTTGCCATAGCAAAAAGCTCTTAATAGTTACAACTAGCATTAAGGCTCAGGGTATACTCTTTATATCTCTATATTTTTAGTTCCTCAACCTCAGTTCTGTTTTTTCTAAGCCAGTTGACAAATATGTACTTTTATCTGAAATACAAATTATATGTGCAATATAAGATAGATATGCCAATTTTAAAATGTGTGGCTGTAGAATTAACAGAAAATTTTTCCTTGTACACTACATTACATCATTTAATAAATGAGCACTGGTTTTACCATTTTTAACATTTTTGCCACCTTTAACGAGAGATTTCTTCTGTGTTTTCTTATATCTGCCAGGGTAAAAAGTCACTAGAAAGTTAAGGTGTTTGAAATCAAAAGTGATGTCCTTTTAGTGCAGAGAATCATGTTTGAGACTTCTTAATAACAGAAGAAGAGTCAAAGATGAAACAAGCTTGGCTCTGCCACAAATTTTATTTTAATCTAGTTCTCTTTTCACAGGACAGACTCAGAGGCATGGAATCTGCATCCTCTGAGGGTAACCACTAAAAGAGATGTCACTGACAATAGAGTAGATTCTACCACAGCTGTCTGAAGCAAGTACTTTAAAATGAAGCTTAGTAATAAGTAAAAAAAAAAAAAAAAAAAAAAAAAAAGAAAGTCCAAATGGAAGACTCATACAAAAGTCTTACATAGATGTACACTGCCTATAAATGTAGGTAATTTGAAAAGGGCCAGATCTATTGAACTTCACCATAAATCAGATTAAAATTAGATTTAAGATTAATCGATATTTGATCTAGGGACCAACTTAGCATCTTTTACATAACGTGTCCAGAGAGTAATCTTAGAAATCATTAATGATTTAGTTTTGTCTTCCCTTTCTGTAAGAATATTATTTACAGAGTAATAAATTGAATTAGGTTGATACCTGCCCAAATATGCTTAATGGCAAACAGAATTGAAAGAATCTTTGCGATATTTACTTGCAAGAAAATATTGCAGCAGCCGGTCCTGTGCAGGCCAACTCACATTGTTTCGGGTTTCTTTGCTATTGTTGTTGTTTGTTTCTTTGTTCGTTTTGCAATTTCACAGTGTTTATTTGATTTGCCTTTCTTTAGAGGTCCTGCTGCACTGTCTATTTCAGATCTTTCTCAAGGCTTTTTCTAAGGTTAAAGAAAATTGATGTAAAGTTGCTGAGGTAACTTCAGTGGTATATTCATATGCATTTGTGTGTGTGCAACTGTGTGTGTGTGTCACAGTAGTTCTGTGAAAACCACATTTTCCTTCAGAATTCAAAGCAAAATAGACCATTTTAATGAAAAACATAACAGAAAACCTTTTCTGGTTCTCAGTGGCAGCACAACATAAACCTCTTATTCAGTTGCTGTTCACAAACTCTAGTCCAGATTCATAATGGTCATAACCAGTATGTTCCTTATAAATAATATGGTAGTGTTCAGGGCAGACATTTAAATCAAACGGGACTTGAAACCCAGATTCGTCCCAGTTATGTTCAGACATTGAGAAAATTAGTAACACACCATTCTAAGTCTTTGAAGCATCAGTAAAGTAGAATGAAAATTAGTTAAATCTTACAACTTCAAAATATCAGTGTCTTTGAATTAATTTAAAGGAATAATGGCCACAGGAGACATTATTTTAGTCCCTAATACATAGTAGAAACTAAATAAATGGTATGTTTTATATTTATTATTAATAAATATTTTTCTGATATAGTTTCTCTCTTGAAATTACTGAATTTTCTTTTTGAAACCCTTTCTAAAAATAAGAAGATATTCTATGGTACTTAATAGATAGTATACCTTCAAGGTGAGTTCATATAAGTGGTTTAGGAGCACACTTGTAATCCCAACACTTTGGGAGGCCAAGGCAGGTGGATGATCTGAGATCAGGAGTTCAAGACCAGCCTGGCTAACATAGCAAAATCCCGTCTCTACTAAAAATACAAAAATTAACCAGGTATAGTGGCAGATACTTGTAATCCCAGCTACTTGGGAGACTGAGGCAGGAGAATCACTTGAACCCGGGAGACAGAGATTGCAGTGAGCCAAGATGGCGCCACTGCACTCCAGCCTGGCCGACAAGAGCGAAGCTCCATCTCGGGAAGGCGGGGGCAGGGGGTGGCGGCGGGGGTGAAGAAAACAAAAGAAATGGTTCAGGAGACAATTGTGACATAAGTGATGTTAACCTTCAGCTTCCCTTGCATCCAATTTAGGTGCTTTTTTTTCTCCTCTCTCTCTTTTTTTTTTGAGATGGATTCTCGCTCCAGCCCTTCATGCTGGAGGGCAATGGCATGATCTCGCCTCACTACAACCTCCGCTTCTGGGTTCAAGTGATCCTCCCACCTCAGCCCCCCAAGTAGCTGGGAATACAGGTGCGTGCCACCACATCCAGTTAATTTTTGTATTTTTAGTATAGACAGGTTTTGCCATGCTAGCTAGGCTAGTCTCAAACTGACCTCAGGTGATTTGCGTGTCTTGGCCTCCCAAAGTGCTGGGATTACAAGTGTGAGCCACCATATCCGGCCAGTTTAGATGCTTCTTTTAGAAACTTCTTTCCAGATTTTAAGGTTTAAGTGAAAAGCAAAAATTGTATCTATTTATGGTGTCTGATATGGTGTTTTGATATATGTATACATTATGAAATTATTAAATCAATCTAATTAACATATCTGTCCAAATATATACTCATTATTGTTTTTGGTGAGAACATTTGATCTTGTCTCTTAGCAATTTTCAAGTATACAATACTTTTCTACCAACTATATTAACCACACTGTATAATAGATCCCCAGAAGTTATTCATTCCATCAAACTGTAATTTTGTACCCTTTGACAAACATCTTGCCATTCCTTAAATCCCATCCCAGATACTGGTAACCGCCATTCTATTCTCTGCTTCTAGGTTCAACTTTTTTGTAGATTCTACATATAAGTTCATGCACTATTTGTCTTTCTTTGCCAAACTTATTTTAGTTAGCATAATGTTCTCCAGTTTCATCTATGTTCTTATAAATGACAGGATTTCCTTCTTTTTTAAGGCTAAGTAGAATTCCATTATATATATGCCAAATTTTCTTTAGACATTCATCCCTTCATGGACACTTAAGTTGATCCCATATCTTGACTATTGTGAATAATGCTACAGTGAATATGGGGTACATACATCTTTTTCACACACTGATTACATTTCCTTTGGAAATATTCTTAGAAGTGGGATTTCTGGGTCCATTAGAAGTTCTAATTCTAATTTTTTAAGAAGTTGACATACTGTTTTCCATAATGGCTGTACCAGTTTACATTCCCACCAATAGTGTACAGGGTTCTTTTTCCTTACATCCTCTCTAACACTGATCTTCGTCTTTTTGGTAATAGCTATTCTAAGAAGTGTGAGGTGATCTCTCATTATGGTTTTAATTTGCATTTTCCTGATGATTAGTAATGTTGAACACTTTTTTTGTATATCTGTTGACCATTTGTATGTCTTCTTTTAATCTATTCAAGTTATTTGCCCATTTTCAATTGGATTATTTGCTTTCTTGCTATTGAGTCATTTGAGTTCCTTATATATTTTGGATATTCACCCCCATCAGATGTATGGTTTGCATATATTTTCTCCTATTATGTAGGTTGTTTCTTTATGCCATTAATTGTTTCCTTTGGTGTGCAGAAGTTTTGTAGTTTGATGAAATCCCATTTATTTTTGCCCTTGCTGTCTATATTTTTGGGGTAATATTCAAAATATTCTTCTCAAGACCAATGTTGAGAAGCGTTTTCTCCTATATTTTCTTCCAGTGGTTTTACTGCCTCTTGTTTTAAGCCTTTAAACAATAACATCATAAAATGGGGAAAAAAATTAACCAAAGAGATAAAAGATCTGTACACAGAAAACTTAAACATTGATGAATGAAATCGAAGAAGACTTAAACAAATGGGAAAATATCCCATGTTTATAGATTAGAAGAATTAATGCTATTAAAATGTCCATACTACCTAAGCAATCTACAGATTCAATGTGCTCTCTATTAAACTTCCAATGACATTTTTCACAGGAGTAAAAAAAAAAAAAATTCTAAAACTCACATAGTCACAAAGACCCTGAATATCCAAAAGTCTTAAGCAAAAAGAACAAAGCTTGAGGCACTATACTACCTGACTTCAAAATATATAACAAAACTATAGTAATCAAAATAGCATGGTAATAGCATAAAAACAGATGTATAAATCAATGGAACAGAATAAAGACCCAAGAAATAAATTCACGCATTTATAGTCAATTAGCCTTCAACAAAGATGCCAAGAACACACAATGAGGAAAGAACTGTCTCTTTAATAAACTGTGGTGGGAAAACTGAATATCCACATGCAGAATAATGGTTTCAGCACTTTTATAACCCATTACCAATCACTCCTCTTTTAAAACACACACTACTCACATTCTTTTTATTATGGTAAAATAATTGAAAAAAAAATCATTGACATCACACCAGAATTCTCCATTAAAACCTTTTTAAGTAATGTGTATCTTTTCAGCCATTGCGGTTGTAGCGATTTATAACTATATATCAATTTGCATGACTAGTTATCCATTGTTGCCTGACAAAATGCCACAGTTTTAACAGCTGGAAAGCACAAAAATATTATTATATTGTATTATTTTGTGAGTCAGAAATTCAGGCTTCTCCCAGAACTACCAAGAATGGTACATTTCTTCTATAGTCAATAAATTGAGGTCGCTTCAAGGTACTCATGTCACGGCTAGTATGGAGGGGACATGATATTTACTTATATGACCAAGCCTTGGATGGAAGGCTGGGCTCAAGTGGGCCCCTTTCTCTGCCATGTAGCCTGAAGGCCTCGCAACAAGGTGTATCCTGCAAGATAACAGGACTTCTTACATGGCCGCTCAGGGCACTAAAAGAACAATGCAGAAGTAATTTAGCATGGTGCCTTAGATGTATCAAAGAATAAATAAATATTTGTGACCTAGAGATAAATGCATCTCCTAGAAATATTTTCAGTGTATTATATAACTAAAACTAAATTCCTTAACTCAAAGATATGCTTGATTAATTTATAGCAATTTGGGCTCTATGTTAAATCATATTCACTTCAGTGAGTATGAGCTTATGGATAAGATACTGCTGTTTCACTTAACTTGACCACAGCAAACTCTTCATTTGAGCACGGACAATAACAGTGTTTGGCAGCCAGTTACACACATTGTACTTTGTTTGATATGCAGATGATGTAACAACAAAAGAAGACTCAAAGATCCCTATATCACAAGATGTATGAAGACAGGGACCTGTTATACTGCATATTGTGCAGTATTTGTTGTATAAATAAATAAAATCCTCTCAATAAATACAGTATAGATTTTTCTTATGATTGGAAAGTTCATGCCATTACATTTAGATTTGTTCTTATTTTCCTTCCAAAATAAACATATATTTTATAGTTAGGAAGACAATGAAAATATTTTGACATTTAAATATTCATTTTTTTCACCCAGTAAATCTAGATGTTTCTATTAGGTGGTGGTAACTTTACTTGGGAATTAATCTGATCAACAAGAACAGGCTAAACACGAAACTAGTTCAAAACCAGTATACTCAATTCTTCAGCCTCATTTTAAGATTTTTAAACATTACATGATTCTTGTTAAAAGGAAAATGAATATAACATATAAAGGGATGATTTGCGACTTTGAATTATATTAATAGTCATAAAGATATGACCACAGGTCAACAGCAAAAAAGAGAATAATGTGTGCTTCATTAATCACTCAAAAACTAAAATAAAATCAAAACCAAAATATAAAATTAAACAAAGCACCAGTTTATGTTGGGGATAATTAGAAAAGGAATAACTGCAAATTACATTCTGAGAACTCACAAAGCTATTATCTATACAACAATATCTATCATTTACTGAGCACTTAGAATGAACCAGGCATAGACCATATCATACAAGTCACTGTTCAAAAGAACAAATGAGTTATTACACCCATTTTACAGATGTATTAGTCCATTTTCACACTGCTAAAATGACATATCTGAGACTGGGTAATTTCTAAAGGAAAGAGGTTTAATTGACTTACAGTTCCTCAGGGCTGGGAAGGCCTCTGGTAACTTACAATCATGGTGGAAGGGGAAGCAAACACACCCTTCTTCACATGGTGATAGCAAGGAGAAGTACAGAGTGAAGGACGGAAAGAGCCCCTTATAAAACCATCAGATCTCGTGAGAATTCACTCACTATCACGAGAACAGCATGGAGGTAACCACCCCCATGATTTAATTACTTCCCACCAGGTGTCTCCCACGACATGTAGGGATTATGGGAGCTACAATTCAAGTGGGTGGGGAGACAGCCAAACCATATCAACAGATGAGAAAATGGTACCCTACAGCAGTTAACTAGTTTTCTCAATTTGTGTAGCGAATAAGTGATAAGCTCGTATTTGAATCCAAGTCTGATTAATATTAGTATGTGAGCCTAATCGCCTTATCTATTCATTCATTAGACAGATAAAGATTGGGTGTTTAAGGGTATGAAACACAATTCAGATGCTGGTGATCTGGATAGGAACAGACTAGACAAAGCCCCTGCTCTTTTGCAGCTAACTATCTAGTTTGGCGAGAAATATAATAAGATATATATACAAGTTTTATTGTGATTAATACAATGAAGAAAAATAAAATAGATGAAAAGGATATGAAGTGATGAGAATTGGTATTAGTCAATGAGTAATATCTTACTGAAATATTTAAAGGATTTTTTTTTAGCTAGCATGCTCTGAAAACCTATAAATTCCTTTAAGAAGGAGACAAAGCTCCTAATTATAATAAAAATCAAGTCACTCCGCCAGGCATGGTGGCTCATGCCTGTAATCCCAGCACTTTGGGAGGCCGAGGTGGGCAGATCACCTGAGGTCAGGAGTTTGAGACCAGCCTGGCCAACATGGTGAAACCCTGTCTCTACTAAAAATACAAAATAATAAGCTGGGTGTGGTGGCACGTACCTGTAATCCCAGCTACTCAGGAGGCTGAGGAAGGAGAATTGCTTAAACATGGGAGGGGAAGGCTTCAGTGAGCCGAGATCGTGCCACTGCACTTCAGCCTGGGTGACAGAGCAAGACTCCATCTCAAAAAAAAAAAAAAAAAAAAAAAAAATCAAGTCACTGAAAAGAACTTCATACTCATTGATCTGTCCAGGTACAAAGTAAGTTTAAATTCACAAAGACTGTGAGCTTCCTGACATATATGTTAGTAGTCAGGCTCATAATCTCCAGTGAAGACTAGGATATGACCTTAGACATACAGAATGCTATGAATACAGGAAGCAATAATGTATTTTTAAAATTTGATAAACCATTTTAAAGATGAACATGACCAAATTAAAAATATTTAACTAGAAAATATTGTGCAGAACATAATTGGACATTACAGATTTTTATTAACTATTGTTTGATATATTACTTTCGATATTTTTGATGGCAAGAGGGTTTGCAAAATATGCATTGTTTTAAGTCAGCTTAAAGGTAAGAGCAGATCTAGTAATAGACTAGGTTAGCCCAGCGAAACTGAAAGATGAAGATCAAGCAGTCCGAGGCATCTCATTGGATCAGCTTATGATCCTCCTTGGATGATAGTATTTTTTCTTTCATAAGTATAGAATAGTATTATTTTTTAAAGTGTGCAAAAATATGTATGCCATTGGACAAAATAGCCATTTCTTTATTAAAATAGTTTTTCAAACTCACTCTTGCAACAAAATAAACCATATTCATCAAGTCACAGGAAAAACGAATACAGAGATTTGGGAATGCTGTACTTGTTTCTCTTCAACTTTAGCAGCAAAAGCTGGACAGTTTTCAAAATGCACCTGACAATAATTGTGTTGTCTTAAGCAACAGGATGCTGAGGACTGTAGAGGCCTTCAAATTCTCCTCAATGTGTTTTATTTTCTCAGCTTAAGCATGATTGTTGGTGAAGCCATGTCAAGCACAGGAACATGCACTTTACCCGATTCCATACACAGAGTTGTCCAAAAATTGTGATTTTGACTTGGATCCCAGAGTCCACTATGTCCACCATCAACAGGGACAGGCTCATCCACTCCAGTCCTGGAATTATGGCTCAGTCTGCCTCAAAGGTCACATCTGCCAGCCATACCTCCAGGTAGAACACGGAAGGGCCTCTCAGTTCCTGCACCAGAAACCACCAGAGCCCATGAGAATCTGTGGTGGGGAAGTGGTAACCTAAGCAGCTTCTCCATGGAGTGAGACGGAGTCCATTTCCCTGACTCAGCTAGCCTTGAATTTTGATGCTACTTATTTTCATTTTCAAGAGAGATACTTTGAATGGCTGTTTGTGTCAAGTATCTTGACCTCTGGTTCAGTTAGTAATGGCCCAGAGAGCTAGTTGATGCTGCAGATACCTGGCAGATCAAGAAGTGGTTTACAGTCTAAAATTCAGCAAATGAGACGTTGTCTGTTTTCACTCGCCATTGTTTCCACAGTGCCTCCCAGAGTGCCTGGCACAAAAAAGGCATTTTATACACATTAGTTAAACAAATGAATATTTCTCAGGTCTCAGTATAGCTACATATTATTACAGCCTGTTATGAGTCCTGGCACATAAGAGTACAGTATTATTTTTTAAAGCTTTATTGAATCTCAAGAAGTCCTAGGAAAACTATTTGAAACCAAGTAAGAACCCTTTTTCACTGCTCCAGAATTCATCAGTAATAGCATTTAAATATTTAACATTACCTAAAAATACTTGCAGTTCTTGAAGTTTTAATCTATTAATCAAATATTTTATCAATGAATTTCACATGTTTGTTAATCAGTTGAATACAATCATGAATAATCAATATTCGTTTTAGTTACTCAAGAGCCAAATGCGAGGCAGGGCTATTGAAAGTATATGGGTAAAGCATGCTAAACAGAGGAACACACATGTGCTTTGATGCTTTGTCTACTCTGTGGGGATCAGTCTTAAGATTTAATTCTATAAATGCGTAAAAACATCAATCTGTGAACTGCCATTATCAGTCAATACAAGGGCCATTAAAGAATTGGAAAGATAGCTGTGACAAGGATTATAATGACTGTTGGTTTTCATAAATTTTGCTTTGTAACTATTTTGATATTTGCCTTATAACTCTTTTTAAAAATTTTTTTATTTTATTTTAAGTTCTAGGGTACATGTGCACAATGTGCAGGTTTGTTACACATGTATACATGTGCCATGTTGGTTTGCTGCACCCATTAACTCGTCATTTACATTAGGTATTTCTCCTAATGCTATCCCTCCCCCATCCCCCCACCCCATGACAGGCCCCGGTGTGTGATGTTTCGCTTCCTGTGTCCGAGTGTTTTCATTGTTCAATTCCCACTTATGAGAGAGAACATGCCGTGTTTGGTTTTCTGTCCTTGCGATAGTTTGCTGAGAATGATGGTTTCCAGCTTCATCCATGTCCCTACAAAGGACATGAACTCGTCCTATGTTATGGCTGCATAGTATTCCATGGTGTATATGTGCCACATTTTCTTAATCCAGTCTATCTTTGATGGACATTTGGGTTGGTTCCAAGTCTTTGCTATTGTGAATAGTACCGCAATAAACATACGTGTGCATGTGTCTTTATAATAGTATGATTTATAATCCTTTGGGTATATACCCAGTAATGGGATTGCTGGGCCAAATGGTATTTCTAGTTCTAGATCCTTGAGGAATTGCCACACTGTCTTCCACAATGGTTGGACTAGTTTATATTCCCACCAACAGTGTAAAAGTGTTCCTATTTCTCCACATCTTCTCCAGCCCCTGTTGTTTCCTGGCTTTGTAATGATCGCCATTCTTACTGGTGTGAGATGGTATCTCATTGTGGTTTTGATTTGCATTTCTCTGATGACCAGTAATGATGAGCATTTTTTCGTGTGTCTGTTGGCTGCATAAATATATTCTTTTGAAAAGCATCTGTTCATTTCCTTTGCCCACTTTTTGATGGGACTGTTTAATTTTTTCTTGTAAATTTGTTTGAGTTCCTTGCAGATTCTGGATATTAGCCCTTTGTCAGATGAGTAGATTGCAAAAATTTTCTCCCATTCTGTAGGTTGCTGTTCACTCTGATGGTAGTTTCTTTTGCTGTGCAGAAGCTCTTTAGTTTAATTAGATCCCATTAGAAGCTCTTTAGTTTAATTAGATCCCATTTGTCTATTTTGGTTTTTGTTGCCATTGCTTTTGATTTAGACATGAAGTCCTTGCCCATGCCTATGTCCTGAATGGTATTGCCTACATTTTCTTCTATGGTTTTTATGGTTTTAAGTCTAACATTTAAGTCTTTAATCCATCTTGAACTAATTTTTGTATTAAGTGTAAGGAAGGGATCCAGTTTCAGCTTTCTACATATAGCTATCCAGTTTTCCCAGCACCATTTATTAAATAGGGAATCCTTTCCCCATTTCTTGTTTTTGTCATGTTTGTCAAAGATCAGATGGTTGTAGATGTGTGGTGTTATTTCTGAGGCCTCTGTTCTGTTCCATTGGTCTATATCTCTATTTTGATACCAGTACCATGCTGTTTTGGTTACTGTAGCCTTGTAGTATAGTTAAAAGTCAGGTAACTTGATGCCTCCAGCTTTGTTATTTTTGCTTAAGATTGTCTTGGCAATGCAGGCTCTTTTTTGGTTCCATATGACCGTTCCAAAATTACCTTGTAACTCTTAATAAAACCTAAAGACAGAAAATCTTACCTCTATTTACAGATGAAGAAATTGGAGGCCAGAGAAGTTAATTGACTCCCCAAAGTAAATATAAATACTCATCAATGAAACTGAGGTTCAAAATCTTGCTTGACTGAGTCTGAAGCCCACGTTCCTTTTCTCTTTGCATTATATTACCTCCGATGGATTTTTTTAAATGGACCTTGAAATTTTTGTGTATAAAATAGTACTAGCAGAAACATTACAAAATCAACTTTTCAGCAAATGGAAAAGAGAAGGCTACTGAATAACCTGAAACCAGATTATCTGTTTGAAGAAAAAACCTAACAGAATAACAGAAACATCAATCCTGCAGTTATAGACACTCCTGGGAAACCAAAATAAACTATTTTTACCAATAGAAAAAAAAAAAGTCCTAAATGCTTACAGAAGACATTAAACTGTAACTTTAAATAAAATATTATTCTGAAACCTGAGACTAAATTTGAATTCCTTTGAAAAATAATTTAGGTGATAAGTAATCTAATAATAGCATCAACAGTTATGACTTAATTCAGCAAACTAATTCTTTAGAAATTTTGCTTAAGACATTTCTTAATTGTTGTAACCTTATGTTCTCTTCTTCATATAGACAGATGAATAAACTGTTGTGTGACTGATAATCTGGTTGAGAGCAGAGACTCATTTTCATTGTTTGAAAGAAAGCCAGCACCGTACAATACCTGGCAGATAGAAAATATTCAATAAATGTTGAATGAATACTTTTCCATTAAATGGTATGGATTAGAACTGATTAAGTCCTACTGTTGTGCTCTGTCTCTCATGGAATTGGAGAGCTTACTTCAGAAAGCTCCATGCAGGCCGTGCCCATAGACCCGATTGGAAGTTAAACAGGCCCAGCTGGGGACTTAGCCATGGTTATAAACCATGCTGGCAATACTGCCAAGGCCTTCAGGATGTTTGCCAATTAGCTTAGGAGAGAAAAAGATCATAGGACATAGGGTCCACTGAAAGTGTAGGCCAGTTTCAATGCCTCCCAATTATGGTTTGTGTGAATATCAAATAAGATAATCGATAGAAAAGGTCTTTAAATTTTAAAACATTTTACAAATGTTGGTAATTAATATATTGGCATTAACTGCCTAAAATCACGTTTCTTTTAGTATCTCTCTTTAACACCTTGACAGCATGGTCTAAATTCTGTCAATAAATTTACAGTTCTCTAAATGGATGAGTCTTCCAAAAATTTTGAATGGATTTTGTCTGAATTCTGTGTGGCTAAATGACCATCTGCAACTAAATGACTCTGCTGTCTTATCTCTGCATTCTCAAGTCTTCACCTCCTTTTCTCCTACTCAGAATCTGAGGAGACGGGGGAATAACAGACAGAGTATTAAGAAAGAATCCAGAGGACTTGAGTAACTTTCTTGTAACCTTAGGGAAATAATTCAAGTTCCCTTAACTTGTACTCATTGTATATATCATTAAATGGATTTTCTCCTGAACTCATAGCATAGTGGTGAAGATCACATAAGATGATGTGCTTCATAAACAATCACACAGATGTAAGACACTTTTATTGCTGAGCATCAGTTTGCTATTTTGCTATGTTTTGAGATATGAGAGGCAGAGTCCTAGATGAGTGGATATTTCTACCTCAACACTTGCATGTTTTACATACCAGTTTATGCATCTCTTGCTCTAGTGTAGACTGTGTGGTTTAATTATTTTAGTGTTTCTGAATATGCTTTTGTTAATTTACATTCCACTCTTTCAACAAGTCTTACTAAGTGCCGTATTAAAGTGGCAAGTTATACTGGGGGATGGGAATACACTAGGGAGCTATATGTCATGCTTCTTTTCTTCACAGAACAAATGCACCACCAGGATGGGACAAAAACATTCTAAAATACTCAGTGCTTCTGGAAGAGATACAATGTTCAGAGTATGAGTAAACTGTGTTATAGCTGGAAATATGTCACATAAAGCCAACACCACCACATTCTAGGAATCTCTCCTTCCAGATATGTTATCTCTACTTTCTCACTTGAACATTTTGATGAGAGAAAAATAAGGAAAACATCCACGTTGAATAAGCTCTTATTCTGATTACCCACATTATTAAAACAATATTGCTGAGATCATCTGAATGTTGCAATTATTATCAAACTGTTTAGAAATAGCCTAACATCATACAATGAAACACATTTCAACCTGTAAATAAGACAGAAAAAGAATTAACTGTGAAAGTTGATATAAAGATAATTATTCCCACTTTCGTTTAAAGCCATGAATGTGTGATTATATATACACATGCCCAAAACTATTGGTTTCAAAGCATGAAGAAAATTCCTTCAACTTGCCTTGATTTAGAAATAAATAAATTTGCTGGACACTGTGTTCTCCCTGGAATTTGAAGGGCAATGATGACATTAATGCCATTCTATTGTATGTCAAACCAATATAAAAGCTGCAAATATCTGACAAAAGATTCCTATCCCTAAGTGGTAGAAATTATTGAAACCACAGGGCTTATAGCACTCTCTCTGGGAACTTTTATCAGGGAGCTGTTGGAGGCAGGCTTTTTGGAGCAGCCTGTAGTTTACCCCTCAATTCATGCTGGTCAGGTCTTTTACCAAGAGAGTTTTGCTTTCAGTATTTAGGTGGTGCAGGCAACTGTCTACCTTGGGGCATGCAATTTGAGTGCTTCAGAATCAGTGTGCCATTGCAGCTTTGTTGCCCATGGAAACAAAGTCTTCTTTGGAGAGAGGGAGCTTTGTAAAGGGCGTGGCAGTGTATAATTTCATCAGCTCTGGTCATTGCCCTATTTGAAGGTGTTTTGCTGCATGAACAACAGACACAAAAAAATTGTACAGGATTATAATATTTTGTAATGATTTTAAAACTTGCTTTTAAGATTTCTAAATTGTATACAGTAATAGTTCCAATTTCCTTTAGAGAAATTGTTACTAATTAGAGTAAACATTCAACTAGGAATGACTTACATACTTTCTCCTACCTCAGCAAAGAGAGTAAAAACATTGATGCTAATTCTAGCTAACATGTGCAGGGCGGGGGGGCTCTCAGAATGTGTTATTAAGAAGAAAGCATTGGGCATAGATTAAGCCAGGACCACAATGCATGCTTTAAAATGTCATGAAAATGGCTTGGACTAGAATTTCACAAATGTCTCGTGCCTTTCACCTAACATTCAAAATATAAATTAAATCTTATTATGGATTTCATTAATAAATATTTGTGGAGGATTAGCAGCCTGACCTTTCCAGTGGCCCTGTTACTAGCTCATTTTTTTTTTTTGTCCAAAAAGCACAGTAGAAGGTGAATTGCAAAAGAAGACAGAGAACAAGAGACCACTGAGGACAGTATGGCAATAATCTGCTAAGTAATACAGAAGACAAATGGGACCAGAATGGAAAAGAGGAAGAAGGGGAGATTTGTATTTATTGCTTACTTCATTTTTATCAAGCTCAGGGCCAGAAACTATTTAAGTTATCTCGTGCAACCACCCTACTAACTCTGTGACACAGATATCACTATCCCCATTTTAGAAACCGGGTGATTGAAAGAAGCACTGTGGGCATACAATCAGCAGGTATCTAAAAAATATGTGGGAGAAGGAAAGCAAATTGTCAAAACTCTGAATTTTTTCACTGAATCAGATTATATCTATCTTTTTCCTTTTTTTTAATTTTAATTTTTAATTTTAAGTCCCAGGGTACATGTGCAGGATGTGCAGGTTTGTTACATAGGTAAATGTGTGCCATACTGGTTTGCTGCACCTATCCACCACCTATCCACCCATCACCTAGGCATTAAGCCCAGAATGTGTTAGCTATTTTTCCTAATGCTTTCCCTCACCTCTGAAGCTGTCTACCCCTGACAGGCGGCATGTTCCCCTTCCTGTGCCCATGTGTTCTCATTGTTCAGTTCCTGCTTATAAATGAAAACATGTGGTTGGGGTATTTTATTCCTGCATTAGTTTGCTGAGGATAATGGCATCCAGCTCCATCCATGGCCCTGCAAGGGATCTAATCTCATTCCTTTTTATGGCTGCATAGTATTCCATGGTGTATATGTGGGAATTTGGGTTGATTCCATGTCTTTGCTAATATGAACGGTGCTGCAGTGAACATACACGTGCATTTATCTTCATAACAAAATGATTTATATTCCTTTGGGTATATACCAGTAGCAGGATTCCTGGGTCAAATGGCATTTTTGCCTCTAGGTCTCTGAGGAATTGCCACACCGTCTTCCACAATAGTTGAACTAATTTAAATTCCCACCAACAGTGTACAAGGATACCTATTTCTCTGCAACACTGCCAGCATCTCTCGTTTCCTGACTTTTTAAGAACTGCCATTCTACTGGTGTGAGATGGTATCTCACTGTGGTTATGGTTTGCATTCCCCTAATGATCGGTGATGTTGAGCATTTTTTCATACGTTTGTTGGCCACATAAATATCTTCTTTCAAGAACTGTCTGTTCATTTTCTTTGCCCACTTTTTCATAAGGTTGTTTGTTTTATTCTTGTAAATTTGCTTGAGTTATTTGTAGACTCTGAATATTAGACTTTTGTCATATGGATAGATTGCAAAAATTTTCTCCCATTCTGTAGGTTGCCTGTTTGCTCTGATGAAAGTTTCTTTTGCTGTGCAGAAGCTCTTTAGTTTAATTAGATCCCATTTGTCAACTTTTGCCTTTGTCGCAATTGTTTTTGGCGATTTCAATCATGAAATCTTTGCCCATGTCTATGTCCTCAATGGCATTGCCTAGATTTTCTTCTAGGGATTATATAGTTTTAGGTTTTGCATTTAAGTCTTTAATCCATCTTAATTTTTGTATAAGATGTAAGGAAGGGGTCTCCTTTCAATTTTCTTCATATGGCTAGCCAGTTCTGCCAGCATCGTTTATTAAATAGGGAATCCTTTCCCCATTACTTGTTTTTGTTAGGCTTGTCAAAGAACAGATGGTTGTAGCTGTGTGGTCTTATTCCTGAGTTCTCTATTTGGTTCTATTGTTCTATGTGTCTGTTTTTGTACCACTACCATGCTTTTGGTTACTGTAGCCTGATAATGTAGTTTGAAGTAGGGTAGCATGATGCCTCCAGCTTTGTTCTGGAGGATTGTCTTGGCTACACAAGCTCTTTTTTGGTTCCATGTAAATTTTAAAATAGTTTCTTCTAATTCTGTGAAGAATGTCAATGGTAGTTTAATGGGAATAGCATTTAATCTATAAATTACTTTGGCCATTATGGCCATTTTTATAATATTGATTCTTTCTATCCATGAGCATGGAAAGTTTTCCTATTTGTTTGTGTCCTCTCCTATTTCCTTGAGCAGTGTTTTGCAGTTATACTTGAAGAGGTTCTTCACTTCCCTTGTTAGCTTTATTCCTAGCATTTTCTTCTCTTTGTACCAATTGTGAATAAGAGTTCATTCATGATTTGGCTCTCTGCTTGTCTGTTGTTGGTGTATAGGAATGCTTGTGACTTTTGCACATTGATTTTTGTATCCTGAGACTTTGCTAAGGTTGCTTAAGAGACAGTGTTCCAGAATCTCTGAGACACAGCTAAAGCCATGTTAAGAGGGAAATTTATAACACTTTATATGATAAATGCTATATGATAAATGCCCATATCAAAAAGCTAGAAAGATCTCAAATTGACATGCTAACATCACAACTAAAAGAATTAGAGAACCAAGAGCAAGCAAACCCCAAAGTTCACAGAAGACAAGAAATAACTAAGCTCAGAGTGGAACTGAAGGAGATAGAGATACAAAAAACCCTTCAAAAAATCAATGAATCCAAGACCTGGTGTTATGAAAAAAATAATAAAATAGATAGACCACTAGCTAGGCTAATAAAGAAGAAAAGAGAGAAGAATCGAGTAGACACAGTAAAAAGATGATAAAGAGTATATCAACACTAACTCCATAAAAATGCAAACAACCATCAGTGAATACTGTAAACACCTCTATGCAAATAAACTAGAAAGTCTAGAAGAAATTGATAAATTCCTGGATACATACATACTCCCAAGAATGAACCAGGAAGAAGTTGAATCACTAAATAAACCAATAACAAGTTCTGAAACTGAAGTAGTAATAAATAGCCTACAAAAAAAAAAAAAAAAAAAAAAACCCAGGACCCAGTGGATTTACAGCTGAATTCTACCAGAGGTACAAGGAGGAGCCCTTACCATTTCTTCTGTAACTACTCCAAACAATTAAAAAGGAGGGACTCCTCCCTAACTCATCTTATGAGGCCAGCATCATCCTGACACCAAAATCTGGCAAAGATACAACAAATAAAAGAAATCTTCAGGCCAATATCCCTGATGAACATTGATGCAAAAATTCTCAATAAAAGATTGGTAAACTGGCCAGCCGTGGTGCCTCACGCCTGTAATCCCAGCACTTTGGGAGGCCGAGGCGGGAGGATCATGAGGTCAGGAGTTCAAGACCAGCCTGGCCAACATGGTGAAACCCCATCTCTATTAAAAATACAAAAATTAGCTGGGCATGGTGGCAGGAGCCTGTAATTCCAGCTACTCAGGAGGCTGAGGCAGGAGAATCGTTTGAACTTGGAAGGCAAAGGTTGCAGTGAGCTGAGATTGTGCCATTGCACTCCAGCCTGGGTGACAGGGACAAGATGAGACTCTGTCTAAAACAAACAAACAAACAAAAAATACTAGCAAACCAAATCCAGCAGCACATCAAAAAGCTTATCCACCATGATCAAGTCAGCTTCATCCCTGGGGTGCAAGCCTGGTTCAACATACACAAATCAATAAACGTAATACATCACATAAACAGAACTAAAGACAAAAACCACATAATTATCTCAATAAAAGCAGAAAAGGTCTTTGACAAAATTTAACATTCCTTCATGTTGAAAACTGTCAATAAACTATATATCGGAAGAACATCCCTCAAAATAATGAGTCATTTATGACAAACCCACAGCCATTATTATACTGAATGGGCAAAAGCTGGAAGCATTCCCCTTGAAAACTGACACAAGTCAGGGATGCCCTCTCTTACTATTCCTATTGAACATAGTATTGGAAGTTCTGGCCAGGACAATTAGGCAAGAGAAAAAAAATAAAAGGTATTCAAATAGGAAGAGAGGAAGTCAAACTGTCTTTGTTTGCAGGTGATATGATCCTATAGCTAGAAAATCCCATCATCTCATATCTATCTTTTCATTGCTATGCCTGCATTACTTAGGGCTTGGATGATGTTTAGGACATACTATTACCAGTAAATTTTTTTTCAATGAATCATGTCTTTCACTGAAACTGAAAATATGTTCTGGGCATACCCTTGGGCCTGGTGGAGATTGGGTTGTAAGAACTCTGGTTTACTGTTGTTTCTTAAACATCTTTGTAATTGGATATGACTTCACTTGAGATTTAGTTTCCATATCCACAAAAGAAACAGAGTAGATCTTTTCCTATTCTACATAAAAAAGATATCTGTAAGAACAAATAAAGGAAAAATAAAACTTTATTTTCCTGTTAAATATATATATGAGACATATATATGAGATATATATATATATATAATATATATGCGTGTGTATATATATATCTCAGTAGGGTGTTGTGTCTTACTGAGACACCCACAGGGGCAAATAAGGAAATTTTGCATTACCCATCCCTCAACCCCAGGTAACACAACTTGTGGCTCCAAAACAGACCTCTTCCTTCTCCTTGAGGAGAGGAGAGGGAAGAGTAGGGAGGACTCTGTCTTGCATCTGGGAGACCAGATCAGCTACAGGAAAATAGAGCACCAGTCAGGGTCATGAGGCCCTCATTCCAAGTCCTAGCTCCCAGATATTTCTAGACACATCCTAGGTCAGAAGGGAACCCACTCCCTTGAAAAAAAGGACTCAGTCATGGCAAAATCCATCACTGACTAAAGAGTGATGGATTTTGACTGAAGAGACCTTGGGCACTGAATAATCAGTAATGATACCCAGGTAGTATACCATGGACCATTGGTGGGACTCAGATTTACTGGCTTCAGGTGAGAACCAGCACCTTTTGAATCACTGTAGTGAATACAGTGAGAGACTCCTTCTGCTTCAGAAAAGCAGAGGGAGAAGTAATGCCTTGTACCTTAGATACCAGCTCAGCCACAGCCACATAGAACACCAAGTGGGCAATTGGGTTCGTAATCCAGATCTTGGCTCTTGAACAGCATTCCTTGACCTGTCCTGAGCCAGACAGGAGCCCACTTCCCTGAAGGGTGAGCCCCAGGCCTAGCAGCATTCACCACAAGCTGACTGAAGAACCACTGGTCCTTAACTGAACATTGGCTGTAGCCTGGCAACACTCCCCATGGGCATGTGATGGTGGTGGCTGTAGACTGAGGCTCCTCTGCCTATGGAAAGGGGAAGAAAGAGTGGGAAGGATTGTGTCTCATGGTTTGAGTGCAAGCTCAGCCACAGTAGACTAGAATACCAGATAGATTTCTAAGTTTTTTTTTTCGTAAGTCCCTGGCTCATGGATGACATCTCTGGAACCAGCCAGGTCTGGGGAAATCTCACCATCCTGAAGGGAAGGAAACAGGTATAGCTGGCTTAGCCACCTGCTAATTGTAGAGTATTACAGCCTTGAGCAAATATAAGCAATAGTCAGGTAGTGGTTACAGAGGGCCTTGGGTAAGAACCAGTGCTGTACTGGCTTCAGGTCTGACCCAGCACAGTCCCAGTATTGGTGGCTACAGGAATACAGGTGTCATCTCACCCCCAGCTCCAGGTAGCTTAACACACACACACACACACACACACACAGAGAGAGAGAGAGAGAGAGAGAGAGTAAGGGGTGGAAAGAGAGATACCCCATTTGTTTTGGGAGACAGTAAGAAAGACAAGAAGTGTCTCTTCCTCATAACCCAGAGAATTCTTCTGGATCATTTTCAAGACCATCAAGTTGGTTCCTCTATGAGTGTGCAAGAACCATAGCATTACTAGGCCTGGGGTACTCCCTAATGCAGACATAGCTTATATCACAAAATCCAAGTTCTTTTGAATACCTGAAAATTCCTTTCAAGAATCAGGGGTACAAACATGCTCAGACAGTGAAGACTACAAAAATACCTAACTCTTCAGTGCCCAGGCACCAACGATCATCTGCAAGCATCAAGATTACCCAGGAAAACAGGAAAACATGACCTTACCAAACAAACAAAGCAAGGCACAAAGGCTCAATCCTAGAGAAAGAGAGATATGTGATCTTTCAGACAGAAAATTCAAAATAACTGTTTTGAGGAATCTACAAGAACTTCAAGATAGAGAAGGAATTCAAAATTCTATCAGATGAATTTAAGAAAGATATTGATATAATTAAAAAGAATCAAAAAGAAATTTTGGAGTTGAAAAATGCAGCTGACATTCTGAAGAATGCATCAGAGTCTCTAAATAGCAGCATTGATCAACAAGAAAAAAGAGGTGGTGAGCTTCAAGACAGGCTATTAGAAAACACACAACTAGAAGAGACACAAACACACAAAGAATAAAAACAATAAAGCATGTCTGCAAGATCTACAAAATAGTCTCCAAAGGGCAAATCTAAGAGTTACTGGCTTAAAAGGGAGGGTAGAGAACGAGATAGGGGTATAAAGTTTATTCAAGTTCCCAAACCTAGAGAAAGATATCAATACCCAAGTAAATGAAGGTTACAGACCATCAACCAGGATTAATGTTAAGACCACCTCAAGGCATTTAATAATCAAATTCCCAAAAGTCAAAGATAAATAAAAGGATTTTAAAAGCAGCAAGAGAAAAGAAACAGATAACATACAATGGAGCTCCAATACTTCTGGCAGCACACTTTTCAGCAGAAACCTCATGGGCTAGGAGGGAGTGGCATGAGATAGTTAAAGAGCTGAAGAAAAAAAAAACTTTTACCCTAGAATAGTGGTGAAAATATCTTTCAAACATGAAGGAGAAATAAAGTTTTTCCAAGACAAACAAAAGCTGAGAGATTTCATCAACACAAGACGTGTCCCACGAAAAAATGCTAAAGTGTATCTCAGTCAGAAAGAAAATGACATTAGTGAGAAATAAATTATCTGAAGGTGCAAAACTCACTGCTAGTAGTAAGTACACAGAAAAAACACAATATTATAACACTTATAGCTGTGGAGTGTAAACCACTCTTATCTTAAGTAGAAGAGCTAAAAGATGAACAAATCAAAAATAATAAATACGACTTCTTTCCAAGACACAGTACAAAAAGATATAAATAAGAATGACAAAAAGCTAAAAATAAAATGAATGAAATTAAAGTTTAGAATTTTATTAGCTTTCTTTTTGCTTGTTTGTTTACGTAAATAGAGTTAACTTGTTATTAGCTTAATATAATGGGTAGTAAGATATTATTTGCAATCCTCATAACAAGTTCAAATGAAAAATTATACAACAGATACACAACAAATTAAAAGCATGAAATTAATTTGTACCACCAGAGAAATTTACCTTTAATAAAAGGAAGATAGAAAGGGAGAGAAGACCAGAAAACAAATAACAAAATGGCAGGAGTAAGTCCTTACTTATCAATACTAACAATAAATGTAAATGCACAAAAGCCTGCAATCAAAAGACATAGAGTGGCTGAATGAATTAAATAAAAGACCCAATGATCTGTTGCTTACAAGAAATACACTTCACCTATAAAGATAGACAAAGACACATAATAAAGGGGTGGAAAAAGATATTCCAGGCCAATGGAAACCAAAGAACAGAAGTAGCTATGCTTAGACAAAATAGATTGCAAACAAGAACTATGAGAAAAGACAAAGAAGTTCATTAAATAATGATAAAGTGGTCAGATGAGCAAGAGGACACAATTGTAAATACATATGCACCCAACAGTGGAGTACCCAGATATACAAAGCAAATGTTATTAGAACTAAAGAAAGAGATGTACTCTAATACAATACTAACTGGAGACCAACATCCCACTTTCAGCATTAGATAGATCTTCCAGACAGAAAATGAATAAAGAAACATTAGACTTAATCTGCACTATAAACCAAATGGATCTAACAGATATTTACACAACATTTCATTCAATGGCTACAGAATACACATTCCTTTTCTAGCACATGGATTATTCTCAAGGATAAGTCACATGTTAAGTCACAAAATAGTTGTAAAACATTAAAAAAAATTAAATAACATGAAGCATCTTCTCTTGACCACAATAGAATAAAAGTAGAAATCAATAATAAGAGGAATTTTGGAAACTGTACAAATACAGGAAAATTAAACAATATGCTTCTGAATGACCAATAGGTCAATGAAGAAATTAAGAAGGAAATTGAAAAATTTCTTGAAACAAATGATAATGCAAACACAACATGCAAAACCCTATGGGATACAGAAAAAGTAGTACTAAACTATAATTAGTAATACTTACAGCTATAAGTGCCTCCATCAAAAAAGAAGAAGAATTTTAAATAAATGCTGTAATGATTTATCTTAAACAAATACAAAAGAAAGAACAAATCAAACCCCAAATTAGTAGAATAAAATAAATAATAAAGATCTTAGCAGAAGTAAATGAAATTAAAATGAGGGAAACAATACCAAAGATCAACAAAACCAAAAGCTGGTTTCTTGAAAAGATAAACAAAACTGACACACATTTATCCAGAGGAACTAAGAAAAAAAGAAAGAAGACCCAAATAAATAACATTACAAATGGAAAAGGAAACTTTACAACTGCAGAAATTAAAAGGATCGTTTGTGGCTACTATGAGCAACCATAGGCCAATAAATTGGAAATTCTAGAAAAAATTGATAAATTCCTATACATATACAACCTACCAAGATGAAACCATGAAGAAATCCAAAACCTGAATAGAGCAATAATAGGTAACAAGATCACAGTCATAATAAAGTATCTCTCAGTAACAAAAAGCCAGTAACCTAATGGATTTGCTGCTGAATTCTGTCAAATGTTTAAAGGAGAACTAATACCCATATTAAACTATTATGATAGTTTTATGTTAAATGTCAAATTAAAGTATTCTGAAACATAGAGAAGGGAATACTTCCAAGCTCATTCTATGAGGCCAGTAGAATTCTGACACCAAAAGCAGAAAAAAACTCTTTTTTATGATTTCCATTCTTTTGCATTTGTTGAGGAGTGTTTTACTTCCAATTATGTGGTCAATTTTAGAATAAGTGTGATGTGATGCTGAGAAGAATGTATATTCTGCTGATTTGGGGTGGAAAGTTCTGTAGATGTCTATTAGGTCAGCTTGGTCCAGAGCTGAGTTCAAGTCCTAAATATCCTTGTCAATTTTCTGTGTCACTGATCTTGTCTGATATTGACAGTGGGGTGATAAAGTCTCCCATCATTTTTGTGGGGGGGTCTAAGTCTCTTTGTAGGTCTCTAAGAACTTGCTTTATGAACCTGGGTGCTCCTGTATTGGGTGCATATATATTTAGGATAGTTAGCTCTTCTTTTTGCATTGATCCTTTACCATAATGTAATGCCCTTTGCCTTTTTTTGATATTTGTTGGGTAAAAGTCTGTTTCATCAGAGACTAGGATTGCAAAATGGAATCTAATTAAACTAATGAGCTTCTGCACAGCAAAATAAACTATCATCAGCATGAACAGACAATCCAGAGAATGGGAGAAAATTTTTGCAATTTTTGCAATGTATCCATCTGACAAAGGGCTAATAACCAGAATCTACAAAAACATAAACAAATTTACAAGAAAAAAACAAACACTCCATCAAAAAGTGGGTGAAGGATATGAACAGACACTTCTCAAAAGAAGATATTTATGTGACCAACAAACATATGAAAAAAAGCTCATCATCACTGGACATTAAAGAAATGCAAATCAAAACCACAATGAGATACCATCCCATGTCGGTCATTAAAAAGTCAGGAAACAACAGATGTTGCAGGAGATGTGGAGAAACAGGAACTCTTTTGCACTGTTGGTGGGAGTGTAAATTAGTTCAAACATTGTGGAAGACGGTGTGGTGATTCCTCAAGGATCTAGAACCAGAAATACCATTTGAGCCAGCAATCCCATTACTGGGTATATAACAAAAGGATTATAGATCATTCTACTATAAAGACACATACACACGTATGTTTATTGCAGCACTGTTCACAATAGCAAAGAATTGGAACCAACCCAAATGCTCATCAAAGATAGATTGGATAAAGAAAATGTGTCACATATACACCACAGAATACTATGCAGCCATAAAAAAGGATGAGTTCTTGTCCTTTGCAGGAACATGGATAAAGCTGGAAACTATCATTCTCAGCAAACTAACACAGGAACAGAAAACTGAACACCGCATGTTCTCAATCATAAGTAGGATTTGAACAATGAGAACACGTGGACAAAGGAGGGAAACATCACACACTGGGGCTTTTGGGGGGTGGGGGGTAGGGGAGGGATAGCATTAGGAGAAGTACCTAATGTGGATGACGGGTTGATGGGTGCAGCAAACCACCATGGCATGTGTATACCTATGTAACAAACCTGTGTGTTCTGCACATGTATCCCAGAACTTATAGTTAAAAAAAAAAAAAAAAAAAAAAAAAACAGAAAAAGACACATCAAATAAAGGAAACTAAGGCCAATATCCCTGATGAATATTAGTGCAAAAATCCTCAACAATATACTAGGAAACTGAATTAAATAATACATTAAAAAGATCCCTCAACAATATACTAGGAAACTGAATTAAATAATACATTAAAAAGATCATTCATCATGACCAAGTGGGATTTATCCCAGAGATGCAAGGATGGTTCAAAATATGAAAATCAATTAATGTGATACATAATATTAATAGAATTAAGGTCAAAAACCATATCATCATGTCAGTTGATGCTGAAAAAGCATTTGATAAAATTCAAAATCCCTTCATGATAAAAACCCTTAAAAAACTGGGGATAGAAGAAATATGTCTCAACATAATAAAAGCCATATGTGTCAGACCCATAGCTAATATCAAACTGAGTGGAGAAAACAACTGAAATACTTTCCTCTAATATTGGGAACGTGACGAAGATGCCCACATTTGCCACTGTTATTCAGCATAGTACAGAAAGTACTAAAGCTAGAGAAATAAAATATGAGGAAGAAATAAAGTGGCATCCAAACTGAAGAGGAAGAAGTCAAATTATCCTGTTTGCAGGTGATATGATCTTTTATTTGGAAAAACCTAAAGTCTCTACCAAAAGCTATTCTAACTGATAAATAAATACACTCAAGTTTTAGGATAAAAAAAATCAGCATTCAAAAATCACTAGCATTTCCATATGCTAACAGCAAACAAGCTGAAAAAGAAATTGAGAAAGTAATCTCATTTATAATAGCTACAAATAAAATTGAAAACCTAAGAACTAACTTAACTAAAGAAGTGAAAGTTCTCTGTAATTAAAACTATCAAACACTGATTCAAGAACTTGAAGAGGACAGCAAAAAACGGTAAGATATATCAGGTTCATAGATTGGCTGAATCAATATTGTTAAAATGTCCATACTCCCAAAGCAATCTACAGATTCAACGCAATACTAGCAAACTACCAATGACATTTTTTGCAGAAATAGAAAAAACAATCCTAAAATTTATGCAGAATCACAAAAGACCTAAAATAGTCAAGCTATCTTAAGCAATAATAACAAAACTGGAAGAATCACATCACCTGGCTTCAAATTGTGCTACAGAAGTATAGTATCCCAAACAGCATGGCATGAGTGTAAAAATGATACATAGAACAGAGGAATGGAATAGAGAACCCATAAATAAGCTTATCCATCTACAGTGAACTCATTTTTGATAGAAGTGCCCAGAACATACAATGGGGAAAGAACAATCTCTTCAATAAATGGTACTGGGAAAACTGGATATTCATATTCAGAAGAAAGAAACTAAATGTCTGTCTCTTGCCATGTACAAAAATCAAATCGAAATGGTTGAAGACTCAAATATAAGACCTCAAACTATGAAACTATGACAAAAAAACTTTGGGGAACTCTCCAGGACATTGGACTGGAGTAAGATCACTTGAGCTAAACCCAACAACCACAGGCAACCAAAGCAAAAATGGACAAATGGGATTACATCAAGTTAAAAAACTTCCACACAGCAAAAGAAACAATCAAAAAAGTGAAGAGACAACCCACAGAATGAAAGAAAATATTTGCAAGCTACCCACCTGAAAAGGGATTAATAACCAGAATATATAAGAACATCAAACAACTAAATAGAAAAAATCTAATAATTGGATTATTTAAAAAATGGGAAAAAGATTCATTAGGCATTTCTCAAAAGAAGAGATACAAATGGCAAACAGGTATATGAAAAGGTGCTCAATATTATTGATCATCAGAGAAATACAGATTAAAACTACAATGAGTTATCATTTTACCCCAGTCAAAATGGCTTTTATCCAAAAGTAAGGCAATAACAAATGCTGGTGAGGATGTGGATAAAAGAGAACCCTTGTACACTGTTGATAGGAATGTAAATTACTACAACCACTATAGAGAACAATTTGGAGGTTCCTCAAAGAACTAAAAATAGAGTTACCATGTGATCCAGCAATCTCACTCCTAGGTATATACCTAAAAGAAAGGAAATCAGTATATTGAAGAGATACATGCACTCCCCTGTTTATTGCAGGAGTATTCACAACAGGCAAGGTTTGGATGCAACCTAAGTGTTCATTAACAGACAAATTGCAATGAAAATATGGTACATATACACGGTGGAATACTATTCAGCCACACACAAGAAAGAATGAGAACCTGTCAATTGCAACAACATGAGTCATTTTGTTGAGTGAAATAAGCTATGCACAGAAAGACAAACTTCACATGTTCTCACTTATTTGTGGGAGCTAAACATTGAAATAATTGAACTCATAGAGAGAGTGAGTAGATGGATGCTTATGAGAGTCTGGGAAGGGTAGTGGGAGGGGGTGGAGGAGAAGTGGGGATTGTTAATTGGTACAAAAATTGTTAGAAAGAATGAATAAGACCTAGTATTTGCTAGCACAACAGGGCAACTATAGTAAAAAATAATTTAATTGTACATTTTTTTCAAATCACGAAATGTGTAAAACTGGATTGTTTGTAACATAAAAAATAAATGTCTGAGCTGATGGATACCCCAAATGTTTGATGTGATTATTATAGATTGCAAGCCTGAATAAAAATATCTCATGTAACCAAGAAATACATACACCTATTATGTACTCACAAAAATTAAAATAAAGAATTTTTATAAAAGAGTGATATGAACTAAGTTTTAATTTTGAAAGCTCACTCTGGCTACAAGATGAAAGATGGATAGGCTGATAAAGTGGGGAAGAAGGGACACACTGAAGGTAAAAGGTTGTTAGTTTGGTATTTCACTATTTCATGCTAATTAAAACAAAAGCCTGCTTGAACTCAATATTAGTTGGTGTCATGCAAAATAGGAAATAGATTTCAGAACAATTCAGGAGGAAAGATCAAATGGATTTGGCAATTAATTGTATGTGATGGTTGAGGGATAGGATTCAATGGGAAATGAAAAACTGGAAGGCTAGGTGTACAGTGATGCTTTTTACAAAGCTATGAGATGAGAAATAAGAAAATATGGAAGAAAAAATTTTGAGTTTTCTCAAAAAGAGCCCGTTAAATAGTAATATTTCTGGAATATATGACTGGAAATATGTGGCAAGAAGTTAGATTGCCCCTACGGAAATCAAGGCTATAGATGTCCTATCTGATATCTACCTACAGTATCTCTCTTAGTATCTACATGTGTGTCTCACATGCATATCGGAAATGGGTTCCGTAAAAGAGAAGAGGGTGATATATAAGGAGGCTGAGATTTAAAGTAAGAAGAGGGGTAGGCTGTGAGAATAGAATACGAGAGATCACCAGTTTAAATGGTATGCAGAAGAGATGTTCATGAGAGAAACTTAGAAGTAGAGGTCAGGTCGTAAGAAGACAACTGGTCTCATAGAAGGCAACTAGGAATTATGAAAGTCAAAGAGCTTATGTATCCACCCTGTGAAATGTATTACTATAGGTCTTTATTCCAGATATATAAACATTTAAATAAGTCTTTTGGTGGTTTACCCTTGCCAGGGTAATTTCAGTCTGTTTGGCACAAAAGCCAAACAGCTGTGAGTTGCATGGTAAATGGAAAATGAGGAAGTGGGGACAAGGAGTGCAGACTATCTTTTCATGAAAAAGAGGGCAAAAAGGTTGTAACCACAAAGAGGCACAAAGTCAACGTAGCCAAATTCAGGTTAGGCGAGAAATGAGGATGCTTAGGAGAAAAAAAAAAACTACAATAGAATGAGGAAGTTTACAATGTTGACATGATAGTAGTAAAAGATAGAGCAAGATTAGAGGGGACAAGATAAATGGAGTTTCAGAGACAGCAGGACAGGTGGAATGAGGAGGAGAGATACCTCACCTCTAAGAATAAAATACAGCTACATAGCCTGTAGCTCCAGCTACTCGGGAGGCTAAGTTGAGAGTATCATTTAATCCCAGGAAATCAAGGCCAGCCTGAATAACATAGCAAGACTTCCATCTCTCTCTTTACAAGAAAAGACATATAAACACAATTTTCAATTCCACTCCTGCCACTTAGAATTGTGACATTAGACAATTTAACAAAACAAATTCCTAACATTATCTCAGCATATAGGGCAAGTAGTTTACATAAAGCAAGTAAAGCGTGGGATTTAAAATTAATATTAATATTAATATTGGATTATAAATGAACATGAAGAAGGTAGAAGGGTGTGTGTGTGTGTGTGTGTGTGTGTGTTTGTGTGTGCGTATGAGATGACGGAGGAGGGAAGCTAAGGAAAACCATACCTATTTCCACACGTCTTGATGCTGTCCTTGAGAACTTCTTTCCTTTTGTTGTTTCTCCTGTCCACATTCCATGGCATAGAATGGGGGTGTGAGGCAGACAAGATATGTGATTCTAGAAAATTCAAAGTTCGATTCAAAATTTGCTGATAATCTAGTTTGTTCAAGGCATTTCACCAAAGGAGAGTGTTAAAAAAACAAACAAACAAAAAAGATAATTAAGCAGAGAGACCCAGCCCAAAGAAGCTCATGGTCTACAGGGGTAGAGAGGTAAACACATAAATACCTGAAGGGTAAATACATAGTCACTTGAAGTTGCATCTTTTTTCTCTTTTACAGTAAAATAGAACTCAGCCATTTTAAAACACCACTCTAATGAGATCTTTCAAGCTCTTGAAATGTCATTTGATGTATAGATACATTTGACATACATTAAAGAAGTAACCTAAAAGGTTTATCAGACCAAAGGAAGTGTGACTTTCCAGCCTGAGATGGAGTGACGGAAGTCATTGAAATGATTTATTGATAAGTGATAATATGCAGTTGTGGTTCAAAGAAGGGCAGAGTCAGCTCCTAATAAGAAAAAATTTCATTCCAAGGGTATCCTGCATTTTTTTATTTATTTCAGAGATAAAAATAGGGTGTAGGCAGGGAGAATTGGTTTCCTTGAAACAAGAACTTTTGCAAAGTGAAAAACTTGAAATTAGATTATACATCAGCATGAATAAGATAGCCTAGCATGATCTCCACTTTCAACTTTGGTGTGTTGGTAATATGCCTGGCCTTGGCAGAGTTATTTTTGCAGAAATAAAGATTGCCTTTCTTACATAGTATTCTCTCCTTCTTGGACCTGTGGAAAAAGCAGGTTCTTCATTTGCAACTCTTAAGATTTTCAGATCAGTAAACAGTATGACTATACACTTAGCTCTGAAGCTCAGTTGTGAGATAGATAGAAAAAATATTTATGTTTATAAGGTGAATCTCTGATTTAATATGTTGTTAGAGTTGATATGATTTATTTCCAAATACAGCAATTTTTAAATGTCTAATATTTTATTTAAATGCTTATGTTCACCAAATTTATCCCTGTAAAATGCCCAAATGTGCTAGCTGAACAGTTTGAATTTTAAAACTTTTCGTTAAAAATAAAATGTTACTAAAAGTAGAATCTATGATTTTCAGTGAATTATTCAATAAAATACTCAAAAGAATAGAAGGCACAGAGTACCAAAGTAAAAAGATTAAAATATATAATAAAAGTGATAGAAATGTAAAATATTTACTGAAAATCACATATATATTATTTATATTTTATTTCTAAGGATTTTGAACTCAGCATTGCTGTTAACCCATGACAATTATATTTTCTGGATAGAAAGGTGTTCAATGGGAAGCACTCCTCACCTCCAAACAAACCTCTCTGGTGTCTACTGAATGTTGTCCGACTACAAATCAGAGAAAGGTTGAGAGTAATAGCAATTTCTCTGTCCTCTACAGGACAAGCCAGTTGGACTTGACTTATTCAAGAAATACCTCACCACTCACTTTGTACGGGTAACCAAAGTACCAAGCATGATGTCTTGTCACAAGTAGAAGAGATTTTGACATAATATAGCTGGGAAAGAAAAGAGTGGCAACCCAGAGTTATGTAGTGTGTTGGGTCAGGTATATATCTAGAGATATTTGGAGACTCAGGGAAAATTTAATTCAACTTTATAATCTTTTTCACATTTTCTCTCCTCTAGTTTTGTTCATTTGTAATTATTCTTACATTATTCAAGCTTTTTTTTTTGGCTGATTTTACAGATACATATATATGTCAAACTCCAGATCCTCCTGCAACAAAATCATTGCTTTTCTTTCTTTCTAGAACAAATTGAAATTAACTCAACTGGCCTAAATCAGTTTGGATTGTACTTAAGACCTGTGGATTAAGTGAATCTTTTTCTGAAATAATCCCAAGTAATAATCCCATTACAAGTAATGGACAAAAAAAAATCATTCTATGTCTTAATCTCATTACTCTGTACCTCAATATGTTCTAATTCAGATAGGATCTATAAATAAATATCATGAATAAATACGTATAGGGAGACTGGCTGGTGTGCTGAGCACAGTTTATAATGTTAAAGCTAAAGGGGGCCTTTCCAACAAATTCAAGTATAAGTTCAAACGAGAAAAATCACACATTATTTCCTATTTACTATTGGCATTTCTTATCCCTAAGGAAGTAGTAGTAATAAGTGGCTTTAGAAATATGTGTGAGTGTGTGTGTTTATGCATGCGTGTACATATGTGTTGAAAAGCAGCATGGATTTTGTTGAGCCAGCATGAAGTCTTACAAGAGAGGAGACTATGCATGCTTTTTCAATTAACTCTGTCCGTAGATACTTTTCATACAAGTAGTGAAATAAATCATAATAACTACTTATCACCGATTATTACTTAAAGCATTTTTTTTTGTTTCTGTGTACTACTTCTTGTTCATTTCCTAGATAAATTTCAATGGCTAAGACTTTTATGTCAGGGTCACTTTCTATTAGATAATGCTGACACAAAAATGTTTCTGCCTCTTGTGATAGAAAATTACAAACAGGATCACATGCTAAAGGAAAACAATCCTTCTTCACAATTAAAATTTAAATCACTCTACAAACCAAGTAAATGCTGGTGTGTTTTTCTAACCTTCTCTACGGTAGTCGATACATGGGTCAGAAAAGTAGAGTGACTTTTAGATTAACAAATGTATTAAAATAGCAAATTCTAAGACGCAATCAGTAATACATTCAGGAATTTTTGTACCAGAGCCAGTTTCTAAAGATAGGGAAAAATCAGACCAAAAGAAAATGGCAAATAACAACAAACTAGAAAGGGTTGGTTTACACACACACACGCGTGCACACACACACACACACACACTTGATTCTCAACCACGGACCCGAGAACAGCAAACTCTTTCAAGTTGTATATGTATATTCTCACTTCTCACTCCATCCTTTACAACGTCCTTTCATATCTGGATCTCAGCTTCTTCCTTGCCTCATTTTTCTTTAGATTATAATATATTTATATTTCTACAACTGGTACAGATTATGTTAGCATATTCACCTGGAGTTCTATGAGTGTAGCTGCATGACCACAGATGCTTGATAATAAAAAAGGGGGGGTGGGGCTGCATTAAAGTAGCAGATATGACTCAATGAGAAGACCAAGGAGAGCTGTGATGGTAGAAGCTAGAAGGCTCGGTTAGGATTGCCATGGCTGTCACATGGCACCTTAGCTATGCTTGCTTCAGAGTCCACTTTTCTTCCCATTTCAACATCAAGTAGCTGAAACAGGCTTAAACCAGTTTTTCTGTTGGCTGCTGAGCCAAAGAGACAGGAAATCATTAAAGGGAAAACATTTCTAGCAAAGGTCACTTTAATAGAAAATTACGTCAATCACTTTGAAGAAAAAAAGTACATTTCAATTGATGTCATTTGTCCATAGGATAACATCCGTTTTCGTTTCTGACTTGAGTTTTTAAAAGTTCGTCTAACTTTTGAAACAAGTACATTAAAAATTAACCATCCCTTCAACAGCGATTTCAATCATTTGAAAGGGAAGAGATGGTTATCAGCTATTTCATGTCAGAAGCTAAATGGTTACCTACTTGGAAGGGAAGAGAATTTTTTTAAATGTACTCCCAGTGGAATGCTAAAAGGAGCAAACCTTTCTGAGCAAGAAGATCAAGTGTTTACTTCTTAAGCATACTTTCTTCCACAATTGAAATTTGGTAATACACATCTTAAGGATATTGAAAATTTTTTTTCTCACTATGAGTCTTAAGCATATGCCATTTGCTGCCTAAAAATATCTTATTACTTTGGTTGTTTGTGTGTGTTTTAGAAAGAGAGAGAGGGAGGGAGGGAGAGAGTGGGAGGGGAAGAGGAAGAGAAAAAAGAAAAGAGGAAGAGGGAAAGAAAATTTACAAAATGTCTAGTAAATGACAAGTACAAATGCTGCAATTGTTTCTGGTTTTCCCTCAACCCTATGAGAAGGGTTTCTTGAGTCTGCTGGCCTGAAATGCCCATGCTTCAAGCCAGACCCTTTTTCCCGTTTATTTCCACTAATCTTTCTGATCTATACAATGGCTGAAATGGTTTCTCAATCATCTCTCATTTTAAATGTACAAGATATAAGACTCATATTAAACTATAGGTTCATTATGTAGGCAAAACTCTAGACATGATTCTACCCGAATGATCAGCCTTAAGAGGCCTGCGTGTCCCTGGCTCCCAGGCTACACACATATTCCTGGTCTCTGATCCTTTCTTTCCCTTACATGCAACTGTAGCACAGTCTATGCACCAAAATGGGAAAGCATTTGTTTAAGAACAACATCTATATGCTCCATTGCAGTGCTTCTTATAAAGTGTGGTCCTCAGACTAGCAGCCCCAGCCTCGGAAGACTCAGGCTTCATCTCAGACCTACCAAGTTAGCAACTCTAGAATTGGAGACCAGCAACCTGTGCATGATCAAGTTCATCGCGTGATTTGGATGCACACTAAAGTCTGAGAATCACTGCCCTATTGGAATCAAATACAGAATGGTTGCCACCTTTCTCTTCTCTACCCAATAGCCCTGAGCCCCTGGACCTGATAAAAATGAAACGAGTTATTTGACAAAATGTGCTGGAAGAAATGAACAGAAGTTCTAGGGCTCAATTAAAAGTTGTCTTCCATTGGCATAGGCTGCTTCTTTCCCAAGGCCAGGTTCAGGGAAGTCACCAGGCCAGTGGCCATCAGAGGCATACCCCTATCAGATATGAATGGATTTAATCCATGGAGTAAGTCTATCTTTTACAGTGATATGGAAGCATATTAATTATCATCTGGCCGGATATAAATTTCCCCAAGGATGGCCTGACTCTTCATATTCTCACCACAATGCTTTTGTCTGAAAACCATTGACACAGACAGATTAAGCCAGAAAAGATGAGTTCATATTTCTATTATCATAGGGAGATGAAGGCAATTGGTACTAACAATGACCTCTTATAATTTGGTAGTTACTAATCTTCTCAATTGGAGCAGATTTCTGATAATTCCTACTTTCTCTGTAAACTAATATATTTTTCATTCTAAGTCCCATTTTCACTCTATTTTAGTCATGGAGATGCTTGCATATAAAAGCCTGTCATTTTATCAGTTATGAGATACCTTACTCAAAATGTCTTCTCTTTAGCATTTGGGTTATTTCTCTCTACTCTAGATTTATCTTTTAGCTAGCTTACCCAAATGTTTTCTCTTTTGGTGTTATTTTAGGCCAAAAGGCCAACATGTCAAAAAGTCTCAGCAGAATAATCACATATCCACCAAAAGAAAAACTCTTGTTTCAGTAATTTTTTATATTATAAAAGAATATGAAATGCTATTGATGATCTCAATTCCAAAGAGTTATTGAAATATATGCTACAGTGGGATTGAATTGGTTTATCTCGGGCCGTAAAAGCATATGTTTTAGCACGCTGAACTGAGCAGTATCATTCCCCGAACTAACTTCTGTTTTTAAATATATTTACCAGAATTTGGAAGGCAACACTACATTTGAATTCCAAACAAATGGAAATTCTATTTTGGAAACTAAAGGAGATGCAGAGCCTTGGCTTCTTTTTCTCTTGGGATCTAACCTAATACCACCCAATTTCTACTACTAACAAGGGAGGGAATAATGAGGACTACACTATACCTTTGTTGTTTGAATTATTTTCAATTAGCAGATATCTCAAGACTTTAAAAAGATAGTTCCTTCTAGGTCTCTAAACTTGACGTGCAAAGATTCATTTTCATTGTCATAATGGTGAGAACATTGATCACCAGGGGAGTCCACTTTCCAGGTTACTCCCAAAGCTCCTAAAATCCAAATATATATGGAAGAGATAATAAGTTATGTTTATGAATGTTGGACAAATCTCCTTTCTACCACTAAATAAGTAGCTGTAGACTTTAACCATGGTAGACTAGGGACTTCTTGCATCATTGATGTAACCATACCACGTTAATTTCCCAATACACGGTACGTGAATATACTGAGCCACCGAGTTGCAGCAGAGAAAGAGGTTTAATATTGTAGGGCAGCCACCTGAGCAAATAAGAGGAAACCACTAATCTGTCTCCCTGAGGAGTTTGGGGTTAGGAATTTTAAGAGGTTTGGACAGCTACTTGGCAAAGGTATAGAGACTGTTGATTGGTCAAAGAGTGAAGTCATGGGACCAGGAGATGAAGAAACTACATTCTTATGCTGATTTGGTTCCACTGTAGGTGGCCTTCAAACTGGTTGGCAGCAGCTGTTCCACCAGAATTCTGGATTTCAAAAACATCTTAATAATTCTTAACAAAAGCCTTGTGATTCTAACATCACAGATCTTATCAATAGGAGCAAGGGAATTGTAAATGCTCAGTATTTAGAGCTACGTGACTTTTGGTTAAGAAGCGACTACAGGGAAGTGGGCCAAAGTGCAGCCTGCTTAATGCTTTATTATAACCATATTTCTGTCTAGAACCCAGAATGCAATTCTTGTCAACCCTGTGAGGTTGGTTTTACTGTCTTTCTCCAACTGTTGACTTATGTATATGTGAGCTATAGCCATGGCCTGTCTTCAGGTTAGCTCTTATTTCCAACCTTTGGCAATATGTCATAAATATTGGATTATGTCCTGTAACAATATAGGGAGCCCTATTTTCTGGAAAAGAGGCTTTTCAAAAACATTTTAGTGTACAGTCATGTCAAAAAAAACTGCCAGAATAACTCAGTATTCTCTCTTTATGAAAAGATAATGCTATCAATCGAACCCACTGGAAGAGCTTAGCAAATTCCTCAGCATAACTTTTTGAACTGTAAGGAGAAACTCTCTCTAGTGGAAATTCCCATAATTCTAGTACAGATGGTGTATGTTTTTCTTCCTCTATACCCATCCACCAATGCCTTTGGGGAAACAAGATAGCGTGAGAAAACAGCTATCAGCTGAACATTGGTTTACTTAACTTGACATTAGATAAAAGATGGAATTACCTAAAACAGAATCTTCTATTCCATACGGAAATTCAATGTCCTTAACACTCTTGGACAACTAAGCATTAGGATTTAAAATATAGTGTTCCAACAACAACAACAACAAAAAACTCTTTACTTTCCTTGAAATTCCACTGAGAAATATCTACATATATAAATAAGTAAACATTTTTAATAAGTTTAATATGGAAGGAGGGTATATCCCTTGCTTTCTTTCCTTTCTTAATTTCTTCATCTTTTGTTCTAACTCCTAAGAACCACATTTACGTAAGGAAATTCATGAAAACAGACTTTTTAAGTGTTGTCATGTTCTCACTTAGAAACAAATTGAAAGTAAAATCATTATTTAGACTCAAAAATCCTAGGATGGCTGGATAAAATTCTGAGATATTATTCTTTTTCTGTCCTGTATTATTTCCCTTTTGTTCCCTTTGGCAGTTAGCTGGCTCTGTTCCACATTGCCTTAGGGTATGTGTGTGATAAGTCAGAAGGTTAAAGTGGCATTATAGAGTTTTTAGCTTTTGTTTCTAAAAATTTGAAACCAGAGTAAAAATAATATGTGGAAGATAGCGGTGATTAAAAGTGGACCCCAGAGTCAGCACATCTCCATTCAAAGTCTCACTTTGCCATTTAAGAGCTGTATGACCTTGAGAAAATTATTTAACTCTGTTTCTCAGTGTCTCATCTGCTAAATAGAAATAATAATAGTATTTCTCTCATAAAGGTGTTTTAATATTCAGTGAGATACTATATGTAAAGTGATTAAACCATGATTTAAAACTGTAATGATAATAATTGACATTTATTAAGCGCTTACTTTGAGTCAGGCAGTGTTCTAAGACACATAGTAATTCATGTAACACACAAAGGAACTCTTTGCTATAGATATTATACCACCACCACCACCACCACCACCACCATCATCATCATCCTTAAACAAATGAGGAAATAATGGCATACCACAGTTTGTTTGCTGTGGATTTGACAAACAATTGTGATTGGATGTCTCCGTTCCATGCTGCAGGTTGGATTCAGGATATCTCCAAGTGTTTCTTTATTCTCCTAGGAACAGTTGTTACCCAAACCCTATGCTTCTCATGGTGAATCATGAGAACACAAGAGGAAAAGTCACACCTCAATAGCACATTTAAAGCCTGCTTGTGTCCCACCCCATCATCAAGACAAATATCAAACAGTGAGAAAATAAACTCTGATCACCATCAAGACATAACAAGAGTGGGGATGAATAATGTTAATGAGAAAAAGAGAATGAGAATTGAAAGCAGTAATCTAACCTACAGTAATACTATAGTCTAATAGATAAATTAGATATGAAAGAGATATTTATAATATTACACAGTGGAGTCGCATTTAAGGTGAAGTTTAAAGTATAAAATCAGTGAGTCAGAGAAAAATTGTATATAGTTAAAAATTGTCCAGAAAACTCTTAAGGAAGATACCTCATTAAAGATTGAGTTTTGCATTAAACCCTGACAGTTAGGTTTTCTTCAGTGTTGAAACAGATCGTTGTTTTATTGTTGATCATCACATCAAGCATAAGACTGCGTGTAGGGAGTCATGTTGGATGAACTTAATGTGATGGCAGGATTTCAGTTCCTGAGACATAGGTGATTAAGAACTATTTAGAGAACCAGTGTAGAAAGTCACGCTCTTTAAGACCATTTATTATGGATGGAAGAGGATATGACTGGGATCTATAAAATCACCCTCTATTTAAAATCCCACTTTCTCTCTTTCTTGCCAATCTCCATCCATGCACATTTAGTTGCATTTGTCTTATTAGATGAATGTTTAATGCAATTGTTGGAGGCATACTGGAAGAAGAAACGCTATGAACTGTACTACAAATCCATCTTACAAGAGAAAAAGCCTATAGATACTCAGTGAATGCCTGCAGTGATAAGACACTAGGATGGCATACACTACATGGATGAAAATTTACCTGAAACTTAAAAATTGGTTGGGATTTAAATAGACAGACATATGAGGTAAGGGGTTTGCAAGTGGAGAGAATAGTTTGAGCAAATGCACACATGCAGGAAAATTAAACAACTGGGACTAATCCCAATTCATAATAAGCTAAAGAATAAAAGTCAAGAATCAATTACCAGGGGGTTATTTTTACTGAAATATGTAATGTCATTCAGAGCTGATATTTACAATGGTAGAATGCTGTTAGCAAAGGAATTTGGTTAAACAATCATTAGGCCAAATTCCCTTTAATTTTCAAAATAACAGTTTTAACAATGGTTTAGGAAATTATTTTTAAAATAATACCTCCATTTAATAAATAGTCTTTGAATCATTGTAAAACCTAACAATGTGTCATCTGTTCAAATTAAATTAAAATGTATTTATTGAACAACAGATAACATTAAAACAATAAAAAAATTAGGTTTAAAATAACTGAGAAACCAACTGTGGCATTAGAATTATAAACTGTATGTTAACTTTTTTTAATTACAATTATTATTTCACAGTCAGACAAATATAGAGAGGGCTACTTGTATATCACTGAAATTGAGGCATATAAATAAAGGCCAGTTTATCTACATAATTTGTACTTTAGCTAACATGTACATATAACTCTGCATTTCCTCAATCTTCCAGGTGAATAATATTCCAAAATCTTAAAACATTTCTTTTTTAAGAATTCTTTAATTCTTAAACAATTTTTAAATTTTTTAAAAATTAAATTTCTTCAAGCATTTTGATGGGTGGATATCATGGACTACTAAAATATGTATAATTTCTATGAGTAATATATGACATAAAGCTATTTAACTGATAATATAATAAATAGGCTTTGATATGGTTTGGCTCTGTGTCCCCACCCAAATCTCAGATTGAATTGTAATTCCCAATGTTGGAGGTAGGGCCTGGTGGAAGGTGATTGGATCATGGGGGTGGTTTCTAATGCTGTCTCATGATAGAGTTCTCATAAAATCTGATTGTTGGAAAGTGTGTAGAACCTCCCTCTTTGTTCTCTCTTCCTCCTGCTCTGGCCACATGCAGACTTGCCCATTTCCTCTTTACCGTCCACCATGATTGTAAGTTTCCTGAGGCCTCCCCAGCCAGATTCCTGCACAGCCTGGAGACTTGTGAACCAATTAAACTTCTTTTCTTTATAAATTACCCTGTTTCAAGTAGTCCTTTATAGCAATGTGAGAATGGACTAATACAGGCTTACTGTGTGTATCTTTTCTATGATTTGTAAGAATACTTATATAATAAATTTAATTTTTCTAAATCTCAAATTTCTGAAAACAAAACTTATTGCTTTCATTGTTTTTTACCTGTAGTAATTATTAATCAGACAGCACAAGATGAACTAAACTCACAGACTCTACATAACAATGTGTAGTGCTATAGGTGTTTAGAAAAAGCATTTATGTAATTCATGACATATTTTTATTATTAAGATGCTTCTTTTGAAATCTCAATCTGTATTTGTGATATTCATATCAAGTCCTTTTGAAAATCAGCATATCCTTATATCTATTATGTTACATATCTAGTATATATAATATCATATAGATACAATGCTAAGCACTTAAAAAACATTTGTTGAGATGCTAATATGTGGTCAGGCACTGTACTAGGTGCTGGAATACAAAGATGAATAACATAAAATTTAGATTATGCCTTAAAGATGCTTAAAAAGTGAGTCATAATATAGAATAAACAATCGTAAGGTAATGTGAGCTATGCTAATTAATTGAGATAGTTCAAAGGGCTAAGAATAGACAAGCACTGCAGGTCATAGAAGATACCACTAAAGAAGATAATATATAAGCTAGATTTTTTAAAAAATGAAATTTCCAGGTTGACAAATTATGAGGAAAGATGTAGTTTTCTAGGGTGCTAATGAATCTTATTTTGTAGATTTACTTTAGGAAGAATCCCCTCTCTTCCTCAACCCCAAACACCATGTCTATGGTTCCTTTTTTTCTACACAATATCTCAGCTAGGGATGATAAAGTAATATTGTAAAATTCCACCCATAAAGCAAAGAGGAAGCTCACACAAGATGAGAAACTCATCTGCCCTAGTAAGGTTTGGAGAATTGCTACATGGAGCATTTTTTTCTTAGCAATTGGGCCACTATTCTTGTGAAATTATAGCTCAATTGAACGCGACGAAATCATTTAAGACAAGCAAATTTAGTATTATTTATATGTGCAACCCTCTTGTTTTGGAGTCTCCTCTGTAGTCTCCGATTGGGGTTAATTACTGGTGATTTCTCCCTTTGTATTCATAATTTTTCTCTGGCAATTTCACACTGTTATTATTGGAGCTTTCTTTGGTCCTGCTTAATTAAATGCTGAAAGGCTTCAGTTGATTTCACAGTAGGCAGAGGTAGCTAGATAATTTGCAATCTAAGTAAAGTGTTCATCATTGTCTCAACTCTCAAGACCCACTCTCTTGCAGGCAATGTGTATGACATGATTCCTTTGGTGTTACCTGCAATTAAAAACAAACAGACAAACTCTAGTTTACAATAAGTGTCACTATTCTTTAAACAAAACCTTGATTCTTGGGTTTTAGCTTTCTGTGCTTTCTCTATAATTCATTCAGTATTGAGAACTAGTTGCATTTGTCACATTAAGTCACCTATGCTAGAGAAATAAAAAGCACCACTCCTTGGATGACAGTGTTAGGTCCAAAGCAGCAGGCAGCTGCATGAGTGCAGCGGTTGGGAATGGCTCCTTGTCAGTAGGGAAAATGGACATTTGTTACATGACAAAAACCTCACTGTTTTTGCATGTAATAGTCAGTGCTCTAAGAAGGCAACTTAACATGGAGAAACATTTTTGTAAGAGAGAAGACATTTCTAAAAAAAAACAAAAGCCTTAAAAATGAGGATGCTGGGTAAAGTTTGGTGTGTATTTATGCAACAAATAATAGTGCACGTGCTCATTTATTCTTGCATTATTGTCACAATTAACCAAAGCCCTGGGATAAAATTTGTTGAAATCTGAAAGCCAATTGTCATGGCATACAGAACTATGAAATAAATACATGGGAGTACTGTGGCTTTCTGACCACTTTGGAATCCGTAATGCACTACATAAGGCTAATTAAAATAATAAAATGAAGCCCACAATTCCCATTTCTGTTCAGAAGAGGCACTGTGGGAATAATCAGAACCTATATTTTTCTACAAACATTTTCTACAGATTAGGCACACCGCTGGTTCCTCTCCACAAACCTTTTTAATCCATAGGCACTTTCTTTGAGAGCTACTTTATGATGGTGAGAGGGGTTCTGCAATGCAGCAACTGCTGCTGCTTACTGAGCATATCATCTATTTGAAACGCATGCAGAAAATAAAAAGGAGATTGATGATTAGGGTGTGTGGTAGAGAGGGAGGCAGAAGTCCTTTCAATACAAAGATTATTATCACCAAATCTATTTGATTTTTTATATAGTTATACTGGGATCTTTGAGAAATCATGCAATGCTCCCTTCAGCTTTTCTGCAAGGTTAAAATCAAATTATCAAATATCCTCTATTAAGTATTCATTAAGTACTTTCCCTGGTCCCAGGCACACTAGACGTTATCAGAGGTAAGGAAATATGAAACTTGGGCCATGCCTCAAACAGGTTATAATTGAGTTACAGAGCAGAACTACAATCAAATTAATGGCAAGTATTTTTTAAGTATTTGATTTAAATAGTGTATTTCATAACAAAAATATATGTTTGTAATAATTCAATAGTAGAAATCACTGACACCTAAAGTCACCAAGGAAGAATGAAATCTTATTACTTAATGTGTGCTCCACAGACCAGCAATATCAGTATCACCTGGGAGCTTGTTAGAAATACATAATCTCAGGTCATATACCAGATCTACTACATCTGAGATTGTATTTTATACGATCCAGGTGACTTGTATGTACAATAAAGTTTGAGAAACACTAGATTAAACTAGAAGAATAAGTAAGGCAGAAAAATCTATCTACATTTTTCATGGATGACCCTAGTCACCAGTATTCAGGGTAACCAATGAATATTTATTAAAAAATAATGGATCCCATACTTAGCACACACAGCATAGGTGAAATCAAAGATACATGCCAAGATAAAAAGGTTGTCCATATATTTTAAAATATCCAGGGAACCCCAACTTTGGGCATGAAAAGAATACTTAGATTAATCAGAGAAGTCCTCATCTGGTTTGAGAATATCACCTGAATTACTGATGAGGGATATTTAAAACATCATTCAAACAAATATATTTTCATGCATTAATCTCTACAAAATAACTAAAATCATTTATAATACTTTGAATAAAAAGTTATCTTTTGGTATGCACATATAAAAGTGGAAAAATTATAAATTTATAACTTTAGAACACAAAATAGACCTTAGAAATATTTTCCTTTTATCTAATTTCTCCTTACTGATAGGATTCTATGAAAATGCTTTTTATATTAAGCTCTCAAAAGAATATTAAGAAAAAACATGACACCCCTGACTATGGGTTTATATTGATTAAATAAAAAGTTAGAGCTATATAACATAAGGATTATAATCATATAGGCATTAGAAAACATGTCTGTCTACTTCTTTTATCAGATTTTTATAAGGGAACATAACTTTGTAATTTTTTTAATGTTGATATATTCCAACACAAAAGTCCAGAAAAAGCACAGAAAATTTATATAAAAACATTTGGTTTGGGCTTATATTTTGTATATACTAGGAAGAGGCTGATCTTGATCAGTGGTTCCCAGCTGTGGCAACTGGATACTTTACCAAAACGACCAATGGCCAGGCTCTGCTCAGTCCTTTTATTAATAAATCAGAATTTCTAGGTATAAGACTTTACCACCTTTTAGGTGAAGGTCAGGCTATATTGTGTCACCCCTTATAGTTTCTTTTATGTTATATTTCTTACTATACACATCATGTTTTGTTGTCAGTATTCATATATTTTTTAATTTTTTTATTTCAATACATTTTGAGGGAATGGGTGGTGTTTGGTTACATGAATAAGTTCTTTAGCAGTCATTTCTGAGATTTTGACACACCTATCACCTGAACAGTGTACACTGTACCCAATGTATAGTCTGTTATCCCTTGCCACCCCCTACCCTTTCCCCTCAGTCTCCAAAGTCCAATGTATCATTCTTATGCCTTTGTGTCCTCATAGCTTAGCTTCTACTTATGGGTGAGAACATACCATGTTTGATTTTCCATTCCCGAGTTACTTCACTTAGAATAATAGTCTTCAATTCCATCAAGTTGCTGTGAATGCTGTTATTTTATTTTTTTTTATGGCTGAGGAGTATTCCATGGTATATATAAATACCGCATTTTCTTTATTCACTCATTGATTGATGGGCATTTGGGCTGGTTCCATATTTTTGCAATTACAAATTGTGCTGCTATAAACGTGTGTGCAAGTATCTTTCTTGAATAATGACTTCTTTTCCTCTGGGTAGATACCTAGTAGTGGGATTACTGGATCAAATGGTAGATCTACTTTTAGTTCTTTAAGGAATTTCCATGTTGTTTTTCATAGCGGTTGTACTAGTTTACATTCCCATCAACAGTATAAAAGTGTTCCTTTTTCACCTTATCCATGCCAACATATATTATTTTTTGATTTTTTGATTATGGCCATCCTTCCAGGAGTGCAGTGGTATTGCATTGTGGTTTTTATTTGCATTTACTTGATAATAAGTGATATTGAGCATTTTTTCATATGCTTATAGGCCATTTGTATATCTTCTTTTGAGAATTGTCTATTCATGTCCATAGCCCACTTTTTGATGGGCTTTTTTTTTGTTTGTTTTATTCTTGCCGATGTGTTTGAGTTCCTTGTAGATTCTTGACATTAGTTCTTTGTTGCATGTACAGATTGTGAAGATTTTCTCCCATACTGTGGGTTGTCTGTTTGCAGTGCTGATTATTTCTTTCGCTGTACAGAAGTTTTTTAGCTTAATTAAGTCCCATCTATTTATCTTTGCTTTTGTTGCATTTGCTTTTGGGTTTTTGGTCAAAAAGTCTTTGCCTAAGCCAATGTCTTGAAGATTATTCTGATGTTACCTTCTAGTATCTTTATGGTTTCAGGTCTTGGATTTAGGTCTTTTGATCCATCTTGAGTTGATTTTTGCATAAGATGAGAGATGAGAATTCATTTTTATTTTTCTACACGTGGTTTGCCAATTATCTCAACACCATTTGCTGAATAGGGTGTCCTTTCCCCACTTTATGTTTTTGTTTGCTTTGTTAAAGATCAGTTGGCTGTAAGTATTTGGCTTTATTTCTGGGTTCTCTATTCTGTTCCATTGGTTTATGTGCCTATTTTTTTATACCAGTACCATGCTGTTTTGGTGACTATGGCCTTATAGTATAGTTTGAAGTCAGGTAATGTGATGCCTTCTGATTTGTTCTCTTTGCTTAGTCTTGCTTTGGCTATGTGGACTCTTTTTTGGTTCCATATGAATTTTAAGATTGTTTTTTCTAGTTCAGTGAAGAATGATGTTGGTATTTTGATGGGAAATGCATTGAATTTGTAGATTGCTTCTGTCAGTATGGTCATTGTTATAAATTTGATTCTGCCCATCCATGAGCATGGAATATGTTTCCATTTGTTCATGTCAGCTGTAATTTCTTTCAGCAGTGTTTTGTAGTTTTCTTTGTAGAGGTTTTTTACAACCTTGGTTAGGTATATTCTGAAGTTTTTTTTTTTTTTTTCAACTATTGTGAAAGTGGTTGAGTTCTTGATTTGATTCCCAGCTTGGATGCTTTTGGGGTATAGCAGAGCTACTGATTTGTGTACATTAATTTTGTATCCTAAAACTTTGCTGAATTCATTTACCTGTTCTAGAAGTTTTTTGGGTGAGTTTTAGAATTTTCTAGGTTTACAAATATTTCATCAGCAAATAGTGACAGTTTGACTTCCTCTTTACCTGTTTGGATGCCCTTTATTTCTTTCTCTTGTCTAATTGCTCTGGCTAGGACTTCCAGTACTATTTTCAATAGACGTGGAGAAACTAGGCATCCTTGTCTTGTTCCAGTTCTTGGGGGGAATGCTTTCAACTTTTCCCCATTAAGTATAATGTTGGCTGTGGGTTTGTCCTAGATGTTTTTTCTTACCTTAAGCCATGCTCCTTCTATGCCAATTTTGCTGAGGGTTTCAAACATAAAGATCCCTTGATGTGGTGTTCTCTGACTTTCCCTAGGAAAGGGGCTTCCTGAGAGCCAAACCATAGTTATTGTTTTTGCTCTTCCAGGTTAGCCACCCAGTAGAGCTACTGAGTTCCATCCTGGTACTGGGGAATGTCTATAGAGACTCCTGTGATGTGATCCATCTTCAGATCTTGCAGCCATGACTACTAGCACCTGCTCCAGGTGAGGTAGCAGGGGAGAAAAGGGAGGGTCCTTGATTGTGTTTTTGTTTAGTGTGCTGGCTTTTTGTTTGTTGGCCTGTAGCCAGGAGGTGGTGCTTCCAAGAGCTCATCAGTTGTGGTCCTATAGGGACACACCTGCAACCATCTAATTTTCAACAAAGTCAACAAAACAAGCAATGGAGAAAGGACTCTCTACTCAATAAATGGTGCTGGAATCACCAGCTAGCCCTATGCAGAAGATTGAAACTGGATCCCTTTCTTATACCATATACAAAAATCAACTTGAGTTGGATTAAAGACTTGAATGTAAAAGCTAAAACTGTAAAAACCCTTGAGGAAAACTTAGGATATACTATTCCAGACACATAGGCATTGATGAATATGCCCAACATCACTAATCATTAAAGAAATGCAAGTCAAAACCATGGAGAGATACCATCTCACACTTGTCAGAATAGCTATTATTAAAAAAGTCAAAAAAATAACATGCTGGTGAGGTTGTGAAGGGAATATTTATACACTACTGTTAGGAATGTAAATGAGTTGAACCACTGTTTTAAGAAGTTAAAACAGGACAACGATTTGACCCAGCAATCCCATTCCTGGGTATATACCCAAAGGAATATAAATTGTTCTACCATGAAGACACATGCATGTGTACGTTCATCTTAGCACCATTCACAATAGCAAAGACATTCAATCAACCTAAATGTCCATCAATGGTAGACTAGATAAAGAAAATGTGGTACATATATGCCACAGAATACTACATAGCCACAAAAAACAACAAGATCATGTCCTTTGCAGCAATATGTATGGAGATGGAGGCCATTATCCTCTGCTAATTAACACATGAACAGAAAACTATATACCACATCTTATCACTTATAAGTGAGAACTAAACATTTAGTATACTTGAACAGAAAGATGGGAACAATAGACACTAGGGCCTACTGAAGGGTGGGGCATGAGAATAGGATGAGGATTGAAAAACTCTCTATTGAGTACTATGCTTATTACCTGGGTGACAAAATAATCTCTACACCAAGCTCCTGCAACATGCAATATACCAATACATGTACTCCCTGAACCTAAAAAAAAATTTTGAAAGGGAAAAAAAAAAAAACACAGAGAAAGACAAAAACCTTCAACAAGCTGAGGTGCTAAGACCAAATAAGTGAACCATCTTCGGGGATCTGTGACACAGCTGAGTATCTCTGCTGATTAGCTGAGTTCCTCAAGGTCATGCGGACATAGGACAGGAATAAGACAAGAAGCAGAACATGCTAGGGAACCTAAAGATAGGTCTGGCCCCCTGTAGTGGTTAAAAGTAAATTTGTGTGGGTACCTTTTAAAAATTATCTCGGAGCTTTTATTAAAATGTTAAAGTCATAGTGTGGATTCCTATATGCTGTGGAGAATAAGAGCCTCCCCCATGCTTAGGGAGAGGAAGACAAGTAGAGCATGAAGTTATTTCCCCAAGACCAGAGTTGGGTAATTAGTCTATCACCATTGGAGAAAGTTTATCCTTATCACAATAGCCAATGCCCAGAGAAGCTTCCAGAACCAGTCAGAAAATACTATGCTGGCACCACTTCCCTAGACAGGAGAGTATGCGCCATCATAATTTGGATTAGATCAGATTTGGGGAGCAGGACAGTATCTTGGAACCTGGAGCCACCCTGCTTGGATTGAAGTCCCACTCTTTTGCTTACTAATTATGTGATCTTATATGAAATACTTAACCTCTCTGTGCCTCAGTTTCTTTATTTCAAAATAAGGATAATAATTGGACCTATAACATAAAAATGATTTGAAGACTAAGTGAATTCAGTATACACAGGGAATGGAAAAGTACCTGGTACATAATAATTTCTCTGTAAGTATTAGCTATTACTACCAATGTTAGTATTAGTATTGCTGTTGATGTAGTTATGTAACTCTTAGCATAGAAGAGGCAGAGTAAATGTATGCATTGGAGGAGACTAGTAGAGTCCATAAACAGGTTCCATATCTTCAGAATATAAATAAGAATTTGCAAATTTTGCATTTAATCTATTGTCAATATAAAAACATAAATATACCTATAGATTGTTGATGAAAATAGATATGCTTTTTCTAACTGAAACTCTCAATGCTTATTTACAAATGGAGTTAATAGATGAGATAAAATACTATATTCACAATAGATATAGATGAGATGAGATAAAACGATTAGATAAAAGATAAATATATGAGATAAAAGACTATATTTACAATAAATAGATGAGATAAGAGACAATATCCACAAGAAATTATATGTAACAGAAAGTCATCAACATGACTTGATTTATTTGTCTTAACTAACAGCTGATACTGTGAATATGATTTATCATTAAAAGCAAACATTAATTGCCATGGGAATAATATATTAATTGATGCTATTTTGTTATTTTTAATAGACTAAGAGCCATATATTAGGCAGAGATCAAGTTCAAACATTTAATAAAAATGTCAATGGACATATTTAAATTCCCAACAAATTGCAACACAAATCCTGGAAGCCACCAGTGAGGCACCACCTGGCTAGCAAATTTGTCATTCACCTAGTTCTCTTTCTTCTTCAGCTCAGCAGCCCTGCCCACAAACTCATCCTAAGAATGTCAACTATTATAATTAAGTGCCTGCTGCAAATGAAATCACAGTTGGAAGAAAATTTAAACATTCATAATGAGTATGACTTCGTATAATAAACTTTATAGGAGGCCATTGGTTTAAACTGAACTTCTGCACTAGGTCTAACAGACCAAACCAAAATAGAGTTACTCATCCTGAAATTCCATACCACCAAGCCAAAACTAACATCTTTATCTGACCTTCCAAGAACAGAAGAGAGAGAAATAATAGTCAAATTCCAAACAGGACAGTTTTAGCTGGCATGATAAGGAAGTCCCCTCTGCTTTAATCTTTACAAGAAAAGTAACTTTGAAATGACCAATCTGCTTTTTGCTCTTTATTTCTGCTTTCCTCAGCCCTTTTCTGTCTATAAAACACCCTTCTCTGCTCGCCTCATGGAAACAGTCATTCTGTTTTATAGAATAAGATATTGCCTGATATTAGAATCACAAATAAAAGCCAATTAAGATCTTTAAAGTAAATTTGTTGTAATTGTGTCTTTTGACAGCCTTTATGTGAACGGTAAAGATAGGATGTAGAGAAGGAAGATAAGAATCCCTTTTCTCCTTGTTCAGAATGCCATTTTCTTTCTGACCTTGCACAGACCCTCTTTTCACTGAGTCCCATAATTGTTGGACTGTCACACCTCAGCTAACTCACTGCTGCCGACCTTCGCTCCTCCACACACCTAGTTACGCTCCCAAGGCCAGATCCTCCTACTAATTCCAAGCTTGCTAGTCAATCTTGGCAGCTTACTATCCTCAGCTAACTTTCACTTTCCCAGTTGACTTCTTTATAAACTATCTCAGCACTAAATGTAGGTCTCTACATAACCCCTGTCTCTCAACCCCAGAGAAAATTCATACTTCAATTACATCAGTCTTATTCTCTATTTAATATAAATTATGGCATTATTCATGGGCATTCTAGGCCATGTTCTAGAAACTGAGAAAACAAGGTTAAATACAAGGTGGCCATTCTCTTGAGGATCTCACAATTTAGCCAGAAACGTAATGCATGCAATCACTAAAAAGTTATACTTACAATAAAAGACAAGTACACAAAGTACCTGTGATCATATATATATATATATACACACACTCACACACACACATATATGTGTGTATATATATGTAAAGGGGAGTTCATTAGGCATTAACTCACATGATCACAAGGTCGCACAATAGGCTGTCTGCAGGCTGAAGATCAAGAAAACCCAGTCTGAGTTCCAAAACTGAAGAATCTGGAGTCATGTTCGAGGGCAGGAAGCATCCAGCACAAGGGAAAGATGTAGGCTGGGAGGCTAGGCCGACCTCTCTTTTCATATTTTTGGCCTCCTTATATTCTAGCCGTGCTGGCAGCTGATTAGATTGTGCCCACCAAGATTAAGGGTACATCTGCCTTTCCCAGCCCACTGATTCAAATGATAATCTCCTTTGACAACACCCTCACAGCCACACCCAGGATTAATACTTTGTATCCTTCAGTCCAATCGAGTTGGCACTCAGTATTAACCATCACAAGTCCACCCCTTGTTAATTTGAACCCACTAACATCTAACATCTCCTGAGATCATACATAATCTTCAAATAAAGACAATAATAAGGTCATAATTATACCTAACATAGAATAGCTATCCTTCACACAACCAGAAATGCATCAATCACCAACCCAAATACTATAACATGAAGTTAGCAATACTTAAATACTGATGTGAAGTCAATAAATCTTATGTCACATGATAAAGGAGAAAGGCAATAAAATGAAGATATTTTCTTAGTACAAGTGTATAAACATTTTTTTAACAAAAGAAGGAGGAAATACTCATGAAAATTACAGTCCTTGTTTCTACAGTTGGTCATGTGGTCATAGTTGGTATTGATAACTACCTTCTTCTACTACTCCTTCTGTATTTCCTTTGCCTTCAGCAAACACCTCAGCAGTTTGTGGTTTTTTGTTTTTGTTTTTCCTGGTGGAGTGACCAAAAACATCATTCCTGAAGGATCTGGGCCATCTGTAGTCCTGTCTGGACTGAGCTGTAGTAGTTTCCCACTGACCTTAATCACAGGGCATGATAATACTAAGAGATGCCCTAATGGGTCTCCCGTATTCCCTGCATACTCTTCCTTACTGTGGAGTAGGAGACTGATTTCATCTTGATAGTCTGGGTCAGTCACCCCAGCCAACACTGTAACTTCCTTAGCCTGTTGCCTTAAAGGTAGGAGGAGCCCAAAGTGTCCAGGTGGCAAACAATCTTCACTTCCAGTTTAATGGAATCATTGTTGTGTCTCCTGGGGCAGCATTCCTCCCTCTTGAACTAAGATCTCTAGGCCAGCAGAACGTAATGTCATGGGAACAGGAAGCAAAAATTTTGCTAGTGAATCACTAGGGATAATGGTGCCACTTCCATTTCTACCCCTTGATTCCTGGACCTGTGAATCCTGGTAATGGAAGAAACAGTGCCATACATTGGATTCTGATTCAGAACATACACGGCCTTCTGGAGAACTTCGCCCTAGCCCTGCAAAGTATTGTCACATAGCTAGAGTTGTAGTTGTGACTTCAAAAGACCATTCCAACATTCTATCAATCCAGCTGCTTCATGATGCTGGGGAACATGGTAAGACGAGTGAATTCCATGAGCATCAGCCCACTTCCACACTTCTTTAGCCATAAAGTGAATGCCTTAGACAGAGGCAGTGCTATGTGGAATAGCATGATTGTGGATAAGGCATTCCGTGAGTCCATGGATGGTAGTCTTGGCAGAAGAATTGCATGCAGGATAGGCAAACCCATATCCTGAGTTAAGTGTCTATTCCAGTGAGAACAAACCTCTGCCCTTTCCATGATGGAACAGCTCCAATATAATCAAACTGCCACAAGGTAGCTGGCTGATCACCCCAAAGAATGGTGCCATATCGAGGGCTCAGGGTTGGTCTCTGCTGCTGGCAAATTGGGCACTCAGCAGCAGCCGTAGCCAGGTCAGCCTTGGTGAGTGGAAGTCCACGTTGCTGAGCCCATGCGTAACCTCCATCCCTGCCACCATGGACACTGTGTTCATGGGCCCATTGAGCGATGACAGGGGTGGCTGGGGAAAGAGGCTGAGTGGTGTCCACAGAACAGGTCATTCTATCCACTTGATTGTTAAAATCCTCCTCTGCTGAGGTCACCCATTGGTGAACACTCACATGAGATACAAATATCTTTATGGTTTTTGACCACTCAGGAGGTCCATCCACATACCTCTTCCCTACATTTCTTTGTCACCAGTTTTCCAATCATGCTTCTTCCATGTCCCTAACCATCCAAACAAACCATTGGCTACAGCCCATAAATCAGTATATAATCACCCATCTGGCCATTTCTCCTTCCATGCAAAGTGCACAACCAGGTACACTGCTCGATGTTCTGCCCACTGGGAAGATTTCCCTTCACCACTTTCCTTCAGGGATGTCCTAGAAAGGGGCTGTAGTGCTGCAGCTGTCCACTTGCAGGTGATGGATCTTGTAGAACCATCTGTGAACCAGACCCTAGTCTTCTCTTTTTCTGTCAACTGATCACAGGAAACTCCCCATGAGGCCACTGGTGTAGGCTGGAGGAGAGAGGAGGGTGGCAGGAGTAGAGACCATGGGAATTTGAGCCACTTCCTCATATAACTTACTTGTGCCTTGAGGACCTGCTAGAACCTGATTATGTATATACCACTTCCATTTGATAATGGAATGCTGCTGTGCATGACCAACTTTGTGGCTAGATGGGTCAGAAAGCACCCAGATCATGATAGGCAGTCCAGGTCACATGGTGACTTGATGACCCATAGTCAAACGTTTAGTTTCTATCAAAGCCCAGTAACAGGCCAAGAGTTGTCTCTTAAAAGGAAAGCAGTTATCTGCAGAAGATGGCAGGGCCTTGCTCCAAAATCCTAGAGCCGTCTGCTGTGATTCACCTACAGGGCCTGCCAAAGGCACCAAAGAGTATCCCTATCTGCCACTGACACCTCAAGCACCATAGAATCTGCTAGGTCATATGGCCCAAGTGGCAGAGTGGGTTGCACAGCAGTCTGGACCTGTTGCAGAGCTTTCTCCTATTCTGGACCCCACTCAGAACTGGCAGCCTTTTGGGTGACTCAGTAAATGGGCTGGAGTAATGCCCAAATGAGGAATGTGTTGCCTCCAAAATCCAAATAGGCCCACTAGGCATTATGCCTCTTTCTTGGCTGTAGGAAGGGCCAAATGCAGCAACTTATCATAACTTCACCTGGGAAAGAATATCTTGACAGGCCCCACACCACTGGATGCCTAGAAATTTTACTAAGGTAGAAGGTCCTTGAATTTTATTCGGATTTATTTTCCATCTTCTAGTACACAAATGTCTCACCCAATAAGTCCAGTGTGTTTGCGACTTCTTGCTCACTGGATCCAATTAGCATAATGTCATCAATGTGATGAGCCAGTGTGCTATCTTATGGAAGTGAAAAGTGATCAGCATCTCTCCAAATAAGATTATAATACAAATCCAGATAGTTGATAAACTCCTGGGGTAGGACAATAAAGGTATATTGCCAGCCTTGCCAGCTGAAAGCAAATTGCTTCTGGGGGGCCTTATGGACAGGAATGGAGAAAAAGGCATTTGCCAAGTCAGTGGCTGCATACCAGGTACCAGGAGATGTGTTAATTTGCTCAAGCAATGAAACCATAACTTCTATGGTGGCTGCAATTGCAGTCACCACTTGGTTAAGCTTATGATAATCCATTGTCATTCTCCAAGATTCATCTGTCTTCTGCATGGACCAAATGGGAGAGTTGAACGGACATCTGGTGTGAATCACCACCCCTGCATCTTTCAAGTCCTTGAGGGTGGAACTAATCTCTGCAATCCCTCCAGCAATGCAGTACTGTTTTTGATTTACTATTTTTCTAAGTAGAGGTAGCTCTAATGGCTTCCATTTGGCCTTTTCCACCATAGTAGCCCTCACCCTACCAGTCAGGGAGACAGCTTGGGGGTTTGACAGGTGCTAATTATGTCTATGCCAATTATGCATTCTGGCACTGGGGAAATGACCACAGGATGAGTCCAGGAACCCACTGGACCCACTGTAAGTCGCACCTGAGCTATAACTCCAACCTGACCTCCATAAGCACCTACTTTAACTGGAGGACCACAATGATGGTTTTGGGTCCCATAGAATCAATGTCAGCTCAGAGTCACTGCCCAGTAGTGCCCGAAATGTCTGATCATTTTCCTTTTCCCAATGCACAGCTACCCTGGTAAAAGGCTGGAGGTCTCCTTTTGGAAGGATGGGAGAAAAATTCACTGCATAAATTGTCAGAAATGTAGCAGGGTCCTTCCTCAAGGGGACCTGAACTCCCATTCATTCAAGGGGCTCTGGGTCTCTAAACTGGCTCATGTCTGGAAATTGATTGAGGGGCTATGATACTCTGTTTTTATAATTCAAATTAGCCTTCTGTTCATTTGACCTAGGTTTTCTGCTTGTATAAATTAAGTAGGAATGCAGTAGGCTTCCTATAATTTTCACTTCTAGGAACACTGTGATTAATTAGCTAATGCCAGAGCTCTACACAAGTCAGACTATTCTGATTGCCATTTTGCCTCTGCTGTCCATTACAGTAGCTATGCCCATCTTGCCTTTGCCAGTTAAGTGCCGCCACTTGACCCCTGCCATCTTGAGATCCAATTATTCCCATTGTATTTAAATTTTGTAGTTGAGTGACTGCAGTTCCCAGTGTTACATCTGGAATACAGAGAAGAGCAATTACAGGGCTCTTTAAAGATGCAGAGGCTGCCCTCACAAATCTATTTCACAAGGCATTAGTCAAGGGTATATCTTCTGGACCCTCCCAGCTGGGATGAGTAGGTCTAAAGTGATTAATCCACTCCACCATCCCAATCTCCCTAAGCCTTTTGATCCCTTTTTCTACATTAAACCAAGAAAGATATGGCATTTCCAGCTCACTCACAGTGGACCATCATTTAATCAATATTTCAGCTAACCAAGCAAATAAACTATTAGAATCTTTTTTAACTCCCCAAGCTGCAAGATTAAATGCAGAGTCCCTACTTAGTGGGCCCAAATCAATAAATTCAGCCTGATCCAACTCTATGTTCATTCTGCCATTATCCCAAACCCTTAATATCCATTCCCATGCTTGTTCTCCAGATTTCTGTTTATATGATTTAGAAAACTCAAGCAGTTCTTTTTGAGTGTAGAACACCTCCTTACTTATGGGTCCCACTCTCAACCCCTCTTCTAGGGGCCTGCCAGGACTTTAGTCTAGTTATAGGTATAAAAGCAAACAGGGGTGTTGGAGGTAGCTCCTGATGAGAATCAACATTATCTTGCCTGACAAGTGCCTCAGCGGAGGCCATCATTGTTGCCTCAGGCAAAACAGGATTTATCTCCTTAGACAAAGGTGGACAGGCTGATAGTAGCATGGGTCAGGGTGGGGATCTTGCCACTACTGGGCATGGGGAAGCTGTTTCTTCTAGCAAAAAAGGTTCATCAGAGTTTACAAACTCAGTGTTTCCAGCTTCATCGGTGTCCTCCCACACATCCCCATTCCAAGTTGCAGGGTCCCATTCTTTTCCAATCAATACCCTCACTTTAACAGTAGACATCTGGTGAGGCTGTTCATGACCTTTCGTTACAGGTCAGCTACTCGCATGATAAGAGCTTGTGCCTGTTTTTCCACAATTTCACTTTTTCTCTACAGGAATAAGACTCTCACTCAGGGCAATCTTACCAGATTTGAAGCTTAGTATCTGCTTCAGCAGCCAGGTGATAGAATTCCTGTGTTCATCATTTTCTTTCATTACTTCATTCATTGAACTTAGGAGCAACCAACCAGCTTCATTATGTTGCATATGTTCTCCACATATGGTCAAAGGTATTAGGTATGGAGTCACTAAATTCCTTGCCTCTCACGAGTGATGAATCACGAGTGTCAAATGCATTTATTTTGCGTAACTCTCTAAACAGTTTACACCAAGGACTATCAGTGTTCTCCATACTATTAGAAGTAGAGCCCTTAGCATTTTTAGGTCTAAGTATATTAAACAGCCAACTCCAGAAACAACAAAACCAATGAAAGAACTCCATCCTTAGAATTCTGTTCCTCTAGAACAACTTCTGGTACCAAAATCTGTATTATTCAAGGTTCTCTAAAGGGACAGAATTATAGACCATCTGCTGCTTGCTTATATTCTAGCTGTGCCAGCAGCTGATTATTTTGTGCCCACCCAGATTTAGTGTGGGTCTGCCTTTCCCAGCCCACTGACTCAAGTGTTAATCTCATTTGGCAACACCCTCATATACACACCCAGGATCAATAATTTGTATCCTTCAATCCAATCAAGTTGACACTCAGTATTAACCATCACACTGCTGTTGTTCAGAACTATCTCCCACTCACTTTCTAAGCCATTCCAAACTTTCATCGTCCTCTGCCAGCAGTCTATCCAATATTTAAATCTCTCTTTTTCAGAAGGCTGACTTGCCACCCACTTTATCAAGAAAATTGAAAGTATCAACATGAGCTACCTCAAACTAGAAGTAGCTGCCTTTTATTCCTGTCATGTCTTTTCAGGACAGCTTCCATGTGTGGTTGTAATCACATTTCCTTATGCCTCCTTTGGGTCTTTGCTCCATTTCTCTTATGTTTTCAAATTTTTTTATTATTTCTTCTCCCTCACATCTCTCTCAGCATATCAGGTAATTTCTTGATCCAAAGTACACCCTTGGTGGACATTCCTTCTTTTCTCAGCGAACCTTCTTGAAAAAGCACTATCCTTAATTTTTCATGTCTTTCTTCCATTCACTTTTCCAGCCACTGTACTCTACCTTCAGCTCTGTCCATTCCTCTGAAACAACTGTGGCCAAAGTCATGAGAGCCTAAACCAACAATTTAACCCATTGTTTAATCCATTGGACACTTCTTGCAGTTCCCATGTTACTAAATCTCTGCTGCTTTTGATAAAGTTCTGATTTTTTTCTTCTTGAAAATTCTTCATTTTTGTGGATTCCGTGGCATACACTCTTTCACAATATTTCACCTAACCAATAGTACCATTTTAGCCTATTTCACATGGTTCCCATTGTCTTTCAGGCTCTTTATTACACTCAGCAGATTCCATTAGTTTGTATTTTAGTCTAATTTATCAAACTGCCTACTGTAGGACTTTGGAATAGACCTGTGAGCAACACAAAGTTTCTACACCCATATAGTTTGCATCCCTGTTTGTGTCTGTGTGGAATAAGTTAAATCAGATACAGGGAAACAGCCTATAATAAAATAAACAATGACAAACCAAAAATTTTGACATGTGCTATTTAGATAATTTAATTAAGCTGATGTGATAGTGATTGCGAGTCAGAGGATGTTTCATTGAGACTGTATTTATATTGATCTCTGAATGACAGAAGAAGGCAGCCACAGACTGTTGCTAGTAAGAATAGTTCAAGGGGAAAATTGCCCATCTGATGTTGTGAATGAATTTACCGTGTTTGAAGAGGACAGAGATGTCTATTGGGTTGAAAGTCTAGTGAGTGATGAAAAAAAATATAGTTAGGGAACGTGCCAAATCAGTAGAGCTTTAAAGTCAATATGAGAAAGCTTTAATGAGAAACAGGAAAGTAATATGATATAATTCATATCTTTGTATTGATAATATTTGTACAAATTAATGTGGCACATATAATATTTCATTAAAGGAATATAATGTATAATGATCAAGTCAGAGTATTTGGAGTAATAATCACCTCAAGTATTTCTATGTGTGGGGAACATTTCAAGTCCTCTTTTCTAGCTATTTTGAATTATACAATACATTGTTGTTAACTATAATCACCCTACTCTTCTATCAAACATTGCAACCTATTCCTTCTATCTGATTGTATGTTTCAGGAGAATTGGTGTTAGTCTTCTTTGAATGTTTGGTAGAATTTGGCAGTAAAGCCATTCAGTCCTGGACTTTTCCTGGTGGGGAGATTTTTTTTCATTACAGCTTCAACTTAATTACACATTATTGATCTGTACAGATTTTTTATTCCTTTCTGATTCAATCTTGATAGGTTGAAATTAATCCATTAATTAATGCAGAAATTAATCCATTTCCTTTAGGGTTTACAATTGATTAGCATACAGTTTTCCATAACAGACTCTTCTGAAGTATCAGCTACAATGTCTCCTTTTACATTTGTAATTTTGTTTAGTTGTGTTTTGTTTTCTTTTTTCTTGGTTAATCTAGCTAATATTTTATTGATTCTTTTGTCTTGTTGATTCTTTGTATTGTGTTTTTTTAGTCTCTATTTAGTTTTGCTCTGTTCTTTATTACTTCTTTACATTTACTAAATTTGGGCTTGTTATTTCTTGCTTTTCTAGTTTCTTGAGGTGCATCACTAGAGTGTTTATTTGAATCTTTCTACTTTTCTGATTTAGCATTTATTTCTATAAACTTTCCCCTTAGCACTGCTTTTGCTGCACCCCACAGGTTTTGGAATGTTGTGTTTCAATCCTAATTTGTTTCAGCAATTTGTTTCTTGTCTCTTTATTTTCTTTCTTGATTCATTGGTTATTCTGGAGTATGTTAATTTTCACATATTTGTAAAGTTTCCAAAGTTTTACCTTATTATTTATTTCTAGTTTTATTACATTGTGATCCAAGAAGATGCCTAATATGATTTTGATTTTGTTTTAATTTGCTGAGTCTTGTTTTGTGTCCTAACATATGATCTCTCCTAGAGAATATTCTGTGTGCTGAGAAGAATGTGTATTTTGTAGCTGTTATGTAAAATATTCTGTACATTTCTGTTCCATTTGCTCTAAAGTTCAGTTTAAATCCAGTGTTTTCGTTTGTTTGTCAATTTTCCATCTGGACGATACATCTAATTTGAGAGTGGAGTGTTGAAGTTTCCAACTACTATGTATTCTAGTCTATCTTTTCCTTTAGCTCTACTAATATTTGCTTTATATATCTGGATGCTCCGGTGTGGGATGCATATGTGTTTAGAATTGTTATATCCTTGATCCCTTTGTCACTATATAATGACCTTCTTCGTCTCTTGCTCCTCGGGAGGGTGGTCTTGCTTTCAGTGGCAGCAGCTGCGTGTAGGCAGTTGGGAAGCACATACTTCCCTTGTGCTTCTCTGTGGTGGTAGCTGCAGCTGCTTTGTGCGGGAAAGTGTGTCCTCAGGGCACATGAAAATTCACAGTGGCTCTGATGCTGGAGCAGTAAGGACTTTGCCAATGGCTCTTACTTCAGGCTAGCTGGCATCAGCATGTCATGGTGGCGGCTACAGGTGAGAAATGTAAATGTGCTCTAGAGATGTAGTGATGCAAGGGCTTTTGGTCCCCAAGGCAGAATATAGTCTAGTCTCTCAAAATGTTGTCATGCTGCAGCTTCTTAGGGTTCAGAGTAGGTATGGGGCCCAGTGTGAGTTCTCTCCCTGGAGCAATACCTTCATGTAGTTTTCAGGAAGCTCTCTATTTAAGCCTCAGGCCCACTAATGTCTAGGTGTTTTCCTGTGGCCTGGATATAGGAGTTTATAGTTAGAATGTGGACTACTGGGGGTCAATCACTTACAATTTCCCCCAATTCAGGAGCCACTCCAGGCTCTTAGAGAATCCCAGCTGAGCAGACTACCTTGCTTCCCTCTCCCTTCTTGCTTTAAATGTTTCCTTTCACTCCTCCATTGAATGCGGTGTTTTTCCTTAAATGATCTGATGAAATTGTGATTACCCACTATTTTGCTGCTTTTTTGTGATGGAGGTGAGTTACAAGATGCCTTTAGTTATCTATTTTGAAGCCCTCCAAAAATGTATATCTTTATAAGGTCAGGCTGCTTTGGGAAAGTATATTGAAATTAGCAACGAGTGGCAACAAAAAGACTACTTAGATGATTGTTGCACTGAACTGTTTGGGATATAGCAATGGCCTCCTGGGCAATTGAGAATAGTAGGAGTAAAGATGAAAGCAGAGGATATTTTGGGGTACATTTGGAGGTGGTGGCAGAAGTTGCCAGTAAATTGAGAATAAAGAATGATGGAAAAGAAATAATGAATGATTGGCTAGATCATTGTGCACTGGTGATGTAAATCATTATGATGAGGAATGGGTGAGTGGTAGTTACAGTAGTGAAACAGGTATGAAGAGTTCTGTTTTGGCAATGTTTGAGGTTATTATTGACATACTTATAGAGGTGTCAGCTAGGAATTTGATAAAGATCAGTTTGGAATTCAAAGGAAGGCATAACGCAGATGATATAAACTTAGACGTTACTACATATAACTTGTACTTAAAGCTGTGGGACAAGATAACGTCTACAAGGGAGATTGTATTGATACAAAGGGAGGGGAGCATGGAGCACTGATTCATTTCAAGATTTAATCATCAAAAGAGGATATGAGGCTAGCAAATGAGACCTAGAAGAGAAATAACCAGAGTACTATATTATAGAATTCAAGAGAAAAATGTATTTTAAGAAGGAGGAAATAAATAATACTGCTTTGGGCCAAATAAGAAAAGACTAATGATGAGAACATTCTATTTTGACAACTTGAAAGTCAATTGTGACCTACACAGGAACAATCGCAGTGAAATGGTGAGGGCAAGGACCCTATTACAGAAGGGGAGAGGACAAGGTGATGGGGAAATAGAATCAGCAACTCGAGATGACACCTTCAAAAAGTTGTATGATCACAGGTAGGAAAGAAATGAAGTGACAACTGGAAGAAGAAGTAAGGTCATGAGAGGATTTGTGCTTTTGTTTGTTGTATTCACTTGATTTTGTTATTAAGCTAGATAAAACAACTTTATATTTGTTGTAGATTTCTGTAAGGCACCACAATCAACTTCATCCTTCAACACTGGACTATGGAAATTTTCTACACTCCTTTGTCTCACTCACTCATATCCCATCAATTATGATAAACTGTCAGATTTACCCTCTATTTCCTGAATCCAGCTCCTTTTCCCCATCTCTACTGCCATTGTTTTAGTTCAGACACTTAGCTAGATTACGTTATACTCTCCCTTTCTCAATTTCTCATTCTTTAAATACTTTCTCTAAATTGCAACCAGAGTTGAGCAGGTTAACTACAACTATTTTAACACCTTCCATGCTGATAACAGAATTAAGTTGAAGCATTGTAACTTCGGATAAGAAGCCCAATCAACTTTCTTTTCTTTTTTTTTTTTTTAATTATACTTTAAGTTCTAGGGTACATGTGCACAACATGCCGGTTTGTTACATATGTACACATGTGCCATGTTGGTGTGCTGCACCCATTAACTCGTCATTTACATTAGCTATATCTCCTAATGCTATCCCTCCCACTTCCCCCACCCCACAACAGGCCCTGGTGTGTGATGTTCCCCTTCCTGTGTCCAAGTGTTCTCATTGTTCAATTCCCACCTATGAGTGAGAACATGCAGTGTTTGGTTTTTTGTCCTTCTGATAGTTTGCTGAGAATGACGGTTTCCAGCTTCATCTATGTCCCTATAAAGGACATGAACTCATCCTTTTTTATGGCTGCATAGTATTCCATGGTGTATATGTGCCACATTTTCTTAATCCAGTCTATCATTGATGGACATTTGGGTTGGTTCCAAGTCTTTGCTATTGTGAATAGTGCTGCAATACACATATGTGTGCATGTGTCTTCATAGCAGCATGATTTATAATCCTTTGGGTATATACCCAGTAATGGGATGGCTGGGACAAATGGTATTTCTAGTTCTAGATCCTTGAGGAATCGCCATACTGCCTTCCACAATGGTTGAACTAGTTTACAGTCCCACCAACAGTGTAAAAGTGTTCCTGTTTCTCCACATCCTCTCCAGCACCTGTTGTTTCCTGACTTTTTAATGATCGCCATTCTAACTGGTGTTAGATGGTATGTCATTGTGGTTTTGATTTGCATTTCACTGATGGCCAGTGATGATGAGCATTTTTTCATGTGTCTGTTGGCTGCATAAATGTTTTCTTTTGAGAAATGTCTATTCATATCCTTCCCCCACTTGTTGATGGGGTTGCTTGTTTTTTTCTTGTAAATTTGTTTGAGTTCTTTGTAGATTCTGGATATTAGCCCTTTATCGGATGAGCAGATTGCAAAAATTTTCTCCCATTCTGTAGGTTGCCTGTTCACTCTGATGGTACTTTCTTTTGCTGTGCAGAAGCTCTTTAGTTTAATTAGATCCCATTTGTTGATTTTGGCTTTTGTTGCCATTGCTTTTGGTGTTTTAGACATGAAGTCCTTGCCCATGCCTATGTCCTGAATGGTATTGCCTAGGTTTTCTTCTAGGGTTTTTATGGTTTTAGGTCTAACTTTTAAGTCTTTAATCCATCTTGAATTAATTTTTGTATAAGCTGTAAGGAAGGGATCCAGTTTCAGCTTTCTACATATGGCTAGCCAATTTTCCCAGCACCATTTATTAAATAGGGAAGTCTTTCCCCATTGCTTGTTTTTGTCAGGTTTGTCAAAGATCAGGTGTTTGTAAATGTGTGGTATTATTTCTGAGGCCTCTGTTCTGTTCCATTGTTCTGTATTTCTGTTTTGGTACCAGGACCATGCTGTTTTGGTTACTGTAGCGTTGTAGCATAGTTTGAAGTCAGGTAGCGTGATATCTCCAGGATTGTTCTTTTGGCTTAGGATTGACTTGGCAATGCGGGCTCTTTTTTGTTTCCATATGAACTTTAAAGTAGTTTTTTTTCCAATTTTCGGAAGAAAGTCATTGGTAGCTTGATGGGGATGGCATTGAATCTATAAATTACCTTGGGCAGTATGGCCATTTTCACCATATTGATTCTTCTTATCCATGAGCATGGAATGTTCTTCCATTTGTTTGTATCCTCTTTTATTTCATTGAGCAGTCATTTGTAGTTCTCCTTGAAGAGGTCCTTCACATCCCTTGTAAGTTGGATTCCTAGGTATTTTATTCTCTTTGAAGCAATTGTGAATGGGAGTTCACTCATGATTTGGTTCTCTGTTATTGGTGTGTAAGAATGCTTGTGATTTTTGCACACTGATTTTGTATCCCGAGACTTTGCTGAAGTTGTTTATCAGCTTAAGGAGATTTTGGGCTGAGACAATGGGGTTTTCTAGATATACAATCACGTCATCTGCAAACAGGGACAATTTGACTTCCTGTGTTCCTAATTGAATACCCTTCATTTCTTTCGCCTTCCTGATTGCCCTGGCCAGAACTTCCAACACTATGTTGAATAGGAGTGGTGAGAGAGGACATCCCTGTCTTGTGCCAGTTTTCAAAGGGAATGCTTCCAGTTTTTGCCCATTCAGTATGATATTAGCTGTGGGTTTGTCATAAATAGCTTTTATTATTTTGAGATACGTCCCATCAATACCTAATTTATTGAGAGTTTTTAGCATGAAGAGCTGTTGAATTTTGTCAAAGGCCTTTTCTGCATCTATTGAGATAATCATGTGGTTTTGTCTTTGGTTCTGTTTATATGCTGGATTACGTTCAACTTTCTTAATTTCCTCTCATGTTTTGCTTTATTATTTATCAGTGCTGTGGCAAATTAAACTACTAAACTTGTTTTTTGCTGAAATCCCATATTGTTTTGGGCTAAAGTATTTCTCTGATTGACTTTCCTATCCTTTACTAGATATTTTTTATTCCTTAAGGTTTAGATCAATATTCCACTTCTTTAAAAAACATTCCTTGAAACTCTAAATTGCTTAAGCACACCATTCTTATATTAGCTTAAATGTGTGTGTATGTGTGCACATGTGTTTTTTATTGAATCTAAATTATCTGCTTAAGCGTTTGTCTTCATCACTAGCATAAGGCTCTTTAGGACAGGATCCTTGTATAATCAATTTTTGTTATTTTGAGCCATAGCTGATATCTTAGCAGGACTAAGTGGTTGATAATCTGAACATTAGCCCACTATGTAGATATGATGTTCAGTGATACTTATGTATTACAAATATCCTTTCCCAAATGGAACTTACATGTTTACATGCAACTTATCATAGCAAGAAAACATAGATTTTGGACATGAAAAAATTAGCCTTAAAATTCCAGAACTATTATTTATTGGTTGTCCTGTAAGTCACCCAAGTTCTTTGAGCCAGAGTGTCTTTAATCATAAAATGATGATACTAATACTTATTCTATGATGTTGCTAATATTTAGGAATATTTTGAGAAATAAAATAAACAATATTTTAAATATATATACCTAAGATAATATCTGGAAAATAATAAATGGCCTTCAAATGGTAATTCCCTTTCCTTTTGAAAATTTCAGATTTATTCATTTCCTGAATATGTATCAAGCACTAACTGTAATACAGACACCATTCTAGACATTAAAATCCAACAATAAGCAAGACAAACATGACTCTTACTCTCACAGAATTTCTATACTCTGATTGGGAAAACCAGGGCTCAACAAACAATTACACAATTTGTTATTTAATTGCAATTATGAAAAGTGCAACCAAGAAGCATTGTGTGTTATGAAAGTATTAAGCTTGCCACTCATAACTTTCTTTTCATTATTTTGCTCAGATGTTCTTTGATTAGTGGTCATTTAGGCATTTGCCCAACGTTATTATTTTGGAGACAACCTATCAGTGAGCTCTCTCTCTCTCTCTCTCTCTCTCTCTCTCTCTCTCTATATATATATATATATATATATATGATCATTAAAGCAAAGCACTGGGTAATGTTGTAGTGGATGCTAAGAAGTATACCATAGTCTTTGGTGTCAAGGAGCTCAGTAATAGAAACAAGCACTAAAAATGAGTAATTTTTTTAAAAGCACCATAGAAATTTAAAGGCAGAAATTCCCAGATGTGGAATACTTCAGTTTAAAGATGGCATCTGAATTGGACTTTTCAGAATCAATAGCAGTTTGAAAGCAAATTCTTTTTCACAATACCTATCCACTATCACCAAAAAATTGTTCATTTGTAATCTGAAAACCTTACTCTTAGCCAACACCCACTACATTAATATAGGAATGTATTACTTGTCACCTAGATTATTGAAAAAGATTTCTATTTGACTTTCACCTCACTATGCTTTGAATGTGTCCTCCAAAGTTCATGTGTTGAAAACTTAATTCCCAGTGAAGCAAGGTTGAGAAGTGGTGCTTAATGGGAGGTGTTTATGTCATGGGAGCAACAGTCTCATGAATTGATTAATGCCATTACCATGGGACTGTGTTTGTTATTTTGGGACTGGTTTCTTATTAAAAGACTAAGTTCAGACCCCACTTTCTCTCTCTGTCTCTCTCTGTCTCTCTCTCTCGCCCTCTTTTTGCCCTTCTGCCATGTGATGACTCTGCCTGTTATAAGGCAGCAAAAAGGCCCTCCCCATATTACTGGCCCCTCAATCTTGGATTTCTCAGCCTCCAGAACGTGCGCCAGTAAATTTCTGTTCATTATACATTTTCCATTCTGTAGTATTCTGTTGTACTAAGAATAACTATGGACTGAGATTCTCCTCCAATTACTTTCTTCTTTGTTTTCAGGGTGAAGTTAGCTAAAACACAAATCCGATTCTGTCACATCCTTGCACTTAATCTTTCATTTGCTTTTTGGGTTTTCAAATAAAGCTCAGCATTCCCAACATGGAATATGAACTCTTGCATGATTCAAGTGCCATAGTCTGCATACTGGAACTTAGCCATAGCAAACAATGTGCAAATCCCAAATAGCCCATACACTCTCAGATCATTGTGCTTTTCCCCATCCTGCTTCTTCATTTTATTTTTCTAACGCCTACTATGCTTATAGGTTCAGATAATATACCATCTTTCACAGGTAGCTTTTGCTGACTCTCCTCCAATTTCTGATAATGAGTGTTCATCTGTTCCCATAAAACTGTCTACCTTAACAGCTATCATCTATACTCACTTATCTGCTTATCATTTTCCCCCATTAGTCTGTGACCTTTTGCAGGGCAAGAGTTATGTTTCTTGGTATTGTTTTTCCAACACCTAAGACTTCCCGTCATCACACAAAAAAAGCAACAACAAAAATCATTTTACATATTTAATCTCAAAACCTCAAGAATAAACACATGAATTGTTGAAGTAATGGAGATATTTCAAGTCATAATATAAAATTTTACAAGATGGCTAAAGAAAATGAAGGCACAACCTGTTAGAGGAGAGAACACAATCTAATTTGGAAAAAAGAAATTTTCGGAAGGGCAACAATAAATAACAAGCCTATAAAACATAGGGAGCAGGGCTATGAGATAGAGCTTTCTGTGATGGTGGATTTTTTCTATTTTGCACTGTCCAGTACAGTAGCCACTAGCTGCCTGGATGATTGGGGACATGAAATGTGGCTAGTGTGGTGGAAACACTAAATTTTAGCCCATTTTAATTAATTTAATTTTAAATTTAAATCATTGCCATGGGGTCTACTGTATTGGATAGCACAAAACGGACAGGTCTATAGAAGGCCCTGGATATCAGGTTAATGAGACAATATTTTGTAGGTAATTAAAACAAATTGAAGTATTCTAAGAAGAAAATTAACTTAATTCAAAGAGTGTCTTAATGAGTTATGAAAACTAAATACTAATAAGCAATGATATAAAGGTATGAAAATTACAAACTGTTATAATTTGCATGCTGGTTTATTTCTTCTAGAAATTTTGTTTTGTTTCTCACTTTAACCATCTAATGAGGTGAAGATAATGGACAATAATTTTTTATCTAACTTACTAATGTGAAATGATAATGTAATATTTTGGAAATATCTTCAATAGAATTGGAGTAAAAAGCCTGAACATCAATTATTTTGTTATTATCTAATTAATTGTATAATAAAGTGTACAATTTATAATTTGAAAACATTTTGACTTTTCATTGCATACATTTCATATACTAGATAAATAATTGTGTTCAACTGTTGGATATGTATCCAGAAAATTTCTGATATTATACAGCTACCAGGCAATGGCTTAGATATAAGGTAAACACAAATCCCACTTTCCTAGGACAACCCAGTTATGCCTAATATACATCAGTTGACAAACATATTAAAACATTTTATCCTCCCATTTCTGCATCATAAATGTTATCTTTGGATAATAAATTATATGGTCACAATTTGTGCATCTCTATCACAAACTACAATATACATTTCTTTTAGAAAATATGCACATTATGCTACTTTATAGTAAAAACATCCAATAAACTTCTATTTGTTTATTTCTCTGCCGCCAAAAGCATAAGCAACAAGGTAAGGAAAGTTTAGAGACTCAGATCAAGACATTCTGAACACATCTGAAATACTTATGAACATTTAACGTGAATTTACCTTCATAAATTTGCTGACAGTATTGTATCTTCCTTACATGGTTTGTCAAGATTAAATCAAAATGATTACATAAAACATTTAACATAGTACTTAGCAGAGCCAAACTAATTAGCAAATGTTAGACAATCTAATTCTTACTGTTATTTTGTGTCATTATTATTAATGTTGGTTTTTGTTCTACTACCTCTCCTGGCAGGTTCAAACATCCTGGGGTAAGGTTTGGCTAGCAAGAGCATGGTGGCTCTTAGGTATATCAGGTGGCTCCTCTCCTAGGCAGGACAGGTGGGAGGGACACCAAGAGATTTTCTGTCTTCTCCTTGGCCATAGTTTCTTACATGTGTCAGAACAGGTTAGGTATAAAGCTACACTTACCTGACCAGTCTCAGCAGGAGAAGCAATATATCTGCATTATCTCATGATCTCTCACATAGAAATCCTTGAATGTAATATATTTATACAACATTCCCCCAAATGTTTTCTTTTTACATACCCAAAGCAGGTTTGCTCAAATGTATTTCAAATTATAGTTGCATTAGAATATAAAAAGAAGCTAGAGGTCTTACGTCATCTAATTTAGATAATATTCCTGCCTCCCAAATTGTGATAAAGACAATGTTTAGAAAACACTTTTTTATAGTGTTTAAAAATAGTTACTATTATTATTTTCAAATTGATTTAGAGATTATGATAGACGAACAATACTGTGAAGATATTAATAAAGATGTGAGGAAAAGGTCAACAGAAAGGCATATAAATTAATTCAAAACAATGACCATTTTAGGTTTTAAGAGAATTAATAAATTTGGGGGCAAAAGACTGAAAATCTAATAAGTTTACCTGGAAATTAAATGCATTTTGGCACAGTCTTCTTAAATTATCCAAAAAAAAATTATAAGTGTTCTGATCCTTGGGGAAAAAACTTCAAATATTCTAAATATGTTTGGGTAGAGTTTCAAGCAATGGATGGAAGAAAGGCAGAACTGTATGAATATACTCTAAGAAAGTAAAGTTGAGATTTGTGTATCTTATGTGCTTATGTGAACCAACTTGGCCACAAGCAGGAGACCAGGAGCAAGGACATGAGGAGACAATAGTTACAGGGCTTCTTATCACAATTAGGGCTCAAATAAAAAAATTATAGGCTTCTGAAAAAGAGAATGCCAAGATCTAAATGATAGTTCAGGTGTCTGGGTTTTTTTTTTTACTACTTATATGGAGAATGATTTGCACATGGTGAAAGGCTACAGGAAGGCAATAATTAAATTGTATTCAGATGAAAAAAGCAGAAGTCAGAACCCAAAGAAGCCAAGGTGCAATATTAATGTTTTAGCCTTCTTATGTGTTCTTTAAAAGAGAAGTGAAAGACATGTTATTTTCAGATAACGAAATTGGGACATGTTAACAGCTTCAATAGGAGTAGAAAAACAATACAGTGATTCCTATACAATTAGCACATAAACCAACATATTGTAATTAGATTCAGCATATAAATTAATCAACAAAACATTAATTAAAATAATTAAGCAAAGCAAATGGAAGAGCGCGTTGACAAAATCCACTGCTCTTTTTTTCTTTTTGGTCCTCCATGCCACTTGATACAAAGCCAGTCAGTTTTTACACTGAATCTCTCTATACCTTCCTTCAAACTTGGGAAGATATCAAGACTTTTGTTCAGTGTAAGATGGTGATTTTCATTAGACTTAGAGAAAATATGTTCCAAATTTAACAGCAACATCGTTTCTAATGGCCCAGGCTCACCTACCCCAGGTCGAGAGAACAGGCCATGTGAGAAAATATTGCTGATATTTTTATCAAGAAGCAAGTAGGAGATTAGGATACTGAGGGAAAGAGATGGAGTGCTGCAAAGACAAAGAGAAAGGGAGAATTTCCCAGGAGAGTAGAACCAACACATTTACAAATAAAAACAATCCAGACGTATAGGAAGAGACTTTATTCAGGAGAAAAACTATTGCAATAGAGAGAAAAAGCCATTCTCAGATATCTGCAAGCATCTCAAAATCAACAGAAAAAAAAATTCCTCTTTTATAGAGTAAGAAAGGCAAGCAAAGATATGCTGAATCATATAAAGGGAAGTTAGAGAAGCCAATGGAAATGAACCATTGGATCTGACAGGAAAGTGTCTTGCCAGTTCCCAGTTGAAGCAGAAAAGGGGGGCTCATTCCACTTTTTAGTGCTTGCTTAGGCTTAAAGGCAAGCAGGGTTCAGAAGCTTTTAAGAAAGAGAGTAGCCTTACTCTAGTTTAGTCAAAACAAAGCCATGGTAAGACATTGGCAACAGTAAACATTTGGTCAGAATTATGCCAGCAGACTAAGATACATAATTGAGTGGGAGGCTGTATGCAAAATTTATAGGGAAGATAGGATTAAGTAAACTAGTGCAGAAATTATGAATTGTTACAGAACTAGAAATATGAGATGATGGAGGCCATGTGTCAGTAATAATTGGCACCAGGACCTAAAATTGTCACCCAGTCCCTCAATCATAATGTGCCAAATCCCCTGCATAGTTAGGGAGAGTTACCCAGCAAATCAAAGAGGAGCTAGGTGCAATAGAAGAAGCTTCTTATTGGAGCAGAATGAGAAATAGAACAAAATCCTCAGAAAATAAAAACAAACAAACAAATGTATATTCATAATATCGTTCTATTATTTGAAATTTTTATTCAATATCACAATGTAATAAACAGTTTTAATTGAAAATTAGGCTATCTGAAATATCATCTGACAAAAGCTTTTCTAAAAATTGAATTATGATTGTTGTGACTTATTCGAGAGGCCTGATTATCAATTTATGTTTACAAAGATGGAGATATATTCACAATGATAGTAATGATGGCTAATATTTACTGGGTATTCTCTACGTGCCCAACACTGAGCTTATGCGTTTCATACATTGTAACATGTAATCCGCTGAATAACCTGATGAATATGTATTAGTAGTAGTATTACCATTTTGCAGGTAATGATAAACTTTACTGAAATCCAATGAGGTAAGTAAATGAGGCTCTGAACATTTACATAATTACTGAATGTCACATAGCTCCTAAGTGCAGCACCAGAACCTGAATCCAGATGTTTCGGGTTCTAGAAGCCATGCTCTTTCCCCCTAATCTACACTGTATAAAAGATGCAGTTACACTCCAGTGAATTTGTTTGCATTAGCTGATGTTCTGCCTTTTTCTGACCATGGGTATTTCTTCACATATACATACATTTGGACTGAACATGTATATTTAATACATTCAGTTCATTCCCACTGGACTCTTTGGGGGTCTGTCCGCCTTTTTGGTGGGAATCATCCTATCTTATAATCCCTCAACTCTGATATAATCTTTGTACTATGTTGTCTCTCACTTGTTAATGGGTTCTTGAAGTTTGCAATTGGTAAGTCTTCTTTGTCAACTTAGTATCACAAAATTTGAGAGCAATTGCAATAGTATCCTTGACATTTCCAAAGGATTCAACTATAACATTAATAGGTAATATTTATATTATGAAATTGCACAAGTTTTACAAGCCAGTCAACATGTATAAGAGAAACAATGTCTAATGCATAGAATTCTTCACTATGCATGCTAATATAATGACTGTCATGCTTCAGTTCTACTAAATTACTTAAAGATCTGGGAACTGGGGAAAGAAAGGGGAAAAGTAACTAACATCTACTGAGACGAAACTATGTGCCAGCCATTTCAGATATATGATTTAATTTAATTTTATCACATATCATATAATTTAAGCATTACAGCTCCTCTTCCTAATAAGGAAACCAAAATTCAGGGGTTAAACAACTTTCTCAAGTAAATACGTTCGTAAAACTGAGACTTTAAGTTAAATTTCTATGACTCTAAGCCTATAACTTTCTCATCTCACAGCCGCTACATTCAGTCATCCAGTGACCTCAGCAACTTTTCAGTTGAAGATTCTGCATCACCAGATAACAGAACAAACTCAAGAGCTTATCAACATGTATTTCTAAATTAATTTATTTAAGCTGCAAGGTTTTATTCTACCTATTTTTCATGAGCATTCAGCTATTATTAAGCTAAGCATTAAAGAAACTTGCAAAAATGTAAAACAATGCCACCCTTCTCACTAGCTTTTGTTTGTTTTGGAAAATCTAGTTGTTATTCACACAATATGCTATATATGTTAACACATAATAGATTTATTGTTATTTTTAATGAATTAATATTTCAATTACCAGTTTTAATTTCTAATGGGGAAAATATCTATAAATATGACCCACGTAAACAAAAACTCTGGTATTCTTTGTAATTTAGAGTATAAAGGAATCCTGATACTAAAAACTTTAGAGTGTTTTTCTAAGCCAGTATTAGTGTTTTTTTAAATATCTACATTTTCTAAAACCTACAACCCCACTTAGAGTAATCAACCAAATTCGAGGGGCTAAGTCTTTCAGTAATTATTAGTTTTATATTTATCTTGTATTTACAACTTCTATGGTCTGCTTTGTTCCCAGTAAGCACAAAACACCTGCTTAACAAATAAATTGCATTATTTAATACTCTGATCTCCAGGCTCAGTTATACTATTAGGAAGCAGTGTGTCCAGTAGACACAGCAACATGTTCCTGAAAATGCAGGAGAGTAAGGCCCAATTTGACATTATGTTATATTTCACAGAATTCTTTTAAATAATGAACATGGCTCATTCTTTTCATTAAGAAATTCCGTACTATTATTAGACATAAGGTACTATTGTTAGGCACTGGGGAGTCAGAATTGAATATTATTGATACAGCTCCTGTAGTCTTTGGAGCTTTGGTTGTGTGGGAAGATAGCCACTAAACAATGAATTGCACAATTAATCACTGAATTATAATTTACAATAAGAGTTACAAGAGACTTATAAAATATTATAAAATCCTACAAAGCATATTGAAATAAACATATTGTCAAATGCCTGCCTCCATAAGTCAGAAAAAGGGCTTAGGCTAGCTTCTTCCTGTTTAAAATAAGGAGGGGAGTGTCACTGACCTGTACTTATTCTGTGTATCACTTACCAAATTTCTGTTCATATAATTATTGGCTCAATAATTATTTGAGCAATGTTTATTTTCTCCATTTTTCTATATGTTCCATAAGATAAATTTATATTTTGTTCACAGCAGAACTCCCTGAACTAGCAAAGCACATGATACATCATGAAACATGGTAGGTGCTTAATAATACATTTGTTGAGTAAATAAATGAATACCACATCTATCCAGAAGGTTTGGTAGAGCTTCCTTCCTCCTAGATCCACATATTTACTGAACTGTTTTATGTATATAAAATTGATATTCCAAAAGAATTTTTTAAAAAGTCTGAGGATTTTTCAACTTCAATTACTTTCTGGTAAGCAAGAGTGTGACAATATACTAATGTGACAAGATACACACATTTAAGAAAATGTAGTCTCCTAAGTGTTAGCATCTGCCAGTGAACAAAGCAAAAAAGAAAGAAAGGTCCTGACCTCATGAAGTTTACATGTTTGCACAGTCATACAAAGACAAACTGAATTTATAGTCATACACAGTTAAAGCTGCAATGTATTTGAAGAGATTAAGTAAATCATGTTTAACAGATAAGTTGGTTAAAGGAATATATTATTCTACTTGGAATGTTGTAACAAAATACTACAGACCAGGTGGCTTGAACAGCAGCCATTTATTTCTCACAGTTCTAGAGGCTGGGAAGTCCAAGATCAAGGTGCTGGTCAATTTGCTTCCTGATGAGGGCCCTTTTCCTGGCTTGTAGACAGCCACCTTCTGCCACCTTCTTGCTGTGTCTTCACATGGCAGAGAAAACTATTTGTCTCTTTTCCTATTCTTATAAAGTCACTATTCCTACCATGAGGGACCCTCTCTCATGACCTCATCTAATCCTACTTACCTCCCAAAGACCCCAGCTCCAAAAAAAACAAAAATCATTATGAGTATTATGCCTTCAATATGAGAATATTAGGGGACAAAATCCATTGCATAGCAAGAAATAAAGGACAGAATTTATTCTGTAAGATAAAAGGGGAAAATTAATGCAGCTTGTCTGGGATAGAACCCTGGACTTATGGGTATATAGTCACAGATGCAAACACTTAGAAATAGACATTGAGTGAGCAAGGAGCCATTGTGATCATCTTTGAGCCTAGGCTGGGAAGAAAGTTGAATATACAAGTGAAATATGAAATTAATTTAATAAATATTTAAATTTATAAAATATTAAGAGTCTGACAAATTGCTGTCTAAGGAATCTAATATTGGGGACATTGAAATGTATATCTTTTCTCCAACTAAAATGCAGCAAACCACACACTACTGACAGAAGAATATAAAGAATGATCCATTTTGCCCATTTCTATTTCAAGCTTCTGTGAATGAACTTAATGTCAAATAGGTATGAGTAGAAATCTCAAAGGGTGAAAGATACAGCTGTTTCTAGAAGCTAACAATTTGAAGGATTAATCTATTACTTGCTGAAACTGAACTTTCTTTTCCAATTAGTCAGACTTTTAACATCCAGGCAAAACATTCCATTTCCCTGAATAAAACAAAGTAAATGAAAAAAAAAATGTTAGCACTCATTAGCAAATGCTCAAAAGATTTTCTGCCTTCTTTGAAGGGAAAAATAATGTCCTTGATTTTGAGTGATTTTGCTGTGATCTCATCAGTAGTTTGAATACAGGCTCTAATTAAAGACATAGTATCATATATTTGAAATCATAATCTCATTAAAGAATAGTATAAAACTGATTAATATTTTTTAAAGTGAATAAAAATTTTAACCTTCCAATAATAGTTTTATATTAAAAAGTATTAAAGGTAATATAAGAGTTTAGATAATATACAGATTATATATTTATGTGTATACAAAAATATACATTATATATGTATATGCTATATCTATATTATATATAAGGAGAAAGACAGATGTGTACACACATACACATATATATAACACATCCATAGAAAATAAGCTAGTAACGAGGTACTACTATCTTGTACAAAGAGTACTTTATTGTCTACGATTCCTCAGTAAGACCATTGACATTAAGGTTGAAGTGCAAGTGTTGCTAAAAAAATATCATTAAGGAACCTATATGTTGCTATTAATTAATGATAAGTGAGAAGTGCTGAGCTGATTCTTCTGCTGCCTTTTTTTTGGTGAGCTGATTTCGTAAATCAGGAAGACTAGTGAATGAAGCTTATAGGACTTCAATGACAGATCAATCTAAAGGGAAAAAAAAGCTAAGAATGTGAAAGTCACAGGCTAGGGGACATTTGCAGTGGGCCTGACTCTTAACATGGCTACCAACTCCCTGAATCACAGTGTATCATTGCAAACCCCTGTTGGCTCCAAGAAGGAGTCTGCTTTTAGTTTAAACATGAAGTCAAAAGTGTCTGGGAATGGTGGCACTGGTAGCTTTATGTTTTTGAGTGGCCTTTATGTTTTTAAGCAGCCATCTCAGGATGCCAGCTATTGCTCAAAGAAAAGAATCCAACCCCCAGGAGAAAGAATGTAAAATAAGACAGTCAGGAAAATTGGTCTTCCCAAAATAGGTTGGAATTCCAATCCTGAGATCCAGCTCTAAAGGGACGAATAGGTATATACTTTAAAAAACAAAACCAACCTCTTTTGTAAGGGATGAACAAACACAGTGGATGTTCCTGGTGAAAGCTGTGATTTGATAGGCAATGGGAATTTAGGACTTACTCCAGTACCACCAGATATGAGGCTATAGCATAGCATACCATATCCAAGAGGTCACTCGCGATTATGTTTGAAACATCTAATAGATGACCAAGCTTGTCATGTATCAGGACTGACTTGACTGAAGGACTGAATGGAGCTGAAGACATGAATTTAACTTTATCAATGCCTAATTTTGTCCTAGCCCACAAAACTAACTCAGGACTATTTTCAAGTAAGGAAACAGAAATTAGTAAATGCTAAGTGAAGAATTTTCTTTTGGCAAATAAACAGCCAAAACAGAAGCAACTGGGGAAGAAAAGAAAATCAGAGGACACAACTCAAGACAGATAGTGGCATAAGGAGGACAAATGCAAACAGCCAGCAAGAGAAGAATCAGTTGATCAAGATAAAAGTAGAAACCAGAGAAAAACTGGAGAAGCAAAGAGACTTTATTAGAGAGGCAACACATTTTATGGGAAAAGAACAGAGGTTGATGATGACATTGTGAGATAGAGGTGAAGAGCAGAGAAACAGAAGAAGAACAAGAGAGAAGGGAAAAGAGAAAGAAGTAGACTGAAAAACCATGTAAATCTACCTTGGGTTGATGAATTTTAACTGACTTCCTGTAAGTGAAACAATTAATGATCTGAACAAATTTCTACATGTAAAGGCTTTCATATACCTAATTTTTACATGCATAGAAATAGTCAATACATTTATTTCATAAGTCTGCACACAGTGGTATTAAGTATGTTATCAAGAAAATAAAGGCATATCTCAGAAATATTGCAGATTGAATTCTAGACCATATCAAGAAAACAAATATCACAATAAAGTGATTCACACTAAATTTTTAGTTTCCCAGTGCATATAAAACTTATGCTTACACCATACTGTAGTCTACGTGTATAATAGCATTATATCTTTAAAAATGTGCATGCCTCAATTTTAAAAGATCTCATTGCTAAAAATAAATGCTAATTATCATCTGAGCCTTCAGCAGTCATACTATTTTGCTGGTGGAAGGTCTTACTTCGATGTTGATGGCTGCTGACCGATCAGGGTGGTGATCGCTGAAGGTTGGGGTGACTGTGGTAATTTCTTAAAATAAAGTAACTATGAAGTTCGCCACATCAATTGACTCTTCCTTTCTTGAATGATTTATATGTAGCATTTGTGTTGTTTGACAGCATTTTATGCAAAACCGAAGTAGAATTTCTTTCAAAATTTGAGTCATTCTTCTCAAACCCTGACACTGCTTTATCAACTAAGTTTATGTTACATTCTAAATTCTTTGTTGATGTTTCGACAATGTTCACAACATATTCACCAGGAGTAGATTTCATCTTAAGAAAACACTTTATTTGCTCATTCATAAGAAGTGAGTCTTCATTCATTCAATTTTTATCACGAGATTGCAGCAATTCAGTTGCAGCTTCAGGCTCCGCTTCTAATTCTAGTTCTCTTGTTCTTTCTACCACACCTACAATTACTTCCTTTCACTTGAACACTTAGAGGCCATTGTAGAGTTATTATTTGGTCTAATTTCAATATTGTTCTGTCTCAGGGAAAGGGAAGTTTGAGGAGAGGGAGAGAGACAGGGGATGGTCCAGTGGTGGAGCAGTCAGAACACACACAACTTTTACCAATTAAGTTCATTGTCTTATATGGACATGGTTCATGGTGTCTCAAAACAATTACCATAATGACATCAAATATCACTGCTCATATGTCTCCATAATATACATAATAGCAATGAAAATGTCGGAAATAATTGTGAGAACTACCAAAGTGTGATGCAGAGACACTAAGTGAGCACATACTGCTGGGAAAACTTGCTCAATGCAGCGTTGGCATAAACCTACAGTTTGTAAAGAATGCAGTATCTCCAAAGTGCAATAAAATGAGATATGCCTGCAATCCAATATAAAACTAAGAGCAGGTTGAAGATTATAACAAAATACCTGCTTGTTATCATGCAGGTATTTTAATTTCATTCTTAGAGTAGTGCCTGGTAACTCTTTTATTGTTTTTCTAAAATTAGGTTACATAGTAGTACTTCTTGTGTTTGTGGTACTTCAAGCTTTAATAGCTTTATAGGAGGTATCTGTGTGTGTGTGTGTGTGTGTGTGTGTGTGTGTGTGTGTGTGCGCGCTCCAATTATGGTCAGTACTTTATAACAATATTGTTTTATGAAAATAAACATGTTTATAAAAAATTTTATGTGGATTTTGAACATAAACATAATACTTCAAAGAAATTTATGCTCAAGCAGACAATACTAATCAGATCAAACATCCCCCCTCCATGATATACTTTAGAAGAAGATGTGGAATTATAATTGGGTCTGCTTACTAAATGGAGAAAGAAAATATCATAATTCCCTAAAATTATACAAAATGATTAATATTCTCTTAATTTTAGCTTTTATAATGTGGACAGACAATAGGTAATTAAAAGCTGAAGATAAGATCAAAGTTTCTTTCTAGTAAGGTTATCTTCATTGTTATCAAGCCATTGAGTGGTACTGACAGTTGACTGCAAAATTGACTAGTTTTATTCCACCTTCTTTTATCTACACCCTCTTACCCCCAGGAAAATCCTCTTCTAGAGAACAAAATATTGATATAGCCCAAGAAAGAAAAAGCCAAGCATGTAAAGAATGGTCACTGGTCCTTCAAAAAAAAGAAAGTATCTAGTTTGGCTGGGGGAGGGTATCCTATGTGGATTGATGTTCCCTTGACAAGTTATAATGTTTTCAGCGTAGAACATATGGCTCAGAAATTTCTTACTGCTTCTAGGTTTCTCCTGTTTCAATCAGAAATAAAACTTATTACGAAGACAAGTTTACTCTTCTAATATTAATGGCTTTTGAGATGCTCATATGATTGGGATATAAATAGAGTTTGTAAGATTGGTGAGATAACCAATAATAATACCTAGGAAACAAATTAGGAGTATAAATTGTTGACTAAAAATAACTGCTTCGTAGGGACCCAATCGCACAGTGAGTGGGAATGAGTAAGGCACAGCCTCCGGGGAATAAAGAACTTTCTGAGATGAATTACAAGCAATAAAAGAAGAAAACCACACTCTTAACTGATGAATAGAAATCCCTGAGGAGAAAAGTGTTCATTTGTACTTTCCTTCTTTAGTGTGGCTTATTTCTAAGACATTGATTTTATTGTGTGAGATGCTTCTTCTCTCCTCAGATTGGTCTAGATGGAGAAGACAGCCATATAATTGTGATTGTTTTAACTGAGTTTTACTAAAGGTTTCAACATTTAATCAGTTTTTACATCCTTTAATTGATATATTATTTATAGTCAAAGCTGTTAAAAAAATGTATAAAATATACTGAAATAAAAAAGAGAACTTTTCCTCCCCTGCCCCTTCTCATTTACACGGCAATGACTAGCATCTTAATCACCTTGAGACATTTTTCTCCCTTCCTCATTGTATTTCTTTCTATTAAACTTATCACCATCTGACATACCATGTGTGTGGGGTAAGTGTAATTCCAAGATGACCTCCAGTGAATTACACCCAGAAATTAAACCCCTATTTTAAGTCTAGGCAGGACATGTGTCTTGCTTCTAGATAACAGTGTGTGACAAAGGCGATGGGATAGCACTCCTTTGATTAGGTTATGCTTATAAAACTCCTTGTTAGCTGACTGGAGCAAGAGCTTCTCCTGATGGCCTGAAGAAAGAGGCTGCCAGGTTGTAAGAGACTGTGACCACATGGAAAAAAACTGTGGGACCCTCCAGCAGCTGAGAGTGGCCCGGATCACGGCCAACAAGACAACGGGAACCTCAGTCTTACAGCTTGAAGCAACTGTAGTCTGCCAACAATCACGTGATCTTGGAAGCGAACTCAAGCTCTAGGAAGGAATGCAGCCTGACCAATGCCTTGATTGCAGCTTTGCAGGGAACCCAGATTAGCCACATCTGGACTCCTGGCATGTGGACACTGTGAGTTAATAAATATTTGCTGTTGTAAATCACCTAGTTTGTGGCAATTTGTTACCCAGCAATACAAAACTAATACACTATTTGTTTTATCTGTATATCTAAATTTTTATTCTCTATTTCTTGTCCTGGCATCAAAACATACATAGCTTATAAACTCGAGATAAACAGGATTGTTTTTGTTTTTGTTCTTGTTTGTTTGGCCTGCTTTTCAAACTGCTATGTCTCCAGTGCCTAGAAGATTACTCAGCACCTAGTAGGCTTTCCATATGTTAAACAAAATTATATTTTTGAAAAGTTCCAAGTTTCCATTAGTGAATCTATCTTACCTTAGAGATACTATAAAACAAAATTTCAGAAAACATATTTTTAAAATGAGATTAGAAAATTGCTTTTAAACGAAAGTGTGACATTTAAAAATTATTTAATCATGCATTCAACTGACATATATTAAACACAGAAGAGCACAGAGCTGGAGGCAACTTGCTTCTCTTCAGTTTAATAAAGGAGGTAGGTGCATAACCCCAAATTACAGGATGGCAAGGAATTCTCATAATAATGGTATTAGCAAAGTGCTAAATAAGCAAAGGATGAAAGTAATTACAGCTAGCATTTCTAAGTTGTTGCTATGTCCCATACCCTTCACAAGCACTTTACATTTATTTTTTCACTTTGTTCTCATTATGGTCCTATGAGCAGTCACTGTTCATGGCTTTGTTTTATAGTTGAAGAAAGACTCAGCCAGTTTAGGTAACCAACCCATGGTCATAAAGTGACAAAGCTGAGGTTTTGACTCATATCTGCCTAATTCTAGAGCCCAATTATCCTATCACTGTATCAATGGCTCTCAAACATTAATGTGAATAAGCATGACTTGAAGAGTTTGAAAAAGCGATTCTAAAAGACTTGTCTCCAGTGAATCTAGGATGAAGCTCAGAAATATGCTTCTCTCTCCCTTTTCCTTAAGCAATTATCCAATCACTGCTGATTCAGGAGATCCAACACCACACTTCAAGCTACATGGCAATGCCCTATAAATCCAGTCCTTGGAAGAAGTAAAAAGGTAATTCTTGGGGTCAGGTTTGGTGGCTCATACCTGTAATCCCAGCACTTTGAAAGGCTGAGACAGGCAGATCACTTGAGGCCAGGAGTTTGAGAAGAGCCTGCCCAAAATGGCAAAACCCTATCTCTACTAAAAAGACAAAAATTAGCCGGGCATGGTGGCATGCACCTGTAATCCCAGCTACTTGGGAGGCTGAGGCACTAGAATTGCTTGAATCCAGGAGGCGGAGGCTGCCGTGAGCCAAGATCATGCCTCTGCACTACAGCCTGGGCAACAGAGCAAGACTCTGTATCAAAAAATAAAATAAATAACAAAAAGGGTAACACTTCATTATATATAAAGCAAGAAGTAGAAAATGGAAGCAGATGAACATCTAGGCTGATATCACAACATGCAAGTTTGGGCATGCAGGGCACATTCCAGAAATTGTAGCTGGGACTTACAGTGGGCATGGCAGTATTAGAGAGATTGCAGTCATGTGTTGCCAAACAATGGGGATACGTTCTGAAAAATGCATTGTTAGGTGATTTTGCTCTGAAAATATTAAAAAACATACACAAACCTAGTTGGTGTAGCCTATTGTGCCTAGGCTACAAACCTGTATAGCATGTTACTGTACTGAACACTGTAGGCAACTATAACACAATAGTAAGTATTTGTGTATCTAAACACATCTAAACATAGAAAAGAAGTAGTAAAAATTCAGTATTATAATCTTATGAAACCATCCTCACACATGCAGTCTGCCACGGACAGATCATTACGCGGGTCGTGACTGTAACAGGAGAGGGAGGTAGAGGCCTGGTCATGACGTCTGTATGCTATCCAAAGAAAGGGTTATCACGTAGTGATTAAATGCACAGAATCAGAGGACAAACTACCTGGAGTCTATTTCAAGCACCTCTTATAAAAGATTTGAGAATATGAATAATTCATTCAACTGCTCTGTGACTCAGTTTTCTTATCTATAATTGAGGATAGTAATCCTATCTCATAGGTGTATTATTTAGATAAAATAAAAACACATAAAGCATTTTTGAAAGTGTCTGGAACATAAGCACACAATAAACATTAGTCATTAATTTTATGGCTGGAGTCAACATGTTGCCCCTGAGTAATTTTTATGGCAAATCTCTCTTTGATAGCTTTTCAGTAGCTGGATTCAATAGAGGGAAATTCTAAAAACAAGACCAGCTAAAAAACTATTCAATTTATGCCAAATGCATACAGTTTGAGGAGGGATAGAGAAGTGGGATCAAATTTGAGAAATATTTGGGAGTAAAAGTTATAGAATTTGAGAATAAATTGGATGTTGAGAGCAAAATAATGAGAATGACTCCAAGATAACGAACTTAGGCAACTGGTGGTTTTACTAGTGAATTCCCCTTGCTATGCCCTGAATGTCTGCACTGATAGGTTGTGATAGCAGATGTTGATTTTTTCCCCCTTTTCATTAGCTGACTGTCTGAAGGGGTCAGTAATTTATCCTATGCTGAAGGCAACATCATTGCTTTATCTGCTCCAGGGACATAAATACAGCTGATCTAACGGTTTCTTCAAGCTGCCTTAACCTAGCTTTCGGCTACATCTTGATTTATATCAACATACTTAAAGTCTTGTTGATATCACTTGGGGTAGAATGTCAAATAGAATTAGCTTTCTAGTAAGTTTGCTCTCACCTCCTCTCACTTTCAGGTTCATCAAAGAAAGAGTATGTTTTTGTCATTGCCAAATTACTGATATACAGCATAGAAAGCACATTCCCATTAATTACAATTCTATGTCAGAAATAACTTGGCAATGGAGCTGGTGAAGGTACCCATTATGGACACACTTATGGCATACCTTGTACCTATCCCCAAAGCCCAGCTACAAAATGCCAAGCATTGTCATTATGAAACAAAATAGTTAGAGAATAGGGGTAATTCTAACAAGTACTGACACTTGAAGAACTTTTAGTGAATAGAAAATCATGGTAGCATATTTGTGGAGAAAGTGAACCTTACATTTTGATAAATAAAGAGAAGTCCCTGACTCCACATGAGGCTCTAATCCTTATCCCTCTAGTCCTTATCCCATAATAACTTTCCAGGATATAACAATATATCCTGTTATTTGACCCTAAAGATTCAGACCCAACTACCTGTAGGTTTATATATAAACATGAGGAATATCAGTGAGGCAGAAAGTCAACAATATGTGAATCAATATATATTTTAGAAAATCAGTATGTGGCAAGATGAAGGATGCATTTGAGAAATAAAAATTGGAGACAAAGTGATTGGTTGGGAGGTTGTTGCTGGTAAAAATGAATAAGAGTCTCAACTGGAGTGATGGTGGAGATGAGTTTGGCTATCTTAGGAGATAGTGCATACACAGCTTATTTCTTTGCCATAATCCACAGGTATCAGTCCACAGCTAAAATATTCAAGGGTCCCTTATAAAAAATAAAACGTAAATCTCATTAACACAGCAGCCTTATCTTGTTACACTAGCTCTCTCATCCTCAGAATGATCTCCACCCATTTACTTTTTGCCACACAGAATTAAACATATCATATTTCCCACTAATTCATTTAAAAACTACATTACACAAATATTTATGGAGCACCTACTATGTGCCATGCCCATTCCTCCTATGTTTTCTACTCTAGTGATAAAACAATACAACCTGAATTAGAAAACTGAAAATTACTTAGACATGTAATCAATAAATTTGTTGAACAACTACCATGTTCCAGACGGTGTTCTATGTGCTAGGGATATAGTAATAAACACAACAGTGTATCCATCTGCAGGGGGCTTACAGTCTAGATAGGAGGACTACAGTCAATAAACAAAATGACATATTTGCTATGCCAGTTGGTTCTAAATAACATTGAGGACACCAACACGGTAGACGAGGGGAATTAAGAGTGTTAGCTTGGAAGAATGAGATTTTAAATAAGGTGATCAGGGAAGAACCACCACCCAGGTGTATTTGTGCAGAGCCATGTAGAAGATGAAGAAGCAAGCCATGTGGAGCTACAAAGGAAGAGCATTCCAGACAGAAGAAATTGGAAATGCAAAGCCCTGCAGTAGGAGCATGTCTGTGTGTTCAGGGAACAGCAAAGAAATCCAGTGCAATTGGAGCAGAGAGAACCTGGGGGAGCAAGTAGAAGATGAGATAACAGAGAAAACAGGGCCAGAGTTTATGGACCATTGCAAAGATTTTAAATTTTACTAAGAATAAAATTTTTGAATGGAAGAATAATACAATATGTGCTATATTTTTTACTAGACTACTAAAAATCACACAGATGAAAGTAAGGAAGCTATTGCAATAATCCTGACAGGAGGCGATATTATTGTGGACTAAGTGGAAAGGATGAGCTGGATTCTGAAAATATTTTGTTTACTTGATTGATTGACACATAGTATATGTAGATGTTGGAGAAAGAGAGAACTCAAAGAGAATTCAAAAGTCAAGTTGCCATTTACTAAGATAGAGAAGACGTTGAATGAGCAGATTTCAAAGAAAAGACCAAAAATTGGATTTTAAACTGTAAAGCCTGGGATGTGCATTAAAAATCTAAGTGGTCGAGACCATCCTGGCCAACATGGTGAAACTCCATCTCTACTAAAATACAAAAAATTAGCCGGGCATGGTGGGGTACATCTGTAGTCCCAGCTACTCAGAAGGCTGAGGCAGGGGAATCACTTGATCTCCCGCCTCTGCTGGGAGGCGGAGATTGCAGTGAGCTGATATCGTGCCACTGCACTCCAGCCGGGCGACAGAGTGAGACCCCGTCTAAATATATATATATATATGAAGATATTTAGCAAACAGTTGGATATAGTCATGCGGTAAGGAGAATAACATAAGCTGCAGACATAAATTTAGGAGATGGCATTTTTACTGCCCAATATAGTAGTGATGGAAGCCGTGGGCCCTCTAGAGTGTCTGCTGCCAACACACCGGCTGCAGGAGGGAGGCACAGGCAGGGCTGCCTGCTCCATGAAGCCAGTGGGAGCCAGGGACAAGTGGAAGCCCGACCCCTTCCAAGTTGGGCGGGCGCTCCCTTGGTGCCACTGCAGCCACCCAAGTTAAGACTGCAGACCCGGGCTCCCAGCTCTTGGGGCTGGGAGTAAGTGGAGGCCCTGCCCTCCTGGGTGCATCTTCAGCCACCCAAACTGCAGCTGCAGTCCTGGACCTCTCATCCCACAGAGCAGGCAGCAGCCCTGCCCTCCTGAGCACAGCTGCAGCCATGCAAACTGCAGCTGCAGGCCCAGGCATCTCTGCACTCTTGGGGTCCTGGGAAGGCCCCACCTGACCTTGCAGGCTCAAAAGTGTTTGCTCTTGCTGCCTGAATTCTCCCTGCTGTTGGCACCCACTCTAGTCTAGGAACAAAGTCGGAGTCAAGCCCAGGAGCTGTCACAGCCCGGCAGGGTGTGCACATGCTCAGGGAAGTGTTAACACGCCAGCCCCTTGCTGCCTTGGCCCCCTCCCGACTTTGGGCACCAAGGAGCATAGGAGGAAACCTGAATTGGGGCTGAGGACACCTTGGCACTGGCCTGTAGGCAACCCTTGGCACCTACACCTTGGGTGCCATGAACAGCAGCAGGAGCCAGACAGGTTACTGGGTGGAAGGGGATGGTCCCTGGCAAGGGTTCACCTTCAGGCCAGGGAGGGCCTGAAGGCCGGGGGCTGGGCTGCCAGTCTCACCGACCAGAGTGGGAACTTGTGGTACGTTTTCTGGGCCCACCCATGACCACCCACGGACCAACTGTCATGCACTTGCTCCCCTCTGAGGCCCATTAAAGATCAGGGCTCAGCCAGAGTGGAGCAAACGTTGGAACAACCAGCTGCAGAAGGAGCTACCCACTCTGGGGCCTCTTCTCTTCTGAGAGCTGCGCACCCAATGGGATGACTGGCTGGAGCAAAGAACTACCCTCTCTCCTGATAGCTGAACACTTGTCAGGACAACTTGCCTAGCAGAGAGAAGCTAACCTCTGTGCTAGGAACTGAACACTCATCAGGACACACTGCCTGTGGAAAGGAGCAGCCTCCTGCGAGTTTCCTCTGAGTTATTCTGTCACTCAATAAAGCTCCTCTTCGTATTGCTCAGCCTTCACTTGTCTATGTACCTCATTCTTCCTGGTCGCAGGACAAGAACTTGGGACCCACAGAATGGCAAGGCTGAAAGAGCTGTAACACAAAGAGGACTGAGACATTCCCCTTGCTTGCCCCATTGTCGGCAAAGAGAAGGAAAGAAGAGCTGTGGCTCCTCAGGGAACCCAGACCTGGGAGCTCCCTAAGCCAGAGCTGTGACTCCCTTTTTGGGACCCTGTGGTTCCTAGCGTCTCCCAACTTCCAGCCACCAACATGTTTCCCAGTGCCAGCCATGGAAGCTGCTTGCAGTGCACCTGGTCTGGCTGCAGCCTGGCAGAGATTTAGCACCCATGACAGCACCTGGAGCTGCCGGCCCCACTGCAGCAGCCGGCACATCTGACTGCGCAACAGCCAAACCCTATGCTTACTCACAAACCGCTCACCATCCTATGCCTGACTCACCGTTGGCAGGCATGGGATCCAGGCCGGTAGTGTGTGCTGAGCACAGTCTGCCAAGCTGAGTGGGTGAAACAAGCACAGCAGGCCTAAGCAAAACTTGAGCAACAGCACCACCAGCCACAGAAGTTTCCAGCCAGAAAAATGACACCCCAAAGATCCTGTAACAGTAGACACTAGACATATGTGGCTATTTAAATTTAGATTAATTTTAAAATAAAATAAAAATTCAACGAGTATTTTTAGCCACATTTCAGGTGCTCAATGTGGCTACTGGCATATATGCCTAGTAATGTCATATTAACCCAGCAGTGTCATATTAAACAACACAATTTCCATGATCTCAAAAAGTTCTACTGGACAATGCTAGATTGATAGTGTTAAAGACACAAGATATGAGATGAATCACCAACTCAGTGACTCTGTTTCTAGGCTTGGAGAGAGAAAGAGATGGGAATGAAGGATTTCTTTTTATTACCACCTCACATATAATCTGCTGCAAAAGTCTTCTGATTTGGCTTTCGACAATGTCTCCTTCTCCTCCTCTCCCTTCACTTTGTGCTTGGCCTTCCTTGCCTCTTGCGTAGATGATTACAGTAGCCTCCTAACTGATATTTCTAACTCAGACCTCTGTTTCTGTTTGTTCTTGCTATTTCAAAAACCCACTTTACTTTCTGATATATCCTAACCCTTCTTATCTTTCAATGCCCAGCTTAAATGTCATTTACTCTGAAGCTTATGTACTCTCACCCCAGACTATGTCACCCTTTCTCCACATAGAAGATCTTAGCACTATTTGCATGTCTCTAAGATAGTACTTTTCACAGTATACAGTAATGATCATGACTCTTTGGCTCTTTTGAGTAAGTTTTATGTGCCTAACACATAGTAAACATTGAATAAATGCTTGTTGAGCACCTCTCTTAATTATCATATTGATTTACTAAGAGCTCCTGAAGTGAATACTGTTATATAAATCATTTGATTACAAATAAGAAAACTGTGATTAGAAATACATTTGAATATAAGTGATTTTAAAAATTATTTAAATCTGGAATGAGCTTTGAAATTAATCTAATTTTACAGATGAATAAACTAATACTAAGAGAGTTCAATTAGTTTTTGAGCCAGAAGGATTTCAAATATCCTGGCCATTACCCAAGTGCTTGGCTTCTCCCAGGAGTTCCACATCTAGCTTCTCACGCTATCCCCTCAACAGTGCTATGCTTGAATGGACATTTGGCATGACAAAGGTAAACATATATATCCCCCCAGCTACATATTAACAGTGGCACATTGATTACAAAGTAAAGATTTATGCCTCAGTAGAAACAAAGCTGATGCAATATTTAATTTAGAAATAATATGAATCGGGCTGGGCACAGTGGCTCACACCTGTAATCTCAGGACTTTGAGAGGCTGAGGTGGGTGGATCACCTGAGGTCAGGAGCTTGAGACCAGCCTGGCCAAGATGGCAAAACCCCATCTCTACTAAAAATACGAAAATTAGCTGGGCATGGTGGCGGGTGCCCATAATCCCAGCTGGGGCAGAAGAATCACTTGAACTTGGGAGGCAGAGGTTGCAGTGAGCAGAGATTGTTGTACTCCAGCCTGGGTGACAAGAGCGAAATTCTGTCTGAAAAAAGAAAGAAAGAAAGAAAACTAAATAATGAATCACAAACTCAATCCCTTTCTCCTCATAGGTGTGTAAAAACATCCTGTGCTTATTGAATAAAAAAAAATGGAATGATCTGGTTTCTTGCAGTAAATTGTTTCAGTGCGTAAGCAATGCTTAGAGAGAGTTGGAAATACTTTCGTCTCCAGAATGTGCAGCAAAACGAATGACTGCCACAAAGAGAGCTGAGCTTCTCAATACTCATTTTCTCACAGACAAATTAATTGTATTAGGGTTCAATTTTCTTTCTTGTTTTTTTCTCAAAGGTGCCATAATATTTGCACCGTTAGGAACACCTATGCACTGGTGTTCTTTTATTATTATTGTTATTATACTTTAAGTTCTGGGATATGTGTGCAGAACGTGCAGGTTCGTTACATAGGTATACACGTGCCATGGTGGTTTTCTGCATGCATCAACCCAACATATACATTAGGGATTTCTCCTAATGCTATCCATCTCCTAGCCCCCAATTCGCGACAGGCCCCAGTGTGTGATATTCCCCTCCCTGTGTCCATGTGTTCTCATTGTTCACATCCCACTTATGACTGAGAACATGCAGTATTTTGTTTTCTGTTCCTGTGTTAGTTTGCTGAGAATGATAGTTTCCAGTTTCATCCATGTCCCTGCAAAGGAAACGAACTCATCCTTTTTAATGTCTGCATAGTATTCCATGGTGTATATGTGACACATTTTCTTTATCTAGTCTATCACTGATGGGCATTTGGGTTGGTTCCAAGTCTTTGCTATTGTGAATAGTGCAGCCATAAACATACATGTTCATGTGTCTTTATAGTAGAATGATTTATAATCCTTTGGGTATATACCCTGTAATGGGATTGCTGGGTCAAATGGTATTTCTGATTCTAGATCCTTGAAGAATTGCCACACTGTCTTCCACAATGGTTGAATTAATTTAAACATTTAAACTCCAACCAGCAGTGTAAAAGCATTCCTATTTCTCCACATCCTCTCCAGCATCTTTTGTTTCCTGACTTTTTAATGATCGCCATTCTAACTGGTATGAGATTGTATCTCATTGTGGTTTTGATTTGCATTTCTCTAATGACTAGTGATGATGAGCTTTCTTTCATATGTTTGTTGGCCACATAAATGTCTTCTTTTGAGAGGTGTTTGTTCATATACTTTGCTTACTTCTTGATGGGGTTGGTTTTTTCTCGTAAATTTGTTTAAGTTCCTTGTGCAGTCTGGATATTAGCCCTTTGTCAGATGGATAGATTGCAAAAATGTTCTCCCATTCTGTAGGTTGCCTGTTCACTCTGATAATAGTTTCTTTTGCTGTGCAGAAGCTCTTTAGTTTAATTAGATCCTATTTGTCAATTTTGGCTTTTGTTGCCATTGCTTTTGGTGTTTTAGTCATGAAGTCTTCATCCATGCCTATGTCCTGAGTGGTATTGCCTAGGTTTCCTTCAAGGGTTTTTATGGTTTCAGGTCTTAGGTTTGAGTCTTTAATCCATCTTGAATTAATTTTTGTATAAGGTATAAGGAAGGGCTCCAGCTTCAGTTTTCAGCATATAGCTAGCCAGTTTTCCCAACACCATTTATTAAATAGGGAATCCTTTCCCCATTGCTTGTTTTTTTCAGGTTTGTCAAAGATCAGATGGTTGTAAATGTGTAGCATTATTTCTGAGGCTTCTGTTCTGTTTCATTGGTCTGTATATCTGTTTTGGTACCAGTACCATGCTGTTTTGGTTACTGTAGCCTTGTAGTATAATTTGAAGTCAGGTCGTGTGATGCCTCCAGCTTTGTTCTTTTTGCTTAGGATTGTCTTGGCTATATGAGCTCTTTTTTGGTTCCATATAAAAATTAAAGTAGTTTTTTTCTAATTCTGTGGAGAAAGTCAATGGTAGCTTGAGGGGATAGCATTGAATTTACAAATTACTTTGGGAAATATGGCCATTTTCATGATATTGATTCTTCCTATCCATGAGCATGGAATGCTTTTCCATTTGTTTGTGTCCTCTCTTATTTCCTTGAGCAGCAGTTTGTAGTTCTACTTGAAGAGGTTCTTCACTTCCCTTTTAAATTGTATTCTTAGGTATTGTATTCTCTTTGTAGCAATTGTTAAAGAGAGTTTACTTATCTGTTTGCCTATTATTAGTGTATAGGAATGCTTGTGATTTTTACACATTGATTTTGTATCCTGAGACTTTGCTGAAATTGCTTATCAGCTTAAGGGGATTTTGCACTGAGACAATGGGGTTTCCTAAATATACAATCATGTCATCTGCAAACAGAGACAATTTGACTTCCTCTCTTCCTGTTTGAATACAATTTATTTGTTTCTCTTGCCTGATTGCCCAGGCCAGAACTTCCAATATTATGCTGAATAGGAGTGGTGAGAGAAGGCATCCTGGTCTTGTGCCGGTTTTCAAAGGGAATGCTTCCTGCTTTTGCCCATTCAGTATGATATTGGCTGTGGGTTTGTCATAAATAGCTCCTATTATTTTGTGATACATTCCATCAATACCTAGTTTATTTAGAGTTTTTAACATGAAGGGTGTTGAATTTTATCGAAGGCCTTTTCTGCATCTATTGACACAATCACATGGTTTTTGTCGTTGATTCTGTTTATGTGACAGATGACATTTATTGATTTGCATATGTTGAACCAGATTTGCATCCCAGGGATGAAGCCAACTTGATAGTGGTGGAGAAGCTTTTTGATGTGCTGCTCAATTTGGTTTGTCAGTATTTTATTGAGGATATTTGCATCAATGTTCATCAGAGATACTGGCCTGAAATTTTCTGTTTTTGTTGTGTCTCTGCCAGGTTTTGGTATCAGATGATGCTGGCTCATAAAATGACTTAGGGAGGAGTCCCAGTTTTTATATTGTTCGGAATATTTTCAGAAAGAATGGTACTGGCTCCTTTTTGCACATCTGGTAGAAATCAGCTGTGAATCTGTCTGGTCCTGTGCTTTTTTTGGTTGGTAGGCTATTAATTACAGTCTTAATTTCAGAACTTGCTATTGGTGTATTCAGGAATTTGACTTCTTCTTGGTTTAGTCTTGGTAGGGTGTATGTGTCCAGGAACTTATCCATTTTTTTCTGGATTTTCTAATTTATTTGCATAGAGGTGTTTATAGTATTCTCTGATGGCAGTTTGTATTTCTGTGGGATTAGTGGCGATATCCCCTTTATCATTTTTTATTGTGTCTATTTGGTTCTTCTCTCTTTTCTTCTTTATTAGTCTGGCTAGCAGTCTATCTATTTTGTTAATCTTTTGAAAAAACCAGCTCCTGGATTCACTGATGTTTTGAAGGTTTTGTTTTGTGTCTCTATATGCTTCAGTTCTGCTCTGATCTTAGTTATTTCTTATCTTCTGCCAGCTTTTGAATTTGTTTGTTCTAGGTTCTCTAATTCTTTTAATTGTGATGTTAGGGTGTTGATTTTAGATCTTTCCTGCTTTCTCCTCTGGGCATTTAGTGCTATAAATTTCCCTCTAAACGCTGTTTTAGCTGTGTTCCAGAGATTCTGTTACATTTTGTCTTTGTTCTCATTGGTTTCAAAGAACTTATTCATTTTTGCCTTAATTTCATTATTTGCCCAGTAGTCATTCAGATGCAGATTGTTCATATAGTTGTGCAGTTTAGAGTGAGTTTCTTAATCCTGAGTTCTAATGTGATTGCACTGTGGTCTGAAAGACTGTCTGTTATGATTTCCATTCTTTTGTATTTGCGGAGGAGTGTTTTACTTCAAATTATGTGGTCAATTTTAGAATAAGTGCGATGTGGTGCTGAGAAGAATGTATATTCTGTTGATTTGGGGTGGAGAGTTCTATAGATGTCTCTTAGGTCAGCTTGGTCCAGAGCTGAGTTAAAGTCCTGAATATCCTTGTTTATTTTCTGCTGCATTGATCTGTTTAACATTGACAGTGGGGTGTTAAAGTCTCCCACTATTATTGTGTAGGAGTATAAGTCTCTTTGTAGGTCTCTGAGAACTTGCTTTATGAATCTAGGTGCTCCTGTTTTGGGTGCATGTATATTTCGGGTAGTTAGCTCTTATTGCTGCATTGATCCCTTTACCATTATGTAATGCCTTTCTTTGTCTTTTTTGATCTTTATTGGTTTAAAGTCCGTTTTATCAGAAACTAAAATTGCAACCTGCTTTTTTTCTCCTTTCTTTCCATTTGCTTGGTAAATATTCCTCCATCTCTTTATTTTGAGTCTATGTTTGTCTTTGCACATGAGATGGGTCTCCTGAATACAGCACATCGATGGATCTTGGCTCTTTATCCAACTTGCTAGTCTGTGTCTTTAATTGGAGCATTTAGCCCATTTACATTTAAGGTTAATATTGTTATATGTGAATTTGATCCTGTCATTATGATGCTAGCTGGTTATTTTGCCCATTAGTTGATGCAGTCTCTTCATAGTGTTGATGGTCATTACAATTTGGTATGTTTTTGCAGTGGCTGGTACCAGTATTTCCTTTCCATATTTAGTGCTTCTTTTAGGAACTCTTGTAAGGCAGGCCTGGTGGTGACAAAATCTCTCAGAATTTGCTTGTCTATAAAGGATTTTATTTCTCCTTCACTTATGAAGCCTAGTTTGGCTGGATATGAAATTCTGGGTTGAAAATTATTCTCTTTAATACTGGCCCCAACTCTCTTCTGGCTTGTAGGGTTTCTGCAGAGAAATCTGCTGTTAGTCTAATGGGCTTCCCTTTGTGGGTAACTCAACCTTTCTCCCTGGCTGCCCTTAACACTTTTTCCTTCATTTCAACTTTGGTGAATCTGACAATTGTGTGTCTTGGGATTGTTCTTCTCGAGGAGTCTCTTTGTGGTGGTCTCTGTATTTCCTGAATTTGAATGTTGACCTGTCTTGCTAGATTGGGGAAGTTCTTCTAGATAATATCCTGAAGAGTGTTTTCTAACTTGGTTCCATTCTCCCCGTCACTTTCAGGAACACCAATCAAATGTAGGTTTGGTCTTTTCACATAGTCCCATATTTCTTGGAGGCTTTGTTTGTTCCTTTTCATTCTTTTTTCTCTAATCTTGTCTTCACACTTTACTTCATCTGATCTCCTTTCTTTCACTTGGTCAATTCAGCTATTGATACTTGTGTATGCTTCACGAAGTTCTTGTGCTGTGTTTTTCAACTCCATCAGGTCTTTATGTTCTTTTCTATTACTGGTTATTCTAGTTAGCAATTCCTCTAACCTTTTTTCAAGGTTCTGAGCTTCCTTGCATTGGGTTAGAACATGCTCCTTTAGCTTGGGGGAGTTTGTTATTACCTACCTTCTGAAGCCTACTTCTGTCAATTTGTCAAACTCATTCTCCATCCAGTTTTGTTCCCTTGCTGGTGAGGAGTTATGATCCCATGGAGGAGAAGAGGCATCCTAGTTTTTTAAATTTTCAGGCTTTTTGCACTGATTTTTTCCTCATCTTTCTGGATTTATCTACCTTTGGTCTTTGATGTTGGTGACCTTTGGATGGGGTTTTTGTGTGGACACACTTTTTCTTGATATTGATGCTATTCCTTTCTGTTTGTTAGTTTTCCTTCTGACAGTCAGACCCCTCTGCTGGAGTTTGCTGGAGGTCCATTCCAGACCCTGTTTGCCTAGGTATCACCAGTGAAAGCTGCAGAACAGCAATGATTGCTGCCTTGTCCTTCCACTGAAAGCTTCGTCCCATAGGGGCACCGGCCAGATGCCCACCAGAGCTCTCCTGTATGAGGTGTCTGTCAATCCCTGCTGGGAGTTGTCTCCCAGTCAGGAGGCACGGGGGGCAGGGATCCACTCGATGAGGCAGTCTGTACCTTAGAGCTCCAACTCTGTGCTGGGAGATCGGCTGCTCTCTTCAGAGCCATAAGGCAGGAACGTTTAAGTCTGCTGAAGCTGCGCCCCCAGCTGCCCTTCCCCCAAGTGCTCTGTCCCAGGGAGATGGGAGTTTTATCTAAAAACCCCTGACTGGGGCTGCTGCCTTTCTTTCAGAGATGCCCTGCCCAGACAGGAGGAATCTAGAGAAGACTAGCCTTGAATTTTCTAAGAAAAAAGATATCTATAGACATAAACAATCTCTACTATTTAATAATGCACATTCACCCACATACTTACACACACATGCACACATAGAGTAGATAATGTGCAAAACATTTATAGTAATTTCCCTCTAAGAAACTTTCAGAGATATATGTGGTCATACTGAAAGCATTAAGAGATTTAGTAATGAGTATTTACCATGAGTGAGACTGAGATATTACTACGTTCCAATTAAAAACAACTGAACATACAGCAGAATACTCAAAACTGCCATTTATCCAAAGGCTTAATTTCAAAATATACATCTGTTGTTTTTCTGAAAAGCAAGGCTGGGGAGACATATCTATAAGAAATATTCTCTAAAAACATTAAGTAAATGACACTTGGCCGTAGTTCTAAATTGAAATTATTAAGACTATTTCTGGTTGCCAAAGAAACCTAATTATAGTATGCTTCATGATACTTTTTCCTTTTGGCTTTTTGATCTAAGATTTTAGTCTCAAAAAAACTTTTTAATATATTTTTCTCTTATGAAAAATGTTATTTGAAACTCATTTTCTGTTTTTTTTTCACATATGTATAATGAGGATGAATAAGAAATTTATGTGAGAAATTCCCAAGATCTTGTTTCCTCCGGGGTTTGGTAGTATAAAGGGAAAAAGAGTCTGTACATGACAGGTTTTATGGCTAGGATTATACATCAGTATTTAGTCTTTAAATCTAGTACTACAAATACTGCATATTTGGTTATCTTTGATTGACGGATCACAAACTGTACCACAGTTCAACTAATGCGTTTACAATGAATTTAAACTAGACAAAGAAGCAGAGGAGTGGACAGACCTTTCCACTGCCTCTTTGTATTACTCTGAAATGTTTTCTCGAGTTCAGAGCTCTCAGAAGTCTATGTGTAGAGAGAGGTTCCCTGGGTCAGAGGCTCATGGTATGGTGGGCTCGCTGACTTTTATATTCAGAGCCACATCAGTTCATAGCAGTAGCTTATGTTCTTCTACTCAGTTAATCACATCACAGCGTCTGCTTTGCAAGGTCCAGTCCTTGCAATTCTTCCTGTACAGGCACCGAGACAATGTCCTCTTCTTTATGTGTGCCTGACTTGCAGATCATACATATATTTACTTATTTCCAAATAGGAGCTTTAGTGATCAGGCCAACAATAGACAACCATACCACCCAAGGGACAAAGTTGTTCTTGTATCCTTTCAGAAAAATAAATAAGAGCAGTAGGATAGGCAGTGGTTATAGGCACTTCATTGTCGCTGCTCTTCGTCTATGAAGAGATAACACTGAGTGAAAAAGAAAAAGAATCCAGTCTCAATGCCCTCAATGTGAATTATAATTAAGAAACTGTCTGAAGTTATTTGTTTTTAAATTTAAGCCAGGCTTGGAGACTGGGTTAAATAAACCAATTAGTGCCAAATATTATGGTTTTATTTAAAACCAAATGTATTTTCCAGTAAGCCAATATTTGTAACATGTTTTATGTTAGTCAGTTGAAAGTAAACTTCAAAAGAAAGGAGGCAAGTTAATATTTTTGGCAAGCAATTTTGAAGTCGCCCACCATGAAGCACTTAAAAATTTGTAAGATGCTATTATCAATTTTTAAGGGATATTTTGAATTTAAACATTAAATATTCTTATTCCAGTGGTCATATTGTAAAGAATATGACAATCACTTCAACATATTTTTTCTTTGTCAAAAGAAAATAATTACATGTAAATATCTTAATATCCTTTGCCTAGGTTAATAATTTTCTGAGTAGCTAGGTACTCAATTTATCAGGAAAGAATATTATCATCTTTAAATAACAGATGATCTACCTCAAATTCCCTACAATTGATAGATCAACCCAGCCATATAACTAAACATATACACAAGGTACTACAGTTCCCCAATACAGCCAGCCTTCCCCAACTTATGAAGATTGTTTTCTTTATTGTTACCCAAATATAGTCTGGTCCCTCAGACTCTAAATTTCTTTTTCATGTTATTTCTTCTCTAATATTAATATTATTCTTAAAAACATCAGCATAATTAGTGATATAAGAGATGTGAAAACAGGGTGTGATGGGGACACATAGGTGACAATCTTAGCTCTGGCTCAATCTGGGAGCCTTTTAAGAACCATTGATGAAAAGCGTATTTAGGCAGAGAAGAGAAGATGGGCACTCTAGAAAGACGGAGAATTATGCTTTAAAAATAATTGATATTTTATATGAGAGAGTATAAGAAATGTAGGCCAGGTTTAGTTTCCGAAGGGTCTTGTGTAACTTACCAAGCCTGGGCTATATCTAGAATATTGGAATGAATCAAAGAAGGATTTAAACAGAGAAAAAAATGAGCACGATTATGTTTTTGAAAGAACACAATGAAAGTGCTGTAAAGAATAGATTTAATCAAGTTAAATCTGGAAGCTGTGTGGAGAATAAATTTAATCAAATTGGTCTAAAGACTAGGTTAGCAGTAACTAAAATGCATTTCTTCTCCCAGGGAGAAATAACAAGTGATTAGATTTAGGGCAATGGTATTGAGAATACAGACAGAGTGGGTCCTAGAAAGGTCAACTAGATTGGTGACCAACAAGATGGGGAAGATGATGGACAGTAAGAAATTTAGAATGTCACAATTCATGGAGTCATTGACATAAAAAGTGGAAGGTTATTGGAGGGGGGAATGATGAGTTTGAGTAAATTATATATTATGAAATAACAATAAAATTTGTAAATAGGCAGCAACTAGTAGACACTGTGCTAACCCACTTTTATTTTTATCTCATTTTCACCTTACCAAAAAACCTTTGTGAGGTAAATTATTATTAGTAGTATTACTATCCCATGCTACAAATAAGGAAATTTAAAGAAACCCAGTAACCTTTCCAAGATTACTCAGATAGTTAAATTATATGCCCAGTAGACTGTTGGGTATACATGGTGAAAGCTCAGAAGAGAGCCTTCCTGTGAACATTTAAGTGTAGAATCTGCTGGCTTTGTAGTTGAAGTCATGAAAGTAGATACATTTACTCATTTATAATGCATAGAATTAGAAAAGAAGACCAAAGGCAAAACTCTAGGGAAGACCAATTTTCTAGAAGTACGATGAAAAGCGAACATACAGAAAAAGGTGAAAGGGCGAGGTAGAAAACATCAAGAAGGATGAAATGCTTTAAAGTTTAAAATCTCCATATTGGTCAGGTAGTAGAGCATGAAGTATGTCATCTGGATATAGCATTTAGTAGGTTAGGAGTGGCTTGAAGTAGAGAACGAGCAGTGAATTTTTCAGGGCTGAAATCAGACAGCAGTGTGTGGAGGCATGACTAGGAAGAAAAATTGACCAAGTGATATGAAGTATAATGATAGATAAAAGGAGACAATTGTTTGAACAATGTTCCCTAGAAGATGGGATTTTCAGCAAGAGTGAACTGATCAAGCCTTAACAGAAGTAAGAACTTCTCTTTCACTAAATGTAATGAAGATTCTTCTCTGTCAAAACCCACATCCACCATTCAGGTTTTCTAAACAAGATGGTGGTGGGGAGAGAATATAGAACTGAAGTTGTTTATTATTAACACTATTTTAAATATTTTCAAGAATTTGACATTTCTCTTCCTGGCAATTGTCTCTAGCTAATGACTGAAGTTTGAGATAGATTCTTTCCTTTTTGTTTATCATGGATTTTCATCTTTATATCACTTTTACTTCAGTATAGTTATAGAAGATATAATACATTCAGTTCTGTAGTGAAAATGTGTTTTGCTGTTGTTGTTTTTCTAAAACACATTCTTCTGTTAGAGACTTAATAGCAACTGTAGGTAAAGGACAAATTACCTCAGACAAAGATGGAATGGATATTAGAAAGTTTTTTTCACTTTCTATTTTCTGTTGCCTCACAATTCTAGATGACGTTTATTTCCACTACTCATCACTGTCTCTCCATTGCTTCCAAACTACATTTCTAATCCTCAGTTTTCTTATTCTATTTGGGTTGCCATAACGAAATATCATAAACATATGTGACTTAACAGAAATGTATTTTCTTATAGTTCTGGAGACTAAAGTCAGAGATCAGGGTATACCAGCGTGGTCAGGTGATGGTGAAGTTTCTCTTCTCGGCTTACAGAGGGCTGCCTTCACTCCATGTCCTCACACAGTGGGGAGAAAGAGAGATCTTTTTATCTGATTATAAGCACACCAGTTTTATTGGATTAGGCCCCACCCTTATTACCTTATATAATAACCTTAATTACCTATCTCTGAACACAGTTGCGTGGGGGGTTAGAGCTTCTACATTATGAATCAGAGGGGGAGGAGACATAGTTCAGTAAATAGCCCTGACATAACAGTTAGTGTCCTTTATTAAATGACTTCAACTTGCCTTTTTAGTTTTATCAATCATTGATCATTTGAGGTGTGTAACTAGATAGCACTTTCACAAGCCTGGGACTTTGGTTACTTGGGAAAACCTAATAACAAGTTCACACCCCCCTGATTGTCCATGGACTGAGGCAGCACAAAGAACTTAACAGGGCCTGTTGGCAGGGAGAGAGATCCTGCCCTTTAGGCTGTGAGGCTTATGACCAGCTAATAAAGGAAGCCCCAGTGCCTTCTCCAGCAAGATCAAGGGCTGGTTCAAGGCTGTTAGAGTAGTAAGAGATGGTGAAATCTTCCTCCTAGGAGCCTACTAGAATATGTACATCTTATGCCCTTTTCCATTTATTGACTTTCATTTTCCAAGCAGTCTTTTTCTAGATAAGGCCAGCATTTGCTCTTGGTTACAGCTACAGGAAACCCACGTTATATGAGGTTAACTCTACTCTCTTGTTTTCTTACCCTATCCATACACCAGCCACTCAGAGAGGATTCGTTTTCCAAAGTAGTTGTACTCTCACAATTCCTACTGTTTGAGTTCTTGATCTCTATGCCTAGGATTTTTCTTTCTTCTCTTCTACTTGGTAAGTATCTTCTAGTAACCTTTCATTTATGAGACATTCTCTATCTATCACCACATAGCCAAGATAAATCATAAATCACTTCTTCAATCACCTAACCACAACACTTGTAGTATTCTTTATTACAGCATTTATAATATTAAAAGTATTTTTTCTGTTTTGTTTTGTTTTATTGGAGATGGAGTCTCCCTGTGTTGCCCAGGCTAGGCTGGAACTCCTGGCCTCATGCTATCCTCCCACCTCAGCCTTCCCAGTGGCTGGGACTACAGGAATGCACCACTGCGCGTGACTTTCAAAAGACCTATTCTAATTATTTAATATGAATTTACTAAAGGCAAAAATTATATCACATCTTTCCTTATATTCCTAGGTTTTATGACCATGCCTGGAATATGGTAGATGCATGCTACGTGTATGCTGAGTAAAACATTAAATAAAAAAATTTCTTTAATCATGGAATTTATAAAAGTATGTATAGCCTGTAACTCACATTGTACTAATTCATTCATTGATTTTTTATTTAAAAAAAGTTATTCGATACACTCTATGTTTCAATCACCGTGTTAGGTCCCCTGGGTACAATCATGAACAGCAAAGTGAAGTGTAGAATCATAAGGACTGGATTCACTTTTGGGATCTTCCATTTACTTGCACACTATCTTGGGCAAGAGAGTTTAACCCTTCAAGCTCCAGTTTTATTATATATAAAATAGGAAGGATCATAGTGCTTTCCTATATTATGTGTCATGAGAGTGAAATATGATAAATCAATTAAAATGTTTAACACTTTTTTGACATAAAATAAATATTAGTAACTCAGTAACATTAATAAACTCAGTAAAAGACATTATTTTTCTTCTCCTTATGCTTCTTCCTGTCATTGTTACATGAAGAATGGCCATTGCTTTCATAGAGCCCATCATTAGTGGGTACATAGTAGCTCTCAGTATTGGCATCATATGGTATCACACGTATAAATATTACTTGTCTAATTGGATTGTAAATTACTTGGAGTCAGAGTATCTGTATAAACAGAAGCCTTTGTGAAGAGTAATTTCTCTTTCATGGTGATGCCGTAATATCATTATTCAAGAGCCACAAAACTAGTCAAGAAAAAAAATTAGTTGTTTGATATCTGCATTAAAGGTGAAGAATCTACTGGATGAACAGCAATAAGTGCAATAATAAAAAATGCTTTGATGGAACGGTTGTTATGGATCACACACAGTGCTATACATGGTCTATATTATTTTCTCCTCACAGCATCCACTTGATGCAAATATCCTTTATCACTGTGGAAACTGAGGCTCAGAAATCTTAAGTAGGCTGTCCAAAGTCACTTCCTCTTCTACCCGTACTTCATCAGGCTACTGATTGCAATTTTTTCAAACAATTACAACAGGCTGCTCTGCCTGTGGAGTAGCCATTCTTTATTCCTTTGCTTTCTTAATAATCTTCACTCTAAAAAATAAATAAATAAATAAATAAATACAACACCCCAGCACCTTATATTTTATTTTTGACATCCTTTTTCTTCTCAATCACAGTTGTTCCTTTCTGTCCAACCCCACACTGTAAAGCAATGTATGACACATTACATTTTTGTTTTGTATTGGAAACCCACTAGAGTATTTCTGTTTTGAGACTTTTTTTCTCCTCAGGAACTGTGAAACTATAAAGAAAAGTAGAAATTCTCTAGGAAATAGGAAAATCAGGGTGATAAATAAGCAGACAGAAATAACCATGTATAACATCACACTATTGGATACGGAGAGAGTTAAATATGTACTGGAGACATATGCTTAGTCTCAAATATGGGCCAAGGGGAGCAAATGTATGTAGTGAATGTCATGGGCAGCCCCATTCATTTGGCCCATTTATCTTTATAGTTTCTGTTGATGCTTTGAAATGTTTTGTGTTCTCCATTTTCATTTGGTAATATGTGTGTATTCTCATTGAATAGTAATTGATATTGAAACTCTATTGCCCTTCCTTTTCACTTTTAATAAAGTGTTATTATAAATAGTTACAATAAAATTATCCAGCATAAGTCTGGAAGACCCCATTTTTTCTTCCTGCTCTTAACATGGTAACATTTTCTGGTTTGTGAGATTTACATGCAGTGAACAAAAATTGCACCGTACAAGGTGATTAAATATGAAAAAAAGACCAGAGATAAGTGTCCTTTCTTTCCCAACTCTTTCTAGCTGCAACCTAGCCACCCTTTCAAGGACAGCATGCAGTATACTCTCTGATAAAATGCAGTGTTCTTGGACACAGGTGGCTAAGAGCAGAACATTCCTTTCAGTGTCAGAGAGGGCTGACGTAGTTAACACTGCTACCTTCATGAGACACTTGGTGAACCAGTCTATTGTACAGGGGCCTGCAGTGACCTAAAAGATTCATGATGCTGCCAGACTATGAGTTGGTTTGCATGGTTCTGGACAATAGAAAAAGGGAAGTCATGAAAATATACATGGTGAGAACAATGGTCTCCTAAGGTCTCTTTATGTGATTATTGTTCTGGTGTTGGAAGGAGGTCACAGTTACGGAGTACAGGTCTCTTGTATTACTAACAACCCAAATATATTTGTTCTCTCAGATAATGCTTCTCACTCTTAGTAGCCCACCCTTTGCCATACCCACTGAAACAAGTGAGAGAGGTTTTACTTCAATCTCTACTGTAAGTGCCTCTGCTTGTCATGACCCAGGCCCCTTCTAGGCTGGTCATGTGACCATGATATTCTTGCAGTTGTCCTCCAGAGATGAAGCTCTGCGCTTCTGTGATTCATGATCGTATCTCCTGAACCTGAAAGTCACTGTTGTGTGACTACTGGGTGCTGATTGCTTCACATCTATGCTTCTAGTCATGTGCTCTGAAGTTCTGGAGAGACCTTCTTCTTATTTTATATTCTCTATTATTCATCTGAACCTTGAGCAGCAATAGCTTTAACCCTTAGATTCTGTGTTTTTGTTGTGGAACTTTTCCTTAGTTCAGCTAAAGACTAAAGATGAAGTCCTTGTCACATGGCCACAAAAATTTAGGCTCACAGACTGAAGGGTGAGAAAAATAAGATTTACTGGGAAATAAAGAAAAGGAAAAAAGCACTTTGGGAGGCCAAGGCGGGCGGATCACGAGGTCAGGAGATCGAGACCATCCTGGCTAACACGGTGAAACCCCACCTCTACTAAAAATACAAAAAATTAGCCAGGCGTGGTGGCGGGTGCCTGTAGTCCCAGCTACTCCGGAGGCTGAGGCAGGAGAATGGTGAACCTGGGAGGCGAAGCTTGCAGTGAGCCGAGATCGCGCCACTGCACTCCAGCCTGGGCAACAGAGCCAGACTCCATCTCAAAAAAAAAGGAAAAGAAAAGAAAAAGAAAGGGAAAAAAAGAGAAAACAGAGGCTCTTAGCAAAGTAAGAGTGTGTGTTTCCTGCCAGTGGGCTTCCTACCTCACGATTAAATTTCAGGTTTCACCCAGGAAGAGGAAGGGCCAGGCTTCTCCCCTATTCAAATAGAGCAAACTTCTATGGCTCCACCCCAGTGTGCAGGCTGGTTGGAGTTTCTCTGGGGACCCCGAACCACCTGGCTGCCCTATTTTGGCCTATAGAAACTACATTCTTCTAGATTTAAGGCATTTCTCTAGTATACAGTTTGCTCTATCAGATAAATTTGTGTTGTATAGATAAGAAATGAAAGGGGAAAATAAAGCAGAGAGGATACAAAGTTCCATGGGTTTCAATTTTAGATCAAATAGACATGGAAGGTTTCATTGAAAAGATAACATTAAAGAAAAGGCCTTAAAGAAATGAGGAAGATACCATCAAATGTGAGGAACAGAATCTTCCAGGCTGAAGGAAAATTAAAACACAAAGACACTGCAGGATAAGTATGCCTAATGTGTACAAAGAAGAGCAAGGAAGACAGTATGGTAAGAAATGGTGAGGAAGTAGGGAAAGAAGAGATCAGAAAAGCTAGGGAGCCCAGGTTGTTTAGGGCAGTACTGCCCAGTAGAAATAGGATATAGGTCACATATGTAAGTTTAAACTTTCTAGCAGCCACATTATAAAGTAAAAACAGACTGAAATTAATTGTAATAATATATGCTGTTTAACTCAGCATGTGGGAATTATTTTTACCAGGATCAATAAAAAATTGTTGAGATGTTTACATTTTTCATACTAAGTTTCAGAATCTTGTGTGTATTTTACATGTACAGCACTCCTCACTTTGGTCTAGTCCTATTTGCAGTGCTCAGTAGCCACGTGTGGATAGGACTGCTATGCTGGACAGGGGAGACTACAGACTCAAATGCTATTTTAAGAACTTTAGATTTTACTGTTAGTGAGATAACAAGCTACTAGAGGTTTTTTTTGGGGAAAAAAAAGACATGATTTGACTCACACATTGTAACAGAATCATTCTGACTACCGTGTTGTGCAAACTGTAAAATGGAAAGGGATCCAATTTGGAGATTATTGCAATATTCCATGTGAGAGGATGCTATCGTAGCTGAGGTATCTGCTTTGGAGGCTGAGAGGAGTGGTGGGCTTCTGGGTATATTTTGAAAGCAGAGCTGATACCACTTGCTAGAAGATTGTTTGTCAGATGTGCAAGAAAGAGAACAGTCAAAAAAATAAATTGAGCCAGATATGTATTTTTTTTAATGATTCTCTGACAATTCGAAAGTGCAACATTGGTCAAGAATCATCGGATTGGTGGTAGCTCCTGTTTCTTTCTGCAGAAGTAATCCCCATTATTTTGTTTTGAATCTCTAGGCCTGGAAAAATTATTTATTTTGGATAGGGAAGCAGTGGGATTTGGAGCTGGAAAAGTAGGTAAGAACTTCTAAGTACCTTAGAAGGTAGGCAACAGGGAAGCAGTAAGTATCTGTCATCAGACAACTTCTGTGATTAAAACTGTGATTAAGAAAATGAGCTGGACACAATGGCTCACACCTGTCTGTAATCCCAGCACTTTTGAAGGCTGAGACAGAAGGATTGCTTGAGCCAAGGAATTCAAGAGCAGCCTGGGCAGTATAGTGAGACCCCATCTCTACAATTTTTTTTTTTAATTAGCCAGGCATGGTGTACACACCTGTGGTACCAGCTACTCAGGTGACTGAGGTGGGAGAATGGCCTGAGGCCAGGAGGTTGAAGCTGCACTAAGCCATGATTGCCTCACTGCACTCCAGCCTGGGTGACAGGGTGAGAGAAAGAAAAGAAAAGAAAAGAAAAGAAAAGAAGCCAAGAGAAGAGAAGAGAAGGAAAAGAGAAAGAAAGAAAAGGAATGAGAAAGAAAGAGAGAGAGGGAGGAAGGAAGGAAGGGAATGAGAAAAAGAAGAAAGAAAACAAAGAAAGAAAAAGAAAGAAAGAAAGAAAAGACAGAAAGAAGAAAGAAAGAGAAAGAAAAAAGAAAAACGAAAGAAAAGAAAAAAGAGAGAAAGAAAGAAGAGAAAGAGTCAGTGAAGAGAAGCTGGGAGTCTGCTTTGAAGTCTATTTCAATGATTTAGGTAAAAGGTTCCAAAGGCTTAAACTAGGGTACTTTTGTGGTGTTGATTATTTCTGTTTTTTGATCAGGATGGATGCTGGTTATATAAGTATTCTCAGTTTCTGAAAATTTATGGATCTATACAATTATCATATGAGTATCATATTGTAATAAAAAGCAAAATAAAAAGAAGTTGAACAACCTCTCTGAAAAATAACATTCTCTTGGCTCATAATATAAAACCCAGAAGGCCAATATTTTAATTTATAATGAGAAACAAAATTATTATTTAGACTGAACAACTGCCTTAACTCAATCTGTAGGCAAAACTACCTAAGAAGCCAAAATCTAATGAGAAGGTGACTAAGTGAAAGTGGAATCAGAACAAACAGAATTATTCAAATGAAATTGAGACTGGTATTATAGAGCCCTGATAGCATAATTCACCCATTTTCTTTACAAGGACACAAGTTTTGAATTCTTCTATGGAGATTGCTGGAAGCTTTTATGTCTCATTTTCTTTCTATCTTGCCACTGCTGAACAATCTACCAAGATTGACACAACTTTTTGTTGTTATTTCCATGAAATATTTTAACACCTTTAGTAAAGTCTTGGAGATCCACTTATTTTGAGATTAACTTCTGAATCCTATTCTAGAATATCTATATTGTGATTTATCTAAAGAAATTTCCAAGCTTGTAGAGGAAAGCCGTATTGTTAAGCCCATGTAAAATGCACAACATCGGCATGAGGCTCTGGACATAGCAGTTAGAGAGTGCTGAAAAGTCAAAGATGACCTAGAAGCCATGCTCCTGAAGAATGTTATACACTTTGATTAACTGAGACAAATATGGCTGGGGAGGAGCAGGAGTGACGAGGATGTTGATTGTTGCAATTTGAGGTGAGATAGACAATTGCATTCACTCTGTATCCCAGAAGCTCTGGAAGATACCAGTTTGAGGTATAAATATTTTGATCATTTTTGTCTTGAGGGAGACTAAAATTTTAGGAATCATAGAAATCACCAAGGGAAGAAGAAGTAGGAAAGAAGAAGCTTGGATTCAGGACCTTGTAGAGTACGATTGTTTAAAGAGGGAAAAAGGAGGGACTGAGGACGAAAAAATCGCTGGCATGGATTTTTGAAGTTGTCAGAAATAACGGCATAGAAGATAAATATATCTGTATACTATGTGCTTCAAGAAAGGTAGGGTATTGCTCAGGGGATGGATGCGTGAAAACAGAAACAAAGGTTGGGGGAAGATTATAGGGCAAAGAATTCAAAGAGAAGTGAGAGAAGAAAGCAAAACAAAACAAAACAAAAACACCTTGTAAGGAAGTAAGAGGAATAGCATTCACTGCTTCTTACCGGGAAATTTGAAAAGAAGCATTTCTACTCATTCTGGAAAGATTTTAAAGAAAAAATGTGTCAATTGGTGTGTTCTACTTTAACAATGACTGTAATGGCTGAAATTATACTTGGAGAATTTCTGGTGCCATCACGTTAGGTATTTTTTTCTGAACTGTTTATTTGTATGTTTCAGAGGTGAGTTTTAATGAATTTTTACATTCCACATTCAGACAGCAAAGTCACATGTTGATAAACTTACTGACATTCATCTGCTTATCATTGTTTCCCTGCAAACCCCAAATTGCATATAAACAGAAAAACTAATCAACCGAAGCAGAAACACGGTATCAGTTAGGTTGGTCCCTAGGAACAGAAAAAATAACAAACAAAATTAATTCCAATCAGTTTGGTAATAAAAAATCAAAAATGTGTAATAATTCGAGATGACTATGCCAGAAAGTAGTTGTGATTTGGCAAATGATTTTTATATAAATGCTTAGAATCCTTCCAAAAAGTATTCCTATTTGTATTTTGCTGTCATTTTAAAATTATGTTTAGAATCACTGTAAGGATAGTTATGACTATCTGAAACAGGAAATTGAGCCTTTCAAACAAACGTCTATTTCTCTTTTGTGACTGCAATCACGTGTTGCAGATATTTTTAAACTGGAAAAAGGTAACAATAATACCAGTAAACATTTATTGAGCATTTAGTATATACTTTTACACACTTTGTTTAATTGTGATGGTAGCCATTCAAAGTTTGATGGGCTTTACTGTATTAAAGGACCTGCAGGTAGGAGAATTCCTGTGATAGGAGGTTCCCCAAATTACTTTCAAAGGTGCTCTAAGAGAAAAGAATAGGTTTAAATGCATAGCAAGCGAAGAGAGCACCAACCCTTGATCACCTGGATGGAACCAGGCAAGTAAGATTCAGGAGCAGCTATATGCCATCTGGTACGTGGAAGAGGAGAAACAGAAGTCCAGATTCTGGGCAAGAGAAGTAGGGTGATAATAACCATGATCCCCTTTGCCTGACCATCAACCTGGCAAGAGGGCTAAGCTATGGTGTGGAGAAGCTTTGAATGAAGTTGGAAACCTTGATTATTGCCTGGAACTGAATATATTAATTAATGAATTTGTATTTTTTTAGAATTTATTATTTAAGATTTTCCAGGACATTTATTTCAGCATTTCTTAAATTGCATTTAATAGGTATATGGACACCAAAAAATGACCTTGCAAAGGCAGAAAAATAAAAGGTATATCAGATTTCTGATTTTAGTTTATGTGTCTCTTTCATATAGGTATAACATAATAGTTATACCTATATGATAAATGCAGTTTATTTAGAAGAGAATTCAAGGCCTATGAAAACTGGGCCTGCTTGTCTTCCCTGTTTCATGCATTCACTTCTATCCTTCTCTCCTAGAAGTATGTACAACTACTACATGCCAAGTAATTTTATGAGTCTGTTTTATGTTCAAGGTGGTTGATTTCATGAAATTTTCTGTACCATATTGCTAAAATATAATTTTTAATAAGTTAAAAACATAATTATCGTGCAAATATAAGACAAACACCTGAAAAAATATTTTATTTAACTCATTAATTAGTGAGGGAATGAGTAAGATGTCAATACAATTTGGCAGGAAAATACAATGTATAATATATAAATATATATACATACATAAATATAGTATATAATATAACTACAACATATAATATTTATATGAGTGTGTGTGTGTGTGTATATATATATATAAATGTATATATATGTAAACTTATATATATTAAGTAATGGCCTGGAAACACACACAAAATATGTTGTTAGAAAAGCTGAAAAAAGTTTTCAAATATATTTAAGACCTGTTAACATTCCATATTCTGATAGGGTGATAAAATGCAACCTTTAGGGTTATTATTTGTACTGAATAGAAATCAATTCTATCTTTACTGGAAAAAAATGTATTTTCACTCCTATGAATGTGAATCGTTTATGTGACTCTCAGTTTTCTAAAACTTAACAGCTACCCTTAAAGAGTTGAAAATAGCCTAGTCAATATAAAGTCAACCAAAGATGCACAATTACAATGCTCTAAACTTCACTCAGCACGGAAATAACAACCAACAGTCTCTTTTGCTGATTTCCATACCTTGAACTAGTTTTTTTACAACCATTAATAGCCTGGTAAACACTCATTCATCTTTCAAGTCACACCCCAAGTTGCCATCTACATTATGAAAATATTTTGAATGCCTTCAGGCACAGTTTAAATCCCACTCTATTCTATGTGACTCCTCCGTTATATCACCTGCATCACACTTTACCTTTAGAGGATAGTAATTGCGTATGGCTTTTCTCTCTCCTCAATAAATAATAATGTCTCTGGCATATAAAATCATGGTTAAGTTGCACTGTAATTAGGGAATCCTAGTTTGAAGCCTGGGTCCATCATTCAATAGCTGTATAACCTTGGGCAAGTTGTTTAACCTGTCAGAATTTTATTGATCTCATCTTTTAAATGAGAATAATGTCTAACACAAAGTTTTATTGTGAGGAGTAAATGAGGTAAAACATATAAAACATTTATTACAATATAGCCTCTCAATAAATAATGGTAGCAATAGTAGTAAAGATATCAAGAACAGAAAATGGTAGAAGGAAGTGAAATTCAGATATACAAGGTTAAACTCATGAGCCCTGAGAATTTCTCAAAATGTATGTTTGGCTTGGGAAGATCTTTATTCTGAGTCACAGATATGTATCAACTAAAAGTAGATACTGAAAAATGTGCAAGTTATTTACTCAATCAAATTATGTTAATCATAGTAATTCACAAAGCAATTGGTATGTCTTCATAAACTTATCATCTGTAAAATAGAGTAAAAAAAGTTTAAACAATTAAATTAAAATAAAATAAATTTAGCTCAAAAGGAATTTTCTGCAGTTTCTTTTTTGTTCTTCTAGTTTAAGTTACGCAAAGTAAAATTCCTAGAATTACATAATTTCAGGCCCTCTCTCCCACATATTATTGATGTTTTCAAAAATTATACAGACAATAGTTACCTTTGGAAAAATATGACTAAACAGTGAAAAATTTTTATTTTAATGATTGTATAAAAAACACAATTCTAGGCACAAGAAGTGATGCAGGAGAAATTAGAATCACTATGGTTCCCAGCAGAGTACTTATACTCATTTGAATATTCCTATAGAAGAAAATACAGCACTCCTCAATCAAAAAAAACCTGCTTTATTAATTTTCTTCCAAACCACCAGCCTTCGCATTTTGGGGGAAGAGTGAGCAAAAATTAAGTATGTTTTAAAGACAGAATGAGGCTGGGTGCAGTGGCTCATGCTTGTAATCCCAGCACTTTGGGAGGCCAAGGCGGGTGCAGCACTTGAGGCCAGGAGTTCAATACTGGCCTGGCCAACATGGCGAAACCCCATCTCTACTGAAAATACCAAAATTAGCTAAGCGTGGTGGCGCACGCCTGTAATTCCAGCTGCTCGGTAAGCTGAGGCAGGAGAATCACTTGAATCCAGCACACGGAGATTGCAGTGAGCCAAGATCACGCCACTGCACTCCAGCCTGGGCCACAGACTGAGACTCTGTCTCAAAAAAAAAAAAAAAAAGACAGAATGAAAACCCAAAATATACAACAAATTACTTGAATTTGTCATGGAGTTTTATCTTCAACCCAACAAAACAACCACCACCATAAAAAAGTGGAATAACGACAGACATCAATCTATTCTCCAAAGAGGTATAGCATTTCAGCACAATAGTTAGATTCCAGAAAAGTTTCTCTAAGTTAAATTTTTACAAATTCCAACACATTTTAAAAGCACTGGAAGGACTAATGATTGTAAGGAATCCTGAGTTCAATCTATTTTTAAAATGTAGAAATTCAGTGGCCTTTTCCTTTTTTCTATTCTATGAACATATACTTTTATAGAACAAAATCAGGAGTTGGCTGATTCCAGATTACTTTTTTCTGACTATTCTACATTGTGATATCTGATTTTGAAAGCCAATATATGACCATGAACTGCGCTATCATGAATAATAAATATATTTAATACATTGAGTGCTTTATGCCGGTAAACCAAGTGCTTTATCTAGATTATCTCATTTGACTTTCACAGTACACAATGAAGTGCACCTTTTTATTATCTTTAGTTTACAGAAAAGGAAATAGAGATGAAATAATTGGTCCAAATTAAATGATTGAACCTGGATCGGGTACAGTCAGTTTGATGCCAAAGCCAAAATCATCCAGCTTTCCCATCCAACTTTTCCTACCTTAAAGGAACTGAGCAAATTTTATTTTGTTTTGTTTTGTTTCGTTTTGTTTGGTTTGGTTTTGTTGTTGAGACAGAGTTTTGCTCTGTCGCCCAGGATGGAGTGTAGCAGTGCAATCTCGGCCCACTGCAACTTCTGTTTCCCAGGTTCAAGCGATTCTTGTGCCTCAGCCTCCCAAGAAGCTGGGATTACATGTATGAGCCACCACAGCCGGCTAATTTTTGTATTTTAGTAGAGACAGGGTTTCACCAGGCTGGTCTGGAACTCCTGGCTTCAAGAGATCCACCCATCTCAGCCTCCCAAAGTGCTGGGATTACAGGCATGAGCCAGCACAACAGGCCTAAAGAAACTGAGCAAGTATTTACATTCATACATGAAAAAAGATTTTGCTCATCAAATACACAAAGATAAAACTCCTTACTTTGAGTGGTCCATTATAAACAAGTTTAAGAAATAAACAAAACAAAACCTACTTATTTTTCCTTTAATCTTAAGAGAAATTTTTAAAAGCCCTTCTTTGGGAGTGTAAAGAAAGTAATGCTCACTTTATTTTTAGATTTTCGTGAAAGGATTTGGGTTGCTCTGATTCTTAATTTGCATGAATGGAAAATGCATTTAGATAATTGTTAAATGTATTAAATCCACCTATCACAAGTGGGCCCAGTTTTCAGAGATAATGAAACATTCCAGAGAGCAAATAATGAGATGAATGTGTGCTTCTTAAATAAAACTAACAAGGCTCATAAAGGGGTCAGCTTGGTAGAGTTGTAAGATGCCTCATCAGGATGGCCATGATTTCTCTCTCATTTATTTCTCTCATCAGAATTACTGTATAATTATACATTATCAGTTCAAAGGAATACATTAGAAATGCTAAAGGAAACAGACTTCTTTCCTTAAAAACAATGACCAAGTAACATAATAATCTTCTCAGTATTTCAATTAATAATCAAGAAATTTTGTTGAAATCCAAAGGATTTGCAAGAATGAGGTGAGATGTCAGAAGAGATGTGGGTGGGTAAGTAGCTCTCAGTGATTATATCCCAGTCCTTCCCAGCTATTTAATTTCTCCTTTTTGTAGCCCTTTTATGAAATAGCAAGCAGGGGGTATATGACTGTCAACATTGCTTTGACAACAGGACTGTAATCTAACAAAGACAAAACAGTAATAAATTGTCCAAAGTTTGTTTGCAGTTATTGGAGGGATCAATTTGATGTCTTGGAGAATATCAGTGAAATTTTGTCTTCCACATTTTAAACTTAGGAGTTACATAAGAGCCTAAAGGTGAAAAGATTCTCTTTAGTGTTCTAAGTGTATGGGTTCTAAATAACCCCTGACTTCATTAAATTTTGCAATAAAATAAAATAAATTGAGGTTAATAAAAGGGCCCATTAATACAATGGAAAAATGAATAAATTGAAGAATTGAAAAGTTTACTAAGAAAACAGCAATTAGTAGCACTGGTATGTGATTGTGCCTATCAGGTATAATGATGACAGCATTTTAAATTTTGAAGGATTAACATATTAAAATGTAAGATAATCTAGCTGTTTTAACTACCTTGTCAATTATCCAGTTGTTGAAACTAGAAAATTTACAAATCAGATTTAGGCTTAAATCTTTCTTTCAGATTTGAGGAATGATTTTAGATTAGTGGCTTAACTCAAGAAGTTCTGCTTGGCTGCTCTTGTAAATGTGGAATCTTCCAAATCACAAACTGTTTATGTTGTTTCATAATTCTGTAGGAAAAGAACTGCAGTTATATAACTATATGAGAAACCATCCTACTTTTCATTTCTTCAGAAGACAGGAAACCTAAACAATTTCACATACTTTTTGTCATCTTAATTTATCCATTGACAATAAGTGCATTTTCTGTCTTCTGGCTAAATGTAATTCTAAAGCCTTAGAACTAGATTCTTTTTTCTTAGCACAAAAGGCCATGTCACTTAGAACCCAATCATTGAGAGCAGAGTGGATGTTGGATGTTACCTCCTAACCCCTGAGACTGATGAATCACAGTGAAGACAGCTTCCCTGTAGTCCATTATCTGCAATATAACCATAACATAACAAAGGCAAAAAGGAACAATATATGTCATTTTCTTGGATAAAATATTGCAAGGTGTATCTTTTTTTTTTTTTTTTTTTTTTGCTACATTACACAATCCACAAAAGAGGTGTGAATTTGGAGTGGTATTGTATTCCAAAGTATGCTAATGTATCAGCAATCAAGAAAAAAAGAAACGAGATTTTTTATTATAATTACAACCAGTGCATGTTGGGATTCTCAAGTTGGAATGCACATTATGGAATAATAAAATAAAAAGTATTTCCTTTCATCATTACCATCAAAGCACACAGCCAAGAAATCTGCCATTAGATAAAAGATTAGCTGTGACACTGATTTCACTGTTTACATGATTAAGTGCCCTTGTGTGGTCTAATGTATGCTAGGAGATGCTTCAATTTCTGAAGGTGAGGCATTGAGAATACAATGTAACAGTGAGGAGGAAGATAAAAGCTTGTCTGTGACAGAAAATTTTGCAGGAAAAGAAACATCTGGTACTAACTATCATATTTATGAGACTAGAATCTATCCCTATGTACCTTGTGAAAATCATAAGAAAAATAAAATAGAGAATATCTTCAAATCTTTACTGGAAATATATTCTCTACATGAGCACAAAACAAATGTCAGTTTGTTTTTGCATTACTTAAAAGTATATTTTATTGATCACAGGCAGCAAACAAAATACAACAGTGTATTACTATTCCATTGCTTTGGTAACAAACGGCCAGAAACTTAATAGCATAAACAGAGCAAATTTATGCTACTGTAGTTCTAGAAGTTTACAATAAAAAATCAAGATGTCAGCTGGGTTGTGTTCCTTCTGAAATTTTCACAGGCAAATCAGTTTCTGTCCCTTTTTCAGCCTCTAGAGGCTGCCTGCATTCCTTGGATCATAGCTCCCCCTTTTTATCCCTTCAACTTCTATTTGTCACATCTGCTATTTCTTATTCATCCTTTTGTCTCCTTCTTTTAAAGACCATTGTGATTACATTTAGGGCCCACCTGTATGATCTAAGATAATCTCCCTCCCTCAAAATCCTCAATTTAATCATACCTAGAAGGTCCCACTTGATGAATAAGGTAACATTTTCACAGATTTCAGAGATTAGAATGTAGTCATCTTTGCGGGGGTGAAGGTGAGTGGCATATTCAGCCTAGCACACACAGTGTGCCTTCTCTACTCCTAATATTCACATCTACCCCAAATGCAAAATACATTCACCTATCTGAAGGTAACCAAAAGTCTCAAATCATCAATCACAGCATCAATTTGACTGCAAAATCTCATCTAAGTCTAATCAGTTTGAAAATCCCAAATCCCACCATTTTAAATGATCTAAATTAGTGTGAGATTCTGAATTTAATACATCTTGGAACAAAATTCTGCTTCGTCTGTAGATGTGTGAAACTAGAAAACAAGTTATTTACCTCTAAACTACAATGGTGACAGGCATAGCTTAACAATGATAAACATTCTCTTTCAAAAACAGAGAAAATGAAATGAAAAAATAAGTAGTAAGTCTTAAACAATATTAAAATCCAACTGGGCAAACTCGATTAGGTTTCAAAGCCTAGAATGATCTCCTCTTGCTTGGGGTTGTGCCTTTCTGGCTCTTGACTCCATGCTCTGGGCTCACAGCTCTTCCCTCTGGGCCTGTGGTTCCTTCCAATCTTTTTGTTTACATGAAGGATAGCACATATTTGCAATTGAGTAGTAGTATTAGTCTGTTTATTTTCTGTAGAATTTTGGAAGCCTGAAAGCACTCTTTATTTGATTCTCTGTGTATCTCCTTCCATCCAAGTTGACAGTATTTCTGCTGCAGTAACATTCCCAAATACCTATGGATCTTTTATGTATTCCTCACAGTCTCCATTTGAGAAAAGTCTCCTCTATAGATCTTTCTATAGTAATCTCCCCTTAACTACTGAAGATACATTCCAAGACTCCCAGTGGATGCCTGAAACCTTAGGTAGTAACTGAATGCTGTATATATGAGGTTTTATCCTATATAAATGTATCTATATGTGATATTCTGAAATGAATATTTGGTCTCTGTCCCTGTCTCCTGGCATACAACTCCTTAAATCCTTGGAATCTCCAAAGTGAGAAGTTTTTCTTTGGTTGCTAATGAGATGACTAATGTCTGGTAGCACCTAGGTAACCTTAGGATGGGGGCTGGTCACTGGAAAGTCCAAGGCATGATTAGAAGGTTGCAACTTTCAGCTCCACACCCCAAACTTAGAGGAGGGGGAAGGGTGGAAGGTTAAGTTGATCACAAATGGCCAATGGTTTAATCAACCATGCCTATGTAACAAAGTCTCCGTAAAAAAACAAAAGGATGTGGTTCTGGGAGCTTCTGGATGGCTAAACACATGAGGGATCCTGGAGAGCGACAGGCCCAGGAAGGACATGGAAGTTCTGCTCCCTTTCCTCCATACCTCACCCTAGGAATCTCTTCATCTGTACCCTTTGAAATATCCTTTTTAATAAACCGGCAAACATAAGCATCTCCCTGAGTTCTGTATGTCACTGCAGCAAATTAATAAAACCCAAAGAGGGGGTCATGGGAACCCCAGCTTAAAATCATTTGGTCATAAGTTCCAGAGGCCCAGGTAGCTAATGTTAGAATTTAATTGGAGGATACCCAGCTAGTGTCCACCACAGAATTGATTGCTTTTTTGTTGTGGGGAGAAATACCCCACATTTGGTCACATAAATCTTCTGTGTTGATTGTGGTTGTGAGTGAGAGGGTAGAAAAACATGTTTTGAGTGTGTTTTCCTCTCTCACAGACGATGATAAATTTTTATTTATAAATTAGACACAGTAAGAGATTAAAGATTATAGCAATATACTGTAATAAAGTTGATGTAACTGTGCTCTACCTCTCTTTTTCATGTTTTCTTACTATACTATATTATAGGTAACTAAAATTCTGGAAAGTAAAATTGTGTATAAGGGGGATTAATGTATTATATTCTGCTGAGATGGTTGAAAGGATCCATGAGTTACATGCCTAACCTCTTCGAAGAGCGTTCTGTGAGACTAAACCCTTTGACTTTTGGATCCACTGGAGGAACTGGCAAAAGGTTATCCAGCCAAACCTTTGATTTTATCTCCGGAGCATGCTTTCTGACAGTGCAACTTCTCATTTTAGCATCTTTGGCAATAGAGATAGGCTAAGAGTTTTTCAAATCAAGTCCTGGTTCCTTTTTGCTTAACAGTTGCTCAACTTATATTTCCTCTTGCATTTCACTATAAGCAGCAAGAAAAAGAATCAAGGGGCATCTTTAACATTTTGCTTTGAGATCATCTCAGCTCAATGTGCAAGTTCATCTTCTATAAATTTTGCCTTCTATCTAAGTGTAGGATGTAATTCAACTAAGTTTGCTGCTGCTGTATAATAAGGATCTCCTTTCCTCCAGTTTCCAATAGCATGATCTTCATTTCCTTCTGAACACTCAAAAGAAGCAACTTTAATGTTAATATATCTATATACATTCTTTTTATGATTATTTAGGTATTCTCTAAAATAAAATAGGTTTTTTTCTCTTGTACTTCTCATTTCTTTTGGAGCCTCACCAGCAGCGACTTCAATATTCTTATTTCTATGAACAGTCTGTTCAAAGCAACCTAGGGTTTTTCTACCATGCTCCTTGAAATTCTTCCAGCCTCTTCCCCTTATACAATTCCAAAACCATTTCTCCACTTTTAGATATTTGCAAATCCACTTCCAGGTACCCAAATATGTATTAATTTCCTATGGCTGCCATAATAAATTATCACAAACTAACTGACTTAAAACCACGCAAATTTTTCTTACAGTTCTGGAGGTCAGAAATCTAACTCAAATTCCTGGCAGGGCTGAATTCTTTCTAGAGGTGCTAGAGTTTGAATGTTTGTGTCCCTTCCAAAATTCATATTAGAACTTAATCTCCAGTGCAACAGTATTAAGAAATAGAGCTCTCAGGAGGATGTTATCATATTCACAGTTTCTGGCATTAGGATGTAAATATCCTGGATGATGGTAGGTATTCAGCCTAACACAAATAGCTGATGATAAATGCTAAGTAGTAAAATTGTATTTTTGTTCATTCATCAGTTATTCCTTACTAATTATCGGTCCCTTCTACATGGACAATGCTGTGCTTAATGCTATAGATACAGGGAGAAAAAACACAATTCCTATCCTGAGACATCCAGTGTCTGAGTTAGAGAAAGGCAAGACAAAAATTTAAAATATAGGGAATGAATGGGAAAACATTTAATTCAGACTAAGGAAAAAGGATGGACCAGGAAAATGTTCCCACAAAGGATCAGGACTAATGTGCAAAAAGTTAGAATCAAACTATGAAGCACGGGGTAAATTCAGGCAAAAGCAACAGAATGAGAAAGAAGTCTTCTTTACATTTTTAATCTCATGTTTTACTATTCCAAAAAAAAACATGATTGAATGCTATAATACATCTTGACAGCCATATCCTTTTCCCCCATTGATCTCTTATGTTCAGTTTTGAAACAGAAATGTGTACCATTTCCTGTTCCCATTCATGGTTTCTTAGGCCATAAATAGATAAAAGGATCACTAAGCTTTTGCTAGATAATAATTACTCAGATTGTCTCATGTGTTGAAACTAAGAGAAGCACAAACTGAGATTAGTTGAAAGTAGGCACTGGGGCTGAAATGCCGTGCCATAAAACACTGCTACATAAGAATCTCCTTTAGAGCTGTCTATACATACAGATTTAGAATATCGTGGCGCAGTATTGTACCTTCTTGCATTCTCGCATAAAAATAAACACAAATCACTACAGAGCAAAATTAAAACCCATAAATAGCATTTTCTATAAAACTAGATGACAAGACATCTCCACAAACCCAAATATATCAGCAGATGGGGACAAACTGCCAGCAGCTACAAGAACTGCATACTATTCACAAGGGGGTGATAGAAGCAATGGGATATTGGACAGACCCAAGAACAAGAGGATACCAAATAGCCAACAGATATTCCCTGGAACAAGTAGCAGGTCAATTTGAGAATAACAGCTAAAACTGAGGGGTTTTATTTTTTGGTTTTTGCTTTTTTTCCCTTATAGAAGCCAGTGAGTGAAATCAAGGGATACACAAGATGGTCTGAGGGAGCTGAAGCAGATTGTCTCTTATTAACTCTCAAACTGACCCACTAGAGCTCTCTCTAGAGCAGTAATCCACATTAAGGAATAATTACTGACAGTGGAACCAAAATTGATCTATGCAGAACAGCAAATGTGAAGGAAGGAAAGAATTATGTGGAAAAAAACTGACAGAACCATAAAATCCCCTAAAACAAGCTACTATGTATATATTGAACACTAAATACACACACAGATGAAAAAGCTCAGTGAAGTGAGACAAGCTGCTTAAACCGAGAACCTTCCTAAAACTTCAGGAAAACTAACTTCACAAAAAGAAGAACTAAATAAAGTATATGTGTTAAATTCCACACAAACCTCCACAGTTTACAAGAGGATTACATGGGAAATTCATTAAAAATACTGATGTCTGCCCTTTTCCCAGGAGGTTTTGGCTATCAATTACTCACTGCAACATCTGTTGCAATATCTCCCCTATCAAAATTCAAATTTTTGGGGGGATGTCCAAATCCTATTATTTCCTTTATTAGATAAATATTCCAGTATTCCCTATATTAAATAATATCAACACAAGCCTTTAACCAGACGTGTTATATAAGTATTTTATGAGTTTAATTGTCAGAAGGTAGTTACTTTTTTAGTAAAAGTTCGTTGCATCCTACCGCATTTATACATATCCTTCTTTACTCCCAAACATATCCTGGTCTATTTTAGCAGGAAAGAGTAGAAACAAAAAACCAAGGTTAAATCAGGTCTAGATTACATAGTGAATGAAGTGTATTTTTAAACACATTAAAAAGGCTAGCAGTGAATTTAAATACACTTATACAGCCCTCCCTTAGCACCATGTGGAATTGGTTCCAGGACTTCCCAAGGATACCAAAGTCCATGGATTCTCAAGTCAATGACATAAAATTGCGTAGTATTTGCACATAACCTATGCACATCCTCCTGTTTACGTTATTTTATTTTATTTTATTTTTATACTTTAAGTTCTAGGGTACATGTGCACAATGTGCAGGTTTGTTACATTTGTATACATGTGTCATGTTGGTGTGCTGCACCCATTAACTCATCATTTACATTAGCTATATCTCCTAATGCTATCCCTCCCCCATCTCCCTACCCCACGACAGGCCCCGGTGTGTGATGTTCCCTTTCCTGTGTCGAAGTGTTCTCATTGTTCAGTTCCCACCTATGAGTGAGAACATGCGGTGTTTGGTTTTCTGTCCTTGCGATACTTTGCTGAGAATGATGGTTTCCAGCTTCATCCATGTCCCTACAAAGGACATGAACTCATCCTTTTTTATGGCTGCATAGTATTCCATGGTGTATATGAGCCACATTTTCTTAATCCAGTCTATCATTGATGGACATTTGGGTTGGTTCCAAGTCTTTGCTATTGTGAATAGTGCTGTAATACACATATGTGTTCATGTGTCTTTATAGCAGCATGATTTATAATCCTTTGGGTATATACCCAGTAATGGGATGGCTAGGTCAAATGGTATTTCTAGTTCTAGATCCTTGAGGAATCGCCATACTGTCTTCCACAATGGTTGAACTAGCTTACAGTCCCACCAACAGTGTAAAACTCTTCCTATTTCTCCACATCCTCTCCAGCACCTGTTGTTTCCTGACTTTTTAATGATCGCCATTCTAACTGGAGTGAGATGGTATCTCATTGTGGTTTTGATTTGCATTTCTCTGATGGCCAGTAATGATGAGCATTTTTTCATGTACTTTAGACCTAGATTATTTATAATATTGAATTCAGTGTAAATACTATGTAAATAGTTGTTATACTGTATTATTTAGGGAATAATGACAAGAAAAAAGTCTAAACATGTTCAGTACAGACCAAATTTTAAAAAATATTTTCAATCTGTGATGGTTGAATCAACAGATGCAGAACCCAAAGATACAGAGGGACAACTGTTCTAGAAGAAACAGAGTGAAAAATATCATTTAAGGAACAGATATAAGAAAATACATTTAAAAATTGGTTAATCAAATATACTTTGACCAGAAAAAAAATAACAAAACATAAAATAAAGATAATTTCAATATTTGGTGTTTCAAAATTTCTGTAACAAATGGCCTGTAAAACTTATTTCCTATGTAACGACTAAAAGCATATCATCACTTTAAAAGATTTTATTAAATTTTATGGCTTATATTTTTGGATTGTAGTTCAGCATGGTTTAGGTAGATTGGCCTGAATCATATATGAAAACCAATCTCAATATATTAAAATAAAGCATTAGGGAAATGGCAGGTCAAAATGTAACCAAAGAAGAACTTCATCTGCTATGGTATCAAACATGTTTGTTACAAGGGATATACTCAGTGTAGATGTGAAAACCAAATGATGATATGAAAAGCTTCCAACACTTAAATTATACACAACGGTTGATGTAACTAAGCATGACAAATACTCATAAATATATTCAAGAACTTGATGCATAAAATAGATTTTTTACTTTTGTGTTTCCTATATTATTGCATTCATTTTCATGAATACTCCTAGGATTTCTGCAATTGCTATAAACAAAGGAAAACACAGCTTTTGGAAGACTATGCTTTATTTCATGTCAGGTTTTTCTGTTATATTCAAAATAAATTTATAAAACACATATAATGATGAAATGAATGGAATCTTGTTAGTATCAACTTATGGCAATTTTCAGTCCTAGCAACTGTGAAATCTATCACTCTTCTATGAAGACATTATCTACTATATTAATAAGTTAAATGTATTATTATTTCATAATGATACCTATGGCTCATGTCATGCAGTTAGCCTATTAAGCCACTAAAATCACCTGCTTTACAACCTCAATATATAATTTGGAAATCTAAATAAGAATTAAGTTCAACATTGTCCAATTTTAAGACATCAATACTTTACAATGTGGTATATGGGTAATTAATCTAATATTTTGATCAATATTTGCAGGCTAACTTGACCACTTTGACAATAATTCTGAATGAGATTTGAGAATTTGCTTCCTTTTCTTTCTATTATTACTTTTCTATAATTTTGAACTGAATGTTATTGTATTTATTGGTTTAGTTTTAATTTTATAAATTTGAGGTAGAAAGCTATGAGTTTAGTTTAATATGCTCTGAATTTAGAATTGATTTGTAACCACATCAGATTGCTATTTGATTCTCCTCCAATATAAAAAATATTGATACAAGCTCTATATTTGAAAAAAAAAAAAACCTGGATCCTGAGCACTTTTAAACCTATAGCTCATAGATATTTACATTTTTTGCCAATTGAAAGATATATTTGATGTATTTTATATAGTCAATTAATTGAATTTGAAAGCTTTCATTCTTATAGAGGTTTGAAACTGTTTTATTGTTCTACTTGTTATTTAGGTATCACCTTCTGTAATTTATTTACTGTATTAATCTGTTTTAATGCGTCTGATAAAGACATACCTGAGACTGGGAAGAAAGAGAGGTTTAATGGACTTACAGTTCTATGTGTCTGGGGAGGCCTCACAATCATGGCAGAAGGCCAGGAGGAGCAAGTTATGTCTTCCATGGATGGCAGTAGGCAAAGAGAGAGCTTGTGCAAGGAAACTCCCATTTTTAAAACCCTCAGATCTTGTGAGAATCATTCCCATCACGAGAAGAGCACAGGAAAGATCCACGCTCATAATTCTATCACCTCCCACTGGGTTCCTCCTATAACACATGGGAATTGTGGGAGTTACAATTCAAGATGAGATTTCAGTGGAAACACAGAGCCAAGCCGTGTTATTCTGCCCCTGCCCCTCCCAAATCTCATGTTCTCATATTTCAAAACCAGTCATGCCTTCCTAACAGTCCGTCAAAGTCTTAACTCGATTCAGCATTAACTCACAAGTCCATAGCCCAACATCTCATCTGAGACAAGGCAAGTCCTTTCCACCTATGAGCCTGTAAAATCAAAAGCAAGTTAGTTACTTTCCAGATACAATGGGTGTACAGGCATTGGGTACAGCCTCCCTCCCAGCTGTCTTCACATGCTGGCATTGTATGTTTGTGGCTTTTCCAGGTGCAAGGTGCAAGCTGTCAGTGGATCTACCATTTTGGGGTCTAGAGGATGGTGGCCTCTTCTCAAAGCTCCACTAGGCAGTGCCCTACTAGGGACTTTGTGTGGGGGCTCCCACCCCACATTTTCCTTCTGCACTGCCCTAGCAGAAGTTCTCCATGAGGACCCCGCTCCTACAGCAAATTTCTGCCTGGGCATCAAGGAGTTTTCATGCATCCTCTGAAATCCAGGCTGAGGTTCCCAAACCTCAATTCTTGACTTCTGTGTACTTGCAGGCTCAACACCTTGTGAAAGCTGCCAAGGCTTGGGGCTTCCACCCTCTGAAACCAAAGTCTGAGCTCTATACTGGCCCCTTTCAACCATGGCTGGAGCAGCTAGAGCACAGGGAAGCAAGTTCCTAGGCTACACACAGCATGGGGACACTGGGCCCAGAACATGAAACCACTTATTTCTCCTATGTCTCAGGGCCTGTGATGGGAGGCTCTCCCATGAAGGCCTCTGACATGTGCTGGAGATGTTTTCCCCATTGTTTTGGGGATTAACATTTGGCTCCTTATGCAAATTTCTGTAGCTGGCTTGAATTTCTCCCCAGAAAATGGAATTTCCTTTTCCATCACATTGTCAGGAGGCAAATTTTCCAGACTTTTATGCTGTACTTCCCTTATGAAGCTGCAGACCTTTGACAACACCCAAGTCACCTCTTGAAGACTTTGCTGCTTAGAAATTTCTTCCACCAGATACCCTAAATTATCTCTCTCAAGTTCTAAGTTCCACAGATCTCTAGGGCAGGGGCAAAATGCGGCTAGTCTCTTTGCTAAAACATAAGAAGAGTCACCTTTGCTCTAGTTCCCAAAAAGTTCCTTATTTCCACCTGAGACAAGCTCGGCCTGGACCTTATTGTTCATATCACTATCAGCATTTTTGTCAAAGCCATTCAACAAGTCTCTAGGAAGTTCCAAACTTTCCCACATTTTCCCGTCTTTTTCTGAGTCCTCCAAATTGTTCCAACCTCTGCATGTTACCCAGTACCAAAGTCACTTCCACATTTTTTGGGTATCTTTTCAGCAACACCTCACTCTACTGGTAGCAATTTACTGTATTAGTTCATTTTTATGCTGCTGATAAAGACATACCTGAGACTGGGGAAAAAAAGAGGTTTAATGGACTTACAGTTCCACGTGGCTGGGGAGGCCTCACAATCATAGTGGAAGGCAAGGAGGAGCAAGTCATGTCTTACATGGATGACAGAAGGCTAAGAGAGAGCTTGTGTAGGGAAACTCCCATTTTTAAAACCATCAGTTCTCCTGAGACTCATTTACTGTCATGAGAGTAGTGCAGGAAGGACCCATTCCCATAATTCAATCACCTCCCATGGGGTTCCTCCCATGACACATGGGAATTGCAGGAGTTAATTCAAGATGAGATTTGGGTGGTCATACAGCCAAACCATATCAATGTATGTTACTGTATTACTGTCTCCTTCTTACTAGTATAATTATTTTAAAATGCATTACAAGTTTTGAAATACTAGAGTTCTACCTTTGAAAAAAGAAAGGTGAGATCTTTTCATAGTTTCCCTCTCACCTTCAGACATTTCCCATATGATATGGTTTGGCTCTGTGTCCCCACCCGAATCTCATCTTAAACTGTAATCCCCACATGTCAAGGGAGGGATCTTTAATCCCCACATGTCAAGGGAGCAAGGTGATTGAATCATGGGGAGGGTTTCCCTCCTGCTGTTCTCCTGATAGTGGATGAGTTCTCAGTAGATCTGATGGTATTATAAGTGCTTGGAAGTTCCTCCCTCACTCTTCTCTCTCCTGCCACATTGTGAAGACAATGTCTACTTCCCCTTCTGCCATGATTATAACTTTCCTGAAGCCTCCCTAGGCATACAGAACTATGAGTTGATAAAACATTTTTCCTTTATAAATCACCTAGTCTCAGGGAAGTTCTTTACAGCAGTGGTAAAATGAACTAATAAACCATATACCTTCTTTTATCTTGAAGGTGGTGTCCATTAATTTCCCCTTTTTTTCCTTTATATCCTATTTTATTTCAGCAGTTATACCAGTTAAGATTTTTCTGTACTCTCTCTCCCTTAATTTCAGTAGTCTGCACTCTAATTTATTTTTAATAGCTTTCTGCATTTTGGTGATGTTGTTTAATTAAGTCAAATTGTTTCTTTTTAAAAACAACTGCCACATTTACTGGCTATTCCATTATTGGCTCAAATTTGTACCTATCCTTTGGGATATTAGTGTTATTTAACTTCTGAATGCTCATTATTGATCCTATAAATTTATTGAGATGTCTTTGGACATCTGAAGATATAACCTGCATAGTACTTTCTTTATGTGTTTCTATGGGACTAGTGGAATGATCAATTTGGATAAAATAGGAAAATATACTGTGAACTACATGCTAGAAAATGCAAAGAAAAAAATTGTCATTGTGCTCAACATGTGAAATATTCTACGATGCTAGATTATATCTGCCAGTGCTTCAGGAAATGGTATTTGGATAAATTAATTAGTACTTCGTTGATATGTTATTTATCGTATATTGGCTATAAAAATTATAGTTCAAATTATTAATCTTTTAGTAGTGGCTTACGTTTGTACATTATACTTGGAATATGCTAGTATAAAATGAGAGAGGACATAAATTACTATACTAGAAACATAAAAGTTTAAGAAGTGGCATCTCTACAGATTCCATGAATATTAAAAAGTGGAATAGAAGACTCCACTGATCATCCTGCACAACCTCCCACCTCTTCTGCAAGGACACTATTTTAACAATTATCTGCGCAGAAAAAATACCTTCATAAAAACAAAAAACAGGTGAGCATTCACAGTACTTGGTTTAACTTCATATTGCTGAAAAAGCCACTGAAGAGATAGAAAAAAACAGGCTGGAATCACCAATGCCACCCCTTTCCCACCCCCAGCAGCAGCGGCATGGTATTGGGAGACATTGGACTCAGTGTTGTCCTGTTAGAGCAGAAAGAAAAACCTGACCAAACCCAGCTGACACTCACAGAGAGAGCATTTAAGTCATTCCTAGCTGAAGGAGATCATGGATTTCAGTGATTGGATCATGAGTGCCTGCAAACCTTGCCATAGAGGGTTATGGCACTCTGTGTCTCCAAGTAAATTTGAAAGGCAGTCTAGTCCATAAGGACTGAAACTCTTAGGTGAGTCCTGGTGCTGAGCTAGGCCCAGACAGTCAACTGGAGGAGGGTCATGCAACATACCAAGACACGAGCTGGGGCAGCCAAGGTAATGCTGGCATCATCCCTCCCATTACTCCATGTTGCACAGCTCACAGCTGCAAAACAGATCCTTTCCTTCTGCTTGAGAAGGGGAGTGAGAAGAATGGGAAGGACTTTGTCTTGCATCTTGGATACCTGCTCAGCCACAGCAGGATAAGGCACTGGACAGGGTCGTGAGGCCCCTGTTCCAGGTCTTATTTCCCAGATGACATTTCTAGACATATCCTGGGCATGATAGAAACAAGCTGTCTTGAAGGAAAGCAACCAGTCCTGGCAGCATTCATCACCTGCTAACTGTAGAGCCTTGGGCCCTGAATAACCAGCAACAATACCCAAGTACTACATTGAGGGACTTGGGTGAGCCTCTGAAACTTACTGGCTTCATGTGAGTCTCAGCACATTACCAGCTGTTGTGGCTACACAGCAAAACTCTTTCTGCATGACAGAGAAGCAGAGGGAAAAGTAAAGGGAACTTCTTCCTAAACAGTAAGTACCAGCACAACCACACGATTCAGAGAACCAAACGAGCTCTTGAGTACCCAGTTCCAGGACTATATTCTTAGTCAGCATTTCTGAAGCTGCCCTGGGCAAGAGGGGAGCCCACCGACCTGAATAGTAAGTCTGAGGCCAGGTAGCATTCATTACAAGCTGACTTAAGAGCGCTTGGGCCTTAAGGGAACAGTAGCTGGTAGTTTGGCAGTACTCCTCATGGTCTGGAGTGCTGATGGCTAGGGATTGAGGCTCCTCTGTCCTTGGAAAGGAGAGGGAATAGGAAGAAGGACTGCATTTTGTGGTTTGTGTGCCAGCTCAGCTAGCAATACAATAGAAAACCAGGTAGATGACTGAGGTTTATGACTAGACCCTGATTCCTGGACAGCACCTCTGGACCCACCCAGGTCCTGGGGATCCGCACTGCCCTGAAAGGAAGAACACAGGACTGACTGGCTTTTCCACCTGCTGACTGTAGAGCCCCAGGGCCTTGAATGAACATATGCAATAGCCAGGGAATGGTTACAGCAGCCTGGGTGAGGCTCAGTGCTATTCGGTTTTCAGGTCTGACCCAGTGCACTCATAGTGGTAGTGGCCACAGGGGTGCTTGTCATTCTAGCCCCAGCATTAGGTGGCTCAGAACAGACAGAAAAAAACTCTGTTAGTTTGGGAGAAACTGAGAGAAGAAAACAAGAGTCTCTGCCTGGTAATCAAGAGGATTCACCCAGATCTTGTCCAAGACCATCAAGGTGTTACCTCTATGAGTCTGCAATAACCACAGCTTTACTGGACTTAGGGTACCCCCTAAAGTAGATACACCTTAGATCACAACACCCAAGTACTTTCCAACATCTGAAAAGCCTTCTCAAAAATGACAGCTAAAAATAAGCCCAGACAGTGAAGACTACAATAAATATCTAACTCCTCAAGGCCTAGACACTGAAGAACACCTGCTATCATTAACATTCTCCAGGAAAAAAAAAAATGACTTTACCAAATGAACTAAAACAGACACCAGGGACCAGTCCTGAAGAAATAGAGATATGTAACCTTTCAGACAGAGAATTCAAAATAGTTGTGTTGAGAAAACTCAAAGAAATTCAACATAACACGGGGAAGAAATTCAGAATTCTGTCAAATTTAACAAAGAGATGAAATAATTAAAAAGAATCAAGCAGAAATTCTTAAGCTAATAAAAGCAATTGGCATAATGAAAAACGCATGAGTCCTTTAATAGCAGAATGGATCAAGCAGAAAAAAGAATTGGTGAGCTTGAAGACAGGCTATTTGAAAATACACCAGCCAGAGGAGACAAAAAAGAATAAAAAACAATGAAGCATACCTACAGGATCTAGAACATAACCTCAGAAGAGCAAATCTAAGAGTTATTTGCCTTAAAGAGGAGGGAGAGAAAGAAATATGTTTATTCAAAGTGATAATAACTGAGAATGTAATAAACCTAGAGAAAAAATTAATATCCAAATATGAGAATATTCTGGAACACCAAGTAGATTTAACCCAAAGAAGGCTACCTCAACTCATGTAATAATCAAACTCCCAAGGGTCAAGCTTAAAGAAAGGATCCTAAAGGTAGCAAGAGTAAAGAAACAAATAGCATACAATAGAGCTCCAACAAATCTAGTAGCAGACTTTTCAGTAGAAAATTTACAGGCAAGGAGAGAGTGGCATAATATATACATATATATAAAGTGTTGAAAGAAAAGTCCTATATTCTAGAATATTATATCTGGCTGATATGGTTTGGCTCTGTGTCCCCACCAAAATCTCATGTTGAATTGTAATCCCCAATGTTGGGGGAGGGACCTGGTGGGAGGTGATTGAATCTTGGAAGCAAAGTTTTCCCTTGCTGTTCTCAAGATAGTGATTTCTCATGAGACCTGGTTGGTTAAAAGTGTGTAGCACTTCTCCCTCACTCTCTCTCTATTCTGGCACAATGTGAGAACATGTTTGCTTCCTCTTCATCCTTCTGCCATGATTGTAAGTTTCCTGAGGCCTCCTTAGCCATACCTTCTGTACAGAAGAAAAAAGTTTAAATGAAACAATGGAACTGTCATCAATTATACTTTTTTTTATATAAATTACCTAGTGTCAGTTGGTTTTTTATACCAGTTTGAGAAGAGAGTAATACAGAAAATTGGTACAAGATAAGTGGGGCATTTCTATAAAGATACCTGAAAATGTGGAAGTGACTTTGGAATGAGTAACAGGCAGAGGTTGGAGCAATTTGAAGGGTTTACAAAAAGACGAGAAGATAAGGGAAAGTTTGGAACATCCTAGAGATTTGTTGAATAGTTGTGACCAAAATGCTGACAAGGATATGGACAATGAAGTCCAGTCTGAGGAGGTCTTAGATGGTGATGAGAAAGTTATTGAGAACTGGAGTAAATGTCACTCTTGCTATACTTTAGCAAAGAGACTGGAAACATTGTGCACCTGCCCTAGAGATCTGTGGAACTTTGAGCATGAGAGAGATGATATAGGATATTTGGTGGAAGAAATTTTTAAGCAGCAAAGTATTCAATATGTAATCTGGCTGCTTCTAACAGCATACACTCATATGCTTTTGCAGAGAGGTGATCTGAAATTGGAACTTACCTTTAAAAGAGGAGAGCATAGAAGTTTGAAAAATTTGCAGCCTAACCATGTGGTAGAAAAAAAAATTTCTGGGGAGGAATTTAAGCTGGCTGCTGAAATTTGCATAGGTAAAGAGGAACCGGATGAGGTTAATAGCCAAGAAAATGGGGAAAATGTCTCCAAGACATTTCAGAGATCTTTGTGGCAGCCCCTCCCATCATAGGCCTGGAGGTCTAGGAGGGAAAAATGGTTTCATAAGCCAGGCCCTGGGTCTGCTTCTCTGTGCAGCCTCCAGACATTGCATCATACATTGGGACCACTACAGCTACAACCATGGCTAAAAGAAGCCAAGGTACAGCTCAGATTGTTGCTTCAGAGGGTGCAAGCCCCAAGCCTTGGTGGCTTTCATGTGGTCTTGGGTCTGCAGGTGGGCAGAGGGCAAGAGATGAGGCTTGGGAGCCTCTGCCTAGATTTCAGAGGATGTATGAAAACACCTGGATGTCCAGTCAGAAGTCTGCTGCAGGGGTAGAGCCCTTGTGGTGACCCTCTACTAGGACAGTGTGGAGGGGAAATGTGGGGTTGTAACTCTCACACAGAATCCCCAATGGGACACTGCCCAGTGGAGGTATGAGAAGAGGGTCACTGTCCTCCAGACCCCAGAATGGCAGATCCACCGACAGCTTGCCACTGTGCACCTAGAAAAGCCACTGGCACTCACTGCCAGCCCAGGAAAGTAGCCTCAGTAGGTGTGCCCTGCAGAACCACAGGGGCAGAGCTGCCCAAGGCCTTGGGAGCCTACCCCTTTCATCAGTGTGGCCTGGATGTAAGAAATGGAGTCAAAATAAGTTATTTTGGAGTGTTAAGATTTAATGACTGACCTGCTGGTTTTGGACTCACATGGCACCTGTAACTCCTTTATTTTGGCCAATTTCTCCCTTTTGGAATGGGAGCATTTACCCAATGCCTGTACTCCCATAGTACCATGCAAGTAACTAACTTTTATTTTACATACTCGTAGGTGAAAGATGCTAACTTTCCTTCAGATGAGTCTTTGAACTTGGACTTTTGAGTTAATGCTGAAATGAGTTAAGACTGTGAGGGATTGTTGGGAAAGCATGATTGTGTTTTGCAATATGAGAAGGACATGAGATTTGGGAGGGGCCAGGGGTAGAATGATATGGTTTGGCTCTGTGTCCTCATCCAAATTTCATGTTGAATTGTAATCCCCAATGTTGGGGAAGAAACCTCTTGGGAGGTGATTGAATCATGGCAGGGGACTTCTCCCTTGCTGTTCTTATGACAGTTTGTTCTCATAAGAGCTGGTTGTTTGAAAGTGTGTAGCACTTCCCTCTTTGATCCCTTTCTCTCCTGCTGCCATGTGAATATGTGCTTGTTTCCCCTTCACCCTTATGCCACGATCGTAAGTTTTCTGAGACATTCTCAACCATGCCTCTTGTACAGCCTGTGTAAAAAATTAAACCTCTTTTTAAAAATAAATTACCCAGTTTCAGATAGTTCTTTATAGTAGGGTGGGAATGGACTCATACATGGGTGGAAATATCCCTCAAACATGAAAGAGAAATAAAGAGTTCCCAGACAAACAAAAGCTGAGGGATTTCATCAATATTAGACCCATCCTACAAGAAATGTTAAAGGGAGTACTTCAGTCAGAAATAAAATGACACTAATGAGCAATAAATAATCATCTAAAGGTACAAAACTCACTGTTAATAGTAGGTACACAAAAAACACAGAATATTATAACCCTTTAAATGTGTTGTATAAACAACTCTTAGCTAGAAAGACCAAATGATGAACCAGTCAAAAATAATAACTACAACAACTTTGAAGACATAGTCAGTATAATAAGATAAAAGTAGGGACAACAAAATGATAAAAAGCGTGGGGATAAAGTTAAAGCATAATGTTTTTATTCATTTTATTTTGCTGTTTGTTTATGCAAATAGTGTTAAGATGTTATCAGGTTAGGACAATAGATTATAAGACGGTATTTGCAAGCCTCATGGTAATCTCAAACCAAAAAACATACAAGGGACCCACAAGAAACAGAAAGCAAAAAACTCAATCATATCACCAGAGAAAATCTCCTTCACTAGAGGAAGACAGTAATAAAAGAAAGAAAAAAAAGAGACCACAAAACAACAAGAAAACACATAACAAAATGTCAGAAGTAAGTGCTTAATTATCAATAACATTGAACGTAAATGTACTAAACTCTTCAACCAAAAGACATAGCCTGGTTGAATGGTTGGGGAAAAAAAAGCCCATTGATCTATTGCCTACAAGAAATACACTTCACCTGTAAAGACACACATAGAATGAAAATAAAGAAGTGGAAAAGATATCCCATGCCCATGAAAACCAACAAAGAGCAGGAGTCAGCCAGGTGCCGTGGCTCATGCCTGTAATCCCAGCACTTTGGGAGGCTGAGGTGGGAAGATTGCCTGAGCTCAGGAGTTTGCGACCAGCCTTGGCAACACAGTAAAACCCTGTCTCTACTAAAATACAAAAAATTAGCATGGCTTGGCAGCGTGCGCCTATAGTCCCAGCTACTCAGGAGGCTGAGACAGGAGAATTGCCTGAATCTGGGAGGCAGAGGTTGCAGTGAGCCAAGATTGTGCCAATGCACTCCAGCCTGGGCGAGCAAGGCTCCATCTCAAAATAAAATAAAATAAAATAAATAAATAAATAAATAAATATAAAAGAAGAGCAGGAGTCACTATACTTACCTCAGACAAAATAGATTTCAAGACAAAGGCTATAACAAGAGACAAAGAAGGTCACTATATAAATAATAATAAAAGGGTCAATTCAGTAAGAGGATATAACAACTTAAAATATATATGCACTCAACACTGGAGCACCCAAATGTATGAATGAAACATTATTAGAGCTAAAGAGAGAGATAGAACTCAATACAAAAATGGCTGGAGACTTCAGTATCCCACTTACAGCACTGGGCAGATAGTTCAGACAGAAAATCCACAAAGAACCAACAAATTTAATCTGCACTGTGGACCAAATGGATCTAATAGATATTTACAGGATATTTCATCCAAAGGCTGCAGAATATACATTATTTTCCTAAGCACATGAATCACGTTATTTATTTATTTATTTATTTATTTTTTTCTTTTGAGATAGAGCCTTGCTCGCCCAGGCTGGAGTGCATTGGCACAATCTTGGCTCACTGCAACCTCTGCCTCCCAGATTCAAGCAAATCTCCTGCCTCAGCTTCCCGAGTAGCTGGGACTATAGGCACATGCTGCCAAGCCAGGCAGGTTCAAGGATAGACCATATGTTAGATCACGAAACAAAAAAAAAGTCTTAAAACATTCAAAAAAAATTGAAACAATATCAAGTATCTTTTATGACCACCATGGAATAAAACTAGGAATGAATAATGAGAGAAATTTTGGAAACTCTGCAAATACATGGAAATTAAGTAATGTGCTTCTGAATGACCAGTGGTCAGAATAAATGAAGAGGAAAATTGAAAAATTTTTTGAAACAAATGATAATGGAAACAACATACCAAAACCTATGGATACAGCAAAAGCAGTACTAAGAGGGAAGTTAACAGCGATAGTGCCTACTTGAAAAGGAGGGAAAACTTCAAATAAACAATTTAACAATGCATCTTAAAGAACTAGAAAAAAAGAGTAAACCAAACCCCAAATTAGTCTAAGAAAAAATAATAATAAAGATGAGAGCAGTCATAAATAAATTTGAAATGAAAAAACAATACAAAATATCAATGAAACAAAAGTTGTTTATTTATTTTTTTGGAAAGATAAACAAAACTGAAAAAACTTCAGCCAGACTAATGAAGAAAATAAATAAATAAATAAATAATAAATAAATAAAATAAAATCAGAAATAAAAAAAGAAATTACAACCAATACTGAAGAAAGTCAAAGGATAATTAATGGCTACTATAAACACCTAAATGCCAATAAATTGGAAAATATAGAAAAAATAGAGAAATTCCTAGATACATACAATCTATCAAGATTGAACCAGGAATAAATCCAAAACCTGAACATAACAGTAACAAGTAATGATATCGAAGCCATAATAAAAAGTCTCCCAGTAAAGAGAAGCCCAGGATCTGATGCCTTCAATGCTGAATTTTATCAAACATGTAAGGAAGAACTAATACTAATCCTGCTCAAACTATTCAAAAAATAAAGGATGAAGGAATATTTCCAAACTCATTCTACAAGGCCAGTATTACCCTGACACCAAAACAGACAAAGAAATATCAAAAAAGGGAAACTACAGGCCAATATCTCTGTTAAATATTGATGCAAACATTCTCAACAAAATACTAACAAACTGAAGTCAACAATACATTAGAAAGATCATTCATGATGACCAAATGGGATTTATTCCTGGGATACAAGGATGGTACAACATGTGCAAATCAATCAAAATGATACATCATATCAACAGAATAAAGAATAAAAAACATGCGATAGTTTCAATTGATGCTGAAAAGGCACTGATAAAATTCAACATCGCTTCATGATAAAAACCCTCAAATGGAAACAGAAAGAACATACCTCAACATAATAAAAGCCATATATGGCAGACCCACAGCTATTATCATAGAGAATAGGGAAAAACTGAAATAATTTCTTCTAAAACCTGGAACATGACAAGGATAAGGATGACCACTGTCACCACTGTTATTCAACATAGTGCTGGAAGTTCTAGCTAGAGCAATCAGACAAGAGAAAGAAATAAAAGGCATCCAAATTGAAAAGTTAGAAATCAAATTATCTTTCGGTGCTTAAGATATGATCTTATATTTGGAAAAACCTGAAGACTCCACAAGAAAACTATTAGAACTGTTAAATAAATTCAGTAAAGTTACAGTCTAAAAAAATCAACATACAAAAATCAGTAGCATTTCTATATGCCAACAGTGAAAAATCTAAAAAAAAATCAGGAAGGTAATCTCATTTATAATAGCTACAAATGAAATAAAATATCTAAGCATTCACCTAATCAAAGATGGAATGATCAGTACAATGAAAACTATAAAACACTGATGCAAGAAATTGTAGAAGACATAACAAAATGGAAAGATATTTTATGTTTATGGACTGAATGAATCAATATTGTTAAAATGTCCATACTAACAAAAGCATTTTACAGATTCAATGCAATCCATATTAATATACCAATGACATTCTTCACAGAGAAGAAAAGTAATCCTAAAATGTATGTGGAACACAGAATTCCCAGAATATCCAAAGCTATCCTAAGCAAAACGAACTAAACTGGAGGAATCACATTACCCACTGCATTAGTCCATTATCATGCTGCTATAAAGATACTACCTGAGACTAGGTAGTTTATAAGCAAAAGACATTCAATTGACTCAGAGTTTCACATGGCTGGGGAGGCCTCAGGAAACTTACAGTCATGGCACAAGGCAAAGGGGAAGCAAGACATGTCTTACATGTTGGCAAGAGAAAGAGAAAGTATGCAGGGAAACTGCCAAACACTTTTAAAACCATCAGCGCTTGTGAGAACTATCAAGAGAACAGCATGGAGGAAACTGTCCCCATGATCTAATCATTTCTGAAAGTTTCCTCCACTGACACGTTGAGATTACAATGTGAGATGAGATGTGGGTGGGAACACAGAGCCAAACCATATCACCTACCTTTAAATTATACTACAGAACTATAGCAACCAAAGCAGCATGGTACTGGCATAGAAAGATACACATGGACCAAGAGAATAGAGCAGAGAACCCAGAAATAAATTCACACATCTGCGGTGAACCCATTTTTGACAAAGGTGCCAAGAATATACCTTGGGGAAAGAACAGTCTCTTCAAAAAATGATGCTGAGAAAACTAGATATCTACATGCAGAGGAAAGAAACTAGACCCCTGTTTCTTGCCACATACAAAAATCAAATCAAAATGGATTAAAGACTTAAATATTATGCTTCAAACTATGAAACTACTACAAGAAAACGTTGAAGAAAATCTCCGGGACATTGGTCTGGGCAAAAATTTCTTTAGCAATACCCCCACAAGCACAGGTAAGCAAAGCAAAAATGGACAAATGGGATCATATCAAGTTAAAAAGCTTCTGCACAGCAAAGGATGCAATCAACAAAGTGAAGAGACAACCCACAGAACGGGAGAAAAGATTTGTAAACTTCCCATTTGTCAAGGGATTAATAACCAGAACATATAAGGATATCAAACAATTCTATAGGAAAAACTCTAATAATCTGATTGAAAAAAACTGGGCAACAAATTTGAATAGATATTTCTCAGAAGAAGACACACAATTGGCAAAGAGACATATAAAAAGGTACTCAGCATCATTTATCATCAGAGAATTTCAAATCAAAACTACAATGTATTATCAGTTTACCCCAGGTAAAATGGCCTATATCCAAATGACAAGCAATAAAAAAATGTTGGCAAGGATGTGGATAAAAGGGAAACCTTGTATACTGTTTCTGGGAATGTAAATTAGTACAAACACTATGGAGAATAGTTTGGAGATTCCTCAAAAAACTAAAAATTGAGCTACGGTATGATCCAGCAATTCCACTGCTGGGGGATATACTAAAAAGGAAATCAGTATATCAAAGATATATCTGCACTCCTATGTTTGTTGTGGCATTGTTTACAATAGCTAAGAGCTGGAAGCAACCTAAGTGTCCATCAACAGATGAATAGGTAAAGAAAATGTGGTACATATACACAATGGAGTACTATACAACCGTAAAAAAGAATGAAATCCAGTCATTTGCAACAACATGGATGAAACTGGAGATCATTATGCTAAGTGAAATAAGCCAGGCACAGAAAAACAAACATGACGTGTTCTCACTTATTTGTGGGATCTAAAAATAAAAACAATTGAACTCATGGACATAGAGAGTAGAAGAATGGTTACCAGAAGCTGGAAAGTGTAGTGAAAGAGTAGTTGGGAAGGTGGGGATGGTGAATGGGTATAAAAAAATAGTTAGAAATGGTGAATAAGACTTACTATTTGACAGAACAACAGGTTGAGTATAGTCAATAATAACTTAACTGTCTATTTTGAAATAAATAGTGTAATTGGATTGTTTGTAACTCAAGGGATAAATGCGGGAGGGGATGTATACCCCATTATGTACTTATTTCACATTGCATGCCTGTATTAAATCATCTCATGTACCACATAAATATATATGCCTAATACGTACCCATAAAATGAAAATAAACATAAAATAGTAATAATTATCATTATAATGGAGTACTATGAACAACTCTATGCCCAGAAATTATATAAACTAGAAGAAGTGGAGCTATTCCTTGAAAAACACAATCTGCCAAAACTCACACAAGAAGAAATAAACAATCAGAATAGGCCTATATCCATTAATGATATTAAATCAGTAACTAATAATCTTCTAAAACTGAAAGTACCAGGCCTACATACATTAACTTGTGAATTCTACCAAGTATTTAAAATGAAATTATACCAAGTATCTACAATCTCTTTCAGAAGATAAAAGCCGAGACAAAACAGCCTAACTCATTCTATGAGACCAGCATCACTCAAATACCAAAACTAGACAAAGCTATTAAAAAAAAAACTAAAGACCATTATAATCTCATAAACATCATTTTTGATACTAAACAACAAAATGTTAGCAAATCAAATACGACACTAAATAAAACAATATACACCACAAAAAAAACTATAATTTGTCTTGGGTATGTGAGGTTAGTTCAACATTCGAAAATCAATTAATGTAATCCATCACATCTATGAGCTAAAAAAAAAAACTCACATAATTTTATCCATAGATGCAAGAAAAACATTTAACAAAATTCAAATCCATTCACGATTTAAACTCTCAGTAAACTAGGAATTGAGGGAAATTTCTTCAATTTGATGATGAATGTCTACGAAAAACCTACCATTGGCCAGGCACAGTGGTTCACGACTGTAACCCTAGCACTTTGGGAGGCCAAGGTGGGTGGATCACCTGAGGTCAGGAGTTCGAGACCAGCCTGGCCATCATGACAAAACTCCATCTCTACTAAAAATACAAAAAGTTAGCCGGCGTGGTGGCAGGCGCCTGTAGTCCCAGCTACTCGGGAGGCTGAGGCAGGAGAATGGCATGAACCCAGGAGGCAGAGCTTGCAGTGAGCCGCGATTGTGCCACTGCACTCCATCCTGGGCAACAGAGCAAGACTCTGTCTCAGAAAAAAAAAAAAAAACTTTCTCAAATCAGGACTAAAGTAAGGATGTCCCCTCTCACCACTGCTTTTAACATCATTTCTGAAAGTTGTAGCTAATGCAGTAGACAAGAAAGGAAATAGATATACACATTAGGAAGGAAGAAATAAAACTGTCTTTTTTCAAAGATGACATGATTATCTGTGTGGAAAACATAAAATAATCAACAAAATCTATAGAAACTAAAAAGTCATTATAGCAAGGTTAAAGGATACAAGGCTAATATACAAAAACCAATCACTTCCCTATATTCCAGCAATGACCAAGTGAAATCTGAAATTGCAAACACAATATCATTTAGATTAATGCCCAAAATAAGAAAATACCTAGGCATAAATCTAATACTAATCTAATCTAAATCTATTGTAATCTAAAATACTTAGGTATAAATATGTATAGGATCTATATGAGGAAAACTATAAAATGCTGATAAAAGAAATCAATGAAGAACTACATAAACTGGAAGATATTCTGTATTCATAGATAGGAAGACTCAATATTGTCAAGACATTAGTTCTCTCCAACTTGATCTATAGATTTGATACAACACCACTCAAAATCTTGCCATGTTATTTTGGATATTGACAAACTGATTCTAAAGTTTATACGGAGAGGGAAAGACTCAGAATAGCCAACACAATATGGAAGGAGAAAAATAAAGTCAGAAGACTGACACTACCTGACTTTTAGACTTCCTATAAATCTATAGTAACGAAGACAGTGAAGTACTGACAAAAACATAGACAAATCAATCAATGAAACAGAAGAGAAGGCCCAGTAATAAACCTTCATAATTAGTCAACAGATTTTTGACAAGAGCAAAGGCAATGCAATAGAGCAAAATCTCTTCAACAAATGGTGCTATAACAACTGGACATCCACATGCAAAAATCAATAAATAAATGTAGGCATAGACCTTATACCATTTACAAAATTCAACTCAAAATGGGTCATAAACACAAATGTAAAATGTGAAAGACCTTAACAGACACTTCACTAAAAGGCAAATAAGCATATGAAAAGATACTCAACATCATATGTCATCAGGGTAATGCAAATGCAAACAACAATGAGATACCACTACACACCTATTAGATGACCAAAATCCAAATTACTGACAACGGCAAATGTTAGCAAAACTGTGGAGCAGCATGAACTCTCATTTACTGTAGATGGGAATATAAAATGGTACAGCCAGTTTGGAAGACAGTTGGCAGTTTCTAACAAAACTAAACATACTCTTACCATATAATCCAGCAATCACACTTCTTGGTGTTTACCCCAAAAAACTGAAAACTTATATGCATAAGGAACCTAAACACAAATGTTTATAGTAGCTTTTTTCAGAATTGCCAAAATTTGGAGGCAATCAAAATGTCCTTCATTATGTGAGTGGATAAATCAACTATGATATATCGAGACAGTAGTATATTATTCAGCACTATAAAGGAATGAGTTATCAAGTGAAGAAAGCAGTTAAATGCGTATTATGAAGTGAAATAAGCCAATCTGAAAAAGCTACATACTGTATCATTCCAACTATATGATATTTTGGAAAAGGCAAAACTAGGGAGACAGTAAAAAGATCAGCGATTGTCACAGGTTGTAGGAGGCTTGACTAAGTGGAGTATAGAGTATTTTTAGGACAGTAAGGACACTCTGTATGATACTATAATGGGGGGTAAATGAAATAATAGATTTGTCCCTACCTATAGAATACAAAACACCGAGTGAACCCTAATGTAAACTATAGACTTTGGGCGATTATAATGTGTCAGTGTAGGTTCATCAATTGTACAAATATGTCACTCTGGTGAAAGATGTTGATAATGGGGAAGGCATGTGCAGCAGGCAAGGGATGCACGGGAAATGTCTGCACATTTCTCTCAATTTCACTGTGAATCTAAAACTTCTCTAATAAAATAAAGTCTGATATGGTTTGACTCTCAGTCCCCACCCCAATCTCATTTTGAATTGTAATCCTCATGTGTCAAGGGAGGAACATAGTGAGAGGTAATTGGATCATAGGGGCAGTTTCCCCCATGCTGTTCTCATGGTAGTGAGTGAGTTCTCAAAAGATCTGATGGTTTTACAAGTGTTTGGAAGTTCCTCCTTCACTCTTCTGTCTTCTTCCACCTTGTGAAGAAGGTGCTTGCTTCCCCTTTGCCTTCTGCAATTACTGTAAGTTTCCTAAGGCCTTCCCAGCCGTATGGAACTATGAGTCAATTAAACCTCTCTACTTTATAAATTACCCAGTATCCGGTATTTCTTTATAGCAGCGTGGAAATGGACTAACACAAAGTCTTTAATTTTTTAAAAAAATAACATCTTTTAATAGTTGTTTATACTTACATATTTACTCGGAAGACATTAGGCCATTTAAATTTCTCTCAATTCCCAATATTGAAGATATATTTATTTACCCACTTACCTCAGTTCTGGAATGTTTTCATTTATAATGTCTTTGCTTATTTATTCATTACTCTTTATTCTTTGTTCTTCTCTAGGGACTCCTATTATTTAGTATATTCTTATTTTCAAATTTCTCTTGAAATTATCTATACACACTTTTCAAATTACTCCAGTTTATCTTGTACTTCAGTTATCGGATTTTCTTCAAGGACAATTCTGATGCACTGTATTGAATGTTTTCAATTATGATTTTATTTTTCTATCTTAAAATGACTTTAGTCTTTTCTGAGCTCATTGTTAAAATGAAGTTTCAGTTCACTAAGCACTGGTATGAACTGTTTTACCAAAGATTCTAGATATTCACAAAAATAGTTATTCAGAAATTAATATCACCTTTAAGGTTTTTATGACTTCTCCTTTATTGTTGATGCTTCAGAATATTTTGGTTTTTTAATTCTTTTAAACTAGGAACATTTTTTAAAACTAATAATATCTACTAATTAGTTTTCTTACTTCTGGGGAATTGGAAAAGAGATAAACTTAAAATCCTCAATATTTGAGATTGGGAAATAGATCAGCTTTAAAGGTTCCTTTTATTTGCTTTCAAAATGCAAATATTTGCAGAATACATTCTTGTATTTTTAATTAAATCAATTCTTGATTTAATGTTTGCAATAATATATTCCAAAAAGAGGAGATTAATAAACAGAAATGCATATTATTTGCCTATCCAAAGCTATGTATTCAAATGCACATAGCAGTATTCTCTTATAACTTTAAACTTGTAAACAAACAAGAAAGAACAAATTTATATCAACAGTAGAATGAATGTTACAGTATGTACATAAAATGTGATATTAAATAGCATTACTAATGAATGTACTACTATTCATGCATAATATTGAGCAAAAAAATCTAGGCCCACACAACTAAAACTCTCCTATCATGATGGAAGCTGGAGTGGTGTTATGTTGATGAGGGGAGGTGTAACTGGGAGCTAGCTTAAGGAGGACCACATGGGAACTGGTAATGTTTTCTTCCTTCCTCTGAATAGCTGTTATAGGAGCATACTCACTTTGTGAAATTTATTGAAAAACAATTGTGACTTTTGCACTTCTTTATGTCTGTGTTATACTTAAAACTATACTTAAAAATAAGTGGAATAGCAGGGCATGGTGGCTCATGACTGTAATCCCAGCACTTTTGAGGGGCTGAGGTGGGTGATCATTTGAGGTCAGGAGTTTGAGAAGAACTTGACCAACATGATGAGACCCTGTCTCTACTAAAAATACAAAAATTATCTGGTGGTGGTGGTGCACGCCTGTAATCCCAGCTACTTGGGAGGCTGAGGTAGGAGAATCACTTGATCCCAGGAGGTGGAGGTTGCAGTGAGCCAAGATCATGCCACTGCACTCCAGCCTGGGTGACAGAGTGAGATTCTGTCTCAATAAAAGAAAAAAAAGGAATGGAATACCGGGGAAGATACATTGTATCTGTATTTGCCACATTTATAATTAGATGTATCTAATGATAACCTACATGTCATAAAACAATACTAAACGTTGTTTCATAAATTTAAAAAGATAAAAGTAATTCTCATGAAGAATCAGAAATGGCTTCAAAAAGGAATTGTCAGTGTAGAGGATTGTCTGGGTGACAGAAAGACAAAATGCATGAAAAATCAGTGAAGACACCATTGCAATATCGTATTCTTAGTATTCTAAGAGCTGAGGCTAGTGTCTTGGGCTGTAAGTGCCTCTTAAGTAGTCGCTGAATGTGAACAATATTGGACCGAAGGTTATCTTTGACAACAAACTGAGTTACCAGATAGAGAGAAGGACACAAGCTTTTCTCATCAGCTATACTAATTACCTTATTGGAAAGTTCTGTATTTTAGCATGTATTTTGAGATTTTAATTTCTTATTAAATAAAAACACATTGGGAAATGTTATTTATATAGTCATTAGCATGTTGGAAATATGGAAAGTTGCAAACAACACAAAAGTGATAAAATATTTGCAAATTTCAGGTTGAGAAGATTTCCAATTAAACGAACCCTTATTATCTTTACATTTATATTTTTTGATAAAAGGAGTATAGCAATAGTTTATAAATGCAGATGTAAGAAAATATGAGAAGAAAAAATTATTTGTATTCAAGTCTAAGGTGACCTCCATACCACAGACTAAATCTATCCACCCACCCACTGAAATAGCACCTGCTCTGGAGGGTCTAATTTCACTTTCAGCAGCATTACTGAAAGAATAGGCAGAAGAACCTAGCAAGTCCACTAAATATGGACTTCATCAATCAGCTAGCAAACACAGCCATGTCTAAAAGAAGTCAATCATTACTTCTATTGGGTCAGAAAGCAGAAAATCAAATATAAAGCATGTCTGGATTTCTTCAAAAGTAGCATGTTGTTTGAGGCCAACAGAACTTTTCTTAAGTATTCTTTCTCCCTGCAAAAGATATTATGAACATTTCAATCGTAGACAACCCTACAATTTCAAAAGAATTTGGTACAAAAATGTCACTTACAACAAAGGTAAACTATAAAATATAGATGAGGGAGGAAGCAGAAGTAAGTTTAAAAAAAGTTTCTTTTTAAATTTAAAACCTTCAAAATTAATTCCTACCTCATGTAGCTGTGACAAATGAGAAATCTTAGAAGAGAGTTACAGAAGGAGACCAGTGGGTGAGACTGTACACAGAGAGACAGTTACATCGTCAGAAAGCCAGACCTCTTGTGCCATTCTCACTCCCTCCTCATACTTCCCAGCTTTGGCACTTTATGCAAATATGTACCTTATTCCTAGCACATATCCACAGATTTCCTCCACTCTCTAAAGAAGCTTGGAGAACTCCCTAAAGAGAGCTGGAGGTGTGGGGATGTGTATTCATTTGCCACCATTGGGCAATCAGGTTAAATAAACTTGTTTTACTGCAATCTCCAAGGTTGCAAGCAAACTAAAGCAAAGAATGAGTGTATGAAAATGCTGCATGGATAAATGTGGGAAAGGAAGATTACTAAATGCACAGTTAGTGAAAAATTTCCAAAGCATTATTATATCTGTGCACAGCTTTACAATTTTAACAATATCGCAACTTTAATTTTTAGATTTTCAAGTAAAGACTCTGCTGAATTGCCAGTGTTCTACAGACCAGAACAAAACCTGACTTAGTAGAATGGATTACACAAGTAAGTCATGTAAGGCAGCATGAAGACCACCCAGCTTTACTTTGTGAGGTGTAATTCTCACTGTAGACTTCCATGTCATTCAAAGCAGAGCATTTAGGGCAGAAAACCTCAGGATATTGTGCAATATCCTTTTAGGACTGGCCCATTCCCAAGCTGTACTGTAATCAGTGGATTAAAAAAAAAAAAAGCACGTAAGCATAAATTGGGAGAGTGTAAGAGATAAAGTCAGATTTCTTCAGTTTTAAGTGGGGGGGACCTATCTTATATCTACCCCCAGTACCAAGAACAATGCCAAGAGGGCACGTGCTTCTTATATACAGTATAGGAAGCAATGCACATAGCCTTGTTCATTGCACACTTGCTGTGCGACCATAGGCAAGTCATTTTCCGTCTCCAACTTTAGTATGTCCCTTACAAAGGGTGGTTGGTAATGAAACCTCTCTCTGGGATTGTTTCAAAATGTGATTAGATTACGCCTGTGAAAGCACTCTGTGAACCCTAAAGTGCTCTGCAAATATAAGGGATAAAATGTTGGAAAGCTGCCTCTGGATGATTCCTTCTCAAATATGCCCAGATATTAACATTTTAGTGGTGAAAAAAAGACTGCTAATATTTCCCATTGGCACTTTTCTATTGCAGAAGTAAGTAATCTAAGTAGACGCAGTACTTTTTTTCCTCAAGACTCAACAAAGCTACTTTCATTTAAATTGCAGCACGTCAACATTTTTATTTTCCCCGAGTTGACTGTTTTGGGAAATATATATATGCTCACCCCTTGTCTAATTTCCATTAGACTCTGAAAGTCAGAGTAGCCCTATCCTGGTCTTGACATTACATCTCTCTGTGTGACCTTGGGCAAATTACTGTTCTTGCTATCATTAGTTCAGTACAGGTATATATATGGCCCCTAATGCATGCCAAGCTCTGTGTTAGGCTCAGCCTGAGATACTGAAAAAAGAGCAAAAGTCCCCTACAGCTAAGAAGTTTACATTAAGTTTTTTAGTCTCCCAAACAGAAATGATAATCACTGTGCTATCCACCTCCCAGATTTGATGTGAGGTTAAAAGACAGCACAGAAGAGTACTTGGCAAAATTCAAAAATGGTACATAAATGCAACATGTTATTATTACCAAACATAAAATTATCAACAGCGTATAGATGGTGAAAGAATACTTGAGAGAAGAGGAGATTAATATTTATCGAGCTTCTGCTCCATACAGAGAAATGTACATATATTACTCTACCTACACAACAAACTGGTTAGGTGGATATTAATCACTGCTTTTGACCAAAGGGAAATACAATAGTTAAAGGAATCTAGTTAAAAAATCAGAGCCACTATTCAAACCATAGCCTGATTGCAAAAGACTCTACAGAAACCGTTTATATAGATTTTTATATTGCTTCAGAAATCCACATATATTTCACCAGAAAAGAAAGAGCCCCCAAAAGTTAACAAGCAGCAATTTCAGTTGCAGAAGTAGACAAGAACATATTTTTAACTTATTTTTAAAAATAACAAAGAAGGAAAGAAACAAAATGAACTAATTTAATTAATAGAGCAACACAAGGAATCAAAAAAGGTATCATTATCTTTTCTAATTCCCTAAACAAGGCTCCTGCCTAAAATGATTTTTGTTTAAAAGCAAAACTAATGTTGTTTTCTGAATCCTTAAGTAGATAGAATGGATGGAAAGCTGCACATTTCAGCACTCACACAGTTAAAAGAATCACTTGAGAGGGCTTCGTGAAATCGAAATTTCTGTAATGCTTTCTGTGTGGATTAGCATACCAAGCAAAGTACAAAGGTAGCTTAATGCCTAGATATATTAAAACCAAGAGCTTAACTTCTAATATCCTCTCTCCAATCAGGTATGGATTTACAAAACATTTTACTCTTGTTGTTAGTTTTCCTAGCTAAAACTCACAACTAAATCCATCAGCGTAAAAGATTGTTGAGTTATATTGGTATGATTTTCAAAATTTATTTTCAACCTATAAAGCAGAATAAGATAAACTCCAGGGGTATGCGAAAGCTGGAAACTGCTTAGAAGCAGCTAACAGGGCACATATAAATCAAGCAGCCTGGAATTATAAATATGTAATAACTGTTTAGAAAAAAAATTTAATGATTGAATCTCTTGCTGACCTAAATGGATATGAATTAACACTTCTCCTTCACAGTGGGAAGATAACTAGTAATATTTATCTAGCATCTACTAAATGCTAGACCTGTGTCAATGCATTTTATACATTATCTCATTTACTTCCCATAAGAAAAACCCTATGAAGAGAGTAATATTGTATTTATGTTCTAGCCAGATGATGGAACTTCCAGATGATAGAACTGAGATTTAGAATTTAAATAATGGTCCAAGAGTGCACAGCTAATAAATAACGGAGCCGGAATTGAACTCAGCCTGTCTCTTTCTACTATCCTATTCCATGTCAGGTGCCATAGAGGATCACACCTCTTTTCTGTGTGCCATTTGCAAATATAAAAAAGCTTGGAAGGCAATGAAAAGAATTCCAAGTATAGATTCATTCACTGATTTAACAAATAATTCTTAAGTACCTATTCTCTGTCAAGCCCAGTGATGAAAAGCACAGTCGTGAAGGAAATAAATGTGGGCCTTGCTCTCATGGGGTTTACAGTACAGATTATTTTAGGCTTTGAGACTGAGCCTTTCCCAGACACTCCAAAATTGAGAAGAAACTCCTCATAAATTGAGACTCTATGTGGTGAGTCAGATATGCCTACTCTATTACTTACTGGCTGTTGACACATGCTAAATAGTAAACATACTTTATAGATGAGTGTCATCTATAAAATAGAGATAATAAAAATTGCACTATCCACCTCAAGATAGTATTGTAAAGAATAAATAACATAATGCATGTGAAATTATCACAAACATTCAAAGATAGACACATACATCTGTGTATATATACATACATAAAAGGATAATCATTATGCTTTTCAAGGTGAAGACATTATATATTTACCTTATTGAAATAACAATTAGCCAAGGGCAGTGGCTTATGCCTATAATCCCAGCACTTTGGGAGGCAATGCAGGAGGATCCCTTGAGCCCAAGAATTCAAGACCAGCTTGGGCAACATGACAAGACCCCATCTCTACAAAATTTGTTAAAAAAATTTTCAGGGCATGATGGCATGCCCTTGTTGCCCCAGCTACTTGGGAGGCTGAGGTGGGAGGATTGCTTGAGCCTAGGAGTTTGAGGCTACAGTGAGTTATGATTATGCCACTGCATTCCAGCCTGGCCAACAGAGCAAGACTTTACCTGAAACTATGAAAAGTAATTATTATGTGACATGATGGCAACAGTTGCTACCAGATTGGGAAGTTGTGAGGTTTCTGCTAATGTAGACACATAGATAATACATGGGAAAAATGGTTGCAGAAAAGAATAAGTTATTCATAATTTTAATTACTTGTTATTTGATAATATAGTATCAAGGCATCTTGTAGCCTCACAAAGCATAACTTTGGATTTCCTACCTTGTGGTTTTGTATTTAGCTAGTCAACCCAAATCCTTTCCCCAAACACAGCGCAATGAGAACAGCAAGTTAACATGAAGTTTTAACAAAGAGATGCTCATTGCCATGCACTGTGCTGGACAATGAAGAGATGCCGGGCATGGTGGCTCACACCTGTAATCCCAGCACTTTGGGAGGCCAAGTCAGACAGATCACGAGGTCAAGAGATCGAGACCATCCTGGCCATCATGGTGAAACCCCGTCTCTACTAAAAAATACAAAAATTAGCTTGGCATGGTGGTGCATGCCTGTAGTCCCAGCTACTCTGGAGGCTGAGGCAGGAGAATGGCTTGAACGCGGGAGGCAGAGGTTGCAGTGATCTGAGATGGCACCAATGCACTCCAGCCTGGTGACAGAGTGAGACTCCATCTCAGAAAAAAAAAAGAATGGTTCATGAGAGAGGAGCCATGTTCTCAGGGAACTTGTAGTATACTGAAAGACGCTTGCAGAAAATAGACATATACTATTCGCTGTGGCAAAGTTTGAAAACAGGATGATTGGGGACACAACGGGAATACAGATTCAAGACACAAATTCATCCTCGTGTTTAAGAAACCCCTAAACCAAGGACTGGGGCATAAAAAGGCAATTTCCTGGTAAAGGTGAGTACTTGTTGGTAGGAGAATGGAGAGAAGTCACGGTGCAAACACATGGAAACAAAAGCAAGTGGAAAACACTAGTAACTACAACACAGTTCACTGTGGCTAACATGTGGCATGCAGAGGGTAAAACAGGACAAACTGAAACTGGAGCAAACTGAAACTGGAGTTTGTTTGCAGCAAAATCTGAAACTGGAGGCCTTGACTAGGGAGAGGTATTTTGGGAATAAAGACTCTTGATTGTATTAAGGAATGTGGAATCTCTTCTCAGAGTAAAGTGACTGATATAAAAAGGCTTTGACTTTGATTTTGATTTTGGAGTCAGACAAGGAAAGTCACTCTTTGATCTGCTCTTTAGATATACCCTGGTGGCTTCTGGGTGGACGATGGGTTGGTAGTTTAATCAGGAGCCTAATTAGGAGGATGTTAAAATCGATAAGCTGAGCTTTTGCTGAGTTACCCATGATCCATGACTGAAAGTAAGGGAGTACCATACATGTACACCATGAACAGAGTAAATAGTATGCCAAAGAAATTAAATGCTAATTGAAAAGCCGAATGTGTACTGAGCAGGATGAGGAGGAGTCACGGAGGTGAATAAAGTTGTTTCCTCTGGCCCAGGCTTGTCACACTTCCAGGTTTGATTGAAGTATTCTCCACATTCCCCTCAAACTTCTGCCCACCAACCTCTCTTACCACCCTCAAGAGCTCTCAATTATTCTTTTTGTTCGGATTGGGGAAAAAAGCGTGACTGCTGCTTTTTCAGCAAGTGAAATGCAAACACTATTTGTGGACTGCAGAAGGCCAATCAGGTACAGCATTTACTTAGTGGGTCAGGGAGGAGTCTAATCTGACTGAGAATTCACTTGCAGCTTTTAGCCCTGTCCTTGTCATGACATCCACAACACACTTATCTCCTCTCTACACACATTACTGCTTTAGAGCAAGGCACTTTTTGTCTCCTACAGGAAGATAGATTTATTCATTTCAGTGGTATCATAATATTGAACAGCTGGTCACTGCTTCTCACTGTCTCATTCCTCACACACTTCTGCTTTATCAGTCACAAGTCCCATGGCTAAACACTGTGAAAACCAGAGGAAATGTGTTATAAAAGCAACAATACTGATGAACAAAACATACAGACCCTCTGGATATAAGTGACAAATCCAACAGTGCATTGTTCTGTTCTTTTCTAAAATAAATCCTAAAAAGAAAAGTTTTTAGGCTGATATAAAGCCTCATATTTGAATGATATAGCTCATATTTTCATAGTTTTGAATGCCATTTATCTGACTTAGTTCATGACCAAAAATGTGTGTGACTAGGGAGATCAATTGTGCAGCCAGAACGTGGAAGTTAAATAGACTATTCAAATTTACAGAGCAATGTAGTAATTACTGAGGCAGGTATCCAGATTCCAGGATGAATTGCCAACTCCTAGATCAGGTTTAAAGGCTCTGAACTGGCCCCTTGATCAAACCATAGAGGAAGCTCCACAGGAACCTTTATTTACAGTCAAAATTCCCTATGTAAGTCTTCTTGTAACCATCCAAGAGGCTCCTACTACCTGCTGCATAGAGAAAGACCATGGCACTGCAGATGGCATTGCAATAAAGAAAGAGTTTAATAGACACGAGGCCAGCCACAACATGTGGGAGACAGACTTAGTACTCATATTATTTCATCTGAAGTTCCTAGGTTAGGGGTTTTCCAAAGGCAGTTTGGGGGAAGGCATGGGGTGGCTAGGCTTGCTGCTGATTGGTTGGGGTGGAGATGAAATCATAGGGGGTCAAAGTTGTCTTCCTGCATGCTTAATCACTTCTGGGTAGGGTCACAAGTGCTGAGTTGGTGAGTCCAGGTGGGTCTAGGTGGAGCCATGGGTATCAGACATGCAAAAACACTGCAGACATACTTCAAAAGGCCCATCCACAACAGTGGTGCTATTTGCAGGAGTAACTGGCAAAGTTGCGTATCTTATAACCTCCAGAGTAATAGCTGACATTCTTTTATGTCTGTGCATTAGCAGGACGCAGGCTCCTCCCCTCTCCCCAGCCTGATGATCTCCATTAGCTTTACAAAAGTGACTGACTTTTAGAGGAGGCCTATTATCATTTAGACTATAGCCTAAATGTCTTCCCAAGTTAGCTTGGCCCAATAGCCAAGGATTAATTAAGGGAAATCCAAGGTGATGAGTTAACTCAGATCTCTTTCACTGGTATAATTTTTGCAAAGGCACGTTCATTTTCACCACTATCCTTTTTATCATCTGTGGGCTTTTTATTGATATTAGGATAACAAAAACAATTATAATCAAACAGCTGCAGCATAATGATTAATATTGAAATAATGACAACAGCAACAGTGACAGTAAAGTGACTGTAGCAAGGTGCTTAAGCCTGCAGGCTGCAGGCTGTCAATCACACGTCTATTTATATTCTAGCCCCAGTGCTCCTTATTGTTTTTTTTTTGGTTTTGAGATGAAATCTTGCTCGGTCTCTCAGGTTGCAGTGCAGTGGCACGATCTTGGCTCACTGCAACCTCCACCCCTGGGACTCAGGCGATTCTCCCACCTCAGCCTATCAAGTAGCTGGGACTACAGGCACGCACCAACATGCCCAGCTAATTTTTGAATTTTTAGTAGAAACGAGGTTTCACCATGTTGGCCAGGCTGGTCTCCAACTCCTAAACTGAAGTGATCTGCCTGCCTCAGCCTCCCAAAGTGCTGGGATTACAGGCGTGAGCCACTGCACCTGGCCGTGCCCCAATGTTCTTTGACTCTATGAGCCTAGGCATGTTACTTACCCTCTCTGTTCCTCTGCCCCCTTTTTAAAAAAAAGTAATAAATAAGTGTCTGATATAGTTTGGATATTTGTTTCTACCCAAATCTCATGATGAATCATAATCCCAATGCAGGAGATGGGGCTTGATGGAAGGTGTTTGGATCATGGGAATGGATTCCTCATCAGTGGTTTGGGCCATCCCCTTGGTGATAAGTGAGCTCTCATTCTGAGTTCTCATGAGATCTGGTGTGTCACCTCTCCCCAAACTCTTTCTCCTGCTCCCAGTCTTGTCATATGATAGGCCTGCTCCCCCTTTGGCTTCTGTCATGATTGGAAGCTTCCTGAGGCTTCTGCAGAAGCAGATGCTGCTATGCTGCATGTTCAGCCTGCAGAACAGTGAGCCAATTAAATCTATTTTATTATAAATTACCCAGTCTCAGGTATTTCCATATAGCAATGCAAGGACTGCCTAATACACTCTCATATATATATATATATATATATAGAGAGAGAGAGAGAGAGAGAGAGAGAGACAGAAAGAGGGAGAGAGAGAGAGAGTGAGCATTGGGGCTAGGATATAAATAGGCAGTGTAATCCACAGCCTGCAGGCTTAATCACCTTGCTACAACCACTCTATTATCACTGTTGCTGTTGTTGTTATTTCAATATTAATCATTATGCTAGAGCTGTTTTACATATATATATAATATTATATATATATATCAGAGAGGACTATAATATCATCTAATAGGGTTTTATTATAAGAATTAAAAAACATAATATATTTAGGTACTTAAAAATTATCTGGCATATAAATATTCGATAAGTGTTGCCTATAATCACTATTTTAAAATATGCATATGTATGTGAAATTTCATATTGTTTAAATATAATTATCATAACTACTTTGTGGCTCACAATAGTCCTGTGAGGCATGTGGTGAATAAAGCTCTACAGTTCCTCAGCTATTAAGGGATTAAGTGATAATTTAAACCAAATATGTCTAATACCGACATCTATTAGGCCTTGTATATTAGTCTCTTATTGCAACAAATTACCACAAATTTAGTAGCTCAAACATCACAAATGTATTATTTTACAGTTTTGTGGGTTAGAGGTCCAGGGCAGGTCTCACCAGGCTAAAGCCAAAGATTATCAGGGCTGCATTCCTTCCTGGTTCTTGGAGAGAATCTATTTTCTTGCTCATACCCATTCTTAGCAAAACTCAGTTCCTTACGTTTGTCAGACTGAGGTTTCTGTTTCCTTGTTAGCTGTCAACTCAGGGCCATTCTCAACTTCTGAAGACCAACCACATCCTTTTCTGATGGCTTCCTTCTTTCATCAACAAAATGAGCAATGGGAGGTCAAATCCCTCTCATGCCTCAAATGTCCCTGTCTATTCTTCTGTCACATCTCTCTCATCAATATTTCTGCCCTCCTCATATGCTTTTAACATGATTACATTGGGCCTTCCCAGATAATACAAGAAAAAATCCATATTTTAAGGTCCATGACCTCAATTCCCTCTTCCAAGTTCCTTTGGCCATGTAATGGAACATGTTTATGTGTTCCAGAGATGAAGGCATGTTAATATGGTTTGGCTGTGTGTCCCCACCTAAGTCTCATGTTGAATTGCAATCCCCAGTGTTGGAGGTGGGGCCTGGTGGGAGACGATTAGATCAGGGGTGGTTTCTGATGGTTTAGCACCATCTCTCTAGTGCTGTCTCATGATAGAGTTCTCAGGAGATCTGGTTGTTTAAAGGTATGTAGCACCTCTCCCTTCACTCTCTTCCTCCTACTCTAGACATGTAGGATGTACCTGCTTCCCCTTTGCCATGATAGTAAGTTTCCTGAGGCCTCTCAGACATGTTTCCTGTATAGCCTGAGGAACTGAGTCGATTAAACTTCTTTTCTTTATAAATTACCCAGTCTCAGGTAGTTCTTTACAGCAATGCATGAATGAACTAATACACATGTGCATCTTTTGTAGGCTACCATTCTGCCTACCAAATTGCGGCACCTCCAATTTTGTGCTAGGGACCAGTTGGAGTCACATCAAAAAAGCTGCTAGTGACAGAAAAGGATAAGAATGAGTATCATAAACAAGAGTATAAAATTAATTAAGCTCTCTAAAAGGCAATAATTGAATACTAATCAAGAGGTCAATGGCGAAAGAGTATGAGTAAAATAGATCAATTTGTTTTTAACAGCTTTATTGAGGTATAATTGTTATACTAAGAAATCAGCATATTTAAAGTGTACAATTTGATGAGTTTGGACATATGCGAACACCTATGATACCATCATCACACTCAAGGTAAAAGACATATCTCATACCTTCCATAGTTTTCTTGTGCCTTTTTGTTTCTTCTGTTTGTATGGTGTTTGTGAATTTTTTGTGTGTGGGGGTGTGGAAAGAACACTTAACATAATGCTGTGGTTTGAATGTTTGTGTACTCCCCCAAATACGTGTTGAAGCTTATTCCCCAGTGCAACAGTATTAAGAGGTAGGGCCATTAGGAGGTAAATAGGCCATGAGGGCCCTGCCTTCATTAATTGGATAGCTAACCTCATAAAAGGGCAAGAGGGAATTAGCCAGGCCTTTTTGCCTTTCTGTGTTCTGTCACATGAGCACCCAGTGGTTGTCCCCTATGGAATATGCAGCAACAACTTGCCATCTTGGAAGCAGAGACCAGGTCCTCACCAGACACCAAACCCACTGACGCCTTGACCTTGGATTTCCCAGCTTCCAGAACTGTAAGAAACAAATTTCTATTGTTTATAAGTTACCCAGTTTCAAGTATTTTGTTATAGCAGCACGAATGGACAAAGACACATGAGCTCTGCTGTCAACAAATGTTGAAGTGCACAGTACTGTATTATCCACAGGGACTATATTGTAAAGCAGATCTGCAATAAGTTCTTTGAGAAACTAAATGAACTACATATTTTTCAAGTGATAAGTAGAAAAAAGTGCAAAAAAATCTGAAAGAAGGTATGGGTAAATATTAGTATGGCATTGCAAAATAAGTTATTAGTTTAAGAGACAAAAATGGTAAAGAAAGATTTATCAATTTCACCAAATAAAATTTATGTATGAAAGGCATCATTAACAGAATTAAAGGACAAATAAACTAGGGAAGAGTATGTATAAGGGGATGGATGCCACAAATTTATTAATGTTTTCTACAAATCAATAAAAAGATTAAAAACTCCAGTAGGCACAGAGACAAAGGAAAATAAACAGGCAACTCATATATGAAGAAATAAATGAAGAAATATCAGTGGTTAGTAAATAAACAAAAAACAATTGTATCATATAACACACACACAGAATATTTTTCAACTAGCAAATTTAGGCAAAGATAGAAATTGTCTAGTTAAGAACTTTTTCTTGGCAATACAACTTCTAAAGATTTATCCCAAGGAAAGAAGCAGAAAAAATGCCTAAAAAGATATGTGTAAGGACATAGATACAGGACACAGACGCAGATATAAATAAAGATACAGAGCATTATTTATTTATAATAGCAAAAAAAGAAGAACAAGGTACACATAACTAAAATTATTCCCTGTTTATCCTGAATGCCTTATAAAATCATTTATTAAATGTTTTTGGACAAGCATGTGAACACATTGTAGTATTAAAAACAAACAAACAAAAAATCTTTTCAAAATATGTTGAAGAGAAAATAAAGATCAAGATGTTGAGATTTTCCTAGGAAGAGAGATTTGAAAAGTAATTTGAGACAGACATTCAATCCATAATGAACCATGTAGAAAGCTGCCTTAAAACCTTTTGGAAGAAGGCAAGGTACAAATATAGAACTGTTTGGGAGAGAATAAACTACTATAAAGGCTAAAACACAAATGTGAAGTAAGCACATAAATACATCTGGTTTCACAGACATTAGGGCAAACACGGAATTTAGAAAAATACTGTCATGAATTGAGTTAGATTTAGTCATTAATTTTCATTTAATGAGTCAGAACTAGCCATAATTTCTCATTTAATAAGTAAGATTTATGGTACTATATAAGCTTGAAAATATTAGTAATTAATAGAAATTGGCTTGGTAAAGACATATGATCACTCATTTAAAGGCAATTCGATATTGGAAATGAAGCATGATTACTCTACATCCAGCAGAAATTTATAACACTAAATTGATAGTCACATTTAACTATAGGAAGAGAATGTAAATTTCACTCAAGGTTCACACTATGAGTAATGAATAATCAACTGAGAAATAATTGCAGCCATAAAGCATAATTATTCATGCACTTTGCCTACCAGGGCATATTTGCACAATATTAAGTATCATAAGACTTGATCAGAAATGAGGACATGGTCATATCCCATTGGCATCTTCTATTTAACACTTCAATAAATTTGTAGTTTGTTTTCTTTCTTATAGAATTGACTTATTGTAGATCTGCTTTACAACAGAGTCCCTTTAGGTAATACAGTACCAGCATACTACTCAATACCAAAGAAAGTCACAAGACTGTACAAGATCAGGTACCAAAATACAAAATATATAAGGTACGTAAATTAAAGAGTGTATGTGTGTTTTGCTTCTGGATATTTACCTAGAAAGAACGGGGCTCCAATTTTCAGAGAGATTAAACGGAAAGGCATTTTCCCTGTGTAAAAGCAAAATATGTTTTGATTATTATCATCTTCCTTTAAAAAAAATTTCAGTTTCTCCCTTATTCCTTTTCTAAAAATCCATTTAACAAAACCTTTTAATTGCATTTCGAAAAAGTTATTGCCAGTAATTTGCTATTTGGGTATTGTATATATGCTACAACATGACATCCTACATGTGAATCCCCATATCCTGTGGCAAATTTATGTTATTCAATCTTTGAAGCAAGAATTATACAGTTTTATGAAGACAGGATACTACTTTGAAGAAGAGAATTGATTAGAAAACCCTGAATTTTCTTACTGTTTCATTTTTCCCCTAAAGTAATGTTTAAGCAAGGTCAGGACCCCTATCCTATCCACCCTTGGACATGTACTACATGAAGATTCTTAGGGAAATCCAATGAATGGAAAAGACAAGTTTTCCCCAAAGTCTAGAAATATGGGATCTTCTGAAGAGACATAATAAAAATATTTATTAAAGATTTAGTTATAAGCTGGAGAGTTAATATGTTTACCCAATGGAGAGATCTTTGTTAGGATCTTTAATTGAATCTCTAATTAAAGCCCTACCATATAATTGAGGCTGAGTCTAGCATCACTGTGGAATATACTACCAAAAGGTTGAAGGAAGAAAATGAAGAATTGACACCCCACAAGCATGTGGAAATACATTTTAAAGCTACATTTTAAGACACAGAAATGTCTATGAATATTAATGAATTCCTATTCACCATTTTGTGCTACCAGTTAAAACATTAGTACTCTTTCCCATCTGTTTGCTATAGTGTAGCCATTCATACTCAGCCTGCAAAACAGATTTGTCACATTTTCTCCATATTCCAAAGGGTTAGATACTGGTAGGAGACAGCACTAATCATAAAGCATGCTCTCATGGATTCACACTACTAACTAGAAAACCAGTACAAATTGCAGAATTAGAGAGATTAAGGAGAATGTAGCGACATACAATAAGCAAATCAGCCCTACTTCATCAAACAAATGTTCTTTGCTGTACAATAACAAAGATAATTGAAGACTGCACTGGAAGGGAGCCTAACAGTATAATAAATACTTGGCTGTGATTCACATGCCAATCAGAAACTGAGACACGACGAGTTCTGAAGCAGATCTTGTCTGATTTGAACAGTGGCCTTATTATTTATTTATTTCAAATTTGGCTTAAAGGGCTACATCAGAGTTAAAAGTTTTTTTGAGGGAGGAACTAATTAGACTCTGTGAATTTAATGTAAGCTCTCACCATGTCTTAAATTTACTTTGCTGCTTTCTCTGTAATAAAAATATTGCTTTTATAATTTTTAATAGCAGAAAGTAATAAAAATCAAAGCAACCAAATTGTTGAAGTTTTCCACTCACAGAATAGGCTGCCAACATTTTCTAATAATGGAATCTTACTAGTTGTGTGCCCTTGAGCTCAGTTTTATCTATATTTCATGTATGCTGCTGTAAAACCTGAACAATAGCACCTACCTTGTAAAATTTTTGCCAGGATTGAGATGCATTGTGGGTTCCTTCAGCAACAAACGAAGATTAGATATGTAGGGTCAGTGATATCTCCCAGTTGTTTGTTGTTGTTGTTTTGCATGAGTCTGTATGAATGAGAACTTTTATTTTTGATTAAAGAGAGAAGGAAAAGGGTGGTTCACAATCACCAGAGGCAGAATAAATCAAGGTGGGGAAAAAGAAAATGCTATAAAGTCCATTCTCCAGTCACTTCAAGTTCTATAAAAGAGGTGCAAAGAAGATAAGGGGGCATTTTGACAAGGGATAGTCAGAGACTAGAAGTGCAGTCAGCCAGACTTCAAGGCTCAAGAGATGCAGGGGTAGGAATAACTAAGCTCTTCCCATTTCTTTGTCAACTGAAGTAGCAGAGTCAGGCTAGAGTGTTAATAGCAGACCAGAAGCATGAGCAGTGTCAACTATATTGGAAAGAGAGACAAGTACCTCAAGGAATCCATGGACTGCAGTGGCCATAGGGAGATATCTTTCAAAAGATTTTCGAGTAATAAATGCCCAAGAGATTTAACACAAAAGAATGTAAGTAGAAATTTTCTGAAGCACATGAGAACAACCTGTTAGAAATTCTACAGAATAATGGAAGGGTTTGGCAGGAAGTGGGGAGGGCTCCAAGAAAGATCTGAGGAGACATTAAAATCTGAAGCTTAATGTATTTTTTACCTGCAGTTCACAGGGTCTGGGTCATTTTAGTTACATGCTTCCCATATTTTTGTTTTTATTTTCTTAACTAAAGACAAGCTACTAGAGAATAGATGCATATCTCAAAAGTTTTGTATTTCCCACATTAGCCAGGCACTATGCTAGGCACAATTTAGCTGTTTAATACATTATTGCCTTTCGTAGTGCATAGGCCAACAGAATTGATCAATAAATAAATAAATGGAGAATATGCTCGAGAACAAATTGACAAACAAGACATAAATAAATCACCAAGAACAGATGGCATCCAAACAAATGTTTTTAAAGCAGTCAGAGGACACTGGAATTGCTCACTAAACTGTTTAATCTTTCATTAGAATTGGACACTGCACCAAACCATTGGCTCATTGCCATCTTGTTTTTTAAAAAGACTTGAAAAGTGACCTTGGAATTGATTTAATGCTTCAGAGTTAGAAATTAGCAAATTACATGTTAAATATTAGTAATGAAATAAGTGGTTTTAAGTTGTTTCTAGAAAGGTAAAGTGGGCCATAGAATGAAATAAAATTTAACTGAATGATATTTATATTTTGATAAACATGAGACAACAGAGAATAATTTATGTCAATTTTTAGAAAGTCTTGGGAAAGTTCCAGGTCAATAAATTCACCAGAAAATTGGAGAAAATGCTTACTCATGAAGAGAAAACTGACTTCGAGAATACAGAGACAGAACTATCTTGTTTTTCTTTATTTAAATGACAACATTGAAGTATGTCAGAGATGATGACAGCTATATATAATACCTTCATAATTGATTTCAAAGAGCAAGCAAACAATTTTAAAGAATGAGTGAGGCTTCATCACATAGAGAAAAGACAGAAGGCACAGTATGGGTAGAGGAGACAACATGTATAAAGGATATAGAGATGTAACTCCTGTGTCCTATCAGGGAATTGCCTCAGCTCCGATAAGGAAGAAATGGTAATAGTGGAGTCTAGATGAAGTTGCATGAGCCCTCACTTAGAAGTATGACTCCATCCTTTAGGCAGCCAGGAACGATTACAGTATATCTAGCACAATGTGTATGTGATGCCGTTAGACTTGTTCTTAGGAAAATAATTTTGGAAATAGAATATGAAAATAAGTTGGAGAAAATGGAGATGTAGAAAGAGATTAATAACCTAACTAGAAGGTAACAGTGACAAGTTTTTGATAAATTTTCAGGTAGTTATAAGGAAGAGTCAAAGATGAATTTGGCTGGATGAATGGGAAGTCTAGTGTGAGGAAGTAGCAGTTTTTTTTTGTATAGGACACTGAGAGCACAGGCAACAAAAGCAAAAGTAGACAAATAAGATAGCATCAGGGTAAAAAGCTTCTGCACAGCAAATAAAACATTAATAGAGTAAAGAGAAAAGCTACAGAATGGAAGAAAATATCTGCAAACCATACATCTGATAAGGGGTTAAAATTCAAAATACATAAGGAACTTAGACAATTCAATAGCAAAAAAAAAAAAACTCAACTAAAAATGGGCAAAAGGCTTGAACAGATATCTGTCAAAAGAAGACATACACATGGCCAATAGGTCCATGAAAAATGTTCAGCATCATTAATCTCTAAGGAGATGCAAATTATAACCACAATGAGGTATCACCTCAAACCTAGTAGAATGGCTATTATCAAAAATATTAAAGACAACAAGTGTTGGTAAAGATGCAGAATACAGGGAATTCTTGTCCATTGTTGGTGGGAATGTAAATTATTACAGCTACAATGGAAGATGATATAGAGGTACCTCAAAAACCTAAAAATATAACTACCGTATAATCAAGTAATCCCATTTCTGGTCATATAGCCAAAAAAATTGAAATCAATATGTTGGAGGATATCTGTACTCTCATGCATATTGCAGCATTATTCACAATAGCCAAGCACTGGAATCAACCTGTGCCCATCAATTCATGAATGGATAAAGAAAGGGTGGCATATATACACAATGGAATAAAATTCAATCTTTAAGAAGAAGGACTTTTTAGTTCAGTGGATAAACCTGGAGGATATTAGGCTAAGTGAAATAAACCAGGCCCAGAAAGTAAAATACTGCATGATCTTACTTATATGTGGAACCTTAAAAAGTTGAATTCATAGAGGCAGAGAACAGAATGATGGTTGCTAGAGACCAGGGTAAGGAGGGGGAATGAGGACTTGTTGGTCAAAGGCTGCAAAGTTTCAGATAAACGGGAGGAATAAGTTTTGAGATCTATTGCACAGCAAGGTGACTGCAGTTATTAAAAATGTATATTTCAAAATTTTTAAAAAGTTGAATACTTATTTAAAGCTTGAGAGATTGAGGCATGAGACCAATATATTATACAAAAAGGAGACTAGGTAAAGCAAGCTATAATGAGTTTGACACATGTGACATTTAATTAAAGATGAAAATATTCAATTACACTTAGAAATATAGGCTAATAAAATATTAGGGATGCAGATTTATAGATTTGTACAGGGAATAATTCATATCTCAAGAATGTCTATTTTATACTAAATCTTTCAAAAATTTCTTACATACTACAGCATTGAGAACTTTTTTCCTAAATTATCATTCCCTTGCTTTTAAGGCAGTATAGCATTATATCCCATCTAGCTTATTTGAATCCTTTTACTATTCTTTCTAACTTCAGTATGTGTACTGTCAAAATTATTTGCATTTCATAGTCCAGTGTATGCAGAGACCACAGGTGCCCCAAGTTGAAGAAATATTGCCAACTGTCTCTCCTATGGGACATGTATGTGCAAAGTCAGTAATCTTTGAAGAGGACGTCATGGAGGCCCTAGAGCTTGGAAATGTACTTAGATTTATTTATTTGAGCTACATGGAATGTTTATTTTTATTAGTAAGTCATGCTGCAACATGTATCGCTGATCATGACGTCCTTCCTGACCTCTGTTCCTGCCACACTAAATGTGTTTATACTATTATAAAAATGTCTGACAAAATAAAATTAAATATATGTATACCATTGGTTATTAAAACAAATAATAAAAATGTTATTGAGAATTTTCTGTGCAATTTGAGTCTGAGATAAGTAATACTATTATGTCCTAACTCTCTGTTCTATTTCCCATAAATTCTTCTTTTTAAATAAATATTCTCAGTAAAATAGAATTGGCAAAATCAGGAATCTTACCAGAAACAGTTTCCCATATATACAAATAGGAAAAGTACCATTATTAGGTCTATTTTTAGTCTACTTATTCATATTTAGAAATGATATTTTTAAGTGAGAGATCAAAAAGTAAGAAACAAAAATCCAACTCCAGTAACCTTGAAAAAAATCACACAATTCTCTACTGGAGTACCTTGAAGAGACGGTCAAATAGGAGAAGCACATCACACAAAACACTTCAAATGTCCCACTCAATCCTGTTTATACGTCCGACTCCTCAAAACCCCTCTTTGCAGGAACACTGCTACTCCTCTTTTCTGTCTGGGAATATTAACTCCCTTTCTACCACTCCTTGCCTTCCTGATAAATCATTTTCTTTCATGACTTACTGCAATACCTGTCTAATGGAAATAAATCACAGCTTTTCTTACCTCACTCTAATTATTCTCTATTGGAGACAGAGATAATGGAGATACCTCTCTAATGATAGATTACTCCCATTATCTGATCAGCACTACAAAGGATAGAATGTAAAACAACAAAATATAAGTTCTTCTTTTGCCAGCATAAGGGAAGAAAAGCCTGTGTATACTTGCCATGTAACATTCTTGCCATGGTCGCATACATTTTGTCAGAACTATTGTGATGCAAATGCATCAGAAACAAACTATAATATAAAAATGGCTATGTCAAAATGTCCTACTTTGCAACCTGACATCCTCAATGCAATTTGTACTCTTGCCAACCACTTTCAAATATTTAATCTGTAACATCTGAGTTTAATTTTCATTATCGTGCATCCTGCCAACCCACAGTCACTCTACACTATTATACTCTTATTCATTCATTCAGTAGATACCTACTAGGGGCTTGTGATTATCAGAGATCTGGGAAGGAGAGATGCAACTAACAGCAAGACAGACATTTATCTAGTTTTAGAATACTTACATTCCCTTAAGATAAGGTGGGGAAAATAGAAAAAATGAAAAATAAATGGCACAATTTATGGAAAGTATATAGCACAGAATGTGGAATGCAGAGATTTTAAGAGATTAGTTTTGTTAATCCCAGCTTTTCCCAATATATTCAATGAATGTCTATTTGGTTCCCACTGGAACAAGCAATGGGCTAGAAACTGTGAGAGGTTACAAATATCAATTACATACAGACCTTACCTTTAAGGAGTCTTCAATGCCTCATGTAATAAAAGACAGAAGACATACAGGTGAGGTCTACAGTGCAATGGTATAAAATGGTACCTACTATAAGTGAAAAGCTAAATTTTATTTAAACCAAAAAGAGAAAGAAAGCATTTCTACTAGTGGGGATAAAGGTTTACTCTATATAGTATTTATTTGAAATTTATATTGCTTTACATTATTACTCTTTAGTAAGTCCATAGCTTTAATTCACGATTAGTCAATAATAAGGTTTTAGAACTGTAGTGGAAAATGCTTTGAACTTGTAATCAAAAGTAATCTGGCCAAAGATTGACTATGTTACTTATCTACTCATGGTTAAAGTTCTGTCTTCCTCTCCTAAATGGCTACCTCACAGATGTGTGTCTAAATATCACATTAATTAAATGAGAAAATAAATGTGAATATGACCAGTGGTGTCTGACACAAAATGGGTGTTCAGTAAAGGACTAAAACTTTTTTCGTGCATCAATACTTGGTACACTACCCAGAAATAAAGAGTATCTATTTGGGAGATAACAGCTTGGAACATAAACTGATACCCAAAAAAAATTATCACAATACATTTTAGAATATGCACCAAATTCTCAAATACTAGACACCACATTTTGAAACTTGCAAAAAAATTGTTTGAGAAGATAAAATACATTTACAAAATAGGTCACGATTATCAATATATCACAACAAAATCTATGCTGGTCATATCTGTAAAAAAATACAAAACTTGTTCAGATAAATTTAAAATTGGTTTGTTACATAGGTAAACCTGTGTCATGAGGGTTTGTTGTACAGATTATTTCATCACCCAGGTATTAAGCCTAGTACCCTTTAGTTATTTGTCCTGATCCTCTCTCTCCTCCTACCCTCCACCCTCCAAAAGGCTGAGTGTGTGTTGTTCCCCTTTATGTGTCCATGTGTTCTCATCATTTTGCTCCCATTTGTAAGTGAAAACATGTGGTATTTGGGTTTCTGTTCCTGTGCTAGTTTGCTAAGCATGAGGGCCTCCAGCTTCATCCATGTCCCTGCAAAGAACATAATCTCATTCATTTTTATTCCTGCATAGCATTCCATGGTGTATATGTGCCACATTTTCTGCATCCAGTCTATCATTAATGGGCATTTAGGTTGATTCCATGTCTTTGCTATTGCGAATAGTGCTGCAATGAACACACGTGTGCATGTGTCTTTATGATAGAATGATTTATATTCCTTTGGATATATACCCAGTAATAGGATTGCTGAGTCAAATGGGTACTAGGCTTAATACCAGGGTGATGAAATAATCTGTACAACAAACCTCCATGACACAATTTTACCTATATAACAAACCTGCACTTGTACCTCCCAAGCATAAAAGTTAAAAATAAATAAATAAAATTGAGACTTTCTTAATGACTCTCACAAGGAAGTTAGGGATATTTTAGAACAGCATGATATGACAGACAGTTCATTGGAGTGGCCATCAAGAGATTTAGATTAATTGCCTTATACTGCAACCGAATATCTGCGAGGCCCCTTAAGCATCTGTTTCATCATCTGTACAATGGCAGAGTTCTTGTAATTTCACCAATCATATTGTGTCATACTCATTTCAGAGTTGCAAATATAGAGTACAATTAACTAATAATACCATAAATGCTCATGCATTACCACAGGTCATTGAAATAGATAGAAAGTTGATCCGACTCCATATGAAATTTTCAATGTTTTAGACAGTTATTTTATTATCATTTTTATTGTCACAAAACTCATCTGAATGGTCATACAAAGGTATGAAGCCTGGAGCTTACAATGTACACAATATTTTTAAAAATTGTCCTCTACAAAAGAGTCCTTTTGTGAGATCTTTACCAAAAATTCAATATTTACCAGAATTCTCTTGGTTGCAAATACCAGAAGCACTTCACAAATCAGTTGACACAAAAAATAATAAATTGTTCACACAGTCACAAGTTCCACGGTTGGCTGACCTATAGGCTTACCTGGATCCGATGACTTACATTATGTTAATATGTGTGTCTCCTTTCCCCTCCCTTTCCCTCCCCTATCACTCATCCCCTCTTTTCTTCCCATCTCTTCCCTCCTCTCCTTCTCTCTTTCCTCCCTCTCAACCTCCATTTTTCCTTCCCTTCCTCCCTCCTAGGCTCCCCACTGTCAAAGCTGTGCTTTTTGTATGTTGCCCTCATTGTTTTGGAACATAAGTGGCTTCCTCAGAGTGCTTGGGTACAATGGCCTCAAACAACTCTTACAAAAGACTATTAATTTTCAATAAAAGAAAGAAAGAAAATAAATAAAACTTTAAAATCACCACAGCAGGAAAGTCTTAAAACTCTAGGAAAGACCAGATTGACCCAGTTAGAATTATCAACCCATTCTAAACCTATTACTGAGATTGAAGAGATGGACTACTTTAAACAACCCAGGTTTAAAAACATCTGTGCACACGGGACTACAATATGTGAAATAAGACACACCTGAATCCCAGGGCCTGTGGTATGTTGTAGTTGAATTGTGTTCCTTCCAAAAGATATGTCCAAGTCCTAATCTCTGGTACCTATGAATTTGGCCATATTTGGAAATAGGGTCTTTGCAGATGTCATGTTCAAGATCTTAAAATGAGATCATCCTGAATTCAGGATGGACTTTAAGTTCAGTCACTTTCATCCTTATAAAAGAAAAAGGAAGGAGACTTGAGAAACTGAGACACAAGGAAGAAGGCCGTGTAAAGATAAGGGGCAGAAAGTGGAGTGATGTTTCCAGAAGCTGAGGCACACCAAGAACCACCAGAAGCTGGAAAAGGCAAGGAAGAATCATCCCTGAATCCTTCACTGGCACCTTGAGTTTAGATTTATTGTCTCCCGAACTGTAAGTTAGGATTGAGGCTCACTTTTTCTCTGTGCATCTCTGGCAGCCCCCAAAAAACTAATACAAGGTGGTTTTCCTAAGAAGAGAAACCACACGAATAACATTAGCTTCACTGTCTTCTAGTCTTATTCTATGTACATCATTAAATAACTCCCCTTGAAAGAAGGAAATGAAATTATTCAGAAAGTAATTAAAAAGACAATAATCTGTGCTGGTCTTCATCTGCCAAATGTATTATTCTCCAAAGTCACAGCCAAAAGAAGTTTTGAATGTCATTCCAAAGTGGGGAAGACGAAGAGTGCTGTAGTCCCCAGTTCCATATTGATACCTTTTGGGCTCTGTGTTCCCACCCACATCTTATCTTGTAACTCCCATAATTGCCACATGTAGGCGGGACCTGGTGGGAGATGATTCAATCATGGAAGCTGGTCTTTCCTATGCCATTCTCGTGATAGTGAATGGGTCTTATGGGATCTGATAGTTTTAGAAATGGGAGTTTTCCTACACAAGCTCTCTCTTTGCTGGCTGCCATCCACATAATATGTGACTTGCTTCTCCTTGCCTTCCACCATGATTGTGAGGCCTCCCCAGGCATGTGGAACTGTTAGTCCAATAAATCTTTTTCTTTTGTAAATTGCCGAGTCTAGGGTATGTCTTTATCAGCAGCATAAAAATGGACTAATACATGTATCAATCATAGGTTAAAAAAAAAATTCTGAGTAAGAATATAATTCTTTTTTTCCAAAGCTAACATCAAAGAATTACCTAATTTTTTTTTTATTTTGTTTTGGGCACCTTTGTTCAATATGAGGATGAATTTACTAATTGTAGTTGAAGTTCATATTAAGACAATGGTATCACTTTGTGGTACAGTTTGGCCGTGAACCATTCAAATCTCAACTTGAATTGTATCTCCCAGAATTCCCACGTATTGTGGGAACAGGGAGGTAATTGAATCATGAGGGCTGGTCTTTTCCATGCTATTCTCATGATAGTGATTAAGTTTCATGAGATCTGACGGGTTTATCAGGGATTTCCGCTTTTGCTTCTTCTCATTTTCTCTTGCCACCACCATGTAAGAAGTGCCTTTTGCCTCCTGCCATGATTCTGAGGCCTTCCAGCCATGTGGAACTGTAAGTCCAATTAAACCACTTTTTCTTCCCAGTCTCTCGGGTATGTCTTTATCAGCAGCATGAAAACAGAAAATACACTTTGTGAAAAAAAAATAAAAGGACCACGTTCTACAGAACTTGAAAGGTAAGCAGACTGTGACATGTTATGAGAGCTTCAATGGTATAACACTAGTCTTTGATAACGATTCTGTACTATGTAAAAATTATTTTGGAATCAGGATTTATAAAATATTTACAAATGTAAAGAAGCTTAATGAAAGAAAAAAGCAGAATATCTTTCCACACTCAGAAAACTGGTTTAATTGAAATCAAAACAGCTCATTTCTATTCTTGATTTACTCTTAGATCTTAGTTTTCATTAAATGGCCTTTATTAATTAAAAAATCATGCATTAAGCACCTATTGTGCATTGTTTATCTATAAAATCACTTAAGGTTCTCAACAAACCTATAAAGCAATATTTTTGTCAGCAACTATTTGGTTGCAAGTAAAACTCTTTCAAATGAGCTTAGAAGAAATTTTATGGAAGGATACAATTAGTCATCTCACTAACATCCAAATGTAGACTTCTGTTATGGACTGAATTGTCTTCCCCCAAAAATTCATGTGTTAATCCCTCAATACCTCAAAATGTGACTGTATTTGGAAATAGTGTCTTTGCAGAGTTAATTATGCTAAAAGAAAGTTATTAGTTTGAGTCCTTATAAGGACTGGTATCCTTATAAGAAGTCTGGACATAGACCCATACAGAGGAAAGACAGTATGAAGATGTAAAGGCATAGGAAGAAATGGCCATCTACAAGTCAAAAAGAGAGAAATGAAGCAGATCTGTCCTCATGGCCCTAGAATAAACTAACTCTGCTAACACTTTAGTCTTGGACTTCTAGCCTCCAGAATTATGTGAAAATAAATTTCTGCTGTTTAAGCCACTCAGTCTTGTCCTTTATTATGCAATTCAAACAAATGAATACAACTTCTATTACTGTTTCTACAGCTACTTCTAATAACCAAAATTTTAAAAAAATACAGTACCAGATAAAAATCTAAGTGCTTTACATGTATTAACCCATTTAATTCCAACACAAATTCCATAATGTAAACATTGTTATTATTGTCATTTTACAGAAAAAGAAAATTAGAAGTAAATGATAGTTAACTTGCTCACACAATGAGAGATTTTGGAATATAGGTTTAGAACCAGGCCATTTAACTCTAGAGCTCACATTCTGAACATCTGCATACCATACTCTGTCAGAAACAAAGCACAACTGGATCAAAGGACTTAAAACTCAAGAGCTTGACAATGGCTTCTGTTTTTCATGTGGTCTAATGGTCTCTCCTCCATCTGGCTACATGTGTCTGTAAGATACTCTTTTCTCTACAGATCAGGTCCCTTGGGAAGTCCCTTTGCCCAGTTAAGCTATCCCTCAAAAATTTATTTCCTTTTCTGAGTCACAGTATGCAAAATCCATTATTCCCATCACTAAAAAAATAAAAATAAAAATAAAATAAACAAGTAACCCACCACAACACTGCCTGATTTCAATTTTTTTTTCCCCATGTGGATGTTTACTGTTCCTCATTTCTTTTTCTACTCCTCATGTTCTCGCTAACTTCAAAGTATAGAGGTCAATTTAAATTCTCTTTCGGGTTGAGGACTGCACCAATTCTTCACCATGCACTGTTTACTTTTTCTTTTTGTTTTTACTTTTTTTTCAGTAATAAAAACAATAATAAAGTTTACTTTGAAACACATGTATTAAGTTCCTTCTTACACTTAAAACTGTGCTGAGTCCTGGAATAACTGAAGGAGACAGCATTGCTTCCCTATAAAAACTATAAATATGGGAGACTCATATCTGTATCTACCATCTAAAAGATATACCTATTCAAATAAGTGCAAACAGATTCATCTACGCACTAAAAGGTCAAACAGGCAGTCTATCAAAAGTGTTGCATTGTTAGTGGAATCACTGCTTTCCATTTTAAATGGAAGCTAAGCTCTGTTGATGCATACATTGTTTTGAAATGAGAATGTGCCCTTTCCTATTTATTCCAGATGCAGCAGTTTTATGAGTCAGCTGTAACACTATATTTTTGCATGGGATAATTATGACCATAAAGGGAATTGTATGGTAAAAACTACAGAACCTGTCATTAGGCAAGAAGATGACCTTTTTACTCAGCTGTCTTGCCAAATTTTAGCAGATTCTTCACATTTGGGAGGAATTTATGGCCACTAAAGGAAGCCTGACTGCCAACCATAAGACTGAAAGTCCTTATTTCTTTTAAAAAATGTGTATATGCAAACAGTGACAACTCATAATTCATATTGGCTCCAAAACTCTCTATTCACTAATTTTCTCCTGAGCATCGAGACTTGGAGTTTCTTCTACTCTATACTCCATGCCCTGCCCCTCCACCCAAGGCTGTTTTCTCTCCTTAATCCTTATGGGTATGTCTATTTAGTGATAGTCTACAAAGACACTTGGAAAAGTTTCGATTTACTAGAGTAGAATTTCCCAGGAGGATCCTCTATTTTGGACCAGAAGGAATGAGCCTGGAAGTTTTCAAAGTTACTTACCAAAAAGCTCTTTGGGATATCTCACAAATAACTTAGTTCACCCTGATAACCAAGAGAAGAGAATGTTAGCGGAGCAATCAGGTGACAGAAAAGACCACATGATGCATCCTTTTTGTCTGTATCAGGCATCCAATATGTGAGCAATAAACACAAGTCTATCTCCTTGCTAAATGAAGAGATTAAAGGGCAGAAGAAAAACAACATAATTAAGATTCCAATCGAAATTAATTATGACATAATTTTAAAATAATTTATTAAATATTAAAAAGATAATTGATTAAAATAGGGGCATGTAAAGATAATCTTGGAATGATACATATTTTTATAAGAATCATACAATGCTATAAATTTTAAAAGGCTACTATTGATTAAAAATTAAGTTTCCCATGTCTACTTTTTCTTGGATAAAATAATAAAAACTAGCTTTAAAAATGTTTGCAGTGCACATACATTTATAAAGAGATTACAAAATAAGAAAGAGACAAATCCTCTAGTAATAACAATAGACAAATAATATGACCAAGTATTGTGGGTTAAATTGGATTCAAATCCAATATCTAATGTCCTTAAAAGGCAAGAGTAATTTGGACTCACAGATCCAGAAGGTAGACAGCCATATGAAGAGGGAGGCAGAGATTAGAGTTTGCTTCCACAAGCCAAAGAATGCCTGGGGCTAAGAGAAGCTGGAAAAGGCCAGGAAGGATCCTACACTAGAGGCTTCTGGCCTCCAGAAGAATGAAGCAATACATTTCTGTTGATTTAAGCCCCCCAGTTGCAGTAATCTCTTATGGTAGTCCTCAAAGATGAATACACCAAGCAACTGACATAAAAACAAATACAAATGGCCTATGAATATTAAAAGTCAATTTGAGCATCTTTTAGTAAATTACTGGGCATTTGCACTTTTGCCTCTACCTTTGCCCCCATCTATTTCATTCTTCACGGAGCAACCAGAATATTCTTTTTAAAAAGTACATCCGATTCAATCAGTCTTTTACAAAAAAACAACCAATATTTACTGTATTAGGATCAGTTTAGTTCGAAGTAAGAAGAAACTCAAATATCAGTATCTTAAGCAACAGAGACTCGACAGCATCAGGAAGGATTCACCTGCATTAAATCCATGAATCCACTTCTCCATTCTCTGATTAATATTGTATAATACTATTTCCCATCTCTTCCCTACTTATCCTTACTATTCTGTTTTCTACAACTCAGAGGTCTTGGTCATTAATATCCCCTAATTGTTCAAACTCTTTTGTTGTTCTATTGATTGCATTCTCCCCTTGGGAGTCTCTGCTTTCATTGCAGAGTCACTCTTAAATATTGACTATGTCTCTCATGCTCCTTATGTTCTGAGCCAGGAGGGTGTGATATGTTCTTCTTGATGCACATTAGTGCTTCATGACCATTTTCCTCCATCTCCCTAAAAAAACTTAGGTTTGAAGTTGATGTCATTAGACCATGCTGCTAGCCATCCTTCCATGTTGCACTCATCCTGAGCCCTTTATAATTCTTCGAAGGTTTTAGCTCCTTAGTTTCACTCTTTTCAGTGTCATTTGTTATAATTCTTGATAATGTCATTATTCATTTAGATGATCTTTCCAATCCACTGGTCTCGGTTCCTGGACTCCACTGCTCCCATAGGTTCATCTTCTCTACTTTAGCCATATCATCTTATGGTTTATTCCTTATACTTCATCACTATTAATAGCTACACACCATTCTTAAACTTGATTCCATTCACTGAAAACAATCTCCTATCACTACAGTTTAGTACTGCATATCCATGGGACTACAATCCATTGAATTTACTTTTTCACTGTGCCTCAGTTCTTCTCAGTCCCTCTTCCTCACTTCTTCATTTTTCCTCTGTCTTCCTTCTTCCTTGCCCTTTCCCTTTTCCTTCATCCAGTTCTTGACTTCCAGATTCATCAACTTAAACTAAATGATCATTCATTGTAATCACTCTCATTTAAATCAATGACCCCCAATATCATACGATCCTTAGTGTTTTTGAATAACCCTACATTTCTTTGGTCTATTCAGTTATATTCCTAAGCAATTATTTCATACTTTTTACACTCTTCAAAATGAACTCCTCCTTAAACATCTTCACTCTTAATGTTGCGTCTTACTTTACGGTGAAAATACAAGCAATCAAAAGAGAACTTTCACATGCTCCCACCACTAAATATTCCAACCACCAGCATCTATGTCTGTAGACTTTATCTGTCACCCAGTTACAAATGATGAATTGTGCCCTGTATAAAGCCATCTTCTACATTTGTGAACCAGATTCCTTCCACTTTACCTGTTTAAGAACATTACCCTAGCAACTCACTCCTCTCTTAATTGCATCATTATTTTTTTCTGGTAAAAGTGGATTACTTAATCTTCATACATAAATGTTATAACATCTCCCATCTTTTAAAAAATATTTTTTCAGTATGTAACATTATTTTCCAGAAACTATTCCATTTTTCTGCCCTCTTTAAAATCATAATACCTCCCAGTTCTAACTTTCTCTCCTCTCCTTTCTTTGTCTCTTAAGTTGACTCTAGTAAGGCTTCTATCTCCATTACAGCATAAAATTACTCTTGTCATTAAAAAATATACTGGTTAAATATTGGCTGTCTTCAGACTTAACGCATCAACAAGATTTGATTCAGTCAATCCCTCCCTCTTCCTTGATGTATGTTCTTCACTTAACTCTCAGGATACAATAATCTTAGTTTCCTTCTATTTTCAGGAGAATCAGTTGGTTCTTCTCTTCCATCACTTTTTTAAATTAAAAAAAGTTTCTAAAATCGTTTGAGATTTACAGCAAAATTAAGCAGAAAATGTAGAGAATTCACTTGCACCCACCCATGCACAACCTCCCTTATCGTCGACATACTGCATCAGAGTGGTTCACAGGTTACAGGTGATGAACCTACCTTGACACATCACCCAAAGTCCATGGTTTCCATTAGGGTGTATGCTTGGTGTTGAATATTCTGTGGGTTTGGATAAATGTGTAATGGCATGTACCCATCATTATAGTACCATATTTAACAGTTTTACTGCCTTAAAAATTCAATGTTCTCTACTGATGTATTTTTCTTTCTGTCCCCAACCTTGGCGACCACTGATCTCTTTACTGTCTCCATAGTTTTGCCTTTTTCACAATGCTGTATAGTTGAAATCACACAGTATGTAGCCCTTTCAGATTGGCTTCTTTAACTTAGTAATATACATATGAATTTCTTCCATGTCTTTCAGTGGCTTGATAGTTTATTTGTTTTCAGCACTGTATAATGCTACATTTCCTTAATGTACCAGTTTGTTTGCCCACTCACCTACTGAAGAAGATCTTGGTTGCCCACAAGTTTTGGCAATTATGAATAAAGATACTATTAATGTCCATGTGCAAATCTTTGTATGAGCATACACTTTCAACTCATTTAGGGAAATATCAAGTAGCACAAGTGCTGGATTGTATATTAGAGTATGTCTAATTTTATAGAAAAAACTGCCTAATTATTTACCAAAGTGGCTATATCATTTTACATTTACATCAGCAATAAATAAGAGTTTGTGTCGCTCCACATCTTCACCAGCATTTGGTGTAGTCAGTGTTCTGGATTTTGGCCATTTAAATACATGTGTAGTGGTTTCTCATTGCTGTTACAATGTTCATTTCATTGATGACATATGGTGTTGACCATATTTTTGTACGCTTATTTGCCATCTGTATATCTTTTTTCATGAGGGTCTGTTCCCTATATTTTGTCAAATTTTTCATGGACTTATTAGTGTTCTTACTGGTGAATTTTAAGAGTTCATTGTATATTTTATGTAAAAGTCTGTTATCAGATATGTCTTTTGCAAATATTTTCTTATACTATGTGGCTTACCTTTTCATTCTCTTAAGAAGCATTCTTTGGAGGGCATACATTTTTAATTTTAATGAATTCCAACTTATCAATTTTTTCATGAATCATGCCTTTGGCATTATATTTTAAAACTCATTGCCATATCCAAGGTTACTTAGATTTTATCCTATGTTATATTCTAGGAGTTATATAGCTTTGCATTTGGATGTGCAGTTGTTCCAGCACCATTTGCTGACAAGACTATCTTTCCTCTATTGTATTGCTTTTTCCCCTTTGTCAAAGATTAGTTGACTAGTTTTGTTAGGTTTTATTTTGGGGCTCTCTTTTCTGTTCCATTGAAAACTTTGTCTGTTTTTTCGTCAGTCCCACCCTGTCTTGATTATTGTCGTTTTATAGTAAGCCTTGAAGTTGGATAGTGTCAGTCCACTGACTTTATTCTTCTTCAATATTGTGTTGGCCATTGTGGGTCTTTTGCCTCTCCATATAAACTTTGGGACTTCTATGTTTAATGTCAGAGTGCTCCATGACTCAATTCTTTGTCTTCTTTTCATATCTATTTATATGGATATGAAACAGTGTTGATAACAGTATTCAGATCTTCGACCATAAATGCCATCTGAATATTAACAACTCTAAAATTTATATTTTTTAGAAAAGACTTCTCTTCTGAACTCTTCTAATATTTCCAACTGCTTTACTAGATATTTCTATGCACCTTTGTGGTTTAGATTATACCAGAACTAAACTCTTTGGTATACATTTTCTCTGTCACTGAGGTCAGTTTTTAGTATTTTAACGATACAATAAAATGTTAAATAGGAAACCGAAACCTAAAGGGAAAGAGGAGTAAATAGATTTTTAAGCAAACGTGGCATATGCACACATATCATAAATATATATATTTATTTTGTATATTAATATAACATTTATGACACAATGTATGTGTTATAATAATATGAAGTATATTCATACATAAGTAGAGAATGTTTAAAGTATTTTCCTCCATTGCCAAATAAAGCAGAGATTCTTCTTTGAGGTAGTGGATAAGCTTCAGGGAGAAGTAAGAATTCTATGCATGTTATTTTGCAGATTGGAAAAAGCTAGGGACTTCAGTGGGAAGCAATTGCATTGGCAATGCTGTTCAGCCAAGGCTTTACTTTTAAAGGCTGGTATGTACATAAGAAACTGAGAAGAAAGCTCTTGATTTGTTTCTCATGTACATGTAGATAATGGAAGAGAATTGCTAATGACTGTCAGGTTTCTCTTTGTGTGAGTCTCTTTAAATATGTCATTAATTTGAATGCCTCCCAATTGGTAATTCCTTTGAGAAGAATTTAATTTTTATGTATGTATTCAATGAGAAATGAAGTATTTTGGCTCTGGCAAGTTTTTGAATCTCTTATACCATATGTGTCTTGTTTACCAGCACTTACAAGAAAGTCTGCCATAGGGTAGGTATTCAATATTTGCTTCAGAATTGGGTGCTAGCCTACATGTTTCCTCTATTCTCTTACTTTGGCAACATGTATTCTTGTTGCTATATATGTTTTTTGTCTCAAGTGTTATCCTGTTAGATTTTTGCAAAAAAAAAAAAACACATACACACACACAAGAAAGCCAACAGACTATAGTCTAAAAGATCAAAATGCAAAATTACTCACAAAGTGAACACTGTTCTCTCCAACAATATGGACAAATCCTGGAGGAATGAGGGAAACAGCAACAATTTTTCTGAAGACCCTAAAATTCCATGAAGAAGGAATGTGCATGAAGCCAGTTTCATAAAGCAGAGCTTCTTCTTCGAAAAGTTCAGGATGGAAATTTAATCAAATTATTTGCCAATATGAAATTCATCAAATAGACCTATGTGAAAATGAAATTTTCAATAAAACTGTAAAATGTAGACCCAAGACACTATAACTTGAAGAAAACTGAGATAATTGATTAGATGCTTTAGTTTAGAACACTAATGAAAAAAATTAGAAAATTTTGACATCTATAATGATAAGATACATTAATTAGAAGAGCAAAAATTTACTTTTGGCCAGTGTTTACACGTACAACCACACAGGTGTTTGCTGTACAACTGCAATGTGCAACCTATACACCTAAACATAACTGATAAATCATTATTAATCAAGCACAGAATGATTTGCATGCAGCTTCTCATTTAATCATCACAACAATCTCATAGCAAGACGTTTTAATATGTGCCAGGTACACTGGCATGTGCCTGTAATCCTAACTGGTTGGGAAGATGACATGGGAAGACTGCTTGAGCCTAGGAGTTTGAGATAAGCCTGGGCAACATAGCAAGATTCTATCTCAAAAAAAAAAATAAGAAAGAAAGAAAAAATATGTTTAGTGCCCTTTTTACATGTAAACAAATTGAGATATACAGATACTAACGTATATATCCCCAAGGTCTTATAGCTAGTAAAAAGTGGAGATGACATTAAAACCAACACCTATTTGACTCCTAAGCCCAATTTTCTTTTCACTTAGCATCTTTATCTGAAATAGCACTATCAAAATAATTATTTAGATTTATATTTATGTGATAAATACAATTTCTTTTGAAAAATAGTTTTACTCTTTACTTTATTTTATATTTTTAAATTTCAACTCTTTTTTTAGATACAGGTGGTACATATGCAGGTTTGTTACATGGGAATATCGTGTTTTGCTGAAGTTTTAAAATATAAATCCCGTCACCCAAGTAGTGAGCATGGTACTCGATAGGTAGTTTTTTAAACCACTTCTCCTTACCTACCCTCTAGTAGTCCACAATGTCTGTTGTTCCCATATTTATGCCCATGTGTGTTCAATGTTTAGCTCCCACTTAGAAGTGAGAACATGTAGTATTTGGTTTTCTGTTCATGCATTAATTTGCTTAAGATTATGTCCTGTAGCTCCATCCATGTTCTTCTAAAGGACATACTTTTATTCTTTTTCTGGCTGTATAATATTCATAATGTATATGTACCACACATTTTCTTTATCTAATCTACCATTGATGGGTACCTGGGTTGATTCCACATCTTTGTTCTTGTGAATAGTGCTTCAATGAACCCACAAGTGCATGTGTCTTTATGGTAGAGTGATTTATTTTCCTTTGAGTATATACCCAGTAATGGGATTGCTTGGCTGAATGGTAGCTCTGTTTTGGATTCTTTGAGAAATCTGTTAACTGCTTTCCACCGTGGCTGGAGTAATTTACACTTCCACCAACAGTGTATAAGCATTTCCTCTTCTCCACAGCCTCTCAAGCATCTATTTTTTTCTTTTCACTTTTTAATAACAGCCATTTTGACTAATGTGAAATAGTGTCTCACTGTGGTTTTGATTTGCATTTGATAAGTGATATTGAGCATATTTTCATGTTTGTTGGTCACTTGTATGTCTTCTTTTGCAAGGCATCTATTCATGTCCTTTGGCCATTTTTTAATGGGGTAATTTGTTTTTTTGCTTGCTGATTTGTTTAAGTTCCCTATAGAGTCTGGATATCAGACCTTTGATACACAGTTTGTGAAGAATCACATAGGTAGTTTGATATAAATAGCATTGTATCAAATGTATAGAATCTGTAAATTGCTTGGGCAATGTGGACATTTTTATGATATTGATTCTTCCAGTACATGATCATGGAATGTTTTTTCATTTATTTGTGTCATCTCTGATTTCTTTCAGCAGTGTTTTGTAATTCTCCTTGTAGAGATCTTTCACCTCCTTGTTTAGCTGTATTCTTAGGTATTTCATTTCCTTTGAGCCTATTGTAGGTGGTATTGTGTTCTTGATTTCAGTCTCAGTCTGGACATTGGTTGTGTGCAGAAATGCTACTGATTTTTTACATTGATTTCCCCATTCAGTATGATGTTGGCTGTGGGTTTGTCACAAATGGCTCTTATTATTTTGTGGTATGTTCCTTTGATGCCTAGTCTGTTGACAGTTTTTATCATGATGCGATGTTGAATTTTATTGAAAGCTTTCTCTGTATCTATTGAGATGATAACATGGTTTTTGTTTTTGATTCCGTTTATGTAGTGAATCACATTTATAGATTTGCATATATCGAACCAGCCTTGCATACCAGCAATAAAGCCTACTTGATCATCATGTATTAACTTTTCAATGTCCTGTTGGATTTGATTTGCTAGTGTTTTGTTCAGGACTTTTGCTTCTATGTTCATGGGGGACATCAGTCTGAAATTTTCTTTTCTCAGTGTGTCTCTGCCAGATTTTGGTATCAGGCTGATGCTGGCTTCATAGAATGAAATCGAGAGGAGGCCCCTTTCCTCAATTTTTTGGAATAGTTTCAATGTCTGATAGGATTTGGCTGTGAATCCATCTGTTGCAGGGCTTTTTTTTTTTTTTGGTTGACAGGTTATTACTGATTCAATAACAGAAGTTGATATTGGTCTAGTCACGCTTTCGATCTTTTCCTGATTCAATTTTAGGAGATTGTGTGCTTCTAGGAATTCATTCATCTCCTCTAGATTTTCTAATTTGTGTGCATAGAGTTGTTCATAGTAGTCTCTGAGGATCTTTTGTATTTCTATAAGATCAGCTGAAATATTACCTTTGTCAGTTTTGATTGTGCTTATGAATCTTTCCTTATTTTTGTTTGTTAATCTAGCTAGAGGTCTATCTGCTAGCTTTGAGATTGGTTTGTTCTTTTTTTTTTTTTCCTAGTTCCTTTAGGTGAAAAGTTAGATTGCTAATTTGACACCTTTCTAACTTCTTGATAAACATGTTGAGGGCTATAAACATCCTTATTAATACTGTTTTAGCTGCATCCCATAGATTTTGGTAAGTAGTGTTCTTATTTTCATTAACTTCAAATTTTTTTTATGTATGTCCTAATTTTGATGTTCATCCAGGAGTTATTCAGGAGTAAATTGTTTAATTTCCATGTATTTGTGCAGTTTGGGAGCTCTTCTTGGTCTTGATTTCTATTTTTATTGCACTGTAGTCTGAGACTGTGTTTGGTATTATTTCACTTTTTTTGAATTCTTTGAGACTTGAGCATGTGGTCTATCTTAGAACATCAAAAGGGTATTTTTTTTTTGTCATTGTTGGCTGTAGTGTTCTATAGATGTCTATTAGATCCAATCGATCAGTCTTGAATTTAGGTACAGAGTTTCTTTGTTAGTTTTTTGCCTTGATTATCCGTCCAGTGTTGTCAGTGGGAGGCTGAAGTCTCACACTATTATTGTGTGGTTATCTAAGTTTTTTCACAGAGCAAGAAGAAGTTGTTTTACGAATCTGCGGGCCCCAGTATTGAGTGTGTGTATACTTAGGATACTTAAGACTTCTTGAGGTATTGTACTCTTTATCATTAACTAATGCCCTTCACTGTCCTTCTTAATATTTATTAGTTTAAAGTCTGTTGTACCCAATATAAAAATAGTGACTCCTGCTCTTTTTTGTTTCCCACTTACATGGCAGATCTTACTCCACCCTTTTACTTTGAGCCTGTGGGTGTCATTATATGTGAGATAGATCTCTTGAAGACAACAGATGCTTAGGTCTTGTCTTTTTATCCAGACTGTCACTCTGTGTCTTTTAAGTGCAGTATTTACCCGTTTACATTCAAGGTTAGTATTGATATGCATGATTTTGATCCTGTCATCGTATTGTTAGCCGGTTGTTATGTAGATTTGATTGCATGGTTGCTTTGTAGTGCCTGTGGGCTACGTGTTTAACTGTGCTTTTGTGGTAGCAAGAGTATTCTCAAATATTAGTGACATGGGAAATGTTTGCTAAGTATATAATCCTAAGTGTTTATGAATACTAAGAAGTTTGCAAAACAATACCATAGCAAACTTAAAACTTTAATATATTTTTCCTTAGGTACTGCATTCATGAAATTCTATTCAACATCTGAATTTTTCAAAATGTCATTACCTAATTTTAAAGTTCATCTGGTTCCAGTTCAATATAGGCAAAACATGTTCCTCTTCTCTACCAAAAAGTGATTACAAACAGAAAAAATATGAATAGAAAAACAATCATAAGAAGGAAAAATCCACTGAGCAACACTGAGGAATCATCTGAAAATATAAATAAAATTGCATCAGATTACTAAGAGAACCTTAGAGTACCAAACAACATGCAGTTTCATCAGGAAAATGGGAGAAATTCTAAATAAAATGCAATTACCTTAGGAAACTGGGACCCAAGGTCCCTGCAAAATAGAATGAGAATAAGAAAAGAAGTAGTCAGCAATGTCATTCATACCTGATAAGTTGAGTAATCCACGTGCATTGTTGTGATGTTTGTGTCCAGGGAACATCATAAAATCAACTCTTGAAATAATGTGGAGCATATTTCTTGATAGGGTTAAATAGTAGACTTTGCAACTAGAGGGATGGGAGTTCTTTGGCTAACTTCAGATGTTGTGACAAATAAGAAGCCCTCACATTTAGGTGTTCCCATAGTGTTTGAAAGGAAAGACCCACCAGAGTACAAGTCTCCACCCAAATTCTTATTATAATTAGGATCATTAATCCTGGTAGAAGAATGATAATTAAGGTTACGGAGGAAAATTACATTATCAATTAACTAAACTTAAACATAATTTTATAAATCAAAAAAGAACATAAAATTTATTGCATTAAGGAAGGAAATGTTGTGATGAAAAAGATAAAGATGTCCCAGCAAGAAACATCATATTAAAGGAATTCTCAGGAATATTCCAAAACATTGAAGTGTAGAGAATAAAATATTGGAAGCTGATTCAAACTTAGATAGGAGTACAGCAATCTAACAATGCAGGATCAAAAATACAAGAAGAAAAACACAAATAAGCCAAGCACATAAAGACAAATATCAAATTATCTAACTTAAGTGTGGAATCTAAAAAAAGATGAACTCATAGAAGCTGAGTGTGATGCTCAACATCACTAATTTTCAGGGAAATGCTAATTAAAACCACAATGAGATATTACCTCACCCTGTTGAATAGCTATTATCAAAAAGACAAGAGATAAGTGCTGGTGAGAATATGGAGAAAGGGGAACTGTTGTACACTGTTGGTGGGGATGTAAATCAATACAGATACAATGGAAAATAACATGGATGTTCCTCAAAAAACCTAAAATAGAACTATCATATGCTCCAGCAATCTCACTACTGGGTATATATAGGAAATGAATCAATATGTTGAAACAATGTCTGTACTTCCATGTTCATTGCAGCATTACTCTTGATAGCTGATATAGAGTCAACCTATGTGTCCATCAATGGTTGAAGAAAATGTGTGTGTGTGTGTGTGTGTGTGTGTGAGAGAGAGAGAGAGAGAGAGAGAGAGATTTTAAACTTTTCTTTTTTTAGTTTTTAAGGCTGAATAGTATTTAATTCTATATATTATTCAGCCTTAAAAAATAAAGAAATATTTTCACTTGTGACAATGTAGATGAACCTGGAGAACACTATATAAAGTGAAATAAGCCAGGCACAGGAAGACAAATACCAAATTGTGTAACGTAAACATGGAATCTAAAAAAGTTGAACTCACAGAAACTGGGAATAGAAAAGTGGTTTCCAGTGATTGGGGGAGGTGGAGGGAATGAGGAAACATGCGTCAAAGGATACAATATTTCAGTTAGACAGAAGGAGTGGTGCAGAGGAGCTACTGTACAACATGGTGACTGTAGTTAATAACAATGTATTTTATACTTGAAAATTGCCAAGAGTAGATTTTAAATGTTCTTGCCACAAAAAAAATTAGGTAATGCATATGTCACTTAGCTTGATTAAGCCACTCTACAATGTACATATATATCAAAACATTTTTGTACTCTGTAAATATATACAACTCTTAATTGTCAATTAGAACAATAATTAATTAAAAATAAAAAATATAACAATTCACAAAGACATAGAAAAGATGCTCACTCTATCTTAACTTACATGACAAGAAGATGAACACTGCTCAAACTACTCTCTTAAGTTTTTTACAAAGAAATGAAACACTTTAATTCTCAATGTTTTAATGTTTTAAATTAAAATGTGTTAAATATATATATGTTCTTTTTTAATTTTTCTATATATTTGTAACTGACATTAAGGAAATTTTTAATATTTTGACAAAAATTTCTAGAGATCATGGTGCAGGATGGCTCTCCAGATGGCCTTGGACCAAACTAGTTCTTCCCCCTTTCTTGTTTGTAGTTCCAGAGATTAAATATAAAATGTTCTGTGGGTGCAATATCCTGAGATAGGGAGAAACTGTCTAAAACAGCATAAACCTTGTTCCTGTCCCTTCAAGGATATGTAATATCATGAGTTAGACAGGACCTGCCCAGGACAGCCCGGGCTTTATTCATCTCTCTCTTGGAAGAAGGATGTCCTTCAAAGCTTTTCACAGTGAGTCATGTGGACTCCGAGGTATATAACCCAGGATGGACTGTTTTTCAGGGTCCCTCAGCTGCAGTGCAAGTAAGGCTTGTGCAGCTGAAACAATGCTACCCTGGGTAGTTTTCTTGACCCTGGAGGACTGGTTCACAACGAATCATTGGCTTCTTTAGTCCCTTGCTGCCTACCTGCAAGTAGTAAATCCTCTTCACGTAATGCATTGCATATGGGTGTGTTCTGTCTCACTGGCCTCAAGCATGTTGGTAATCACTGCACAGTGAACCTGCTTATAACAAGGAATAATTATAGTTTTCCCCCTTGATTACTAAGATTACTTTAAATAGTTTCAAATTTAATGATTATTTTTATAGCCTCACTACAGTGTAAATTGAAGACTGCTAGTAGTTTGAGAATTGGTTTGGTTGTTAAAAGGAAGTAGCACAACAAGAAGTTTAGAGTTAAATGTCATAGCACTCTACAATGTTTCAAATATTTCCTATTAGTTTTATCCTTCTGCACTACTCTCCTCAGTAATGGCAACCCTCATCACAGGATTGCTGACCTAAATCGTTTCCTTCCTTCCTTCCTTCCTTCCTTCCTTCCTGTCTTTCTTCTTTTCTTTTTTTATTTTTTTTGAGATGAAGTCTTGTTGTGTTGCCAGGCCGGAGTGCAGTGGTGCAATCTTGGCTCACCACACCCTCCACTTCCTGGGTTCAAGTTATTCTCCTACCTCAGCCCCCCAAATAGCTGGGACTACAGGCTCACACCACCACACCCAGCTAATTTTTGTATTTTTAGTAGAGACAGGATTTCACCATGTTGGCCAGGCTGGTCTCTAATTCCTTACCTCAAGGGATCCACCCTCCTCGGCCTCCCGAAGAGCTGGGATTACAGGCGTGAGTCACCGCGCCCAGTCCCTAACTCCAGTTTCATACTCACATTCCAGTCAAGAAAAAAAAAATGAGAACCAGTTGTTAAATATTTACCAAAACACAACTGGCCATAGCTACGAAAAACGCTGAAAAATAAGTATATATTTTTAACGGAGCAAATTGCCGTCCAATATTCTGTTGAAAGAAGACAAGGATGAAATGATAGAAAATGAGCAATAATTAGCACAAGGAAGGATGTAATTAGAGTTCTCAGAAATTAAAAGCATGATTATTGAAATAATTTAAAATTTCCACACAAAGAATAAGTTGAAGAACAAACAATACAAGATGGAATTATTAAGCTAGAAGATATGCCTAACCATTCTCACAGTACAGTATGAAATAAAAAACGATATATAATTATAAGGAAAATTTAAGACACAGAGAGTACATCTGAAAGATCCAATATCTATACAATAAAAAATTCACAAGCAGTGTAAATATTCCACAAATAGAGGGTAGAAATAAGAGAATAGGGAATATGGTCAAATAATATATAAAATTTTACTTAGAGACACACAGCTAGGATAGATCTTCATGAAACCTGGGACTTCAAAAGATAAAGACACATTCTTACCATATTCAGAATGAAAAATAAGTTATTTACATTAGATTGAGAATCAGACTGAAAATACTCAATTTTTGCGGAAGAGTAAAGAATGAACAGGCTTATTAACTCTGGATGAAAATATAAATTGGGGGACAATTTGACAATTTTTTTTAACTTTTATTTAAGTTCAGGGGTATGTGTGCAGGTTTGTTATATAGGTAAACTCATGTCACAGGAATTTGTTTTACAGATTGTTTTATCACACAAGTACTAGGCCTAGTACCCAATAGTTAATTTTTCTGTTTCTCTCCCTCCTCCCACCCTCAGGTAGGCCCCCAGTGTCTATTGTCCCCATACTTGTGTCCATGTGAGCTCAGTGTTTATGTCCCACTTAGAAGTGAGAACATGTGTTATTGATTTCCTGTTTCTGCATTAATTTGCTTAGGATTACAGCCTCCAGCTTCATCCATGTTCTTGCAAAGGACATATATTTTTATTCCTTTTTATGGCCGCATAGTATTCAATGGTGTATATGCACCACATTTTCCTTATCTAATCTACCATTGATGAGCACCTGGGTTCATTCCATGTCTTATATATTGTGAATAGTGTTGCAGTGAACATACATGTGTTTATGTCTTTATGGCAGAATGATTTATGTTCTCTTGGGTATATACCCAGTAATGAGATTGCTGGGTCAAATGGTAGTTGTTTTTAGCTTTTTGAGGAATCATCATCATCACACTGTCTTCCACAATGGTTGAACTAATTTACACCCTCACCAACAGTGTATAAGCATTCCCTTTTCTTTGCAACCTTACCAACATCTGTTATTTTTGACTCTTTAATGATAGCCATTCTAACTAGTCTGAGATGGTATCTTACCGTGCTTTTGATTTTCATTTATCCAATCATCAGTAATATTGAGCTTTTTTCCTATGCATTGACTACAAATATGTCTTCTTTTGAGAAGTGTCTGTTCATGTTGTTTACCCACTTTTCAATAGGGTTGTTTGGTTTTTTCTTTTAAATTTGTTTAAGTTTCTTATAGATGCTGGATATTAGACCTTTGTCAGATGCATAGTTTGCAAATATTGTCTCTCATTTTGTACATAATGAGAACAGATAGAACATAATGGAACAGAATAGAGAGCTCAGAAACAAGGCCATGCACATAAAACCATGTGATCTTCTGTAACGTTGATGAACACAAGCAATAAGGCAAGGACTCTTTATTCAGTAAATGGTGCTGGGATAACTGGCTAGTCATATGCAGAAGAGTGAAACTGGACACCTTCCTTACACCATATACAAAAAATCAGCTCAAGATGGATTAAAGGCTTAAATGTAAAACCGAAAACTATAAAAACCCTGGAAGACAACCTAGGCAATACCATTCTGGACATAGGAACTGGCAAAGATTTTATGACAAAGATGCCAAAAGCAATTGCAACAAAAGCAAAAATTGACAAATGGGATCCAATTAAAGTAAAGAGCTTCTGCACAGCAAAAGAAACTACCAACAGAGTAAACAGACAATTTCTACAAAACTGTTAAATGTGCATATTCTTTGAGTGAATATCAACTACAGTTGAATATCCAGGTATCTATACTTCATAAATATTGGCAAAAATATGCAAGGACATAGGTAAAACAATTTACTTCACTATGTAAATAGTAAAAACTAGAGTTAGCCTAGAAATTTATCACTTATGAATAAATAATTGTCAATATTTTTATAATATGGAAATGAATGTAGGCAATTAAAAGAATAAGTTATATACAAATTTACTGATATAGAAGGAGCACATTGCATAGTTAATTGAGAAGCAAGTTGCAGTTTGTATATGTACAGAAGATACACAAAAAATTGTTAATAACAATCCTAAAACAGGTAAAGGGAGGGAGGAAAATTGGAGATGAGAATTTCCACTCTGTGTATTTGATTAATATTTGATTTTCTCATAAGGAGCAAGTCCTTCTGTTATAATTTTTTAAAGTTATGCTAAAATATATTCATTAATAAAGGATAAATTTCCATGTATAAGAATAGCCCGAAATTTCTGAAAAAAAAGTAGTAATAAAAGACTTTTGCCCCACTAAATATCAAAACATTTTAGAAGGTTTTTGCAAATAAAATAGTGTAAAACGATTTCAGATACATACAGGTCCATCAACAGAGAGAAACTTAGAATCCCAAAATCCCACATATATGCTCATATTAAGTACATAATGAAATGCACTTTTAATCAGTAGAGAAAGAATAGGTTGATATTAGGCCAGTTTTTTGTTGAAAAAAAATAAAGATTAAGCAAAAAGTTAAACAGATTAACCAAAAGTTCTTATGCTTATATCTAGGCAGAAATAATGATGGTTAGTAAATTTGACTATTAAAAATCTAAAACAAGACTGCAAAAGCAGCTCCCCCAATTAAAAAAGAGAAAGAAATTTATAGAAAACAAAGAAACTGAAGGAATAAAAAATGCATAACATGTACAATAAAGTATAAATTTTATACATATATAATATTTAAAAATACAAAAGATAAAAAAGGGAGAAGTTTAAATTGTTTGCCTAAAATTATATAGCTAAGAAAGCAGTATGACAAGGTTGGAATTTTACTGTTTGCTGAGAAAACATGTACTGCAGGGCTCACAGTACATGTGACAAATGGCAAAGTGTTGGCCATAGGGGCAAGACAGGACCAAGGACTAAACAGAAATTTATAAAAATGATTAAAATGTCTTTAATATGTGCTTATCCTTTATTTGATCCAATAATCTCATATTTAGAAATTTACTCCAAGGAAATAATCAGATAACTATTCAAAACGGTCTTTTAAAAAACCACAGTTGTGAAAACATAAACACCACTTAAGTATCCAACAAAAATGTATTGATTAAAATAATTATAATGTATAGCCAGATTAGAGATACAGATAGATATTCACACATAGGCATATAAATTTGTTAATTTCATCTATTTTAAGAAATTAGATTACAGTATATTTTAAATGCTTCTATTTATAAAATAAAGAAGCATATATGCATAGGAATGTGTCTGGAAATATCTTAAATTCACTCCATAAATACTGATTAAGTGCCTAGTACAGAAGGATAGCATAGCATAGCAGTTACAAGCGCTGACTCTGGAGCCAGACAGCTGGAGTGAATCTGAGGTCTGCCACTCACTAGCTGTGTGGACTTCGGCAAGTCACGCTCTCTCAGTGGTAGAGCGCAATGAAAAAAAAATGTAATAGAGTGAGGAAAATAAAGAGATACAGTATGGGAAGTGGTATTTCAGTTAGAGTGGTTACAGGAGACCTCCCAAAGGCTTCAGAAGAAAACCACAAGTGAGGGAATGAGCGCTTCTTACATCCAAGCAGAGGGAACTGCGTATGAAAGAGCCTGACGCTGGAGCATGCTCTCATGGTTCCAGGAGAACCAGCAGACCAGGGTGGCTGGGGCAGAGTGAATTAACACCCAGCTGGTCATGCATGGCAGGTTTCATGGACACTGGTTTTTCATACTTGAACACATTCATATGGTTTGGATTTTTGCAATTAGCATGAAGTACTTTTACAATAGAAAACAGCAAATATATTTACATTTGGAAAGATGAAAATAATGTTACTCACTTTTAATTACCTTCTCTCCAGTGAGTATTAACGATGCTTAGTTTCCTAAAAATACACAATCACATTTTCTAAGCGAAGTTCAAAGTCATCTGCTTTTTCAGTCAATCACAGGAGCACTTAGCAGTGAGGAGTTCTCATGCTTCTGTTTGGGGCAGTGCTGCTTTAGTATTTTGCTCTTTACTTCACCTCAACCCTCCAACAGTGTTCGATTAGAAACCATTTTTAACTTTAAATGACTTTTTTAAAATTGGCATTTCCTTCATGTACCAAAAATTATGAGCATATATTTTAAAAGTTAAAAACGAATTTGATCAAACATTTTGCTTGGCTAGAAAGGTTTTCAGTAGTTCATTAACTGCAAAATAATTCCCCACTGAATGCCAGAGATCCTGTGCAAGATGTTGCCTGGGGCTGAATAATATGTGTTCACCTTTTAATCACACTAACAGAGGGGAAATGGAAAGCAAGTCCACCAGTATTCAACATACAGTCTTTATTTTAATGGAGAGGAGCTGAAGCGTAAATAGTACAAAGTATCAGATAATTCAAAAAATGTTTATGATTTTGTTGGGTGTGAGTATAGCTTTACTATACAGGTATTTCTAATAATCTTAAAAATTCACTCCCTTTCAAATAATGAAACTACATTGTTAAAACCTGGTACAAGTTGGCAGTCCCTCTCTTTTTCCTTTTATCTGTTTCTGCCTGAACTTCAGGGTAGTAATTGGCAGTATTCCTTCCTTCCCAGTCTATATATTAATAATTTTCAAGAACTATGGCTTCAAAAATGGCTTTTTTGCTTCCATATTTACAGTTAGTTTACTTCACAGCATTACCGATATGGGATGGATGCTAGATACCATTTACTGATCTGTTTTACGCATCTCTGGCTTCATAGCTGCACAGTAAGCAAGTTGAGGGCAGGAAATAGTGTCTTTTTTACATTTTTATCCTGAGCAACTTGTGCAGTTCTTGGCATATAATAAATGCCTAATATTTGTTTGTTGAAATTAAATGAATCCTGCACCCAGTAATGCTATACTTTACAATGTAATAAAAAATAAATTTGTGATTTTATTTCAATAGCAATTTTATTCTAGTTTTGATTCTCCAAGCCCATTAAAAGGGTCAACTGGGATGCGGTATAGTTTCACAAACGTGTTTCTTTTATTAATGAGTATCATTCTGGTCTAATTTGTATTTTCAGTTTTACATCCTTAATGTTGAAAAAAATTTTAAGATTAAATCAGAAGTCGTTACACTGAAAGATCATTAATTATTCTGAACTAAAATAGGCCTTGTTCATTGTTTGGCTTTGACACCATTGTGTAAACCTGAAATATCTGGTTTGTTTTGCTTGGGGGAAAGACACAGAGAATCAATCGTGCCAGAGATTTAGCAGGATCAAATGAATTACCCAGTCTGTATGCCCTTTCTACCCCACCCCCACCCTTGATTCTGTGGAGACAGTTAATTCTCCTGTAAGAGAAACAAAAACCTGAGAAAAGAATATTTAAAGTAAATTATTGGTATTGCCAATGACAATATATATGGCAGAGTGTTACATAGAATATGCTTCTCACCACTTCTCTTTTTCTATCTGTATTCCATTAAAACATGTAGGTATGGCATTCAGTGTGCAGATCAATGGCTACCTGTGGACTTACCTCTGTATAATGCTTTTCATTTTCTGAAATTCCCACCCGTGTAAAAAAAAATTACAAAGTAAAGATAGAAATAAGAATCAAGAGACTTTGGTTACAATATCAAGGAGACTGTTCTTCCAATACCCTCTGCAAAACGCAAGGCCAAGTTGCTACTAGAAAATGGCATCGGTCTTTTTCATGGGGTTGTAGTTTTCTGCCTTTAATAGCCATTTCTGAATTTCATTAAAGTAATAGGAAAATTGTATAGTCTCTGTCCTTTTATGAGGAACTTGCATTCTGTATTTGAACCAAAAAAATCACCTCTGTCCATGCACAAGTCATGAACCTCCTCACACTGCCTGTATTACGCATACTCCCCCACTGGATACAGCAGCTCCAGGCTTTCTTATTTATTTATTTATTTATTTATTTATTTATTTATTTATTTATTTTTAGTTTTTTAGACGGAGTCTCGTTCTGTTGCCAGGCTGGAGTGCAGTGGCATGATCTCGGCTCACTGCAACCTCCAACTCCATGGTTCAAGCGATTCTCCTGCCTCAGCCTCCCGAGTAGCTGGGATTACAGGCAAGCGCCACCGTGCCCAGCCAATTGTTGTATTTCTGGTAGAGACAGGGTTTCACCATGTTGGCCAGGATGGTCTCCATCTCCTGACATCATGATCTGCCCTCCTCGGCCTCCCAAGGTACTGGGATTATAGGCGTGAGCCACCGCCCCAGGCCCCAGGCTTTATTTTTAAATTCTGCTTTCTCATATCAAATAGGCTACCCATTGACACCCAATAAAATATCAACTGAAGTTTTTTATTTCCATCTGAAACTTCATTTATCACCAGTTAGCAACTTAAAGTTTTAAAATTATTCTGTATCACGGTTTTTAGGAATGTTCTATATATGACACATTACTTTCACTTCAATATAGTTTTGTGGGTGGCTGCATCATAGTAGGAACTGAAGCAGAAGAGAAAGTTCATTAAATAATCATTTCACACTTTATAATATATGCACCTAATAAAAGCATTGAAAGATTTAAACTATTCCAGGGAGACTATTCATAAAGGCAGCTTGAAATATGACTTGAGCAATTATAAAAATATATTTATCAAATGCAGACAACCAATCTGTGTATTTCAAGGGAAAAATCCTTTATTTAAACTTTCACTTCACTTACCTGTAGGTATAGCCAAAGTTCTAACATTTCATTTCTACTGCAAACTTACCACTATTTACTTTGCTTGTATGATATTCTGCCTTAAAAAAAAATCCAGCTTTATAGCAAACATTAGTTGACAATTAGACTGCAAATGTATGAAATAGTTAAATGAAACAAGCCATTAGACTGGATTTTATTTTTAATTAACAGCATAACAATATTGATTAATATACTTTCAAACATATATCTACTTTGTCTTTCCTTTATCACTGATAAAGTTCACATATATCTTAAAGCATGTCTGGTAAGGTGGTCCGTTAAATATTTTATTAACATTATTAGTAAAAACCTGACATTTAAACTTCTAGGTCTAACATAGAGAGATAAGATCCCTTGGTATTATCGTTTTTGCATTGGGAAGAATCATTCATGTAATCTCTTTTCAAAAACAGACATAAGACAGTGAGTACCCATTGCTTTGGAGAACATTTAACAGATTTTCTTTGTGGTTTTTTTTTCTGTTGTTTTTTCAACAACTTCGCCCCAAATTTTTTGGTATGTAGAATTCAAATTTTCTGGGCAATATGTGAGAAAGTTAGCATAAGGCATGAACATCCAACGGGAAAGAAAATGATTTGGATCCCAACCTCTTCCTTTTTAGAAAGAGCCTGGACAAATGATCTTGTTCTGATCAAGCCCAGTATGTAAATCTAAAAGCAAATAGTGGGAAAATGGTTGTGCTGCATGGTGTGTATGTGTGTTTTTAAGCTGTGTCATGAAAAAAGCCAGGTAGGCTCTTGAGCAATCAGTATCTGGTAGCAATTTGGTGGTCTTCCAACCTCAAGAGACTATGTCTGAGTTACAGGTCTAGTGCCAAGAAAGACCATCCAAGACACACAATTCAACATCAATAGTAGCAGCTGCAGAATTAAACAAAAGCAGTTCTTTGAACTGTCTGATTTTCACTGGCATCACCAGGGCTTCTGGCTTGTTTCACAGCAGCAGTAGTGTGGCAGCATGTTTTGGAACAGACAGCATCTGATTCCAATGGCATATTTCTCAAGTTCTAAATTGACATATCTGCATTCTGGCTTTAGGAATGAAATGAAAGCAAAAGGGAGAAAAGCTTCTTTAAGCCAAAGACAAACCCTGATGAGGGTAACTGATGTGAGCTCTCAGCAACCCATACTTCCGGAAGCTGAGTGAGTGTCTCCGTACTGAATGGGGGATCAGAGAAGCATATCACTTTCAATTTACTTATTATACTCTTATGCTGTTAATTCTCTTCTAATAGAATATTTGGACAAATCAGGACTCCAATTTGTTTTGTTTGTTAAGGAAATTTACAGGAACAAAAAATAGTTGAATAAACTGCAGTTTCTATCTTGGCAGCCACAACCGACACCTATAATCTTTCTAACATGGGATCGTGATGGCATTTTGGATCAAGTTATAAGTGTCAACTAGGATGTTGTGCCTAATACTTCTCTAAATGTCCAGGCAGTCCTCTTTCTCCAATAAATGCTTATCTGAGCAAGTAGCCATAATTCCCTTCAGGAAAAAGACTGGAGAAATCATTATTATACATGATTTGTGCAGTATTTTAGGATCCTCTCTCATGGGGCCTCATCCTCTTTAGTCAATGGGTTCCAGATCCGAGAACTGAGTTAAGAATATAAACTGCCTGCCAGCCATAGCCTGGAGTGCCTCTTCTCTGAAGGGAATGTTCTGGCTGACATGCTGTAGCATCTGCTATACAAAGTTATTTCATCTACCAAAATAAGATGGACAAACAAAGCAAATATCCACATAAAAATTCTAGAATAAATATTACATTACACATTTTCTGAACAAAGGAAAAGAACACAGTAGAGAGAAAGAGAAGGATGAGGTAACATTTTCATAAGCCTCTTCTCACCAGACATCTTGCCTTGTATATACTATGTATTCAATACATATATGCTGAGTGAAAAAATGAAAAAAAAGAGATTTCACACTCAATTCTATTAAGAAAACACATGCATATATTACTTAATTCTAAACATCTTCAAGAGGGTTTGCCTCACTCATGCCTATTATCATTAATTAGGATGTCATTCAAGTAAATGATGTTATGTTTATGTTATCTTTACACCAGACTGTCCACTTCTTCAAGGAGGAGCTCTAATTGAATTATAACCTCCCTTTCCTTCCTCCCCCTCCCCACCCCAAACCATTGCCGAATATCAACTCATAGCAACAATCAATTTGTGTAGGTACATTTTACACTTTGGAGGAAATTTACTGTTCTTAAACAATACAATGCAGGCAATTGGACTTTACTTCTTTTGACTGAAAATGAATGCAAATGAAAATGAATAGAAGTTAAATATCTTTATTAAATTCATTATTTTTTAGCTTTCATTGGCCTGTATCTAGTAATGTTAATGGTGTCTTAAAATCAGTAATTAAATATGGGCTTTGACATAACTTTTTAAATATTCAACCAATATCATAATTTATATCAATATTTACTCATTTTTAACTTGCAAAAGAACTTGATTTTGTCAAAGTTTTCTTAATATTTACTTCAGATTAAACTTTTTCCTGTTTTTAGCTATTTTAAAACTTCTCACCGGGTGTCTTTAGATTTCATAATTGTCATATTCTTTAGAAGCATTTTACATTTGATATATTATTCTATTTTTTATACAATGTCTAACCATGCTCCAATAATAAATCATAAACTTTAATTGAAAGGAGCTATTGAACTCTAAACATAAAATACTTACCTACAAGCTATATCATGTAGTACTAACTGTAAAGACTTCCAAAAATTTTTATATGCTTCGTAATAGGAAGATTATTTTGATAAGAAATGTTATTTATATACTAGTAAAATATTAAAGGTTTAGTTCGCAAAACTTTTTGAACAGCTGTTGTCTGGTCAAAGCTGTTCTCTGGTCAAAGCATTATACTAAATAACGCAATGAAAAACATTTTATCTGTCTTCATGAATGTTATATTGAATTAACAGATTATGAAAATAATTTATCATAATACAAAATAAAATAAAGTAAGTAAAATAAGGTTAGTATAAGCAAAGAAAAATGATCAAATTATTCCAAACATAGAGACTGGGGAAGATTGTATATTAACCTCAAACAAAATATTTATCTCAGATTAGTGTAACTGTCTGTTCCTTCTCTGTCTTTCCCACTAAGCTGTGAATTTATATAAGTGGGCTGGTGAGATGAATTGAGTCTCCAGCTCAGTATTTCCTATGCCTACTACAGATTTCTGAGCTAACAGACAATCTTCTAGTCTTTAGGTTGATTAGGATGTAAATTATCCACATCTTAAAAGATGAGTGCCAGCTCTATAAAGGTCTTTCCAAGGTAAGTGAAAGGTGTTGGACTGATTGCACAAGTCTGTTGGTGTATGTTTAATGCTCCACTTGAGGAATGTAGAAGGAAATGTTTCGCGAGTGAAGTATATAGGTAGTTTATAGTATAGAATGCCTTGATATCGTATAGAATGCCTTGAATCCCATACAATAGAATCATATAATTACTCATTTTGTAAGTAAACTTCTGAGAATTGTCTTCGTAACAGCATAACATAATCTGAGAGGTCATCGGTTTATTGGGCTACATAAGTCACATCTAAGTAATGGATTCTCATTACTAGCCTTGCTAACTCAGAAGATAAATGGGAAATCAAGAAATGGACTAATTTTGTTCTGTATTTCAATAAACCACTTCCAGAAATAAGGGATTAAGGCAACTGGAATACATTTTTAAACCATACCCTTATTAAACATCTGTATTTTAGATAAAAATTATATTCCTTGAATATAAAAAATCCTCCTATATTGTTTCAATTAACAATTCTTTGGAAATACTGATTCTATGGTTACTTGCATCACACAAATCTAATCTTATTTGAAGCCCTGCATTAGCTGAAGTGAATTCAAATCTGTTCAGTAAATATTTAATATATATCTAACTCAAAACTCAAAATTGAAATTCAGAATTGTGGAAGGCAATATCTCAGATGTTGAGGGTAACCACTCAGTTTGAAGCCCCCTTCCTCACCCTACTAGAGTTTAACAATTTCTTCCATGCCTTGTCCAAGGTGAGAATTTATTACAAATTTGAAACTGGAGGTCTTTACATGACTATAGATTTTACCATATGGCCACTTGGGAAAAAAATAGTAAAATTTCTAATAATTTTCTGAAATTAAACTGCTTTAAAAACCTACCAGAGACTTCCAGTTTTAACTCCAACATGTGAAAGCCTAGGAAGAACAAGAAAAACCTTGACACACTGAAAAATCAATGACTTTTCTTGGATTCATCAACAACAGCCACTCCAAAATCGGGAGAGACAGGTGACTTCAGATAGTCAGATGAAATCTCCTTTCCTATAGCAGAAGCAGTAGAACCACAAACTTGTAGAGATACTTACATTAATTTTGTTTAATTAATTTGAAAAAACCCTAAAATTGCCAAAACCATTCTAAGCAAAAAGAAGCCAAAGTTATTCTAAGCAGAAAGAACAAAACTGGAGGCATCACATTACTGAACTTCAAATTATACTACAGAGCTATAGTAACCAAAACAGCATGGCATAAAAACAGACATAAAACTGGCATAAAAACAGGCACATAGACCAATGGAGCAGAATAGAGAACTCAGAAAAAATTCACACACCTACAGTGAACTCATTTTTGACAAAGCTGCCAAAAACATACATTAAGGAAAAGACAGTCTCTTCAATAAATGGTGCTGGGTAAACTGGATCTATATGCAGAAGAATGAAACTAGACCCTCTTCTCTTGGCATATATCAAATGAAATCAAAATGGATTCAAGATTTAAATCTAACATCTCAAATTACAAAACTATGACAAGAAAACGTTGAAGAAAATCCCCAGAACATTGGTTTGAGGAAAAATTTATTGAGAAATACCCCACAAGCCCAGATAACCAAAGCAAAATGGACAAATTGAGTCACATCAAGTAATAAAGCTTCTGCACAGCAGAGGATACAGTTAACAAAGTGAAGATGCAACCCACAGAATGAAAGAAAATGTTTGCAAACTACTCATCTGACAAGGGTTAATAATGAGAATATATAAGGAGCTCAAACAACTTTGGAAAAAATCTAATAATCCCATCAAAAAATTGGCAAAAGATTCAAATAGACATTTCTCAAAAGAAATCATACAAATAGCAAACAGGCATATGAAAATGTGCTCAATATCACTGTTCACCAGAGAAATGCAAATCAAAACTACAATGAGATATCTCTCACCATAGTTAAAATGGCTTATTTTATTGGCAATCATTTATTGCCAAAAGACAGGCAATAACAAATGCTGGTGAGGATGTGGAGAAAAGGGAACACTTGTACACCATTGTGGGAATGTAAATTAGTACAATACTATAGAAAACAGTTTGGAGGTTTTTCAAACAAAATAAAAATGTAGCTACCATATGATCCAGCAATCCCACTGCTGGGTATGTATCCAAAAGAAAGGAAATAGTATATCAAAGAGATATCTGCACTCCCATGCTTGTTGCAGCTCTGTTCACAATATATAAGACTTGGAAACAATCTAAATGCCCATCAACAGATGAACAGATAAAGAAAATGTAGTACATATACACAATGGAGTACTACATATACAGAGTGAAGAACTATTCATCTATAACAAAAGAATTCTGTCATTTGCAACAATATGTTTGAAACTGGAGATCACTATGGTAAGTGAAATAAGCCAGGTGCAGAAAAACAAACATCACATATTCTTACTTATTTGTGGGATCTAAAACTCAAAATATTTGACCTCATGGACATGGAGAGTAGAAGGATGGTTACCAGAGACTGGGAAGAATAGTGGGGAAGTGTAAAGGGAAGGTGGAGGTGGTTAATGGGTACAAAAAAATAGAAAGAATGAATAAGACCTGCTATTTGATAGTGTAACAGGTTGACTATGGTCAATAATAACTTGATTGTACACTTAAAAATAACTAAAAGAGTATAATTGGATTGTTTGTAACACAAAGGATAAATGCTTGAGTGATAGACACCCTATTTCCTATGATGTGATTATTGTGCATTGTATGTCTATATCAAAACATCTCATGTACCCCATAAATATATATGCCTATGTCCCCAAAAAATTAAATATAAAAAATGTCAAATAAAAAATATTTTAATTAATTACTGGATGTTGAGTGTGAACTACCACAAGTGTGAGAGAGTGTTGGGAGCCTCAAGCTTAAGAGAAACTCACACTTTCATTTCCTGTCTGAAGTGACACCAGATTCTCCCAGTGAAAATCTGAGAAAGCTGCCATTCTAAATATAGCCTAGTGAGGACAGAAGCAATCATTGTGAAACCTGCTAAGTGTCGTCTACATGAGAAAACCATTTCCCAGGGGGAACGAATTTATCAGAGCCTTGTTCCAGGACCACGAGGGAAAGCCATTTGTTCTAGCCTCTTCTAGTCTTTCTGTCTGAACAGGTATGGGTGGCTTAGATGGAAAGATGGGAAGCTGTTTAAGAAGAAACATATTTGAAGGTCACAGTCAGAAATACAAATCCACTAAAAGGCTAAGACTTAATTGAAAGATTGTAAGTTGTTTTTCCTCTCATCATCTCACCAATAGGGCATCAGCATAATACTGAATTGCCACTTAAAAAGTTGCAATACATAGACTTTCTTCTCTAAGTAGAATAATTTAGTGAGTCTAGAAGATGGAAACAAAAATACCAGAGAAATGTGAAGACATTACCACTTCTACCTATAGCAAACATTAAACAAAGCCCAACACATAGCCACATAAACCAAAGTCCCATTTAATTCACTTTCTATTTCTTAGTACAACACATCCGGTTTTCCAAAATCAACAACAACAACAAAAAGACAAGTCACACCAAAAGGCAAGGGAAATCATATTCTGAGGTGAAAAAGCTGTAATCAGAACTACCAGTACAGCAAACATTAAGAACAGCTCAAATCCTAACCATATTAACAAAGAACCTCACACTAGATGCCTATTACTTTAATTTATATTACCTGATACATTGTATCCAGGTTTCAACTAAGAAATATGAGTCCTGCTAAACGGGAAAAGGAAAACACATTGAATAGAAAAGAAAAGCAGCAGATCCAGACGCAGGTATGAGACAGATTTTGGAATCATCAGACAGAAAATAACCATGATTAATATGCTGAGGTCTCTAATGTAAAAAAAAAAAAAAAGACAACTTACAAGAACAGATGAGTTATAAAATCAGGTAAATGAAACAAAAAAAGAATCAAAATGAAATAATATAAATGTTTAAAAACTGGAAGAGAAATGAAGATGCTTTTGATAGGCTTATAAGTAGATTCAACATGACCAAGGATAGAATCAGTATGCTTAAAGACAGGTCAGTAGAAACTCCAAACTTAATTGCAAAGAAAAAGCAGCTTAAGAAAAAGAAGAGAATATCCAAGGACTGCGGGAAATTTTCAAAAGGTTTAATGCAGAGGTAACTGGAATACAATGCATTGAAAAAAAGAGATCTCAGCAGAAGAATATTTGCAGTAATAATGGGTGAAATATTTCCAAAAATGACAAATCACTTCAAACCAGAGATCCAGGAAATTTGATGAAAATCTGGTGGAATTCATACCAAAAAAAATTTATTCCTAGACATATTATCTTCCAACTACAGAAAACCAAAGACACAGAAAATCTTGAAGAAACCAAAGGGAAAAAACACTTACCTAAAGAGGAACAAGGATAAGAATTAGAGCATACTTCTTAATAGAAAACTTGCAGCAATAAGAGAATGGAATACAATATTTAAAATATTGAAACAAAAAAAAAATCTAGAATTCTATCTCTAGCAAAATTACCTTTCAAAAGTTAATGAGAAGTAAGGGCTTTCTCAGACAATAAAAACTAACGGAAATCACTGTCAGAAGACATGTACTGCTAGAAATGTTAAAAGATTTCTTAAGGCAAGAGAAAAAATGATATAATTCCTGATACAAAGGGTGTTGGATAACGAATAAAGCAAGGTTAAATTATTTTATTTTTATTACTCTTAATTGATGTAAAAGGTAACCATTGTTTAAAGCAATAATAGCAACAATATATGGGTAATTATAGCATACGGATAAATGAAATGTTTGACAAGTATATCACAAGGGAAAGGAAGTAGGAATCGGGAATACTCTATTGAAAAGTACGGCCACCACATGCGAGGGGATTAGTGTTGTTTGAAGGTGGGCTTAGATTAATTAAAAATGTATATTTTAAACACAGTGCAACCACTAAAAAACTTACAAAAGGAGTATAATTGATACACTAAGAGAAATGATAAAGTGTAACCACTTAAATGCTCAGTAAATTCAGAGAAATAAAAAATAGAAATCGATAAAAAGAAATAAATGGAATGAATATAAAATAATTATAAACATGGTAGGTATTAATCCAAATATATAAAATATATCATTTTAAATATTAATGGCCTGAATATACCAATTCAAAGCCAGAAATTTTCAGAGTAGATAGAAAAAGAAGAGTCAAGTATAATTTATCTTCAAGAAACCCACTATATGTATAAAACTCTGATAAGTTAAAAGAGAGATGATGGAGAAAGTTACAACTCTAATTAAAATAAACTTTTTAAAAATTAGCTTTAATTAAAAGAAAGCTCACATATTTACCTAATTTTAGACAGTAAGCCCTTCAGAATAAAGAAAATTAATAGGAAAAAGGAGGGTCACTACATAATAATAAGAGGAGCTATTCCTTAAGAAGACATAACAATCTTAAACATACGTGCACCTGGCAATAGGAAGCAAAATATATAGGGCAAAAAATGATAGAACTGAAAGGAGAAATTATAGTTGGAGACTTTAACAACTTCCTCTGTAGCTGATAAATCAAGCAGACAGAATAGATATGAGGGTGTAGTTGATCTGAATAGCAACATCAACCAATTTGATTGAATAGACATTTTTTGAACAATCCTTACAACAACAGAAAAATATACATTTCTGTCAAGTTCACACAAAACAAGCAACGAGGTAGACCACATCATAAAGTATAAAACACAACAGAGTTTAAAGAATAAAAGTCATACAAACTTTGCTCTCAGACCACAACTGAATTAAAACAGAAATCCATAACACAAAGATAGCTAAACAATTCCCAAACATTTGGAAATTACACACTTTAAAATATCACATGGGTCCCAAAATAAGTCTCAAGAGCAACTAAAAGTATTTGAAACTCATGTGTAATAAAAATACAACTTATTAAAGTTTGGGAGATTCGGTGGAGCAGTAATTAAAGGAAATTTTATAGCATTAAATGCATAGATTAGAAAAGAAGAAAGATTTAAAATCAATAACCTCTGCTTCACTTGAAGAAATTAGTGAAAGAATAGCAAGTTACGTCTAAAGCAAGCAAAATAAAATAAATAAAACATAAGGCAGAATTCAACGAAATTTAATAAAGAAAATCAATAGAGAAAATCAACAAAACCAAAACCTTATTCTTTGAAAATGTCAATAAAATTAAACAACTACTAGCCAGAATAACCAAAAAAGGAAGACACAAATTGTTAATAACAGACACAAAGTATGAGTCAACACCACTGATCCCACGAAAATTAAAAGAATAATAACGGGATAATCCAAGAAGTCTATAATTCACAAATTTGATCAATTAATTGACCAATTCCTTGGAAGATTCAAACTTTAAAAATTCTAATAAGAAGAAATAAACTGGGTATAGTGGCACATGTCTGTAGTCCTAGCTACACAGGAGACTGAGGCAAGAGTATAGCTTGAGCCCAGGAGTTCAAATCTAATCTGGGCAGCATAGTGAGACCTTGTTTCTTGGGGGAAAAAAAGAAGAAAGAAGGAGGAAGAAGAAGGAGAACAGGAAGAAGAAGAAGAAGAAGAAGAAGAAGAAGAAGAAGAAGAAGAAGAAGAAGAAGAAGAAGGAGGAGGAGGAGGAGGAGGAGGAGGAGGAGGAGGAGGAGGAGGAGAAGAAGAAAGAGGAAGAAGGAGAAGAGGAGAAGGAGGAGGAGGAGTTGGTGGAGGAAGGAGGTGGAGGGGGAGGAGGGGAGGAAGGAGGAGAAGCCTAAAAGTCATGTATCTTCTAAAGAAATTGAAATAATACTAATATTCTTCTCCCTGAAATAAATAGCAGGCCCAGAGAGTATTGATAAAGTTTTAAGGGTAAAATTATAATACATATACAGAATCTCTTCCAAAAAATAGAATCAGAGAGAATACCTCCTAAGTCACTCTTTGAGGTCATCATTACCCTAATACCTAAACTAGATAAAAACACTGTAAGAATGAAAAATTACCAACAAAGTATCCAAAGAATTATAAGCATCACAAAGCGAACATTGTTCCAGGTAAGGCCAGCCTGGTTCAATATTCAAAAATCAAGCAGCGTAATCCACCACATCAACAATCTAAAGAAGAAATATTATATGAGCATATCAATTGATGTATTAATGTGTATGACAAAATTCAGTAAATATTTATTATAAAAGCATTGAGCAAATTAGAAACTGAGGAGAACTTCCCTAACGTAATTAAAAATATATTAAAACAGCTAACATCATACTCATTATACTTCTTGGTAAGAAACTAGACTCTTTTCCTCTATTAAGGTCAAGAACATGGCATCACCCTTCATACTGAAAGTCCTGGGTAGTTCACTGAGACAATAAAAGGAAATAAAATTAAACATCACATGTTCTGACTCACATGTGGAAGCTAAAAAAAGTTGATCTAAAAGTAAGAAGTAGAACAGAGGATACTAGAGGCTGTGAAGGGTACAGGGGAAGGCAAGAATAGGGAGAAATTTATTAAAGGATAGAAACTTACAGCTAAATAGGAGAGATGCATTCTATCATTCTGTATCACTGTAGAATGACTATAGTTGACAATAATATACAGTTTCAAATTGCTAGAAGGAGGATATTAAATGCTCCCAATATAAATAAATGATAAATTTTTGAGATGATGGATATGTTAATTACCCTAATCTGATCATTATACATTATGTGTATAATATTTTCATGATGTATCCTGTGAATATATATAATTATTATATGTCAGTTAATAAATAGGACACACAGATTGGAAAAGAAAAATAAAACATCTCTAATCACAAACAATAGGTTTGTCTCTGCAGAAATCCAAAGAATTTGCAAAAATAAATAAATAAAGACTCCTGGAACTAAAAAAAAAAAAAAAAAAAGGTATAGAAAGGTCACAGGATAAAAAGTTAATAGACAAAAGTTCATTGCTTATCTACATATCAACAAAATAGGAATTTGGAATTTTTAAAAATATAATTTACAACAGCATCCCCAAACCCAAAATTCTTAGGTACAAACCTACATGCAGGAAATTACAAAACACTGATGGAGAAAAAAAATCAAATAAGATCTAAATAAATAAAGACATATGAAACGTTTACGTATTGGAAGACTCAATATTGTTAAGATGACAATTATTCAATTCGATCTGTAGATTTAAGACAATTCCAATAAAATATCAGAAAGCTATTTTGTAGACATTAACAAATTTATATTAAATTTATTTTAAATTTGTGACTGTTGCTCACCTATTAGAAATTCTACAATTCAAAAACTTGAAAATAGCAATCAGTGTTAAAACATGGAGCAACATGTGCTCTTATTCATTGCTGGTGGGAATGCAAAATGGTAAAGCCACTTTGAAATATAGTTTGAGAGTTTCTTACAAAGCTAAACATAATCTTACCATGAAATACAATCATATGTTCCTAGTCATTTAACCAACTGATTTGAAAAAAATGTCACCATAAAATCTGCACATGAATGTTTATGGCACCTTTATTCAAAATCTCTAAAACCTGGAAACAACCAAGATAGCCTTGAATAGATGAATGGATAAACAAACTGTGGTACATTCATATAAGGGAACATTATTCAATGATTATAAGTAATGTGCTATCAATACATGAATAAATCTGAAATGCATTTTGCTGAGTGAAAGAAACTAGTCTGAAAAATCTACATACTATGTGATTCCAATTATATGTCATTTTGGCAAAGAAAAAACAAGAGATAGGAAAAAGATCTGTGGTTCACAGGGGTTCAGAGTAGGACCTAGAGTTGAATAGGTGAAGCACAGGACATTTTTATGGCAGTGAAAGTATTCTGTACCATACTGTAATAGTGAATACATAACATTTTGCATTCATTAAAAACCCTATAGCTTTATAGCACAAAGAGTGAACCTTAACATATATAAATCTAAAATACATATTTAGCAAATTCGTAGATCTTCAGATGGAATAGAGAAGATGACAAAATAATCTAAATATATTTTAAAAGTATAAAACACCCTAAACATATTTTAAAAGTGTAAAACACACAAAGATTCTAACCTAATAACTTTAGATATGAATGAAATCTGTAAGACTAAAGGCAAAAGTAACTGTACCTAGCACTGTTCTCTATTTGGTAAAGTTATTTCCCATTGGCATATGTGTTAGCAATTCTGCAACTCCTGTGCATGGATATTCAAATTGAATGATTAAGTAAATGAACAGCAGATGGTGAGAGCCAGGTTTCTCGCTGTGGGAATAGGAATACAAGCAAGAAAACGAGGTTAGAATGACCTGTGTAGTAATGAATTAGAGAATCTAATTAACTCGTTTACTTTAATATAGATGCAGATGAATATATATACCTGTATGTGTATGTATATCTATTTGTATATGTGCATATAAACATGGACTAATATACATACATATATATATATTTGTTCAGCTTAGAGAGCATAGAAGCAACAAGAACCAAGTAGTAATGAGCACACCTAGTGCACGGATCTTGGTTTTCAATGTCGTTCTCCAATGAAAAGAACCAGGGCTCCTTGAGAAGATTGTTGATTATAGGAATGGGACAGGAAATATACAAGATGAGCCTAGAGTATCTTGCAGTGCCAGAAAGTATGGAAGTGCTCAAAAGAGGGGGAAAATGGGGTTTTGTCAAAGGGACCCAGGAGTCAAGTGAAAGAGCTCTTAATGGCCAAATCTGAAACAACTGAGCAAGAAAATAAGGTAGCATTGGGTTATAATCCAAGCATAAATTAAATACCCATGTGTGCCTCCTGATATTAAAAATGATTGAAAAAATAAATTAATGAGGGAGAACAGACAAATTCTGGAGCAAAAGAATTTCAAATTTCAAATAATTTAGGTAATTATTCCACATTTAAGGAGATGAAGCACCACTCCTCACTCCTTAAGTATAAACTCATATATAGCAACTTCCTTCCAAAGAGTACACTTCAGAAAGGGAGAAAAAAAGAATTACTTTACAGTGCAGAAACTGAGCAACACTACCCAAGCCACGTGATCAAGATTAACATGAAAATTTATGTCAAATTGATAATATGTACCCTAGATATGATGTGATGAGAATGGTACTGTTCCTCTAAAGTCTTCCTCTCCAAACCCACAACCACGTACTAATCATGAGAAAAGCATCAAACAAATCTCAGTTGAAGGACATTCTGCAAAATACATGATTAGTGCTCCTCAAACTGTCAAGGTCATCAAAAACAAGGAAAGTCTGAAAACTTGTTACAACCAAGAGGAGCTTAAAGGAATATAATGACCAATTGTAATGTGGCATCCTAGATGTCATTTTGGGAAGGACAGAAAAAAAACTGAAGAAATTTAAATGAAGTATGGACGTGGGTTAATAATAATGTACCAATATCATTTCATGAGTTGTGACCACACTAATTCGAATTGTTGATTATAGAGAAAACTAGGTAAAGAGAGCAAATACTCTTTCCTGTCTTTGAAATAATTCTGTAAATCTAAGTGGACAGCCCATTCTAATTTTATGCCAAAAGAAAATACCCACAATCTTTCCAAAACAATTTTTAAAACAAAATTTTTATCCATAAAAACAAAACCAATGTTTAGCACTTTTTGACAGATTCAGTTGTACGTTGCTTTTTCTCTTTATTTCTTGTATATGAACTATATCATGGGTTTTAGAACAAAATTAACACAGACAAGTAAATGACTTTTGTGCTGTATATTTCCGCACATTAATGGCATCATTTGCATGCTAAAGAAATGAAATTTTTATTCTGCTGTGGCCACAAAGGATTAATTTAATGAATTAAATAGAGTTTGGATTGCCTTCTGAGAGAGAGAAGGTTAAAAGGTACATTTTGCTAAATATTTAAAATCTTTAACCTTTGCGGTATAGATCTTCATGATTTAAAAAAAAAAAAGAATGATAGGAACTTAAAGCATAGTTGTATCTTGATTGAAATGTTTTTCTTTTTTAATTTCACAGGTAATCTACATGATTCTTTGAATTAATACACAATATATTCTAATAATATTATAATTTTTCTATGGAAGAATTTCTAAACATATTTATCAAATTTCTTTTTCTTTTTATCTTTTTCAACCTGAGTGCACAAAGTTTTACATATGTGCAGGTAGCATTAAGATTCTCCTACATGGCTTTTTTCTGCAGTAAGATACGAAAATGTCTTAGAATCCACTATTTCCAATCTTTAAGTGAACAGCCTTCATGTTTCTATTTAATTACTAATTTGGTCACTTGTGGAAAAATTAGGAAATCTCTTTTAATTTGTGTTCCTTGAACTTCTATATGGATTTATTAGTTTAACATCTGGTATTCTCATCACAAAGTGTCAAATACAGAGGAAACTCATATACCAGAGGGTTTTAGAAGCAATGAAGCAACAAATAATTTATTTTATTAGATATAATTATTTCCCACAGTAAACATATTACAAGAAATCTGTCAAATATGTAAGATGGTTGTGGCATCTCTATAATTATCTATGGTAGTAGTCTGAAAAAACATAGATTAAAACAATCTCTTGGTAGGGAAGAAGAAAAATCAGTTTAAGTGGGAAATGATCTTATAAATTGTGTTTTATATTCTTATTCTTGATATAAGTGCAGGAAAGTATCTAGGGTTCAATATATAATAATAAAGATGAGGATTTTTAGTGATGTATTTTCTTAATCATTAAATTTAATCCAACTAATAATGTTTCTATTTAGTATTCCACTTAGCATTTAGAAAAAGGTGGAACATTTTTGAGGTTTAGGAATAAATTAACTTTCCAGATACAAATATATTTTATTTTTTCATTATTTTTCTAGTTTTATATTATATATGCATATATGCACATCTACAAAGCAAAGTATTAATTTTTTTAAAAGATAAGCTACACAACATATTGCAGCTTCTTATTACTCACAATCACAGGTCTTTTCATTACTATCACTCTGGTTCCTCTCTAGGAGTCTTTCGCCAGGAACCTAAAGACCTGAACCTGTAGAAAGCCTTTCCGTTCTGGCTAGACAGGAGTTGGTTCCTTCCAGAGGGATTACTGTTTCTCTAATCTGACATGGGGCCCCTCTCATAGACCGTTTCTTTTGCCTGCTTTTTCCCCCCATGTACAAGTCACATTTTTCTGTTCTTCCCATGTCTCATAATTTTTGTTAAAAACTGAATATTTTAGGTGATATATTGTCACACCTCTGAATATTGATTTTCATCTTTCTCTCTAGAGTGTATTTTTATTGTTGTTTGCTTGTTTATTTGTTTAGTGACTTGGCTGGAATATTTAAGTGAAGACTATTCTCCCTGCTGTGTGAAGACTCTGATTTCATTCTTCCCAGGGTATAGCCTCCGCTATGTGCACAGTCCTCATGGGATTACACTTGTTTTAGTAGGGCTCTCTTTGTCTTTTTTCTGATCTCTGTTAAGCTATCTTGCCTCTATTGGTATTACACCCAACTGTTAAGGCTCCACTAATTGTGAGCTGATTGCTTTATTGTTTTTGACAATGTCTTGGGGCATAAATTACTCTGCAGTCTGGTCCAATTAAATTTGGGCAGGAATGGGCTTTCAGTACTTTCTTGGAGGTTTGTTTTGACTCTAGAAGGGCTTTTCTTAGTTGTCTATTTCCCTGGTTGTCTCTGGTAAAATAGCTGGCTTACAGTTTAGCTAGTTTCTCTCATAGAACTAACAGCATCTTCTTAAATGTTTATCATCTAAATCATTGTTTTTGAGAGCACTATTAGTCTCTAGGCTGCTGCTCTGGATACTGGGTGGGGGTTGTAGCCTTTGTACTCATTTTGCCTCTCCTGATATTGAGAGTCTGCCCTATGAGTGAACTAGAGTGAAAGTAATCAGGGCCCTAATATTCTTAGCTTGTCTCATCTGGTTAGAGCTCTATGATTAGAGGCTGGATAGAGAAATGAAACCCCTAGCAATTCATCCAACAATTTAGCCTCTAAAACTAAAAGTTAGAGGGGATTAGAAATGCTGATGTCCCACACCTCCTATCAGATGCCCTGTCCCTTGATAGGAGCTGGAAGGAGGAGAAACACTGTCTTCTTAGCCATACCCACCCAGAATGATGGCCCTTCTGTCAAGCTGAGCTGGTGGGCGAAGGTCTGGTGAGGGAGTCGAGAGAAGGCAGAAGAAGAAAGTGGATGTAGCTCAAATTTCAGAATAAATGTTTCTTCATTTATTTGTTATATGCCCTTAGGACAATTTTCAGAAACTTTAAGTTAGGGGTGTGGTGGAGGCGTGTGAGTGTGTGTACACACACGTACAAATATGGATCCATAAATACATATATATACAGCACTTATTTCACTGGGGAACATTTTATGGGGCTCCACATGTTGCCATTCCAGAAATGGAACCTCTGCTCTTATTATTAGTTTTTGAGTCAGTCTTGCTAACTATCATAGGTGGTACCTGTATCCTCTAATCATATTCTTTCCTTTAACCATTTCAAGAATAGGGAATTGTAATAGCTCCATCTTGATGTCTGCAGCTTTGGAGCTTTTCCTTCTCCCTCAAAATTTTCCCAGGAGAACAAGAATCTCAGCCTCCCCAAGGTCTGACTTAAATAGCAAATATGACTTTTAGCAACTTTCCAATGTTTTAAAATGTAAAAATATGGGCTAATTTTTTTTCTATAGACAGGATATTAAAACCTTTAGCTTATTTTAATGACAAAACATGATTGCCTTAATTAATAAAGAAAATGTAACATACACAACACAATAAAATATTATTTTGTAATGAATTAGCACTACTAATTTATCATTCAACATGAATAAACCTCAAAACTTTGTGAAAAGAAACCGAATGCAAAATACTAGATGTTGCATAATTCCATTTATATGAAATGTCCAGAAAAGGCAAATCTATAGACAGAAGCAAATTAGTGGTTGCCTGGAATTGGGAGAGGGAATGGATATTGACTGGAAGTGGGCACAAGAGACCATTTCGGGATGATGGAAATGTTCAAAAATCGAATTTTGTTGCTGGTTGCATAATTGTGTAAATTCACTAAAAATCTCTTTAAATGGCTGAATATATAGTATGAAAATTATACCTTCATAGAGCTGTTAAAATATGATTGATGGTGTCATTTGTCTCTAAAACCTCCATATTTTCCCATTCATAATGGGGTTGTTTTTTCCTTGTTGATTTTCTTACATTTTTTATAGATTCTGCATATTAGACCTTTGTCAGATGCATATGTTACGAATATTCTCTCCCATTCTGTAGGTTGTGTGTTTACTGATAATTTCTTTTGCTGCACATAAGCTCTTTAGTTTGATCAGATCCCACTTGCTGATTTTTGTTTTCCTAGCAATTGCTTTTGAGGACTTAGCCAAAATTCTTTGCCAAAGTCAATGTTGAGAGGGTATTTCCTAGGTCTTCTTCTAGGATTTTTATAGTTTGAGGACCTACATTTAAATCTTTAATCCTTTTTGAGTGACTTTTTGCATAAGTTGAAAGGTAGGGGTCCAATTACATTTTTCAGCATATGCTTAGCCAGTTATCTCAGCACAAGTATCATATAGGGAGTCCTTTCTCCACTGGTTGTTTTTGTCAGCCTTGTAGAAGATCAAATGGTTGTAGACGTGTTGTAGGTGGTTTTATTTCTGAGTTCGCTATTCTGTTCCACATCAGTCTATATGTCTGTTTTTGTACCAGTACTACGCATTTTGGTTACTGTAGCCTTATGGCATACTTTGAAGTTGGGTAATGTGATTGATGCCTTTAGTTTTGTTCTTTTTGCTAAGAATTGTTTTGGCCATTTAGACTCTTTTTTGGCTTCATAAGAATTTTAGAATAGTTTTTTTCTAATTCTGTGAGAAACAACATTGCTATTTTGATAAGAATAGCATTGAATCTGTAAGTTGCTTTGGGCAGTATGGCCATGTTAACAATATTGATTCTTCCAATCCATGATCATGGGATATTTTTTCATTTATTTGTGTCATCTCTGACTTCTTTCAGCAGTGTTTTGTAACTCTCCTTGTAAGATATTTCACATCCTTGGTTAGCTGTATTCCCAAGCATTTTCCTTTTCTGATGGGATTGTGTTCTTAATTTGATGTTCAGCTTGAATATTATTGGTGCATAAAAATGCAACTGAGTTTTGTACATTGATTTTATATCCTGAACCTTTACCAATGTTGTTTACAGACATTTCTCAAAAGAATATTAAAGTGGCCAAAAACATATGAAAAATGCTTATCATCCCTAATCATCAGAGAAATGCAAATCAAAACCACAATAAGATACTATCTCACACCAGTCAGAATGGCTATTTTTAAAAAGTCAAAAAATAACAGATGCTGGCAAGGCTGTGGAGAAAATGGAATGCTCAAAGCTGGTGGTAGCAATGTAAATTAGTTCAGTCACTATGGAAAGCAGTTTGGAGATTTCTCAAAGAACTTAAAACAGAGCTACTGTTTGACCCAGAAATCACCTTACTGGGTATATACCTCAAGGAGAATCAATCATTCTATCAAAAAGATACATGCATTCATATGTTCATCACAGTGTTATTTACAATAGCAAACACATGGAATCAACCCAGGTCCCTATCAATGGTGGATTGGATAAAGAAAATGTGGTATATGTAAACCATGGAATAGTACAGAGCCATAAAAAAGAATGAAATAATGTTCGTTGCAGCAACATGGATGTGGCTAGAGGCCATTATCCTAAGTGAATCAATGCAGTAACAGAAAAACAAATACAACATATTTTCACTTATAAGTTGAGTGCACATTGAGTGCATGTGGACATAAAAATGAGAACAATAGTCCCAGTGGACTCCTAGATCAGGGAAGGAGCAAGGAGCACAGGGGTTGAAAACCTACCTATTGGGTACTAGGCTTGCTACCTAGGTGACAAGATGCATGCCCCAGACCTCAGCATCACATAATATACCCATGTAACAAACCTGTCCATGTACCCCCTGTACCTAAAATAAAAGTTAAAATTATTTTAAAAAGCGAAAATAAAAATAAAACCCCTATATTGTAAGTGCTAAGTGCCTAGCACATAGCATGTTTAATAATGCTGATCAGGCAAACGAATGAATCAATGAATCAGTATAAAATCCCACAGGAAACAGAGAAAGGCACCTTGCCCATTGGTAGTGGCAACAGAGCAGGGGCACTAAGCAGCCATGGATCTCTGTAAGTTTACCATGCTCTAAGAGGAAGGGAGAGAGTGGCAAACATATGAAAAGCAGGTGATAGGAAATTAAAGACAAATCTTATCTAGCGTTAGCTCTGATTATCAAGTTGGTGGTGACTTTAGCACCATCTACCCCCAGTCAAATTCATTTCTATCTAGGGAATAAATGGAGGGAAAGAAGGATGGAAAGCTGAAAAGAAAAGCCTCCAGGTCTCCACCCATGCTTCTATCAAAGGAGATCATTACTATCTGAATTTGTGTTAAGATAGCTATATTTTCACTTTAAAATATTTTCTGTGATAAACAAATAAACAGTGTATGAATAATTTTGAATACTCACATTCATTATGCCAATACGTTTTAACCACATTACTTCCTAATTGATCTTATAGGACATCTCCTCTGGAATCTTTCATTGACCTAGAGCTTTAGCACCCTGTGTTTATTCACCTCATGAGACCGACCACATATCAGTTTTAGAAGGGTCACCGAGGACTTTATTATTCATTATTTTACTCCCAGGAATAGATTAGGTTATCGGTAAATACATATTGTATGATTAAATGAAATATTGGAGTTACTAAAACACAATACGCAACAAACTCAGTATTGTAAATGTACCTTGGAACTCTTAATTGGTTGAACAAGGCATAATGTATATTTGCCAACTTGCTATAGATTTCATTACCTTGTGATACCACATTGAAATGTAGATATGTTAAGAAATTTACCAAATAATAAGTGACAGGTTATACACCTACCACTCTGTTCATGAGACCCTATTACTTAATAAAAAGCAGCAGAAAGGCCAATATGACAATTTTTTTAGTTCAAAGAATTATCAAGTTCAGCCTCTACTTGATAATAAAAACTAATTAAAATTCATTTCTCTAATTTCAAAGTGTTCAAAATTTCCTTAACCACTATACTTAAAACTTTTTGGTTTTATCATTGTTTTACATATATAAATGCTTCAGCTATCTGGGTTCTGACTTTCCACGGGATAGTAACCGGGCACCTTTTACTTTCTGCTCTTTATTAATTTAGGCATTTTCCTTCCCATTAAGTGAGAATAAAAGGCAGAGGAAGTGAAGTTTAAATGAGATGCTTTTGTTATTTGATTATAATGCCAATAAATAAATTTGGTATGGGTTGAAGTTGAGAAATATTGCTAACTGCAGTTTTTTGATTATCTATGGATTTCAATTATCCAGGAATCCTTCTTCTTTGTTGGAATAAATAAATGCAAATTAATGTAACCATTTTGAATAGAATTTAAAACCCACCATGCACAACTTCATTATCTGGAACTGGACTTTCATTTTGAAAGACTGAAGGGAATTTAGGAGATTACATTATTGTTATTTTTCCATTTCTTTGAAAAAGCTGACATAAAGTGTTTCAAGCATCAAGAAAACAATAAATCAGAAAGATTGTCAGTTAGTCTCTTTTTAGTACTCTATTGATTGTAAGACTTATATTCTATTATATTCTTGAAACTTAGTGGCTATGATTCTTGAAAAACATTTTAAGACATAAGAATATATAAGACATAAAAGTTTCATTCTTGTATATTACATGCATATGCTATTGCAACAGTAATAAAAGAAATTTATAAACTCAAATTATTAAATACGAAAATATTCCACAAAATTTTGCTGTCTTCGTGAATAGATGTTCAATATTAACATGTGGCCTCAGGTGGTCATGATTAAATTAATACTGTTACATGGGCCAGGGACTTTGATCTTGACCTTCAGCAAGTTACTTTACCTCTTTTTCCTTCAGAATAAAAAAGGTCTCAGTTTCCTTCAGAATAAAAAAGCACTTGTAGTAATGATATATAAATAAATTAAAATATGAATATAAATTAAATATATAAGTATACGGATACATGACCTGCACATAGCTAACTAAATAATAGTTGAACTATGGTTGTTAATACCATCTTTGACTTCTTTCCTTTCCCTCATCCTATATCAAATCAGTTGAAAAATCATCCGAAGGTGTCAATTTCTGTAGTGTCTCTCAAATTTGTTTAGTCTTCTTTTCCATTCCACTATTGTTACCTAAGACTACAGTACCACCACCTTGTCTATTTTAAGAGTCTCATAACTGTTATTCTCTCCAATCTTTCCTCCTTTAGTCCAACCACAGGTCCTGCAAGAGAATTATTTTAAGAAGAGAGTTGATCATGTGTCTCCTCATGGAAGAAAAGATTTAATACTTCATCATTTATTATTCAAATCAGAACCTGACTGACCTTAGCATTTGGTCACAATGTGCTGTAATCCACATTTCCAGCATCCTCACGATCGCCTATACCTCCTGTACATCTTCTTCCCTTCATGCATCACCCCAAAATACATCCTAAAACATATCACTTGCTTGATGAAAACCTCTGAATTTCCCCAATCCACAACCTTGGTTTGACCTTAAAATTCTTCCTTCTGGCTGGGTACGGTGGCTTACACCTGTAATCCCAGCATTTTGGGATGCTGAGGCAGGAGGATCACTTGAGCCCGGGAGTTTGAAACAAGCCTGGGCAACATGGTAAGACTCCATTTCTACAAAAAAATTTAAAAATTAGCCAGGCCTGGTGGTATGTGCCTCTAGTCCCAGCTACTTGGGAGGCTGAGGTGGGAGAATTGCTTGAGCCTAGGGAGTTGAGGTTACAGTAAGACATGTTCATGCCACTATACTCCATGTCTCAAAAAAATAAAATAAAATAAAATCCCTCCTTCTATCTATGGTGCAGCTAGAAATACCCCATAAAGAGACACCAGATTCTGAGTTCTAGTGTATTATGATATTTCCCCAGACACTGACTTATATTCATCTTCCAGAATTCCTATCCTGCATTCCGGTGTGCCCCTCACTTGGTAAAGCACTACATCAAAGCTGCCTTTTGCTTATCTGAGGATTCCTTGGACTGACACTTTACTATGACTGCATGTTTGATTTTCCAATACAGTTCTGACATATAACAAGGGCTTTTAGATTCATTAGTAACACTCTAGAAAGATCCTCATACCAGAAGGACCCATCAGCTCTAGAATGACAGCCTGAACAAACCACCCAAGCCTACTTCATACAAGAAGGAATTAGACCAATCCATTAATCTCTTCCCTCCTTTATTCTAACTAATGTGTGTCTCAGATTTTCATCTCTCTCAAGAAGCATTTCACAGCTCCCTTAGAGTATTCTTTTTCTCCCCCACAATCCAGTTGAATGTTGCTTTTTTTCTATAACTTAGGTCACATATTAATTTTTCATATTTTTTATATTAATGTCTTTTACTCTCACTATAACATAGGCTTTTAGATAAAATATCTATTTTAGTTTTCATGATACTTAAACCAGAGTATTCTTCATAGCAAATATTCAATAAATACATGATAAGTTGAACTGATGTAATAAGACTATCACTCAATATTTATAAAACAATTTTGAAAACAAAACTATAGATACATGGATACATGGAAGAGCAAGTAATAATATCAATGTCCAATTATAGTTAAAAATTGAGAAATTAATAGAAATCAAGTTATTACCATAAATATGCATCTTTTCTCTCCCAAACCAAAATAACCTTATTGTTCATAAGACAGTGTATTACTCAGGGTTTTCTAGAGGAACAGAACTAATCAGATATATGTAGGAGTTTAACTTACACGATCACAAGGTCCCACAATAGGCTTTCTGCAAGGAGGAGAGCCAGTCTGAGTCCCAAAAAGGAAGAACTTGGAGTCTGATATTCAAGGGCGGGAAGCACCCAGCATGAGAGAAAGATGTAAGATGAGAGGCTAGGCTAGTCTCTACTTTTCATGTTTTCCTGCTTGCGTTATATTTGCTGGCAGCTGATTAGAATGTGCCCACCAGATTAAGGGTAGATCTACTTTCCCTAGCCCACTGACTCAAATGTTAATCTCTTTTGGCAACACTCTGGCAAACACACAGAGGATCCAATACTTTGTATCCTTCAATCCAATCAAGTTGACACTCAGCATTAACCATCACAGAAAGAAATGGTTAAAATAAAGGAAATATGGTCACACTGCAGAACACTATGCACATGTTAGAAAGAAGAGGTAGAACTAAATATGTTAAAATTGAAGTGTCTCTGAAACATATGGTTGAATTTAAAGTTGTTTCAAAATGACAAAAACTGTATTACATCACTTATATATTAAGACTATAAAATTTAGTATCCTGGACCTGACACTAAATATTCTCTAAGAGTACATATATACATATGCAAAGACACAGTGAAAGGTCTAGAAGAATAAGCAACACACGGAGAGGTCACTAATTACCTTTGAGGAAAATCAAGGAGAAGTAGACTGGGATTGGGATGGTGGTCATTAAACTGAACTTTAGCATTTTTTTCTACTTATATAATGTTTCATTTAAAAACAGAAATCTCCAAGTCCAATGCCAGAGTTCAAATTCTCTCTCTGCCATTTACTACTTGTGTGAATTTTGCAATATATTACCCTCTGCTGCTCATCTACAAAATGTTTATAATACACCTACCTAATAGGCAGGGCTGGCTTCTTGGTCATTCAAATAATTTGTAAAATTACAATCCTGATGTTAAAAAGCAGAATATTTAGACAGAAAACATACAGTCCCACTCCCCAAGTATATGTTTTACATTTCCATATTATACCATATTTCATATTATAGCTGAGAAGTTTATATATACTATATATCATGATCTGAAAATGAAAATTAACTCTATCAATTTAAAGATGTATATGTAGTTTAGTCATTGAATTTAGTATGTCCTCATAGGTTAGAACATATTTCAGACAAGACTAAATATCTCTGAGATCCTCAAATGTAAAATTCAAAGCAAATTTAATAAACTATTTTTCTTTCTGCTAGAATAATTACATTGAACACTTCTTGTCATACATGATTACATCAACTGCCTATCCCTGGCTACATTTTTTCTTATGAAAGAGTTCTTCTCAACAGTTGCAAATTTATTTTCATTATTATTGACCTTTCAGGTTGTTATTGACCAACTCAAAAAAGTTCTGACCATATGGCAAAATGATTTCCTAGAGTCTAAATGCAGAAGTCGAGGTGGCAGAACTTGCTCAAATGATAAATCCAAAACAAATCCAAGATCATATCTAAATAAGTCTTGAAAATCTGCTTATTGCTATGTAAAGAAAACAGAAGAATTACTGCATTAACTCAAGAACTCTGCTACTTTATTTTACATTTCTAGTTTACTTAAAAATGGATCTGATGGAATATAGGTCTTGTTTTGCTCAGACAACTAAATGCCTTAACAATTTCTAGTCCCTATCCATTTTTTGTTTGCTTTCCTTAATGTTCTTGTTATTCCTAAGAAAACTCACAATTGAAAATATTTTTGTTCAGCATTGTCACCCAACATTTTCTGAGTATATAATATGAGACAGGAATTGTGCTAGGTACTGTCAATATACGTGGAAATAATTGACACTCTTTGCCATTATCAAACTCACAATCTAGAACAAAAAACAATCAAGCAGACAAATTATTATTTTTCTTAGAATTTATTTGCTAGAACAAAGGCTCATATGTTATAGCCACTCATACAAACCAGTCCTTTGAAAGCAATTACATTAAGCCCTAAGCATATTATTTTGAGGAAAACAATGGCAAATTTAACCCAAACAATACTAATGATTATATATACTAATTATTTATTATCAGTGACTTTTTTCAATGTCTATTTTTTTCTGGCTAATATTATTTTTAAATTTTTTCTGTAAGTTGATTTATATCTGTAGCCTGAAAATTCCTCCAAAATTTATGGCAACTATATCACAGTGAGAGAATCAATTCCCAACATGATTTCCTTTTAGGCTCTGACTTATCTTAGATCAGGAGACTTGGATAGATCTTAATTAGCATAAGGCTTTTTGTCAAGCAGCCACAGGATATCTCTAGCTCAAAACCTTAGCATTTAGAAAGCATTTAAGGATCTATGAGGATTACTGTCCTGTGGACACCTGTTATAAATCTGAGTAAGAGCCTGGAAACATTACTTTCCAAGTGTTTCTATTTGATATAATCAGGCCTGACCACCAGCTTGTGTTTCTGCCAAGTCTATTATGTATAATTTTTAGTTGATGTAATTCTCTTAAAGCCAAATCAGAGTGCTGTGCTGTAAATAAAGCTCACTCTTCTTCACAGCATGCAACTGTGTGATTACTCCTACTAACTTTCTCTACCCCAGCCAAATCATGCATATCACCAAGGAGGTGCCAGTGTAAAAGGAAAAGAATAGAGCATTCCTAAACTGTAATGATGTGTACTTTATCAGCCATTGACATGCACAATGAAAGAGGAAGTAATTGCCTGACGGTGTCAGGTGACCTTCGAGTTTTACATAGAAAAGAATTCAGAGGCAATAATACTTAACAAGTAAAAGTGACATTTTTCAATGTCACAGCTGGATCAGAGCAACCTACTATTTAGTCTACTATTTTCATGTGAACACGGAGTACTTGTGTCAGCTTTTTCATCTTGTTACCAATTTGACTTCATTATTTGGACTTTTCTAAGGCTGTAAATAAACGCTAAGGTTACTAATTTCAAGCAAATGATTCTGGTCTTGAGTATTTTCAGTCTTTTCCTTCTCTGAGCCTCTGTATTGTCTACACCTTGAATCACTCAATCCAGCACTTAAATTAAAGATAAGCGTTTAACTGTTCTTGGAGATAAAACAGAATCTTCCCTCTTTGTGGTAACACTGACTAACCTAGAGAGTCCTGGCACATAGTAGGTTTTTGAAGAATGCTTTTGGTCTGATTCAATCTCTTAGTTCCTGACCCCATTACACTCACTACTCAAATGGTTACAGAATATTCTAGCAGAAAGAGAATGCAGCCAAGTTTACTGAGGAGAATGAAGTGATTTTCAAAGGAACAGCTAGTTCTCAGCAGAAAAAAAAGAAACTCAGAATCTTAAGATAATTTCCTTTCTGCTTCCACAGGCCGCGGACAATTACCATACTTGGCCTTTTTTTTCTTTTTTTTCGAGGCAGGGTCTCGCTCTTGTCGCCCAGGCTGGAGTGCCGTGCGCGATCTCCACTCACTGCAACCTCTGCCTCCTGAGTTCAAGAGATTCTCTTGCCTCAACCTCCCAAGTAGCTGGGATTACAGCCACATACTACCACGCCTGGCTAATTTTTGTATTTTTAAAGTAGAGACGGGGTTTCACCATGTTGGCCAGGATGGTCTCCAACTCTTGACCTCAGGTGCTCCTCCCGCCTTGGCCTCCCAAAGTGCTGGGATTGCAGGCGTGAGCCGCCGCCCCCGGGCCATACCTGGCCTTTTTAGTAACCAGGCCACACAGCAGGAGATGAGTGGCAGGCAAGGGAGCATCACTGCCTGAGCTCCGCCTCCTGTCGGATCAGCCAGGGCATTAGATTCTCATAGGAGCACGAACCCTATTGTGAACTGCGCATGCGAGGGATCTAACTTGCGCGCTTCTTATGAGAGTCTAACGTCTGATGATCTAATATGCCTGATGATCACCCCCCACCTCCTCTGGAAGAAAAATTGTCTTCCGCAAAACCGATCCCTGGTGCCAAAAAGGTTAGGGATCACTGACCTAGGGGACGTTGTAAATTTTGATGCAAAATTTGGAGATAGTCTGTGAATACCTGAAAGTATCTCCGAATATCTAAATATTCCAAGTAAATGATTCTAATAAATTAGAAGAAAATGTAATAAATGTTTTCCAACCTCATGAGAAATTGAAGGAGAAGACAAAGCATTCAAGACCACATTCAAAAAAATATCTGCTTCTGAATTAGGAAATGCCAGTGGCCCGGTACTCAAAATTTGCACAGAAAACTGTGCTAAGCTAGTGATTAAAGAAATAGTATTCTGAGTCTTAAGGACTTAAAGTAGGAATTGGACAGCCATCCAAAAGTAAAGTAAAACAAATAAAAATTCTCATGGGTTTATACAATTGCATCCAATCCCAAATAGCCCTTGTTAAAATATAATTTACCTTAGGTTACCACTCAAGGAAAACCAAACAGTTCTATTTTCTCCCCTATGTGATTGCCAGCTGAGTTATAAGAATGTTTTATAGCACTTTAAGTCCTAGACAAAGGATCACCATGAATTCTTCTCTGCCCTTTCTTTCTTGGCAAATATCTTTTACCACTAAAACCAATGTGGTTTCCACTCAATCCCTTAGGCCACTGACTACTACCCTCTTAAAGGTAACTGTAGCAGCCATTAGACCGCTTTGACAAGAGATAGTAATTCACCTCAATATACCTTTCAAATTTGTTAAATAAATGAGAGTAACGTGGGTGTCCCATTTGCTACTGTTCACTCCTAACTGAAAGAGCTGTGAAAAGTTAAAGTAGAGATACAGCAATTGCATGACCACCTGCTGTTCTTTGTGACAGCTGCCACTGCCCCTTGACACAAAATGTCATAGCATTGTCACCTAATAACTAGGCAATCCAAAAATCTGGGGGTATCTTAATGAATGTACTACAGTGTACATTGGTCCGAGGATTTATGCTGTCATTCTGGTACCAGGAGTAAAGGCTAATAACCTCAGCTTCCAAATGAATATTTGCAAAACTCTCAAGCCAAGATGGTGTAACTGCATTTGTGAAAATAGTTGCCTTTTCCAGCATCAGGCATGGCTTAGTTTTGTAATTTTAGGTTTAAATTAAAACAAAATATTGTTCTTAGGATTACATGTATGAAGAAAGGAAGCTTTAGCTTCTCACAGGGGAATTATCTATATATTTTTGGAGTCCTGTTTAAATCTATCATCAAGATCCTTTCTTTTATAACTACCTAATGATCTATTATTCAAGCCAAAATATTGTAGGTTTTATGGTTTTCACTTATTATTCAGAGCAACTGTCTCATGACTATGTAACATCTCATATCCCACTCAGTGTCTCCAGCCTAAGAAAAGTTGGATATGTTTTTCTCTCTTATTTGAATTGTGAGATTCAAATAAATGTGAATCAGATAAAAACTTAACCCTTTTACAAGATTAGCTATTATGGCCTGCTGACCGGCTGATTAAAAACAGAAACTATTTAATGAGAAATTAAGTTTTAAATGGAAAGCAGAGCCATACACAGCAGCCTCATCAGGAGTAAATACAGGTTGTAGGCACAAATATAAGACATAATACTTTCTGCTCCCATGGGGCTCTTCTTTGACAGGCAGAGCCACCAAAAAAAGGAAAGTAAAATTCTCATTATCATCCCAAGGACACAAAACGGTAACTGAATTGAGTAGGAGAAAATAATTGGGTTAGAATTTATTCTTATAATATGGGAATGGAGCTTTTCCTAGTTTTTGTTTAAATTTTTCCTATTTTTAGTTTATGATTCCAATTAATGCTGCTGTTGATTTAGTCTATGCTTTTATCTTTTATGCAAAACTTCCAATGAATAAGCTAAAGGGAAACTTGCAAAATCCATAAATACTCTAACATGACTAGACTTGTCCCCTGTACCTTTAGAGATCAGAATTTGAAGATAGATACCAAAGGATCTTGTGATGATGTATTGGATTAATTCACTAGCCTCTCACTTCTTTAGTTTCTGAGAGACCAAATCTTTAAAGCTGACATATGGGAGAGTGGTGATATATTGGATTAATTCTATATCCCCTTACTTTCATTTTAGGTCCCACGTGTTTCAATGGACATTTGTCTCCATCATAGCCACATCACACCACAGATTTGATTTTTCAGTTCATTTGGTCAAATGCCACTCAAAACAAGAAATGCTAAAGGAGAAGAAGAGTCCAGTTCAAGATCTGCATTTCATTTCTGATGTTGGCCCAACAACTTTTTCCTTCCAGTTTCTCGGAAGCCTGCCTCCATAGTTCTCTTTTCCCCCAGTTCGCCCAAGAATTTAAAGTGAGAATTCAGAATATTCTTTCCCCTTTTCCCCTACTAATGATTCAACAGGTAGTATGAATTTTCCATATTCTGTTTAATGCTAGGCATCAGATTTTCAGAGTTTCTAGCCTCATTTCCTCTGAAACCATTATTTTTGCTGTGTAGTATCTCTGTCTAAGGTTGTATTTTAAAAGATTCCCAAGTCCTTTGTACTATGACAAGCATGGAATATAACTTTACTATTGACAAAGAACAAAGAGAGATCAGAAATAAAAACACTGGGAACTGTACACAAGCTCTGTAACCTCCTTTCTTGAGACATTCTGAAACTTGCTATAAAGCAATTTATATGAAAGCATTCTCATGTACAATATTTCACACAATCCCCATATTAATACGAAGTGAAGTCATCAATCTCCACTTAAATTTACATGTTAAGAGACTAGCCTTTGACATGTAAAGTAACTCACCCAAGGTCACGTAGCTAGTAAATGGCAAAATGGAGATTTTTAACTAGGTTTAATAAATCCAAACCATTCCCCCAAACTATTTTGTTGTCCAATAAGAGTTAGAGAAATTGCGGTTTAAAAACAGGAAATAGATTAACATCAATGAGAATAGGCACTATAAACAGTAGCTATGATCTATTGGGCCTTTCCAACACATTACAACAGGCTGTGGGTATCTGCATGAAATATGCATAGCATTGCAATGGGAAAGAGGAGCTATGAGCCTTTCAGAATAAGTGGGCCAAACGCAGTGTAGAATGCTCCCTACAGTTGCCCTTTTGTGAAATTCACACTCTAATCACATATTCAATGTTTGTCTTTGTGGAGAATATACTCTCTACAAAGGGAAACAACCTTAATTCTCCTAAACATAGACACCAGGAAGAAAAATAAGGTTAATTTCTTCATTCTAGATTCTAGCTGATGCCAGCTCTAGAGCTTCCAGGTTGCCCAGGACTATACCAGAAGCCTTTACTTCATCCTATGCATAATATTGACAAATAAGCTTATGTTTTAAACACTGATTCTCTGAAAAATGTTTTAAATCCAGCCATGAAGTGTCCATAAGCTAACATATACATTACTTTTACAAGGTGCACTCTGGAAGGAATCCTTTAAAAAGTTAAAATTTATTTACGTAAGCTATGTAGTTGTGTGGCCACTATGAAAGAATACTTAGTCAGTAGAACACAGAAAGAAAATGAAATCAGGAGTTATGCTACATCAGATGGAAGAAGCAATGCAGTGTCTGGTAAGGAAAACAAACAAACAAAACATGAGTTGTCCAGGACTAGCTCTACTAGAAGCAGTGTAACATGTTGGAAATAGCTCTTCAATCAGAAAGTCTGGTCTCCTTATATACTAGCTATGTAGCTTTAGACAATCCATTTAAGTCCCTGAAACTTCTCCCATATTTTAATAAAAATATCTTTTGAGATAACATCCACAAGCACTTTTAAAACACATATATGTAATTAGTAAGGACTGGGGGACAGGAGTATGCTGTAAAATGCTCTGCAAATATAATTTCATGAAAACACATAACTACACTGGTGATATTAAATGGACTTTAATCAGTGGTGATAAAAGATGGTCAATTGTCTATATAATGGATAACATGGTAGCCATTTTTCAACTTCAAGTTTAAGCTTCAATGAACCCTCATTTCCTCAAGCCCATAATATGGCCAGTAATTAAAATTATATTTCTGGTTTTAGTTGAAACTTCTATGATTCAAGTGGTTTTGCAGCCCTTCTCACATCAAAATATACAGAGAGCCATTTGGCTATTTTCATAATACTGAGTTGGTTGGTTTAATATCAAGGTTATTTTTGTTTTGTTTTGTTTAGCTATATAGGTCTACTGGTTACTACTGCAACGTTTAAATTAGGTTCATGCCTCCTTCTGTTAACAAAGATTAAGACTCATGTCCTGATTGCCTCTGGAAAATGTTGGGTAAAAGGAAAATAAGTACTTTTGGCAGCGAAGTGATCCATCCACTCGGAATAACTGACCTAGATAAATGGGCTCTGAAATGGGGACTGATTAGCCTTCCTATCATTAGATAGGCATACAGCAGGCCTTACCTTCTGTCTCTTTGTTTAATGTACTAAGAAGTTTTCTTAAGAACTTGTCAAAGGGTACAACGGTGGATGAGGCACAACCCCAACTGTGTCCATAGTAGGCAGACTGAAACCACAGGTCATCCAGCATTTTGAGAAATGGGGAAGGTGCATGCCGTCTTCTGCCAAATTTATCTAAACAAAACATGTGTGAGGTTATTAAGAATTATAAAGACTTTACAGGCTATTTTTATATAGGATCCAAATCAAAGGGAAGGAAGATTAAAGCCAACACAATTTCCATTTATTTTACAGTGCAGCACAGTTGAGGGCAAGAAGTGAGAGTGGGGAATACTTAACTTGGCATCAGAATACCAGGATTACAGACCTAACTCTTACATTAAATTGAAATGTGATCTTTGGAAAAGCTAGCATAAATAATGTTTTAAAGGCATTTTCAATTATAACATTATATCATTCTTGATTTATATTCTTGATAACTAAAAGAGAAACCACCATTGTTCATTTTTTTGGCCAGTTGCATGCCATTCCTTTCCTACATCTGTCCAGAAGGTCAAAAGCAGAGTCTAAATTAGGGCATCTCCAAAAGACAAACAGCATGGGGCATGTTCAATATCAGCTTATTCAGGACACAACAAAAGACATGTTCTAAAATTTATCCTATGACTAAGCCTCAAGTGGAGACTTTAAAACTGTCCTCTATTTTCAGATCTCTTTATTTAATGTTTCATGGAATCTGAAAAATGTGGAGGAGAGAGAATCACTTTTCTTTTCAGTCAACACGATGCCATGACAACCAGTTAAAATGTGAAGGATTGTCAAATCAACAATTGTTTTGTCCACATGATGCCAAATAACAACCAGTTTGAGTGATTTGTTTTTTAAGTACAAATTTGTTCAGTTGTTGAAGCACGTAGATACACGCTCCTTAATAATCATACCTTTTATTTTCTTCACAGTGTACAAACCAATTTCAAACATATTATCTCATTTTTATTCTGATTTTTCCAACAAGCTCTGGACTGTCAGTAGAGCATTATTATACAGTATTACTGTATTTATTTTACAAATGAAGATTATAAGTGGGATTTAAGTTGTATAAGCATAACTATCCCAATTAATTTGCTCTATTTTCTCTAAATGAAACTGAAGAAAATACAGTGTTTTGCACATCAGATTGTAGTATGTAAATTTTGCCTGGCCCAAAGAACATGTTCAGCAAATGGTGTTTAACAGTATTTTACTATTTTCCATTATCAACAGTGGAGTGTCCGCTTCCCCACTGGATTATTGTTCTTCCATGTATAGGCAAATGTTGAACACCTTCATTCTCTTCTGCAGCCTAGGTCCTGGAAAAATAGAGGCCCTTTCCTTTGGCACCTAGGTTTGTCTCCTTTACTTCTGTTGAAATAGATATCACCTCAAATATAATTCAGTTCCAACAGACTGAGTCTACTGAAATTTCTTGACTAACATTGTAAAGAGATGGAGGCTTAAGAAAGTAATTTGGTCAAGATTACTTGATGATAAATGTTGTAATCAAGACACGAATCCCTGTCTATATCACTTCAAAGCCCATTCTTCAAACATGTTTCAAAACTTGTTTTCAGATTTAATGTCAAATCCTAAAATTCTTGTTATCCTGGAGCTCCCCACTCATTGTCCCAGTGGTTTTCTGTACTCTTAGGGAAGGGTAGATACTGAGTAGAAATGGAAACTATTGCTCAACTTTAACTGTTAAATCTTGCTTTTAAGATTTCGTTTTATTTTATTTAGTCCCTAGACACAATGTTCTTAAAAGCCAAGTAAGATTGAGGAAGAAAATGCTTTTCTTAATTTTTTTTCAGCTCCTATTAAAATAGCAAGTGCTGGCCCTAAATCCCAGAGCTGTGGACGGAGAGAATCTGCCATCTGGATCAGCCTAACCTGTGATTTATTCACTTTCTCACTCAACAGACTTTATTGAGTGCCAACTATGTGGGGAACAACACAGACTCATGGAAATTCATGAAATTTGCAGTCCAGCAGGTGACTTAGATATTGACTAAATAGTAAAAAGTATGATATACCGAGGTACAGGATACTGTTGGGGACATTTAACAGGGAGTGAACTTAGTCTGGGGCTCAGAGTAAGCTATCTTCCAAGAGAGAGATGATATTAGTGCTGCAACCTAAAGTATGAATACAAGTCAGCTGGAATAGAGCAGATTCAGGTAGCTGAAAAAATATATTCAATGTTTGGATGGTTAGTTGTGTGTGTCAACCTGGCTAGGTTATAGTATCCTGTTATTTAATTAAACACTAATCTAAGCATTGCTGTGAGGGTGTTTATAGATGTCGTTAACGTCTACCACCAGTTGGCTTTAAGAAAATTTTCTTTGATAACATGGATGGGTCTCATTCAATTAGTTGAAAGGCATTAAGACAAAAGCTGAGGTTTCCCTGAGGAAGAAGAAATTCCATCTCTGGACTGCAGCTTCAACTCTTGCCTGACAGTTCAGCCCTTGGGCTGCTCTATGTAATGCTTGCCAGACCCCACAATTGCATAAGCCAATTCCTTGCAATAAATCATATATATGTACACACAGATACACATGTAAACATATACACACATTATGATTCCTCTATTTCCCCATAAGCCTCTCTCTATATATAATCTATATCTATATCTAATATAAACATAATAAAACGCTGACTGATATAACTTTTTGCTCTAGGAAGTGAGGTATTACTGTAACAAATACTTTAAAATGTAGAAGTGGCTTTGGAATGGAGGAATGAATAAAGGCTGAAAAATTTTTGAGGAACAGGATAGAAAAATCTTACTTTGAAGAGATTTTTGGTGAGAATATGAATGTTAAAGGTAAGCATTTAGAAGATAATGAATAAAGTTACTGGAAACTGGAGAAGAGTAAATTCTTGCTATAAAGTAGCAGAAAACATGATGGAATTGTATTCTACAGGTAGGTGAAAAGCAGAACATGTAAGCAATGAACTTGAATATTCATCTGAGGATATTTCCAAGAAAAGCGTAGAAGGTGTAGGCTGGTTTCTTCTTACTGCTTTTAGGTGAATGCAAGAGGAAGGAGATAAATTGAGGAAGGAACTGTTAAGTAGAGAGAAATAAGCACTTGATGGTTTGGGAGATTCTTAGCCTATCCAGATTGCAAAGGATGTTAAAATTAAGAAAATCATGGTTGAGAAACTACATTCCTGAGAAAAGTCCAAGTGTGTGGCTAAACAAACTTTTGCTGAAGAGATTATATTTGTGACTCATGAGTCCACTCAACCTTCTGGACAAAAGCCAGGTGTAGTTATGGAATTATCTAGGAAAGACCTGTGGAGAATCCTTTTGTCCAATGGCATGAATCACCTTGATATAGAGGGGAAGCCTATAAGGTTTCTGAAAATGTGATACCAGCAGAACACTGTCAGCCTGGACAAAAGAAACAGAGACCAGATGAAATGATGGAAGGTTATCAGACTTCCAAAATTCTGCAGGCACAAAACATGCTGATAGAGCTACCTGACTGCAAACATCTGCTCTTGTTCAAGAAAAAGGAAGAATGATTCAGAGGGCAATGGAGCTGCCAGCAAGGGCATGGAGGGTGAGGAAGCTGCCACTTAGAGTGCAGGAGGCAGAACGGTGAGGCAAATCATTATTCTCAGGCCTTCCAATCTAACAGAATTTGCCCTCCTGTATTTCACACTTGTTTAGAACTAGTGACCCCTTTATTCCTTCCATTTCCTGTCTTTTGGAATGGGAATATCTATCTCATGCCTACATCATCATTGTATTTTGTAAGCAGGTAACTTGTTTTCAAGTTTTACAGGCTCACAGATGAAGAGGAATTTTATGTTTGGATGGATCATCCCTATAGTCTCACCGATATCTGATGTAGATTATTTCAGTGATGAGATTTGGGACTTTTTGTGTTTATAATATTCTGATGCGATTTGGAACTTATAGTTAATGCTATAGTGGACTGAGACTTTTGAATATATTGAGACGAAGTGAATGTATTTTGCATGTGGAATGGTTATAAAGTTTCTGGTGCCAGAGGACAGAGAGCGTAGGTCAAACTGTGTCCTTACAAAAGATACGTTCACTTGGAAGTTCAGCATATTTGCTTATTTGGTATAAGGGTATTTTGCAGATAAACTAGGTGAGGATTTTGAGATGAGATAATCCTAAATTAGAGTGAGCCCTCAATATAATGATAAATATCCTAATACAAGACAGAAGAGGAAAAAACACAGACACACACAGGGAAGAAGGCCACAGGAAGACTAAGGCAGGAATTTAAATGATGCCTATAAGAGCCAAGGAATGCCGAAGATTGCCTGCAAGCACCAGATGCTGGGAGTTAAGGGGTGGAATGCAATCTCCCTCAGAGAGAACCCCTAGAAGGATACAGCCCTGCTGATACCTTGACTTTGGATATATCTGTCTTCCAGATTAGAAAAAAAAAAAATCTACTTCTAACATTTTGAGCCACTAAGTTTGTGATCATTTGTTATGGCAGTTTTAGAAAACTAATATAAAAGTCTTGAGTTATCTGAGTCAGTGAAAGAAAAAAAGAAGAAAAGAAAAAAGTGAGCAAGGCTGGATCATATAAAAATAGGGGTAACTGGACATGAGTGTAAAGAATTAGCCAAAGGCTGACATTTCCCAATCCCTAAGGGCCACTAAAGGATTTTTCTTCAGAAAATGATATGATCAAATTTGTCTTTTTGAAGGATGTCTCTGGCCACCTGTCAGAAAAATGGCTTGTTACTGGTGTGGAGAGAGAGGTGGCAGAGTGTCAGAACAAAGTAGAAATTCCAAGATCCAAGCAAAAAAAAATTAGAATGCAAGAGAATAGTGAAAATTGAAGAAATGAACCAAGCAAGTACAAAAGAAGACAAGAGGCCTTTAGCTTAAGAAAATGCAAAAATAATGATAATCAAAGTTATTTCAGGTTATTTAATGCCAGTGCATGACTAGAAAATAGGAGACCTTCACAATAGGATAGACCTCAGTGCACATGTTCCCTCAGAAACCTTGCTTTTGGGCAAATTGACTAAACTGTCTGAGCCAAGTTTATCATCTTAATAGTAGATATATTTTTAGACTTGTTGAATGGATGAGAAATTTTACACTCTAACATAAAAGGTGAGTAGAGCAAATTTCAAAAGAGGAAGAAGGAATCTCTTTATTCTTTTTCTCCTTTTATTTCTCCTATCATTATTTTAAATACTGTTCCTAGCAGCTGATTATCCTAACCTTTCCATTCTCCATTAGCTAAACCTGGATTCTACCAGCTTTATCAGTTTCTCTCTCTCTCCTTCCATCATTTTGATACGTAAAACCACTACTATGATTTCTCTGTTTGATCTCAAGTCTTTTCTCAAACCAGCTCCTTTTCTTCCTGCAGCCACACACATGAATGAACAAACACAAACATATCTAAGAAATATCAATTTGTATTCCTTTCATCAGGAATCAATAGAGCCACAATCTACCAGCAACTGGCTCTTCCTGTAATTTGCACTGATTTAGGTTATTTGTTTTTATTCAATTACTAACGCTTATTTTTCCAACTAGCTTAGACATACTCCAGGAAAGCATTCTACATTTATGTTAGAGGAAGTGGAGGGTTTATCCCACTGTCATAATCGGCCTAGATTCCAGGTCTTATTTTCAATCCCTAAAAAAAGACTTTCTTATGATTCTTTATAATCTAGTCAAATTCTGTCTTCCCTTATGTTTTGTTTGTTTGTTTGTTTTTAAGAGTATCAGAAATAATTGGAGATGATGCTGTTTGTTTTGACTCCCACTCTTTCTACTCCTTAACATGAAAGATCAGAGTCTGGGCTCTCTACTCTTCCCAAAGTGTTACATCCTCTGGCCCATCTTTATTCCTTTGCTCACATTCTTACTCCTGCTCAAGTGTATTCCCACCCCTTCCTGCCCAGCCAATCCCTATTCATGTTTAATGGCTGAAGCACTTTCCAAAATCTTCCCAGACTACTCCAGCCTACATAGCCCTTCTCTTTTACACTGTATGAATTTAAAGTCAATATGAAAACCTAAGTTTCTAAATTTTACACAGTTTTATTAATACGTTTGACACCAATCTCTCAACTTACTATACCATAAACTACCTGAAGTAAAAATTATATCTTATATTTTTTGCAAACATCAAAGCACAGGTAATAAATAAGAAATGCTATAAAAGCCATAAATATTATGACCGAAAGCAGTAGGGGGATAAAAAGCATGCAAAGGAAGTCTTTTTCAAACCACTTCTAGCCATCCATACTTCTAGATATATGACCAGAGTTGTGAACCTCCCTGTGTAGTTCTCAGACTTCATACATCGGTGATGCTGTTTAAATGCAGCTCCCGAGACTCCTCCTGCAAGGATTCTGTAGTGATGCTTGGGTAGCTACCTTTTACCAAGGCAATCCAGTGATTCTTATTCAGAAGACTGAAGGACAATCTTGTGAGAAATATCACTCTAGGGATAAAGTAACAAAACTACATGTCCTAGGAACTAACACTGAGCAGGAAGAAGAGAAACACAGGCTGTAGCCAGACATTCAGGTAATCTCCCACTTCCTGTAAATTATAGTCTGGAATTTTGGACTCTCAGCCTCTCCATCTCTTACTAACTACAATGTCTCCAATTCCTCACTTGGCAATCCTACAGTTAAAGTTCCTTTCTAGACTTTTACTTTTTACTAAACACTCATCTAATACTTGCTATGATCTAGTGAGTCTTGTATACACATACTAGTTATTTTAACATGAAATTTGTGAGATAGAATCCCTTTACTGTCTTCATGTTATAGATGAGGGAACTAAGGCACACAGCAGTAAAATAACTTGCCCAAGGTCATAGACTAAGTACATAGCAGAGCTGAGAATCAAACCCAAGCAATCTGGCTCCATAGCCTGCAATCTGAACCACCATAAAACCATCACAATGTACTGCCTCATCAGTTCTGCATTTCAGACATATTGCATGCTTTTCCCAGTTTCTGATGTCAATACAATCAATAGATATTCAATATTTATTACGTGTCAGCTATCATAATATGTACTAGGACTATAACCCCAGAATAAAACTCCATCTGTGCTTTCAAGAAGCCTATATTATAAGGTAGAATCCAGAAAAATAAATGAACATATAACTAAACATATTGATAAGTATTAATATCACAATAGGGACAAGAAGAGGATATTATGGGAGCACATAGGAAGGAAACTTATCATAGTCTTGGGACTGAAAAGACTTTCCAGAGGAAATATCATCTAAGCTGAAGTCTGAAAGAGCTCTTGCAAACAAGTTAAGGTTGATGGACTCACAGTACTGAGGTGTCTAGAGGAAGATGGACATGAGAGAATGTCATGGTCAAAGGTAAAGGCATATGCAAAAAATGTGAGGCAAAAGAAAGTTTGGTAAATTTCAGAAACTTTAGGTTGTTCATTGTCATCATACAGAAAAGTAAAAGAAGGTCAATGGTAACAGACAAATAAAGGAGAAAATGTTTCTTGGGATCTTTTTATTTCTTTCTTTTAGATGCTAACCCTAAGGAATCCATTCAAACTCTTGATTACTCTCCATGCTGAACAGGTTAGTCTGAAGTATTCTTGACCCATGAAACGGAATTAATCAAATCCTAGTGGCTCAGCGAAGCTCACCTTAGACCTTTCATCTGAAATTAATATGTTATGATTGATTAATACAACTAATGGATACCGTATTTCTGAGCATACCGACATATGACAACACAATTCTTTTCAAACAAAGAGGATTCAAAATTCTATGTGTATAGATAGCCAATAAACAAAAGCTTTAAAGTCAATATAATCTAATACCTGAAAACTTGAAATTTTTTTTGTAGTTGTTTAAACAGTTCTAATTTATAGTTAGGGACTTTGATTTTCAATCTTCATTAACAAGCACAGTGCAATAAAGATGGATCACTGTATTAATGAAACAAAATTATTATGTGTTATTTATACAGGACAGCAATAAAATGAGACCAAGAAGATTAAGCATTCTAGCATGCTGTAATTTATGTCAAAGTAATGTCCTCCTTTGAAGTCAGAGTCTGGCTTAAACAATGAAGCAGGAAAAATGTTCAAAACAGCAAAGGGGACTGGGAAAGTAAAAATCCAGTTTCATGTAGAATATCGAAAATATTTTGGCCAATTTAAAAGAAAAATCACTTATAGAACATAATCTGAGAAAAAAGAAGGTGGAAAACAGCTTAGTATCTCTCCCTATCTTAGTTTGCCATACTTAGTCAAAGTCATTTGAAAAGCTACATTCGTAAGAGCTAGTGAGGTAAAGTGTTTCAAATGTCCTCAGTGCACTCTTTGAGGCTCTATGGGACAGTGAAACCCTGATTCACCTGTTAGGGAAAACACACACAAAAAAACACTTGACATGTTTAGAGATATTCAGTTCTTAAATGAATAATCTTCATTATTAACAAATGGCTTAACAAAGAAAGCCAGTGTTACAAGTATGCCGAACCCTTACTCCTAACTGCATTTATCCCTACTAAAACTATAAAGTGTCTCTTTGAAATAAAATTTTGACAATAAACAAATAGTATGGTTCTTTGCAATTTTTCTGAGTCCTAATTTTTAAAAAATGCATTAAGGATGTCATTTTTAATCTGGGCCCCACCAAGAGATTTGCAGCAATGTATCAGGGAAAAAGCAAAGCCAGGGATATAAACCTATTGCATCACCATATAGAAGCAATTTAACTGAATAATTTTGGGGAAAAGTTTTTTTCTTTCTTTTTTTGTTTTTATTCTTAAGAGGTTTTGTCACACCCACTTACAACCAAAATTAGTTTTTGGGTGGAAGCCTAGAAAGTAGAAGTTTTTATGGGCAGTAAGTGATTGTCAAATTCTGTACTTGTGTGTTGTGAAAAGGCCCATGATATTAACACTGCGCTGAATTAAAGGAAATACCATAAATTATGGTATTCTTGTAATCATCAAGACTGGTGTTTTTTTAGAGCTGAAATTTACAGGTTTTTCTCCTGAATGTCTTTTTTAAAATTACATACACTCTCTCACACACACAAATATCACTGGCTCACCAAAATTATTCCAACCTCCTACCACAATTTTTTCATGTATATTTTTTCTTAAATATAGGACTTCCATTTTCCCATATTGTAGAAGAAACAAAAATTCTGGAATTTGAGGCTGGGCATGATTTTAGTATTATATTGCTTTTGCATTTTAAAACTTTAAAGATTTTAAGTATTTTTGATAATGAAAAGAAACAAGTTTCAAAAAAGTTTGAGGAAAATTCTGAACATCAAGTTTTGTCATCTGTAAATGTAGATAATAGCTGCCTTGTACTTTTACAAGGTATAATGAACACAAAGGTACTTTTCAATCTGTAGAATACCATATGAATGTCTAATATTTCTGTTTTCATAGTATAATCACATTGCCTCATATAACATTTTCCCCTATACACAAAAATACAAAACTCTAAAATAGTTCTCAGAAATACAATTAATATATACTAAAAATCTTAGTGCAAAGAGCACGAGTGACCTGACCAGCATTAATAGTGACCAGCACGATGCAGATATTTATACATATCTGATTTTTTTAAATAAAAATGTGTTGAATATTTTATCTGTCAGACTCCAGTCAGGAGATATAAACCACACTAGTTATCTTAACAGAGTTATAGTGAAGAATTAAAAGCGTAGAAAGTAAACATTAAGGTGTCACAGAGGTAAAGGGAAAATATCATTGCAAAAGTAGCCATCATTCAAAGGGAATAGGTTAGAATTACTTAAACTCAGATGCTAGAGAAGAAGCACATGAATCTGACATTCGGACCTCTGAGGATGAGGAGCTCCTTGACTGATGCTGGAATCTGCAAGCCTTGCAGGTGGATGAAGGGGGGTACGAGGTCCAGACCTTTGAGGAGGCAGAGCATATCTCTTCTTTCTCCAGCTTTCCAGTTGTTTTTTCACATTCCATATTAGCTTAGCCTAACACAGAGTCAGCTAGCAGAGTAGAAATGGGACATGAAGAGTTCCAGCACTAGCATAACAAAGCAGAGAATAAAAGGGTGGATTTAGAGCTGATACCACAGCTTCACAACTGGATCAAATATACAAATGGTAGACTGATTGAAAGAATAAAGAAACAGAGAAAAGAATGAAGAAGTGAAATATTTATTTACTTGGTGGCTGAGTTAGAATCAAAGTGCTCTGCTTTCCAGATTTCTCCATAATGCACTCTAATACCTGCATTCCTCAAAACTAAATATATGTTGAAATTTTTGAATCATATGACATTTAAATATATTAAGGAGATTTACTATTTATAGGAATATTATGGCAAATTGTTTTGCAAGATAAATAACTAGTCGCTAATTTAACTGGTTCAAAACTCAGAATTTGTATACACTTTGTTTGCTTAAGCAAATTAAATCTAAGTGAAAAATATGAGGTTCACAAACCATAAGACCTACTTGGCTCCCAGAGGACTTTCTCAGCATATAATAGTGTGCCAGATTGAGTGGCACAATTTTAGTTCCTGGCAAGATGATAAATAAACACAAGCTCCTGTGTTCCCTCACTCCCACCATGGCCCAACCTTGAAAGTGCTACAGACGAGAAAGGGTTTAGGGTAACATTTTAGTTTTATTATTTTTCTGTCTGCAAACTATCCTGTATAGATTATTGTTTTCTCTTCCCTCACTCCCATCACCAGTAGAGGTAGAAAAATTATTACACCAGCCATATACAACCATAGACATGGCACAATAAGCCTAGCTAGAAAGGAGAAAAAATAGTAAGTAAGTAATTAAAAACAGTAAGCCCCTGAGCATTCCCTCTGCTATCCTTCACTCCCTCTACCAATGAGGACTAAGTAAGCATACATACACTTAAGAGAAAATGATTAGAGAATGTAATTCCTGGGGATAGGGTAGGAGTAAATATAAAGTGAAAGAGCACAAACTCTCTACATCATGTTACATCTTCCTTTGACCCACACAATCTAAATTTACCAAGAGATGTATAAACTAAGGCTTGAGTTTTGGCTTTTCAACCTGATTTACACATTACCAGCCAATGTAGCTATTGCATACTATTCCTACAAAACAAGAAAAATACTAGATAACTGAGAAAAGCAAAATCTACAATAAAAACACAATTCAATGATTTATACTAGATGGAGCCTAGATATATTATAGCAAAATATTTAAGAACACTAAAGACAAAAAGAACAACTCAAAATTGTTTTAGAAAGAATAGTGGAAAACAGAGTAACATGGAGAAAATGCAAAGGGAATGAGAAAACAGGATGTCTTATTCGGGATGAAGATATTAACATATATATATATAGAGAGAGAGAGAGATTTATTTAATGCAAGAATACAAATAGAATGTGTAACTTTCATAGCAACAGAAAAATCAATAGAAAATATGCAGTAAAGGAGAAAAAAGAAACAAAAAAGGCATATGGCAAGAGAGACAAATATAACAATAATTAAAATAATTTTTTAATTCACCAATTAAAAATTATAAACTATCATACTGAATAATAAAACTAGCATCTACTATACATCATATATGTGTGGATTAAAACTAGAATGTCATAGGTTGAAATTAAAGAGAAAGGAAAAAATATACCACACAGTTACGAATCAAAACAAAGGTAACCATTTTAATATCAGAAAATAAATATAACTCAAAGGTACACACACACACACACAAAGAAAGAAGAATGTAGGGTACTGGTAAAAGAAATAATCTACATAATACAGGATTCAAACATGCTTATGAACCCAACTCCATAGCCCCAAAAGATATCCAGTACAACAATGACAGAACTGTAATGAGAAATTGAAAATTGAGAGTTACTTAATTTGTGTGGGGAAAACTGCGTTGTTTTGTTTTTATAGAGAAAAAAATCAAACAGATTTTTACATAAATAAAGTGCAGATAGATTAAAATTTTGATTGTAGAAAAAAATAAAAGTAATAGAAGAAATTTCAGAATATATCTGTAACCTGCTGATGGAAAAGTATCTTTTAATCTTTAAAAAACCCACAAAATACACAGCAACAACAAGACAACAACACAGATTTATTTGATAGCAACAAAATAAAATTTTGTGTTTAATGCAAGTTATTATAAGTATTGCAAAAAACAAATAGTACTTTGGAAGAATATAATTGCAGTCTAAAATTTAAAATATATTAACACCTGGAATTTAAGTGGAACTCCAGAAAAACAGAAATAATTATATCAAAACCCAATATAAAAATGGACAAAGACTAGGAAAAGCCAATTATAATGATTATTACAGAAGACAAATTAAAATACATGTGAAATACAAGTGGTATCCCCTAAACTTATCAAAAAATAACAAAAATAGAATATCAGATAATATCACATGTTAGAATATGAGTAGATAAAAACTTCACATACTACTGATAGAAATATTCAGGTATAGCCATTCTGGAAATAAATCTGAGAAGACCTAATGAAATTAAATTAAATACAGTACATACTAAAACTCTTTAATTCTACTCGTGTGGTAGTCAGGGCAGTGTTTCCTTTGCAGTAGTTGCATACCCTGAAATACTCCACAGCAATAATGAACGAGAAGTCAACGCAGCAACTTGAATATCTTAAAAATACAGTGTTGGCCTTTTAAACAAGGATGACTATATATATATATATATATATATATATATATATATATATATATATAACTACACATATATATGTGTATATATATATGTATATACAAAGATAACTGTATATATATGATATACAAAGATAACTTTGTATATATAATATATATGTTTACATATATATATTATACTGTAAGTTCTGGGGTACATGTGCAGAACGTGCAGGTTTGTTACATAGGTACGCACATGCCATGATGGTTTGCTGCATCCATCAACCCACCATCTACATTAGGTATTTCTCCTAATGCTATCCCTCCCCTAACCCCCCACCCACTAACAGGCCCCGATGTGTGATGTTCCCCTCCGTGTCCGTGTGTTCTCATTGTTCAACTCCCACTTATGAGTGAGAACATGCGGTGTTTGGTTTTCTGTTCCTGCGTTAGTTTGCTGAGAATGATGGTTTCCAGCTTCCTCCATGTCCCTGCAAATTATATATATTATTTACAAACTTATACACATAAAACAACACTGTAAAGGATAAGTACATATTCAGGGAGGCAGAAGGATATATTTCAAATCAATTTGAAAAGGCATTTGTAGTAAAGGAGAGGAAAAGGAAAAAGAGTGGCATTGGTGAAGTGGGAAACAAGTAAAACAAGAGAGTCCTTCATGGAGCAATGTGAGCAGACCATGACATGAAGAGAAGAACTGATTGGAATCTCTGTGCGTTTTCTAATCTCTTAATAGAGAATTTAGAAAAATTTTATTTTGTAGAGTTTGTGACATGCATTCTTAAACATGATTGATGTGAAGAAAATTGGGAGCATTTTTGGAAAATAATTTTAATTACCAAATGCTTTCTGATACTTAAGATATGACAAATACAAATTTATTCACATTACCAAGACTTGAACACTGGCTCATCAGTGGAATATGCAATATCCTCAATATCACTATGAAGCAGAAGCAAAATGAGCCAGTTCTGACCTAGAGATCCCAGGTGTTTAGGTGCAGGCAACTGAAAACTCTTGCACAGATTAAGATTGGACTGAGCCTGAAAAAAAGAGAAAAGAAAAAACTTAAGGTGGGAGTCTGTACACCAAAATTTCAAAACATGTGAAAAACACTAATATTAAAGTGAATAACATTAGCATCAAATAAAATAAATGCAATAAAAACTTTAAAAGAAAATTCTACAATGAGCATGTTTAGAACATATAATTGTTCATATTATATTTCCTCCTCCTCTCTGAAGAAGCATTTTAATTCACTATTCTGTGAACTCAGATGTGACTAGGTGGCTTGCTTTGCCAAAAAAAATCAATAAGCAATAAAATAATAGAAAATTAGGGTAGAAAAGAAGCTTATTCAAACTTACACTCACTGTAATGTGTAACTCCTATTTATCTATCCATTTATTTATCATCTATCATTTATAATGGTACAGATATTTGAACTCAGATTCACCTCCTGTGGCTTCTACGCAATGATCCTGTTCTATTTCTCCAACAAAAACAAAATATAACTCTTTCTCACACATTGTAGCCCTCTGAATGCTTTAAAACAAATATATCTCTTCTTTGTCTTCTGTTCTGCTAATTAAACATCTCAACTTCATAGTTTTCTTTATGAGACATAGATATCAGAAGTCTCACCATAGTGCTTACCTATTTCTCCAGACTGTTTTATGTGGAAATCTTAAAGCTGATAGATGAAACTTTGTATCTTGTTGGGAAAAATCACACAAATTATTTTTAACCCTAGGGCCACAACAGAACCCATTCTTGTTGCTTATTTTCCTTTTTAACCATTTAAAAAAACATCATGAGATATATGATCCTTATATTAGAGCAAACAAGTTAGAATATGGTAGGAAAAAAAATACTATGCTTATTTAGAAGTCCAAATAGAAATTCCAGCTCTGTCCCTTGCAGGTTATATGATTCCATGAGCAAGTTATTTGACAGTTATGAGGCTTGGTTCATTCAGCCTTAATATGAGGATTTGAAAGATTTACTTCTATAATGACTTATGGTACAAAGAACTATGCAAATAAGCTGAAGGAGTTGGAAATAATGATGAAATGTATTTCAAGAAAGCACTACAAAACTTTGAATCATACGTTTTGACAAAATAAATATTTAAGTGCAACTCTACCAAAAGTGTGAATTATACTCATCCAGTTGCAGAGATTATTTTTGAAAAGACATGTCTCAGCAAAGTCATTTTAATCTAGCTCATTTGGATTGACTCTCAAGGCAGGCAATAAAAACAAAATCCCTGCTTCTGTATTATTTTTCTGTGGTATGCTTCCTACTTCTGATGTGTGATGTATTTAATTGAATGAAACTCAGTGATGGAAAGGACGTAACATTTTGTAAGCTTGGTTGACAGTTTGCAATTGATGGGGAGTGTCTCTTGATAAAAGGGAAATCTGGCACTGGAAATCAATAGAATAAAAATGTAAGAAGCATGAAAACATGCTTATATAAAATAATATTTACTTATATAAAAGAATAGCTGATTTTTATTGGGATTAAAAGAAAAATGATTATTCTAGGTATGAAAATGTCATGTAATAACTTGACTACTCATGATTACCTGAAAGTGATCTTTTATACCCTTTACATTTGTATAAAAATATACATCATGGAAATTTGCAGAAATGAAATATGACAGAGCAAAAAAATGGGCATTAACATCCACAGAATTCTATACAAACAAACAAAACCCTACTATTGCCCAAAAGCTACAACTCAGAAGCTGTGCTTGAATGATTTAAGCAAGAGTTAAAGTTTTGACTTTAAAAATAGATCATGACTGGCTTGTCCAGGAAGGCGGCAAAGGATTTTAGATTGTCAGGCCAAAGAACAATCTCAAAGTCTCAGCTTCTTGAGTGACTAGATCTTGATCACTTCCTCAAGGAGAGACATTTGATGATAAAGGAGAGAGGGACATTTTCTCAGCCACTGGAGTTCCTCCAAAAACTGATCCCTTACTCAGCCTTGAAATAAACAGCAGCTGCACCCTGCCCTTTGAGTCAGGAGAAAAAGAAATTGAAAAAGGAGCCACAAAAGCCATGACCACTGTCACTGCCAGAGATGGAGACCTGGAGAATTCAAAATGGGATAAACAGTGTTGGCACTACAATAAAGATACAGAGAATTAATAACGCACCAAGCAGTTTCCTCCAGCTCTCCCTAGACTCCCATCAAAAAATACCGAGATCAATTAAATCAAACCAAGCATTTCAATTGACAAATTAAAAAATAGGACTAGCTATGAATTATTTTCTCTGTTTGATATGAATAATGTATTATATTATAGAAGGCCACGTGGTAAATGGTTAAACCATGATTCACTTGGAATTTATGAAAAGATTTTTGTCATTTTGCAATGCTGTTTTTCAAGCTTGACCACAAAGTGTTGAGCTTGTCTTTGATAGTGCCCTGGTGAAGCCTGTCTAATGGAAAATAGTGAAATATTTTTATCCAGCATGTAGTCAACCCTGCTGTTTTCAATACCAAGGCAAAATGTTAGAACACCTTGCTCAACTTCAGATCAAAAAAATCTTCTTGACTTAACAGCCCCATGTGTTTCTTTTTCAAATGCTTTACTAATTCTGTTGAAATATATGTCCAAAGTAGACATTCTTATTATTATTATTACTATTACTATCCCATAATAGCTTATATTTGTATTTAAAAATTTATTTACCAATCCTCTCAATTTTTTAATCTCCACTCCAATTTCTTTAATGAATTTTCAATCTTCAGCACCTCCATATAACAAAAAGTGCTGCACATATTGCCAGAAAAAACATTTCAAAACCCCATGGATACCTAAGACTTTGCAAACCCTATTAAGGTAAAACAGAACTTATGCTTTTTGCTGTTTTGCAATGGAATTGTAAGAGTTAATATAAGCACCAGTAAATCAATGTGTTATTCTTAACAAATTAGTTGAAGGTAGGGAATAATTTCTTTAAACAAATCTTAATGAATATCATAGAAAAAGAAAAATAGATTCCACTATAGAATGCATATAAGTGTCATTATCACAAAGACAGACTTATATGAGAATCTGTTTCTAAGCAATGTTTCCTTTTTAAGACATCATTTCCATAAGAATTTCACTTTGAATTAAACTATTTTTGAGTTTGTATTTGTCACGGTGACTCTTATTTTTTTCTAAACTCATAGAAAAAAATACAGAAAACCATCCTAATTAGCCTACAGGGTAGTAATTTTTTACACATAAGAAAAATATTCTTATTTTTAGGCTCAGATAGATAAAAATTATTTAAATGGAAAGTATGTGGTAAATGTAGTATAAAAAATCTTAGGAAGAATGAATTCTATTAACCTACACCTGAATTTAAATAATTAGGAATAAACCATTATACAACGTAGAGTGGAAAGCTGAGATAAGTGCAGGTAACATTCTTAAACATTTACCTCCCATCCTATTATTCATTTTTTAACACTTGATAAAATAGGGTACAAGTATTTATAATAGTATTTACATCTCCCAGAACATAGAAGGTGATAACTATTATTATAATCTCAAAACAATAAGCAAAAATAGGATTGGTATGAAAGAGATAATTCTAAAAGAGTAACGTCTAGTATCATCATGTGGCTACTGCTAATGAAGGTGAAAGCCAAAAGGCGTCACAACATTCATCAGGAGTGTGTCTGCATGTCACACATTTCTAAGCATTCTTCCAGAAAATTTCTGGTTCTTGAGCACTCCTTATTTTAAATTGAAATAATACCTGACCTAGTTTGAAGTACAGAACTTGCATATAAGTAGGCTAAAGGCTTCCTATCTTATCACTTACCTCCTTGACGTGAACTGAGCAGATACTCTTCAAGCACAGTTCATTATCCCCCTCCAGGCATTAGCCCAGTCAGGTAATGTGGTCATTATTTCTCAAGGAAAAGGGATTTTTTTTTTTAGTTATTTTTTTCAAAATGGCATTTGATTTTAAGCATAGCCTTCCTAACTCTTACTCATTTCCTCCTCCTAGGCAAGAGGCCATTGGTGGGACAGTCAGACTAATGCTGAAAAGAACTTTACTTTTTAAGAAATTTACATCTAGGAAATATTATCAGTAAAGGTATTCTATAAAAATTGACAAAATAAATTTCTGATGAGTATTATTTGCTAAATAAAATTCCAAGACTGACTGCATGATTAGGTTTATTTATTAAAAGTTTTTGTGGGGTGGATTTGTAAATACTTTAAAAAATTCTAAGTGCTCCAGTTATATAATATTAACCATGAGAGTGCTATTATATTTATAAAACCACCTCTGAACAAAAAGACAATCAACTTTTATAGAAATGTGTTTATATATGTATAGAATGTATATTTATGTCTATGCATACATCCAATTCTCATTTTAAGGAGACTAATCTTTATGTGTTTTTTAAATTCACATCATGAGCTTTGATTCGGTTTCAGAAACTAGCTAAATGCAATGAATTATATCCACTTACACATTTTTATTGGTCATAGACTTTTCACTTAATTGATTATCATTATTCAAGTTCACCTATTTATAATTCATCATTATTTCAGAAAGGATTCTGTGAAGTTGCTTACTTTGCCAGAGGGAAAAATTAAACTTTTGATTACTTAAAAAAAATTTTTTTATACTAGAGAGCATATGAATCTTCCCCTTAGCTTTGCTTTACTGCTTTCAAGAGCAAACTGTCAAGACCCTCCCATTATCATTTACCTCCCTAAATACTTTCATATTATTTCTCCTGTGTGTACTTTACTGGAATTACAGAGCAAATCAATTTAATCTCTGATGCTTGACAGTGTAATTCACAGGTTGGTTTCTCTCTCATGGAATACTTGTACATGTGGAGTGATCAAATATAATATTTAGAAAACAGACTAATAAGATAAACTTTGATTTTATTAATGATAACATAGTTCATGTATACTTTCCTATATCCATATCTATATGTCCTTATCGGTATTCAGATACATAGATAAGCATTTGCCATCTCAGCTGGCTGTATGTAAGTAAAATTACCTATATTTCAGTCATTTGCTTACCTATTTTTCAAGTAATCTAAGCTATTTTGTGTACCTGTGTGTGTGTACCTTTCTGTTCTTATCATATAATGTATTTTGGTTTATGCTCAATAGGTAAAATATCCTATCATTTAAACCAATTCTTAAAATTTGTGTTACCGGGGCCAGGTGTGGTGGCCCATGTCTGTAACCTTAGCACTTTGGGAGGCTGAGGTGGGTGGATCACCTGAGGTCAGGAGTTTGAGACCTGCCTGGCCAACATAGTGAAACCCCATCTCTACTAAAAACACAAAAATTAGCCGGGCATGGTGGCGCATGCCTGTAATCCCAGCTACTTGGGAGGCTGAGTCAGGAGAATCACTTGAACCTGGGAGGAGGAGGTTGCAGTGAGCCAAGATCGTGCCATTGCACCCCAGCCTGGGCAACAGAGGAGGGCTCTGTTTAAAAAAAAAAAAAGAAAGAAATTTATTACCAAGAATGTGGTGAGGATGTTGTTATACAGTCAAACATGACTTTGGTGGGAGCTAAATAATAAATATAACCTCTGTTTCTTAATGTTTTATCCTTTCTTATTTGTCAAAGTTCCTGATACATAGTAGGTTATTGATATATATTGATAATGAACTGAATAAATGGAAAAATCTAAACTTTCTAAAACATTACCTTATCTTTTGTCTTCAGTGTTGAACTAAAATTTTCATCATTTACTAGTTCACCCAGAATTATATTCTTGTTTAGTTTTTTTCTCTTACAATTAGTATAATGCTAGTTTTGTTTTGTTTTGGCTGTTTTTTGTATTAAGGATTTTTTTGCATTTTTAACCTCATTTAGAATCTAATCAAGTATTTTCAACTGTTCTATTGTTTTGAGACCTTTACTTACACCACTTTTGTCAATTTTCTTTTCTTATAAAGTAACGTGTTTTTCTTTGAATATTTAAATTTGAAACCTCCATAAATCACTTACTTATTATTATATGCATCAAACCTTACATAATCAATAGCTGTCACAATAAAGATTTAAAAATTATAGCAGAATGAGGAATGAATTTTCTTCCATTTCTAAGACATTGTTCTGTATTCCACTTTGCTATTGTATGCACGTCTTCCTCCATCCTAACAAAAAAAAAGCAGTGGTCTGCTGTCTCAGGAGTGATCCCAACCTCTCCAATTCCACTTAAGATACAGTTTTCTCCTCTTTTTCAAGGGACTTGCTCATTTGGTGTGTTTTATCTATCTTCTACTTATAACTTTTCCTTAGTGGTTCCTTTCAATCCATTAGGCTTCTTTCAATACTTATTTGATTTAAACTTGTTTACCAGGCCACTCTCTCTCCTGAGCATGAAAACCAGGTGTCCAATAACTTACCAGACCTCTGATGTGAATATCCCATAGATATGATAACTCATCATAAGATATCAGCAAAATGGTCAAGTAGAGTTACCTGGCAATCATCCCTCCATATATTTCAACTAGACAGACTGAGGAAGTATGCTGAAGAAGTCAGCGGGGACTTCTTTATGTGGAGAAAAGGTAAACTAGAGATCCCTTACAGTCCCCATTGCTACCACAAATGCCAACAACCCTCGCTACAGGGTAGTTCCCCAGTCCTCACAGATCCCAATTCCAGTTTGGAGGTTAAGTGTGAGTTTACACAGCTGAATTGCTTCAAAGTAGGAGCCCATCTTCATCAACCTTCACTTTCACAACCTTAGCTACTATGGCTCAGTGCCATTTTGAAATTGGACCCACTACTACAGTTTGTCTAGCCCTGGGGGCTGGTGGCAACTGACTTTCTCCACTTCTGAGGCCCTGCCATAATCCCATCATGTTCACATGAGTGCCTGCTGCACCACATGAGGCTGCATAGAAAATAGGTCAGAAAGAACTACTGAGACCTCAGTGTTCAAACCCACACAGCATCCCCACACCAGGTGAGCTTCCATGGTAGGGAACCCACCAAAGAACTCCCCAGCCACCTCAACTGCCTGCACATGTGCTGCACAGCTGGCTGGTCCGTCAAGCCCACATATACCCAAGCTCAGCCCAACAGCCAGTCCAGTGGTGGCCCTGCCAACATAATCAGACTGCCACAGGGTTGCCTGGCACCACTGTGCCTGTTTGCACAGCAGAGCTGACAGTTTGATAGCAGCAGTACTTCCTCAAATAGACAGTTACATAGCCACCTGTTGGGCTGTCCCCACACACACCTAATCCTGCCATGAGAGCGAGTCCAGTGGTGGACATCACCTCCTGGGAGATCCTGCCAGATAGATAGCCTATTGATCCTTTATGCCTGAATGTACCTGGCTAGACAACCAGCCCAGCACTCCTACTCTTAGGAAAACCATGCCACCACCATTACAACTTCCTATAGCCTAGCCCACTGAAATAATCACAGACATCATTGACAAGGATTTCAGCTGAAAAAACTATATGGAGACCATGCCACTGAGTCCACCCAGCAACAAAGTCAATGCATAATACTCGACAGATAATCTAAGCCATTATAAACAGGAAACTGTCTCCCCCTGTGAAAACTACTTCTTTAAATTGGAGAATAAACAAGAATTCCACTAGGTGCATATGTATTAACATGGGAACACTTGAAACATAGAAAAGTAAGGAAACATGACACCTCCAGAGGAACACAGTAAGTCTCCAGTGACAGACCTGAAAGAAAAGGATATTAACAAAATGCTTGGAAAAGAGTTCAAAATAATAATATTAAGGAAATGCAGCAAGAAACAAGAGAACAGGAATTATTCAATGAAATCAGAAAAACAATGTATGATGTGAATGATAAGTCCAAAAGAGATAGATTTCTTTTAAAAGAACCAAACAGAAAAACTCAAGCTGAAGAATTCAATGCATGAAATAAAAAATATAATTGAGAATTTCAACAATAGTGTACATCAAGCAGAAGAAATGATTTCTGAACTTGAAGACAGGTCTTTTGTAATAACCCAGTCAGGCAAATAAAAACAAGAAAGAAGAATAAAAACAAATGAAAAAATGCTATGGAACTTATTGGACATCATTAAACTAACAAATATTTGCTTTATAGGAGTGGCTGAGGGAAAGATATAAAGAGAGGCACAGAAAATGTATTTAATAAAATAACAACTGAAAAAGTCTTAAGCATTGAGAGAGGTATGGACATCCAGATTCAGAAAATTCAAGAGTTCCCAATTGATTTCATCCCATGAAGACACTCTGTAGGATACATTATAATCAAACTGTCAAAAGTTGAAGACAACAAGAGATTTTTAAAGCTGCAAGAGAAAACTATCAAGTCCCATATAAGGGAATCCTCATTAAACTATCAGCAGAGGCTGGGTGCAGTAGCTCACCCCTGTAATCCCAGCACTTTGGGAGGCCAACGAGGGTGGATCACTTGAGTTCAGGAGTTTGAGATCAGCCTGGCCAACATGGCAAAACCTTCTCTCTAATAAAAATTAAAAAATTGTTGGGTGTGGTGGTGCACATGTAATTCCACCTACTCACCTGAACCCAGGAGGCGGAGGTTGCAGTGGGCCAAGATCACACCACTGTACTTCAGCCTGAGTGATAGAGTTAGACTCTGTCTCAAAAATAAATAAATACATAAATAAATAATCAGCAAATTTTTTCAGCAGTAACGTTTCCAGCCATGGAAGAATGGGATGATATAGTCAAAGTGCTGAAGAAAAAAATCTGTCAGTCAAAAATAGTATACCTAGCAAAGCTTTGCTTCAGAAATGAGCAAGAAATAAATACCTTCCCAGACAAGCAAAAACTGAGGGAATTTATCATCCTTAGACCAGCCTTACAAGAAATGCTTAACAGAGTGCTACAATTGGAAACAGAAAGATGATCATGACTGTCATGAAAACTTGTGAAAGTACAAAACTAACTAGTGGAGGGAAATTCATAAATCAATCTCAGAACACTCCCATGATGTAATGGTGTTATGTAAATATCTCAATCTACTAGTATGAAGGTTTAAAGTCAAAATAGTCAATAACAACTACAGCTACAATTAGTGACTAAGAAACACATAATAGATAAAGAAGCAAATTAAGGCAAGAAAAATATAAATTGTGTAGGTGAGGGAAAAAGTCTATAATATTTTTATGTGACAAAGTTAAGTTCCTCTCAGCTTAAAGTACTATAATATAACTACATAACTCTTTATTTTAGCATCATAGTAACCACAAATAAAGAAATTACTGCAGCTAAATAAATGATGAAGAAGAAAGAAACAAAACTTAGCATCACAGAAAACCATCAAACCACAGAGGTAAATCACAAGGGAGGAAAAATGTAACAAGGAATCTGCAAAACAACCAGAAAACAACAACAACAATAAAATGGCAATAGTAAGTTCTTACCTATGAATAATAACCTTGAATGTAAATAGATTGAATTATTCAATTAAAAGATATACAGTGGCTGAATGATTTTTTTAAAAAATGAAGTCAAGAGTCAACTCTGTGCTTACTACAAGAGACTCACCTCCCCATTAAAAACAAACATAAACTGAAAGTAATGGGATGGAAAAAGATATTCTATGAAAGCAAAAGCCAAAAGTGAGCAGAAGTGACCATTTTTATATTAGATAAAATAGACTTTTAGTCAAAAACTGTAAAAAGAGACAAACAAGGTCATTATATAATAAAACAAGAATCAATGCCACCAAATATAACAATTATAAATATACATGCACCCAACTCTAGAACGCCCGAATATATAAAGCAAATATTATTAGACCTAAAGGGAGAGATATACTGCAAAACAAAAATAGTAGCAGACTTTAACACCTTAATACCTTTTGTCTTCAACAAGACACATAATCTAGACAAAAATCATCATCAACAACAACAAAAACAGTGGAGTTAAGCTATATCACAGACCAAATAGACCTAACAGTTGTTTACAGAATATTTCATCCAACAGCTGCAGAATACAAATTTTTTTCAACTGCACATGAAACATTTTCCAAGATAGATCACACATTAGGCCACAAAACAAGTTTAATAAATTTTAAAAGATATAAATCACATCAATTGTGATTTATATTGTTTTTCTCTGACAACAATGGCATAAACTAGAAATTAATAAGACAGACTCTGACAATTCTACAAGTACACAGAAATTAAACAACATGCCCCTAAACCACAAATAAAGAAATGAAAAAAATTGAAAAAATAAAAACGTTCATGAGGAAACAAAAATGGAAACATATCATGCCAAAACCATTAAAAGCTGATGTTAAAGAGGTTTATATTAATAAAAATCTACATCAAGAAAGGATTTCTAATAAAGGATCTCACTCTGTACTTCAAGGAACTAAAAAACAAGAACAAATTAAACCTGAAATTGGTACAAGGAAGGAAATAATAAAGCTTAATGCAAAAATAAACAAAATAGAGATAAAAAAACAATTCAAAAGATCAAGAAAACTAATTTTCATCAAACTATTTCAAAAACTGTAGGAAGGTAGAACACTTCCAAACTCATTTTTACAAAGCCAATGTTACCCTGATTTCAAAACTGGACAAGGACATAACAAAAAAAAGGAACCACAGGCCAATATTCCTAATTGAACATAGATGCCAAAATTCTCACAAAGGTGCTATCAAGCCAAATTCAAAATCACATTAAAAGGCTCATTCACTATGCTTCAAGTGGGATTCATCCCAGGTTTGGTTTAACATGCACAAGTCAATACATTTGATATACCACAGAAAGACAAAAACCATATGATCATTTAACTAGATGCAGAAAAAGGATTTGACAAAATTTAACATCCCCTCATGACAAAAACTCTAAGCAAATTAGGTGCAGAAGGTATATACCTCAACACAATAAAAGCTATACTTGACAGACCCACAGTTAATATCATGCCAAACGAGGAAAAAGCTTAAAACCTTTTATCTGAGATCAGGAAAAGACAAGAATGCCCATTTGCATCTGTCTTATTTAACACAGTACTAGAAGTTATAGCCAAAGCAATTCAGCAGGAGAAAGAAATAAAAAGAATCCAGATTGGAAAGGAAAAAGTGAAATTGTCCCTTCTTGCAGATGACATAATTTTATATACAGAAAATCCAAAAGACTCCACCAAAAAAAAAAAAAAAATCCTGTTAGAACGAGTAAGCAAATTCAGTGAAGCTGCAGGACACAGAACTCACATAAAAATCAATAGCGTTTACATACACTAATAGTGAACTCTGAAAAAAGGTATCACAAAAACATTTCTATTTACAATAGCTGTAAAAAATAAAACATCTAGAAATAAACTTAATTAAGAAGTTAAAAAGATCTACTCTGAAAATTATAAACTTGTTGAAAGAAATTGAAGAGGACACAAATAATAAAGATATCACATATTCACAGAAGCATGAATATTGCTAAATGGTCATATCACCCAAAGTGATCTACAAATTTAATACAATCCCCATCAAATTACCAATGACATTCTTTAGAAAAACAGGAAATAAAGTCCTAAAATGTGTATGGAACAAGGAAAGATCCCAAATAGCCAAAGCAACCATCGGCAAAAAGAACAAAAGTGAAAGCATCACACTACGCAACCTCAAAACACACAATGAAAGCTATAGAAACCAAGATAGCATATTACTGGCATAAGATCAGACGCATACATAGACCAATGGAACAGAATAGAGAGCCAACAAACAAATTCACACACCTACAGCCAGCTGATTTTTGGCCAAGGTGCCAAGAATACACATTTGGTGAGGAATAACTTCCATAAATGGTGATGGGAAATAGGATATACACATGCAGAAGAATGAGACTAGTCCTCTGCCTCTCACCATATACAAAAATCAACTCAAAGTGGATTGAAGACATCACTGTAATAACCTAAAACTATGAAACTACCAGAAGACAGTATAGGAAAAATGCCGGGCAAGGGAAAATAAAGAGAAGGTTGATCAATGTGTACAAAGTCACAATTAGACAAGAGGGATACATTCTGATGTTCTATTGCAGAGTAGAGTTCTATTGCACAGTAGGGTGACTTGGTTAACAGTAAAATATTGTATATTACAAAATAGCTAGAAGAGAGAATTTTGAATTTTTTCACCACAAAGACATGATAATAGCATGAGGTGACAGATACTACCTATCCTGATTGCATCATTATATAGCATAGATATGTATCAAAACATCAAATTGTACCCCATAAATATGTACAATAATAATGTGCTAATTAAATATATACATTTTAAGAAAGCCTTATGTGTATGTTGCCTTTTATTGCTGTTAGACACAAATATAGGAGCTTGAAATAATACAAATGTATTTATTATCTTATCTTTCTGGAGGCCAGAAGTCCTAAAAATGAAGTGTTAGCCCAGCTAATTTTTCTGGGGCTGTAGGAGAAAACTCATTTTCTTGCCTCTTCCAGCTTTCAGTTTTTTTCCTCATAGCACTCCAACCTCTGCTTCTGTTGCCACATATCCTTTTCAGACTTTCATTGTCCTACCTCCACTTTCTTATGATTATGTAGGGCTGACCTGAATTGCCCAAGATAATTTCTCTCATCTCAAGGTCCTTAATTTAATTGCATCTGCAGAGTCTTTTGGGGCAATCAGAACATGCACATCTTTGGGGTACCAGTATTCTGTTGACCATAATGTGCAACGGTGAACCCCCTTTTTTCCCCTTAAGACTTTTCTTTCTCCAATATTTACTCATAATGGGTTATAATGTCATATAGCGGTCATTCAATATATAAACTTGCTGGGGTAATCCTTGATTATTTTCTTCACCCTCTTTCTCTACATATTCAATCTCCAAGTTCTATTGATTTTATATTCTAAATATTTTTCAAACTAATCCATCTTTCTATACCTTCACTGTTGCTTATAAAAATAAGGACGTGATCACTTCTTAACCTTTCAACAGATCTTCCTACAAGTTGTCTCTCATTATCTGTTCTATATTTCTAAACATAATTTTATTCATCAGTTAACTGCTCAAAATCTATCAATTCCCTTATTGTCTATTTCCCTTAACATAAAATCAAACTTATTTTCTTGTATTACAAGTTTACTCTGCTTCCTCTTAAACCTTATTCATTGCTACAAAATGCCTTTTTCCCATTTCCTTAGTGAACTAGAGCTCTCCCAGCTCCAGATCACTGATTGTAAGTTATTCTTCTGCCTGGAGCACTCTGTCCTATCTGAATCTGCACTTCACAGAGATAACTCCTACCTGTCCTACATGCCTCGTCTTTGATATCATCTACTCTTAGAAGCTGTCCTCTTTTCTGTGTTCAGACTAGTAGCCACCTCATCTTTGTTCCTACTGCACCCAGAACTTTACACATTTAACATTATAAAGCACTTGCAAGTCTGTTATTTATACTTCCCCTCAATATCATATGCTCTGGAAGGGTAGGATCCACCCCTGCCAACCTCACAGTTTAATTCCTGTGGCTAGCACAGTGTGGTAAAAGGGCTCAATATGTCTTGTTGAAGAAATGGATTTGCAATAAACTGTAGAACTTCTAAGAGACTCGCTAACTTTAAATGTGAATTTTAATAATATTGATTAACATTCTATAAGCCATTTGATGTGGAGCCATTCTCATGAAATAAAATTTTAAATGTTAATTATGCATAGAGGAAATCCAATTCAATTAATGTTTGTGAAAATCATAGTAGGTACAAAACACTGTGTAAGCTACCCCCAAATGTATAAATTCCCTTAAGTTCCCTGAAAGAGCTAGTAAGAAAAATGCTACCTATAAATAGCAGTGCAATAGACAATGAGGTGCATGCTATGAGAAAATCCATAAAAATATACAACTACAGAAAAGAGAAAATTATTGTAACATGTTACTGCACTTAGCCACTTAATAATCCAGACCAGCAAGACAATTAGTCTGGGAATGAAGCCCAGTTTTACCATTAAGAATGTAAAGATCAAAACCCAGGAAAAGAAGGCATTGCGCCTGACTAACAGAGGTTTATTTCTGAAGACAAGCAGCTAGAAGTGGCCATATTTTCCTGATTATAACATGCAGAAAGAGTCAACCCTGCACCTTATCCTGCATCTGAGGGATAGCTGTCAATTCTTCAACCTTGTTTTCACAATGTCCAGTGATGACATTACTCTGCACTACAGCCATTCACCCCATTTAAGTAAAGAAATTACCAATTTCAGTAATAACTGAACCTGTTTAAAATGTTAATGAAGGTGTTGTTGTTTCATGGTAGCAAGAAAAAGACCTTGAGGAAGGAAAGTCTATTATTCATATTTTTTAAACATGGTCTCTCACTGGGAATTGGTATATATGTGGCAGTTTTAAAACATAATTCTAGAGTTCTTTGACCTATTTTCATCAAGAAATAGGGTCATTATCTCCACACCTTGAATCTAAACAGACTAGTGCCTGATTTAACCAATAAGATATGGCAGAAGTGATACTATGTACATGCTGAGGCTAAGTCATAAAGGGTCATCAGCTACCTGTTAGTTCTCTTGGAAAACTCAGCCTCTTAACTTTCATTCTTAGGATGCTCCCTCTCATAACTCTACAGCCATGTGTCAGGATATTTAAACACATGGACAGTGTCCAAGCTGAGACCAGACATTTGATTAAGGAAGTCTCCAGAATGCTCAGACATTTGAATCTTCCCAGTTGAGGCTCCAGTATTTGTGATGAGACATCTATGCCCTGTCCAAATTCCTGACTCACAAAATCCATGCGTGCAATAGATACTGTTTTGCATTGCTGACTTTGAGGTGGTTTGGTACACAGTAATAGACAACCAGAAAAAAAAAAAAGGTAGACCCTTGATAAGTATTTGAGGAAGAAAGTTAGAAACAATGGAAGGGATGAAAAGAAGAACAAAGGTAGGGAGGGAGGAGAGAGAGAAAGAAGAGAAGGAAGACAAAACATGAGAAAGAGCAAGAGATACAAATTCAGAGGCAGAGAGGATAGAGTGACAGAAACAGAGACAAAGAAAAAAAAGAAGAAAGACAGACAAGAAAGAAAGAAAGAGAAAGAGAGAGAAAGAGAAGAGAAAAAGAGAGAAAGAAAGAAAGGAAGGAAGGAAGAAAGAAAGAGAGAGAAAGAGAAGAGAAAAAGACAGAGAAAGAAAGAAAGAGAGAGAAAGAGAAGAGAGAAAGAGAGAAAGAAAGGAAGGAAGGAAGAAAGAAAGAGAGAAAGAGAAGAGAGAAAGAGAGAGAAAGGAAGGAAGGAAGGAAAAGAAAGAAAGAAAGAAAGAAAGAAAGAAAGAAAGAAAGAAAGAAAGAGAAAGAAAGGGAAAGAAAGAAAAGATGAAGGAAGGAATGAGGAAAGAAGGGAAGGAAAATAAGTTGGAAAAGCAGGAAGGGGAAGAGTGAATAGTGGGTGTGACTTGAATAGTGGGTAATTCTTAGAGAGATAGAGTTGTAAGAGAAAAGACATCCCAGATGAGTCAGTTAGCTGTCAGCTAAAAAAACAAAAGCCGCTTTCTATATATCAAGTGTGAAATGTCTAATATAGGAAACACAGGCTTTTGCAGCCAATGGAAGACCTGGAATCAAAGAATAAAGAAGCCACTGGCATTAGATGGAGGTGAGGAGAATTCTCAAGTATGCCATTCACATGTTTGGCTACAACCATGCTTGAAGAGTAATAACTTTGCTTTCTCTTAAGCCTTCCAAATCTTGTATTTGTACTTCTTCTTGGCAAACTCTAAATTAGATCCATGCAGGGAAGAGAATTCTGGGATATATATTTGGTGGCTTCACTTCTGCATTAAGGCTGAAGTGATGTCAGTGACACTGAGGTGACAATGGGCAACCCAGGATGCCAGACAAGTGCTAGTAACCAATACCTAGGTGTGGAGAAACAGAGAACATAGTCAAAAGCACATCTCTTCTCTAACTGGATTATTTGGTGGAAGATAAGAATGGAAAAATAAGCTGGAGTGAGGTACGTAGTTGTTTTCTGTAGAAACTTAGAGAAGAAAAACAAATAGCAGAGGAAAAAATATCTGAAAGAGTAACTGCAGAATAACAACTAATAAATAAGATTTGATGATTGCTGATGTTGGATCTGGAGCTGTGATTCAAAGTCAAGGACACACTACAAAATCATACTTTCCCTTCTAAGTCCGTGTTTTCTGTACTGTGAATTTTTCATGTACCGTCCTAAAGATTTTCATCGAATCCATGTATTACTCACAGAATTTCCTTCTTAATATTTTGTTTTTAAATATATTCATTATTTTAAATGAATAATTTTATATTGCAATAAAAATTTACAACCTGGTCCCAGTGGAAAGTGTGAATCACATAAAATAGAATGTATCAATGTAAACCCTGAGTCAAAAGGGACTGGAGATTCCTGAAGCTCCATACAGAAAAAGACTTTTTTCTTTTTTGCAAGAGAAAAAAAAAAAACAGTGGAATTAAAGTTACACCAAGATTTATTCCTCCATTCTGAAAGATAAATTATACATACTACAACAGGAAAGAAAATATGTACCTTTTGGGGAAAATAATCTGAAGAATTTTTCAGGTCAGAAATTACACTTTGTTGTTTTTATTTTTATTTTTAATATTATTATTATTATTATTATTATTATTATTATTATTATTATTATCATTTGAGATGGAATCTCACTCTCTCGCCCAGGCTGGAGTGCAATGGCATGATCTCAGCTCCCTGCAACCTCCACCTCCCGGATTCAAGCAATTCTCCTGCCTCAGCTTCCCATGTAGCTGGGATTACAGGCATGCGCCACCCTGCCTGGCTGATTTTTTCTATTTTTAGTAGAAACAGCATTTTACTATGTTGGCCAGGCTGGTCTTGAACTCCTAACCTCAAGTGATCCACCCACCTTGGCCTCCCAAAATGCTGGGATTACAGGCGTGAGCCACCACACCTGGCCCAATTTGTTGTTCTTAATAGTTATATTAGTCAATTGAGAGTAACTCATTCCCAAAATTCAAGACTGGATGACACTGTGACTAAAATGAAGATCGAAAGGTAGGATGGAATGTCACCCAGTCTCAGGGATTCTGCCGCCAGGGAAGTAGTAAGGACCCCTTTTGTAGCAATTGTCTGATCCTTCTCATTTAGCAAGGCTATGGATTGAGTGTGTGCTTTTCCCTACTTTAGCGGCCCTGCCTACAATTGAAGTTATCCCACTTTGACCAAGGAACCAAGACAGTACAGGTAGTAAAACCCAAGGAGCAGGGCAGGAGGGTATTAAAAACACAAATGTCTTTGACTACTTGGTATCTCTTCTCCTCTGTGTCCATCTCATTGAAATTAAAATAATAAAGGCAGGGCTTATCCCAGAGAAGGAAGTCAAATCTGGTTTTGGCATGTCCTAAAATAATTATAAAAACAAAGTAATGTTTCTTAATTATGGCTAAATATTTTTACCTGCATAAGCTTTGCCACTGATATCTGCTTGTGCTTTCTTTACCAAAAAGAAGGGGGACTATCAAGTGTCACACAAGCATAAAATTATACAAACAGTAAATATACTGGTTCTCTTTGCTGTAATCAAGGTATTGAAAGAAAATTGCAAAGAAATACTTGCTGAGGCAATCCTACTTAATGCTGTAGCAGGAACGTGATCAAGTTTGTTAGCAGCGGTCTTAGTGTTGTTTTTTGAGGGTGAGGGGTAGGAGATAATTCTACAAGCAGTAAGAACAATCCCTAGTGTCAGGGAGTTCATTTTAGAAAGCTAGTCCAGAAATGCAAGGAAGAATGAGAAAAAAGTCTAACTTAAGATAGTAATGAAAAAAGGAAGCTGGATCACCTGAAAAAGATTTTAGTGAATGATATGGTAGAAGTGAGACAAAGAGAGGATTAAAGGGAGTACAGAGATTTCTAGATTATAAGTTTATTTAAATGATGTTGTCAATGCAAACTAAGACTATAGGAAGCTGAACAGACTGTATTTTGGATGGAGACTATATTTTGTAACAGAAATAAAATTTGAAAAGCACGTAGAACACCTTGTTGGATGTATCTAGGAGGCAGTTGATATACTGAGCTTGGAAATGCTCAGACCTATTATATAAATTTGGGAATCAATACTTTATGCTACCTGAAATCATGGAAGCAGATGAGACAACCCACAGTGACACAGCAGGGCAAGAATACAAGAACACTAAAGGCAGATCCCTTGGGTAATCTTACAAGTAAGGGGAGGAAGCGGAAATGAGGAGCAGCTAAAAAACAGAGAGGCAGAAGTAGAACAACAGATACAAATGACACCATCAAATACAAAGAGGTCAGAAACAAATGGTTTGAAAATCAGTAACCCAGAAGAAGTGAAATAAAACCTACAGAGATACTGAAAACAGAAGGACTAGTGTAATGGCTTAATATCTCTTCCTGCTTTTTCCAATTGTGATTCTATCAGCCTGGATGAAGCACCTATTTTCCTTCTTCTTCCTGGCTAACCTCTGCTCACACTCACTCTTGCCTACCTGCTCACCCACCTAAAATGCAGCTGTGCTACTGTCCTCTGATAACACACTGTACAATCCTCTGTCATGCATTTCATTTAATACCCTAGATGGCAGGTCTACTTTTTTATTTTCTTAACAAAAAATGTGGGCTCTTGGAAGCAAGGATGCTACATCTCTTTTTAAATGGGGACAGTATTTGGCACACTGTGGATGCTTCTAGATCACACTTCACAGCCTTTTGATTAGAAATGAGAGAAGTTGATTGGAAAAGACTTATCTCAAATATACCTAATGATAGTAATTGTACATGAAGAAGAACTTAAGCAAACACAATTAGGAAAAATTACAGCTCATCAGTCAAGTGCTCATAGTGAGACAGGGCTTCTAAGGAGAGAGAGAGAGAAAAAAAAAAGAGTAAATGCCTAATTTTGACTTTTAATGCAATGTTCCCTGGTTGTCTGACCACCAACTTCTGGAAACTTCCCATAATCAGCATATTTCTTATATGCCTCTAATTTGTGTTTCCAAGTTTTCCTTGGCTCCCTCACTCCTGGCTTCCTGCCCTAAAATGTCCCACTGCCTTATGGAACACTGCTCAGCACATAAATCAGTGACACTTTGTTTCCCAGCATGAGTACTGTGAACAGTTTACTCTTTGAAGAACCTCAAAGTGAACTGAAGAGATCAATGGGTCCCACTTCCAAGGAAGTGAATGATGTTTTATCTATACTGGTTTGCTGCTAAATTTTTTTAGAGATAGCCAGGAAGAGAACCTCCCAATTATTCTCAGTATGAATTGTGTAATAACTATATGGGATAAAAATATATACCATTTAATTCTGTTTTTCTTGAAGGTGACCTAACAATACCTTTCAATGAAAATCTGGGGACCAAAATATAAATCAGTTCCAATCATCTCAAGAAATATTTGTTATTTCAATAAATAGGTACTATACTGATTTCTGAGAATATATGGACCCAACCTGCATATTCCTTACAGTCTAGCAGGGAAATAAAACTGACTTTTAATTATTGAATAGGTTGGTCTGTTCAGGCTGCTATAACAAAAAGACTGCTATAAGCCATAGACTGGGAAGCTTATAAACAACAGAAATGTATTTCTCACATTCTGGAGTCTGGGGAGTTCAAGATCGAGGCCTTGACAGAGTCAATGTCTGGTGAGGACCATCTTCCCACTGTCTTCTCACATAGCAGGAGAAATGAAGGACATCTCTGGAGTCTCTTTTATACAAGCTCTGCCCTCATGACCTAATCATCTCCCAAACGCCCTTCCTTCAAATACCGTAGCATTGGGGATTAGGTTTCAGCATATGAATTCTGAAGGGACACAAACTTTCAGTGTATAACACAAAATAAATAAATGACAGCATAAAGGACAAGAGTTTTTAACATATTGATTTGATGATTGAATATTCTGCCCTTAAAAAGTGACTTTAAATATCTTAACAGACTCTATTAACTCTAAAAACCTCAGCAATGTTCTCACTGAGCAAGAAAATTGTTGAAAGGATCTTCAAACTCACCTGTTCCTTTCATTCACTTACCCTCATTTCTTAAGTGCCATATGATCATTCCCCTGCTTAAATATTATCAGTGGCTTCCTATCACCCAAAGAATAAGCCTAAATTCTTTAGCTATGGATTAAAGAAGCCCATGAGTTCTTTGTTTCTTGTCATTTTTAATCATTTAACCACTATGGACTTCTAGCTTTATTTCTACCAAATATCACACTCACCCTGAAAGACACGCCACATGTACACACACATTTCACACTTCATAATCTGAAACTGAGAGTTCCCTAAAAGTATCATGGTGGTTCACAAAGTCTACCTTGTACAAACTATTCCCGTTGCCTAAAAGCCTCTCTCTACCAGTTCTGTTTCCCCGTGTCCTTCTGCTGCTGCTAAATGCTTCTTCCTTCTTTTAGACTTTCCTGCTGGTCCTTCTGTGCTCCTCCAAAAATGTTGGAAGTGTTCCCACTCCCTCTTAATGCTCTCTGTGTTTCTGTGGACTCTTCTGCATGCTTCTCTCTCAGCATTTGCCACATTGGTTATGTTCATGGATCTCCTCAACCAGACTACAAGAGCTTTAATAGCAGAGACAGTTTAGTAGATTATTTTGACATCCCTAGCGTATAAACCAACACCTGGCGTAGTACCTACTCAATATACATTTACTAAATAAAGCATTTATTCACAAAAATGTGTCATTAACAGTAATAAATATTTCACACAAAGCAATGATGCTCAAAATAAAAGAGTAGTAACAGAACACAATTTTAAATTAGTTTGGCAGGAACTGAAATTCTATTTCTATTAAAAATGTCATGTATCAGAAGGTAATCCAGGGCTCAGCAGGTGCAAAGGTGTAATCATGGTTCTTGAGGAACATTACAAAGCATCGGTAAGTAGCTTTTTTTTTTTCCTTTCTCAATAGCTATAGAGATAAACTTGTTTTAAATACTCTGGCCTTATAAAGCTGTACATTATACCACAGGCTAACATTTGGTTGGTCCTTCAAAATAATGTGATTTACAAACATAAGCTTGCACAACACTAAGCTGAGAATTGATAGATCAAGCCGTATTTACTGCAAACCTGAAACCTTATATTAATTTCCATGTTTTAATTAAAAAATATATTTTACAATAATCTTACTATGGTCTGCACTCAGATCACAACCTGTAATAGTCCCTGATTTTTATGGCTGGTTTTGTGTGGCATACCTAATGTACAATGAAGTCTTAAATGCTTGCTTAATAAAGAATTTTAAATACAGATTACACGATTCTTCCTCTGCAACACTTTCAGCCTAATGCCCTTGTTCTGCAGGGAATTTAATTAGCATGTGCCCTGATCTTGTCCTCCAAGCCTTCATTGCTTCAGACAAGCATGGGTTTAATTGAGAGAAAACCAAGCTGTGACTGTGACTCAGGTTTAAAGGCTGTTTCTCTGAGCAAATTAAATCCTGTAGAATGACTGAGTGTTCTGTTCCATACCCTTCTGATTTAATGCTGTATATTAATTGTTGTTCTCCTATCTTCTACTCCGTGATTGTTTTCCCCAGGATCCTATTGAGGGTGATTGATGTTCAGATAAATTTGTCGGTTTCATATAGAGAAAGAAAGATTAACATGTGCTAGTAGGAACACTGGGTTACAAGATTTTAGATTAACCTAAATATTAACACAATATTAACACATGCTTTGGCAGATTTAAAAAGGAAGAACATGGTAAATAAAATGCAAAGCTGATAATCAAGAAAAAGAATCCTGTTTTCTTAAGGACAGTTTCTAATACCTCCCTGTATAACATATAAACAGTTGTGCCTTTTGGTTTATCGGTTAACCCTTGATCATGCTCATAGACACTTGCAAAGAACTGAGGAGAAAACCAGATTCTTAAGTGTTTATTCCCAGTACCACCTCGCCTTCATGTAGAACTGTAAGGTTCTGCAGGACAGGAGTAGGAGCCATACCTTGCATTGGTTACAGGCTCCAAATGTGTTTCTTGAACTTGAATTTTACTGTAACATCCAAGTTTACTTAGAACAAGTGCAAAGGTATCAATTTTTAAACCACTCCTCATTTTCCTTTCTCTTCAATTTCTTTCTTCTTCTTCTTCTTCTCATTATTATTATTATTATTGTTATTATTATTGAGCACTTACTTCTATAAATAGCCTCAAAACTTTCTGGAATGAAGCAGAACATAAAAACAGGGGAAAATGATGAAAGAAAATTAATTCAACATTTTCACAGAAGGAGAAAAGAAAACTGGTAAAAACATTTTTGTAGTTACATTTCTAGTTTACCTTATATTATCAGAGTTTCATTTAACTGAAGTCTTCTGCCTTGTGCAGCTAATGGTTTATGTTAAATGTATTTGCCAAACTGGACTCCTTAGGAAGAAGCAAGTTCACTTGTGAAATCCAACTTCATCTTTATTAACTAAAGGCCATTACGAACGCTAAATTTTTTGTTGAAAAAAAAGTCATCTTGGGTATGATGCCAATCTAAATAAAGCCTACTTCATGAATTTGCTTATTTTTCTCTTTTCCCTTCAGACATTAGCCAGCTAAAGTTGTTACACATACATTAATTACACCAATTACTCCCAACTGTATATGTACATGCATTCAAGACTTGATTATCTGAGCTAAAAGAAGTGGTTATGCATGGCACAAATAATACAAATAAGCAAAAAATTCAAATCCCATGTACATTGAATTAATGAATGCATTATATATTTGTGGCACAGCTAAGTTACCTTATTATGTTTTGCTTAATTTAATAATTCAATTACCTTGCATTTCCTTATTCCACCCAGGTAATGAAAGGGAAAGCAGGTCCAGCTTCATAACAGGCACTGGAAAAATCAAGCCTACAATTTAAGGATTTGGTGATAGTCTTCTCTTTCTTCTCTGTTTTCAAATTCGTCTTTTGTATGTTTGTAGTTAGACATTCCCCATAATGTTGCTTTAATATCCTACAATGTCCAACACATATGGAAAAATTATCCTCACAGATATCACAATAAAGATTCATGCATTCATCTCCCGTGATTAAAAGAAGCTGGAAGAAAGCCAGTTCCTACCTAACAGTAATTCCAAATTTAATTTCCTTGGAGTTTAGGAAGGTACTTAGTTCTTTGAGTTAATCTTTATAGAAGTTTCCTAGTTTAGATCACCCTTTGTTAGGCTGCATGGTGTAATGCAGTGGTTCTCAAAATGTAGTGTGCAAAACAGAATAACTTAGATGGTTTCTTGAAAGAGATTTCAGGGCTTCCACCCCCAGGTTTCTGATTCAGTAGGTCTAGGACGGGGTCCAATAATTTGCATTACTAACAAGTTCTCAGGCAATGCTGATACCGCTAGTTTAAGATCTCACTTTGAGAGTCACTAGTGTAAAGGTTAAGTTTAAACTCAAATTCAGCACCACAAGCTATGTGTCCTAGGGCAATATATTTAACCTCCAACCTCAGTTTTCTTATTTGAAACCTAGGAATAATAATAGCAACCTACATCATAGAGTTGTTTTTTTTTTTGGTGATTAAATGAGTTATACGTTTAAAATGTTTATAAAAATGCCTGACACCTACTCAGTACTGAAATAGTGTTATTGTTGTTCTTTGTACTTACACGCATAGGTCATCCAGCATAATCATAAATGAATTAACATCAAAGAAACAAAAAAAATGTCTTTCTCTGAAACATTTGGCTGAGTGCTGGACACTGGGAGAAAAAGAATGTTGATAGGCTTATTCTCCAGAGTGACCTGGAAAGGAAGATTCCAGGGAAGAATGTAAGTCTTGAATATATCATGATGGATCATCACAAGGCAAGAAAAGAATGCATGAAAGAGATAGAGGAAAGGGCACTAAGGTGAAAGCCTTTTATTTCTCCTTGATATGCCAATGCTAGGCTCATATTAGGGATTCAGTGAATATGTTTTACATGTCTAATATTTGTTTATTAATTCATGAGCTAAAATTGAGCACACAAATGTGAGCAAAAACAGGCATGTTCTCTGTTCTCCTAGAGCTAAAACTTAAGTCTAAAAATTATATAAGACCATGTAGAAGAGCAAACGTGGCAAATGCCAAAGAGAGATTTACTGTTTTTAAGAAATCTGGAGACACTTCTCTGAAAAAACTAAGGATGTAGCTGAGGTACGGACAGACAGTGTAGGCAGGAGTACAGTTGCAGCCTTAAACATGGCAAGTTAAATAAATAAAAATTTCTTAGTTCCTGAGGTAGACAGATAGATAGATAAATGGTAATCCCTCAATGCCCACTGAGTGAATGCATTACTAATTAGCAATTATAAGCAATATAAAAATAATTCAAATTCAGATATGATTACTATAAATAACTACATCTAAAAAGAATGCTTTCATGGCAAGTTATAGAAAATTCAAATTTTTAAATAAATAGGAATTAATTTTCCTCACACAGAAGAAATCTGGAAATGGGTGGCCTCTGGGGCTATCGGTTCAGTGGCTCATCACCTGGAGACCTGTGGCTCTGTAATTCTCTGCTCTTCCCATCCTGATTACCATCTCATGGTCATAAGATGGCTGCTATATGCAAGGAAGGAGAGGAATGCATTTAATGCATTTTTCACTTGCTTTCCTGATAGTCCCCTAACTGTTCCCAAAACAGATTTCTCTTTAGGTATCATAGGCCATAATTAACTCACCAGATAACCCAAGGGGCAAAGTAGTCTATGTAAGTTGGAAATGCAACTGTAATGATTTCCTTAGGCTAATCATGACCCCCTTCCCAAAGAAGAGTCTGGGTACAAAGTCAGGATCTTTTTAGCTAGAAGGAAGGAGCACGGATATTGAGTAGGCAATTGACAGTTCATGCCACAATAACATACATAGTTTTGGTTCACAGGTGCATTTATACTTACTGGATTGCAAATCATGAAGTTTGGTGAAGAGGACGATAAAAGTTGATATACGCCTCCGGTAGTCTTTTATCCTAGGTCGGTGGAATTCTCAAAACCCACAGAGGGCAGGGCACGGTGGCTCACGCCTGTTATCACAGCACCATGGGAGGCCAAGGCGGGTAGATCACGAGGTCAAGAGATGGAGACCATCCTGGCCAACGTGGTGAAACGCTGTCTCCACTAAAAATACAAAAATTACCTGGGGGCCATGACGCGCCCCTGTAGTCCCAGCTACTCGGGAGGCTGAGGCAGGAGAATCGCTTGAACCCGGGAGGCGGAGGTTGCAGTGAGCCGAGATTGCGACACTGCATTCTAGCCTGATGGCAGAGCAAGACTCCGGAAGAAAAAAAAAAAGAAAAGCCATGGAAATGTTTGTTAAGGCTTTATTCTAGATTGGTGATTTTTTTTTTATATGGGAAATGGAATTTTCTTTGGTTCCTTACAGACAGGATGGAAATTAAGCATTTATTGATAACAAATCATAATTTTTATTGTGGAAAAATTAAAAATCAAGTGAATTTACTATTCACTTGATGCATATGATTGTGGAAAATTTGGCCATTTCAAAGAATTATTTTGAAGTGAAAAATCAATATTTTCAAGTGCCAGGTAATACAGAGTTTTTGTTTGTTTGTTTTATGTCTAATTCTCACAATCTCCTTTTTCTTTTGGGAAAAAAAAAAAAACAGAGGTTCAGACACGTCAAATAACTTGCCTGAACACGTATATAGAGTCAGAAATTCAAACCCATGGTTGCCTGACCATCTAGACTTTCTCTTTTTTTCTACTTTTCTGTTATATAATTTAATTAAAGAATTTTTCCTGGAGGCAACATTTTTATATCTCTTGGGGAAAAAACACTTGAAAGGCAATTATTAGTGACCATATCATTAATGTTGTTTTTATTGGAAAACTAATTGGAGATACTGATGCTTAAATACACTTTTACTTTTCGTTTTAAACATGGCAATGACCTGCTTTAAGCGGATGGATATTTCGGTAAACATTTCCTTTTTTGTAAACAGTGGGTAGTCAGTGTATGTTCACATTTTAAAAGGTGTTCATTGTATTGATTTTATACTACCCTTATTTTTTCCTATTTATTTCTTCTTAAAAAAATCAAGCCCAAATTTCCTATTCCATAGAAGGTGACATTTTCAACATATACCTGCATCCTGAGGTCCTTTACCTCATATGCCCAGAGTCCATGAGCAATTATGTAATCACTCCATTTTTCCACTTCCTTTTCTACATCTTCTTTGTCACAGGGATTCACATACTATGTTGGAATCACACACTTTCTTCTTTTGTTCATTTTCAAACAGTAATTGTGCCAGGCTTGTGACATGCTAGGCCATATTTGTTGTCTTTCCTCTACATGAGCTCATTGAGGTCAAGGACTGTTTCTCATTTATCTCCTGTAACCCTGTTCCCAGCACATATAGAGGAGGGGAGGTTGGTCAAGAAAGAGTTCGGCAAGTAAAGCTGTAGAAGTCGGAGTCAGCTGAATGTAAAAAGTCAACTGGAAATGGGATAGATGATGATATTATCTGATGATAAAAACAAACTGCTAAAAGGATGCCCATTGCTGCTCTGTCTTTATGACCTGTGCAATCAAACCCAGAATAAAAGAATGTAGTGTATTCACTAGGGAATCATTAAATACATCTATGGCAATACCAAAAAAGAAAGCCTCTAGACACTGATCTTTCAAAAGGGCAAATATGTAAACTGATCTCTGTCTCTATCATTGGAAAGTAACTTGCTATTTTAATTAGAGATAGAAAGTATTATGAGGTAGGAAAGATGAAAAGGGAAGAAATATAGTTAATAATTATAAGAAAAGAGGATGAGAAAATGCAATGAGAGAGAAAGATCCTCATGGTTAGAATCCCCAGTGTGCACAGAATTGTGTATAGAAAGATATTCCCTGTAAAGAAAACAATATTATGAAACAACTCAAACGGTCACCAGTTCCAGAATAATTAAATAAATTATGGTGTATCCATAAAATGTAAGACCACTCAGTTACTAGAAATATGTATGTATGTGTATATATATACACATATATATAAATATAAAAATATATACATACAAATACATACACACACACACACACACATTCATGTACCTCGTGTCAGACTTCGCATGATTTTAATTCTCATAACCATCTTATGGGTAATTTACTAACATCATCCCTATTTTATAGGTGATTCAACAAATCCACAGAAATGTGCAATAACTTGTTCAAGGTTACATTACATAGCTCATAAGTGGAAAAACTGGGATTCAAACTCAGGCAGTTGTATACTTATGCACTGAGCTATAATAAGAGTGAGATGGCCAGAACTCACCATTATGTGAAATTGACAGGTCATTGAACAATATTTATGCTAATTGTCTTATTTTTACAAATGTAAAGCGACAATGAAAGAGTGAGTAGAACAAAATCAAGAGTGAAGAAAGGAAATGAGGCAATCTAAAACTCTCTGGCACATCCCCAACTAATTACAGAAAACATTAAATTGTGTTTGGAAGATGCAACATTCTGAAAGTTCACTAAAGCACTTGGCTCTCTCTGAAATGCCCCTTCAGCTGGTAAGAGAAGATCATTTCATATCCCCTCTACTGATCCGCTTGATTGCATGTCAGCTCTATTAGGCAGTTGCTTCTCACTAATCCAAGCTGACTTTTTATTAGCCACTTAGACCTCAAGCACCAGACACATGACAATTTTAAGGTTTAAAAGCTGCCCTCAGTTAGATCTAAACAGAACTTAGATCTTAGCTATGACCGAAATACATCATTAGAATTTGAAGTTTAACTTAACAGAGTGCACTATTGTTTCAGATTCTTTGCTTTTTACTAGTGGCTTTTAATTATGTAAGGAGAAAACTATGGAGAATGAAACAAATCAAGTGACCACAAGCAAGTGTAGGAGAAATAAGAGACCAACCCTTTGGAATATAAGATTTATCTCCTTTTTGTGGGATGTTAGAATGAACTAAAAGATAAAAGTGCCAAGGTTAGCCAGCAGCTCCAGGGGTTCTTTCCCAGGTTGGCCAGCCTAGGATAATTACCCTCACACAGGAAAATTACCTATTTTGTCCCTCGGGCACAGAGACAAAATGAATCAAAGCAGTTGCAAGGCTTGGGTTTGTCATGCTGCCACTTTTTTTTTTCAGTGTTTCATATTCTCTGAGTGATTTATTTATCTGTGTAAATTTTGAAAGTAGTTCATTAATTACTTGATCTTTAGTGGGAGAGGGCTTTGGAATACAGAGGACTGCTCATTAATGTATTCAGTATTTCCTCTCCACCCTCCCAAAAGCTTCATTATATTCTGATCCGAATTTCTCAGATCTGGGGCAGTGGGGGGAGGTGGGTCACTGAGATGTTATGAAATTTAATCTCCAATCCTCAGTAAAATTTGAGAACTACATATGAGAGAAATGCTTATACAGAGTATTAGACTTAATTTTTCATAAGTTATTTTGTATCTTGAAAAACTTCAAAGAACATAAAAATGAAGGCAGAGAAACTATCAGAAGAGGCTAGAGGGCTAAGGAACTGACTGGAAATACAACCTCCAGGTTTCCATCTCTGACCCTGACATCCAATTTACTCCAAGTCAAATTGTTTAATCCTTATTGTTCCAGAAATTTTTTCTATATACTGAAAACAAAGTTAAACTTACATTATTGAAACACGGAATTTTGGAACTAAAACAAAGGATGCAGTTAACCCTACAAGGTCATCATTTTATGAAAGAAACACTAGACACCCTGGGCTTTTGTAAAGTCATATGACTAACTTTTGAATGATGGAGTGCAAAAGTCCAGGTATCTGGCATTCCTACGTGAGGTGCTTTTCTGTTACCCTGTATTGGCCATCAGCCCAAACAGCCCATGAGGAATTTATGATGACAAAAAATAAATGTAGGCCGGGTGTGGTGGCTCATGCCTATAATCCCAGCACTTTGGGAGGCCAAGGTGGGTGGATCATGAGGTCAAGAGATCGAGATCATCCTGGCCAACATAGTGAAGCCCTGTCTCTACTAAAAATACAAAAAATTATCTGGGCATGGTGGCACGCACATGTAGTCCCAGCTACTCGGGAGGCTGATGCAAGAGAATCGCTTGAATCCAGGAGTCAGAGGTTGCAGTGAGCCAAGGTCACGCCACTGAACTCCAGCCTGGAGACAGAGTGAGAGTCCGTCTCAAAAATAAATAAATAAAAATAAAAATAAATAAATGTAGCTTTTTTATGAAAAATTGGGGGCTCTTTTCTTCATATTTCAGAGCTTCTATTTCCCTAACTAGAAAATCAGGAGGCTAGATTAGCAGTAATGATATAAAAACTAACATCTATCCAGCTCTGACTGTATATTAAGCCCATTGTTTTTGTCTTTTACATATATTATCATACATTATTATTATGAGAAATCCAGTGACAGGGACACTCATTGCTCTCATTGGATAGATGAAGAACTGAAGCATAGAAATGTTGGATAATCTTCATTGGCCTTTCTCAATTCCCAAGCTCCATGAGCACCCTCATTGGTGAAGCCCAGGCAATTCTGCTTCCTATGGATGAGCTCATTAAAATTGACAATGACTCGGCAAGATAAGTACTTTGTCATCCACATTCTACAGAAAGAAAACATACATGGCACCTATTATGTGGCAGAAATTGCTCGCAGCACTGTCCACATATACTTAACCTTCTCTGTCACCCTATGAGGGGGAGTCCATTCTACTATGCTTAATTTGTAGATTAAAAAACAAAAACTGAGGCACAAAGAGGTTTTATAACTTGTCCAATGTCGCATAGCTAGGGGGTGGTGGAGTTTGAATCCAGGCAGTCTGGCTACAGAGTCAGTGTTCTTCACCACCCTACTGTATTACCTCTTTAGTAGAAAGAGACAATTATGCTATGAATTCTTCATACAAATATTTTTCAAATCCAGTGACCATTCAGAAAAACCAGCAATGCAACAGCAACAAAATATATGTGACAGCCGAGTGGGAAGCCCAGTTGGAAAGTCCAATAATTTTACTAAGGACACCCGGCAAATTATGAAAGAAAAGTTCATCTTCTCTAAAGGAAGCAACATATGGAGTTCAGGACCTAAAGCCGGGTTTTCTAAAATTAGTGCTTGTCTTATGAAATGTTCTGTAAAAAAGAGGGCTCCATAATTAAATATCTAAGGCTGGACACACAGCATAATATATATAGCACTTTACAGAGGTTGCATGATAGCTGAATACTTTAAAGGCCATAAGAAATCCAGAGTAAAGAAGTCTGTTTATCCATGCTTAATACAGCATTTATTGAGCAGAAATAAACCCAAAATTCTTTTAATTCATGAACTATTAATATGTTGTAGAATGGTTCCTTATAACATATATTGGGAAACCCTGGCCCAAAGCCAAACCACAGAAGATCCAACATTGCCCATAACCTCAGCCCTTTGCTCAGTTCAAGGCATCTCCTTATCCCTAGACCTATACTTCACAACCATTCTTCTTCAGGTCTCTGTCAGTTCTTGCCTTAGGGTTTCAGGGTTGAGGGCTGTGTCCTGAACTCCTTTCCTCTTTGTGAGTTAGGGTAAAACTTAGAGCCAGACAGAAATAGATGGGAGAACTCTTGGTCCCAAGGGGCAAAGGAGCTCTAGGTAACCAGTTGTCCAGTCTGCACAATGAAAGGGGGCTGGATTAACAATTACACCAGTACAAAAGTTATAAACCAGAAGCATCCTCAGGCGAGACAGTACGTGTGATCAAATTATGAGGGAGAGTTTCTTGTTGCTCCAGTGGTGACTTTGAGACTGCCACAATCCCACCAGTCACCACAGGGCACTTTGAACACCAATTATCTCATTACTTCAATAGGCTTCACCTTTTTTTTTTTTTTTTTGAGAAAGAGTCTCACTCTGTCACCCAGGTTGGAGTGCAGTGGTGTGATCTCAGCTCACTGCAACCTCTGCCTCCTGGGTTCAAGCAGTTTTTGTGCCTCATTCTCATGCCTCAGCCTCCCCGAGTAGCTGGGACTACAAGTGTGCTCCACCACACTCAGCTATTATTTTAATTTATTTATTTTTGGTAGAGATGGGGTTTCACTATGTTGGCCAGGCTGGTCTCAAACTCCTGACGTCAGGTGATCCGCCTGCCTTGGCCTCCCGAAGTGCTGGGATTACAGGCATGAGCCACCAGGCCCCCAGCTGCTTCTTTCTTTCTCCTGATATAAAGCTATCAGTGTTTCTAGTGAGAATTCATTGCTTCTTTTTCGAGATTTCCTCAGATCTTTGTTTATACGTATTTTATGTATGTAAGTATATATCTATATATACACACACAAATATATATATATATGTATATCTCCCTGTTTTATAGCAGTAATTTGCATATCTTCCTTTCCAGTGAGACTGAAAACTGCTGTAAGGTAGAGTTTCTATCTTATTCATCACTGTTTCCTCCTTAGAACTCTGCACATAGTAGGAGCTCACCAAATGTTTATTGAATGAACAGATGAATAATAAATGAAAGAACGATTAAAGCACAGCTTCTAGATTAACCAGCAATTGTGACTCTCTGAATTTTTGGTTTTCACCATTTAGGTTTCAGGGCTATAAACTTAGCAACAATTATTTAATATCCCCTTGCAGATCCTGTTTCTAACCTTCACTCTTCAAACCACTTTATTCTAATCCACACCTAAACCTTTTCTTTGAGCTCTGTGATCCCTTGATGCTCAAGAAAACCCTGAGATATCACTTTGAAATTTTTTAAAAATAGAATACTTGCACAAAAGGAAATAAAAGTGCTTTAGCTCCAAGCACTTTAGTAACAGAGGTGATGAGAATTCACAGGAAAACTGACCCACAAATGATATACCCAGCTGAGTTGTGTTGATCAAGAGGAGGAAAGAGACACATCTCCCCTTCTGAGGACAAACACACCTAGCTCTTTAACATCAAGGACAAACAAGGTGGAGGAGAGCAAAAAGCAAAGGCCAAGATGGTTAAGTGACTAGATTAATGACATTCATAAAATTGATGGAGGCCTGTGGGCTTGAAGTGATTGTAGTAGCTCACATGAAGCCCAAGGACGTAAATATTTAACAAATAATTACTTCTTGGTCTCATATCCACCACGGGGCCAGAAAGTAAAAGTAGAGATTATTTTCTCTTTGAGGACTCAGTTATTTAACAATTAGAGGAAGGGGGAAACAAAGCCAAAAAGATTTTCCCTTTACCTTATTTCTCTCCAAAACTATACTCAGTCCATTCAAGGCTTGGGAAATAAAGATTCTCATCACTTTGCTTTTCTGTATGCCATAGGCTTTAGGATATTTCTGGTAACTAGTTCCTCCTGTTTAAATTAGACTCTATACGATCTTCCCTCCCTTGACTGAGACTTTTTGGTAAATTGGCTTGCAACCTCAGGCTCACATCTCTCATTGGATTTAATTGCTATTGTCAAACCTATTTGGTTTTTCTTCCTTTTTTGGGACAAGTTTCAGCAAGGAGGGCATTTCCTCAGTGTCAACCTGGGTAATCTTCACAGATCTCACCTATCCATTGTCAATACTGTGCTCTCAGCCAATTTGGTCAACTTTCCTTCATCCTCATTCTAGTCGCTCCACTTGTAATCACCTGACAATTTCTTTCTGTCCGTTCCACAGACAAAACCAATTCACTGAGATCATGGTATTGCAGTAAAGAAAGAGTTTAATTAACACAGAACTACCCAAGCAGTTGGACTGCAGTTATTACTCAAATCAGCCACCCTAAGAACTCAGAGGCTAGGGTTTTATGGATAATTTGGTGGGCAGGGGGCCAGGGAATGGTGCTGTCGATTGGTTGGGGGAGGAAATCATAGGGATGTGGAAAATGATCCTCGTGCACTGAGTTTACCTCTAGATGGAGACTCCAGTACTGGCTGAGTGAGTCATAAGTCCCGGGTCTGGAAGGAGTCAGTTGATTGCCAGACTGCCAAAGTCTGAAAAACATCTCAAAAGACCAATCTTAGTTTCTACAATAATGATGTTACCTATAGGTCCAATTAGGGAAGTCACAAATCTTGTAACCTCTGGCCACGTGACTCCCAAACAGCAAGGGATTATAGAAAGGCAAGCCAGGGACAATGGTTGGGTTTGTTTACTCCTACATTTTAGCAGAATTCAGACTTATCCCATAATCCTAAGCTTGTGGCCTTCCATTAGTCTTACAAAGGCAGTTTTGGTCTCTGAGCAAAGAGGGGCTTCGTTTTAGGGAGGAACTACTATAATTGTTGCTTCAAAGTTAAACTATACACTAAATTTCTCCCATGGATAGCTTGGCCTATGCCTAGGAATGAGCAAGGACAGCCAGCCTGTGAGGCTAAAGGCAAGATACAGTCAGCCATGTTAGACTTATTTTGCTGTTGTAATCTTTCAAAGGCTGTTCCACACTTAGGCCAAAGCAACAGCGGCACTGTTAGAAATATTGTTAAGTTTATTCCTGCTAGGAAGAAGAGAGAGTGACATTGCTCACTTTGGAAAGGTAAATCAACTTCACAAAATGTACCATCAGTTTAATAACAGTCTATATTTATTGAACACTAATTATGGGCCAGGCACTGCATTGAGTGATTTACAAACTATTTCATTAAACTATCACTACAGTTTTATGAAGTAGGTATTTTTATTATTCCCCAGGTTACAAATGATGTAATTAAGATTTAGAGAGGTTATGTAACTTGTTCAAGGTCACAAAGCTAGGAAGTGGATGAGCAAAGATTATATTCCATATCTGTCTAGCTCCCAGAGCTTGTCCTTTAATTAATATATTACAATGCCTCACATATTAGTGCATTAAAAGAGACAAAGCACTAAATAAATGACAGTCAATTTTTAAAAGATGAACAAGGTACCTTCAAAATTGCATGATGATTGAATATTTAAAAGGACTCTGAAATCTCCAGAGGAGAAATGTATTACTATAATAGTGATCTTGATTTTGTGAGTTTTTCTTAAGGATCGCACTGTGCGGACATCTTCATGGGAATATGGAATGGGATAATAGCCAAAGCCGATAAAAGTCAGTTGAAGTAACTAACATTCAAGTTGGTTTTGAAGGGGCACTCTCCTACAGGATAGTTAATGCACTCAATATTTGTCCCTGTCTATATTTGCTTGGCTTCTCTGTTCCCATCTACCCAGTCCTTAATAAGATCTGGGCATACAGGATCCCTCTCCCTCCAGTCTTGTTAGCACCATATGTCATCCACTCCTTCTGCTGACTCTTCTGGCATCTGGGGTCTCTCAGGAATTCTCTATACTGTATCTCTTTTCCTTAGTATCTCTTAACTCAGTATCTCTTTTCTTCTGAACGTAAGCCCTTCCCCTCATATTCCTCCTCTAGACCCCATTTAAATACCTCTCCTTCTGTTAGAACTTGTTATTAAATGTGAGTCTCCAAACTTCATTGAAACAAGAATCTGTGTTATGAAAGATGTATTAAAAACAAAATTAAATGTAATTTTCTGGATCAAAAGTCAACATTCAATATTTTAAAAATTCCACCCTAGGTACTTAATTATGATAGTAAGTTTTAAATTAAATATCATTTATTCAGTTGAATAAATAATTATCAATTAGGTAAATATTAACACATGTTGAGAGACACGATATCACGATGTTTAAGAATGTAGGCTCTGGAGGCAGACAGGATCCAATGGCTGTCTCTGCCACTTGTAGCCATGTGAACTTGAGAAAACTGTTGCATTGTGTTGTGTCTCAGTTTTCTTATCTGTAAAATGGGAATAATTAGGTCAACTAATTAATAGGATTGTGGTGAGTAGAAAATATATTAATGTATGAAAAACATTTAGAGAATAGTTGGTATATGGTTAAACACTCAAAGATGTAATAATTATTACTATATATCTTCACAATGTCAATAGAACTGCTCTAATAAACTCCCAAAAAATGACTGATAGATTTGTTTAGGCCGACCCAGCAAACTTATGCCTAGAGCCATAAAAAAAATATGTGCTTAAGATTTGTACCCACTCTATGCAGTATGTCTGGTCTTATCTAGGAAAAAAAAAAGAAAACATAGAAGCATATTTGCAAATACCTGCCCAAGAATAGAAGAGAAAAAAGAGAAACTATATATTTTAAGATTTTATTGTGGTAGGAGGAGCATGGGATTTGACATCAGAAGAATTATTTTCCACCTCTAAGGTTCTCATTTATGAGCTTCAAGAACTTCTAAGCCTCTATATTTCTGATTTCAAAAATAATACTGCTAACCATAGTGACTTCCCGAAGTTATTATGACAATAAATGAGATAAAATTATGAATATACCATTTTTATATTCTATTGGTTATATTTAGTCATAGGATCACAACTGCGGCAAGATGAGCTAGAAAGCGTAATGGCTAGATGATCACTCAATCTCAGGAACACATTTCCCCACTATAGTAAGCGGGGAAGCAAATATTAGCCTTAGTTACCAGAGTATGCTACATATCATAAGTGATAGGGATTTGTAATTCCCTAAAAAAAAACCTTTGGAGCCAGCTGGGTTTTAGATTATAGGAAGATAATAAAAAAAATTTTTTAGATAGAAGATTAAAAACAATTTAGATTGTAGGAAGATAATACAGTCCCTGCACCATGTTATATATAACACCCACATTAGAGTCTAGAAAAGATCCCTATATTCAAACATAGCAATATTTCTGCAGTGAAACAAATTAATTTTCACAATAATGTGATACAGAAATAATTAATATATATAATAAATGAAAATATAAGTAATGTCACATCAATTGAAGCTACAAAAGGGGCTTTCCAAAAACATATAGTGATGAACAAACTTTTAGGTTCGAACTGCTAATAAGAAATTGTGAACCTACATCAAGACACAAACATCATTCAACAAAATCATAAGAGAAGGACTTGGATGCTGCTAGCAGCATGTAGAAGAGCTCTCATTCAAGTGAAAGGAGGTCAAATGTGCCTGGTCAGTAACTATGTGCTTTAACTCCTTAACAACTTAAATGTTTTGATCTTTTTGTATTTCTAAATGCAAAGGTTTATTAGGCCAAGTGATAGAATAAGTACTAAATCATTTGTTACTCACATAAGAACAGCTGTTTCATAGCATTTTCTCTCCATTTACAAAACTAAATAGATGAACTGACACTTTGAAAATGATAATCAAAATGTCCTTCCCACTAAGCTCTAGACATTGCCAACAGGCACTTTTAAATGAGCCATAAACCTTTTAGCCCGGAAGCAGAGCAGCTTAGCCTAGCTTTGGGGTATAGCCATTCCATTTTTGTCTCTTTTTCACATTCAAAATGAGATAGAGTTAAAGGTGATAGAGTTAAAGTGAAATCACATGGCCGGGCCAGATGTTATTAGGAGAGCTGAGAGAGCTCCTGTCAGTGGTCTGGGGCTGGGTTTAACGACATGGTAGACATGTGTTTGGTGGATCATTATGTGTTGTCATATAGGTAAAGGCTTACTAGTAGTGTAAAGACAGAGGCCTGAATAAGGGCTATGGTGAATTTGAGGATGGTCAGTATGGTTAGAATAATGAGAGCAATTGAATCTGTGAGAAGACTGATAGTTGATAGTACTCATGTAGCTCCTCCAATTAAATGCATTAGTAGGTGTCTGGCTGTAATGGTGGCTGTTAATCATACAGCTAATGCCATTGGTTGAATGAATAGGCTAATAGTTTCAATGATCACTGGTATAGGGATAAGTGGTATAGGTGTGTCTTGTGGTAAAAAATGAGCTAAGGAGGTTTTTGTCTCAAAGTGGAAGCCTATAATTACTGCTCCTGCTCATAGGGGGATTGCTATACCTAGGTTTATTGACAATTGGGTAGTTGGTGTAAATGAATGGGGTAGAAGTCCGAGGAGACTGGTTGAGGCAATGAAGAGAATTAGGGAGATCAGTATAAGGGATCAAGTTCATCCTTTAAAGTTATAGATAACTATTGTTTTACTACAAGTTGAATTAGTCATTGTTGAATGGAAATCAATCGGTTACTAATTAGATGACTGGAGGTTGGAAATAGTATCGTGGGGAAATAAAATGACTAATACTACTGCAGGTAGAACTAGAATTGTTGGGGTATTAAGAAAGTGAATAGATTTTCGTTCATTTTAATTCTCAGGGGGTTTTATGGTTTTGTGTTTTGATTATTTTTGGTGTAGGGGGTATAATAAATGAAATTTGATAATTTTAACTGGATGATGGAGAATAAAGTTATGATTATTGACAGAATGACAATGGATCATGTGGATATCTAGTTGAGGCATTCATTGTGGAGAAGTGCAGATCCCCTCAGTCTTTAACTTAAAAGGTTAATGCTGGATGGCTTTGCAGTGATATTATAGATCAGACATGGATCAAGTTTTGAAGCATTTTAAAAGGATTAATTCTAGGACAATAGGTATAAAACTGTGGTTAGACCCACAAATTTCTGAGCACCATCCATAATAAAGGCCTGCTTGTGTAGCGGTTAAGGTAGTTTAAGAGTCCGGGGATTGCATCTGTTTTGAGGCCCAGTGAGGGGATAGTTCATGAGTTCAGGACATCTTCGGATGAGATTAATATACAGATGGGGATCTCTATTGGGAGAATTGTTCGGTTATCAACTTCGAGGAGTCAAAGTTCTCCTACCTTTAAGTTTGCTGTTGGGACTAAAAAGGAATCGAAGTCTAATTCTTCATAGTCTGTATATTCGTAGCTTCAATATCATTGGTGGCCAATTGTTTTGATGGTAAGAGAAGGGTTGTTAAGCTCATATGTTATGTACAGAATACGTAGGGGTGGGGGTGGCAATTAAGATAATGGAAGGTAAGACAGTTCAGACAGTCTCGATTTCTTGAGCATGTTTGGTGCTAGTATGAGTTAATTTTGTTGTGAGTATTAAGGAAATAATGTATAGGACCAGGGAACTAATTAGGAAAATAATTATAAGAGCATGGTCGTGGAAAGTGAGTAGTTTTCTATAATAGGGATGTAGCATCTTGAAGGCCTAAATGAACTAGATCAGCCATTAAGACATATAGAGTTTAACCTATAAATTAATTTTGACAAAGTTATGTAATAATTTCACTAACATCTTATCAAGAGAGACTCATACAGGTTATGGGATTGGCTTGAAACCAGTTTCTGGAGGTTCAATTCCTTCCTTTGTCATTTAGGTTTTCACGTAGGTTGGCTCTTGGAATGTGTGGTAAGGTGGTGGACAGCCATAAAGCCACTCTAAATTAGTAGATGATTGTTCGATTGTTAGTACTTTTCGTTTTGAAGCAAAAGCTTCTCAGGTTATAAAGATTGTTAGTATAACTGCTGTTGGTGAGATAAATGAGCCTACAGATGAAATAACATTTCATCCGGCATACACATCAGGATAATCAGAGTAACATCGAGGCATACTGGATAGGCCAAGGAAGTGCTGTGGAAAAAAAGGTTAAATTAACACCTACGAATATAATGGTGAAGTGGATTTGATTAAGTGGATTTGATCAGCGTAGGTCTGATTAAGTGTATAACCTGAAAATAGGGGGAATCAGTGGACAAAGCCTCCTATAATGGTGAATACTGCTCCTATTGATAGGACGTAGCGGAAATGGGCTACAACATAATATGTGTCATGTAAGACAATGTCTAGTGATGAGTTAGCTAGTACGATGCCGTTTAAACTTCCTACTTTGAAAAGAAAAATGAATCCTAGGGCTCAGAATATTGCAGGAGGTCATTTGATATTACCACCATGCAGTGTAGCTAATTAGCTGTAGACCTTGATGCCAGTAGGGATAGCTATAATTATAGTAGCGGAGGTGAAGTATGCTCGTGTGTCTACACCTATTCCTACTGTAAATATATGGTGGGCTCATATTATAAATCCCAAGAAGCCAATTGATATTATGACTACTACTATACCCATGTAACCAAATGGTTACTTTTGTTTCCAGAATAATATGTTATGATGTGGAAGATTATCCTGAAGCCTGGTAGGATAAGGATATAGACTTCAGTGTGACCAAACAATCAGAATAAATGTTGGTACAAGATTGGTACCAGACAAAGTCACCCCCACCAGCAGGGTCAAAAAAAGTAGTGTTGAGGTTACAGTCAGTTAATAGTATAGTAATGACAGTAGCTAGGACTTGGGGGAAAAGGAGTAGAAGGACTGCGGTAATGAGGATTGATCAGACAAAAAGGGATGCTTGATACTGGGATATGGTTGGGGGTTTTATGTTAATAATTGTGGCAATAAAGTTAATGGCCCCCAAAATAGAAGAAACACCTGCTAAGTGGAGCGAGAAGATGATCAGATCCAGAGGCTCCTGCATGTGCTAGGTTTCCTGCTAAAGGGGGATAAACTGTTTAGCTGATTCAAGCGCCAGCTTCTACTATTGAGGACGCAAGTAGGAGTAGAAAAGATGGCGGGGAGAAGTCAGAAGCTCATATTATTTATCCAGGGAATGCCATATCGGGTGCACCAGTTATCAGAGGGACTAGGCAGTTGCCAAAACCCCAATCGTGATTGGTATTACTATAAAGAAGATTATAACGAATGTGTGGGCAGCAACAATAACGTTGTAGATCTGATCATCTTCTAGCAGAGTCCCTGGTTGGCCCAATTCTGCTCGAATTAGAAGGCTTAAGGTGATGGCCTACTATCCCCGCTCATGAGCCAAATAGCAGGTATAGTGTTCCGATATCTTTGTGGTTATTTGAAAACAATCAATGATTGATGAACCTAAGTGGGGAAAAAGGTTAAATGGCTGAGTAAGCATTAGACTGTAAATCTGTGTATTTATGTGCTTCATTTATTCTTTTTTTAAACTGCCTTTAAAGCTAAGCAATCCCAAACACTCTCTGTGACCCAGGACATTTCCAAAGCCGAATTTTTTGAGCCTGGTGCTAAATGCAGATGACCACACAGATACATTATATTGTGTCAAAATTATGAATTTTAATCTTTAGTGACTGAAGTCTGATAATGGCTAAATCTGGTGATATGACCTTGATGTTAATATTTTTAAATTATATATATCTTTTCAAATATATGCCAGTTAACGTCCTCATGATGTAAGCTATGTTTTCCAATCTCCTGGGTTCTAGCAAAGGCACTAACCTCAGGCAATTTGGAAAAAGTTTTGTTGCGTGATAATGAGAAATTGAATAGCACATACAAAAACCTGGTATTGTTTAAATAGCATCATGAATTTAAAAACCTGATAGACTGTAATATTCATCTCATGACAACAGACTACTTGAAAATGCTGCAAAATCTAAAAATAATGCATTTTAATTTTCCTAACAGCTTGAAGCAAAATTGGATGTTTTAAAATTAAAAACATATAGGGCATTGACTGGTAGGTCTTAATTCAAATAATGAGGCTTTATGTGATATAGTATTTCATATTAAATCCAATTCATGAGCCCAGATATTTTGTGGAATAAAAAGTGGATTATGACAACTTATGTAGTCCTCCCTCAATGGTTATCAAACTCTTTGCCAGAGAAGTGATAATATCTTACATAGATGAGATGCATTTTTTTTTACTGGTAGCCTGAAGATTCTTGACTGCATCTGAAGCAGATGTAAAACACAAGACTGCCCAAAACTGGCTGAGATGTCTCTTGGAAGATAGGCCTTATAATACCAATGCTGACCATATGGGTGACTTTGGGCAAATGACCTCTTTTCTCACTGGTAACCCATAGGGATTGAAGTTACTGATATCAAGTATCCATCTCAAATCTAACATTGTCTAGTTACAAATAAAATTATTTTAAGAATAGAAATGTATTTTACTAGAAGGGGTATAAACAGGATTTTCTGGCTTCCAACTTAAGTCATGCACATGCTGTGAACCATTTCTTCCTGAGTGTCTTCATTACAGTTGTCATGTCCTGGTTTTTCTGATTCCACCATACCTGTGGCATATGGGCCAAAGTAAAATTGCACCAGATAGGTTAAACATTGAAGAATATTTTACTTAAGGCTATTGCAATAGATGAGAGAGATTAACCTCACTCTGCTAAAACAAAAACAGAAGGATTTTTAATTACTGGGATTAATGGAAAAGCAGTAGAGGATGTTAGGAAGAAGTTGGTCAAAGTGATTAGGCCATCTGCATTTGCTAATTGTAACTTATCAAAGTTAGGATTTTGCCGTTCCACAGAGACTGAAAGATAGGGACCCTATCTTTCTTGATGATTGTATTTCAAAGAGATGGCTCCAGGTCCTTAAGAAAGACATTCCTGAGTTACAGAAGATTCACATCTCAAATAGGTAGAGAAAGAATTACAATTGCAAGTTTTCTAAAGCAAGTGCTTTAAGAAAGATAAGGTCAGGATACTATAGTCCTAAAGAAACCTGTTGAAAATTTGGTTAAGCTGAGGAAAATGTTAAGGCCATCTTGATGATTGTGTCTTTGTAAACCAAACATTTTGGTTTAGAGGAGGCCAAACAGTATCCTCCGAGGAAAATAAGACCTGAAATTGAAGTTTAACAATGTCCAAATGCTCAAAGATACTATGGAGCACTTGACTTAAGCACCTTACAAGCAGATTATTTACCACCATTTCTCTAGCGCTCATCAGGTGCCAGTCACACAGTCATAATTCCATAAAAGCAGTATTTAACATGCAAAAACTGTTCCGTCATCTTCTGACCTCCACCAACAGATAATTCCTTACTGTACACAAGTATGTCAGGCTGCCACCATGACATTCATCTCCAAACCACAATTGTCTCAAAAGCAACAATTTATTACCTTTTTCTCCAGAATCTATGGCTAAGATCATGAGCTATAGAGTCAGAGAGCTTAGTATAAGTTTCAGCTCTGTTGTACAGTGACTGGTTGATCTTGAGTAAGTTTCATAACCTTCAGGAAGCTCAGCTTTCAAATCATTACAAAAGAAATAATACCAGTACCTACCTCATGGGATTGTGAGAAAGAAAACACTTAGCAAAGTACCTCACACAGAGTAAGCCTCTAATAATTACTGGCTTGCTTTACATTGTTAGTGTTTTTCATATAGGAAGCTTGCAAATAGCATGTTGAATTAATAAGTGAAAAAATTAATAGTTACCAAAACAGCTAGGTGATATTTTAACTATATTATTGCTTCTATCCTGAATATTTAAACTATAGACAGAAAATCAGAAATTTCTGCTATATTAGTCCATTCTCCCACTGCTATGAAGAAATACCCAATACTGTGTAATTTATAAAGGAAAGAGGTTTAACTGACTCACATTTCTGAATGGATGTGGAGGCCTCAGAAAACTTACAATCATGGCAGAAGACACCTCTTCACAGGGTGGCAAGAGAGAGAATGAAGGCCAAGCACAGGAGAAAGCCCCTTATAAGACCATCAGATCATGTGAGAATTCATTCACTATCATGAGGGCAGCAGCATGGGGGTAACTGCCCCCATGATTCAATTATCTCCACCTCATCTCACCCTTGATATGTAGGAATTATTACAATTCAAGGTGAGATTTGGGCAGGGACACAGAGCTAAACCATATCATTCCAAATCAGCCCCTCTCAATCTTATTCCAGATCAGCCCCTCTCAAATCTTATGTCCTCACATTTCAAAACACAATCATGCCCTTCCGACATCCCCAAGACTTAACTCATTCCAGCATTAACCCAGAAGTACAAGTTCGAAGTCTCATCAAGACAAGGCAAGTCTCTTTTGCCTATGAAACCATAAAATCAAAAGCAAATTAGTTACTTCTTACATAAATTGGAGGTACAGACATTGGGTAAATACAACCATTCCAAATGTGAGAAACTGGCCAAAATAAAGGGGATACAGGCCCCATGAAAGTCCCAAATCCAGTAGGGCAATCATTAAACATTAAAGTTCCAAAATGATCTCCTTTGACTCCATGTCTCACAACCAGGTCACACTGATGCAAGAGGTAGACTCCCATAGCCTTGGGGAGCTCCATCTCTGTGGCTTTGCAGGGTACAGCCCCCCTCCAAGCTTCCTTCATGGGCTGATGTTGAGTGTCTGTGGCTTCCCCAGGGGCATGGTGCAAACTGTCAGTAGATCTACTATTCTGGGGTCTGGAGGATAGTGGCCCTCTTCTCACAACTCCGCTAGGCAATGTCCCAGTGGGGACTCTGTCTGGGGGTTCCAACCCCACATTTTCCTTCTGCACTGCCCTAGCAGCAGTTCTCCAAGAGGGCTTGTCCCTGCAGCAAACTTCTGCCTGGACATCCAGGCATTTCCATACATCCTCTGAAATCTAGGCAGAAGTTCTCAAACCTCAATTCTTGACTTCTGTGTACCTGTAGGCTCAACACTACATGGAAGCTGCCAAGGCTTGGGGTTTGCACCCTCAGAAGCCATGGCCCCAGCTGTACCTTGGCCCCTTTTAGCCATGGCTGGGACACAGGGGACCAAGTCCTGAGAATGCACAAAGCAGTAAGGCCCTGGGCCCAGCCCATGGAATCATTTTTCCCTCCTAGTCCTCCATGCCTGTGATGGGAGGGGCTGCCATGAAGATCTCTGATATGCCCTGGAGACATTTTCCCCATTGTCTTGGCAATTGACATTTGGATCCTGATATGGTTTGGCTCTGTGTCCCCACCAAAATCTCATCTTGTAGTTCCCCTAATTCCCATGTGTTGTGGGAGGAACCAGGTGGAAAATGATTGAATCATCAGGGTGGTCTTTCCCATGCTGTCCTCATGATAGTAAATGGGTCTCATGATATCTGATGGTTTTAAAAATGGGAGTTTCTCTGCACAAACTCTCTTTTTGCCTGCTGCCATCCACATGTGACTTGCTCTTCCTTGCCTTCCACCATGATTGTGAGGCCTCCCAGCCATGTGGAACTGTAACTCCAATTAAACCTCTTTTTTTTTGTGTAAATTGCCTAGTCCCAAGTATGTCTTTATCAGCAGCATGTAAACAGACTAATACAGCTCCTCGTTATTTATGCAAATTTCTGCATCAGGCTTGAATTTCTCCTCAGAAAATGGATTTTTCTTTTCTAACAAATTGTCAAGCTGCAAATTTTCTAAACTTTTATGCTCTACTTCCTATTAAATGCTTTGCCACTTATAAATGTCTCCCACCAGATACACTAAATTATCTCTCTCAAGTTTTAAAATTCCACAGATCTCTAGAGCAGGGGCAATATGCTGCCAGTCTCTTTGCTAAAGCATAACAAGAGTCATCTTTTCTCCAGTTTCCAACAAGTTCCTTATCTCCATCTGAAACCACCTCAGCCTGGACTTCATCTTCCATGTCACTATCAGCATTTTGGTCAAAGTCATTCAACAAGTCTCTAGGAAGTTCCAACTTTCCCACATCCTCCTGTCTTCTGAGCTTTTTAAGTCACTAGGAAGTTTCAAACTTTTGCACATCCTCCTGTTTTCTCCTGGACCCTCCAAACTGTTCCAATCTCTACCTTTTACCCAGTTCCAAAGTTGCTTTCACATTTTCATATATCCTTCCTTATAGCAGCACCCTATTCCTTTGGTACCAATTTACAGTATTATTTCATTCTCATGCTCATATGAAAAAATGCCCAAGACTGGGTAATTTATAAAGGAAAGAGGTTTAACTGACTAACAGTTCCACATGGTTTTGGAGGCCTCGGGAAACTTACAATCATGGCAGACGGCACCTCTTCATAGGGTGGCAGGAGAGAGAATAAGTGTTAAGTGAAGGGGGAAGAGCCCCTTATAAAACCATCAGATCTCATGAGAACTCACTTGCTATCATGAGAACAGCATGGTGGAAACCACCCCCATGATTCAATTATCTCCACTTGGTCCCGCTGTTGACATGTGGGGATTACTACAATTCAAGGTGAGATTTGGGTGGGAACACAGAACGAAACCATATCATCTGCCTTCACTAAACAGGCACAATATAGCCAAATATGTCAAGGAGTTCATCTCTAATTAATTAATTGTTCCAATTAAAAATAAAGTACATGGAATAAATATTTATTTTCAAAGGAGAAATATAAAAATAAACAATAAATACAATTTCTCACCTTTATGAAATAATTACATGAACATAAAGCAATTCTATTTAATTGAAAAATTTCCCACTTTTAAGCATTTTTTTTTGCTTAGTTGTTTGAAATATGACACTACTAAAATTTACATTACTTTTCTGTTTCCATCTACCAAATAAGAATAATGAAACTCGGTAAGGTACATTGACCCCCTCTCAGTTGAAAGGCATTTGTTAGTAATAAGTAGGGTTCATTGACCTTGTAAACATGAGGTACCTGATCCTTCCCATCGTCCAATGTGTCTTTGGCAAGATCTCCAAAAAGACAACCATTCACTTGGATGATAATTTTGGGGTGGGGATGATACAGTAATTTATGGTAATTGCTCCATTCAAAAAAAGAAACTGAATGAAAAAATAGAAGGCATCTCTATTTGGGAGGCATTCTACCTCAACAATCCAATAAGCCTGACTATGGAAATGTGTTAATGAATCAAAAAAGGAAAAAGAACAGTAATTTGTTTGAGCAAGCATGACAACTATAGTTCTGTCTATATTTTATTCAGAGAAACTGAATGTCCCACACCTTATGTTCAGTTTTTCTTACTTAATGATGTATGGCTTCTCAATAAGTTATACATTATTCCCATGAATAAGTTAGAAAAATATATATATTCTGATTGAGACTACAATTGACTAAAAATGACATGATGGTTCGGAAGATCAATCCAAAAATAAGCAATCATGTCAACCTTGTGAGTAGGCAACATATTCAAGCTTGTCTTAGATTGGAATTACTTGCATTTGTATCTTTCTCAATCTTGAGAATACTGGACTTCCTTCTGAAAAAAACATTTTAGTTTCTCTCTGAAGGTATAAAGGAGATTCATACACTGGAGAATATTTTTAACTAGGAATGTATGTTTTTTATGAATATATTTACATGAATAAGTGCTGTGAACATACAAAAAAAATAAACATATGGTGTCTGTTCTTGAGAGACTTAAATTGCTGCCCATTTCTCTACTTCAGTCTATGGAAAAAAATTGAAGAGTAGTCTATAACAACAGTCTCCGGTTCAGTTTATTTTCTTCTGCCTATTCTTTCTCGAACCCAATTCAACTAGGCTTTTACTCCAACAACCACAAAAACTGCTCTTATCACGGTCACTAAAGACATCTATGTTCTTAAATCCCATGATCAGTTCTCAAATAATTTGACCTATTCGCAACATCTGTCTCTCCACCTTAAAATGCGTTCTTTGTGTGACTTCCAGGATATCAACTTTACATTTTCCCCCTACCTCTCTGAACAGGTCTTAGTCTCCTTACCTGGTTCTCCTTTGTTTCCTAAACCTCTCAATGTTAGAGACAATGGGCTAAGTCTTTGTGTGTCTTCCCTTTTCTAACTCTATGCATTATTTTGACATTGAGAATTGCAAAAAAAAACTTCAACTTTTATCTTGATAGTGGTATAGATGTATCAATTCTAAAACTATTTTGTGTGTATTTAATTTTGAGCCAATGAGTAAATATGTTGATCTTCATCAATAAGTGAATGAATAAAGACAATTTGTTGTATATACACAGTGGAATGCTATTCAGTCTTAAGAAAGAAATTTTGTCATTTGCAATGACATGAATGAAACTTGAGAACATTGTGTTAAGTGAAATAAACCAGGGACAGAAAAACAATACTGTATCATCTCACTTATATGTATAATCTAAAAATAGATGAACTCATAGAAGTAGAGAGTAGAATGTTGGTTACCAGAGGCTGGGAAGATTTGGGGTTTGGAGAGATAAAGTCAAGGGATACAAAATTTCAGTTAGAACTTATTCTGAGGAGTAAGTTCAAGAGATCTATTGTACAACATGGTGGCAGTAGTTAATAATAGTGTATTGCATTTTGAAAATCACTAAGATAATAGATTTTGACTGTTCTCACTGCAAATAAAAGATGTGAGATAATGCATACATTAATTAGCTTGATAGAGCCATTCCACAATATATACATATTTGAAAACATCAAATGTACACAATAAATGTTTAGTTTTTATTTGTCAATTAAATAAAAATTAAAAACCTATACTTTAATTTATAATTTGACCAAGAAATCTTACTACTAGGAATTTTTCTGAAGACATAGCTCTAATATGAGAAATATATATGCAGAAGGTTTTTCATTGTTGCATTTTTTTGTTACTACAAAATATTAAGAACAAAAAAACTAAACATAAAAATTAATTGAGTAAGCTATGAGTCATGCACCCAATGGAGTACCTGAATCTCTACAGAAGAGTGGAGAGAAGCTCTATAAAGGGATATAGAATGATATTCAGTGTGTATTATTAAGTTATAAAGCAATGTACAATGGTGTGTGTATAATTTACTGTGTCTTGGATAAGAAAAAGTAGGAGGAGGCATATACATGTATTAGCTTATTTTTGCAAAAAGAAATACGGGATAATACACTCAACATTAATTTAATTGGCTACCTCTAGGGAGTAAATGGGAATTGGATGGTAGGAAGCAGCACTTCTCTTAGAATGGTCCTTTGTGTACTTTTGACTTTAAATATCACATTATCATTTTATATATTCAAAAAACAAATCAAAATTAACTGACACAAACTAAATTTAAATACAAATAAACAAAAATAAGTTATACTGTGTATCAAATGGATTATATAACATCAGAAAAAATATAATCCAAATAATATTTTGTAAACATTACTTTGATTATATACCTTTAGTCTAAAGACAATGAGAATTGCAAAAAAAATCTTCAACTTTTATCTTGATAGTGGTATAGATGTATCAGTTCTAAAACTATTTTGTGTGTATTTAATTTTGAGCCAATGAGTAAATATGTTGATCTTTTTGGGGGCCCTTACTTCTCACTATGGGAGAAGGAAACACAAACTAAGAATGTGAAAAGGCAAAAAAAACCTCTGTGGTTGGAATTTTTAAAAAAAGTTTCAGTAGGTACTCATGACATTTTTAAAAAGGTAATAATAATCTGTTTCTTGTTCATTGAAATAGCTCAGTAGCAGTAAGTATGCCTAGTGTCCAGATCTTGATTTCTACATACCCTTCTCCATTAACAGAAGCCAGGGATCCTGGTTCTAGGATCTGATCATTGATCCCAGGGCTCAGACAAAGAAAGTACTAATGAATTAATATACAGTTTTACCTTCTAGGCTCAGACTACTTCTTTCCTCTTTAACTACTTGGATAATTAGAGTAGTTTTCTGAGTTGTTTCCCTGCTTCTACTCATGCCCCATACATTCCATTCTCAACAGAGCAGTCACAGTAATCCTATTAAAATGCAAGTTCAATCATGTCAATCATAAAGCCCCCGTGTATTTCCAGATCTGTTAGAGTAAAAGCCAAACTCTTTGAGAACCTATAAATCTCTGCAGAATCAGGTACCCCATTATTTCTCTAGCTCAATTACTTCCAGACACATTGACAACCCTTTGCTTCTTAAACACACGAAGAGCACTCTAAACTTAAGTCCTTTGCACATACTGCTTTAGTTAACTTAGAATGCCCTTCCTGCAGATATCCACATGGCTCTCCCCTCTTTTCCATCATTTCTTTACTCAACCATCATTTTCTTAATGAAGTCCTTTTCGGTCACTCTATCTAAAACCTCTAACCCCTAACTCTGCTTCCCATCCTTCTTCATCATTATATTTCTTCTCCTCTTTAGGTATCATTTTCTAAGGAATCATTTAACTTATATTTATTTTTAAACTACTACTTCATTAAGCAAGTAACAGAGTAACCAAACACAAAAGAAAGTGTAAGCAAAACAAACCAAAAAAGCAAAATCAAATGCCATGTAAATGTACTTTATTATACAATACACATTATATAATACCATATATATAAATGGTATTAAAATAAAATGAATTCATGAGTTTGTATAAAGAAAATAATATTACATAGATAAGGTGACAACGGAAGTATAAAATTTAGCTTGCGCTTGACTAAGAGGAACTAGGAGAAAAATAAAGAAGGTTGACGGTAAAGGAATACTATATTGAAGATTCACTTTCGCATCTTCAAAAACTTTGATTATTTTCAAAATGTGATCCTTAAAAGATATTAATTTTCAAATAGATTGAAAATGATCCTATCAATATCCTTCTCACCCTTGAATCATCCAAACCATCATTACTATACCTTATGAACAATGAGAACACATGGACACAGGAAGGGGAACATCACATTCTGGGGACTGTTGTGGGGTGGGGGGAGGGGGAGGGATAGCATTAGGAGATATACCTAATGCTAAATGACGAGTTAATGGATGCAGCACACCAGCATGGCACATGTATACATATGTAACAAACCTGCACATTGTGCACATGTACCCTAAAACTTAAAGTATAATAATAATAAAATAAAAAAAGAAAAATAAAATAAAATAAAATAAACAAGGAAAAACAGAAAATACTCACTTAGGCCAAAGACATTGAATGATCACTACTTTTTTGTAAGTATCCAACCTGGAAAATTAATTTAAATCAAAAATCTATAATTTCATAAGTATTCTCTACATGGTTGATAAATTTTGTCAAAGCAAAAGGCATTTTCTGATGTCATGTCATATTTTTTTTTCTCTTTGTAGGTCTGATCAATGCATTCTTTTTCTCACAACATTGATAAAAAATTAGGAATCATGTCACTACCTCCTCTGCACTTCTGTAGAATTTTAAACACTGATCTGGGAGAACTTTGGTAAAATACCTTTTGAAGGATATGAGAGCACCTTATCACTCACTATGCAATTAATAATTTTTTTCTCTTTCAAGAAAAAAATGAAATGAAGGAAGTGTGATTATTACATACTATTATTAAGAGAGTTACTGTGTACGTCTGCAAAACAGATTATACATATTGCAGATAACATTTGAACAATTCTAAGAATTCCCTTTTATTAAACAGTGAAGGAACTCCTGGGTAAAGCTCACTCAGTAGCTGTTATGAAGATGTGATGAGCTTGCATTATGGTGCACTATCTCTGTCTCAGAAGTGATAAAATCAGGGCATATTTCTACCTATCCAGAAGTCATCCAGTCATGCACAGAGCTTGGCTGTGGTTGTGATAAAATACCTCTGTATCACTCCTCTACCTTCAAGTAAACTCTGCCAGCAAGGAATCTGGAATTGCTCGGATATATAACTCTGGCATAGGGCTGAAAATCAATGGCTGATATCTAAAGTTGTTAACATCATCTTATAGATAGAGAATGAGCATACAATACACTAACTTTTTTAACTGGCTTCTTTCTCTTAGTAGCCTAAAACGTCAAGTTTTTCTTTCAACAAAGAATAAGAATGATGGTTTTTTTTTGTTTGTTTTTTTGTTTTTTGTTTTTTTTGGTTTTTTTTTTTTGAGACGGAGTCTTGCTCTGTCGCCCAGGCTGGAGTGCAGTGGCGCGATCTCGGCTCACTGCAAGTTCTGCCTCCCGGGTTCACGACATTCTCTTGCCCCAGCCTCCGGAGTAGCTGGGACTACAGGCACCCGCCACCACGCCTGGCTAATTTTTTTTTTTTTTTTTTTACTAGAGACGGGGTTTCACCGGGTTAGCCAAGTTGGTCTTGATCTCCTGACCTTGTGATCTGCCTTCTTGGCCTCCCAAAGTGCTGGGATTACAGGTGTGAGCCACGGCACCCGGCCAAGAATGAGGTTTTGTCCAAAGAAGGGAGTCATCTCTAATTTCAGCAGTTCTAAAACAATGAAAACTTGCATCATTATTATGGTTTATATCACACAGCATTACAATTATTTGGTTACTTAACCTGATTTCCACCAGCCTGTTATCAACTCAAAGAGAAGAATTTTATTTTACGAGCCTTTGTACTGTGCTTGACAAAATATTTAGTTCATGCATGGCCCACAATAAATACTTTTAAGAGAATATACAAAATTAAGCTCATAAAATCTGTGAATGACATAAAGCTAGGGAGATGGGCAGCTCATACATTGGATGAGTACAAAATCAATAATCCAAGTTATCTCTAAAATCAAGCTAAAATCTAATAAGTGGCATTTTCAAATCCTTTATTCAGACTTTTTAATAAAATATCCAAATACAGATCTGAAAGGAAATTGACAAAACTGCAATTCATAAAAAATACTCTCAGGAATTATAGTTCACAACATCAAAATGAACCAGTGTGAAACAGCCTCTTTGGAAACTAATGCAGGTTTGTGACTGTGGCCTAAAGACCCGGGGGGCCTTGTAACCCCAGGAACCAGCCCACCATCACCATCAGAACTCATATACCAGGACACAAGAAGTGTGAAGCTGTTCCTCCACTTTAAAAGGAAGATAATATTTTTAGTTCTACAGGAGGAAGAAGCTTGCTGTTGAAAAGATCTAGCTATGTCAAAGAAGCAAAGGTCAAAGAATATGCAGAGAAATTGCAAAAAAGCCCCAGAGGGAAGCAAAAAAATGACAGGGAGGCACAGCTGCAACACATTAAAAATAGGAACAGGGATTCTCTGGTCAGAAAATAACCACCTCCTGATGGAGTTAGAATCTTTCCAAAAAGCAACATTCTGGAATCGTCCAGGAGATTTCTGCAGTACAGAATGGCCTAGTAAAAACTAAAAGAATTGCAGATGAATTACAAAAATATATCAGAGAGCTGGGCAAACAAGTGATTCCATGGAACAAGCAGAATGAGCCTCTGTTATGTCTCTGCAAGAGTCTGAACTGTATCTGAATTAAACCAATAAAAGAACCACCTTCTTGGAAGAGGAAAAAAAAAAAAAACTTGCCATGAAAGAAAATCTCCTGAAATCTGTTCAGAAGATGGAAGATTAAGCTAATGATTTGTGTGTGTGTGTGTGTGTGTGTGTGTGTGTTTGTGCATGTGTGTGGTAGAAATCCACAGAACAGTAACTGCAAGAGAATTCCAGAACCCCTAAGCTCAGCTCAGTGGAAGCTAAGCAATTGGACAAAGCCATCTAAACCCAAAGCAATGGCTCGATGGAGTTCACCAGGGAGGATCTTGCTCTGATCTAAATATACAGTGGAAATCTGATGTGATCTAGTGAGTCACTCAACCCCTATCTTCAATGCCTGTGACTGCAATAACTTCACTCAATCTTGGAACGAACTTACTGTGGTCAATAGGGCATCCTCTTAGACTCTCATGTCTGACTGATTAGTCTCCAAACTGAGCAAGTGTTCTGACGTTATGGAGGGGGAGCAGGGACGAGAGATAGCAGTAACCAATAGCCGGGTAGTACCCATGTGACTGAGCCACAAAAGGTTGGAAAATGCTTGAAATTTGGGGTGCTACCTTCAAAACTTTTCTTACCATCACTGCAGAGTGTAGTCAAGATGTTGTTTTAATAAAATCAGAAAGCCTTTGATGGGTCATATAAAGGTTTATGCATGTCCTTTATATGACTTAAAACTTAATCAACTGGATTTGCAGACTGCCATTCATGTCTACCAGAACAAAAACCTCCAATGCTTTATGGCACATTAAGGATTGACATTTTAAACTATTTCTAGAATTCGAGTGGCAATTTACCAGATTTTTTTCCCAAAATAATACCTTCTACCACGATGCCTAGCTAAAGACTGATTAATTTGCCTCTTACTGGGCTTTTGGAGATCTGCTTGTCTCCAACTTCTGAGGTTGAAGGTAAATTTCATCTTGACCAGTGTCAGTTTAGTAATTTTTATTCTTCAGGTGTTTTCTGACCATTAGACTGTCTGACTCTCCAGTGTGAGATTGACCTCATTTTTTGGTTCTAAGAGGGTCTTCCATCAGGGCAGACTGGCCTCGGTAACATAGCCCCTGATAATGGGGCTTTATTCAAAACCTTATTGAATTAATAGAGGCATCCTTCAAAGGAAATTCACATATGAAAATTGTTGCTAGAAGCTTACTTATCAAAGAAGTAAAATAACACAGGATATCAAATAATCTACAGTGGTTTACTCATCACTGATTATTATGATCTGATGTCTCACATTTGTTAAAGAACACACTAATTTCAGGAACACTATTCTCTGCTTAATAATTTTCTTTTTGTTATTATTTTCTAGGAAAAAAGCAAATGTATCTTTGAGTCAAGAATACAACTTTTTATACTACTGAAATTCAGTAGAAGAAATAAGTGCCAGGCTTCCTAAACTAAATGTTTTCTTAATCTGCATAAAAAAGATAGGCTTTTATTTTTTTACAACAATAAAAGAAGCGAAAGAAAGTAATGTTCAATTTGTTTCCAGCTGAGTGATAACCTCATGATGGTGTTTAATCCTGCCATATATGCTGATACTTCTTTATTGTCTCACATGGTGGTGAAAACTATTTTGGCTTCTGCTTGTTTTTATTGAACTAAGTAAATATGAAAAACCAAATCCATCATTAAAACTTTTTAATTTTAATTTTTAGTAACATAGTTTATATAAGTGTATGTACTGCTAAAAATATTTTAACATTTGATCATTTAATTGAATCTTCTACATTTCCATTATAAATGGTAACAGTCCATATTTCTATTCTCTCAAATCTGTTTTATACCATGGAATTGGTATGTGGAATGAAGTTTGTTTTGAAAGGTAGAGGGGAAAAACAAAAATTATTGGAAACTTAGGGGCTACAGTAGATTCATTTCAACAGTGGAACTAGTCCTACTCTGCCTTGCACAGGACACTCTAATCAGTGATAATGGTGTTCCCCTGAGAACCAGGTACTATTTACTTAACTAACAAACAAAGGCACAGAAAATTTCTAAAGAGCATTGGCAAACTAGGGTAATTGAATGATGATCAACATAATGAGCAATGATTAAAGATGCTGAGAACGTTATGTAGAAAAAGAAGAAAGAGAGATTATGCTTAATGAGATGATCTTCAAAATCCCCCTTTTTTCCCCAGGGCTGCTGCACCTCATCTACTAAAACCAAATCCTGGAAAAGATTTCTATGAGATGGTTTCTGTCATTCTTCCTAAACTGGGAGCTAAGTGATTAATATAGAGGAAAACTCACAGATAAACATATCTCTGCAAATGCAAATAAGTACTAAAGTGCTGGTAACCAACATCCCCACCCTGGTTCCTCTTAGCACTTCAGTCAAAGGCACACTTCGAACAGAAGAATCTGAACCACAAATTTAGCCAGTCTCTACTACCTTCAGAAAGGCTTCCAGAAGTCATTTTCCTCCCAGACCTCCTAGATTTCTAATTTCTCTATTCCTGCTAGGAGGGACACTACTACCCAATCTAGGAGTATCTTGGAAGATTCAAGTGGGAAACCATTCAGATCTGTCTCTTCCCCTCATCGCATCAACATTTTAATCTGTCTCTACACAACGCAGGATTCACAAGGGAAGTCTCAAATCCCATAGCGTTGCTTACAAGCAGCGTGACAACAAGGATGAAGCCAGAGAGGCACCTATGGTACAAAATTTTAAAAGGTACTTATTCTCAAGTTCATACTATGAGGCTTTTCATGTTCTGATCCTTCCCAGTCTCATCTCTTAGAATCCAGGCCTCACATACTATACCCCAAGTTTACTTAACAGCTTGGTGGTTCCTAAATGACTATCAGAAACACCCTCCTCCCTTTATCTAAATCCTACTCTTCCTACAGCTGGCAAATTTGGGAAGAATTTCTGGAACACACTGCCTACACACAAAATTGAATTAGGAATCCTTACCCTCAGTATAACATTTATCACACTATATGTGTGTGTGTGTGTATATATATATATATATATATATATTAAAGCAAATTTACTGAATCATAACTTACATTAAAATATGAGCCATGCATTTTAAGCATAGTTTATCTCTTCATTAATTTAGATATTTAATTTCTTTCAGCCATTTTATGTCATTTCCAATATATAGTTCTTATATATATTTAATTAAATTTATTACTAGATGTTACACATTTTATGTCAATTTTACAACACATTCACATAGTACTTTTTAATTTAATTTAATATTTTGCTTTTTCTTATATGCTTATTTATCCTTTTTTAATTGACAAGAAATAATTGTACATATTCATGGAGTATATAGTGATATTTCAATACATATAATGTGTAGTGATTAGATCAAAATAATTACCATATTCATCATCTCAAATATTTATCATTTCTTTGTGTTGGGAATGTTCACTATCCTCCTAGCTATTTAGAAAGTATATGTTATTGTTAACTATAGACATCCTACAGTGGTATAGAACATCAGAATTTATTCCTCCTACCTAGCTGTAATTTTGTATCTTTCAACAAATCTCTTTTTATCCCTCTCTTCCCCCACCCTTCCAAGCCTCTGGTATCTTCTGTTCTACTTTTTACTTCTATGAGATCAACCTTTTTTAGCTTCCACGTATGAGTGAGAACATGCAGTGTTTAACTTTATGTTGCTGGATTCTTTTACTTAACATATGTCCTCCAGTTTCATCCACACTGCCATAAATGAAAAGATTTTATTCTTTTTTTATGGCTGGATAGTATTCCATGTGTACATATACAAAATTTCCTTTACCCATTCATCTGTTTTTGGACACCCAGGTTAATTCCATATCTTGGCTATAGTGAAAAGTGCTGTAATAAACATGGGGGTACAGATGTCTCTTCCATGTAATGATTTCCTTTCCTTTGGATAAATTTCCAATGGTAGGATTTCTAGATCACACGGTAAGTTACATTTGCAGTTTTTTTGAGGAACTTCCATGCTGTTCTTTGTAGTGGCAATACTGGTTTACATTCCCACCAACAGTGTGTAAGAGTTCCCTTTTCTCCACATCCTCCTCAGTATTTTTTATTTTTGTATCTTGATAGTAGCCATCCTAACTGGGGTAAGACAATAGCTCATTATAGTTTTGATTTGCATTTTGCTGATGATTAGTAATGCTAAAAATTTTTTCTTGTATTTATTGTTCATTTGTATGTCTTCTTTTGAGAAATGTCTGTTCAGATTATTTGGCCATTTTTAAATTAATTTGTTTACTTTTTGCTATTGAGATGTGTCAGTTCCTTGTATATTCTGGATATTAGTCCCTTGTTGGATGAGTAGTTTGTAAATATTTTATCCCATTCTGCAGGTTGTCTGGAAATGTTTATTGTTTTCTTTGCTGCATAGACCATTTCAGTTAGACATAACCATTTTTCTTTATTTTGGCTTTTGTTGCCTGAGCTTTTGAGGTCTTATTTATAAAATCTTTTCCCAGACCAATGTTCTGAACTATTTCCCTTTTTTATTTTAGTATTTCTACTGTTTCAAGTATTACATTTAGGTCTTTGATGCATTTTGAGTTGATTTCTGTATAGGGTGAGAGATGGGGGTCTAGTTTCATTTTCCTGCATATGGATATCCAGTTTTCCCAGCACCATTTATTGAAGAGATTGTTCTTCCCCAGTGAAAGTTCTTATAACTTTCATAAAAAAAATCAGTTGACTGTAAATATGTGGATTCATTTCTGGGTTCTCTATTTTGTTCCACTGGTCTATGTATCTGTTGTTATGCCAGTACCATGCTGTTTGGTTATTATAGCTTTGTAGTATATTTTGAGGTCAGGTAGTATGATACCTGCAGCTCTGTTCTTTCTGCTCAGGATTGTTTTGGTTATTTGGGGTATTTTGTTGTTCAATATAAATTTGGGGATTATTTTCTGTTTCTATAAAGAATGTTATTGGTATTTTGATAAGGATTGCATTGAATCTGTAGATTGTTTCAGGTAGTATTGTTATTTTAACAATATTAATTCTTTCAATTCATGAGCATGGGATATCTTTCCATTTGTTAGTTCCCTCTTCAATGTCTCTCTCTCTCTCTTTTTTTTTTTTTTTTTTTTTGAGACAGAGTCTCCCTCTGTCACCCAGGCTGGAGTGCAGTGGCGTGATCTCAGCAAACTGCAATCTCCGCCTCCCAAGTTGAAATGATTCTCCTGCCTTAGCCTCCCGAGTAGCTGGAATTACAGTAGCTGGAATTACCACCATCACGCCTGGCTAATACATATATATATATATATATATATATATATATATATATATATATATATATATAATTTTTTTTTTTTTTTGTAATTTTAGTAGAGACAGGGTTTTACCAGGTTGGCCAGGCTGGTGAACTGCTGACCTCAAGTGATCCACCTGCCTCAGCCTCCCAAAGTGCTGGGATTACAGGTGTGAGCCACTGCTCCCAGCCTCTTCAGTTTCTTTCATCAGTGTTCTGTAGTTTTCCTTGTAAAGGTCTTTCACCTCCTCGATTAAATTTATTCCTAGGTACTATACTTTTATAGCTGCTATGACTGTGATTGCCTTCTTGATTCTTTTTCAGCTAGTTTGTTGTTACTGTATTAAAAACACTACTGATTTTGTATATTAATTTCATGTACTGCAACTTTACTGAATTCATGTATCAGTTCTAACAGTTTTTTGGTAGGGTCTTCAGGTTTTTCTATACATACTATCATGTTGTCTTCAGGGAAAATATAATTTCCTCCTTTCCAATTTGGATGTGTTTTATTTTTTCTCTTGCCTAATTTCTCTAGCTAGGACTTCCAATACTATGTTGAAAAGGATTGGTGAGAGTGGGGATCCTTGTTTTATTTTTTCTTCCAGTTGGAGGAAAACCTGAAAACTTTCCATTCAGTAGGATGTTAGCTGAACAGAATGTGTCATATATGGTCTTTATTATGTTAAGTTATTTTCCTTCTATGCCTAATTCATTTAGAATTTTTATCATGAAGAGATGTTGAATTTTATCAAAAGCTTTTTCTTCACATATTGAGAAAATTATATGATTTTTGTCCCTCATTCTATTGATGTAATGTATGATGTTAATGGATCTATGGGTCTAATTGATCTATATACATCCCAATTGATCATAGTGTATTATTTTTTGATGTGTTGTTGGATTCAGTTTGCTAGTATTTTGTTGAGAATTTTTGTGTTTATATTCATCACTGATATTAGCCTGTAGTTTCTTTTTTTAAATTGTGTCCTTGTCTGGCTTTGGTATCAGGGTTATGCTAGCTTTGTAGATGGCAATTTTATTTTTTAAATTATTTATTGCTAATATAGAGAAATATAATAGCTTTTTCTATATTGATTTAGTATCTTGTGATCTTGTTAAATTCACTTTTTAGTCCTACTTGCTTTTTTATAGATTCTTAGGATCTTCTATATGCATAATCATGTCATTGACAAACAAAGACACATTTACCTATTTATTTCCAAAGCATATGTCTTTTATTTCTCTTACTTTTCTTATTACACTGGCTTGAACTTCCACTAAAATGTGGAAGAGGAACATGAGAGAAATTGTAATCTTTTTTCCCAACCTTAGAGCTATTAAATACGATGTCAGATGAAGGTTTTGGATATACTCTTTTTCAGTTTGCGTAAGTTTTTATTTATTCCCGTTCTCTTAATAGCTTTTTAAATTATTTAATATTGAGTTTTGTTAAATTAGTTTTCTTCACATATTGAAATTATTATATAGTTTAACTCCTTTGTTGTATTAATGTGACAAAATACATTGATTGATACTCAAGTTATAAACCAACTTTGCATTCCAGAGATAAATTTTATTTACTCATGGTGTGTTATATTTTGTGTTTATTGCTGGATTTAATTATGATAATATTTTGTTAAGGATTTTGCATTTGTATTCATAAAGTATATTCATGTGTAATTTTACATGCATTCTGTAATGCCAGTACCATAAATCAGTTTGGAATTATTTCTCCTTTCAGTATTTGTGAATTTTCAAACAATAGCTAGTATTTCTTTTCTTAAATGATTGTCTAGAGTTCACAAGCAAAGCTATTCTGGATTGTATTTTTCTTCATGGGAAAGTTTTTAATTGTATATTTAATTTCTTTCATATATATATGGCTATAAAAATTTTCCTTCTTATTAATTCAATTTTTGTAATTTGTACCATTTAAGAAATGTATCTATGCTATCTAAAGTAATCAATTTCTTGGCATTTATCGATATCATATTATAACATTCCCCCTTTTAATGCCTGTAGAGTCTGCAGCAATACTTCTGTCATTTTTGAAATTGGTAACTTGTGTCTTTTTTTTTTCTGTTCAATGTAGCTTGATTGCCATTTTTTGATAATTTGAAGGAAAAAAAATTTATTTAAGTTTTTCTACTACATTTCGATCTCTCTTTTTATTGCTTTCTGCCTTATTAATACCTTGTACTTACTACCATCTAATTATTTTATTGTACTTATTTATCTTTATTGTTTTTATTATTACTTTCTACTTTCCTTGAGTATAATTTTTTGGTAGCATTTAAGAAAGAAGCTTAGACTTAATTTTAGACACTTTTTTTCTAAAATATGCATGTAAGAGAATAAATTTCTCTTCATGTACACCTAAATTTTGATATGTTATGTTTTTCATTGTCACTCAATTAGAAACATTTTCTAAATCTTCATGTAATTTCTACTTGACCTGTGGGCACTTTGACCTATCTAGTCTAGTTGGTTGATGTTTGTTGATATGTGTTTTTCTTCTACCAGTTACTGAGAGAAGATTCTAGAAATTTATAACTATAATTGTAAATTTGTCTATATCTCTTTCAGTTTCGCTAGTTTTACTCTCATGTATATTAGACTACTTGATATTTGTCCCACATATCAATGAGACCCTTTATGACACTTTGGTTTCTTTTTCTATGTGTTTCAATTCAAGTAATTTCTATTAATATATCTTTAAGATTTGTGTTAGTCTGTTCTCACTCTGCTACAAAGAAATACCTGAAACTAACTAATTTATTTTAAAAAAAGGTTTTTAATTTGCTCACAGTTCTGCCAGCTATACAGGAAGCATGGCTGGGAAGGCCTCAGGAAACTGTCAATCATAACAGAAGGGAAATCAGGCCTGTCTTACATGGGCAAAGCAGGAGAAAAGAGAGAGAAGGGGAGAAGGGGAGGTGCTATACACTCTTAAACAACCAGATCTTGTAAGAACTCACTCACTATAATGAGAAAAGCAAGGGGGAAATTCACCCCCGCCCATGATGCAATCACCTCCCATCAGGTCCATCCTCCAACACTGAGGATTACAATTTGACATGAGATTTGGGTGGAGACACAAATCCAAACCATATCAAGATTATTAATTATTTCCTCCACAGTTTCTAATCTACTATTAACCAACCATTAAAATTTCCACTTCTTTTATTGCATTTACAACTCTTAATCATTTCATTATGCTTCAGAGTTTCAGTTTATAGCTTAATTATGTTTATGTTTTCCTTTAAATCTTTACATACATTTTTAATCACTATCTTAAAGTCATTGTCTGATAATTCTATCATTTGCCATTTTTGGATCTGTTTCCATTGACAGATTTTTCTCCTTGTAATGGGACACATTTTTCTGCTTTTTCTCTTGTTTTTAAATCAAATTCTGGATAATGTAAATTTTGTGTTTTTAAATTGTTGAAATTTTTTTAAAATATAAAGAATGTTGGACTTCCAATGTTGGGTGCATTTATATTTATAATTATTATGTTCTTTAAATGAACATCATATCACCTAAACATGTAAAGCAAATATTAAAAGAATTAACAGGAGAACTAGACAGTAATACAATAACAGTAAATGACTTTAATACTCCAATTTCAACACCAGAGATATCATTAATAGAAAATCAATAGTGGACTTGAATAACAGTATAGGCCAAATAGATCTCACTGATATATATATGCACATACATATATATATATACACACACATATATACATAAATATGTATACACATATATACATACACACACACACACACACACACACATATATATATAGAACATCCCATCCAATAACAGTGAAATACGCATTCTTTTAAAGCATACAAAAAACATTCTTCAGGATAGATCATATGTTAGGCCACAAAACAAGTCTTCACCAATGTAACAGTCATCTCAAATATCTTTACTAATCATATTGGTAAAATCTAGAAATCAGTAACAGGAGAAATTTTGGAAAATAGACTAATATGTGAAAATTAAAAACAACACACTTCTGAACAACCATTGCATCAAAGAAAAAAATGTTGTTGTTGTTGTTGTTGTTGTTGTTGTTGTTGTTGTTGCTGTTGTTGTTGTTGAGACAGAGTGTCCCTCTGTCGCCCAGGCTGGAGTGCAGTGGCTCTATCTCTGCTCACTGCAACTTCCACCTCCTGGGTTCAAGCAATTCTGCTCTCTCAGCCTCCTGGGCGTGCGCCACCTCGCCCAGCTAATTTATTTTTTTGTATTTTTAGTAGAGACGGGATTTCAGCATGTTGGTCAGGCTGGTCTCAAACTCTTGACCTCGAGATCCACCCATCTCGGCCTCCTGAAGTGCTGCAATTACAGGCGTGAGCCACCGCTCCCAGCCAAAAAAAAAAAAAAAATCTAAAAAGAAGTTAAAAAGAAGTATCTTGAGAAAAACAAAAGTGGAAATTACAACATACCGAAACTTAGGGAATGCAACTAAAGGAGTACTAACATGGAAGTTTCTAGCAATAAAAGCCTATATTAAGAAAAAAATACTTCAAATAACTCAACTTCACACTTCAAGGAACTAGAAAAAGAAAAGTAAATATTCCAAGGGCAGAAGAAAAGAGGAAATAATAAAAATAAGAGTAAACATAGATAAAATAATAGACTAGAAAAACAACAGAAAAGGTCAATGAACCTAAAAATTTGGTTGAAAATATAAATACAATTGGCAAACATTCAGTTATGCTAGCCAAAAAAAAAAGAGGGAACTCCAATAAAATTATAAATGAAAGGTAAACCATTACAATTAATATCACAGAAATGCAAAGGATCAAAAGAGATTATTATGGACAATTATAATAATTATACACCAACAAATTGGATAACCTAGAGAAAAATAATAAATTCCTGGAGATACACAGTCTACCAAGATTGAATCATAAAGAAAATAAAAATCTGAACAGACCAATAACAAATAGAGTTATTGAATCAGTAATCAAAAGCCTCCCAACAACAACAACAAAGCTCAGGACTAGATGACTTCATTGGTGAATTCTACTAAGCATTTAAAGAAGAATTAGTGCCAATCCTTCAAACCTTTCCAAAAAGTTGAAGAGAACAGAACACTGCCAAACTAATTTTAGGAGTCCAGAATTACCCTCATACCGAATCCAGATAAGGACACCAAGAAAAGAAAGAATAATTCAGTATGTGCAAATTAATAAATGTGATACACCACATTAACAAAATGAATAATAAAACTTATTATGTTAATAGATGCAGAAAAAGCATTTGACAAAATTCAACATCTTTTCATAATAAAACCTCACAACAAATTAAATATAGAAGAAATATACCTCAACACAGTAAAGGCCATATTTAACAAACCTATAGCGAACTTATACTCAATGTTGAAAAGTTAAAAACTTTTACTTATAACATCAGAACGTAGAAAAGGATTCTCACTTTTGCCGCTTGTATTTAAAGTAGTACTAGAAGTCTTGGCCAGAGCAATTAGACAATAAAAATAAATAAAAGGTATTCAAATTGGAAGGGAACAAGTAAAATTGTCTGTACAGATGACATAATCTTATATATAGAAAACCCTAAAGACTTCACCAAAAAAATTTTAGAACAAATAAAGTAGTTTGGTAAATTTTTAGGATACAAAATCAACACACAAAAATTACCTGGGTTTCTATACATGAAAAAATATGTATTCAAAAAAGAAATTAAGAAAACAATTCAATTTACAGTAACATCAAAAAAAATACTTAGAAATAAATTTAAACGAAGAGGTGAAAGATCTGTACACTGAAAAGACATTGAGGAAAGAAATTAAAGACACAAATAAATGAAAATATATCTTCTTTTCATGGATTGGAAGAATAATTTTGTAAAAATGTATATATTACCCAAAGTGATCTACAGATTCAATGCAATCTCTATAAAAATTCCAATGACATTTTTCATAGAAATAGAAAAAAAATTAAAATTTATATGGAACCACGAAAGACCCTGAATAGCCAAAGCAAACATGAGCAAGAACAAAGCTGAAGGCATCACACTCCCTGATTTCAACTATATTACAAAGCTGTAGTAATCAAAACAACATGGTACTGACATAAAAACAGATACATAGACCAATGGAGTAGAGCAAAGAATCCAGACATATACCCATACATACATGTTCAACTAATCTTTGACATGAGTGCCAAGATTACTATGGGAAGATAGTCTCTTTAATAAATGTTGTTGGGAAAACTGGGTATTAACATGAAAAAGAATGAAATTGGAGCCTTGTCTTACACCATATACAAAAATTAGCTCCAAATGGATTAAAGACTTAAATGTAAGATTCAAAATATAAAACTTCTTGAAGAAAACAGAAATAGAAAACTCCTTGAATTTTTAATGCATTGATTTTTTTATATATGACAACAAAAGCAAAAATAAACAAATGGAAATATATCAAACTAAAATGCGCCTGTATAGCAAAGAATAAAATTCAAAAAAATGAAAAGACAACCTATGAAATGAACTAAAATATTTCAAAATTGTATATTTGATAAGGGTTAAATGAGGAATTGACACAATTGCCAAAAACAAACAAACAAACAAACAAAAAACCTATTCTTAAAAATAGGCAAAGAACCTGAACAAACTTTTTTTTCAAAGAAGACATAAAAATGTTGAGCATGTACATGAAAAGGTGCTCAGTATCAACTGACCATCAGGAAAATGCAAATCAAAACCCCAACGAGATATCACCTCGCATCTGTTAGGAAAGTTATTATCAAAAACATAAGAGATAACAAGTGTTAATGAAAATGTAGAGTAAAGGTAAATCTTGTACACTGTTGGTGGAAATGTAAACTAGTAGAAGAATTATAGAAGACAGTATGAAGTTTCTGCAAAACTTTAAAACTACTGTATGATCTAGCAATTCTACTTCTAGGTATATATCCAAAGGAAATGAAATCAGTAACTTGAAAAGATAAATGCACATTCAAATTTATTGTAGTATTATTCACAATAGCCAAGATATTGAAACAATCTAAGTTTCCATTAATGGGTGAATAGATAAAGAAAATACAGTATGTATTTATGTATGTATAAATAAATAAATACACACATATACAAACAATGGAATATCATCCAGCCATAAAAAAGAAGGAAATCCTGACATTTGTGACCTGGAGGATATTATGCTAAATGAAATAAGCCAGACACAGAAAGAGAAATACTGCACAGTCTCACTTATATGTGGAATTAAACAAACTCAGAATCATAGAAGCAGAGAGTAGAATGGTGATTGCCAAAGGCTGGTGGGGTTGGTGGGGGAGTTGGGAGAAATGGGGAGATATTGGTCAAAGTGTTAATATATTGTAAGATAAATACATTCTGAAGATATAAGACACAGAATGAGTGACAATGAAGGTGTTCATTAATTTCTTTTAAATAATGTTGGGCTTTGTTCTAACAGACACTTACATAACTTGCAGGTTGGCTTAATTATTTACAGACCCCTTCATAAGCTTTTTAAAGGTGGGACTAGACTAGATTTTCCTCTAAGCCTGCTTTAGCCCTACTGCCATTCTGGGGTATCTACTAAGTGCTCTGTGGTTCACCCTCCACTTTGCATGATTGGGACTCAAATGTCTCACAGAAATACATAAGCTCTGCAAATTGCTCAGCTTACAACTCCAAGTTTTTCTTTGTTCTACATCATTGAGTTTTACTCTATGCATATGCAGGTTAGTAGTCAGCTAAAAACTCAAAGGTCTATGCACATATTTCTATGACTATTTTTCTATGTAGTTTCCAGATTTCGACCACCTCAGATTCCTCAAACTCTAATCTCTGTCTCTTCAAGTCAGAGAGTCTACTATACTTTGCTTAGATTTCCCTTTCTCTGCCACAGCACAGAAAATGCCTACAAAAAGAAAGCTGGGACAAACATAGGACTCACCTCATTTGTTTCCCTTCTCCAAAGGATCACATTGCTCAGATGCCAGCTGTCCAATGCCTGAAAAGAGCTGTTTAATATATCTGGTCCATTTTTCCAGTTATTTATGGCAGGAAGGCAAGTCTGGTACCAGTTGGCTAGAAGTGGGAGTCTATCACACTGTATTTTAATTGCTCATTTTTGTGTAGTAGGAATCGCAGTTTGAGCACAGGCTACATTCAGGGCTGAACTTCAGGCATGTTTGATGTATTAGTTTTTCTTGTTGTACTGTAACAAATTAACACAAATTTAGTAACTCTAAACAACACAAATTTATTCTCTTAGAATTCTGGAAGTCAGAAGTCTGAAATGAGTCTTGCAGGGCTAAAATCAAAGTGTTGGCAGCACAGTTCCTTCTGGAGGCTCTAGACAGAATCCTTTCCTTGTCTCTCCCAGCTTCTCAAGGCTGCCCACATTCCTTGGCTCACAGCCATGTCACTCCAATCTCTGCTTCTGTTGTGACATCACATTCTTCATACTTTCAAACTCCTACCTCCCTTTTATAAGGACACTGTGTTTACACTGGAACCACCTAGATAATGCAGGATAATTTACCCATCTCAAGAACCTAATTGCACATGCAAAGTCCTTTTGCCATGTAAAATAACATATTCACCTGACAGTCAGGGCTTGGACATCTTTGAGGAACAATTTTTCAGCCTATTACATTTGGCAATCTGTGTAAAAATCACACAAGAATCTATTTATGTGAAGATTTTGGATTTTAAATTAAGCAGGAAGGGAGAAATTGTATGAATTGGCCATGGGAGTGAGCTAACAGAGAAGACTGTATTTGTCAGGTTCTCCACAGAAACAGAAACAATAGGATGGAGACAGAAGAATATGGGAGAAGAAAGTGAGCAAGAGAAAAATATTTATTTTAAAAGATTAGTGCACATAATTTTAGAGGCTGGCAAGTTCAAAATATGCAGAGCAGCCTGGCAGGCTGGGAATTCCAGCAGGAGTCAATGCTGCAGGCTTAAGTAGAAGGCAGTTGGGAGGCAGAATGCTTTCCTCTTCTGAGGACCTCAGTCCTCAGTCTTTTATCTTAAGGTCTTCATCTGATTGGATGAGGCCAACCCACATTATGGAGAGTAATGTGGTTTATTCAGTCTACTGATTTAAATCTAAAAAATACATTCAAATACATTGACAGTAACTTCTGGACTGCTGCTTGAACAGCAGCTGAGCACCATACACTGAATTGTCTGTCCATCCAACCAATTACCTAAGGAGAGGAGTTGCTATAGAAGAAAGTAGAGTTATCTACATAAGAAATTTAAGACATATTTTCATAAAGTATAAAACTGACATGAGGAGGCTGAAGTGAATATAAAATCACTTTGGCACCTTAAGCATTTGGAGGCCTTGAGAACATTGGGACATAAATTTTGGTGTGGACTTTCACATTCTTTTAGTAAGATGAATCTCTTTTAAATAGCTTATCTAACTAAGAATATCAATGAAAAGTAGCCCAGGTATGAGATAAAGCCAGTGCTGAGAGGATGATTCCTGAACACATGTGAAACAGCCCCTGAAAACTCTCAATTACTTGAGGGAGATTCTGAAAGTTCCTAGGTGTCCTTTGCAGATTGCAGGAAATAACAAAAAAATTATTAATATACTGTAAATATTAAAGTGATCCAATCTATATCTGTACGGTGAAAATGCCTAAGAAAATTCAAGTTACTATTATTTGTCCCACCATTAAGCAGGAAGCTATTTGATTATTGTCTGTTCTTACTCACCACTGTATCTTAGTGGTAATTCATAAATATGTGTTGAATGAATGAGTTAGTCAGTGAATTAGTAAGAAGAGAATAAGGTAAGAGAGAAGAAAATGAAAACAACTAAAGTCATTATAAATGGCGAGAAGTTTGATGGTAAGTTATATTCAGCTTTTGGTATACTCTCATATTTCCCAGGCTCACAATTATTGTCATGCAAGATGCCAAGGAACGCATGGAAAATGGCACCACACACAAAGTGATATGCATCAGAGTTCTTGCATTTAAATATTAAAGCATAGAAAATCACTGTCAAATTCTAGCATGTCGATGTGTCTGGTTGAAAGGGATAGCAGACTGAATCTTGTCATTATCTCCTGCTGTGCATCAGAAGCTACATACCCATTGTAGAGTCCAGTCCCCTCTCAAGCTTGTGGTTCTGGGAGCTTCCTTTAAGATAACAGCAGGTGTTTTGTTTTTAAGCACAGGGAAAAAAGACAATTTTAAATAGTTAAGTTGATGATACTTTTAAGAGAGAAACTGCATAGAAGAAAGTAAAGTGGTCCAATATCTTTGTTTGTGGGGATTATATATATTCAGGGGATTGAAAAATACAAGAAGACACAAAATGCATGTGACAGATAAGAGAGGAACCAGGAGAGTTCGTATAAGAAAAAATAGGAAGAGAAATGGTTTTAAGAAGGAGGAAGAAATGAAAAGGGTTGAATGCTGCAGAAGGATTAGAGAAGATGATAAATTAGAAATGTGTTTACCATTTAATTAACAAAATATACTAACAGATAAAGTAATGTCCCTGAGGAGATGGAAGGAGAATGATGTAAAGCAGGTAGAAAGGTTATCTTTGGACAAATCATAGGCAGGAGGAAGTGATGGAAGTCTGGGAATTCAATGTATGAAGATCCCATTGAAGCAGGAAATTGATAGAGAAGGTAAAAGAACTTCACACTGGTAACTTGAAATAAAAGAAATAATGAGAGAATATGCTGAAAGTGAAGAAGTTGCAAAAAAACCTATTGAATCAGCTGCCATAATATGAAATGCTGTTATTAGAGCATGTCTTCTCAGATTCCAAGTCTGCTAATGAGAGTAGGCTGTGGCATAGTTTTGACTATGGGGTAGAGGTAAAGGAATACAGATTTCTAAAATATATCAGTAGGAGAAATTAATTGTAGGAGGTTCCACAGTGACATTTCAGGTTTTGGGATTGCCATCAAATGTATTCATTCATCCATCAATCCAATTCAGTAGGTATTCATTGACTTCTTGAGTAGTTACTTCAAACCTAATGATATGTTAGAATGATGAGCGAAAGTAGACATAACCTCTAACCTTATAAGCCTTTTTTATGTGAAAGGGGAATGGGGGAACAGGATATTAATAATAATGGCATAAATGAATGTAAAACATTAACATTTATAAGTTCTTTAAGGAAATATGAGAGTGATGTATGGGAAGATAAAGCCAGGGGTTTTGAAGAGTCAGGGAAATCATTTAATAAAAAGATTATATCAATTCTCTGCCATTTCTTTCAGAAGATAGAAGCAGAGGAAATACTTTCTAATGAATTCTTTGAGACTAGTATTTCCATAATATCAAAACCAGACTAAGACAATGCAAGAAATAAAACTAGATACCAGTATCTCTCATGATAGACACATAGATAGATCCAAAAATCTTCACAAATTATTAGCAAATCAAATTCAATAATATGTAAACAGAATTATATATCATAATGAAGTGGAACTGATCCCAGGTATGCAAACCTGGTTCAACATTCAAAAATTAGTTAATGTAATTTTATCACTTCAATAGGCTGAAGAAGTAAAACACAGGATCATATCGATAGATACAGAAAAAGAATCAGGTGACAAAATCCAACATCCATTCACAGTAAAAATTATCAGTAAATTAGGAAGAGAGGAAAACACCTTCAAATTGATTGAGAACATCTGTAAAAAAAAAACCTACAGCTAACATCACACTTAATGGTAGCAAACGCAAAGCTTTCCCACTAAAATCAGGAACAAGGAAAGGATGTCCCATTTCACTCTGATTCTTCAATATGCTATTGGAAGTTCTAGATAATTCAGAGTCAACAAGAAAAGAAAAGTGAAACAAGAAATAAAATTGTTCACAGATGACATGGTTATCCATGTAGAAAATCTGAAGGAATTTACAAAAATAGTAAATAAACCTAGAATCAATAAATGATTACAAAAAGGTTGCAGGATGTAAGGTCAGTATGCAAAAGTCAACCACTTCCCTGTATACCAGCAATAAAAAAGTAGAATTTGAAATTAGGAAACAATGCTATTTATATTAATAGTATCTAAAAAATAACATATAAGAAGCACATGAAAAAACTCTAAATCTCTTAATTAAAAAACTAAATAAATGGAGAGAGAGCTCATATTTATAGATAGAAGGCAATATTATCAACATGTCAGTTCTTCCCAGCTTATTTCTAGATTAAATGAATCCCAATCAAAATTCACAGAAAGTTATTTTGTGGATATTGACAAATGCCTCTTAAGTTTATATGAAGAGGCAAAAGACCCTCCATAGATAACAAAATATTGAAGGAGAACAAATTTGTAGGACTAATACAACCAGATTTCAAGACTTCCTATAGAGCTACAGTAATCAAGGCAGTGTGATATTGGAGAATTGATTAATTGATCTATGGAATAAAAAAAGAAAGCCCAGAAATGGACTCAAATAAATATAATCAGCTAATCTTTGACAAAGAGTTAAAGGCAATACAATGGAGAAAAAAAGTATTTTCAACAAATGGAAATGGAACAATTAAGCATCCACATGCAAAAAAAAAAAAAGAGAGAGAGAATTTAGACACAAATCTTATGACCTTCTCAAAAACTCAAAATGGATTGCAGATCTTAATATAATATGCAGAACTATAAACTCCAAGAAGATAACATAGGAGAAAATGTTGATGTCACTGATTTTGATGATGACTTTGTAGATACAATGCCAAAGGCACAATCTATGGAAGAATGGTAAACTGGACTTCATTAAAATTAAAATTTTCTGCTCTGTGAGAGGCAGTCAAGATAATAAAAAATTCAAAAAAATGAGCTACAGACTAGGAGAAAATATTGCAGAAGACACATCTATTGGACAAAGGACTTGTCAAAAATATTCAAAGAGCTCTTAAAACTCAACAAGAAGGAGAAAAAAAAAACCCTGATTTTAAAAAAAAGACTTAACAGTCTGGGTTCAGTAGCTCATGTTTGTAATCCCAGGACTTTGAGAGGCCAAGGAAGCAAAATCTCTTGAGCTCAGAAGTTTGAGACCCACCTGGGCAAAATAGTGCATCCTTGTCTCTACTAAAAATCAAAAAAATTAGCCAGGCATGGTGGCATGCGCCTGTAGTCCCAGCTACTGAGGAGGCTGTGGTGGGAGGATCACTTGAGCCTAGGAAGATCGCTTGATACCAGGAGGTAAAGGCTGTGGTAAGCTGTGATTACACCACTGCACTCCAGCCTGGGCAGTAGAGCAAAATTCTGTCTCAAAAAAGTCATATATATATTATATATATATAAATTATATATATAATATATATAAAATTATATAAATATAATATGTATAAAATTCTGCTCTGTGAGAAGCAGAATTATATAAAAATTATATATTTATAAAATATATATAAATTATATATATAATATATATATAACCTATATATGGTGGGTATATATATATATATATGCACCTTAACAGACATCACCAGAGCAGCTATGCAGATGGCAAATAAGCATATGAAAAGATGTTCCACATCATTTGTCATCAGGAAAATGCAAATTGAAACAAGAATAAGATACCACTACACATCTATTAGAATGACCAAAACCGAGAAACACTGACAACACCAAATGCTAGTGAGGATGAGAAGCATAAGGAACTGTCATTCATTGCTGGTAAGAATGCAAACGGTACAGCCACTTGGGAAGGCAGGTTGGCAGTTTCTTATAAAACTAAACATATTCTTACCACATAACCCAGCAATCACACTACTTGATATGTACTTGAAGGAGTTGAAAAAGTATTTCCACACAAAAACCTGCACTTTATAGCAGGTTTATTTATAATTGCCAAAACTTAGAAGCAACCCCAAATATCCTTCATTAATCCAACCAGTGAAATATAAGTTAGGACTAAAAATTGATCTGTCTAGCTCTGGAAAGACAAGAAGGAAACTTTAAATATATATTACCACATGAAAGAAGCCAATCTGAAAGGCTACATATGTATGATTCCAATTATATAACATGCTGAAAAAGGCAAAACTATGAAGGTAGCAAAAAGATCAGTGGTTGATAGGATTTTAGGGAATGTAGGGAGGTTACTTCAGGCAGTGAAACTACTCTGTATGATACATTTGTGTAGACCCATAGGATATACAACACCAAGAATGAATCCTAATGGAAAATATGTGTGCTGGGTGATAATGATGTGTCAATGCTGGTCATCAGTTGTAAGAAATGCACCACTCTGATTGGGAATGTTGATAACAGGGGAGGCTATGTATGTGTAGGGACAGAGGATATATGGGAAATGTCTCAATTTTGTTATGAACCTAAAACTACTCTAAAAAAATAAAATATATCAAATAAATTTTCTAAAAATGTTATTGGGGACTTCTTCCATGATGAGGCTATAGAGGTAGATAGGGGTCAAATCAGTCCAGGTCATAGGGAAATTTTGTCATAAATCAGAAGATAATAAATAGAAACTACCTTGATCAGGTTTACATTTTTGAAAAGGTCATTCTGTCTGCAATGTGAAGATTAATGTGGAGGGGGTGCCAAAATAAATGGAATTTAGACCAATAGAAAAGTTATTGCAGGATAGAGGTGATTGTAAATTAGAAAAGGTAGTGATGACGAGAACAGTAAGTGCATAAGAGATATTTAGAAGCAAAGTCAAAAATCTTGTTGATGCATTGAACATTTCATATGTGACCCTCACTTGATTAGTAGACACACTGATGATTATTGCATCTGTGTGTGTATGGATGCTGTAGTCATATTTACACGCTAACAAATTACTACCAATAAATTACAGCATGAATTTCCCTCAACCTTAAGAAGAGATGGAATGTTCATAATGAGGAAGAAGTCTTCTGATTTTCTAAATAGGTAGGTATCAGGGTATTATGTGAATTTGACAACAAAATTCACAGATTATGTAACTTGCTTTGCACTGTCATTGAGTCTGCAAGCTAGTGAACAATGTGATCATTTATTCTAAAAGGAATAAGCACCCAACCAAATCAGAGAGCTGAGTAATGGCTCCAGTAATATTCTCATCAGAACTCATTCTGGCATCAAACTAAGTTCCCCAGACAAATTACTAAGTTTTACACATAAATTTTTTCTTCTCCATATTTCTCTCAGCCAAAGCTTTATTCCAACTTACTTTAAATTTCTTTCCTGTTTTTCTTTTCTTCCATAAAGTAAATGCCAGTACTTTCACCTCGAAGTGACTTCTCCATTTTATTGTCTTTTAAGAAATTCTCCTCATCTCCAATAGTCTATTTTGGTACTGAAAATGAAGTTAGGAAAAAAAATCATTTTCGATTTTAAGCTCTCCGAGAGAACTTTGCCTACCTTTTTTCTCCACAATATCCCTAAAACGTATTCTAATGCTGGGGATATTATCAGTATTTAATAAATTATTGTTGAATAAATAATAAATACATTACTGAATGAAGTTAACATAAGTATCATTTTCTCATATCAACCTTCCCCAATCCCTTATAATAGGTCATGTCCCCTATTAATCACCTTTAAGTCCCCATTCTTCTCCTTCATGGCACCACTCACCATTGTAATTAAGTTATAAACTGGGTAATTGGTTGTTTAATTTATATTTTCTAGCATACTTTGAGCTCCATGAGAGCAGGTACCACTCTGCCCCTATTCACTGATATCTGCTCTGTGCTTAAAACTGACTGAAACACAGAAATCGTGAAATGAATATTTGTTGTAAATTAATACATAGTAAACAATGTAATTAAGGAATATGAAAAATCTTAGATGAGAGAAGCAATTTGCAGCTTCAGATTCATGTCTATTTTTCAGTTGAGGAAATGGAGACCCAGAGAAGTTAAGTGACTTGCTCAGTGTTTCATAGATAATAAGTTGTCAGAGCTGTATTTTAATCCCAGTTCCCTCCAACTCCATAGCCTGTGCTTTGAAATGGAAACATTGTGCCACGCTGCACCATTTAAGCAATGATATATTCATTTAAAGCACCAGAGATCACATTTTAGGGAGAGAAAAAGTTTGTAGTATGAGATGAATCAATCAGCCATATGGAAGGAGGAAAAAAAGAGCAGGCTAAAAAGCTTCCTTTCACTTTGTACAATATGAATTGTCACAGGAATCAAATTTGGCACATACTGTAAAGCCAAGAAAAAAATTATCCCACATTGGATGTAAAATGTGACTTGCATTTTATCTATGTTTCTGAAATTCAGAAAGGATACCAGAAGACTTGTGGAGCTGAGGGCATGAAGTTTTGATGATAGGCTTTTTATGCACTTATCCCCAGGCAGCTAGAGGAGGACCTGAAAAATTGAAGCCGACCTCAGACATAATGAATACATTAAATGATGAAGCGTCTGGTCAGGGTCAGGCAGCCTCCTTGAAGAGAGTAGATGTGTCTCAGGACATTGAGTCTCCAGACAGAGGCAGGGGCAAGGAAATGGCCTATCAGGGCATAAAACATTTACATCTGTTCTTCTTCTGTCACTTCTCTTTGAGGTTGTTTCCCTTGCCTTCAGCAACATCGCAGGTTCACAACCAGATTCTTATGCCTGCTAATTAGAAGAGAGGTCTAACAGCAGCGATCAAGTCTCCACCTGCAACTGGCACCTAATTCTAACACTATCAAATAGATAATGGAAATTATGGGTCATTAATTATTAACTCTATCTAACCTGCCACATTCAAGTTCCACAGATTGTCACTTCCCATATGGCTGTGCAGTCAAGGCTTTGCACTGTGGAATCCTTAGTACCCAACCTTCTAACAGGTCCTTATCACAGAATTTCACATATCAAAGGCATTTTCGATTTCCAAGTGGAACACACAGCCCACGCACTAATCCTCTTTAAAAAAAAATCTGTCTCAAAATCTCATCCAGCCTGTGTTACAATCCCGTGATTGGGAGTCACCACCTCACGAGGCAACCTCATTCTGTTTTTAGGATAGGTAAAATCGCTAGAAAAATCTTCTGTGGTTAAACCAAAATCGAGTTCTTTGTGGCCTTCTGCTGCCGTGGCTTCCTCTGCTCTACAGAATTTCATCAATTCTTCATCTACATTGTATGCCATGTTGTAAAAAACATGGCATCCTAAAAAGAGTTCTGGAATCTTACAAACATGAGCTCAAATGTTAATTCTGGAAGTAAGAAACATTTTTTATTTCTCAAACTCAATTCCCTCACCTGTACAATGAGGATAACACCTCATGGAATTGCTGCTATACTTAAAAGAGTTAAATGCTACCTAGTGCCAATGGGTAGACTTGAATGGTAAAGAGCATGAAGTCTGGAACCAGGCTGCTTGGTTTGAACTTTGGCCCCTAACACTTACTAGCTGTGTGACCTTGGGAAAGCTACTCAAGCTCTCTGGTCTCCTTTTTATCATATTTACTCTGGTCTCCTTTTTATCATATTTACAATAGCTATAAGGAAAGTAACATGTCTTATCTCAGAGGGTTGTTTGGAAGATTCATAAGTTAATATGTTAGGTCCAGTTTCAGTCAGGGTAAGCTAACTGCTGTATCAAAGGAAAAGCCCCAAATCCTAGAGCCCTATGACAAAAAAAGACTTATTTCTTGCTGTTGTCACTATAAAACTGGACAATTCAAGGATACAGTCTTCTTCTACCTGGGAGCATCATTGTCCCACAGGACCTTGGCATCTTCCACTGTATTCTCTGTTTTCGATACAGGTAATCACAACACAGAAGAGTGAAGAAGGACACAGGCTCTTAGCCACCATGGCCTAAAACTGTCCCACACCTCTTCAACTCACATCCTACTGTCCACAACCAGTCATCAGTCATGTGCAACGTTCACACATAAAAGCCCTGGAAAATGAAGGCCAGTGATTTGCCTAGGAAAAGTAGTAAGTAGATTTGGTGCCAGTCACAGGTGGAGACTCGATTGCTGCTATTAGACCTCTGTTCTAAATAGCAGGCATAAGGAACAGTAAGTGGGTTTGGTTTGGTGGTTCCTCATACATCATGGTTGAGGGTCTTTCATCAGTTCTTAGACTTGATAATGTCACCAACATTTTGGATCCTAACCAGTGCAAAGTGTATTGTTTTAGTTTTTGGTATGCACACAACATAGATACATATCAATTGGTTCATTTTTCAATATCTTTATTGTTCTTTATCTTATGTTTTAAAAATGGAGAAAGCCTTATAAAGGAAGGAAATTCTGACACATGCTACAACATATATGAATGTAAAAGACGTTATATTAAGTGAAATATATATATGTCTTTGCCACAAGGACTGAGAAGAGTGCCTAACACTTTAACACACACTGTTAAGTGTGGGTTATTATTATTACCACGCCATGTGTTAATAGTAACTACAGCAATTATAATTAAAATAGTTCTTGATACTTAAAATGTCATATTTGCTGGACTAGGCATTCTTTTTGTCATTTTTTCATACATCATGGTTCAGAGTCTTTCATCAGTTCTCAGACTTTATAGTGTTACCATCATCTTGGATCCTAACCAATGCAAACTGTATTGCTTTTCGTTTTTAGTATGCACACAATATAGACTCATATCAATTGGTTGCTTTTTTAATATCTTTATTTTTCTTCATCTTATGTTGTCCCTGAATCCATGCCTTGCATTTAACTAAGACTTAGCTTCAGGACATGCCATTGATCAGAGATTTCAAAATATGAGTTTTGACTCGTGGGTGAGACAAGGATATTTCAGTGAATCTAAAATGTGTTTCTATAATGGAATAGAAAAAATATATATATATATGTATAGCTTGTTGTTAGGTTTAAATGAGTTTGTATATGTAAATCATTAGAACACTAAATTTTCAAAATGAAGAAAACCTTATAAAGGAATGAAATTCTGACATATGTTACAACATGTATGAATCTAGAAGACATTATATTAAGTGAAATAAACCAATCACAAGAGAATAAATATTATATGATTCCACTTATATGAGGTCAAGAGCAGTCAAGTTCACAGAGACAGCAAGTAAAATGGTGGTTGCCAGGGAATGGAGTCATGGGGAATTATTGTTGAATGGGTACAAAGTTTCAATTTAGGAAAATTAAAAATATTCTAGAGATGGATGGGGTGGTAGCTGCTCAATATATGAATATGCTTAATGCTACTGAACTGTGTGTTTAAACATGGTTAAAATGGTCAATTTTATGTTATTTTAACAAAAGAAGAAAAAATGGACAAAAATCAGAATACGTTAAAAATATGAGTGCCTCACACTAGAGTAAGGTAGGTATTATTTTACGAAACATTTATTTCATATATATGTGCACTTACCAATGAAGTAAATGAATTTCTTAGTATAGGTCAAAGTTAAATAAAAGCTACTATTCCAGAGAACAATTATCACAACAACACGATAAAGCATATGCATTATTTTTTGAGCAGAGTTGTCCTTGCTGAATCTAAAATTCATAACAATTGTTGTTTTTGAAATTCCAAAAATTGTTGTAGCAGTGCACACACACACAACCCCCACTGCCGCTACCACCACTTTCCACTTATACCAATAACTCCATGCTCTCACATTTTTAAAGATTTGACTATGCTATCTGTCCCTCCCTTCCCTCCTGATCATTCTTCCCTTCCTTTATGGATCAACTTAAATGTTGTTCACATGCAAGCTTTTTTTGACTTGACCTCTGTCTGTGATAAGAGAAAAACATACTCCTCTAAGATAGCATTTATTATTTTATTTGTAAAACTTGTTTAATTTTTTCCCCACTGAGTTATAATCTCAGAAGAAAGTGTTTATCTTGCTCACCACAAAATCTCCAGGATTTATCAGAGTGTCCAGAAGACACTATTGTATGTTTAAAAATTGTTAATGGATGAATGAATGATGACTGAATAAAGACACAGAGCTACCTCAGTAACAACTTCAAATTAAAAGATATATAGCATATACTGTTAGATAGCCTAGAATAAATATTAATTTCATATTTATCCTGTGCCTTTTTACTTCTCTGTGGTCTTTCCTTAATAATGTAGATACTTATTTCATAGTTATTGATGGTCCCTTCTTTCAATATGAGAGTAAGGAACTTGGAGTAAAAAGAATGTATGCAATGAAACTGTTAAAGCCTTTTTTAGAGAAATGAAACACAAACATAAGAATGACAGCTCATACACAGTGAAATTGAGCTTCCCTTTTACCTCTGTGTTTTATGGCAGCCGCAGATGCCTGAAATTACAGATGTGCCTATAAACCCCCAACACGCTAAAACCTTTAGTTGCTCCTTTGAAGGTGTCATTTGTATAGCTACATCTTTAAAAGGTGGCAATTTTTCCCATATCCTGAAAACACTCACCCATTAAGCCCTGTTGTATTGCTCTTACCTTCTTGCTATTATCATATTACTCTTTATTCTTGACATCCAATCTATCGAAAGTGAGAGACTTGCTGTGCTGTTTCCATTCACGTGCTGCCAGGTTGCTGGGGACGAGGATAATCTGTCATTTTGGGTCAGGAGGGAGGCTGGAAACAGTTAGATGAATAGTGAGTCATGGTCTTTGCTTTTATGATTTTTTCCATTTTGAACTAACTTTCAGACTTTTTATTACTGTTGTTAGTCCACTGTTACTTCTACAGGATATTCTATAAAGAACAAAAAAGAATAAACTTTGGATTATTCATTTTCACTATCAAATAAACCTATCATGGTTATTTAAAGTGCAATTTGGTTCTCTGAAGACATTTTCTACATCACATTTAGGATCTTCTGCTAACACAGGAAGTTAATTTGCTTTTCCTTCACTCAAGGTATTGACAAATAGTAATGAAAACTAGCTCTTGGACCACCCCTGCCACATATCATCAATAAACAGCTAACCATTGACAAGTCTGCCATTGAAACAAAATTCGGAATATATGTCCCCTCACCCAGGAAATTCCAGCTTTGAGGAGTTAGAGTAGGAACCAGAAGCTACTAGTATCTTTTGTAATTAGCAAGTCACTATCACATACTCTAATTAAATCACATGATCCCCAGGACCCTTAGAAGCAAATGATTTACTCCAAAATTAAAGGCTCTTTTCTATCCAGCATTGTATATCTATATTCCAGCCTTGAAAAGACACCACAATTAGATGTAAAAATTGCTTGTGAAAATTACTTACTGTGTACATTGTTAGGTAAACTGTTTATAGAAATAAAAGATACACATTCCTATGAATCTGTAGAAGTATTGTCTGGCTAGAATAATGAGAACATAGTTCAAACAAGAAGAATTTGGTTTTGATTAGGAAAAGAACAAAGTCCAAATAAGAATGTCATACCCATTGATATAAGTGGACAGTGATATTCTGGTACCAAAGATGCAATAAGTGAGCAAGAGGTCAAGTCCGGAAGAACCTAGGACTCGGTAACCAGAACTGTGAACTTCAGGAGAGCTGAGGCGATACTGGAGCTAAGCCAGGAAGGATAAGGAGCTTTTGCACTTCTGTTCCTCTGCATGGAATGTTCTTCCTTACACCATTGCATGAATCTCCTTTTTATTCTTCAGTTCTCAGTTCAAATACTTCCTCAGAAAGACCTTTTCCGACAACCCTGTTACTATACTGTCAGTACAGAAGACTTGCTTTATATCATTGCCAGTTCCTTTTTTCATAGCTACAACACATCTTCAATTATCTTATTTTGAATTTTACTTGCTTTTATTTACCTCTTTTTGAATGGTTTTTAAGTTTTATAAGATCAAGGACCTTCTCTATCATCCCCACAGACCAGAATATAATATGACAATGCACGAAGGAGGTGCCCAGGAAATACTGTGGCATGAAAGAAGGAAGGAAGGAAGACATTCATACGTCCCTTGTATAGACATTGGCATGCACACTACATATATAATCGAATTCTTCTCAAATTTGTCTTGATTAGACACAGTTCCTCTCAATAGAAGATAATGCAATGCATCAATTCCATCCTCAACTATCTGGAATCCCTTGCCATATAAAGGATGCTCTATTGCTGCAAAAAGCCTCATTTAGTCTTCATGATATTCTGTGGCAGTGGTGTTATTACTTATCCTGGAGATGAGGAAAGTTACAAACAGGACATGAACTGAGATTTTCTATCTCTAAATCTCTTGCTCTTTCCTCCAAACTAAATTCTTAGCTTCTCAGTATCTGTGGTACTGAAATAAAAGAAATACAAATGTTGGTTGTACACTAATCTCCTTTTGCCTTTGTTTTTCTTTCTCCTGGCTTTTATGTATCTAGAAGTATATCTGAGAGATAAAGAGGGAGAGAGAAAGAGCCATAGCATGTGCATGTATGTGAGAGAGAGCGACGGAGAGACAGATACAGAGAGACAGAAAGACGCACACACACAGAGTAAGAGAAGGAGACAGAGAGCAGAGAGGGAGAGAGAAAAAGTAGTTTCTGTGGCAGTTTCCAAAATTTGCTACATTTTCTGGAGGTAATCAGCTAAAACTTTCTCCAACTCCTTATGTGTTACCTGGGGTCAGGGCAGTTTATTATGATAAACATTGATATGAACATAGAAAATGTGAATTCCAATATTGACATCAACATGCATCAGCTTTGTGTCTTTGGGCAAGTTACTTCCTCTTTCTAGACCTCAGATTTCCCATCTCTAAAATGAGAATAATATCATTTACCTTATATCGGTGTTGGAAAACCTAAATGAGAGTTTGTACTTTGAAATGCTAATGTGTTGGGCACCTTTAAAATCATCACAAAAATGTGGAGCCTTCTCCCTTAGGTTATATTTTTCCTTCTCAGTATTCTAAATATAGCGCATATAGATAGATAGATAGATAGATAGATAGATAGATAGATAGATAGATTGTGCATATAAAAAGATTGTGTATATATAAAGATTGTGTATTGCTTAGGCATTTCTATATTTACTCCAGCAATCCTTTTTTTGTGTGTACTTCATAAATCTAGTTTAGGCTACTGCGATGTTAGGTATCTATTTAGTTGTTTTTATACTTTTATTAGTCTTCCTGATAATCCACAAGTATGGAATTAGATACTATCTGTGATTGTGAATATTTTTTCTTGTTATAACTCTAACTAAATTTAAAAAGAATTACAGAAACAAAATTTGGAAAGATCCTTAGAGGACATTACTTTCAAAGCCAGCTGAATAAAACTTGCCTGGGGAGCTTGGTAAAAATACAGACATCACAATCCAACTCCATAGATTTGGATTTAGTAGGTATGGAAAAGTACCCAGAAACTAGTGCTTTTATGAATCTCTCCAGGGGATTCTGATGCACAGCCAAGTTTGAGAAGCAATGTAATATAGACGAGCAGTTTTCAAAAGTTGTTCAATCAGTGGAACACTCCTTTAATTCTTTACTTGAAACCCCAACATATAAAACTAATAAAAGCACAACTGTTCTAATTGAAGGGAATGATAAACACCTCATCAGCTCCCCTTCTCTCAAAACCTGAGAACTACTGAGGAACTCCAGTAAGGACCAGAGGCTGGAAATGATTGACCTAGACCAAGCCTTTCATAATATTACTCATAGTCATTCGGCTCCAGTTTAAATGCTACCAGTGACATGAGATCTCTCATTTATAAATAGCCTTTGCTACTGAGATGTAGTTATTTATTTACTAGTAATATGTTGCTCCCTTAGAGTTCTGTAGGCTTGTGTATTGACATAATTAAATAATTGTTGGATTAAGTATAAAACTAACAAACCCACACACCTACAGTGAACTCATTTTTGACACAGGTGCTAAGAACATACATTAAGGAAAAGACAGTCTTTTCAATAAATGGTACTGGGAAGACTTGATATCCATATGAAGAAGAATAAAATTAGACCCCTATCTCTTGCCATATACAAAAATCAAATCAAAATGGATTAAAGGCTTAAATCTAATACCTCAAACTATGAAACCACTACAAGAAAACATTGGGGAAAATCTCTAGGATATTGGTTTGGGCAAAAATTTCTTGAGCAATACCCCACAAGCACAAGAAACCAAAGCAAAAATGGACAAATGAGAGCACATCAAGTTAAAAAGCTTCTGTGACGCAAAAGATACCATCAAAAAAGTGAAGCAACAACCAACAGAATAGGAGAAAACATTTGTAAACTACCCATCTGACAAGGGATGTATAAGGAGTTCAAACAACTCTATAGAAAAAAGTCTAATATACTGATCAAAAAACCGGCAAAAGATTCAAATATACATTTCTTAAAAGAAGACACACAAATGGCAAATAAGAATATGAAAATGTACTCAACATCATCACTGAAAATCAGAGAAATGCAAATCAAAACTACAATGAGATAGCATCTCACCCCAGTTAAAATGGCTTATATCCAAAACAGAGGCAATAACAAATGCTGGTGAGGATGTGGAGAAAAGGGAACAACTGTACACTGTTGGTGGGCATGTAAATTAGTACAACCACTATGGAGAACAGTTTGGAGGTTCCTCAAAAGAATAAATACTGAGCTACCATATGATCCAGCAATCCCACTTCTTGGTATATACCCAAAAGAAAGGAAATCAATATATTAAAGAGATGTCTGCTTTCCTATATTTGTTGCAGCTCTGTTTACAATAGCTAAAATTTGTAAGCAACCTAACTGTCCATCAACACATGAATTAATGATGAAAATGTGGTACATACACACAATGGAGTAGTATTCAGCCATAAGAAAGAACGAGGCTGGGTGCAGTGGCTCACGCCAGTAATCTCAGCACTTTGGGAGGCCAAGGTGGGCGGATCATGAGGTCAGGAGTTCGAGACCAGCCTGACCAACATGGCGAAACCCCATCTCTACTAAAAATACAAAAATTAGCTGGGCGTGGTGGCAGGCACCTGTAATCCCAGCTACTCAGGAGGTTGAGGCATGAGAATCAGTTGAACCCGGGAGGCAGAGGTTGCAGTGAGCTGAGATTGCACCACTGCACTCCAGCCTCACTGACAGAGTGAGACTATGTCAAAAAAAAAAAAAAAAAAAGAGAGAGAGAGAGAAAAAGAATGAGATGCAGTCATTTGCAACAACGTGGATGGAATTGGAGATCATTATGTTAATGAAAATAAGCCAGGCTCAAAAAGACAAACATCACACGTTCTCACTCATTTGTGGGATCTAAAAATCAAAACAATTGAACTCATGGACATAGAGAGTAGAAGGATGGTTACCAGAGGCTGGAAAGGGTAGTAGAAGGGTATGGGAGAGGTGGGAATGGTTAATGGGTACAAAAATTATATATAGTTAGAAAGAATGAATAAGACCTACCCATCTGACAAGGGATAGAATATATAAGGAGTTCAAACAACTCTATAGAAAAAATTATAATAATCTGATGAAAAAATGGGCAAAAGATTCAAATAGACATTTCTTAAAAGAAGACATACAAATGGCAAATATATAGTTAGAAAGAATGAATAAAACCTACCCATCTGACAAAGGATAGAATGTATAAGGAGTTTAAACAACACTACAGAAAAACACACAACTATAGTCACAATAACGTAATCTTATATTTTGAAATAAATTAAACAGAGTGATTGGGTTGTTTGTAACTCAAAGGATAAATGCTTGTGGGGATGGATACCCCATTCTCCATGATATGTTTATCTCACATTGTATGTCTGTATCAAACCATCTCATTTACCCAATATATAATATATATATATATATTCACCTAATATGTACCCACAAAAATTAAAAATTAAAAAGTATAAAACTAAAATTCTTCCTAGTGTGAACACAATCCTTAGTCCTTCTTCTCACCCCTGACTCTCAGTATTCTAATCACTCTCTTTTCCATCTCCTTAAATATTTTCTAAGTGTCTTTTTTTTTCTTTCCCAATAGCCATGTAACTAAATAACAACATACAGAAGTAGACAACGTTTTGTCATTGCTTAAAAAAAATATAATATGGAGATCCTATTTCTGTGACAAAGATAAAAAAGTAAACTGGCTTCCATGTGTCATTTCTTGATATAGTTTATAAATATCACAAGTTTTTTTTTTTCTGCTTATTCTACAGCACTTACATACAAAATTGTCTTTGAGGACTTTTTCTGTGCTCAGCCATGTATTAGTGTTGTATGTACAAAAGTCAGTCATATTCAGCTTCTGTCCTTCATGAATTCACAAGGTAGAAGAGGAGACTAACAGTTGTAATATAATGAAGTAAGTGCCAAATGAGACCAAAAAAGGGAAGGTGACTAGCTACAGGAAGAGGTGCTATTTGAATTGCACCAAGAAGAGTTAATAGAAGAAACAGAAAAGGAAAGGAGAGAAAGAATAGGCCAGTAAAGTTCAAGAAAGCAGTTTCTTTTAGAAACAAAACAAAAAACAAACAATAACAACAACAACCCAGAAAAAGAAAAGGAATATTTGGAATGTTTACCAAAATAATCATGAGGAACACAACATCCCTAAGAAATTCCTACAATTCTTATTTGTGAATTCTAAATAAATCTAAGCTTTGGAAGAAAAATTATTTCAACTGCATCATTATTCAAAAAATCATTCGATTAATATTGGCAATATGGACTTTACTTTGTTAAAGAATCTATGGATCAAAGGTGTGTTGCGACGAGGTAGGAATCATTATTTTCATTATTAACCTTATAGAACTATTTGACTTTTTAAACTATGTATGTAAAACTTAAAAGTTAAAGTTAAGTTAGAAAAAAGTATACAGGATGTTATGTCATCATTTATTAAAAATTCAGAGAATGAGTAAAAGAGGGCTTTGTGATAATTACAGGAAAAGCATTATATCAACAAAAGAGAGAAATTTATTTTACATTAAAGGAAAAAAATTGCTATGGATCAGCAGGCGAGGTTGTACATCGTCAATTCAGCATTACTGACAGCTTCCTGTAAGTCAGTTTAACAAAGAATCCTGCTAAGCCAACTTAGCAAGAATCCCCTGCCCTTGATATTCAATCAAACTTCTCTTCCTCCATCATCGATACCTAACCAAGTTCCTCTTAGTAATTTTCCATCCACTCCCTCATCGCAGTTGGCGTTAAATCCCTATTTGTTCTTTTGTATTAGGAGCTGAGTTCAATCTCTCTTTATTACAATAGTTTTGACCCTTACTACAAGTCTTGAAAAAAATATTCCTTGCAATTTTTACTAAGTGTCCAGGGCGAAAATTTTTTTCTTTAACAGTGGCAAGAAAAAAATCCAATTTTAGTCAAATTCTTTTACACTAATTATAATGTAACAATTTAAATATTCTCTTTAGTGAATCTTTTTGTTTATTCCCTTCTTCCTATGTTCCCTTAGAATGGTGCCTGAGTGTGTAGGAGAGCCTTACTTGACCTTGTGCTAATCTCTGCATGTGTGCCAACTTGAGTCCACCAGTGTTTTGCAGGCTTTATCCTATCTTTGATTGTTAGGAACCTCTCTTTGACTGATAAAATTGTGGTCTATTATTTTTCAGCTTGATTCAGACCCGGTGGCCCCTCTCTGCTGGGTAAGCCTTTGCTAGGCTCTCAGTAGTTCTGAAGACATTTTGAGTTTCTATGAAACACTTCATCTGGCACCTGGTTTATCTCTGCCTCTGAAAAATACCTGCATGACCAAGAACTATTGTATAATGACACCTGGCTTCCACTATGGCTCCATAGGATTCTTACCAGTTCTCGTATCTGTGTCCATGCCACACACCAGCAAAGGGACCCGCTAAATTACAAAATAGACCCTCTTTGTGGTTGACCATGATTCCCATGTTAGCATGGATTTGTTCTGTATGGTGACCTCTTCAGATCACTAATGGGGACTACAGCTAGAGTCCTCCCCATCTACGATTTTCAAGCTATCAATTTCTCATGAATCTGTATCTTCAATCCAATATCTCACCAACTTCGCTCTCATCTTCAGTTGTCTCTACTCATAATTATCCCTGGATGAAAAAGGAGTAAAGTTCCCTTTTACTGCTTCTATGTTACATCCTGAGGTAGCTTCCTTTCATTATGGAATAAATTCTATGATGTGATCCAAAAGCCCAGTGCTTTATATTTCAAATAGGAGGTAAAGGATTAAAAAACAAATAGAAAAATAAAACAAACCAACTTTTTACTTTTAAAATACTGTTTAACCTGCTATAACATAATATTGAATTTTTATTTCTCTAGGAATTTCTTTTATAGCAATCCTAATGCCCATTTCAAGCCCCTCAAACATACAACAAAAAGGAACAAAAAGCAGAAACAAAATTCTTCAGTAAGAGAACAGTAAGATTAAGCAGATTGGTAAGGAGGACAAATGCAAGATATAATACAGAAATCAATGGCTTTTTTATACTAGCAATGTGGCTTGAAATTGAAATGGTATGAAATTATACATTTACAATAACAACAAAAACTATCAGATACTAAGGTGTTAATTTAACAAGAAAATTCAAGATCTAAGTGAAGAACAACATGAAATCTTATTATTAAGGGGCACAAAACCAAAACAAGCAAATGAAGATCTATACTATATTCTTAGATGGGAAAACTTAGTATCATTAAAATGTAAGTTTCCCCAAAAATTAATATATATTTTTTAGTTCCAACACCACAGATTTTTTAAAGGGATATGGATAAAGTATCTTAAAGTTAGTATATCAGAATTATAGGAACTCATAAAGAAACAGGTAATGGAAGAATATTCATTCCACCTGATATTAAAAATTATTATATATTTTCTGCAATTCAATTGTATTGTCATAGGAAGAAAAAATAGATCAATGGAACAAAACTAGTAGTTTAGAAATATAACACAGCATAAGTGGAGATCCACTATTTGACAAAGGTGGTTTTAATTAATCAGCAAATATATAATTTATTTAATAAAGAATGTTGGAACAACTGGCCATCCATCTGGCAATACATAAAGCTGAACTGGTACCTCATACATGAAGAGATACAAAAATAAATCCAAATGTGTTAAGAAACTAAATGTAAAATGAAATACATAAAGAAAGATAGATATGCAAATATAACTTTGGATAGGGAAAACTTCTTAAACAAAATGAAAAATCCAGAAGTTTTAAAAGATAAGATAGCTATATTTAACTATGTAGAAATTAAACATTTTTTGTATGGAAAATAATACCACAAAACAGTAAAAAATAGATTAAAAAATATTTTCAACATATTTAACAGAAAAAAAAATTGCTAACCATAGTACAAAAAGAACTTTTTCCAAATTCATAAGAAAAAGTCAAACCACTTAATAGAGAAATAATCAAATAATACGAACACATAAATAACTGGAGAACAAATCCAAATGTAATTAATATACAGTCAGTAGACATATAACCTCATCAGTAGGCAAGGAAATATAAGCTAATATCATTAAGACATTTCTGGTAATTACCAGACTGGCAAAATTAAAACCAAAGGAGAGCTAAAGACCTTTCTGGTGAGAATGGACACAGAACAGAATAAAAGAAAAATAATTTTTCCCTGTGGTAAATAATGTCAATATATATTAAAAATACAAATAACCTTTGTATCAGTCAGCATTCTGGGCTGTAATAAGAGAAATGGGTCCTGAAATTTAAATAGGAAAGCAACTTATTGACAGAATATCAATCATTTACAGAATTTACAAAAAGACTAAAGAATGAAACAATGAAAATGGGCAAGGAAGAGACCTGGGCAAGATGGCCAAATAGGACCAGCTCCTTTCTGCAGCTCCCAAGGAGATCAATGCAGAAGGCGGGTGATTTCTGCATTTCCAACTGAGGTACTTGGCTCATCTCATTGGGACTGGTTAGACAGTGGGTGCAGCCCATGGAGGGCAAGCAGAAATAGGGTAAGGCATCGCCTCACCCAGGAAGCACAAAGGGTTGGGGAACTCCCTCTCCTAACCAAAGGAAGCTGTGAGGGACTGTGCCCCAAGGAATGGTGTATTCCAGCCCAGATACTACATTTTTCCCACAGTCTTTGCAACCCACAGACCAGAAGATTCCCTCCGGTGCCTACACCACTAGGGCCCTGGGTTTCAAACACAAAACTGGGCGGCCATTTGAGCAGACACTGAGCTAGCTGCAGGAGTTTTTTTTCGTACCCCAGTGGCACCTGGAATGCCAGCGAGACAGAATCATTCACTCCCCTGGAAAGGGGACTGAAGCCAGGGAGCCAAGTAGTCTAGCTTAGCAGATCCCACCCCCATGGAGCCCAGCAAGCTAAGATCCACTGGCTTGAAATTCTCACTGCCAGCACAGCAGTCTGAAGTCCATCTGGGATGCTCAAGCTAGGTTGGGGGAGGGGTGTCTGCCATTATTGAGGCTTGAGTAGGCAGTTTTCCCCTCACAGTGTAAACAAAGCCACTGGGAAGTTCAGACTGGGCAGAGCCCACCACAACACCTCAAAGCCCCTGTAGCCAGACTGCCTCTCTAGATTCCTCCTCTTTGAGAAGGACATCTCTGGAAGAAAGGCAGCAGCCCCAGTCAGGTGATAATAAATAAAACTCCCATTTCCCTGTACAGAAACCTGGGAGAAGGGGCAGCTGTGGGTGCAGCTTCAGCAGACCTAAACATTGCTGCCTGCCAGCTCTGAAGAGAGCAGCAGATCTCCCAGCACAGTGCTCCAGCTCTGCTAAGGGACAGACTGCCTCCTCAAGTGGGTCCCTGACCCCCGTGCCTCCTGACTGGGAGACACCTCCCAGCAGGGGTCAACAGACACCTCATACAGGAGAGCTCTGGCTGTCATCTGGCAGATTCCCCTCTGGGATGAAGCTTCCTTAGTAAGGAACAGGCAGCAATATTTGCTGTTCTGCAGCCTCTGCTGGTGATACCCAGGCAAACAGGGTCTGGAGTGGAACTCCAACACACTCCAGCAGACCTGCAGCAGAGGGGCCTGACTATTAGAAAGAAAACTAACAAACAGAAAGGAATAGCATCAATATCAACAAAAAGGATGTCCATATAAAAATCTCATCTGAAGGTCACCAACATCAAAGACCAAAGGTAGATAAATCCACAAAGATGAGAAAAAAACAGTGCAAAAAGGCTGAAAATTCCAAAAACCAGTACAGCTCTTCTCCTCCAAAGGATCACAACTCCTCATCAGCAAGGGAGCAAAACTGGACAGAGAATGAGTTTGACGAATTGACAGAAGTAGGCTTCAGAAGGTGTGTAATAACAAACTCCTCCAAGCTAAAAAAGCATGCTCTAACCCAATGCAAGGAAGCAAATAACCTTGAAAAAAGGTTAGAGGAATTGCTAACTAGAATAACCAGTTTAGAGAAGAACATAAATGACCTGATGGAGCTGAAAAACACAGCACGAGAACTTAGTGAAGCATACACAAGTATCAATAGCTGAATCAATCAAGAAGAAAAAAGGATATCAGAGATTGAAGATCAACTTAATGAAATAAAGCAGGAAGACAAGATTAGAGAAAAAAGAAAAGGAATGAAAAAAACTTCCAAGATATGTGGGATTGTTTGAAAAGACCAAACCTACGTTTGATTAGTGTATCTGAAAGTAACAGGGAAAATGGAACCAAGTTGGAAAACACTCTTCAGGATATTATCCAGGAGAAATTCCCCAACCTAGCAAGACAGGCCAATATTCAAATTCAGGAAATACAGAGAACACCACAAAGATACTCCTTGAGAAGAGCAACCCCAAGACACATAATCGTCAGATTGAACAAGGTTGAAATGAAGGAAAAAATGTTAAGGGCAGCCAGAGAGAAGGTCCGGTTACCAACAAAGGGAAGCCTGTCTCTCTGCAGATCTCTCTGCAGAAACCCTGCAAGCCAGAGGATAGTGGGGGCCAATAGGCCCAGAATTTCATATCCAGCCAAACTGAGGTTCATAAGTGAAGGAGAAATAAAATCCTTTACATACAAGCAAATACTGAGAGATTTTGTCACCACCAGTCCTCCCTTACAAGAGCTCCTGAAGGAAGCACTAAGCATGGAAAGGAAAAACTGGTACCAGCCACTGCAAAAATATACCAAATTGTAAAGATATCGACACTATGAAGAAACTGCATCAACTAACGGGCAAAATAACCAGCTAACATCATAATGACAGGATCAAATTCACACAAAACAATACTAATCTTAAATGTAAATGGGTTAAATGCCCCAATTAAGAGATACAGACTGGCAAATTGGATAAAGAGTCAAGATTCATCAGTGTGCTGTATTCAGGAGACACATCTCACGTGCAAAGACACACATAGGCTCAAAATGAAGGGATGGAGGTATATTTACCAAGCAAGGGGAAAGCAAAAAAAGCAGGAGTTGCAATCCTAGTCTCTGATAAAACCGACTTTAAACCAACAAAGATCAAAAAAGACAAAGAAAAACATTACATAATGGTAAAGGGATTAATGAAACAAGAAGAGCTAACTAACCTACATATATATGCACCCAATGCAGGAGCACCCAAATTCATAAAGCAAGCTCTTAGAGATCTACAAAGAGACTTAGACTCCCACACAATAATAGTGGGAGGCTTTAACACCCCACTGTCAATATTAGATTAATGAGACAGAAAACTAACAAGGCTATTCAGTACTTGAACACAGCTCTGGACCATGTGGACCTGATAGACAACTACAGAACTCTCCACCCCAAATCAACAGAATATACATTCTTCTCAGCACCACATCACACTTATTCTAAAATTGACCACACGATTGGAAGTAAAACACTCCCCAGCAAATGCAAAAGAACAGAATTCATAACAAACAGTCTCTCAGGCCACAGTGCAATCAAATTAGAGCTCGGGATTAAGAAACTCACTCAAAACTGCACAACTACATATAAACTAAACAACCTGCTCCTGAATGACTACTGGGTAAATAACGAAATTAAGGCAGAAATAAATAAGTTCTTTGAAACCAATGAGAACAAAGATACAATGTACCAGAATCTCTGAGACAAGGCTAAACCAGTGTGTTTACAGGGAAATTTGTAGCACTAAATGCCCACAAGAGAAAGTGGGAAAGATCTAAACTCAACACCTTAACATCACAATTAAAATAATTAAAATCAAAAGCTAACAAATTCAAAAGCTAGCAGAATACAAGAAATAACTAAGATCAGAGCAGAAGTGAATGAGATAGAGACATGAAAAAACCTTCAAAAAATCAGTGAATCCAGGAGCAGGTTTTTTGGAAAGATTAACAGAATAGATAGACTGGGAGCGAGACTAATAAAGAAGAAAAGAGACAAGAATCAAATAGAAATAATAAAAACCGATAAAGGGGATATCACCACTGATCCCACAGAAATACAAACTACCATCAGAGAATACTATAAACACCTCTACACAAATAAACTAGAAAATCTAGAAGAAATTGATAAATTCCTGGACACATATACCTTCCCAAGACTAAACCAGGAAGAAGTTGAATCCCGGAATAGAACAATAATGAGTTCTGAAATTGAGGCAGTAATTAACAGCCTACCAACCAAAAAAAACGCCCAGGACCAGACTGATTCACACCCAAATTCTACTAGAGGTACAAAGAGGAGCTGATACCATTCCTTCTGAAACTATTCCAAACAACAGAAAAAGAAGGACTCCTCTCTAACTGATTTTATAAGGCCAGCATCATCCTGATACCAAAACCTGGCAGAGACACAACAAAAAAAGAAATTTCAGGCCAATATCCCTGATGAACATCAATGTGAAAATTCTTAATAAAATACTGGCAAACCGAATCCAGCAGCACATCAAAAAGCTTATCCACCACAATCAAGTCAGCTTCATCCCTAGGATGCAAGGCTGGTTCAACATATGCAAATCAGTAAACATAATCCATCACATAAACAGAACCAGTGACAAAAACCACATGATTATCTCAATAGATGCAGAAAAGGACTTTGATAAAATTCAACACTGCTTCATGCTAAAAACTCTCAATAAACTAGGTATTGATGGAATGTATCTCGAAATTAATAAGAGATATTTATGACAAACCCACAGCCAATATCATACTGAATGGGCAAAAGCTGGAAGCATTCCCTTTGAAAACCAGCACAAGACAAGGATGCCCTGTCTCACCACTCCTATTCAACATAGTATTGGAAGTTCTGGCCAGGGCAATCAGGGAAGAGAAAGAAATAAAGGTTATTCAAATAGGAAGAAAGGAAGTCAAATTGTCACTGTTTGCAGATGACATGATTGCATATTTAGAAAACCCCATCATCTCAACCCCAAATCTCCTTAAGCTAATAAGCAACTTCAGCAAAGTCTCAGGATACAAAAATCAAATGTGTGAAAATCACAAGCATTCCTATACACCAATAATAGACAGAGATCCAAATAATGAGTGGACTCCCATTCACAATTGCTACAAAGAGAATAAAATACCTAGGAATACAACTTACAAGGGATGTAAAGGACCTCTTCAGGGAGAGCTACAAACCACTGCTCAACAAAATAAAAGAAGACACAAATAAATGGAAAAATATTCCATGGTCATGGATAGGAGGAATCAATATCATGAAAATTGCCATACTGTCCAAAGTAATTTATAGATTCAGTGCTATCCCCATCAAGCTACCATTGACTTTCTTCACAGAATTAGAAAAAATTGCTTTAAATTTCATATGGAACCAAAAAGGAGCCTGTATAGCCAAGACAATCCTGGGCAAAAAGAACAAAGCTGGAGGTGTCACGCTACCTGACTTCAAACTAAACTACAAGGCTGCAGTAACAAAAACAGCATGGTACTGGTACCAAAATAGATATGTGGGCCAATGAGAAAGAAGAGAGGCCTCAGAAATAATCTCACACATCTACAACCATCTGATCTTTGACAAACCAGACAAAAACAAGCAATGGGGAAAGTATTCCCTATTTAATAAATGGGGTTGAGAAAACTGGCTAGCCATACGCAGAAAACTGAAACTAGACCCCTTCCTTATACCTTATACAAACCTTAACTTGAGATGGATTAAAGACTTAAACATAAGATCTAAAACCATAAAAACCCTAGAAGAAAACCTAGGCAATACCATTCAGGACGTAATTATGGACAAAGAATTCATGGCTAAGACACCAAAAGCAATGGCAACAAAAAACAAAATTGACAAATGGAATCTAATTAAACTAAAGAGCTTCTGCAGAGCAAAAAGAAACTATCATCAGAGTGAACAGGCAACCTATGGAATGGGAGAACATTTTTGCAATCTATCCATCTGATAAAGGGCTAATATCCAGAATCTACAAGAAACTTAAACAAATTTACAAGAAAAAAAAACAACCCCATTAAAAAGTGGGCAAAGGACATGAACAGACACTTCTCAAAAGGAGACATTTATGCAGCCAATAAACATATGAAAAAAAGCTCATCATCACTGGTCATTAGAGAAATGCAAATCAAAACCAAAAAGAGATACCACCTCATGCCAGTTAGAATGGCGATCATTAAAACATCAGGAAACAGATGCTGGAGAGGATGTGGAGAAATAGGAACACCTTTACACTGTTGGTGGGAGTGTAAATTAGTTCAACCATTGTGGAAGGCAGTGTGGTGATTCCTCAAGGATCTAGAACCAGAAATACCATTTGACCCAGCAATTCCATTACTGGGTATATACTCAAGGGTTGTAAATCATTCTACTATAAAGACTCATGCACACGTATGTTTATTGCAGCACTGTTCACAATAGCAAAGACTTGGAACCAACCAAAATGCTCATCAGTGATAGACTGGATAAAGAAAATGTGGCACATATATACTATGGAATACTATGCAGCCATAAAAAAGGATGAGTTCATGTCCTTTGCAGGGACATGGATGAAGCTAGAAACCATCATTCTCAGCAAACTAACACAGGAACAGTAAACCAAACACTGCATGTACTCACTTATAAGTGGGAGTTGAACAGTGAGAACATATGGACACAGAGAGGGGAATATCACACACCGGGGCCTGTTGGGGGGTAGGGAACTAGGGGAGGGATAGCATTAGGAGAAATACCTGATGTAGATGACCGGTTGATGGGTGCAGCAAACCAGCATGGCACATGTGTAACTATGTAACAAACCTGCACGTTCTGTATATATATCCCAGAACTTAAAGTATAATAAATAATAGTAACAATAAAGAAAATGGGCAAGGATCGTTGAAATCTAAACAGCTGGAAACACAGCCAAGGGAAAGCCCAGGAACACCCTGTTCAGAGAATCTCTGTCCTTGCCAATGGATACTGTATACCATTCTTGACAGCCAATTCAATTTTTTAAAAAGGAAGACTTCACACTCTCAGTTTTTAAAATCAGGGTTTTGTTTTGTTTTTAAATTTTTAACTACCCAAAAATGTACTGAAGAAAGCAATGTCTCTTTAGGTGAAAACATACATTAAAAAGTTTTGAATTCCTTCTATTTCAGTTTAATTTCATTTTTTCAGAAAAAAGTCAACTGAAAAAATTTTATGAAATATCAAAATGTATATATTAATATATGTACTCACACGTATGTAAATGATTTTTATTTATTTTAAATAAATATCTCTGGGTAGTAGGATAATTTAAGTAGTTTTTTACACATTTTAATGATGTGTAATTTTGTTACAGCAAGATGATATATTAGTCTGTTTTCATGCTGCTGATAAAGACATACCCAAGACTGGGCAATTTACAAAAAAAAAAAAAAAAAAAAAAGACATTTATTGGACTTACAGTTCCACATGGCTTGAGAGGCCTCACAATCATGGCGGAAGGTAAAAGGCACATTTCACATGACAGCAGACAAGGGAAGAGAGCTTGTGCAGGGGACTCCCCTTTTTAAAACCATCAGATCTCATGAGACTTATCCACTATCACAAGAACAACAGAGGAAAGACCTGCCCCATGATTCAATTACCTGCCACCAGGTCCCTCCAGAAACATGTAGGAATTCAAGATGAGATTTGGGTGGGTATACAGCCAAACCATATCACATGAGCTTTATTAAAACAATAATATCATTATTTTAGTTAAAATAAGAATGAATCATTGATTTATTTTTGAGAAAGAATAGCGTTACTTTAAATACGGACTAGTAAATAGCAGACTAGTTTTTCTCATAATAAAATATTTCTAGAGAGAGGGTCAGTTCCAAGTTTGGTTCCAAAGTTCAGCCCAGTCAAGGTCCTGAGTTGGATTTTTACAATTTTCTATTTTGGCCTTAAGGAGACTACAGTAGCACCAAGAATCTTGGACCACATAACTATTTTCAAAGGTAGGAAACACAGGGCATTGCCTCTCCCTTCTCAGAGACACCCATCAGCTTTCTCCTTTATCTCATTTTCACCCCTACATTATGCCTGACTCTCCTGACATCAGGAGACCTCTGGATGACAGCAGAACAAAATCAGGACTCTGTTAACCAGGAATGGGGAGAAAGAAGTAATGGCCTTTGGAAAAGCAATCTACACTGTCTACTATATCCATTTGTTTAAATTTCCATATAGGAAGAAATAGAGATGAGAGAGAATAAGAGAAAAGAGGAAAGAAGGAAAGGAGAGGAGAGGAGAGGAGGGACGGAGGGAGGGAGGGAGGCAGGAAGGAAGAAAAAGAAAGAAAGAAAAAGAAAGAAAGAAAGAAAGAAAGAAAGAAAGAAAGAAAGAAAGGAAGGAAGGAAGGAAGGAAGGAAGGAAGGAAGGAAGGAAGGAAGGAAGAAAGAAAAAGAAAGAAAGAAGGAAGGAAGGAAAGAAAGAAGGAAAGAAAGAAAGAAAGAGAGGGCGAGCATTAGGACAAATAACTAATGTATGTGAGGCTTAAAACCTAGACGACGGGTTGATAGGTGCAGCAAACCAATATGGCACATGTATACCTATGTAACAAACCTGCGTGTCCTGCACATGTATCCCAGAACTTAAAGTAAAAGAAAAAAAGAAAGAAAGAAGAAGGAAGGAAGGAAGGAAGGAAGGAAGGAAGGAAGGAAGGAAGGAAGGAAGGAAGGAGGGAGGGAGGGAGGGAGGGAGGGAGGGAGGGAGGGAGGGAGAGAAATGCTTCATAAACAGCTCTAAATTTCTATATATGTCTGTAACATGTTTACTTTTGTATCAACTATAATTAGGAATTTAAGATCTCAACTTATCTAATCATCCAAGGAAAAAGATTGGTACTTTTATTAGATTGTTTGTTCTTTTGCTCTTCATTAATCCTTAGGAAGAGAGCTTGAATATTAATAACAGCTTCTCTTTACAATGTATTTCCTTGGCTTTTACTGTGAAGCAATGAAATTTTGGGGCTTAAAAAATTTAGACAATTGGCAGAGTCATAGTCCAATGATAGACTTGTCTCGAAAATGATGAGAATAAATGATATTAAAATTAGTATTCAATATACACTTTATAATGTTTTCTATACTCTATAGAAATTATTTGCTGATAAACTTCAAAACCTGATACAGTATACTCAATTTTTCTTAAAAATCCAAATGTGACTTTTTTTTCTTGTGCACTTTTGCGTTACACTTTTGTAAACAATTTGGGATTGAGAAAGAAGTAGTAAATAGCAAAGATAAGATTTAAGAGAAATTGGAAGGTGGTAATCAAATAACTTCATGCAGCAATGACTATGATTTTTTTTTCTTAGCTTTTGAATAAATTCTTAGCTGAACAACTGATTCATTATATTGGTGAGGCAAACAGAAGCCTTTGTAAAACCAAAAAATAAGTTATAAAATACAATTATCACCTCAGGAAAATAAAATCAAGCAAGTTGAGGGAAGCTACTTTTAATCTCTGTGCACATTTCCAATCTAGAAAGGCTTGTTTTGCTTCTACATTAAGAGAAATTGGTGAGTCTTAAAGGAGCATTCTCATCAGAGTCTGATAAGATTGAGTTCGGAATAAGTAGGTAACAATTACAGATAATGAAAATGGTATCTAATTGCACCTAGATGTTTGGGATTTTTTTTCCAGGTCTTCATTTCTTTGTATAATCTTTTAAAGATGGCTCTTAGGAATCCCAGTTAACGTTTTACTGTTTTAATAAAGAGCTCCATTTTTGTACTAAATTAGAAGTAATAGTCATTTAGTTAACTCTGTCTACTCCATAAAACCCAGTGTGAGACACCTATTCAAAACCATTACTCATCCAGTGACAACTCAGTAACTTTTTTTTTTTTTGAGATGGAGTCTCGCTCTCGCTCTGTCACCCAGGCTGGAGTGCAGTGGCACGATCTCAGCTCGCTGCAACCTCCGTCTCCCAGGTTCAAGCGATTATGCTGTCACAGTCTCCTGAGTAGCTGGGATTACAGGCATGCACCACCATGCCCGGCTAATTTTTGTATTTTTAGTAGAGACAGGGTTTCACCATGTTGGCCAGGCTGGTCTTGAACTTTTGACCTCATGATCCTCCCACCTGCTGGGATTACAGGCGTGAGCCGCCGCACCTGGCCAGTGACAACCCAATAACTTTTAAGCAAAATACACAAAAGCGATTCCAGGACCTACAAACCAAAGGAAAGACTGGGAACACTGCGTTTCCTTTCCTTTATGGAGAATTGGACCAAGACACTTAAAAGTATTAAAAGAAAGAATATTCAGGAAAACTGACAGTAAAGACAGTGCAAACAACAAAATATTAAGCTATAAAACCATATCAAAGTAAGTGAGGAGCTTGTATTTTGGCCAATAAACATGCAACCAAGTTCATTATTTTCTTTTTATCCCTCAACCTTGGTTAATTACTTGAGGTAAATATAATATTTGGGCAAAGATTAAAAACCAGATTGTAACATGTATGTCACTTAAGATCCAGTGTGGAAACAGTTTTAAACTTCATCTGGTTCTGATATGGTTTGAGCATGAACCAGTTATTTGTTTCTTTTTTTATGATTCGTTTAACCTTAATTAAATAGTTTTGTGTCTTCTGTCATTGTTGGAATTCTTCTATTTTCAAATGTATAGGCAACAACCTGGGGCTTTATTTGGTTGTTCTGAACTGGGCATTATAATAGGCTTTTGTTTGTGTATCTGGGAGAATGGAAATCTGGGTTGTAAGATTTAATTAAGAGAAGTCATTTTATAAAAGATTTGGTGATGTTCTTTCTCTGAGTGGTACTTCGGTAGAGCTGCTTCACAAGTAGTGAACATAGAAGACTGATTTGATTGTTGAAAAATGAATAAAATCTGCATCAAATCCCTCCAAACTAATTATGAGTTTGAGCCATTTTTTCTAACCCTATGGAATTCTAGTATCTAAAGTTCAATAAATTACAAAATGAGAGACAAAATTCCTTCTTCCTTTGGTTGGGGGGCAGTGGCAGGGGACAGAGTCTCACTTTATCACACCAGGCTGGAGTGCAGTGGCATGATCTTGGCTCATTGCAACCTCTGCATCCCAGGTTCAAGCAATTCTTCTGCCTCAGCTTCCCATGAAGCTGGGATTACAGATGCCCGCCACCACGCCCAGTTTATTTTTGTATTTTTAGTAGAGACAGGGATTTACCATGTTGGCCAGGCTGGTCTCAAACTCTTGACCTCAAGTGTTCCTCCCACCTCAGCCTCCCAATCTGCTGGGATTACAGGCAAGAGCCACCATGCCCAGCCTCCTTCTTAAAGAAAATGCAAAAAGCAAGCATGTATTTGAAGAGTTTAAACTGAATTTTATTTGTGGGGTATTAGTGAAAGAATAAGAGACATATTTGAGATTCTTTCCTGCAATATGTTTGCCACTTTAAATTTATTTTGAGACATGAAAGTAAATTTGCTTTAAAGTATAGTAGGAACAGGCGAGGGAATTATGTATAGACTCTTTCCTTCATTGCATATACAAAAGTGAGGAGGAAGAGTTTTTCTGTCATTGCTCTTGTTTACACACATGTGCACACACACACATGCATTCCCTGAGAGCCTCTGGAATAAATGTGACATTAAGTGGTGACGCAGAATTCAGAATTCAATTTCTAGCCAGAAGTTTTATGCAGAAACTATAGGTATATGTAAAAAAAAAAACAAAACAAAATCTCAGTAAAGAGTCTCCAGCCCAGAGTTAAAGCAGTCATGTTAGTTCCTTTATTTTACTTTATTCTGCATCTAACATCAGTAAACAAAGAGACCTACCAATGGGAATTAATTACCTAATCATAGAAAATACATGAAAGTGGTCAAACGCCATGGTTGTCAAGCACAACACTCAACACATTTTCATTAAAGGAGGGCATTTGCCAGATACAATAGAGCCTGGAACTCCTAGGGGACTGAAAGACAATCAACAAGGACTAATGAAAGCAGCTACAAGTTGGTAATAACCTCAAGTTTTAGAAGAATTAGGAAAAAAAACTTTAAAACCTGATTTTATAAACTTTGTTTTCCTTTGTCTGATTTTAACTCAATTCACAAATCCCTGTTCATGTTTTACTATCCTGTTAGGGGCTTTTTTACCCTGATTTAAACGTTTGTATCTTAGACTAGAAAACTGAAGATGGCTTTTGAAAGAATAAGGCCTTTATAAGTACCTATCAGAAAACTTTGGGCTATGTATCTCAAAACAAAAGGCTAACACCCTAAATTCATTATTATAATGTTGTAGCTTAAATGTTTGTGTCTCCCGACAATTCACACGTTAAATCTCTAACCTCCAGTGTGATGGTATTTGGAGATTGGGCCTTTGGGAGGTAATTAGGGATAGATAAGGTTGTGAAGGTAGGCTTTCATGATGGGATTAGTGCCCCTAGAAGAAGACACCAGAGAGCATGTTCTCTCAGATCTCTCCATCTGCCACGAAATGACACATCAAGACGGAGGCTTCTGCAATCCAGGAAGAGAGCCCTCACCAGGAACTGAATTGACCAGTACTTGATCTTGAGCTCCTTAGTCTCTAGAAAATATATTTCTCTTGTTTTAGCCACCTCGTCTATAGTATTTTGTTACTGCAACTTAGGCAGACTAATAATATGCATAGTCAATAAGAAACTGATATAACACACAGGCTTTCTTGTTTAGGATGAAGAGAGCAGACTGGCCTTACCTTTGAATAACCCTAAGCAAGTTATCAACCTGTCTTAACCTACTTCTTCTTCTAAAAGATGGGAATAACAACACCAGCATCCTTCTAGTGTGTGAAAGTTCAAACAAAATGAAGCAAAATCTTCACAGAGTATCTGGCAAGTAGCAAAATCTAAATTAAGGTTGATTATTTGAGCCCATCCCCATCACTTCCATAAGAGGTAATAGGCTGCAAGTTCCATTCCTTATTTCTACCAGTACCTCACTGCACATTAAGAAATACTTTGCGTTTCTTTCTTTATGATGTGAAGAAGAATTATTTTACAATTCAAACAGATATTCTGAAATGTATTATCTCTTGGTTGGAATATGATGGTACCCTTTTAAAATCTGGTTGTTTTTCGAAACCCTTGAAACAAAACTCTAAACCTGTCTGAATAATATACAAATAATTCAATATAGTAAATATTTTTTAATATTTGATATATGCTGGAAAAATTTTATCTGGGATGCTGTAGAGCATACATGGACGTCTTAAGATGGGGTCCTGTCCTCAAAAGGCCCAGAATAGTGAAGGAAACAGACATGCAAATTAACATTTTATAGTATAATGACTACCGTCATAGTCAAAACCACAAGGCTTAGTGAAGACACAGAGGAAAGACTAGTCTGTTGTTCCTAGAGTAGACAGAAAAGGCACCTTACAGAAGGTGAAACTGTTAAGCAGATGAGTTTACCAGCATTACGTGAACTTTCTACCTTACTGCAAGAACCAACAGCAGCTAAACTAAAATGAATGAATTTGTGAAGGGTTCATTATATGCAACTCGCACACTGGATAGTCCATGTATGTTCTTTGTTTCAGCATCCAACACAGGATACCACATTGCACTGAACAATATCACCAGCAAATTACAACCATTGTTACTACTGTTACCACTGTATTACTACTGTCACTACTATTACTAATATTAATAAAAATAATAGTCCGTATCATGTGTATAGTGATTTACACATTTCATTCTAAATCTAACTTGTAGTCATCATTCTTCATTTAGTGCAAAATGAGGAAACTGATGTTCAAACTCAACAATTTGCAAAATCAATTCTTTGTTCATTACGAATAATAAGAAAACATCAATATCATTGATATGGCTTTCTTAAAAGTGATGAAGTAATAGAAAACAGGAAGCAATTCTACACCCTCCAGATGCTTCACACAACTTTCATCCTAGCTCCCACTGTACTTGTTCTTAACTACTTGAAAAAATTAGTTAACATTCTCATTTGCATCAATTAACATTCTGAGAACTCTAACAAATGCTGTTCATAAGCTGTGTTTATACTACATTGCTTTTCCTTTTTTCACATTTTTAATTATGAAAGTAAAATATGCTCATTATAGGTAATTGAAAAATATAGACAGATATTCAGGGGATAAAAAATTAATCCATATCCTCAAAACCCAGAAATAACCACAGTTAACATTTGATGATATATTTCCTTCTAGCCCATTTTCCCTCTGTTTCTCTGCATTTGTATGTGTATTTTTCTTAGGAAATACACTTTTTATAAACAGATATGTTACCCTATATTAATATTTTAGTACACTTTTTGGAATAATTTTATATTTAAAAAACAGTTGCAAAGATAATATAGTGTTCTATAAACCCTTCACCTAGCTTCGCCTAAAATTAACATCTCACATAACTATGCTACATGTCTCCTTTGTCTCCTGATCTGTGACAGTTTCTCAGTCTTTCTTTGTTTTTTGTGGTCTTGACATCTTTGAAGAGGACTGGTTAGGTATTACCCAGGGTGTCCCTCAGTTTGGACTTTTTTGATGTTTTCTCATGATTAGAGCCCTTCTAACCACCAGTATATCAGAGAGTACATGATAGTAGCATAATTCATCATTGGTGAAGTTAATCTTGATCACTTGGTCAAGGTAGTGTGTGTCAGTTTCTAAACTTCCTTTGTCATCCTTTGTTTTTAGTGAGTCACTACAGCCAGCTTACCCTAAAGACAAAGGTGAGCTTAATAAAGCTGCATATCCTAGAGGAGTAGCTACACATATTATTTGAAATTCTTCTGTAATGATGATTTGCCTTTTGCCTCTTGTCTCCCATTCATATATTTTTTCTATTATTTACTAACATCAATGTGGACACCTAAAGGTTTATTTTATACTTTGGGTTATATTGTGTTATTTTATTGCTCAAAACTATCCCAATTTGGCCATTGAGAGCTCTTTCATGTGGCTCTTGTGTCTTTTTGAAATGTCCCATTTCCACATTTTTTTGGTTTATGATTATTTCTTTACTTTCTGGCACTACGCGATGCTTCATGCTTGTCACCCCAACCCTCGAATTAGCCATTTCTCCAAGGAGCATCATAAGTTAGGCTCATTCCATTTCTTTATCAAAGAATGGTATTAGACATTTAAGATCTGAGTTCTGGGTTTTATATTATCCTTTAAGTGGAAACAATATCCAGTAACCCAATAAAGTATTCACCAAGTTTATTTTAGCATAAGCAAGCATGAAATTGAACAGCCTATTGCTTGATTTGACCTACAATTTGTGTTTCTCTAATTTTTCTTCACCAAAAGTATAATATGCACACCATAGTGTATTGCTTAAGAGCCTGGACTCTGAAACCAGAGTCAAGGTTCACCTATTTGACGTGTGACATTGGGCAAGTTTCTTTATCTTATTGTACCTCAGTTCTATCATCTAGAGAACAGAATGAGTAATAAAGTATGCACCTCACCCGGCAATTGTGAGAGTTTAAATAAGTTATTATTTGCAACGTACTTAGAATGGTGCCTGGAACTCAGTAATTACTATGTAAATACTGGTTGTTATGATTGCTATTCTGACAACTTTAACCAGAATTCTGATACTGAAAAGGCAACATCCAATAATAGCCAACACTTACTGAGCCTGTCTTATGAGAAAGACACTCATTAATCCTATTTATAAGGTATATCTTATTTTTTTAAAAAATGTATATTATTAATTTTTATCTTACTTTTTTTAGTATGCACATATTAAACTATATTTTATCTCATGTTTATATTCAATTTCTCATCAAATCTTTAAGAGTAGGTGGAGTACACAAGATTTTTAGAATAGTAAAACTACTGTGAATGATACTATAATGGTGGGTACATGTTTTATTACACATTCATTCAAACCCATAGAAGGTACAATACCAAGAGTGAACTCTGATATAAACTAGGGACTCTGGGTGATATTGATGTGTCAATATAAATTCACTAGTTGTAACAAATTACCACTCTGGTGGGGAATATTAGTAACGGGGGAGACTATGCGTGTGTGGGAGCAGGGTTTTAGGAAATCTCTGTACCTTCTGCTCAGTTTTGCAATAAACCTCAAACTGCTTCAAAAAAAAAAGTATGCCTTTTTAAAAAAACCAGTATGTGTTACAGCATCTCCAAGATGGCCTCCATAAAGTCCTCCTCTAACTGTATATGTATGCTACTTCTCACTTTAAAAAGTAGAATCGAATTCCCCTTCCCCTGAATTTGGAACTTTGTTAGTGACTTATCTAACCAAAAGAATGTAGCAGAAGTAACATTCTTAAACTTTCAAAACTAAGTTTTATAAGAAGCATTGGCATTTACACCTGGGTATCTAGGAACACTTATTTTGGAAATGACTCTTCTCAGAACTAAGCTGTCATGCCTTAGAAGCCTAAGCTGCATGGAGAGACCAAAACGTAAGGCTTACAAGTTGACAGCTCCAATTGAGTTATCAGCTGACAGCCAGCATCAATTTCCAGCCCTCCTGGATTCCCAAGCTAATCAAACCCCTAATGATTGCAGACCCAGTTGACATCTGATGCCACCTCATGACAGCTTCAAAGGAAAAACTGCACACCAAATCTGGTGAATCTACAGAATTATCAACAATACTATTAAATTATTGCTTTAAGCCACAAAGTTTTTGAGTAGTTTGCTATGGAAAAATAAATGACCAGAATATGATGTCTTTTTTTTTTTTACACTTGGTCATTGGTGAGAAACTTAGTTCACACAAGTAAAGGTAGCAAATATCGAAGATTATTAATAGCTTTATGACTGATGGATAAAATTCTCACCATTGCCAAAATTTAAGTCATTTACTTTCTTTAACTTATACATCATAAAATCTAATAGTTCTTTTTTTATTCGTTGACCAATGTAATTTTAGAAAAATATTATGAAAATGTGATTGGATTTAAGACCAATACAGCTTCTTATATCAAGTATTTCTTTCTTTCATCTTTTAAGTTCTGGGGTACATGTGCAGGTTTGTTACATAGGTAAACATGTGTCATGGGGGTTCGTTGTGCAGATTATTTAATCATCCAGGTATTAAGCCTAGTACCTATTAGTTATTTTTTCTGATCCTCTCCCTCTTCCCATTCTTCACCCTCCAATAGGCCCTATTGTGTGTTGTTTCCCTCTACGTATCGAAGTGTTCTCATTATTTAGCTCCCGCTTGTAAGTGAGAACATGCAATATTTGGTTTTCTGTCCCTGTGTTAGTTTGCTAAGGATAATGGCCTCAAACTCCATCCATGTCCTTGCAAAGGATATGATCTCATTCTTTTTTATTGCTGCATAGTATTCCATGGTGTATATGTACCACTGTTTTGTGTTTTTCTTTTTTTTTTATCTAGTCTATCATTGATGGGCATTTAGGTTGATTCCCTGAGTTTGCTACAATAAATAGTGCTACAATAAACATGCATGTGCCTGTGTCTTTATAATAAAACTCTTTATATTCCTTTGGGTATATACCCTGTAATGGGATTGCTGAGTTAAACGGTATTTCTGTCTTTAGGTTTTTGAGGAATTGCTACACTGTCTTCCACAATGGTTGAACTAATTTACACTTCCACCAACAGTGTATAAGCATTCCTTTTCCTCCACAAATGGAGCAGCATGTGTTATTTTTGACTTTTTAATAATAACCATTCTGACTGGCATGAGATGGTACCTCACTGTGGTTTTAATCTGCATTTCTCTAATGATCAGTAATGTTGGGCTTTATTTCATATTATTGTTGGCCACATGTATGTCTTCTTTTGAGAAGGACATGTCTGTTCATGTCCTTCGCCCACTTTTTAATGGGGTTGTTTGTTTTTTTCTTGTAAATTTGTTTAAGTTCCTTGTAGATGCTGGATATTAGACCTTTGTTGAATGGATAGATTGCAAAAATGTTCTCTCCTACTGTAGGCTGTCTGTTTACTCTGTTGATTTTTTTTTTCTCTGCAGAAAGTCTTTAGTTTCATTAGATCTCATTTGTCAATTTTGGGGTTTTTTTGTAATTGCTTTAGGCATTTTCCTCATGAAATCTTTGCCCATGCCCATGCCCATGTCCTGAATGATATTGCCTAGGTTGTCTTCCAAGGTTTTTTATACTTTTGGGTTTTACATTTAAGTCCTTAATCCATTTGGAGTTAATTTTTGTATATGGTGTACGGAAGGGATCCAGTTTCAATCTTCTGCATATGGCTAGCCAGTTATCCCAGCACCTTTTATTGAATAGAGAATACTTTCCCCATTGCTTGTTTTGGCCAAGTTTGTCAAAGATCAGATAGTTTTAGGCATTTCTTCTTATTTATGGACTATCTATTTTGTTTCATTGGTCTATGTGTCAGTTCTTATACCAGTACCATACTGTTTTGTTACTGTAACCCTTTAGTATAGTTTGAAGTTGAGTAGCATGATGCCTCTAGCTTTTTCTGTTTTTCTTAGGATTGCCTGGATATTTGGGCTCTTTTTTGGTTCCATATGAATTTTAAAATAGTTTTTTTTTTCTAGCTCTGTGAAGAATATCTATGGTAGTTTAATGGGAATAGCATTGAATCTACGAGTTACTTTGGGAAGTATGGCTATTTTAATGATATCGATTCTTCTTATCCATGAGCACGAAATCTTATTCTGTTTGTGTCATATCTAATTTCTTTAATCAGTGGCTTGTAGTTCTCCTTGTAGAGAACATCAATGTTCATCTTTCACCACCCTAGTTAGCTGGATTCCTAGGCATTTTATTCTTTTTGTGGCAGTTGTGAATGGGAGTTTGTTCATGATTTGGCTGTTGGCTTGACTTTTGTTGGTATAGAAGAATGCTAGCAATATTTGCACATTAATTTTGTATCCTGAGACTGCTGAAGTTGCTTATCAGCTTCAGAAGCTTTTGTGCTGAGACAGCAGGGTTTTCTAGATATAGGATCATGTCATCTGCAAACAGGGATAATTTGGCTTCTTCTCTTCCTATTTGAATGGACTTATTTTTCTCTCTTGCCTGATTTCCCTGGCCAGAGTTTCCCATACTATGTTGACTAGAATCAGTGAGAGTATCCTTGTCTTGTGCTGTTTTTTTTAGGGAAATGCTTCCAGCTTGTCCCCATTCAGTGTGATGTTGTCTGTGGTTTGTCATATATGGCTCTTATTATTTTGAGATATGTTCCTTCAGTACCTAGTTTATTGAAAGTTTTACCATGAAGTGACGTTGAATTTTATCAAAAGCTTTTTCTACATCTATTGAGATAATTATATGTTTTTTGTCTTTAGTTCTGTTTATGTGATGAATTACATTTATTGACTTGTATATGTTGAACCATCCTTGCATCCCAGGGATGAAGCCTACTTTATCATGGTGAATAAGCTTTTTGATGTACTGCTGAATTTGGTTTTTCAGTATTTTGTTGAGGATTTTTGCATCGATGTTCATCAAGGATATTGGCCTGAAGTTTTCTTTTTTAGTAGCAAGCTGGATAAAGAACCAAGACCTATTCATATGCTGTCTTCAAGAGACCCATTTCACATGCAATTACACATATAGGCTCAAAATAAAGGGATGGAGGAAAATCTACCCAGCAAGTGGAAAACAGAAAAAAGCAGGGGTTGCAATCCTAGTTTTGGACAAAAAAGACTCTAAACCAACAAAGATCAAAGAAGACAAAGAACATTACATAGTGGTAAAGGGTTTAATTCAACAAGAAGAACTAACTATCCTAAATATATATGCACCCAACACAGAAACACCCAGATTCATAATGCAGGTTCTTAGAGACCTTCAAAATTTTAACTCCCATATAATAACAATGGGAGACTTTAACCCCCCACTGACAATATTAGACAGATCATCAAGGCAGAAAATTAAGATATTTAGGACATGAACTCAGCCCTAGGTCAAATGAACTTGATATACATCTACAGATCTCTCTACCCCAAAACAAAAGATTACATATTCTTCTCATCACTGCATAGCACTTACTCAAAAATCAATCACATAATCAGAGGTAAAACACTCCTCAGCAAATGCAAAAGAAATAAAACCATAACAAACAGTCTCTCAGGCCACAGTACAATCAAATTAGAACTCAAGACTAAGGAACTCACTCAGAAAACCAGGCACAGTGGCTCACACCTGTAATCCCAGCACTTCGGGAGGCCAAGGTGGGCAGATCACTTGAGGTCAGGGGTTCAAGACGAGACTGGCAAACATGGCAAAACCCCACCTCTAGTAAAAATACAAAAATTAGCCTGGTATGGTGGCAGGCACCTGTAATCCCAGCTACTCAGGTTGCTGAGTTAGGAGACTTGCCTGAACCCAGGAGGCAGAGGTTGCAGTGAGTCGAGATCATGCCACTGCACTCCAGCCTGGGTGACAGGGTGACACTCCATCTGAAAAAATAAAAATAACAAAAGAAACTCATGCAAAACCATACAATTACATGAAGATTGAATAACCTGCTTCTGAATGACTTTGGGGTAAATAATAAAACTAAGGCAGAAATCAAGAAGTTCCTTGAAACTAATGAGAACAAAGCTACATTCTATCAGAATCTCTGGGACATAGCTAAGACAGTGTTAAGAGGAAAATTTATAGCACTAAATGCCTCCATCAAAAAATTAGAAAGATCTCAAGTTAACAACTTAACATCATAACTAAAAGAACTAGAGAACCAAGAGCAAACAAATCCCAAAGCTAGCAGAAGACAAGAAATAGTCCAAATCAGAGCTGAACTGAAAGTGACAGAAAAAAATTCAAAAGATCAACAAATCCTGGAGCTTGTTTTTTTGAAAAAATTAATAAAATAGACTGCTATCTAAACTAATAAAGGAGAAATAATGTTCAAATAAATACAATCAGAAATGATAAGGAGGATATTACCACTGACCCCACAGAAATACAAACAACTATCAGAGAACATTATTAACATCTCTATGCACATAACCTACAAAATCTAGATGAAATAAATAAATTTCCAGGCACATACACCCTCCTAAGACTCAACCAGAAAGAAACTGAATCCCTGAACAGACCAATAACAAGTTCTGAAACTGAAACAGTAATAAATAGCTACCAACAAAAAAAGCCCAGGACCAGATGGATTCACAACTGAATTCTACCAGATGTACAAAGAAGAGTTGGTACCATTCCTACTGAAGCCATTCCAAATAATTGAAAAGGAGAGGCTCCTCCCTAACTCATTCTATTAGGCCAGCATCATCCTAATATCATATTAAGTATTTCAAAATAATGATAAAGCTGTTGCTATGTACAGCCAAATGTTGCCCTACCAGACTTTATTATGGCTCAAATTGCAGTATGAAATAAATATCATCAGTACATAATTTTTCCCTCTATGTTTTCCATATTTAATTTTCATTTTGAATCCATAAACTCAATATATGTTAATACCTCCATGGGATTCTTGCCATTTTTTAGTAAGTTCCTTTAAGAGATCAATAATGTAAAGTTTAGCAAGCTAGTAACTATGCTTCAAAAATATCCAAGGTGAGAATCATTCAAAAAAAGTGTTCTTGATTCTTCAAGCTTACAAGTTCTTGACAAAAGTGTTTCTTTGGATGAGCAACACAATTCAGTATGAAACAGCAGAGAATGGTGTCTGATCTCATTTCTTCATATAAAGCTAAAAAGAGATAAGATGGGATAGCTCAGATTTTATTAGATTTATTATTTTGATAACGTCATTTAATGTGGAATTCTGATCTACAGCAAATGTTTCCATGTCTCTGTGAAGAAAATAATGTATTTCTTGAATCTTAAGGTTTGTAATATGAACCATATCCAAAAGCCTTTACAATTGCTATCACTGTTTCTTCACTATCAGGACACACAGATTTATGTAGAGTTTCTGTAATATCTGGTTTATATCAAATGATTAACTTATCAATTTAAATATTTCATCCCTAGTAGGTTTTTTTTTTGTATTTTATGGAACAAATACAGTTCTTCAAAGAGTTTCTCTTGAGGGATTCTCACTACTAACATTACTTAAGTACTATTCAATCTGCAATGAAACATTTTTAATCTAAAAATATTCTGAATTAAAGTTATTTCCCTGTCATCAAACATGTCATCAAAGTGTCTATTAATTGCATTAATCAAAAAATTGCACATTTTCTTTTTCCTTTGCATATTGATCCCACGTATTGCATTAGCAGTTTAGAGGCAGGCTGTGAAAACAAAAAGTCTGCGATTGTGTGAGGAATTCTATATTAGGACATTACAGATCTTTGTAATTAGTTCTTTGGGCATAATCACATACTGTATAAATGATTTTATAAAACAAATTTGATTTTTGATCATTTATTCAATACAGATTTAAAGAGAACCTAGTATGTGTCAGGCACAGTTCTTTCTCAGTAACACAAACATACAAAGATCCCTGTTTTGGATAGGATTATATTTCAACAGGGCAAGGTAGACAGTAAACTAAATAAATAATGGAAATTAAATTACCTTATACATTTAAACATTATACATTAGTTTGCTAGGGCTGTCATAACAAAGTACCACAAAACTGGGTGTCTTAAACAATAGAAACGTATTTTCTAACAGCTCTAGAAATTCAAGATCAAGGTGTTAGCAGGGTTGGTTCCTTCTAAGGGCTATGAGGAAGAATCTGTTCCTTACCTCTTCCCTAGTTTCTGATGGTTTCTTGGCAATCTTTGTCATTCCTTGGTCTGAGAATGCATCACCTTAATCTCTGTCTTCATCTTTGTATGATGTTCTTTTCTGTATGTATGTGTCTGAATTTCCTTTCCATAATGATACCAGCCACATTGGATTAGAAGCCCACCTTACTCCACTATGACCTCATCTTAACTAATTACATCTGCAGTTAACTTGTTTCCAAATAATATCACATTCTAAAGCAATGGAGGTTAGAAATTCAACTTTTAAATTTTGGGAGGGGCACAATTCAACTGTTAACAGATGATATGTGCTATGGAAAAAAGAAAAAGTAGATCAGAATGAAGGGATGAGGTGAGAGAGACAGTTTGCAACGTCAAGCAGAATGATTTGATTGGGCCTTACAAGGAAAATTTAAGAAAGAACTGACGTATGTAGTAGAGAAAATTTGCCAAGCAGGTATCTAGGGAAAGAGCCTTCCAGGCACATGGAAAAGCAATGGAAAAGTACCTTGGGCCAAAGCTTTTCCCTAAGTTTGAGAAATAGCAGGGAAACCAGTGTGGTTGTAGTGGAGCATGTGACAGATGAGAGAAGCAGAAGAGGAAGTCAGAAAGAGAATGAACGGCCAAGTCATGTAAAGCTTGGCAGGCCCCTGTAAATTTTTACTCCTACTTTGAGTAATAGAGAGTCAAGGTAGATATTGAAAAGAGTGACATCAACTGACCTTGTTTTACAAGGGCCACTCTGACTGCTGTGGAGAGACTAGACTCTTGGTAGGTAAGGACAGCAACAGAAACATCTGTTAGGAGCCACTTAAATAATTCAAACACAAGATGGTGGATTCTAGGACCAGATTAACAGCAATAGAAGCATGAAAAGTCATAGAAGCCTGTGTTTATTTTTGAAGTGGAGCTTATAAGCTTTCCTGACAGATTATAATTGCATGTGAATAAAAAAGACAATTCAGGGATAACCCTGTGGTTGTTGAGTGTGCAACTGGAAAGAAGGGGTTGCTATCAACTCAGTGAGGGAAGGCTGTTGGTGACACAGGTATGCAGCATTTTCTGTTTAGCCAGCCTCTGAAAAAATTTTGAATGACTGCACCTCATGGAAACCAAGTGATTTTATAATATCCTCCCCTTCAGTGTGGCTTGCATCTAGTGACCTGTTTTGATGAATATATTACAGCAAAGTAATAGGATGTCAATTCCGATATTAAGTTAGAAAAATACTGTGAGTTTGGTCTTGGATTCTCTCTCCCTTGTTTTCTAACTCTCTCTCACCCTCTTAGGGAAGCCAGCTGTCATTATGCGAGCTCTGCTCTCAAGAGGCTCAGGTGGTAGGGAACTAAGTGAGGCCTCTGACTAAGGGCCAGTGAGGAACTGAGGCTTTAGTCTAACAGACCACAAGGAAGTGAATCCTGCCAACAACCACGGAGTAGATCTAGAAGTGAATCTTCCTTCATCAAGCTTGCAGAAAAGACCACAGCCCTGATCCAAAGTTTGGTTTCAGTCAAGCTCATGAGTGACCTTGAGCCAGAGAACTCAGTTAAGCCATGCCTGAATTCCCAACCCACAGAAATTGTGAGAACATAAATGTTTGTTGTTTTAAGTCACTAAATTTCGGCATAATTTGTCTGCAACAATAAATAAGCTAAATACTATTTCTTTAAAGTAACAAATATTTATTGAGAAAAGTAAATGCCTTAAGGTAAGATGCCAAAAATTTTCTTATAACATTGATTCACTTTCCACTATTTCATGCAAAAATATTTCAGGTGAGGAAGGAAAGAAATATAGAACCTCTCTAATGCGTTTTTAAGAAAATTCTCATTATATTACTTAATGAGAACTTATTTTTGTACTATTGTGTTTATTTTGGGAGTATGATTGTTTTCCACTTTTAATCAAAAAGTTGTCTATTAAGATGCAAAAATATATGTCTATAAAAATCAACTTAAAATATTTAGAGGGAATATAGGCTATAAAAACTCCAAATGATTTACTTTAAAATTATTACATTATATCATCTGTATTTTTAAGAAAATTTAAAATATGAGGACTTAAACATACACTAAGCAAAACAGGAAGTAATAAACATTAATTTTACTTATTTAAACAATTACAATTCTGGAAATATTACATTATGGAAATATTATTGATAGTCATGTATAACCACATATATTAGCTTCTGTACATGTAGTGGCTTATAGTCCCTTTTTACAGAATTAGTTGAATTTTATTTAGCTACTATTAGGTGAGTGTAAATGTAGTCGTGGTTTTTGCATTGTTGGAATTTGCCATTTGATATTGGAATACATTCTTAAATAAATGTAGTTATGTTATACATTATTATAATGGGCATTTCTCGCTTTATTTTATTTTTTTGCTAAAGACTTATTACTTGCTGTTTATTTTATGTTTATTTCAGACAATGGAAATGATGTTAGACAAAAAGTGAATTCAGCAGTTTTCTTATTTGAATTCAAAATGGGTCATAAAGCAGTGAAGACAACTTGCAACATCAACAATACATTTGGCCCAGGAACTACTAATGAACCTACAGTATAGTGGTGGTTCAAGAAGTTTCATAAAGGAGACAGCCTTGAAGATAAGGAGCACAGTGGTCGGCCATTGAAGTTGACAACAACCAGTTGAGAGCAATCATCGAAGCAGATCCTCTGACAACTACACGAGAAGTTGCCGAAGAACTCATCGTTGACCATTTTATGATTGTTCGGCATTTGAAGCAAATTGGAAAGGTGAAAAAGCTTAATAAGTGGGTGTTAGGATCACCTAAGCAGACCATTCCCTTCCCCTCCCACAGGCCTTACAATACAGTCTCTTGCGCTCTCCACACAGTCACCCCAGGGCAAAAGACAAACCCCCCACTTCACTGACCCCTCCACTAACTGTTTGTCCAGGCAGTTACAGGATGCCATTAACGTCTGTTCACCTCACATAACAAAGCTGGCAAAAAACATCTCCAGGATGCGGACAAGACACTTGCATCCCCGAATCAGCTCCCCGACCCTGACCCAGTTCCTCATCCTATAAAGCCCTGCTGTAGTCTGTAAGTGTGGCTGCCTCCTCTGCTTTTGTCAGGAGGTAGCCCGGCAGGACTGACAATAAATTAGCTTGCCTGAACTTGGGTCTATTGGCCTCATTCCTTTCTTGGCTGTCCTTCCAATTATCCCTTACAGTGGGAGCCTCATGAGCTGAGCAAAAATTTTTTTAAAAAATTATCATTTTGAAGTGTTGTCTTCTCTTACCCTATGCAACAACAATGAACCATTTATCGATCAAATTGTGACATGCGACAAAAAATGTATTTTATATAACAACCATCAATGGCCAGCTTAGTGGCTGGACTGAGAAGAAGCGCCAAAGCACTCTAAGGCTGAACAAATTGGGCTATGAAGTTTTGCCTCATCCACCATATTCATTTGCCCTTTTGCCAACGAACTACCACTTCTTCAAGCATCTCCATTACTTTTTGCAGGTAAAACACTTCCACAACCAGAAGGATGCAGAAAATGCTTTCCAAGAGTTCACTGAATCCCAGAGCATGGATTTTTATGCTACAGGAGTAAATAAACTTATTTCTCATTGGCAAAAATGTGTTGATTGTAATAGTTCCTATTTTGATTAATAAAGACGTGTTTGAGCCTAGTTATAATGATTTAAAATTCATGGTCTGAAACCACAATTGCTTTTGTACCAATCTAATATTTGTTATGAATAATCAAAATTTTAACTCTGAGAAACAAATATAATTTATTATAAAATTTAATCAAGGAGAAGACTTTGTTTCATTGTTAACACAAAAATATATTTATTATATAAAGAAGAAAAAATATACTCAAAAAATTGGGGTCTATTAAGTTTGATTTATGTACACTTGTTAATAATTAGAATTATAATCACTAACACTTACTGAGCATGACTGTGTTCCAGGCACTGCTCTAACTGCTTTATGAGGCTTATTTAATCTTCATGATAGAAAGTGTAACAAGGTGGCAGAATGGGAGCCTACACCCTTCATCCCAGCTGCAGGAACAGCAAATTTTAACAACTATCTACACACAGGAAAGCACTTTCGAAAGAACCAAAAATTAGCTGAGCAATCAGAGTGTTGGTTTTAAATTCACATCACTGAAAGAGGCATTGAAGAGTGTCAGAGAGACAGCTGGATTCCTTGACAGAACCCCTCCTCTCCTGGAGGAGAGGTAAAGAGAGGTAAAGAGAGTCTGTGTACTTGAGGGAGGGAGAGTGCAGCAACTTGGGAAGTTTACATTGAACTCAGTGCTGCCCTGTGATAGTGGAGAGCAAAGCCACACTGGGCTCAGTCAGCACCCCTGGAGCATTTGGACCAGCCCTACCTAGAGGGGAATTGCCCATCAGTGGTGGGAACTTGAGTTTCTCAGCAAGCCTCACCGCCATTGGCCAAAGTGATCCTGGGTAAACTTGAAAGGCAGTCGAGGACACAAGGACTGCAATTCCCTGGCAACACCTAGTGCTGGGCTGGGCTGAGAGCCAGAGAACTAGGGTGGCGTGTGACTTAGGGAGACACAAGCCAGGGCAGCTAAGGGAGTGCTTGCACTACCCTTCCCCCAACCCCAGGCAGTGCAGCTTACAGCAACAAAATTACCTCCTTCCTTTTGCTTAAGGAGAGGAGAGTAAAGAGCAAAGAGGACCTTGTCTTGCATCTTGAATATTAGCTCAGCCACAGTAGAATACAGCACCTAGCACAGTCACAAGGCCCCCATTCCAGGTCATAGCTCACAGACAACATTTCTAGACACACTTTTGGCCAAAAGGGAACCCACAGCCTTGAAGGGAAGGACCCAGTCCTGGCAGGATTTATCGCTTGCTGACTAAAGAGCTCTTGGGCCCTGAATAACCAGCAGCAAACCCAGGTAGTATGCCATACGCCTTGGGCTCCAGATGTGCTGACTTCAGGTATAACCCAGCACATTCCCAGCTGTGCTGGATACAGTGAAAGACTGTTTGAGAAAAGCAGAGGAAAAACAAAGAGGACTTTGTCTTACACGTTGGGGACCAGCTCGACCATAGGGAGGTAAAGTAAAAAGTAGGCTCTTGCAGTCCCCAAGTCTAGGCCTAGGTTGTTGTACAGCATTTATGGACCTGGCCTGGGCCAGAGGGGAACCCACTGCACTGAAGGGTGAGTCTCAGGCCTGGCAGCATTCACCACAAGCTGATGGAAGAGCACTCAGGCTTTAAGTGAACCTCAGCAGTGGCCTGGCTGAACTCCCCATGGGCAGCGGTGGTGGCCACTTGAAGAGGCTCCTCTGCCTGTGGAAAGAGGAGGGGGGAGTGGGTAGAACTTTGTGTTTGGTTTGTGTGCCAGCTTAGCCACAGTAGAATAGAATATCAAACAAATTACTAAGGTTTTTGACTCCAATCCCTGGATCCCAGACAGCATATTTAGACCCACCCAGGGTCTGGGAGAACTCACTGCCCTGAAAGGAGGGATACAAGCTTGGCTGGCTATATCATCTGTTGAGTATAGATCCCTAGGGTGTTGAGTGAATATCAGTGGTAGCTAGGTAGTGGTTCCAGTTGGCCTTGGGCAAGACCCAGTACTGTGCTGGCTTCAGGTCTGACCCAGAACAGTCCCAGTGCTGGTGACTGCAGGAGTGATTACATCATCACACCCCCAGTTCCAGGTGGCTCAGCACAGAGAAAGTCTCCATGAAAGTAAGGGAAAAGAATAAGAGTCTCCCAGGTAATCTAAAGAATTCTTCTGGATCTTACCCAAGGCCACCAAGGCAGTACCTCTATGAATCTACATAAACCACAGCTTAGGGCCCAAGTCCCTTCAAATATCTGCAAAGTCTTCTCAAGAAAGACAGGCACAAACAAGCCCAGACTGCAAAGTTTATAATACTTAACTCTTAAATGCCCAGACACCAGTGAACTTCCATAAGAACCAAGATCATTCAGGAAAACAGGACCTCACCAAACAAATTAAACAAGACACCAGGGACCAATCCTGGAAAACTGAAGAAGTATGACCTTTCAGACAGAGAATTCAAAATAGGGATTTTGAGGAAACTTAAAGAAATTCAAAGTAACACAGATAAGGAATTCCAAATTTTATCAGACAAATTCAACAAGAAGGTTAAAATTATAAAACTTAAGCAGAAATTCTGGAGTTGAAAACTGCAATTGAAATGCTAAAGAATGAGTCAAAGTCTCATACTAGCAGAATGGATCAAGCAGAAGAAAGAATTAGTGAGGCTATTTGAAAATGCACAGTCAGAGGAAAGAAAAGAAAAAAGAATAAAAGAGAATGAAGCATACCCACAGGATCTAGAAAATGGCCTCAAAAGGGCAAATGTAAGAGTTATTGGGCTTAAAGATGATGTAGAGAAAGAGACAGGTGTAGAAAGTTTATTCAAAGGGATAATAACAGAGAATTTTCCAAACCTAGAGAAAGACATCAATATCCATGTATAAGAAGGTTATGGAACACCAAGCAGACTTAGCCCAAAGAAGCCTACCTCAAGACATTTAATAATCAGACTCCCAGAGGTCAAGGATAAAGAAATGATTCTAAATGAAGCAAGGGAAAAGAAACAAATAATCTTCACAATAATCCTGTGAGGCAAATACTATTATCTTCATTTTACAGAAGAGAAAAAATTTAGTAAAAAGAAAATTTAATAATTTTGCCTAAGGTCAAACAACTAGCAAGTGGTAAAGTGAAGATTTGAACCCAAGGGGTATAGTGTCAGGGTCTGTGCTCCTAAAAAAGCAAACAAAACACCAATTAGAGAATTAACTGGACAAAATGGGAGTGATTCAATAGGAAGGTGAGAGGGAAGTGATATGGTGCTATGGCTCCTAGACAGCAGTCTCTAGCTATTGGTACCACATATAAAATCTTAAGAACCAATACACAATTACTCTATTCATCAACTTAACAGAGTTAGCATTTGTATTAGTCCATTCTCACACTGCTATGAAGAAATACCCAAAACTGGATACTTTATAAAGGAAAGAAGTTTAATTGATTCACAGTTCTACATTACTGAGGAGGTCTCAGGAAACTTACAATAATGGTGGAAGGCAAAGGAGAAGCAGGCACCTTCTCCACAGGGAAGCAGGACAGAGTGAGTGCAAGCAGGAGAAATGCCAGATGCTTATAAAACCATCTGATATCATCAGAACTCATTCACTTTCACAAAAACAGCATGGGGAAAACCACCCCCATGATTCAATTACCTCCACCCGGCCCTGCCCTTGACACATGAGGATTATGGGGATTACAATTCAAGGTAAGATTTGGGCAGGGACACAGAGACAAACCATATCATTTTATGCCTGGCCCCTCTCAAATCTCACATCCTCACATTTCAAAACACAAACATGCCCTTCCAACAGTCCCCCAAAGTCTTAACTCATTCCACCATTAACCCAAAAGTCCAAGTCCAAAGTCTTACCTGAAACAAGGCAAGTCCCTTCTGCCTCTGAGCCTGTAAAATCAAAAGAAATTTAGTTACTTCCTAGATACAACTGGGGTACAGTCACTGAGTAAATACACCCATTCTAAATGGGAAAAATTGGCCAAAACAAAGGTGCTGTTAGCCCCATGGAAGTCTGAAATCCAATAGGGCAGTCATTAAACCTTGAAGTTCCAAAATGATCTCCTTTGACTCCATGTCTCAAATCCAGGTCATACTGATGCAAGAAGTGGGCTCCCATGGCCTTGGGCAGCTCTGCCCCTGTGCCTTTACAGGGTACAGCTCCCCTTCCAAGTGCTTTCACAGGCTGATATTGAGTCTGGCTTTACCAGGCACATGGTGCAAGCTGACAGCAGATCTACCATTCTGGGGTCTGGAAGATGGTGGCCCTCTTCTCACAGCTCCACTAGGCAGTGTCCCAGTGGGGACTCTGTGTAGGGGCTCTGACCCCACATTTCCCTTCCTCACTGCCCGAGCAGAGGTTCCCCATCAGGGCTCTGCCCCTACAGCTAACTTTTGCATGGACATCCAGGTGTTTTCATACATCCTCTGAAATCTAGGTGGAGGTTTTCAAGCTTCAATTCTTGACTTCTGTGCACCCATAGGCTCAACAGCACTTGGCAGCCTCAAAGGTTTGGAGCTTGCATCTTCTGAAGCAATGGCCTGAGCTGAACCTTTGCCCCTTTTAGCCATGGCTGAAGCTGAAGCAGCCTGGATACAAGACACCATGTCTGAGGCTGCACAAAGCAGGAAGGCCCTGGACCTGGCCCACAAAACCATTTTTTCCTCCTAGGCCTCACAACCTATGATGGGGGGGGGCTGCCATGAAGGTTTCTGACATACCCTGGAGGCATTTTCCCCATTGCCTCAGTGATTAACATTCTGCTCCTTGTTACTTATACAAATTTCTGCAGCAGGTTTAGAGTGACATTGCTTATTCCCTAAGAATTTCTCCCCAGAAAATGGGTTTTTCTTTTCTATTGCATTATCAGGCTTCAAATTTTCCAAACTTTTATGCTCTGCTTCCTCTTGAATGATTTGCTACTTAGAAATTTATTCTGCCAGATACCCTAAATTATGTCTCTCAAGTTCAAAGTTCCACAGATCTCTAGGGCAGGGGCAAAATGCTCCCAGTCTTTTACTAATGGAGAGCAGGAGTCACCTTTATTCCAGTTCCCCACAAGTTCCTCATCTCTATGACACCACCTCAGCCTGGGCCTCACTATCTATATTGCTATCAGCATTTTGTTCAAAGCTATTCAATAAGTCTCTAGGAAGTTCAAAACTTTCCCACATCTTCCCATCTTCTGCACCCTCCAAACTGTTCCAACCTCTGACTGTTTCCCAATTCCAAAGTTGCTTTCACATTTTTGGTTATCTTTACAGCAGCACCCAATTCCTGGTACCAATTTACTGTATTAGTTCATCTTGCACTGCTATGAAGAAATACCCAAGACTGGGTAATTTATAAAGGAAAGAGGTTTAATTGACTCACAGTTCCGTGTTGATGAGGAAGCCTCAGGAAACTTACAATCATAGCAGAAGGCAAAGAGAAAAAGGCACCTTCTTCATAGAGTGGCAGCATGAAATGAGTGCAAGCAGGAGAAATGCCAGACACTTATAAAACCATCAGATCTCATGAGACTCACTCATTATCACAAGAAAAGCACGTGGGAAACCACCCTCATGATTCAATTACCTCTACCTGGTCCCGCCCTTGACACATGGTGATTATGGAGATTACAATTCAAGGTGAGATTTGAGTGGGGACACAGAGAAAAACCATGTCAGCATTTGAATACTATTCAGCTATAATGCCAATCTTAAAAAAAAAAAAGTAAATGTATAATACTTTTAAATGGCTGATATTTCTTTCACTACATAAAAATTTACCACCACTGCTCATTTGTAGGATTCATGACATACCAATTGGGAAACCTAGGATAAGGCACTTTTCTTGCAGTGGTATTTCCATAGCAAGCACTATTATAAATTTTTTTAATTATTTTTTCATTTTTGTTTAAAATTCTGATGGAGATTATGGGGTAGTGGGGTTTAACCCCTATTCCACAGCCACTAACTAGTACACATTTAAAGAAGTGAAAACGATTGGAAAAAAAGGAAAATGTCTAAAAGTTCCACATTTTAGCTTGTTGGGTCATGTTGATTTCATTTTCTCCTCAATCCCTATAGTGCTTTTTTGAACACTTAATCATGTATACTGATATTAGATATTTAGTGGCCTCATGATCAATTTGGTGTCACAAACCAGATTATAAAATCCTGAGAGAGTCCTTTACATTTCTCTCATAGCCCACCATTTCTTTATCTAGTCTATTTCCACCACCTTGATACCAAGACCTTCTCTTCTACTACTGGAGCTCCATGAAAGTCACCCATAATCCCTACACCAGCCACACCACCCTGCACTCCTTCCAACTCTCCCCAAAATATGTGCCACTGCCTTAGAGAATCTGTCTGTGGTCCTAGAATAATTAACATGGAAGAAGGAGGCAGGGATCATTTACCTTTGAGAGTTAAAGGAGATTGTTTTGATTACTTGGGGAATAAGCAATGTCACTCTCTCAGCCTGCCTCAGAGAGAGAAAAGGACAAAAATATTTTAAAATATATTAAAACATAGTCAACCATTACATATTACCCTTCTGTTTCCACCAAAATTTACACACCAGAGTGGCTTTCTCTCAGAAGAAGGTCAGAAAGCTGAGATGATCAAAGTAGTTGCTGGAAATAAGAGGGAATGGAAAGTCAGGAAAAGAGGCAGAGCTTTCTAGATCTGGGGAGAGAAGAAGAATTCCCAAGTAGAGTGGGCAGCCTGGAAGGTCCAAATATCTTTTATCTTTTTGGTCAGTTATTTTTTTTACCCTAATTCTTAGTAAATATTAATTTTATGTGTTATTACTGTTAAACGTCCCCCCGCCCCCTACCTTTTTAACACCCATCCTTAAGAGAAGTTTTTGAAGAAATAACTTTTAAACTAGGACTCTAAAGTAGAATATTATACAGACAGAAAAAAAAAGATGGAGAAGGGCAAAGGTAAAAAGAAAAAAACAAAATAAAAGTAGAACATTTCAGACTGAAAGGGAAATGTACTTTTAAAGGCCTAGAGGCAAGTAAGAGTTTAGCTTTAAAGAAAAGAAAAAATAGTACAAGGTAATGCTTTGCTAAGAGGTCATAGAGGATAAACCTGAGAACGAGTTATTAGGCTTGAGGTTGGAAGAAAATGCGCAAAGTGGTAGGATATTTAAGACTCATTATAAAAATAGAGGTCCAAATTCATCAACCTTTGTAGTCAGCATATTAGATAGTTGACTTTGACCAGATTTTCCAAAAAATAAAAGCGAAACAAGAAATGTTTACATAATTAAGTAACCTTTGCTAAGTATCATCTAGTTTACATTGCACTAGCACAATTCAAAAGCAAAATTAATAACATGGCTACTCAGTGCTATTTCCCAGCTTATGGAGACAGTTTGTGGTATTTAATTATTGACTATGTTTTAATACTTAGCCAAAGGAAAAACAATAGCCTATAAAGTATCTCTCAGAAGGCACATCACTTCAGGAGGTGTGTGGCCCTATCAGGGAGAAGGAAAATGAAAAGCATAAGAATGATTGAGAAGCATAATGTGGTGTTTAGGGAAAAAAGAATATAAGGAGATGCAGTTTCCAGAATAATAAAGACACCCCTGGGGAGTGAATCATTTAGCACAAATGATATGTCAATCATCAGGGTTCTCATAAACATCATTCGCATCCCCACTTTTAATTTATAATTCCTCTACTGGTAGCTATAAGACCCTATCACATGATTTTTTGAGTATCAGCTAGTAAAGGTGATACAGAAAAAGATAGCATATGTAATCATCATCTGGGCGGTACTGTCAAAATATAATTGACAATAAGTTAAAAAATACAATGAGTGGGTGGAAAGGTAGAATGGGACTTCTTATTGTAATGTGAAAAGGGCTTTTTATAAGAGACAGGAAATCTCCTGCATAATTGTGAAGCTAAAAGCTGTTCACATTGTATTACTGAAGTAACAAATCATCCCAGTTTTGGAAAAAATATATATATATATGTATATGTGTTTTTCCACTCTCTTCCTCAACTCTGAACAACTTTGCCTAAAAAACAAATGCTCTCTTGAAAACTGATAGTAACTTGTGAGTCACATTCTAATACTTCTTAAACCATATTTTGAGAGGGTAAACTTTTACCTTCCTCAATTTATAACTTATAAAGTATTATTTTTATATTAGCAATTTTATCAAGTAAATCTAACTAGAGCCTTAATTAACAAAGTTATGGATAGTGATATGTAATGAAATGAGTCACTTTTCAAATTTAAAATAACTCTTTACCAAAAGTGTTGTTTTTATTGACAGTACCCATGGCTACATAATAGTGTATTTTTGAGGGTATGGCCTTCCTTAAGGTCTACAGAGTATAAAAGACAATTTATTTGTGCAATAGTTCTTCTCACCCTAAAGTGAAATTAATGAAGAGACACTGCATTTGGTATTTCCTAGAATTCATTTCAAAGAAACTTTTACTTAGTGCTTGCAAGAAATGAACCTTTATGCAATGTATAGGATAATGCAAAGGTGAGTACAATTTGATCTCTGCCCTAATATTTCACAAACCAGAAGGGGAGCTAAGAGACACTGACATAACAGCAATATAAATAAAATGCAAGAATTGCTAAAAAAAAAGTATAAAAAATTGTTAAGGGAACATAGAGGAAATAGAGATTAATGGCTGCTAACCTCAGAAGAAGTTGATATCAAGCCTAATTAAAAAGAAGAGGGTTCAGTAAGGCTGTGTAAGAAACAATGGATTTAAATTGCAGGAATGCATTTTCCAAGTCATGCATTATTCTTTAAATATGGTTGCTTCATGTCTGTATATAATATTTATCTTGCAGGCTGTGTTCAAGGAGTTTTATAAAAACCTAAATCATTATACAGTTCTAAAATACTAAAATTTTAATTACATCATTACTGCTGTGTCCCCAGCCCTATGGCAAGCACTGTAAAGTTTGCAAAAGCACTGTGAATGCTGCCTTGAAGACCTTAGACATTGGGAAGGTAAAGACAAGATACTACAGGATACATAAGGCAGACAATGCAAGGCAACAGAGAGTTAAATGTTGCTGTTGATTTTCTTCACTGTCCATTGATCCAGGCTAAAGCTGATATCCCTTGCACAGACTTCTGCATCAGAGGGCCTGGGATGCTATCCAGGGTCCTCTGTTGTCTGGTCCTAGGTAGAAACCACAAATATTAGGTGTGGGCCTGTTATTGGCCTGAGACTCATAACGCAGTTGCCCAAGGATTTCTTGTGACCCATCTTAAGAAGCAGGAGCCCCAACTGTTCTACTGTATGGGATGCTTTGAAGGAGGCTATAAAAACAAAGATGAAAGAAAGGATTGACTCTTCAGTTCATCTGATGTCCCCTAGTAACATCACAGGTACTGCTTAGATAACAATTACTAAAGAATGTATTTTTTCTTACATAAAAATTATTTTAGAGTAAAGGAGTAAGATACCTCATCTTCCATAAGTATTTGGAATACTTTAAAATACTATAAGTATTTGAAAACTCATGAGCCTGTGTTGGACACGTATCATGTGCCAGTTTATTTACTATTTGTAGGTCTGAAAGGGCAATTAAGCCCCTCAATCACTTTAAAATATATATGAAAACAGACACAGAAAATTTAATCATCTACTCCGGAAAGCTACCTATGCTGCTGCAAGGCTGGAGGAGTGTTGAATGGATCATGGGCTTGGGGCATGTAGGGGATGGAAGTGGAGGGGAGACTGGTGCCAATATACCCAAATATAAGCCCTAGGAGTGTCCAGTTATTTTTCCCCTTTAGGTGATGAGATGTCTTATAGCGTGTGCTCCAAAAGAAAAGTGACTCCATCCAAATCTTCTCTAAGTTTTGCAGATACTTGCTTAAAAAAAAAAAACTTGTCTCACAGAGCCTAACTGCTTTTGGCGAGAAAGTTTAATGCTCAGAGGAGCTGCATCAACTCTCTGGTGGCTGATGTCTTTTTCAGGGTATCTAAATAGGTAATTATGAAGTGGTAGCCAAAGGGCCAGGAGCTCATGTTACTTCCCAAAATGCCAAAATCATCCCAGAAAATACCTTAGGTGTTCAGAATATTGAACCCAATGCAGAAATACATTTATAAAGCAAACTGAAAAAAAGAAATTAGTATTTTTTTGAAAGAAAGAAAAGGAAAATATCAAAAAGTACACTCAAGTAGAATAATTTTTAACTTAATAAACAATGCACATCATAAAGTATGTATTTATTTAGTAAACACCAAGTACACCACAACATCAGTTACAAAAATCACCACCTTGGTCTTGCAAGTGAATAATAAATACAGTGCCTTAAAATATCTGGCTGCCAAGATAGATAAAAGAGCAAAGAAGTCAGCACATACTGACCTCAAACTCTGCAGCCTTCCCCTGCCTCTGGAGGAGAAGGCACACTGGATGCTGAGTGATTAGGCCTTGGAGATAGCTGCAGCACTCTGAGGCACTGAATAATGGATAGCCTGAGAAGCCCTTGGTGGAGGCTGCAAAACTGCCACAGGGGGAGGGGAGGATGCCCAAGAACCTTAAAGGTCTTGCAGTGACCGGGGGAAAAACCAGAGAAGAGATTGGCAATAAATCTTTCAATGCCTAAGAAAACAGGCTACCAGATTTTTTTTAAAAAAGTATGCATTTTAGCCAGAAGAGCATTTGTTCTCTTGTTATCATAGCCACTCATTTGAAATAAATGTATGAATGCTATATTAGATCCAGTCTGAGAAAGACAGACCAAAATTATCTATTCAAAACCATTAGTTGTTTAACCCTGGCTTGCAGATTAGCACAAATTAATTGACAGAACACATTTTGCCGGGAATTTTCAGAAGGCTTTCCAAATGGTTAAACTGAGACACATTATTGATCATCAAGAGTTCCTAATGCAAAGGAAGGAATGCTGAGGTGGCACTACTGTCTACAATAGGTTGCAGTTTACAGCGATAAACTTCCTTTCTGCTATCAAGCCTTCAGCATGCAGTTCACTGTGCAGCCATTATCTTCCCATGCTGACACATGTAATCTAACATTCTCACTTTGCCACAGTCAGAGCAATGGCTTGACAATTTGATTACAGTTTCCTGTCAGCTCGTGCACGGAATATTTCTGAGAGCTTTCAGCAATTGCTAAATATTTTGATTTTGAAATGATAGTAATCCGTGAAGAAAAAGTCTTCAAAATACTGATTTCTGATAACAAATCAAGATCTGCATAAAGGAAATTACTTTAAATGTCTGTGAATAAGTAGGTGTCAGAGGGCAGAAGGGTGCAGGTTCAGTAATTGTAGAAATTACCGAAAGAAGCAGAGCTTGTGACAAAAGAGCCACCATCAGTGTCCAATGGTCTGGTGGAGATAACTGAACTACTACTTTAGTAGTTCAGTATATAACAGGTTTGTCAATGTAGTTTCAAAAACACTAGTCCTCCTTCAAATAACCAAATGTTATTGTGCACATACATCAGTAGAAATTTTGTAGGGAAGGGAAATGAAGACTGAAACTTTGTCATTTAGAAAGCAAATTATCTCTATTTTATAAATAGTAGTGGGTGTGTAATTGTGTAATTAAATAATTTAACCTCAAATGTTAAAGGTCATATCTATATGTGAGCATTTTGGTTCCTTAATACAGCATGGAGTAAGACTTTCTCAGTATATAAGTTAGATGGCCCTCTGTGACCCCCCCAATAGAGATGTGAAATAGGATTTGTCTGTAATTATCGACTTTTTCTCTCGAAATGAGAATATGCCAAGAAAGACCTCCACATTCTTTACTATTTCCTCAGAAATCAGTCATTCAAAATAGTTACTACCAGCTTTTACGAACTTCTACAGGAAGGTAGTTTTTCACAGAATAAGATGAAACTAAAATTATTTTCACAAATGAGTAAGATAAAAATAAGCAGAGGATCACACCAAAAAAATTATGGAATTTTAAATGGAGTAAACTATTCTAAAATGAGAATCTATTACTATAGTTCTGGAGCTAAAGGTAATTTATGGGTAGACCAGTAAAACATGTGTACCTCAATAATGCAATCAATCACTTTCTCTGAAATCTAGTCATTCAGCAATGTAATACTCTAGCATGAATTTAGATTTTTTAAAGCTGCTATTAGTCAAATAGCTTTTAATGACTTCAACTTTTAGACAACAGTTGGGGTTATTAAATCTATAATTTGTCCTATATTTCTTCTTAAACAGACATGAAACTATACATGCTGGCATTGCTTATATTCAGAACAAGGAAGGTAAGTGGTTATAGCACCTGGGCTTTGAACACATGAATTACTCAGGAAAAAGGTTCTGCTGCTGACATTTCTTTTCATTTTTGTACGGTATAATTTATATACAGTAAAATTCACTCTTTTTAGTGTACTCCTCTGTGAGTTTTGACAAACACATTACAGCCACATAACCATAGTCAAAATACAGAACAGTTCAGTAATCCGCACAAATCTCCTTCCCCTCTTGTAAGAAACATTTCTCACAGCCTCAGCCCCTAGGAACCACTATCTGTTTTCCATCCCAATAGTTTTGTCTTTTTCAGAATGTCTTATAATTGGAATTGTTCAGTATCTAGCATTTTAGTCTTGTTTCTTTCACATAGAAAAATGTGATTGAGATCCATCTACATTGCTGTATATATCAGCAGTACATTCTCTTTATTGCTGAGTAGAATTTAATTATATGGATGTATCTCAGTGTGTATTAATTACTAATCCAATGATGACTGATAGTTACTAATATAGCAAATATAAACATTCACATACAAGTTTTTGCGTGAACATAAGGTTTCATTCAGTCAGAATGGCTATTATTAAAAAGTCAAGAAGCAATAGATGCCGGCAAAGTTGCAGAGAAAAAGAACACTTTTACACTGTTGGTGAAAGTGTAAATTAGTTCAATCATTGTGGAAGACAGTGTGGTGATTCCTTAAAGACCTAGAGGCAAAAATATGATTTGACCCAGCAATCCCATTACTGGTTATATACCAAACAGTCACAATAGCAAATACGTGGAATCAACCTAAATGTCCATCAGTGTTAGGCTGGATAAAGAAAAGTGGTACATATACACCATAGAATACTATGCAGCCATAAAAAGGAATGAGATCCTGTCGTTTGCAGGGACATGAGTGGAGTTGGAAGCCATTATCCTCAGCAAACTAACACAGGAACAGAAAACCAAACATCACATGTTCTCACTTATAAGTGGGAGCTAAATGATGAGAACACATGGACACATGGTGGGGAACAACACACACTGGGGCCTGTCAGCAGGGTAGGGGAAGGGAGATTACCAGGAAGAATAGCTGACAGAAGCTGGGCTTAATACCTAGATGATGGGATGATCTGTGCAGCAAACCACCATGGCACACGTTTACCTATGTAACAAACCTGCACATCCTGCACCTGTACCCCTGAGCTTAAAAGTTGAAGAAAAAAATATGGTTGCTTTCAGGAAAGGATTCTGGAAAGATGGAAAAGTAGGAAACAGGAATATGTCTCCTCACCTAGACAACAATAGAATCTGTCCAATATAACTATTTTGGAACTATGGAGTCTGTTGAAGGCTTACAACTTCCAGGGAAAGGCTTGAGTAGTAAATTGCAGTTAATTTCAGCGATTAAGACAATAGCAGCTACCCAGCTCCTACTCCTACCTCTGCAGCAAGCAGCTGTGTATGTGCTTCTGGAACAACCTTCACACACCTTTCAGGAGACCAAGTCTTCCAAAGGATGCTGTCTTCTGATACTGGTAATCTGTGCTCTCATCTGTGATTGCTGCTTTTGATCATAGAGGTATGGTCAGAGAAGAAAGCAGGCATTTTTGTTGCATATATTCCCATTGTTAGTAAGCTGTTCCTCCTCAAGATGGAGTGACTTTCAGGGAATGTAAAGGGCCAGTGTGCTCTTTCTCACCCATTTTCCCTTGTTGGGGCCCAGACATTAACAACAACAGTCAAAAGCCACTGCACAAATGAGTAAAATTAGAAAGTGACCACACATGCCCAGGGAAAGGTGTAAGCTCAGAAATACCCTAACTAAATCTTTACTTTACATCTCCAGCTGATCCTTGGCATGTATACAGCCTATAACAATAAAAGAAAATAAAAACAATAACAAAAAACAGCCAGCCTTAGAGATGATTCCTAGAGTTACAACATTATTAGATTCAAATATCTAGTTCTCAAGAAAAAATTACAAGATATACAAAGAAACAGAAAATATGGCTCATGCAGAAGGAAAAAATAAAGCAACAGAAACTGTCCTTGAAAAAATATGGTGGTAGATCCACAAAAAGCTAAAGGAAAATGTAGAGAAAGTGAGGAAAGCAATGTATCAATAAAATGCAAATATTGATTAAAAAGATAGAAAACCTAAAAGGAAACCAGAAAGAAATTCTTGAGCTGAAAAGAACAAAAGTGAAATGATAAAATCACTACAGATATTCACAAGCAGAATTAAGAAGGGAGAAGAAAGGATCAGTGAACTTAAAAATAACAATGGAAATTATCAAGTCTGAGAAAAAACAGAAAACAGAAAGAAAAAGGATTGAAGAAAAGTGGTCAGAACCTACGAGATCTAAGGAATAGTGAGACACTATCAGGCAGGCCAGCATACATGTGGTGGGAGTTCCAGAAGTAGAAGAGAGTGAAAATGGAGTAGAGAATGTTTGAAGACATATCGGAACAAAACTTTCCAAATTTGATGAGACATGAATAGAAACATCCAAGAAGGTCAACAAACTCTAAGTAAGATTAACTCAAAGAGACTCACATCAAGACATATCACAATATAACTTTAAAAGCCAGAGACACAGAGAGAATCTTGAAAGCAGCAAGAGAGAAGTGATTGTCACAAGTAAGAAAATCTCAATAAGACCATCAGCAGATTTTTCCTCAAAACTTAATGGGACAAAGGCAATGGGACAATATATTCAAAGTGCTAAAAGAAAAAAAAACTAAGAATCCTATATCTGGTAAAATTCTTCTTTAAAAGTAGGAGATAAATTAAGATATTCCTAGATGAACAAAAGCTGAGAGATTTCAATATCTACTCTGTCTGCCCTGCAAGAAATGATCAAAGGAGTCTTTCAAGATGAAGTGAAAGGATGATAGACAGTAACTCAATAATTCAAAGCCATATGGAAAAATAAAGACCTCAGTAAAGGTAAATACGTGGGCAATTATAAAAGCTAGTACCATTGTAACATTGATTTTAATTTCACATGCTGTTTTCTACATTATTTAATAGATTGATGCATTTAAAAGAAGTATGAGTTTGTGTTTAGAAGCATACGATGTATAAAGATATAATTTTGTGATATCAGCAACTGAAAGGGGTGAAGATAGAGCTGTTTAACAAGCAGAATTTGTGTATGTTGTTGATGTTGAGCTGCTATAAATTCAAATTAGGATGCTATAACTTTACATTGTTAAATATAACTCTCATCATAAACAAAGAAAATAGCTATAGAACATACATAAAAAATAAGAAAGAAATTTAAATGTTTTACTATAAAAAAATCAACTAAACAATATAGGAATGCAGGAAATGAGAGATGAAAAGCTATAAGGCGTATAGAAAACAAAAGGCAGAATGATAGAAGTAAGTCTTTCTTTATTAGCAGTTATTTTAAAGGTAAATGGTTTGAAGTCTCTAATCAGAAGTTGTAGATTGGCAGAATGAATTAAAAACATGACCAAACTATATGCTGTCTACGAGAATCTCACTTTGGAACCAAAGACACAAAAACATTGAAAGTAAAAGGATGGAAAAAGATGTACAAATAGTTCTCAAAAGAGAGCAAGGGTGACTATTACTAATATCAGATAAAATAGACTTAAATTTCAAAAGTTTACAAGAGACAAGGTAATTATATATAAATAAAAGATTTAATATAGCAAAAAGATATAAAATGAGAAACATTATTACACCTAGTAAGAGACCATCAAAATACATAAAACAGAAACTGATAGAATTGAAGAGAGAAATAGACATTTCTCTCAAAATAGTTGTACTGTTTTCAGTACTCTGTTCTCAATAACGATGTAACAGACATAATATAAGTAAGGAAACAGAAGATTTAAGCAACTCAATAAATCCACTAGATTTACAAAGTAGATACAGAGCATTCTACCCAAGAAAAATAACACACACATTATTTTCCAGTGTGCTTGAGACATTTTCCAGAACAGACCACACATTAGGCCACAACTTAGTCTCAATAGATTTTGAAAGATAGATATCATACAAATTATCTTCTCTGACAACAACTGGATAAAGATAGACATCAGTAACAGAAATAAAACTGAAAAACTGACAAATGTGTGGAGGTTAACAACACATTCTTAAACAATCAATGGATCCAAAAACCAGTCACAGGAAAATTAAAAATACAGACAAGTGAAAATGAAAACACAGCATAAGAGAAATAATAAAAAGCAACAAAAGCAGGACAAAGAGGAAAATTTATAGCTATAAACTCAATAAAAAAAAATGATAGCAAATCAACACCTAACTTTACAACTTAAGGAACTGCAAAAATAAGAACAAACTAAAGGCTAAGCTAGCTTAAGTAAGGAAATAATAAAGATTAGAGCACAGATAAAACAGATAAATAATAGAGAAACAGTAGAGAAAATCAATAAAAGTCAAAACTGGTTCTTTAAGAGATCAACAAAAGTTTCACACTTAGATGAGCTAAAAAAAGAGAAAAGACTCAAATTACTAAAATCAAAAATAAAAGTGGGGACATTACAACAGATTCTACAGAAATAAAAAGGATTATAAAAGAGTACTACAAACAATTGTATGGCAAAAATTGTATAACTTAGATGAGATGGACAAAGTCCTAGAAACACACAATCTACCCAGGCCAAATTATAAAATATTAAAAATCAGAATATACCTATAACTAGTAAAGAGATTGAACTAGTGATCAAAAGCCTCCCAATAAAAAAAGCCTGGGATATGATGGCTTCACGGATAATTTTATCAACCACTTAATGAATATCTAACACCAATTTTCCAAACTTTTCCACAAAATTGAAGAGGGGGAAACACTTCCTAATTCATTCTATGAGCCAATACCTTCTTGATACCAAAGCCACACAAAGATACTACAAGAAAACTACAAACCAATATTCCCTATAATAATTGGTGCAAAAATCCTCAACAAAATATCAGCAAACCTAATTCAGCAACACATTAACAGAATTGTACCCGAGGATCAAGTGGGATTTATTCCTGGAATGCAAAAAGGGTTCAACATATGAAAATCAATCTACATAATACACCATATTAACAGAATGAAAGACAGAAACTATATAATTATCTCCATTGATGCAGAAAGAACATTTGGCAAAAAAAAAAAAAAAAGCACTCTTTTATGATGAAAAAAAAACTCAACAAATTAGGAATAGAAGGAAACTATCTCAACCCACTAAATGCCAGATATGAGAAGCCCACAGCAAACAAAGCTGTGTTATATATGTATTTATATATGTATATATACATGTGTGTATATATATGTGTGCATATATATGTATATATGTATATATACGTATATATATACACACACACACACATATTTTATATATATATAATTCAGCCTTAGGAAAAAAGGAAATTCTGACATATGCTGCAACATGAATGAAGTTTGTGGACATGATGCTAACTGAAATAAGCCAGTCACAAAAAAGACAAGTACTAGACAATCCCCTTTAGAGGAGGTACTTCAAGATTACAGAGACTCAAAGTAGAATGGTAGTTTTTACGGGCTGGTGGCAGAAGGGAATTGGGCTTTATTAGTTAATGGGTATAAAGTTCCAGCTTTGGCAAGATAAAAAGAGTTATAGAAACTGATGGTGATGATAGTTGTACATTATGAATGTATTTAATACCAGTGAACTGTACACTTAAAATTATCAATATGGTACATTTTGTTATGCATATGTTATCAGAATAATAAAGAAAAAGTGGCTGGTCTCTTCCCTAAAGAAGTACACATTTTAACATAGGACAAGAAGAAATAGAAAATTGTAGCACAATGTGATATGAGGATTAAGATTAAGGCAGTCACCAGCTGCACTAGGAGTGTAAACAGAACGCTTAATACAAAATGATAAAACCTAGTCACCCCTTATAAGAAAAGAGATAAAATTAGTTGGGCGCGGTGGCTCATGCCTGTAATCCCAGCACTTTGGGAGGCCGAGGCGGGTGGATCACCAGGTCAGGAGTTCCAGACCATCCTTGCTAACGCGGTGAAACCCCGTCTCTACTAAAAATACAAAAAATTAGCTGGGCGTGGTGGCGGGCGCCTGTAGTCCCAGCTAGTCGGGAGGCTGAGGCAGGAGAATGGCGTGAACCCAGGAGGCAGAGCTTGCAGTGAGCCGAGATCGCGCCACTGCACTCCAGCCTGGGCGACAGAGCGAGACTCCGTCTCAAAAAAAAAAAAAAGAAAAGAAAAAAAAGAAAAGAGATAAAATTGTAGCCTTCAGGGAGCATATTGTTTAGTAGAGGAAATACAACGTATAAATACATAAATAACTATTTAATTGTCGACATTCCAAATAACATGAAAGAAATTTACAGGAAGCAAGGAGAAGCCATAAGAAGATATAATTTATTCTGGGAGCCTAAGGGAAAACATTCCTGAGAGAGTAACATAAATTGCAAGCTTAATCATAATTAGAAATTAATCTGGGAACAAGAGGAAAAAAGTCCACATTGCAGACAAAGGGTGCACATTTAAAGATTCCAAAATAGGAAAAAATTTGACATATTTGAAGAACAGAGAAAAGGCCATGTCAATAGGGAATTGTGAAGTGGTTTTCTAATTCTAGTTTATATCAGAATTGCCTAGGAATTTTGCTTAATTGTCTACATATAAAAATTCTTAGACAGTAGATCTAAAATGACAACATAATTATGATATGGTCAATCAAGTACCACACTTCAATAAATCCTGAGTAGAAAGAGAGTGGTAGGCTAGGAAACAAAGTAGAAGTAGGACTTGAGTCACTCAGAGTAGGGATAATTGGGCTGAGCTTTATCCTAAGAATCTCGAAAACCCTTTGAAGGACATGAAATAGGGATGAGACATGATCCAGTTTATATGTTTTTTAAAAAATTGCTTTGGCTGCTAAGCAAAAAAAGAATTAGAGGGGCTTCAAGATTGGATTGGAAAAACCAAGCTATTGCATAGACCCCTTAGACAAGGGTGGGGTGTAAAGATATAATAAAAAGAAGTGAGCAAAATTCATAAGGAGACAATTAGTCATAAAGTCATCTAAATACCATAGTCTGCTTGTCTTGTCACTGACAATACCACCAATCAGAAGAGGGGTGATAGCTAACATGAAAATTTCAATCACTTACTAGCAGGCTCTGAACTCTCTGGGTGTGGCTTTGCTATTTCTGTCAGACCTGGCTGTGGTTAACTGAACAATTTCAGAACATTTTTTTTTCTCCTCTGTATTTCAATTCAGAATTTTAAAAGTAGATCAGGGATATTTAAAAACAATTGCCTTCTTAAGTTTCTTAAGAAACTTAAATTGTAGTGAAAGTTCTCTCAAATCCTCTGATCTGTTTCATAAAGCAGTAAGACTAAAATTTATTTTGAAGATGCTCTATATAGATGTATAACTACCCATAATTCAGTTCTGGGATTCTTTTTTCTCTTATGCTACCATATATTTTTCTCCTTACCACCAACACCCCTCCCCATACACATATCCTTAGCTGGTGACATTGCCTGAGGATCGCCAAAAAGCACAACAACACCAATTGATATAATTTCCCTACTCCTATGTATACAGTTATCTACATGAATATAGCCATGATGCAAAGCCATAATTGTGAAACATTTGAGATCATAAGTGTGTTTGTTTATCTACAGATTCTTTTACCTGAAGATTCCGTGTCCATAATTGTAGTATATCTCAACATGTAATAAATAATTGCTAAATTTTTATTCACTTTATTCATTAGATCACTGCCATTTTAGGACAAAGAAAGAGTTGAAGAGAAGAGAGACATGACCCCTCTTTAGGCACCTTTCTTTGAACATTTTTGCACCCGTGGTTTCATCCTTGCCAGAAACTGGAATTTCCTCCTTGCCCTGGTCTCCTGTCCAAATCATTCATGAATTCCCCAAGTCCAGCCCAAATTGTACAGTTTCTCTGAAGCCTTCCCAGATTAGGCCATCCCAATACATTAATAGATGCATTCAGTCAGTCAGCAGGCATTTAGGGAGCACCTGTTATCATGATTGAAAACCTAAACCCTTCATCAACCTCCAGTGCTCACTCACTCTCCTTTTGGCTCCTAAAAGCCTCTTCTCTACTGCGCATTTGACTTTTAACCTTCCCTTGTCTTGTCGAGTTGATTAACTTTTCAAACGCATGTGCCATATTTTCACATTTAAGTTTTTGGTTTCTTGAAGACGTTTCTCACAGCCAAAAGGTAGGAGGCAGAAGTGATTTTTGTAAAGCTACTTTTAAATTTAAAGAAACATATTTTATTATGAGATTATCTCCTTCTTCCTCTTTTATGTTTAAATATATTTTCTCTTTTAAATGCACTCGGTGGCCAAAATAAAACAGTTGGCAATTCTCTGTCAGATTCTCAATTTTTCTTAAAGATTGTAAAATGTATGAGCCTTTAAAACACTGATAAAAATGGTCCCAATATATCTCTTTTCATTCTAAATAGCTATCAGAGTATCTCACACACAGGGAGGCTCAACAAATATCTTAACTAGTTTAATCATTTTTCTATCTGTGAATAATTCTTACCAGAAATCAAACCCCCAGTCTTTACTTTGTTTTTTCCTAGTTCTAACGACTTAGTAAGTGACCAAAGTATATGTTTGCCTGGGGATCTTATAGTGTGAATCAGTGTATTTCCACCATAGTCATAAACTCAAATGTCCTCAGATCCAAGTACATGCACTCAGAAATGGAAAGGGAGAGAGAGAGAAAATTTAACAGAATGACTGTTTCACTTGTCAGTCCACTCACTGAGCATATGCCCAAGAGTGAGCACGGCGTGGAAAAATGGGACGCTGTCTTTTCCTCTGTTGAGTTCACCTCCCACACACCTCTCTTAGTGATCATCTCACTGCAGTTATGAGTATTCTAGTCTTTAGAGATATGTATTGCACATAATAATATCATACCTAAATTCAATGCAGTTACATTATCTAGTGCTCCACTGAAAAAGGGAAAAATAATCTATCTGTTCCAAAGCTGGAGGGAAAAACTGGCTGTCCTGGACTTACTGAGAGATGCATATCAGTTTTGCAATACTTCCTAAGAGCATTTCAAGGGTAAGTTTACCCAAACATTTGCCTTACCTGCTGACTCTAGACATCATCCCCACTTTTGACGTCACTCCACTGCATGATACTCCAGTCTACCCTGGAAAGACTCTTTCTGACTTTGACATTTCATATACCATATGTAGGGTGCGGTCTATTCACAAATGATGGTAGAAAACATCTCAATCACCTGCCATCATTTTAAGGTTTTTAGAGAACTATTATAAATAGCACACACATTAAAAGAAAAATCCCAAATAAGGAAACACTTTAACATAAGGGCCACATACATAGGTGCCAACAGGAGCCTACCAGGTAAGGAAACAAGTGAAGAATCCTGGACTTAAGACTATGTTAGGGAAAGGGGAGGCCAAGAGAGACATGGAGCAGGGGGCCCACTCGGCTCCAACCTCCTGTTTCCATGCAGAAATGTGGGCCAAGTATTGCCAAATACTCCAATTGTTTTTTCAAGAAAAGCTGTAAATCCGGATTTATGTATAAAAGGCTGAAAAGACATTTATAAAATATTAGAGAATTCTCCGGGTCAAGAGCCAAAGGGCCTAACAAGATCCATAAGCCTGACTTATCTCAGTGACCTTTGTTTTCAATCTCTACACTATCATATCCTTATCACAAATGACTGGCTTTTTAAAAAATAAAAATATAAGTATCTGAACTCCTTTGGTGTTTAATTCGTGTTTTGCAAATTTTATGACATGTAGTATCAGTTTTATACCTAGAGGACAATATGGCATTTTGTTGAATCATGAAAAAAATACAACTTTTAGCTTGCTTGAGAGAAAGTATTAAACACCTCCTCATGTATGAGGACATCTTAGCAAGATGCTAAGTCTGTGCCTGAGGTTCTTTCTTTCTTTTAATCAATGAGAAGTGTTTCCAGTTACCTGTTTAGCTAGGAGTTAAGAAATAAAATAAGTGAAATAGTTCCCTATACTTGAAAGACAAATTGGATTTATTCTTCATGGGACCACAGTACTAGTTTATCATCATACACACCAGTAAACACAGTTTGATGATTTTCTATCTTAGGAAAAAAAAAAATCCCTATAGCTCCGAAATCAAGACTTCCATATGAAACAGGAAATTCTCATCAAAAGATGCATTTCTGAGAGAGGAAGTCAGAGCTCTGGCAATACAGTTGTTAGCAAAGATTCATCAGACTTTAATATTCACAGCATCCAAAGCCATAGCTTAGAAGTTGAACCCTTACATCATTATTCTATACATACCAAACCTATTTGCTCGTTTCTGTAATCGTTCATGGAGCACAGAAACCATCAGAAAGGAATAAGTCCAGGAAGACAAATTGTGCTTCTTATGACTATAAGAGATGTAGTGCTCAGTAGAGTGACATTACTTTTCCAGCAAAATAAATCAGAGAACCTCCCCCAAATATTTCAAACCTCAAATCATGAATGTTGTTTACATTTCTTGTTGGTTTCTAGTTTTACATCCAACGTACGGTGGGGAAAAAATATCCAAATCCATTTCTGAAATGAAAGGCAAAAGATGTTTTAAAGTTTGATCTGCCCAAGTAGTCTGGTACTAGAGATTGTAAATCCACCTGCTGTAGAGTCAGTCTTTCTGATGAGCTACACACAAAATAGTTCAATTAAAACTATCCTTTCATCTAGTTATTAAAACTGCATATTAGAGAAAAAATGTAAAATCTAATATGAGTTTAAAGATAGAAAACTTCTCATGTAGTTGGAATGAACTCTCATGAATAAAGGGACAGAAGGTGTAGCATCAATCAAATTGGTATAACTCAGTGGGTGACAGTAAATATCTAGCTATCACTGCCTTCCCAAAATAAAACAGCAGAAATGACCATTTTTGCTTATAAGAAATGAGGAGAGATTACTGATATTAACTAATCTTGGGTTTGTTTGCTTTTGTTTGGTGGTTGTTGTTGTTGTTGTTGTCGTTTTTAGACAGGGTCTGTCTTTGTTGCCCTGCCCAGGCTAGAGTGCAGTGGTAGGATCACAACTTGCTGCAGCCTCGATCTTCCAGGTTCAAGTGTTCCTCCCCGCTCAGCCTTTTGAGTAGCAGGGACTATAGGCACCCACCACCATGCACCTGTCTAATTTTTCTATTTTTTGTAGAGACAGGGTTTTATCATGTTGTCTAGGCTGGTAATCATGGTTTTAAAATGGTTGTTAGTCTGTGTTAGTGTCAAGGTCATCGGAAAAAAGATGTACACATTTATCCCAGCAAACTTACAGGAAGTATTCCCCATGTCCAGTCTTTAGGAGCAGCCATGTCTAAAAAAGAAGCCCTTAGTTACTGTTCTATATTATACCTATTTTATTTTTGAATATTTTCAAATGATTATTTATAGCTCGCATGCAAGAGCTATTTGAACAAATTCCTGCATTTTAATCACACAAGTTCAGAGTTCTATGTTGTATTTTTTTTAATCTTCAGAGATATATGATGCTGGTGGGTTTCAAAGGTCCAAACTAATCTGCACAGTTGGGATGCTATGTGCAATCCAAAGATCATGAAATTAATGAGGTCAACTTTAAAAGGGCTAAATTTTCTTGAACTGGTTTGATTTGAGCAAAAAGAACTCGTTTGCATGTAGTCTTAAAACATTTTTATTAGAGCTATTTAATTTTATGACACTGGTCTAAAAGCCAGGGGGAGTTTTCCTCTCTCTCTCTATCTTCCTCTCTCTCTCTCTCTCTCTCTCTCTCTGTCTCTCACTTATTCTCTCTATGTTTAAATTTAGGATCTGATTTATTTATAATTTATTTCCAAACCCTTTTCTATTAGAATGCTCAAATTTAAAGGCTGTTTGAAAATTAAGGATTAGTTTTGAATGTTGAAATCAGCATGAACTCCAATGCAAACTTTCTGTACACATGCTACATGTTCATTAGCTTCCAAACTTATTTTAGAAGCTCCTACTATGTGCATTTCAAATTTTCACCTCTTCAAGTATGACACTACAAATAAATAAAATTATTATTTCTGACTTAGGTAGCAAAATATATTGGGTTTAATTTTATTTCCATAAATTTGAAGAATAGATTGTTTCAGTTCTCTTATTATTAGTGTTAAGCTAGTCCTCCATGACATCTAATGAAATGATTAATTAGAAAATCATTTGGAACAGTATAAAGAAATATGCATTTGTTACAAATATTTGTATTGCTATTAATCATAACAATAATAAAAAAAGTACACCATTATAATCATAGCCCTTCCCCAGCCTCTGTTCTTTGCCTGTCATTCTTCTATTGCTAAAGTCAACAAAAAATGTTTGGGCACTTACTGTAATTTTAGGCACTTAGAAATAAAGTAGAAGACATTAGAATTACCCTGAAGTAACTTAAAATCTAATTGGGAAGCTATAATACACATACATACACACAAGAGCTTCCGAAAAATCATATATGTATGTGATTAAAAGTCAGAATTAATATAGTATACTGTATTACGTGGGGTAGACACTGAATGTCACATGAAGGCTGAAATATTTTTAGATGAGTAATTGGGGAATCTTTCGCAGGAGGCAACTTTTTGGCTGGCCTTAACATTTGGGTGGAATCTCAGGTATGGGATAGTGTGTACTTGTACACAGTGGTGGTGGGATGGGGGCTATATTTCAGGAAGAGAAACAGTGGGGTCAAAGGTACTAAACTCTACAAACAATTTTTAAGGGACAACAAGGAGATAACCTGGATGTTCCAAGCTAAGAAGTGTGGGTTTTATTTGATAATTAATTAGAAGTTGTATTAGTCCATTTTCATACTACTATAAAGAACTGCCCAAGACTGGGTAATTCATAAAGGAAAGAGGTTTAATTGGCTCACAGTTCAATATTGCTGAGGAGGCCTCAGAAAACTTACAATCATGGCAGAAGGTGAAGGGTAAGCAAGGCGCCTTCTTCACCAGGCGGCAGGAAGAAGTGCCAACTGAAGTTGGGAAGAGACCCTCATAAAACCATCAGGTCTCCCGAGAACTCACTACCACAAGAATAGAATGGGGAAAACCACCCCCATGATTAAATTACCTCCACCTGGTCTCTTCTTTGACAGGTGGGGATTATGGGGATTACAATTCAAGATTCGAGTTGGGTGGGGACACAAAATCTAACCATATCATTCTGCCCCTGGCCCCTGCCAAATCTCATGACTCTTTCATATTTCAAAACCAATCATGCCTTCCCAACAGTCCCCCAAAGTCTTAATTCATTCCAGCATTAACCCCAAAGTCTCATCTGAAACAAGGCAAGTTCTTTCCACATACGAGCCTGTAAAATCAAAAGCAAGTTAGTTACTTCCTAAATACAATGGGGCTACAGGCATTGGGTAAAGGCTTTCACTCCAAAAGGGAGAAACTGGCCAAAACAAAGGGGCTACAGGCCCCATGCAAGTCCAAAATCCAACAAGGCAGTCATTAAACCTTAAAGTTCCAAAATAATCTCCTCTGACTCCATGTCTCACATCCACCATCTTGGCGATTAACATTTGGCTTCTCGTTACTTATGCAAAGTTCTGCAGCTTGCAGCCGGCTTGAATTTCTCCTCAGAAAATGGGTTTTTCTTTTCTATCACACCAGCAGGCTGCAAATTTTCCAAACTTTTAGGCTCTGCTTCCCTTTTAAACATAAGTTCAATTCCAAACCATCTTTCTGTGAATATCAGAAGTGTTAAAAGATTTTTGTATTAAGAGCATATAGGTACAAACTATAATTCTTAGATGTTTAATCTGACAGTATTATAAGAAAATGGATTAGAGGAAGGGGAATCAAATTTTGACTTTTGCAATAGACTAAACCTAGAGTGATGAAGACCTAGACCACAATGTTATCAATAGAAGTTGAAAAAAAAAAAAAGGACAACCAGGAGAGATGTTTTATCTCAAAGATGCTTGATAACGGCTGATTATACAGTATGAGGCTGAAGGGAAAAACAAAGATGGCAAGGCTTAAAGGCTGGGTGTCAGAAAGAATGCTCTACCATTTATTCATTTATCCAAGAATTTTATTCTTTCAACAAATGTCTGTTGAGGGCACATTATTTGCCATATAGTCTACAAGGGCATGGGGGTCCAATGGAGCTTAAAATTTTCCAAGGAAGATAGACATTAATCAGTTAAAGAAAGAAATAATAAGGATGTTTGTGTGTGAGAGTTAAGAAAGGAATTGCTTCTGGCTAGGGAATTGGTTAACAGTACTGAATGTTGCTTAGCAGCTAAAAAATACCTGCCATGGGATTTAGTTACATGATGGGCATTGGTTGCCTTGGAGAAAGTAATTTGAAAAAAGGAAAAGGAATAAAATCCAAATTATTGTCCAATGAGAAGTGAGTGGGAGATGAAAAACTAGAGTATTAATATATACAATTCCATGTGAAACATTTGGCAGTTGGCAGACTAATAAAAACAAATTTTGAAAGGAAGAAATATTTTGTCATTGTTATTGTTCAGAAAGAGAGAGAGTGTGTGTGGTTCGTTTTTAAAGAAACAATGATAAGTTAGTCTTAACCAACTTTTGTGAGGAGATGGCAGACACTTATAATGAAAAGATTCAAGAAAAGAAAGAGAGAGGACAGGGCTGGAGAAATTGATTAATCATCTTAGTGGTGAGAATCAATGTTCTACATGAGTTTTGTCTAAAGAGAGACCAAAGAAGGAAAAGGAACCCAACATTAAGCCTTGGTGACATTTTATTTATAAGAAGGAGAAACTAGAGCTGAATCTTGAGTCTAGAAATGAAGACATAGAAGAGTAGTCCAATGCGGAGGTAGAGCAATAAGGTTAAAACCAAGGAAAGAGTGAGTTTTAGAGAGAAGGAAGACTTCCAGAGCAACATGTAGAAACTGTTAGGTTGTGCTCTATTTGCAATTACCACCACTCAAGAACTATTTATTCAAGTTAAATAAAAGATTTTCTTGTTAGTATATTTTAGAAATGTGGATGACACACTCTCCTGCTGTCTTATCCAGAATGGGTTTTGAAAAAAAAATTATGATAGAAAGTAAAATATGACTCCAAATCTCCCCAACCAGAAATGATCATCAATAATTTTAGGTAAAAGTAATTTCAGCCATCTCTTTATATCTGTACATAGGTAGAAGATTATAAGGATGTATAAAATTAGAGCTGAATGCTAGAGAACTTATTATCTAACAAGACCAATGAGGCTTGATTCTTAGGCAGCTAGGTATAGATAGATACAAATGCTTTAAATAATGATTTTGGAAGAATGGAATTATATCATACAGCTGTTTTTATATGAATATAAAATTCAATTTTTTAATTTAAGAGGGGTAATGCTAGAGTTTACATAAATGTTTCTTCAATAAAGAGATATTAGCTCCTAAAATTGTTCACTTATTTGAATAAAGGTTTAATTAAAATGTTTAAAAAGTTGTAATCCTATATTTTTAACTACAAATTTCAAATTTACACAAATCTATTGTACCCATCATGGTAAATGAATAAACTAGTCTTGGGCTTTCTATTATCTCCCTTCCTATACCTTACGTGATTTTTCTCTATTTTTTTTTCTGTCGTCTACTTGATAGTATGTATATTCCATCTTTTATCTGTAAGTCCCACTAGTTGGTCATAATTTTATGTCTTAATAAATTCAGGGCTTACTTTCTTTATTTTTTTGATATTGTTTTTCTATTCTCAGGTACACTTTGATTCACTTTCTGGCTGGCAATATACAGCCAGTAGTTTTAAAAACAAATCGTTGTTGTTTCATTTCTTGAATTTTTCCATACATGAGGTGGTCTACCTATTGTCATTATACTTACAGGACAAGTGGGCTGGGTATAATATCTTGTGCCACAATATCTTTTTCTTAAAACTTTAACGTGATTTCCCATTGTCTTCTATCATTGATTTCTGTTATAGGAGTTTGGGAAAAGTATGATTTTTAACCTGTTTTATTCCAGTTTGTTTAAATGATTTTTTCATTGACATTGAAATTCCATAGTTTTACCAAGTTTGGCATTGATATTTCTGCATCTTTTTTTTTCCTAGGACATAAAATACCTTTTTGAGCTATAAATAGAAGTCTTTATTTTGTTCAATAACATTTTCTTAAAATATATTTGAATGTTTTTCTTCTTTTTGCCCTATTGTTCTCCTCTCCAGGAATATGAAATACGTTAAAATTAGATTTTTTTGCATTCTCTCTCATCTGGTTGATTATTATTTTTACATCCTTGTTATTTGTCACCTGATTTTGTGTTTACACCATTAAAACCCCCATATCTTTGGCTATGCATTCAGTCACTTTTACTATATTTTAAATTGATTTACAGTATGGCTTTATTTTCAATATGTTTATCTTTCATTTCTTTTCTGAGCACTAACAGCTTGTTTTTAACTTTCTTCTATTGTATTATATGTTCACATATTTGTGCCTGTACATTTATTTTTGACTTATTTGAAAATAGAAACAAAGTTGTGTATCTAAATTCTTTTTGTAGTTTTGATGGTAAATATTTTTATGATATGTGTTTACTTAACTTTCCCTATGCTTGTGTCTATTTCCTTCATTTTCATCCATAGTTTATGTATTGATTTCTAAGTTTTACTCAAGTTTGAGTGAGATTAGATATCTGCTGAAAAATAATACATAAAAGGGTTGGGGAGGATGAGTTATAAGATACAGAATTCTAGAGTCTGGACTAAATTTGTGATCTCAAACACTCTCATACCAAACTATTTGTTTCCTTTTTCTTGAGTGCAGGACTATTTGCTATTCAAGTAGTCACTGAGACTCACAGAAAATCATTTTATGTTAAATGTTCCCTAGGCTGCTGCTTCAACACCTGCCTTACTTTTGGCACTCACCCTTGCATAGCAGGGTAGGCTGCAGTTAATAGAACAGGGAGTATCAGTTTGGTTTTCACTTTGTTGCCACTTCCTCTTCCATTCTATGCTATTAAACTTGTGTTCTACAGGGATGATCTGCACTTTTCTGCAGCCACTGTACTCCCTGAATCTTATCATTTTTTATCAAAGAAGCATTATAAATGCCTTCCTGGACTGTAATATTTACTTTTAGACATTCTATATCCATCCATATTCAAGGAGGCAGGTGTTGGCTCTCAGCATCCTGCCCTGATTTGGTCCAGATTTTACATCATTTGGGGGAAATAGTTTGTAGTTTGAGATTACAGCTATTTCTTTGTTTCATTTTAGCTGGAATTTTTCTTTTTTTAACTTTCTTTTCATTATTTTTCACAGATTTCAGAAAACAAAAAGAATAAAAATGCCTCAGCACTGCCATCTTAAACCTGAAGTTTGGGTGCATTGATTTAAAAGTGCTGCAACAATGGGGCACTTCGATAATTATGCAAAGAAGTACTGCATTATTGTGATTCCTTAAATAGTTTAGGAGGTTGAAAAAAGTACAATCCCAAATAAAGAAACTCTCCTTTTTGAAATTGGGACCTTTAAGGTGTGTAACAGAGAAGTCAAGAGAAAGGACTGGCCTGGATGTAGAGCAAAAAAGTTATCCTTACATCATTAAAAAGTAAGAGAATATCAGATGGATTATTTCTAAAGCGATACCTGTGAACTTTTAAAGTCATGTACCCTTTCATCTATTTGATTTTAAGTGCCTGTCCTAACACTATCTATTTCTTGTTATGAGGAGAAGAAAAGTTTCTGCCTGAAAGATTTTATCCCTTACAACCTACATTCTCACCCAGCCTGACCCTGCAGTGAAGTCAAAATGACAAATTCGTGACATCATAATAATTTTTTTTCTCCAGGAACAAACTGTGAAGCCATTAACACAGGATGGTGACTTCACTGCAGGATCAAACAGAGCAGCTGGCTAGGGAGGGAAGAGGGAGCATTCTTATTCAAACACACATATATCTTCAATAATAACCAGGGAAATTCAGAAAATTACTGTCAAAGTAAATTGCATTTTGTATAAATGCCATCTCCTTTCAAGTTTGCCCCAGCATGATCATCCTTCTTTATTTAGTGGTGTTGCCCTTTTCTCCTTAGAGACCTTTAGCAAAGTCTCCTTTTATATTTCATGTATCTTTAAAATGACTTAAATGAGTAGGAATGGGGCATGCCTGATATTTATTTTTAATTATTTACATAAATAAAGAGGTGTTCTTATTTTATGACAACTGCAGTTCTGAAAATATCTTTTACCAAGTGAATTTAATGTTCAAGTTAGTCTAAAGCACTGAATAGGTAATAGCTACTCAGTGGTTAGTTCACCCAGCCAAAAACTGTACATTTTGATTCACAAGAAATCCCTTGAGGTGACAATTATTTTTCAGTAATTATTATTTATATCTCTATTCTAATCTATGCTACACATGGTGAGGGATAAAAGGTAATACAGTCATATGCCATATAGTGATGTTTTGGTCAACAGACTACATAGGTAACAGTGGCCCCAAAGATTATAATATAGGTGAAAATTTCCTATCACCTAGTGACATGATAACCATCATAACATTGCAGCTCAATGCATTACTCACGCAAATCTATAATGAAAATGGAGAAACAAACCAAGCAGACCACGATGGACATATTTCTGTAATGAAAGAAGAGCCTTAGGCAAGTCTTTCTTGAAGCGTTCCAGAAGACAGCATTGTGATCATAGGAGATGACAGCTCCATGCATGTATTGCCCCTGAGGAACTTCCAGCAGGACAGGATGTGGAGGTGGAAGACAATGATATTCATGATCTTGACCCTGTTTAGACCTAGGTTGTGTTTGTGTCTTAGTTTATAATAAAAAAGTTTAAAAAGTATATAAATTTTTTTTTTTTTTGAGATGGAGTCTCGCTTTGTTCCCAGGCTGGAGTGCAGTGGTGCGATCTCGGCTCACTGCAAGTTCCGCCTCACAGGTTCACGCCATTCTCCTGCCTCAGCCTCCCAAGTAGCTGGGACTACAGGCGCCCACCACCACGCCCGGCTAATTTTTTGTATTTTTAGTAGAGACGGGGTTTCACCATGTTAACCAGGATGGTCTCGATCTCCTGACCTCGTGATCCACCCGCCTCGGCCTCCCAAATAGCTGGGACTACAGGCGTGAGTCACTTCGCCTGGCCTATAAATAAATTTTTAAAAAATTGAAAAAAACTTAGTATAGCCTAAGAATATAGTGTTTATAAAGTCTACAGTAGTGTACAGCAATGTCCTAGGCCTTTAAGTTCACTCACCTCTCACTCATTGCGTCATCTAGAGCAACTTCCAGACAAGCAAGCTCCATTCATGCTAAATGCCCTATATAGGTGTAGCACTTTTTAATCTTTATACTGTATTTTTATTGTACCTTTACGATGTTTATTTTCTTTTCCTAGCCACTAGATGATTGAGGATCTATGTTTAGATGTGTTTAGATACTAAATACTTAGCATTGTGTTTAAATTGCCTACAATATTCAGTACAGTAATGTGCTATACAGGTGCATCAACTAGGAGCAATAAGCCATACCATAAACCTAGGTGTGTAGTAAGCTATGCCATGCAGGTTTGTGTAAGTACACACTATGATGTTCACACGAGGACAAAATCATCTGATGACACATTTCTCAGAATGTATCCCCATCAATTGATGCATGATAGCATATGTTCTCTGTACTTAAGAGACAAGGTTAATATACATGACAAACTAAACAATAATGTAAGTAAATATGAATACTACCAAACAGACCACACATGCCAGGAATTCAGTGGAGAATCTCATGAGCGTGAAGGACATAGGGATTAAGAATCCAGGCTCTGAAGTGGGTCAGCCCAAGGCTCAAATCTCAACTCTGCAGCTTAACTGCTATATGACTTCGTTTCTCAAAGCTGTGATGTCCTCAGCTATAAAGTAGGTGAAATTGATACCTATGTCACAGGGTGTGGTTGTGAAATGTAAATGAGTAATGCATGGAAGGCACATAGCAAAGTGTGTGACACAGTGAAAACCTTCAGAAAATGTAAAAACAAAAGTGAGCCGCAACTTGAAATCAGTTTGCCCTTAGAATTTTAAGTCAAAACAAGATTTAAAAGCCAGAAATCTTAGATCATTATTTTGAGAATTCTCAGAAGGAAGTGATTGATAAGATGTATACAATATATTTGGGAAGCAAGATGTAAATTAACCTATAAAAGGAAAGACTCACAGAAAGCAGTGAAGAAAGATAGGGTGAAATTAGTAGACTGGGGTTAAACTCTGGGAAACATTGAATTCAGCCTACATTTAGAGTGGATCCTTTATTATATTATTTATTCCATAATATTTATTGAAAACTTACTCTTTTTCTGACAGTCATCTAATAACTGAGGATATACTAGTAACTGAGATGAATAAAGACCCTGTCTTTATGAATCTTATATGAAGTGAAGATATTGATGGCTCTGAATAAGGACATAATGTAATATAATTTATACTTTAGAAATATTAATTAGATAGTTATAATCAGAAGACATGGATGCATACAGGGACCAGAGTTTTCTTGTGGAATGCTACTGTAAAGATGCAAGGTCAATGGAAGGAAATTCAGTATAAGACTAGAGACAGTGAGACTAGGAAGAAAGGTTTTAATTTGAGAAAGATAGAAAAGAAAAATAATTGTAAGAATTAGAGACTGATTGAATGTGAAAATGTCGAAGTTCAGAGGAGATTCTATTCTTATTTTAAATGCAATAGAATATTCAGGTGAAAATTTAGTAGATAAATTCCATGGGTGGTTTGTGATTTCCCTCCTGCCTTCTTCTCTTTTCCCTTCTTTATTTCTTTCTTACATTGTTTTTTGGAAGTTGTTTTCGTAGTAATGATGGTTGGAGGTGTGAGTGGATAAAATCTTTGAAGGTGATGTTAACAGATAAGAGACAAGGTGGGAAAATATCGCATCAGATATTCTGGAAAAGAAAAAAATAAAGCGGAATGGAAAACATAAAAGAAATAAAAATACATAGTTCATAATATTTCATAAATACCATGGGAGGAGTTTTGTGATAAAGTGGTCAATTGTGTTAAATGTACCCAAACATCAAGAAAAATGAGAACAAAGAAAGGACTGTTGTATGTGACAAATGAAGAGGTCAGTGGAAGTGATTTCAATGAGCAATCTCACTAGGGTGGCGAAAGAAATCATTAGATTGCGGAAAATGAAGGCAACAGACAGACCCCACTCATTCAATAAGTTTGGCATTAAAAGAGAGAAGTGTGTCTCAAGTGCCAAACAGATGAGTAAGTCACTAAGTCACTCTTCTCTTCCATTCCAGATGTTAACTGTAATCCCAACCAATCATTTCAGAAGTACCTGCTTTTGATTACTGGGAAAACTAGTGAGCAGAAGTAAACGGCTTGATGCAGATTCACCACCCATGAAAGAGAAGAAAAATACTTTGTAATGATGTCAAGTAATTACATTATCTTTGTAGTTACAGCATTCAATTAACATTTTTAATATTACACAAAATTCTGAAGCCCTTGAGGGAAAGGAACTATGTTTAGAAGAAAAAGTAAAAAAGACAACCTCTGCCTGCTACCTGTTGAAATACTCTCATCTGTACAGAATTCTAGGAGAATGTCTGCCCATCCTATACAGATTTATGAATAAGCTTCTTTATTACCAGATATCTTTCCTTCTTGAGGATGACAGAAACCTACAGCTGTCAATAGCTAATAAGGTTAGTTTTCCTGCATCACAATCCACTCTACAGTGTGTTTTCCTTGTAAAATCCCAAGAGAAAGAAAAAACAAAAGCATAAGATACATATCTGCAGCCGACTGCAGTGAAGCTGTCAAATATCCAATCTGATTTGTCCCTATCTCATGTCTGAATTAACTCATACAGTTCTGAGGCATTTCTGTCTGTCAAGGTGAGGCCATAAAAACGTGCCACACTTATCACCCCTTTCAACTCCTATTATCCCAATGTGCATGCAGTCTGGCTTATTCCGATTTGCATTTCTTGATTAGATACAACCTACAGCATTACTTCTGAAAACCCCAGCCCCTAATGATGGAGAATTAGAGACCCTGAAAGATGATCCATCCATCAAGTCACTGAATACTTATAGTCCAGGAAATTTTTTATTGTACCAAAACTTATGCATATTCTGAGTCCCATAGAGAGAGACAGGCTGACTTTTGCTATTTCTTTTTGAATTTTGTATTATAACAACGAGAAGTCTTAAGAGTGCTTGTCGTTGCCTTAGTTTTCTCCCCTGTGTAGAGACTATAATGAAAGAATCGCTTCTACATGCAACACATTTCCCTCAAATATCTTACCTCTTGGTCACAGATTCATGTTTTCTATACTAGTGCAAAAGAAAGTCATGGCCTACACTAGCTCATGATCTTTTAAGAACAGAAATCATCATGAACATTCCTATCACCATGAATTTATTTAAAGAAATGTTGGAATTGTAGCACATGACATTTCTCCTGCAGTTCAAATCCAGTTGGGAAAAAAATCATCCTGTAGAGAATATATAAATGAAAAACATAAAACATAATCATCCTTATGAAATAAATTGGCTTCAATCTAATTATGATTAAATGTCTCTGTATCATCAGTGGCAGTCCAGTTGCCACGTGAAATAGAGAAATAAAACTGGCAAAACTCACGGTGACCTCTCAGTTTAAGCTCAAAGTACACTAAGGTATCAAAAAGACCACAAAGAATGTGTCCCAAAGTCTCCTTTATGAAGACTTCACAGAGGCCCTTCACTAATCTCCTGGGAACTGCATTCAATATTAAAATATGTCCAAAATATGGTGACTCCCTCAGGGTGCTTACAGTTTTAAGAGGAAAACTTGCGCATGTAAAGTAACTAGATAATTACAAAGCAATGTGTAATGATAATTTGATGTTTTACATGTGCCCTTTATGTTTAGGGGAAATGGAACATAAGCGTGTACACAATGTCATAGGAAGAAAAGAGTTTTGGGTCCCACTTGAGAAAATGATAGAAATAAGTGGGTGAAGAGGAGGAGAAAGGAACAGAGATGAGAATGATGGTAACGTAAGAAAAAGATAAAGTAATAAAATATGAGCTGGGGCATGTCAATCAGGTTCCGTATTTTAATAACAGCCAGGCATCAAACTAACCACTGGTAAGGACACAAAGTTACATGCCAAAAGTCACAGAGATGATTCAGAGATCATCAGAGACAGATCCTTTATATATGTATAAAATATAGTATAATAATACACTTATAATGTCTATATAATGTGTTACAATAACGCCATAGAAGTGCTATAACAGCATTGGACCCATTATGGATATAGGGACACAAAAAGAACAGATTTTATGCCAGGAAAATACCGAATAGAGAGGCAATATGCTCAGAAAAAAATGTGGAAGAAAGCAGCTTATCAATTCACAAGTGATTTGATAAAAATTCTTAAAATTTTAAAGAGAATTTACCACTTCAGAAGGCTCGTCTATGATTTCTTCAATGATAATGGTCGCTCAATCTATTTGCACGTTAGCATTACTTGTGGAGATTTACATACTATCAGTCAATATCTCAGGTACAAGTATTGGTAAGTTTTAAGTGTTTCCCGGGTATTCGTTACGTGTAGCAGAAGTGGAGAATATTGCATCGAATGATGAACCAATGAGGTAAGTAGAGCAGGTAACACTTACTATATTCATTGGTACGTGTGAGTTGAATAGGCGAGGAGTGTCCCACTCCCACCATGGACCTTTAGAGTCCTGGCAGCAGGAAACCCCACAATCCGCATGGACACTTTAGGTGGCAGGTAGAACTGCTTAGAGAGCTGTAGGTGTGGGACTCCAGCCTGGGCAGAGCCCAGAGTGTTTGATGCAGGAACATCTGCAGTGGAGCACAGCCAGAACACCTATCCACCAAGGCTCACCATGATCCCGTAGGAGACTTTGGCCGCAAGGTGTCTGTCAGACCTGGACAGAGCAGGGTGGCCTTGCCTATGAGATGAGACCAGTCATATCTGAGCTCCCCTCCTATCTGCTGGCCTTTCCAAGAACTCCAGCCTGGCCACAACCACTGGCAGTGCAGCATCAGATTCTCAACAAAGTCTCTTCCTGGGTGCCCTCATTATAGCTCCTTCATCGGAAGACCACTCCTGACCATTGGAGAGCTCCAGCAGAGCAACGTCCACTGATGTGCACCAGGCCACCCACATCCTGCCTGTACCACCGCCTCCCTCATGCTGCTGAAAGGCACTAAAAGCAATTACAACAAAAACAAAAATTAACAAATGGCACCTAATTAAGTTAAACAGCACTTGCACAGCAAAATCAACTATCAACAGAGTAAACAGACAACCTGCAGAATGGGAGAAAATATTTGTAAACTATACGTCCAACAAAGGTCTAATATCCAGAATCTATAAGGAACTTAAGCAAATTAACAGGCAAAAATCAAACAACCCCATTAAAAAGTGGGCAAAGGACATCAACAGTTTTCAAAAATAGACATACATGTGACCAATAAGCATGTGAAACAATGCTCAACATCACTAATCATTAGAGAAATGCAAATCAAAACTACAATGAGATACCATCTCACATCAGTCAGAATGGCTGTTATTAAAAAGTCAAAAGTAACAGATGCTGGTAAGGTTGCAGAGAAAATAAAACTCTTATACACTGCTGGCTGGAATGTAAATATTTCAACCACTGTGGAAAGCAGTTTGGCGATTTCTCAAAGCTCAAAAAAGAATTGCCATTTGACCCAGCAATCTCTGATTGGGTATACACATAAAGAAATAGAAATTGTTCTGCCATAAAGACACATGTACACATATATTAATCGCAGCACTCTTCACAACAGCAATGGCATGAAATCAACCTAAATGCCTATCAGCGTTAGACTGGATAAAGAATACTACATAGCCATTAAAAAGAATAAGATCATGTCCTTTGCAGAGTCATGGATTGGAGCTGGTGGACATTATCCTAAGCAAACTAATGCAGAAACAGAAAACCAAATACTGCATGTTCTCATTTATAAGTGGGAGCTAAACATTGAGTATACATGGACATAAAGAAGGGAACAGCATACACTTGGGCCTACTTGAGGCTGGAGATTGGGAGGAGGGAAAGGATTGAGAAACTACCTATTAGGTACTATGCTTATTATCTGAGTGACAAAATCATCTGTATACAAATCCCTGCGATATGCAATTTACCTATCTAGCAAACCTACACATGTATCCCTGAACCTAAAATAAAAGTTTTTAAAAAGGTAAAAATGGCTGACATAAGGTCGCATGGCTGGATAATGGTAGATCCTGACATGGAGTCTCCACCTATGCTCTTAGAAGGAGTTTACACTGCTTTCTTTATACTGCTTTCTTATATTAGAAACATTCTGAATAGCTGGACAACTTGCAAAAATGGTCTTTGAGGTACATGAATCTACTTCCTGTGAGCAGTGCTGAGTAAAAAGAGCCTGAAAGCCTGTCACTTAGGAATATACTACAATATCTTGGATACTAGGGGATGCTGGAGATGTGTGCAGGCATAATTCATAAACGACGATATGCATTGACCAGATAGCAATGTGAAGTCAGGTTTACATCTTCAAATTTGAGGCATTTTCCAAAACCTAGAAAATTAAAAGCCTACTTTTACAGTCTATTTATATATCTTTAGACTCATAATTATTCTAATCAGTGGTCAGCTTCAACTTACTGGTGATGGCTATGCAAATCAAACCTGAAAGCACAACTGTAGGTCAATGAATTGTAATTAAGTTTGAAACATTTCTACCTTGTGAAGAAAATGCAATACCTTCCAGTTGATTAGATACCTGGAAATGTCTGTTAGATAAAAATTCTGTCTCATAAATCACTGAGAAAAGAATGAGTCACAATTACTTGCAGAAATATTGCTTAATCTCAACACTTGTGTGTGCATTATTAATTAATAACATACATTGCTCATAAACTACTTTTAATGCTTGTTATCAAGTACAACAGTTGACCTTGAATAGATTCATCTTTTATGAATTGCCAAATGGCAATATTCTTCTAGATGTAAATGAATTTGACAGATAAAAGGATTATATTTGTGTGTTTACTCTTAAATTTCTGAAAAATTTGAAGATTTATGCTATGGTTTTATGAAGAAATTCTTTATACTGGTAAGGACTGAATTGATTTAATATGAAAACCCATGCTTGAAAAGGATTACCCTTCAGCTCAGAATTTAGTTCCCGATAGAATTAATAAAGAATGTGTTATGAAAGAGAACTGGTTGACCTCCTTGTTATTAACTTGAATTTACTCATAGCTTCTTTTAGAAAATTGTTATGGAGCTATGATATAAAATCTAAGATTTGAAATACATAATTATATTTGCCAGTATGTAGCTACTTTTTATTATTATTTCGAATGTGTGTAAGTATTTGGGTAATGAGTTCTTTTACCATAAGTTTGTTACCTGCAGTGTAAAGCAGTGCTTCTATTTATTTGAAATGTTTGAAATGGGCCGGGCGCAGTGGCTCACGCCTGTAATCCTGGCATTTTGGGAGTCCGAGGCGGGCGGATCACGAAGTCAGGAGATCGAGACCATCCTAGCTAACACGGTGAAACCCCGTCTCTACTAAAAAAAAAAATACAAAAAATTAGCCGGGCGTAGTGGCAGGCGCCTGTAGTCCCAGCTACTCGGGAGCCTGAGGCGGGAGAATGGCGCGAACCCGGGAGGCGGAGCTTGCAGTGAGCCGAGATTGTGCCACTACACTCTAGCCTGGGCGACAGAGCCAGACTCCGTCTCAAAAAAAAAAAAAGAAAAAGAAAAGAAAAGAAATGTTTGAAATGTTATGAGTGCTAACAGTTAGTCACTTGTTGTATAAAGACAGATATGCAACAGAAATACCCTACATAAAGCAAGTTCAGAAAATGACATTGAGCAAAACCTGCAAGAAAAAAAAGCAGCCAAAAATTGCAGCTCTCTACAACTCTCAAGAAATTAGTTATGAACAGCTGAGTTCTCTATATAGCTAAAATGTACTCCTTTAAGCTATAAAATTTTCTTTAATAGTTATGAAGTTAATACCTGCAAGAGCCATGCAAGCTAAAGACGACGGCTACTCAGTCTCAATTATTTGTTTGTGCGTTTTGTTTGTTTTTATGCTAAAAGTAGTTACTGAAACATAAGATGCTTACAGCAAAATATAGAACTCTTAAGTGTATAGCTTGATTAATATTTACAAATGTATATAACTATCACTTGGATCGAAATAAAGAATATTCCCATTTGCCCACAAATTTTACTTCCCAGTCAATTCCCCTGCCTCCTCCCCTACCCCAACAACTGCTATTCTGATTTCTAGTATCATAAAATCAATTTTTTTGTTCTTAAACTTTATTTATAAAGAAATCATGTACTTTTTTTGCCTGGACTCTTTTGTCCCATTATAATATTTTTAAGATCTATCAATGTTGTATCAATAATTTTTGTTTCAAAAGTAAAATTGTTTTATAAGACAATAAGCAATACTGTTAGGTAGTATTCTCTGTATGGCTATAACAGTTTGTTAAACCATTCTTCTGTTAATCAATGTCTAGGTTGCTTTCAGTTTGAGGCTACTATGATTAAAGTTGCAATGAGTATTTTTGTGGATATGTACATCTATTTCTCTTGGTTAAATTAGGAGTGGAATTTCTGGGTCATGCTTTAGATGTATATTTAACTTTATGAAACACAGTCAAGCAGTTTTCCAAAATGATGACATGTTTATTCCAAATAATAATGTATGAGAGTTCTTATATATTTGAATGTTGAAAAGTGAGAATATGGGTTCATTATTACCATATCTTCTAATTGTTCCAAGAAATCCAGAAATTCCAATTTATAGGTGAAAGTTACTGATTTTTAAATACTAGTGAGTAATGCATTGTTCTAATAAAGTGACCTAAGCAGATATATTAACCAGCCAGAATCTTCCCACGGCCACCGATTTGATAATTTTGGTGCATTACATACTTCCTTAACTTCTTAAATAAAGTAATCTTATCAGATTGAATATTTCTTGACAATTCAGGCTACTTATAAATATTAATTATTATTCCATATTTTTATAACTTTGTATGTTGTTGGAATCTATTGAGGTACAAAAGGTCTTTCTCAATACAAGTAATCCCCATCATCCACGAATTTATTCTTTTACATCACTTTTGCCTTTTATAATTTTTCTGTCTCCTTTGTTGTCATTAAGCCATTAGCTATATTCTTGATGATAGACATATGGTCATTCTTCCCATTTCTAATTTACTGCAAAAATATCATTTATATGAATCCAGATAATGACTTTTTCTTAAAGAACTACGTGTAAAATATGGACAAATAAACTTTGAGTGAAGGCCTAAAAAATACCTCTAAATTAAAGTGGGAAAATTTAGGATATAGATTTTGTGACATCTAATTTTCTGCTTATAAAGGCCTATTTGTTTTCTTGTACTAAGCCAAGTTAGCATAAGCTAAAGAAGGGAGTTAGCAAGAGAGCTAAATTTTTAGATAGCTACAGTGTTAGTTGTATCAATGAGGGATTTCAAACAAGGACAAAGATATAAATAAGGGATTAATAGGCAGAAGTGATATGATGTTCCATAATGTAAGTTTCTTCAGAAAAAAATAAGCGTTTCCATGTTAGCCTTTCATTATACAACAGTTGTATTTTATGATATTTATCGTGAATATTTATAAACCGAGGCTGATAGAAACAATTGGTTCTCAAATGATGGTTAAATATTTTTTGGGAATGCAGAAAATACTCCCAATTTCTGGTTTAATTTTGTAACAATAATAGCTAACAGCAGTCGAGTGGTTCATGCTTGGCCCCATCTAAGCATTTTATGTGCATTGTTTGATCAGCTTTTCACAACCATTCTACCAGTATAGTAATTATCATTAGGCCCATATTCAAACTGAAGAGACTGCAGCTCCAACAAGTTAGTCAATGGACTAAACTCACTCAGGTAATAGGTAGTGGAAAAACAGGTGGTGGAAGGAAAAATTGAACCCAGAAATTTTCTTCCAATGCCCATTATATTATTCACAAAGTAACATGCTTCTGTGTCTACACCTTTTTTTTTCTAGGTCAAAATTTTAAGAAAATACTTTAATGGCACATTGCAACGACTTTAATAGCTTGCTATAAATCATTGTCCTGGTTCCCTATGTTCTACTATAAACTGACAGAAATCATTACAGAATGAGCAACATATCATGTGTAGGCTTTTTGTTGTTGTTGCTGTTGTTTGTTTTTGTTTTTTTTGAGACAAGTTCTCACTCTGTCACCCAGGCTGGAGTACAGTGGCACTATCACTGTTCACTATAGCTTTGACCTCCCAGGGCTCACATGATCCCCTAGCTCAGCCTCCCAAATAGCTGGGACTAAGGTGCATGCCACCATGCCCAGCTAATTTTTGTATTTTTTGTAGAGACAGCGTTCATCATGTTGCTCAGCCTGGTCTCAAACTTCTGAGCTCAGTGATTTGCCTGCCTTGAACTCCCAAAGTGATAAGATTACAGGTATAAACCACTGTGCCTGGCCATAGGCTATTTTATAAGAAGCCTTTGTAGTAGAGGACAAAATCGTGAATCCACTGTGCTTGCTTACATAATAGATGCCTTTGAGGTGTTATAAAGAAGACTATAAATGGTCCATTCCATTTATTTCCATAGCCATATTTGCAGTGTATTCACAAGTAGACACTGACTACGTAAGTTAGTTTGACATCTCACTCAGAAAATCAAGTGATTTGCATCCATAGGTACTTAAAAGAGAACAATTAGCTTTCAACTAGAAAAAAACTCTGTTTAATTGTACATAGACACAGTACAAGTTGCAGTGTTCCCTCATGTTAAATAATTAATCGCATATCTCTAAAAATGTTCCACTTACTGTTGTACTGAGAAGGCCTTTCCATGTTTGCTTGCTAGTTCACAAAGTCCTGCCATTCTGGCAGCTATAATTAGGAATGAGTAGGATTTCTAAATTTGAAATATTATTTGCTTGGCAATTAACATAACTTTTAATACAAATGTGTGAGTGGGTTTGAATATGTTCTTTAAAAAAAAACTCCCACGAGAATTATAAAATATAGAATCCTTGAATGTAGACATTCTCCACACTTAATCTTAACTAAACCTCACACCTCTTCTGCTTTTTCTGGAATTGAAAAGGTCAACTAAGATGAAGGATGCTCCCTGTTTGGAAAGGCAGCCTCTACTGGGCTTTCTACACCAATCTTGTGTTCAACTAGGCCTTCACAAGAACCTTGCCAAGGGTTTCATGACTCATTCAGCAGCTCACTGGGTCACTACAGAGTGCTAAACATTGTACTAGCTTCTTCAAACACAAATATGAGTAAAGAAAATATTCACCTTTCCATAGTGACTTAACAACTTCTCCCAACAGCTAAAAAGATACTTTAAAATTTACATTATTCTTTTAAAAAGGTAAAATAAAAAGAGTACTACAAATGGGGCATTTTAGATTCAGATACGAATTTAAGGCACTCTTGTTTAACAGAGTGCATATTAAAGCTTGCCATGATACCTTGAAATAATAATCATTTTTATTTGATTGTATATAAGAAACTTTAAATAGCTGTTACAGGGGAAAAGGCTGAATAGGACTAATGATTCTGATAAATAATATCAGATTCAGATAAATAATATCTTTTAACAGAAAGGCCAGTATTATATATTGTATAGATAAAATATTTGATGCAAGGGGACATCAGGTTAGGAGTCCCATCAGTTTACAAAAATCAAAGTTCATTTTCTGAATACTTCTGTTTATATCAGTATAGACATACATAGCAATTGCTATTATTAGAAACAGTCTTTGAGGTTGTTCACGCCTTGACAATATGTTTTGACTAAGCATTCCGTATTAGGTCTAATTAAGCAAATTTAAGCATATAAATGCTTTCAGTTCCACCAGGAGTTCTTTCAGTGCTTTAAAGACACCCCATTGAGAGAAGATATGGCCCTCTCCTCCTATCATAAATAAGGTCCCATCAAATCTCCTTTGTGAAAGTCCTAAGCAAATTGTATGTAAGAAATATTATATTTTGCTGCTGTTTCACTGGGAGATTAATAGGTTCTCAGTGGGATTGCTCAAGTTTTTTAATGCATTGTATTTTTATACGGGAAACAGATCACAGCCATTGTTCTTCTTAAGGACAAAACAGAAAGAAAACAGAGTAAGAGTTAACACATACTGGTTTTATAGCATCTAAAAGGAGTAAGTTCCTTATAGGAGCAACTGATAATTACTGGAATGTATTATGGAAATTTGTTTCTCTGGAGGTGGCAAACTGGTGGCCCGTGGACTGAATCTGGTCATCAGATATATTCCTCTTTGCTTGCACAATATTTTAAAACATTGAGACATATCATGTAAAAAATCTGATTTTATGCTTCTCTCAAATGATCTGGTAGCCCTGTGCTCAAGTAACTAGCTGACTACAACCAGCTGGAGATGAGCATTAGCTGTCCCCTATAGATTGGACATGCTCTCTCCAGTTTACCCTGGTTCCTTTTGATTTCCAATGCCTTATTGTCTGCCTCTCAAAGGCAGCTATACTTTCCACTGCTGTTTCATCCATCCATTCTAGCTGGTCATGATGTACTAAATTTTTGCTACTGAAGTTTCAAAAATGTATTAATTTTCCCTCCTCCTCAATCTTAACAAAATGCAGAGAATGAAGTAGCAACTAGAAAACTCAAAAGTTTTCAATCTCCAAAAACAGGAGAAGGAGGAGAGAAAGAGAAGAGGAAGAGAAAGAGGAAGAGGAAGAAGAAGAACAACAACAACAACAACAAAAACGACAACAACATAGGCAACTCCAAACAGCCCCATATAGTCCAAAATATCTGGAAAATCGTAAGTTTTAAAATAATCAGTTAGAAGCATTTAGTGTCTTTGGTATGCGTCTTTGGCCAACAGCATATGGGTTAAAAAATATTTAATTCATTCCTACCTTCATGGTAAGTGCTGGATGCAAATTAATATAATACATGGTGAAATCTTAGAATCCCTTAAGGTCCCATCTTCTTCTTAAGTCCTGTGTTGCTTTTCAGATGTAATTAGATAATGTCTTGTTTGAAAAAGCAAAAAAATGACACACTTCCAATAAAAAATAATTTCCTGGGGCCATGATGGCTCTGCACTGAGTAAAACCTGGATCATTCTAGTATTCAAGTTCAGGAAATTGGAAGAAACAGAAACCCAAGCACTGTACCAAAGCCATTTCTGACATCAATGTCTGGAATAAGTGATGTACCCAGAGTATTTGAACCAGAGTAGGCCAATTGTTAATACCCCATCCTGTACAGGACAAAATTATAGCACTTATAATCATGCAATGAAAGGAATACTGATAATAGCCAATCGAGAAATCAGATGAGAATTTTCTTTTATTGAACTGTATGTAAAATTACACCAGTAAAAACATTTTTTTAAAAATAAAATAAATATTACAGCATAAAAAATAAGGAATTAATATTTTAAGGGGAAAATACTTCTATTAGTCTGTAGCAGTAACGGATAATAATGTTGTAATGTTTATTAAGTATATTCAATAAAATCAAAATATCTCACAATTTACCACAATGTAAGATTTTTCTTTATTTATTTTCTACTTTTATTTTTCATTGTTATTATTTTTTTCATTTCATATTCATTTTTAATGTGACCTAGGAAATAAACTCTTGTAAATGTCTTCCAAAACCATTTCCTTTTTTTGTTGTTGTTGTTTTGTTTTTTTGTTGTTGTTTTTTTTAATTATACTTTAAGTTTTAGGGTACATTCTCAGCAAACTATCGCAAGGACAAAAAACCAACCACCACATGTTCTCACTCATAGGTGGGAATTGAACAATGAGAACACATGGACACAGGAAGGGGAACATCACACACGAGGGCCTGTTGTGGGGTGGGGGGAGGGGGGAGGGATAGCATTTGGAGATATACCTAATGTTAAATGACGAGTTACTGGGTGCAGCACAGCAACATGATACGTGTATATATGTAACTAACCTGCACGTTGTGCACATGTACCCTAAAACTTAAAGCATTTTCTACTTTTAAAACAATGGTTAATAATTTTAAAAGAATAAATTTCATTTTTAGAATACATTATTCAAATTCCATAAAATATTTAATGTATAGATTAATATTTGCACTTTCCAAACACATAGAGTAAAATATTACTCTTGTTTGTGCTCTGTTTCACTGTCCTAAATTTTAAACACAAATAAACACTATAAGGGGTCACGTAGAATAACGAAACTAAAATAGCCCGGCTTCTCTTTCTTTGTTTTGACAGCCAATGTGCCGGTGACTGCCTGCATCCCAACAATGACTCCCACTACTCTGTCCCAGCTCCAGCTTTCTACCTCTGTCCTGACAGGAATGCTCCAGTGTGGCTGGAAGGAGAGAGAACCAGAGCAGTATTCCTGGTCAGCGCATTCCTGTAATGATTCATTCAATCTTGTCTGCTCCCTTGGCTCTTGGGGGAAGGGGCAAGACTGCATGCCTTAGCCCTTCATTCTAGCAGCTAGGAGACTGCATGAGCAGCAGATTTTCAAATACAGGGGCATTCTCCTGGGCAATAAGCACAGGACATTCCAGACTCCATCCCAAAGCACTTCTAACTCAAGATGACCAAGAATAGGCTTGGTTGGAAATGGAAAGTTATCTGGTACTAATTGAGCTTCTGAAGTATTCATGCACCCCCTAGAACAACTGCTTCCCAAGCTTTATTGTGCATATGAATTATCCGGGGATTCTGATTTAATAAGTCCAGGATGGGGTCCGGGATTTGTATTTCTAACAAGCTCTCAGGTAATGCTGATACTTGCTGGTCTAGAACAACCTCCTGCATTTTCCATAATTTTTTCAACAGCTCCTAAGGGTCTGGGATAATGTATGGATCTTAAAAGGAACAGTTAAAGAGTAAAGAAAGAGAGAAACAGAGTGTGAAATTATGTGGTAGGATAAGCAAACTTCTGAGAAATCATCCATGTAATAGTTATAAATTGTTTAGACTGAACTTTCAAACATTAAAATGGCTAATCAGTAAGTCTGGTTATTAGTATTTGATTTAAAATGTTAAAATTTCCATTTTATTTATATTTTAGGTAAAGATCATTTGGCTTAATTTCTAGTGATATTTGTAAATAATCAAATGATGCTAAGGATTTCACAGTCTATTCTGTTATTAGGCTTGTGAACTAACTTTAATGATCATTATAAGTGATTGTTAGTATGTCACCTTTAGATAATTTCTTATTTTAGATCATCCAAAATGCTATAAGAGTTCAAATTACTTTTTAGTTTATCAGTATTTATATATTAATATAAATATCAATTTTTAATAAAATTTTGACATAGAACTTAAATGTATATTTGGTATTACTCTGAGTATACAGGTTAAAAAAATGATCAGTTCTAGATTTTTTGTGTGCTAAATTCCATGTGGTTAATGCAGTGGAGAGAGTTCAGTCATTTCTTTGGTCTAGATTTCAGATTCAATCCCTTAGTTTTCTTATGTCTTCCTTCCTTGTGTAGTAACCAATTTGGGTGAAATAAAGCGATTTTTAATGGAATAGACTGTTCAAATGACCCTATTTCCTGAAGAGGGCATTTTCGTGAATATTTATTTAATCTCTTTTACTTTTCTCAGGTTTTATTTTAAATTATGTTCACCAGTATAACCTCAGGAGTTGAAAAATCTATTTTTTCATGAAAGCATTGAATAATAAACATATACCTGTTGTATAAGTTTCTGATAGATTTCTAGAACTTGCTTTTAAAATATTCATCTAATGCCATCTGCCCACAAATAGCAGATGCACTTCCTCTTTTCTTTAGATTTTTTTTAAATAGAGTAAAAACCAAGGCATACAGAAATGATATAACTGAAAGGTAAAACAGAATAATTTTATTATTTAGAAAATAATCACAAATACAAAATATTGGTAAGTTTGTGATGAAATGGGGAAGTATGCATACCTACTGAATACAAAATTTTATAGCTCTGAAATACATAAACAAAGAGTTTGCATAAAATGTTTGATGACTGCTCATCTCACAACGTTTGGTTTCTTAAATTTTTATACTAACTTGGGCAGAAATAACTCAGTTAAATGTTTTCTTACTCATGCTTTAATCAGAACCATTAAAATATTTATTTAAATTCTAGTTAGTAAGTGTTTTAAATAGCTGAAAATAAGTGTGAGTAAATTTGGTCTATAATAATTCTTTTCCCAGATCATTATAATTAGAGTTAATGAAAGGGGAAAAAAATGTATTTTTCAAGAAACATTCTGATTCCTCTAAGTTCTAACAAAGAAGATAGAAAACATGTAGCCCTAGACTCATCAGTACTAGATTTTTTAAGTTACCATTAGGTACAAATGTCTCCGGCTGAGGCCATCCTGTCTTGTGCCCCTATAAATACTAACAGGGAAATCCTCTTCCATATATCATAGGTTTGAAGGCATAACTAACTCACCTTCCTCAGAACCAATGTTAAAAATGGTATTTGATAGCAGGGCTTGTGAGATGACTGAGAAATCAACCATCACTTTGAACAATTTTAATACTGGAAGCATTCTGGGCTTTAAACAAAATTACAAAAATTTGCACACAGGTTGTGCACAGTTTGGGGCCTGCTAAGTTATTTAACTTTTCTAGTTCTCCCTGTCTATGCTTTCCATATAGAGGATTACATGAAACGACTAACTCATACTGCCTAACATCATGCCTGACTCATAGGAAACAGTCCACAAAGCAGGACTTTCCTCTCTTTTGTCTCTCATTGTCCTCCCCACCAACCAGATTCTAAGAATCTTTGAAACGGATGGCTGCTTGAAGTTGTTTGTCATTATAATAAATAGTACACTTGTCAATTTTAGGTTTTAGAGCCAGCAAATCCAAAGGTGAATCTTCAAAATGTCATGTACTCTCTGTATGAGTCACAAGTTTGCTATATTTCCTCATTAGCAAAATCCTTAACCCATGGGCTGTTGTGTAAATCAAATTAGGTAATATATATGGATGTACTTTGTGAGCTACTTAGGGTAACAATTGTCATGAAAGCAAGTAGAAAGCTAATTTTAAACTGAGAGGTAGACAGATCCTAAAGCTCCACTAGAACATGGTGCAAAAAGAAAGAAAAAGAAGGAAGGAAGGAAGGCAGGGAGGGAGGGAGGAAGGAAGGAAGGAAGGAAGGAAGGAAGGAAGGAAGGAAGGAAGGAAAAATTAGCTCCTAAGAAAATGTTTGCCTTCATACACTTCTTTCCTCAGAAAACCAAATGCTGAGTGAAAAGGTAACTACTGCACTACATAAAAATCAACACGGTGCCAGATCCATTTGAATGCAAAACCCAGAATCAAATTATTATTTCTCTTCACCTTGATATAATTTTCTCAGTGCTACGGATAAAAGGCCACAGGTATTAAGTCGACTTCTCCTTGACTTTCCCATAAACCTTCAAAAAGAAGCAAATCACAGCAAGGACTGAGCTTATTTTGTTCATAGGTGTAAGGCTTGCCAAGGAATGGACTTGGCTTTTCATATGAAAAAGTCCTGAGGCTTTTAGTTGACTACAAATTCAATATAAACTTTCTCTGCGAAGCATCTGCAAATAATACTGATAATAGCGAAACCAATAATAGTAATAGTCAATATTTATTGAGCATTTACAATATACCAGCCGTTGTTCAAAGAGCTTTATATGTTGTCATTTATTTAACCCTCATAATAATACTATGAGATAGGCGTTATTTTCTCCATTTTTCAAAGAAGCTACTGACATTAACAGCTGGCACTGAGTAAAAGCTTATTATGTGCCAATTCCTCACCTAGATGTTATATGACCTTTATTTTATCAAATTGTTAGCATAATTTTGTGACCAAAATGCAAAAGGGGAAAAAAAGGGCCCCAGGACAGGACTGTCATACACTAAAATTCAAACTTTATACATGTTTTTCAATTGGGTGGGACTGTTCAGGGTGCTTCAGGACAATTAGCATCCCTCACTACTAAATGTCAGTAGTAGCCTTTTCCTAGACCCCATGACAGCTAAAGCTTTTCTACCGATATCTGTCTTATTTAAAGTACTAGCTTACTCTTTATTCAGAATTAAATTAGAGGGAGAATGGCAAAATAGTTCTTTTGTTTAGCCAGGAATGGATTTTGAATGTCTGTTTATAATCCATTAATTCAATATGTTTATTGGACGTATTATCTTTGTAAAGCAGCACAATAGGTGTCACTGGGCCATGAAGATGAGATGCACACAATCCATGTCTTGTTCACAGTGTATTAAAGGGGTAAGACATGAGTAGAAATAACCATTTAAACGAAAGCAACATGTACCACAAGACATGTGCAAATTAACATGCTCTTGGAGCTCAGAATAGAGTAGTCATTGCTAGCTGGAGAAAGACCCCAAAGATTCCATGGAGAAGATAGGGATCAGGACTAAATTTTGAAGGAAGTGTAGTAGACTTTAGACAAGTAAAATCTAAAATGAAGAGAATTCCCATAAAAAAAAGCAACATGAGTCAAGATGTGGCAAAGTGTATGGTATTTTGACAAACCATGATAGCGCTATTATGGCTGAAATAGCCTGGCTGGGGATGGGGAGTGAGTGGGGAAGTGAGAGAAATAAAGAAAAAATCAGAATGAAAATCAAGGAGGATTGCAAGGGTCAAGTTATAGTGGCAAAGGGAAGTCACTGAACATTCTGAGAAGAAAACTATGACAACAGAAAAAAACTGTCTGTTGAAAATATTTATCTAGCAGCTATAGTAGAATGAATTGAAGAGGACATAGCTTGGAGACAGAGTGAAATATGAGGAGAAAATATTGCCTTTGTCCAAAAAAAAAAAAAAAAGTACTAGCAGAAAGAGGAGATGGATTCAGGAGATGTTCCAAGATTGGCTCCACTCTGTCCACTGATTTAATGTGCCTGGGTAAGCTTCACTCACATTGGAGTTTTGAGCTTGAATAAATTAATAGTTATTTATTTAAACAAAAATTACGGAATACTTATGCCTATTTGTGCAAAGTAATGTGTTAGGCATGGGATATGAGGAATAAATGATTCATAGCCTTGGGTGAATAGAAAGGAGTTAATGACAGGTCCAGTAAAAGAAAGTCAATAAGAGGAGTAGATTTCATGGGCAAAGATAAATGCAGTTATGGAAACAATGAGTTTGAAAACCTGTCTGAACATTCAGAAAGATGTGTCCAATAAACATTGTTTTGAGTGCTGTCTATGCGCTAAGCACTGCATGAGACTCAGGGATACAAATTTTTCAGTGCCATTGACTCTATTTGATTCATATCTCTCTGATCTGCCCAATTTTCTTTATGCCCAAACAATTACTCTAATTCAGGCCTCCATCTCCTCTCAACTTCGTGAATGTACCAGCATAACCAGTCCTTTACCTGCAGTTTTACCGTCTACAATTCTATTCTTTATACTGGATCCTGAGTGGTTTTCTAAAACATAGATCTGATCATATCCCTCCCTTGTGTAACACTTTTCGGTGGTCTCCCACAACTTGAAGAATAAAGGTCAGATCATGCAACATTACCTGTAACTCTTAGCCTCTGCTCACCTCTCCAGCATCTTCTCCCGTTGCAGGCTTTAGCTATACATTCAGATCATCAAATCCGCCATCCTCTCCTTTACTGCCGGGTCTCCTAAGGTGCTGTTCTTTCCATGCGCACGACTGTTGTTTTCCTCCTCATTTGCCTGACCACTTTTCAACTTTCAGTTAATCTACCTATACCCCCAATTTTTGATCAAATGTCCCTATAGTATGTTTTCATAACACAGTGTTTATCCAATCATAGCACTTATCATTTTTTTATTTTTTTATTTTTTTATTTATGTATTTATTTATTTATTTTTATTATCATACTTTAAGTTCTAGGGTATATGTGCACAACGTGCAGGTTTGTTACATATGTATACATGTGCTATGTTGGTGTGCTGCAGCCATTAACTCGTTATTTACATTAGCTGTATCTCCTAAGGCAATCCCTCCCCCCTAGCCCCACCCCACAACAGGCCCTGGTGTGTGATGTCCCCCTTCCTGTGACCAAGTGTTCTCATTGTTCAATTCCCACCTATGAGTGAGAACACATGATGTTTGGTTTTTTGTCCTTGCAATAGTTTGCTGAGAATGATGGTTTCCAGCTTCATCCACGTCCCTACGAAGGACACGAACTCATCCTTTTTTATGGCTGCATAGTATTCCATGGTGTATATGTGCCACTTTTTCTTAATCCAGTCTATCATTGTTGGACATTTGGGTTGGTTCCAGGTCTTTGCTATTGTGAATAGTGCCGCAATAAACATACGTGTGCATGTGTCTTTATAGAGACATGATTTATAATCCTTTGGGTATACACCCAGTAATGGGATGGCTGGGTCAAATGGTATTTCTAGTTCTAGATCCCTGAGGAATCGCCACACTGTCTTCCACAACGGTTGAACCAGTTTACAGTCCCACCAACAGTGTAGAAGTGTTCCAATTTCTCCACATCCTCTCCAGCACCTGTTGTTTCCTGACTTTTTAATGATTGCCATTCTAACTGGTGTGAGATGATATCTCATTGTGGTTTTGATTTGCATTTCTCTGACGGCCAGTGATGGTGAGCGTTTTTTCATGTGTTTTTTGGCTGCATAAATGTCTTCTTTTGAGAAGTGTCTGTTCATATCCTTCACCCACTTTTTGATGGGGTTGGTTTTTTTTTTTTTTTGATTCTGGATATTAGCCCTTGGTCAGATGAGTAGGTTGCAAAAATTTTCTCCCATTTTGTGGGTTGCCTGTTCACTCTGATGGTAGTTTCTTTTGCTGTGCAGAAGCTCTTTAGTTTAATTAGATCCCATTTGTCAATTTTGGCTTCTGTTGCCATTGCTTTTGGTGTTTTAGACATGAAGTCCTTGCCCAAGCCTATGTCCTGAACGGTATTGCCTAGGTTTTCTTCTAGGGTTTTTATGGTTTTAGATCTAACATTTAAGTCTTCAATCCATCTTGAACTAATTTCTGAATAAGGTATAAGGAAGGGATCCAGTTTCAGCTTTCTATATATGGCGAGCCAGTTTTCCCAGCACCATTTGTTAAATAGGGAATCCTTTCCCCATTTCTTGTCTTTGTCAGGTTTGTCAAAGATCAGATAATTGTAGATGTGTGGTATTATTTCTGAGGGCTCTGTTCTGTTCCATTGGTCTATATCTCTGTTTTGGTATCAGTACCATGCTGTTTTGGTTACTGTAGCCTTGTAGTACAGTTTGAAGTCAGGTAGCGTGATGCCTCCAGCTTTGTTCTTTTGGCTTAGGATTGACTTGGCGATGCGGGCTCTTTTTTGGTTCCATATGAACTTTAAAGTAGTTTTTTCCAATTCTGTGAAGAAAGTCATTGGTAGCTTGATGGGGATGGCATTGAATCTATAAATTACCTTGGGCAGTATGGCCATTTTCACAACATTGATTCTTCCTATCCATGAGTATGGAATGTACTTCCATTTGTTTGTGTCCTCTTTTATTTCATTGAGCAGTGGTTTGTAGTTCTCCTTGAAGAGGTCCTTCACATCCCTTGTAAGTTGGATTCCTAGGTATTTCATTCTCTTTGAAGCAATTGTGAATGGGAGTTCACTCATGATTTTCCTCTCTGTCTGTTATTGGTATATAAGAATGCTTGTGATTTTTGTACATTGATTTTGTATCCTGAGACTTTGCTGAAGTTGCTTATCAGCTTAAGGAGATTTCGGGCTGAGACGATGGGGTTTTCTAGATATACAATCATGTCATCTGCAAACAGGGACAATTTGACTTCCTCTTTTCCTAATTGAATACCCTTTATTTCTTTCTCCTGCCTGATTGCCCTGGCCAGAACTTCCAACACTATGTTGAATAGGAGTGGTGAGAGAGGGCATCCCTGTCTTGTGCCAGTTTTCAAAAGGAATGCTCCCAGTTTTTGCCCATTCAGTATGATATTGGCTGTGGGTTTTTCATAAACAGCTCTTATTGTTTTGAGATACATCCCATCAATACCTAATTTATTGAGAGTTTTTAGCATGAAAGGCTGTTGAATTTTGTCAAAGGCCTTTTCTGCATCTATTGAGATAATCATATGGTTTTTGTCATTGGTTCTCTTTATATGCTGGATTACATTTATTGATTTGCGTATGTTGAACCAGCCTTGCATCCAGGGATGAAGCCCACTTGATCATGGTGGATAAGCTTTTTGATGTGCTGCTGGATTCAGTTTGCCAGTATTTTGTTGAGAATTTTTGCATCGATGTTCATCAGGGATATTGGTCTAAAATTCTCTTTTTTTGTTGTGTCTCTGCCAGGCTTTGGTATCAGGATGATGCTGGCCTCATAAAATGAGTTAGGGAGGATTCCCTCTTTTTCTATTGATTGAAATAGTTTCAGAAGGAATGGTACCAGCTCCTCTTTGTACCTCTGGTAGAATTCGGCTGTCAATCCGTCTGGTCCTGGACTTTTTTTGGTTGCTAAGCTATTAATTATTCCCTCAATTTCAGAGCCTGTTATTGGTCTATTCAGAGATTCAACTTCTTCCTGGTTTAGTCTTGGGAGAGTGTATGTGTCAAGGAATTTATCCATTTTTTCTAGATTTTCTAGTTTATTTGCATAGAGGTGTTTATAGTATTCTCTGATGGTAGCTTGTATTTCTGTGGGATCGGTGGTGATATCCCCTTTATCACTTTTTATTGCGTCTATTTGATTCTTCTCTCTTTTCTTCTTTATTAGTCTTGCTAGCAATCTATCAATTATGTTGATCTTTTCAAAAAACCAACTCCTGGATTCATTGATTTTTTGAAGGGTTTTGTGTTTCTCTATCTCCTTCAGTTCTGCTCTGATTTTAGTTATTTCTTGCCTTCTGCTAGCTTTTGAATGTGTTTGCTCTTGCTTCTCTAGTTCTTTTAATTGTGATGTTAGGGTGTCAATTTTAGATCTTTCCGGCTTTCTTTTGTGGGCATTTAGTGCTATAAATTTCCCTCTACACACTGCTTTGAATGTGTCCCAGAGATTCTGGTATGTTGTGTCTTTGTTCTCGTTGGTTTCAAACAGCATCTTTATTTCTGCCTTCATTTCATTATGTACCCAGTAGTCTTTCAGGTCAAGTTGTTCAGTTTCCATGTCGTTGAGCGGTTTTGAGTGAGTTTCTTAATCCTGAGTTCTAGTTTGATTGCACTGTGGTCTGAGAGACAGTTTGTTATAATTTCTGTTCTTTTACATTTGCTGAGGAGTGCTTTACTTCCAACTATGTGGTCAGTTTTGGAGTAAGTGCGGTGTGGTGCTGAGAAGAATGTATATTCCATTGATTTGGGGTGGAGAGTTCTGTAGATGTCTATTAGGTCCACTTGGTGCAGAGCTGAGTTCAATTCCTGGATATCCTTGTTAACTTTCTATCTCGTTGATCTGTCTAATGTTGACAGTGGGGTGTTAAAGTCTCCCATTATTATTGTGTGGGAGTCTAAGTCTCTTTGTAGGTCTCTAAGGACTTGCTTTATGAATCTGGGTGCTCCTGTATTGGGTGCATATATATTTAAGATAGTTCGCTCTTCTTGTTGAATTGATCCCTTTACCCTTATGTAATGGCCTTCTTTGTCTCTTTTGATCTTTGTTGGTTTAAAGTCTGTTTTATCAGAGACTAGGATTGCAACCCCTGCCTTTTTTTGTTTTCCATTTGCTTGGTAGATCTTCCTCCATCCCTTTGTTTTGAGCCTATGTGTGTCTCTGCACATGAGATGGGATTCCTGAACACCGCACACTGATGGGTTTTGACTCTTTATCCAATTTGCCAGTCTGTGTCTTTTAATTGGAGCATTTAGCCTGTTTACATTTAAGGTGAATATTGTTATGTGTGAATTTGATCCTGTCATTATGACTTTAGCTGGTTATTTTGCTCGTTAGTTGCAGTTTCTTCCTAGCCTTGATGGTCTTTACAATTTGGCATGTTTTAGCACTTAATCATATTTTCATTGCCTGTAACTCTTCAGTGCTTGTCACCCTCTAGACTGTAATTATCAGAAGGACAGGGGTTATTTTTATTTACTTCACAATTGTATTACATAGCAAATACTTCATAAATATTTGTTGACTGAATGAAAGGGGATTACATTATAATACAGTTGAATACTACTTTTTCTACCAATGAACCCTACTAAATATGGGTATTATAATCCTCATCTCAACAAAATCACAATTATTTGTTTCCCCAATATATTATGAACTCTATGAAATCAAGGATTGTACTTTATAATTTCTGTATGCCTTGTGTCTTCCAACCTTTCTTTAACATGGTAGGAACTCAATAAATTTTTGCAAAGTGAAAAAGTGAATAAAATGCAGTGCATCTCTATCTCTATCTATCTATCTATCTGCATATATATCACTGCATCTAATTCCCCCTCCCTGCCAGCAACCATGTATTATATTTATAGACAAGGTATTGGATAGTTTTGCAGCATATAAGCAAATACTATTTTCTAAAATTCTAGATAGGCTTAATAAATTCACAGTAATTCATATCATAAACATCTCCAAGATCTTCACTCCAATCAATTCATTTTCATGTTATTCTGATAGGCTAAAACAATGTTCCCTGAGACAAGCCATGGACCACTTTTCCAAGAATTGCTTGGGGTGCTGGTTAAACTACTGATTCCTGGGCCCCACCTACACCTCATGAATCAAAATCTTATGACAAACAAAATTAGAGAAGGACAGAATACATAAGTAAAAAAAAAAATCTCACTCACACTCACCTAAAAAGATTCATTTCCCATAATGTAACAAAAATTCAAACAGTTGTCCTTGACAAAATTATAATCACATCTGTTCTCAGGAATCTCTATTTTAGGATCTAGACATATTTCAATTACCAGTTAAAAAGAAACTAAAAAAAAGAGAAGCAAGCAAACAAAAAAACCCAAAAACTGCATTCCTTGAGCACTTCCTACATAAATATTATTCTCTCTTTATTCTCTAAGGCAGTCACATTTTTGATATTAAGTAACACATTGCCCCCTTGCAGGAGCAAGTGATCCTTTGATGGGACACAAAGCTTGCACTGGGAAGAGGATGTATTTACTGTCTGAGTATATCCACATATAGAAAGATACAGCTGATGAGGCAAGGACTACCCAGATTAATAGGTCACCAAAAAATGAGAAAACTTAGCTTATTCAGAGTTCTCCTCAAAAAGATTTTAAAATTTTTATTTTCAGGCCCAGCATTTAAAATATATTTAATGCTCCTTAATGATCAAATTGTCATGTTTCTATTACTGTACATATTTACAACAAAATGTAATTATGAAACTGGATGTGAAGTTCATTTATTCATCAATAATAGAAACATCATTATGTGAAAATATATCATTCAAATTGTTCATTTGAAGAAGTAAAGAAGAGAACACCTCTCAGTGGATGGAAATTTGTGGATCACAAAGCTTTATATTGCTATTTTATTAACTGTGATCCTGAGAACCTTATTTTGTCATTCAGGTTTTTTATCTATTGTATTAGTGAAGATTTTTTTGACTATAAGCAACAGAAAAGAACCCTAGCTTACTTCAAGAAAAAGAGAATGTATCGAAAGGATATTAAAGTATCTCACAGATTTCAAAGAAGGGTTTGAAAAAAAAAAAAAGCAGGCCTCTAAAATGTGAGGGACAGGAACATGTCATGGAATTCAATATTATCTCATGCTTCCATGGATGTATCTAATGAATCAACAACTCAGTCTTTTGATCCTAAGCTCAAGATTTTAAATTATAGAGAAGCAGAAGCAGAGTTTATTGATCTATTCCTCTTCTGGCATGATGATATTAAAATTAAGGATTTCTGTTCAACACAAATAATATACCCAAAGTTAAGGAAGAGATAAGAGAATGAAATAAGACACTTAGAAAGTCAAAAACTTACAAAATATTTGGAATCAGAACATATCAGGAATCCTTGCAAATTAGCTAGGAAAAAAAAGCATCCCCATTAAAAAATGGATACAAGTAATGAACAGACAATTGTAGAAGAAAAAATCCAAAAATTCATGAATCGTATGAAGAAATGTGAAAACATTCTAATAATCAAAGAAATGCAAATTAAAAGCCACAATTAAAAAAAACACACTCTACACCTATTCAGCAAAAATTAGAAATGTGAACAATGCCAAGTGTTGGTAGTAATATGAGTCTGCAGGTACCATCAGGTACTATTGTTGAGACTGTGGAATAGAAGAGCTATTTTTGAGAATGACTTAATTCTACCCAGTCAAAATTAATATGTACATAACCTATAATTTCTACTTTTGATATAGATCCCAAAGAAGTTTGTACAGAAGTTCTAGGGGAGCATGTACAAGCTTATTACCATCAGTGTTATTTATGGAGGCAAAATTGTGTGTTAATCAATGAGACAGTAACAGGTAAAATGTTTTGAATGCACACCATGGAGTATAATGTACAGCTAAAAGCAACAACTTAGATATTATTATAGACACATGAATGGATTTAAAGGCATTGCTCAGAGTGAAAAATAGAAGTAAAACAAAATATATTACACAATGCCATTTATGGTCATTGAAAGTACACACTCACAAAAAATATACATTTTGTAAAGTTACAACAAACCAAAAGGCATATGTTCTGTACATTAGAAAATTTGCCTATGATATGGAAAGGGAAGGGAGAGGAATTGAGAATTGAGACAAAATGGAATTGTTAAATAAATCAAACAAAGGAGGGGTTTCATATGGACTAAATATGATAATGTACCATGAGATAAGTAGTTAGCCATGCTACTTATCTTATGGTTATATACCTATATATGTTTTATTAACATAAGCCTCATTAAAAATAAGAGTCCATTTAAATGTATTAATTATCTGAACAATATAGATTGAGGTACAAGGAAGCTGGATATCAAGATGGATTACAAGTAGTTACTCTCACCTTGTGATCCAGCATCCCTTCCACTATTCCAATACATTGTACAATGTTCTTTTATAACCACAATGTTCTACAACTCCATGGGGCCTATTTTTCTGGCACAACTGTGCATTTTCCTTCCAGCTTGATGTTCCCTTTCAGTCTTACTGACTTTTACATCCATGTCATGACTCATTCAACTTTCAGCCTCAGTTTGTGGCCCTCCGTGACTCAACCAACAGCTTCCTCTGCTATGCATTATTCATACACAGACTTGAACATTATCTTAGGCCTTATGTCACATTTTTTATAGGCCTCTAATAAATTCTTTACAGTGTGCTCTTCTAACTCCTTGCGTTCACTAAACCTTCTACTTTCCACTGCCACGTGGACTCTAAAAGCTCCAACACAGATTATTACAATTAACAATTGACTCCTTAATACCATAGTCATCTAATTCTTTAACATCTAAAATCTCACTACTTCTTTCTTAGCAGATGGCCTCATTTCAACTTTATTAGGGATATTGAGCTCCCTAACTACCATAGGTCTCAATTCTCCAAATATTGGTCATGGTCATTATCCCTATCAATTCATACCTTTATCACCTTCACAAGAACAGAAATCTTTCCTCGTATCCAACTCTTCCATCTCAGTCAGAAAAAAAAAACACTTTTCAATTCCCAAGAAACATTGCTCCCACATGTATCTTCTTTCCTTGAATATGTCCAATTTCTCTCTTTTTACTAGGTCCATTCTCTTCTTTCAAGCATACCTAGGTCTTCTCTCATCTTGAAAACAACCTTTGCACTGAAATCATCCCTTCCATCCTCAGTCTTTCTCTCCATTATCTAAATACTGACTATATTTCTTAAATGAGACACTTAGACAAATACCATCTTGCATTGTGACTTAACATTTTTACACTGGGTAATTGTTTAACCCTTCCTGCTCCCCACCTCCTGACGCACACACATGGGGATACATACAATTGATTTCTTAGAATGCCAATTTTTGTTACAATATTAGAGACAATTTCATTCACTCTGTGGACATATCCTTCCCAATATCAAAGACATAGAAATATGAATTATTTACAAATTTTCCCTGGATAATTTCCATGGCTTCCTAATTAAATTTTACATCTCCATTATTCCTCCCTGCTCCAACTTCCTCTTTTTCTACAACACAAGTATCTTTGTTTCTCTATTGCCTATAAAATAAAGTTTATTTTTTTAGCATGCATATAATTTTTAGCAAAGCATAGTATTTAATCTTTCAAAAATTTACCCCAACTCTTTTTTCTTTTTTTATTTTTTTTCCAACTCTTCCTTTGTTTCATCTTCTACCAGCATCCTTCTCTTTTCCCATGTGTTTTAAGTACTAGCCATATCAAACTATTTGCATTTCCTGAGAGCAACCTGCTACCCTTTTGTTTTATTTTTATGCTTTCCATTTTTGTGTATCTACCCAGAATTTCCAATTTCCTTGTCTCTACCTAGTAAACTCTTAGTCACCCTTTAAGAACCCTCTCACATATTATCTGTCTTGTGATTTTCTCAGGTAATAAGGTAAATAGTCACTTTCTTTCTGTTCTCATGGCCCTCTGTTAGCACCCTGTACTTCTGCTATCATAACACTCATCACATCTTATGGTAGTTACCTAAAGAACATCTGCCTTTACTACTGGAATGCAAGAGACAACTGTCTTACTAACCACAGTATCGCCAGCAACTAACTCACTCCCTTTTTTTTTTAGACGGAGTCTTCCTCTGTTCCCCAGGATGAGGGCAATGGCATAATCTCAGCTCACTGTAACCTCTGCCTCCCGGGTTAAACCGATTCTCCTGCCTCAGCCTCCCGAGGAGCTGGGATTACAGGTGCATACCACCATGCCTGGCTAATTTTTGTATTTTTAGTAGAGATGGGCTTTCACCATGTTTGCCAGGCTGGTCTTGAACTCCTGACCTCAAGTGATTTGCCTGCCTTGGCCTCCCAAAGTGTTGGGATTACAGGCATGAGCCAACATGCCCAGTCCTCACTCCCTATTTTGTAACAGATAGTCTACAAAGATTTGTTGGATGAGTAGAAAAATGAATGAATGAATATATTAATTGTATTTATCTTTGCATGCCTTCCACTTCATCCACTACCCACATAATTGTTTCAGACCAATAGTTAGTGCTCAAAAAGTGTCTTTAGTAGATAAGTGGGCAAATGAATAAATGAGCGCTTCCATTTTCCTTCATCTAGACTTTGTCAAATCACACCCTCTTCTATGGGGGTTTGTTGTTAGCCATTAAAATTGATAAGAGACTGACTTCTCTTAGCTTTATGGGTCCCTGACACTCTCAAAAATCTGTTAAATATTATTTGCAATATATTTACAAATATATTTTATGATAGTTTATTTTCATTGTTATTATATCCAGGGCACAGTAATGAATTAATTACAACCTTTGGTTAATGAACATTAACATTCTTGGTCATTAATGCCCTTTTTAATTCTATTTGTTTATATTTTTGCTTATTTTACTGAATGGATGTCTATAAACCCATCAAACGACCTAAGAATAGAATATTATCAATGACTTATGGCAATTTCTGTGTTATTTCTTATTGCGCACCTCTTTCCCTGCTGTGCCAAAGTAACCTACATTGAATTTTGTTTTTATCATTCCCTTGTTAGTTTTCTTTTCCCTTATCACATATTTGCCTTTGAACTGCATAAAAAGTATGCCATACTGCATATATTCTTCTGGGAATCCCTTTATTCCCTGAGCATTATACTAAAAAGAATCAGCCCATTTTTGTTTTTCCTGTAGCTGTAATGTTCTCTTTGGGAATGGCAAAAGTCTATTGTATTTTAATTGCACTGTCATTTACAGGAGAGAGATGCCTCCTCTCTGAGGAGTCTGGGTCCTTTCAGACTAGTGATTTTTAAACACTTATACAGTGATACAATTAGTATATTTTTAGATTGAGACTTAAAAATGACATATCCAAACTCTAAGCACATTGCCTATTGATTTATTTTTTAATAAGGCATAAAATTTCATGCATATGAGTCTGCAACTAACTACCCAAATATATCTGGGAATACTCTATGGCTTACTAACAAGAGCCGTCTAATCTCTTCTTGTCTAACTAGTTCATTCAAGAAGATTTTTTTTAGCCTGCCTACTGTGTGCCTGGCACTGATTATAATGCCAGGTTCTCCTTTTGTTTAGTCATTTTCCAGACTTATATTTTACTAGCCAATCACATAAGGGCTGAGCTCTGCATATCACGAACCCAGTGTACGATGATTAACAGTATTCTCACCTGCCAATAGGACATGATTTTAGCGTGAGACAAAAGTAAGGAAAGCAGCAGCCACCTTTGACATCTCTAGTGAGATTGTCTCCAAAAAAGTAGAAGGCAGCAGAGTGTAACAGTGAAGGACACAGACTTTTTTAACTGGCTCTGCCACTTTTTGTCTGAGTGTTCTTTGAGCAAGTTATAAAAGCTCTGAGTACCTCAGTTCATTCATCTGTATAATGAGACTAACAACAGCACCTACTTCACAGGATTGTTATAAAGATTAAATAATTTAATAAGTTCTTAGAAAATGTCTGTCCCATAATACAAGCCAATGTCAATAATTGATAAATAAATGGTTTTACCGATATTTCATATCATATTTTTGCTTCTAACTTTAGCTACATTTTGATACCCTCCAAAAGTTACTAATAATTATCTATTGGCAATCTTTTTGTGAGAACTTTTGCTTTTGGAAACCATGATATTTTATCCAACATGGAAATTCTGGTATAAGATCCTGTTCTTGGTAATTATGGATTGTAGTTTTATTTTGAATATATGCAAATTTCAGGTAAGGACATTGTACTGACTGAATTCATTCATGTAATTATGCAATAAATATTTGTTGAGCTCTTTATGCAAGAGCTGTATATATGCACTGCACAAAGTTTTTTAAATGTAAAAATAAATCAAACTTGGGACTTGACTTTCAGCTGCTTACTATCTAGCTGTGGAGATGACATATACATACAATAAGGGAAGTAAAGGTGAATTATTATAGGAGTTTGGTAAAGGGAGATATTTTGCCCAGATAGAGGTGCCAAGAATTTGTGAGAAGGTTGCAATTCAAGTAAACTCTGAAGGACCAGCAGAACATGCAAAAGAAGAAAGCTATTCCAATGAGAGAACACAGGATTATGCCTTTGGGCAGCAAGTTAGCCAAGTACGACTGCAAGGAAACTAAGACCAGAGGATAACAACCAGTCATCATTAAGTATGTATTATGCTTCAGGTGCTCTGCTGACTGTTCTAATTACATGATCATATTTAATGCTCACAATAATTCTGTGAGTAGGGACTAGTATGGCCCCATTTTACAGATGAAAGTACTGAAGGTCAGAGATGTTAAGTTAGATTCATAAGTTCCCACAATGACAAGTATGAGAATCAGAGTTATGAATCAGGTCACATGAATAATAAAGGCTCAACTGAAGACAAAAAGATGCCGCTCAGAATTAATTTTAAATTCATCAGGGTTTTTTATTTTTATGCAACTAAAGCTATGGAAAGAAAGATTTGAGTTTTAAATAAGCAAATGTTAAAAATCCTTGCTTTACAAAGAGATACCATTTGAATAAGGCCCCAGGCCCATATGAAAGGAGTGTAGATCTGAGATACTTTCATTAACACTAACTCCTTGCAGACTCTGCGATGACATTGCGGTGCAGTACATTCCTATAAAGGTAGTGTTCTTACATCAACACCTGTGGGAAAGAGGAAGAAAGTGGGATTGGGTGGAAAAATTGTTCTGCAATAAAATCTCAACAAACTCCTCAGTCCACATCGTGGGTAGTTCTGCCACCGAGTGACCCCTGAGAGACATCTCCAGCTGACTTGAGGGGGCCCAGCCTCTATACTGGCCTGTTCACCAGTCACTGGAAGAAATTCACTCCTAGAAAGGAGGATGACCTCGGATAAGACGAGACTCTTCTATCCAGGCATTCTTTTTTTTTTTTTTTAATAATGCAATTGTTGGGTGAAATGGTAGTTCTGTTTTAAGTTCTTTGAGAAATTGCCACATTGCTTTCCATAATGGCTGGTGGAAATGTAAATTAGTATCCAGGCATTCTTAAAGGTGGCTGACAACTGAGGATACTCTGCTTGGAGCACTCCTGGAAAAAGTTCTTCACTTCTAAACAAGGACCTTCTTCAAGAAGGCTCATCCCTGCTTCCACAGCAAGTGGCAGATTAATCCCCAAATCTCAAAGACTTAATTTAAGAGAAGTTTATTTCTTCCTCACATAAAGTCCAGTTGGTGTTAGTTGAGAGTTGCTCTGTTTATGCATCATTCAGGAGCATAGGGTCCTTCTATCGGTGGCTCCCTTCACCTTTACATCCTTGGCATCCTCTCCATTTATTCAGTAGAAAGGAAAGGGAAAGTAGAGGATCACATAGAAGTTTTCACAAGCCAAGCCTGGAAGTGACATTATGACTTTTGCCCACCTTTCAAAGGGCAGAATTCAGTCATATGGCCACACTCACCAGAAAGGGAAAGTAGGAAATGTAGTCAATACATGTACTCAGGAGAAAAGAGAGATATGTTTTGGAACAAATAGCCAGTCTTTGACAAAAGAATTTTCTTTCTAATACATACTTTCATGTCTTTTGTTTTGTTTTGTACTAAGCAATGTGCCTTCCAGGCCATTCAACTCAGAAAATGTGAACTCCTTTGTAGTAAATGGCACCTTTGAGATCAGGTAGGCCCAATGACTGACTGAGACGAATGCCAGAACTTAGGAAATGTGCACATGCAAAAAACACAATCAAAATGATTGAAAAAAATGCATTTTTATTGTTGTTGTTGATCTTAAGTCACTGTTTTTCTTCCCCTAACTTGCTCCTAAAAAATCATAATCAAAATCATTTAATTTGTTTATAATAATATTCTATTACAAAGCTCATCAATTTTTTCTTCTTTTGGTTAGACTCTCTAGGTTTGGGCCAAGTGACTGGAGGAAAACACCAGTAATCCTTGCTGTTGGAAATACTACAATATACATCCTGGAAAGGTCTTCAGTAAGCAAGGGGCAAGTGGCAGGTTTTATGGCACAAACATAGTAAATAATTCCAATTGATGAATTCCAAACACAATTCATAAAATTCCAAGTTTGTAATAAAAACTTATCCCAAACCTAGCAGTAAAAGAAATACATTACTTACCTTTTGGTCTTCTCTCTAGCTCAGATGGGCTGGCATACAATAATATACCATGCTGGCATGCATATTTTCTTGTGCTGTACTATACAGCCACTTCTCTCCCTTGTTTACATTGCTATATTTCTAAAATAACATCCTGACACTTTTTCTCCTCCATTTGTATTATTCCAGCACTTTCCTCTTCCAACTGCAGCTTGAGATGTACATTCACAAATATAATACATCCGTGGATTGTTTCATACATGGGAACCAGCACTACATTAAAAGCAACTTTAAAAACTCAAGCATATTGATCTTTCTGCCTTTTTTCTAGGTCTATCTGTTGCTACCTTCGAAATCCTGTGAATAGAAGCAAACTATTTTACCTCTACACCCTTCAGTTTTCTCCTCTGTGGAATATGGGTAATGATAACCATCATACAGAGTTGCCAAAGATTATTGGAATTAACACTCATTATGTGTCAGGTACTGTTTTCAGAAATTTTAGTCATTTAATTATTAAATACCTAAACTGCATGAAATGGGGATGATTATCCCCCTACCTCCCAGTGTATAGATGAGAAAAGTAATTCACAAAAAAGTAACTTTCCAAAGGTCATAGTGAGAGCATGGGCAGGGCCAAACTCCAAATCCAGCCAGTCTGATTCCAGAAATTACACTTTCAACCAGCAAGCTATATACTGAGAATTGAAGCTAATTCACTCAGAATCACTTAAAACATCCCCACTGGGCAAAAGTCATTCTGCGTTACAGAATGGGAACCTAAGTCACGTTCATGAATTATTTGTCCCAGACCCATGCTGTGGCTTAATTCTCTGAGTCTGTATCAGCAGTAGAAAATATGAGTTCAAAATTCTTTGTCTTTTCCAATAAAGATGATGATGATGATGATGATGACAACGATGATTTGTACAACTAAAATTTTACCTGCAGACTCAGTTTATCCTACTAATTATTTTCCATAAACCCAACAGGATAATTTTAAAATTGTTTTCTTTTAAAGTAAAACTATGTAAACAATAATGCTAACATAGGGATAATTACTAAAATCAATCATGTTTCAGTGATATGAAAAAAAATCCAATAACTGAAGTTTTCAATAAGTGAGTTGTTTTTTCCAAATACAATTTCATTTCAAAGTGTTCTTTCTTCATGACTTATAAGAAGTTAAAGATAAAATTCAACTTCATTTAAAATTGTCACTTTTCAAAACCTAAGAAATTGGAAGTGTCTTCTATATTTGTTATTAAATAAATCACTCTTGAAAATAACATTTTTATATTTATATAGCTCACTTATCTAAAACAGTCAAGCCAGAACACATATTGTAATAAATTACCCATAAAATAAAGCTTGAAATTATAACAGGACAAAGTATTTAAATTTAGAACTTTATTGGTACAAAATCCCCAGAGACTCTCAAGGATTCCTAGTTTGATGCCAGCTTCGAGAGGAATTGGAATCGAGTATAGCATAACAGTCAGGTGGAGAGAAGACATCATGGCTCCTTTTGTTTTGAACATCTGTGTGCTGCAAGGGGAACCTGATACTCTGACCTCTAGGACTGGGACCAGGATTACCTCAGCACAGGAATGTTTACAGAGGATGCCTAATCCTCTTGTGTAATACACAGTAGTCCATCACAAATCCTAACTGTTGCTGCAGATGGTGGCCACAAAGAAACTGCTTTCCTGTCTTCAAATATCCCACAGCATGTTCAATCTTCCTATTAAAACTCTTATTGCATTCTACATTGTATTATTGTTTGTTTATATCCTATCTTTTCTTCTGGGTTAGAAATTCCTTGAGAAAAGTGACCAAGCCTTCTTTATTTTTGCATCTCCACACCCTTAGTAGATACTTATCATTTACTAAATGAATAAATTAATTAATGTGTGATGGATGAATGGATGGTCTGTGCATGTCTGTAGAGTGATAGTGTATTAGTCCATTCTCATGCTGCTAATAAAGACATACCCAGGACTGGGTAATTTATAGAGGAAAGAGGTTTAATTGACTTACAGTTCAGTGTGGCTAGGGAGGCCTCAGGAAACTTACAGTCACGGTGGTAGGTGAAGCAAACACATCCTTCTTCACGTGGCAGCAGCAAGAAGTGCAGTGCAAAGTGGGGAAAAGTCCCTTATAACATCATCAAATCTCATAAGAACTCACTCATGATCACAAGAACAACATGGAGGTAATTGCCTCCATGTTGGTCCCTCCTGGGGGACATCTTTTGTAAAATACCTTTTATTATTTCTCAGAACTCAGGGTGTCACTTACCAATCCTCCTTTCCAGGTCCCTCCCAGGATATGTGGGTATTATGGGAACCACAGTTCAAGGTGAGATTTGGGTGGGGACACAGTCAAACCATATCACATAGTGTCTAAAACTCTACTCCAGTCAAGTGGTGTGTATCTTTATAATACGTGTAGAGTCCACATATTCATGAGTTGTGGACTGTGAGCCTATTTTTGAAAACACATCACCAACTACCATGTATTGAATAGACATAATGTGTCAGGCAATGTTTAGATAATTTTCACAATTTATAGTCCTCAGAGTAATTTTCCAAAATAGCAGTGTTATCCTCATTTTGTTAATAGAAAATAAATACAGAGAGGTTATGTAGTTTGTACACACACAACTAGTAAATAGGAAACCCCAGTCTAAATTCAGTTTGTGGTCTTAAAAAGGCATTTTAAAAGACCAGATTTTTCTCAGAGTACACTATTGGTATCATCATATTTTATAACATAGTAAACATAATGTATGAAGGTTAATGCAGTGTCAATAAAGTATTTTCAGACAATAGGAAGATGTGCCCTATAATTCCCAAATCATTCTTTTCCTGTCAGTGTTTTCTTTTTCTTGCTTGCTTTTGTAAAATACCTTTTATTATTTCTCAGAACTCAGGGTGTCACTTACCAATCCTCCTTTCCAGAAATATACGCAAAAGTTTTACTAGCCAAATAGGAAACAAAGTTCTAATTTATCAAACTATGTTGTATAAAGTACATTGATAAGCTATAGTGTTTAATGAGGCTTACACCTGAGGCTGAAGTGGGATTTCCTATCCCTCACCCTGTGATTGGTAACAGCAAAGCTCAAAGAAAGGCTCAATCTGACTTATCTCCCATGGTCAACACAAAAGCTGGCATGCAGAGAGAACTCGAATCCCTGGTGCTCTGCCTATTCATCCCTCCCTCTTAGACAGAGTCTAGGTTTTAAATAATGTTTGTTTATAAAAATAGATTGTCAGCTACCATGTGACAGCTTGGATTATTTTTTTGGCTTTTCCAAGCTTGGCTTTTCTTCTCCTCTTTCCTCTTTGCTCCAGGAAGTCCATGGTCACTGGTTGCCTCACACCACAAATGTCAAGTGCCCACATGCGCCCCCACCCTGCACAACTGAAGCTTTTGAGCCTGCTGCACACCAGGGCTCATCCAAACCTCTGTAATTTTTAAGATGTAAAAGCTGCCATGTGCCTTGTGCCTCTGTCCTTTCTTTGTGTTATATTTTATCACATATGGGTAAAAGTAGAGCCCTTATCCCTCAATATCTTAAAGAATCCTTGCTAAAATCACTTTTTCAGGTATTATTCAGTACACTCTATCCAAGACAAGTCTCACAGGGAACCAAGCCCAGGGATAATTCTAAAGGCCTTAATATACTGAGTGGCAAATGGGTTTGGTGCTCTAACCCAGACTTCAGTAAAAGTGTTCTGTAAAGGACCAAATAGTAAATACTCCAGGCTTCGTGAACTTCATATGTCCTCTGTCACATATTCTTCTATTTTTGTTGTTATTGATTTGTTTTGCTTTTCTACAACACTTTATAAATGAAAAAAATAATTCTTAGTTTGAAGGCCCATTTCTGCAGGCCACTAACCAGACTTGGCCTGTAGTTTGCCAAATCCTGATCTAGATTCCAGCCAACCTTGTTTGAATTCTGTCTCTGACATTTACTAAATACATAACAGATATGTTTAATCTCTCTAAGTTTCCACATGTCTGAAAGGTGGATAACTGTTCTTATCTTAATAAGATAGAAGGAAAATTAACCACAATAACACCTTTGAAGCTCTCAGCATCATGCCTGAAACTTGGTAAGCACTCAATAAATTATCTATTATTACTATTTCTCAAAAGGATGTATCCTCCCTGACCACTGGGTCTTTATTACAGATCAAGCTTGTTTGACTCTCTCTGCCTTTAGGATAAATTCTCTTCCAGGAATTTTCTTGTTCCATTATGCAAATAGAATCCTTAGGGACCTTCCCATCCATCAGCCTGATTTGCCCAGATGTGTTTAGTGGCATTGTGAAATGTGCTTAGACATAAGCTAAGACTCCTCCTACAAAAATGGAAGTAGAGAATGATAGATAAGATGGATATCACCAATTAATATGTGTGCATCAGATTGCTCAACAATAAACAGACCAGTTCAGTTTTGAATGCTCCAACAATGCCTAAATGAGCCAATTAGCAAAAATATTGGGGTGAGTTACAGCTAAATCTCATTACTTAATTTCCTCCCGATCTTACATACTACCCCCATCAGTTTCCAGTGAGAAAGTGAACAGTTGCTCTTGGCACAGACTGCAGTTTTTCAATTCAACAAGCATTTATTGAGCATCTACTTTGTGAAAAGCATTGAGCCAGGCATTATAGGGGAAACAAAGAAGAACTAGACACAGATCTGTCTTTAAGGAGGAAGGAAAAAAGAAGGTAAGTGCCAAAGCAAGTGTATAAAAAGTGCTGTAGAAGAGGTGCAGAAATGAGGTATAAGAAAACACAGTTTGTATTGCTTCAGAAATGCAATCAGAAATGTCTCCAAGTAGCTTTTTGGCTGCATCTAAAAGGATGGATAGGATTTCAACAGGATGAAATGGCCTTTCCATGATGAAATTACATAATAAGAAGAATGGTTTATGATGTTAGAAGATTGTTAGAGGTATAGTTGACCAAAGCACAGGAGTCGTGACTGAGGGTAGTGAGTACTAAGGCTAGAATTAGAACAAAATGAAAATAAGTGAGAGTTTATCGAGTCTTAACCTCTTGCATAGCACGTGAGGAAACTGAATCTCACAGAGAGATTAAGTGCCTTTCTTGTGTCACACAGCTAATGGCTGAGCTGAAATGCACCTCAGCTCCCCAGCTTCCTGGGCTAGTTCACTTTCCATTACCTAATAGCTGGAGAAAGATAATGGATGAAACTGAATACCACACTAAGGTTTTTGTTTTTCCTCTGCAAGAAGTGATTTGACACTGAAAAATTTGAGCAGCAGCGTATAATAGTCAACGATATAAAAATCTGATTTAAGCAGCGCCATGAAAGGGGAACCAAGGAGGGAAGAGGCTGGAGGCAGGGAGGCAGACGAAACTGCTGCAATTGCTCTGGGCCTGAACTAAGGCAGTGGCACTGAATGCCTTGGATGGGACAGATAAGAGGATCACTGTGAAAGGAGAACCAAAATGACTGAGAGAATAAGTAGAGAAGAGAAACGAGAGAAGATGTCAAATAGGACCCCAAAGATTTTAGCAAATACCTATTGAGCGCGTCCTTTATATGAAGTACTAAAGAGCAATTGCTTCTGCCTTTATTCTCCATATTTTTATATCTCTGCAGACCAAATACATTACCCTTTTGTACACAAAAGAGAAAGAGTATAGCAGAAAGAACACGGTGCTTGATCCCAGATCTGCGGCCAACTCCTTCACAGCTCGTAGCACGTCACTACTCTGATCTTTCAGTTTACAATTCTGTAATGCGAGGCATTTCCTGGATGATACCTAAGGCCTCTTCCAACTCTTATGATAGTGGTTGTATCTCAGATGTGAGAGGAAACACAGGGGCCGAGGGCTGCCACCTGGCACAAATTAGTATACACATCTTTGGGGTTGAACGGGCATGGGTTTGAGGAAGAAGTTGTTCTCTAGTCTGAGTTCAAGGAGAATTCTGTTTAGTTGTGCTTCATCCTCCCTGAACTCTGAAGTTAAACACATGGACTAATGAGATGGCAGGAGAGGTGCCAGAAAGATGTGCAATAGCTTAGCAGCCTGCCTCTACGCAGCAGGGTCCAGGAATAGCACACCCCAGGCAGGAGTTTGCCCTGATGTGTACCCTTCTCGAAAGTATGCTAAGCAAGTCACTGAGATGTCAGCTTCATGGCAGGTAGGCAGTCAGGGAATTGTGTTCAGCTTGAGAGAACACCTCACTGAGTGTAAGGCTTTCTGGTTATTGAAGAAGACCTTCTACTTTTCACTTCATTATCCATAGCTCATGTCAGGAACCTGTGACTACTCAGTACTTTATTTCAGCCCCTAACATATTCTATACTCACTGTGTCAAGGCACCAACCAGAGCTCCAAACGCACAATCTTCTGGGTAGTTTTTCTGCTTCTGAGCCAATGCATGTGCCCTACAGCACAGTATGATGGATATATCTTTCAGTATCAAATAATTAATTATGCAGAATGCTTCATTAACAATAACCACTAGAGTCAATGGCCAGGGTCATCACAACATGGTTCATCCGTGCTTGAATTCACTGACCCCTCCCTCTCTCCTTGTCAAGAAATATCAAGAAACAGATTCATCAGGAATAATGGCCAGATGTTTGCTCATTAATGATCCTTCCATAATCAGAAAAGTGATGACCACGGGACACTTAATCTTGTCAATTTTTGTGACAGAAAACATGCTTAATTTATCATCAGCTTTGCAAAAAACAGAGCTCTCATTCTCCCAAACCAAACCAGAAAACAAAATAACTATTTAGGATTTAGTCTTATTTGCACTGTAAGCCCAACATAAGCTTTGCATGATTGGCCACACTGCTTCTGCTTCTTTAAACAGAAGTATAAACATAGTGTTGGGGACTTGACCAAGAAGCTCCCAGACCCCACTCCAAGTGTTGAGCTGAGCTGAGAGTTGTGCAAAAATGAGCAGTAATGTTATCAATGCCAGACTCCTCAACCTGGCTGTCCATCACGGGCTCCATCAAGGGCTCTGCTTTACTTCACAGTGTGGTCACTATGCACAAGCTTCTGCCACTCTCAGTGCTGATAATCCCCTCTGCATTTAATCATGCACTCTGGCAACCTAAATGTCACCAGACGACTGAGCTCCTGTTAAGGTGTGTGTGTGTGTGTGTGTGTGTGTGTGTGTGTGTGTGTGTGTCCCTCACAAGGTATTCTCAGCTAACACTAACCACAATGTACTTTTCTACTCCAAATATGAATGTGCCTACCGTCTACACGATACACAATCATGCTGTATGTGTGTCATCTGGTCATTGTATACAGTGTCATCTGGTTGTTTCATGTCTTATATCCCCAGCTGAATCAGACGGGATCCAAATATCAGCTCTCTGGTAACTTCCACAGTTGATGAATTGGGTAAAGATATAAGAAATCCTCACAGAGGCAATAAGAAGTATAAAAAAAACTTGAAATCTGAAGTTCAAAACCAAGCTTAAAATTGTAACTCTGACTTCTACCAGTTGTGTACCTGTGGACAAATTATTTAACGTTTCTGGGAAGTTTTTGTGAGGACCAAGAGAAAAATAGAGACTCTGGCACAGTGCCTGGTATATAGTAAGGACTCTATAAATTGTCAATTCCCATTTCCTTTTTTAATTATCAAGTAAAAAGACCAGAACCTATAGAATCTTTCTCTCTCTCTCTCTCTCTTTCTCTCTTGCTCTCTCTCTCTCTCTCTCTGGGTTAATATACATTCATTCACACAGAGTCTTACACAAACATAATGCCCAGCAATCGAAGGACAGATAAAAAAAAAAAAGTGTTAAAACCAATAGCAATATAAAAAGTATACATCTCACTTAATGAAGGGCTTGTTTTAACACTATCAGAATCTTTTCAGTCTAGAAAGAACACAAACGCACAACAGTGTCAGAGCCATGTCACATAAGTATCGCCCATAAAACTGCAAAATGAGCCAGACGCGGTGGCTCACGCCTGTAATCCCAGCACTTTGGGAGGCCGAGGCGGGTGGATCACCTGAGATAGGGAGTTCGACACCAGCCTGACCAACATGGAGAAATCTCGTCTCTACTAAAAATACAAAATTAGCCAGGTGTAGTGGCGCATGCCTATAATCCCAGCTACTTAGGAGGCTGAGGCAGGAGAATCACTTGAACCTAGGAGGCAGAGGTTGCAGTAAGCCGAGATTGTGCCATTGCACTCCAGCCTGGGCAACAAGAGCGAAACTCCATCTCAAAAACAAACAAACAAAAAAATTGCAAAATGTAGTCACCCTGTTATGTTTCATGACTCTGAAAGTGTTATGTGTTTTTTTAACAGTAAACAGTCACTTCAATAGTTTATTATTTCTTATCATTATTAGTAATATCATATCAATATTTTAAAGCTGAAGTTGTTTCTTCAACCCTTAACTTATAAACTAAAACCCAGAGTACCAAAGTTTGCTTTGCAGCATAAAACAAATTAGGAGGTTGCTCTAATTTAGTTTTTAACTTAGTTTTTGTTCCAGAAATAATAGAGACACAATAGACAAAGAGCAATAAAGAAAATAAAAATACACTGCATAATAAAATGCAATTCCATATTCCCCATTACCTTGGGTAATGATGTTAAAATACCCCCAAAACTACAAATACTATCAGGAAAGCTTAACTAAACAGCACTGTTTTCCACATCTACCCCTAGCAAGGTTGAATGTCCTGGAGTTTTCCAGCTTCTGGATTTCAGAAATATCCTCTTTACTACTGTCCCTCAAGTCACACAAGAGCCCACTAAGAAAACCTCCTCTCCTGTTTATGTATCAGCAGCTGGTGCCTTATCAATGCTCCAGTTCTTTCCATGGTGCTATTGTCTCCATATAAGGCTGCTGTTATGAAAATAAGTGTTAATGATGCAGGGCTAAATGCCGTGTGATAGAAAAAAAAAAAAGGAAGAGAAGGAGGGTAAGAAAGAAGAAGGAAGATATGAAAGAAGACAGAAAAAATTTTAAATACCAGAAAAATATTTATATTTGCAAAGTACATCAAAAACACCAGAATTGTAGCAAGTGTACAGAAAAAGGAAGAGCTTTTGCACTGGAGATCTATTTATTTGGCAACTTATTACAAAATGTTATCATGAAATTTTTTATTATGCTTTCCTAAATTTAAATTTACAATTCTGGCACCAAATGACGTTAATCTATTTATATAATAAAGCAGCAAGTTGGCTGGGCCCGGTGACTCACACCTGCAATCCCAGCACTTCGGGAGACAGAGGCAGGTGGATCACGAGGTCAGGAGTTCAAGACTAGCCTGGCCAACATGGTGAAACCCTGTCTCTACTAAAAATACAAAAATTAGCCGAGTGTGGTGGCATGTGCCTGTAATCCCAGCTACTCAAGAGGCTGAGGCAGAGAATTGCTTGAACCTGGGAGCCAGAGTTTGCAGTGAGCAGAGATCATGCCACTGCACTCCACCCTGGAAGACAGAGCAAGATTCGGTCTCAAAAAGAAAAAAACCAGCAAGTCCTTAATGGATAACTGCAAGTCTCATCAACAGCAATGCTATTAACTGAACTGGCTCATCAGTAATTGACACCCATGTCTATCCACTTGCTCATGCCAAGATGTAGGTGAGTCACCCTTGAGCTTTGCCTCTCTCTCATCCTATTTGCCACAATTCATCACCAACTCCTCTCAATTCTACTTTCCAAATACATCTCTAGTCCATTCAATCTTCCTGGTCCTCACTCTTCCCAGCCTAGTCCTGGCCTCCATTGCCTCTCACTAGGACTTTTCCAGTGGATGTCTAATCACTTTTCATACATTCCTTTCCCAATCCATTCTCCAAAAGTAGCCAGAATGATCTCATAAAATGCAAGTCGGATTATGTCACTTACTAGCCTAAAATCCCTTTAACTCCCAACATTTTTTCAGGAAAAAAATGTCAAAATTGTTAACAAGAACCTATACATTTCTACAAAACCTGGCCACTACTTCTCTCTTTAACTTTTTCTTTTCTCTCACTGTCCCCCTCTCTCACTTTGCTTCTTCTCACTGGCCTACTCTCTTTTCCTCAAATATGCCAATTTCACTCTTACATCAGCCCTTTCCTACACACTGTTCTCTTCACTTGAAGCAAATGCCACCAATCCTAGCCCCTTTATCTAGCTAACTCCTACTCAGTCTTCCAGCTTTTGAATGCTTCTTTTTCGGTAGATCTTTCCTAGCCACAGAGTTTAGTTTAAGGTCTCTATTATACTCTTTCATGGCACTAATTATATTTTCTTTAAGGCACTTGTAATTGCAGTCATACAGATATTTGTATGATTATCAACTTAATGCCTGCATCTACCACTCTGCTCTAATCAACATGACAACAGGGACTGACTCTTTTGTTTGCCACCGTATCCCCAAGGCTATCACAATATCCAGCATGAGTGTGTCAGCGCTTTGTTGAATTAATTCATTGGTAAGTTCTTTTACTTCTCTTTAATCAAGCAGCTGTGTTCCCACACAGTTATACTGCTATACTAATCAATGGCTATCACTGTTTGAATATTTATTATATGGCAGGCACTGTGATAAGCATTTCACATATGTATTCTTTATGGCATCTCTACAGTGTAGTACAGTTATCATCCCCATTTTATTATTTAGGAAACTGAGCTGCTTCAAGTGACAGATTAGTAAAACTGCGATTCAAAGCAAAGCTTTTCAGGCTTCCTGGCCCATATTCTTAAACAATTCACTATACTGCTCCCTGGCAAGTGCAGGTAGATTGAACTGCATAGGGTGAGAGAAGGGAGCAGGAAGCATGTGTTTTGTTAAAAGTTACCGGCATTTTGGCTATTCACGGTTACTGTTTCACACTAACCCAAGGACATTGTTTTTCTCTGTATTTGTCATTTCCATCGGCAGCCCCTCTTACTACACCATACTGAAGGGGGAAAATGTGTTCCCAGTTTCCAGAGATACTAAGCCACAGGTAGAGATGAATTGCAGCCTGCCTCTTTTAGCTGGCTGAGTTTGTTTGTTGGTTGGTTTGTTTTTCAATATGAACATGAAAGATTTCTCCTCTACTGTCCTCAACACTGGTTTTCGTGCTTAGCATACATGCTGGCTAAGGATTGTAGGTAATAGAAACAGTGGTATATATGTGCCAGAATTCACACCATGGGAAAGAATACAGTGATGTTTCCAAGGGAAATTAAAGACACCCTAGTTAGGCTTTAACTTAAATTGTGAAGGATATTGTTTAATTACTTTTTTGAAGGACAACCAACTCTCCTACCATAGGATTATCTCAACCTTCAACTTTATCCATTAAAAATCCCGGTAATAGCCAACTCTCTGTTGTATAAATGTACCTTCAGGCCTTTGCTCCTCCAAAACTGTTCCCTTGGTGACAAGTCTGTTCCCTGGGTGATAACTGATGGATTCTTTCCTGATGTCACTCAGACACTGACTTTAATCTGAAGAAAGGTTTCAGCTCTTTTTGAAGCATTAAAAACAGGATGCAATCATGGCTCTCCTGAGGATAAAAAATGGAACTTTCTTGTAAAGCAGGAAAAGCTCCATTCTGTGCTATAGAGTTGCTTGGGAGAAACATTTCCATGTTTTTTTTTTTTTTTTTTTTTTTTTGGCTAGTTCTGCTCTGTGTCTGGACTCTGAGCAAGTAGAAGTGAATGTCTGCATTGCACAAAAATGTCATTAGTGACTACAATTAACCTCCCTTCACCACTGAAGTGACAGTATTTCACAATCCTGGAGAGAACCTTTAGACTGCATATCCTATTTAGCCAGTTTATTAAAAAGAGGCTTTTTTTTTTAATAAATCTACTTTTGTGGGAGACTTAAACTACAGTCAGCAATACCTTTGGTGTTTATTGTTTATTTATAAAAATGTTTATTTTCTGTGTACCTTTTTCTGCCTATTAAATATCAGGTGTTCCAAGAGGCAAAAATAAAGCAATTAAAAACTTTGAAGCTAGCCAAAATCATTTTTACAATACAATTATTTTTCTCTGATTTCCCACAGATGATGAAATAGCCTAGTCCACAGGGGCTGAAAAACAAAATTGATGTCCACCTAAAACTATTCATGCTTTTTACAAGAATTATCAGGAGGCAAACAAAATATCCTAATGCTTAATGTCCATTTTGGCCATGGTTCTGAAAATCCTATATTATTTTGCATGGAGTGTTTTAGGTAGGTATGCACCTGGTACATATGGTTAGCCTTCTAAATTAAATCTTTTAGCATCACAGTTGTTGCATTTTAACAGCTTATTTTAGGTGCCTTATTCACTTCAATCATTGCTATCATTAAAAGCAGGATTTTGAGATTTCATGTATACCATATAAGAATGCTAAATTTGGGTTATTATGAAATTTAAAATCTTAAAGCCTCAGATTCATATATCAATGTGCTACCTGATAAAGTTTTTGTGCTCCTTTCCCACTTGCATTATCAGCATTGTTGACTCTTCCAGCTTCTTTTAAAAATCCTGCAATAAGTAATCACCTGCTGCCTTTCTCTTAATGTTCCCTAAATAAATATTGCAGGAGGGACAAAGAAACACTGAGATATTGAGTCATTAGTGGCAATGAAAGAAGAATTGTGCATCCAGGAATTAAAAAAAGGAAAGAATTTAAACTCTAACCCATATTCTGCTTCTCATGTCTTTGGCCCTGTTATGTTGAGCTGTTAGAATCTGGCTTTTCTCAGGTTATGCTCTGATGTCTTTAATTTTTTTTTTTAACCTTATTGCTATCGAGAGTAGCAATGCTAATATAGTACTTTGACTCTCCAATAGTGAAGGCAGTGACTCAGAAGCAACATTTTGATAACTGTACATTATGGAGAAAGAGTACATTTTATCTCAGTTTTCATTCTATTGATGTTTCCCAAAGTCACAACAGTTACAGACAAGAACAATAAAGGTGACCAAAGTAACCAATTTAGGGTGAGAGATATTCTTGACTATTTTTGCTTACTTTTTGCTTATTAATTTCTGTACCATTACAATGGGTATGGGTTCTTCATAAATTGGTGCTTAATAAAAACTTTGTGAGTGAACATATAGTGGGGTGAGGAAGGGGTGCTGATTTGAAATTACAACTGACTGCAGCAGTTTCTGCCTCCTTAGAGAATGGCATAAATTCTCTCGGTTTAGCAAGACACATTGATGGGCCATTTGGGTGTTGATGTGTAGGGGTAGAACTCAAAGGCGGAAAAGAAAAAGGAGAATTAAATTTATTGCATAATTAAGTACAAACTTGGGTGTTTCCGGGAATATTAGGAAAGTAGAATGGGTTTCCAGAGAGAAAGAGAGGATAGAGAAACTCAGCAAGGTGTGAAAACTGAGGTTTTATATGAGTGAGCCATTGATAACGACCCAGGGACTTTTGAAAATGTGGTAAAATCTTGATTTTAAATTTTTTGCATATGGACTGTGATGTAATCCATTGCCTACACATTTCAGTAAATGACTGCTTAACCACAGAGCCTTGGGTCACTGATACCTTGGGACCTGAAGGAGTCAGAGCATTATCCAGTTGGGGAAAGCTATTGGAAAACAGCTGCAACATATTTGTGATGATGAGATCATCCTCAATTAAATGAATTCAATGGAGGCAGAAATCCTGAGCCAAGAGAGGCTAAAGGAAACATAAACTATCCAAGTCACTCCATAGAAATAGAGGCATTTCAAAAATCAGGATACTCCCGCATATATCTGCATTACAAGTAGTACAAACATTATTAGCTTCTCTTCAGTTGAACCTGTTCCCAGTCTTCCAAATATTACTAATACAAGTGTTATATAAACTACAAACACGAGGAGCAAGTTTATACTATATAACATTGTGTTGATTCTATTTAATTGTGGATTGGGCTTTTTTGGTTGTTGTTCAAGGGTTTTTGTTTTCATAGGTATCTTAAATTATATAAAATACCTCTATGATATCTTTTAAGTATCATGATGAGACTATGTAGTTGACATTTGCATATCCATTTAAAAAGATGAAATCTTGGGTTCAGCAGTTAAGTAATTTGTCCAAAAGTCACGTGGACAGTAAGATACAGAGTCAAAGATTGAACCCATGCCTGCCTATCTCCAAGGCCTATGGTTACCTGTCTTTCGAAATGAGCTCAAAGGAGAGGAGGTAGGCCATTCTGAGAAGAAAAACAATTATTTCTCCCTTGAATCAATCTCTGATCCTGAGAGAAAGTCAGTCTGTAAAACAGAAGGCTTTGTGCAAAATCTGTTTTATATGGAAAACTATGAGCCCCACTGACCAAATAAAGAAGAGAACTCTTGAGTCTTTTCTATAGCATTCAGAATACCAAGAACTAATTGGAATAGTTCTAAAGCCAACAGGGCAAGGAGTAAGCAATATAATTAAATCATCTTGAGGGCCGTTAGTTCACAGTGCAAGACTGGGCACAGATCCAACTGCAATATCCACTTGTCTGTGTCTCTGTTTCTTCATCTGAAAAATGGGTATTATAATAATGTCTACTTCCCAGAATTGTTGTGATAATTAAATGAGGCAATGCAACTAGATTACCCGGTATGCATGCATCAAACAAGGTGAATGATTAAGAGGGTGATATACAAAATCATCCCTCCTGCTGAGTTGAACAAAAGTGTCCTCGATACTAGCATGTAATTCCTCTAGGGGTGCTGTGGGACTAAGATTACGGTAACTACTTTAAAGCATAATTTTGTATGGATTTTGCTTCCTTTTAATTAAAATTCCTCCTGACATGCTGGATCAGGAGTTTTTAAAAGTGAGTACCAAAAGGCTTTCCAATAAGATCTTTGTCTTAGTATGTTTGGTGATAGCTAAAGGCAAGAAAACAAATGAAGTCCTACACATTATGTATGTAATAATAGCAAATGGAACAGGTTACTATTAACAATTTTTATCACAGCTTATCTGTTCAAATGGTACAATTATTTGAGAAACAGAGTTTTCTAAACGCCATAGAACCCGAAAGACCAAGTATATAGGAAGAAATGTTCCCTGAGTAGCGTTGCTTTTGAGAATTCTCCTTTGTCAACCTAGAAAAATCATAACAAAATCCAAGCTAATTAATACAAAATAAATAAATTAATATCCCCATATAGGTCATGAAAAGGGTGAGAAAAATGTCACGTATTCCTTATCTCACTGACAAAGACACTTTAAAGAAAACAAGCAGACACACTGGTGGCTTCTAGGTGTGTTTAACTAATTGGAACAACACTGAATTTTGAATAGATCCCTCTGTCTGCCAAGGGCCATGTTTTACCACGTAGGAATATAGCTGCTAATGTGAATTCAAGCAGTGCACTCAGAACTGTCTCAGTATCTTGCAGAAGAGACACAGAATATGTGGAAGATGTGGTCTGTCTCCTTGACAGACAAACTTCTATTTCGCTATCGCTTCTCCAAAGGGTTAAACAACGGTGACATGTTAAAGTGGGGGGAAATGTATTTAGGAAATAATCAATTTTCACTGCTATATGGTACTCTGAAAGGTTGCTACTGTAATAAAATTAGAATACCACTTTATTATTGCAGTGTAAGTAATTTTATTTACTTTTTAAGTCAACACACACACAGGGCGGTGAGAGCAATCAGCAGCTGCACTTGTTAGCTCACTGATTAAATATGTTGTCACCTAACTCTGAACTAATTACAGAAAATTGAATCTGTTTGTGCATTAGCCAACATGGTATTAAGTTTGTTAACCGAGATTTTTGAGCTTGCTTACTCTTTTTACTGCCATATTTTTTAAAATAAGTTTTATTTGTCACTAGCAATTTCACCCAGTTGCCACAACTTGTTAAGAGAGGTCTTTGAATATTACAGTGTGTTATTTATATAGTAGCTACTTACATCTTTTGATTGTGGAAGAAACCCTCATTGAGAAGTACTAGAAAATTGTAGGAGACAGAAATATAAAATTAATTTATATAAGTTTTAAGTATATTTTTCCTACATGATGCCTCCATTTGCAAGTGGACCTATGTATTTCAATAGAAGTAAACCTATAAAGCTACTCAAAGTATAACATCAAGCGGACAATCCTATAGAACCAACCTAAATCCCAAGAACTCTGTGACCCCACTCCCCTGGCTTCTGAAATCAGCTATCTGAAAGTATCTTGGTCAAAGGTAATGCCACTGTCTATGACCTTCTATTCAAGACCCCCATAGTCCAGCTGCCCCAGTACCCTAAAGTTGAATAAGTTGACTTGTCTATTTCCAAAAGCAGATAGATGTCAGAGGTCGTTTTCTCCAAAATGCTAGCTCTGAAAGACTGTTGCTTTGTTTATTACGGTTCTAGTTTTAAAAAGCAACTTTAGGGATGCGGGGATCCAAAAGAGAAAGTCTTAAAGTACTTCAGAGGAGAAAGGAAGCAAGGAAGGAAGACCTAGAGCAAAAGTTGAACCACTTTGCTGTTCAAAACCTACTTCACCCATGTTAACTTACCCAAATGAGAAATACCAGTACTTTATATTCATATGATGCTTTTAACTTCCTCAAAACACTTCCACCTATATCATCCTGTGGAACCCAGGAGCTTATTTTTTTAATAAGTGGAAAGGACATAAGCCATCCTAGGATGTTTCTAAAAGCTCCATACCAAAAAAAGCTGTCAGGTTTAATTAAAGGAAAATTGCCCAGAAGAACTTCAGACTGGGGCTATTCAAGCAACATGCTTGAATATTATCAGGAGAAGAAAACACCTGTCCATTTAAATCGTTGAGAATTCAACAGTTTAAATGATGTAATAACAATTCTAAGCAGGGCTAAATGTGCAAGGATCAGCTGGAACCACTTTTAGTCAAGGTTGATTAATCTAGTTTTCACAGCATTAGCTGGCCAAACAACTAAACAATGGCTTTTCAACTCTGATGGTCTATATTGGCTTTAAACTCATTGTATCTTACTGGATTTTGAAAATTATAAATCCACAAAATAGTCTGGGAACAAAATGGAAGTTAATTCTGGTTCATTGTGAAACACACTTTGTAAAAATGGGCTACGTATACAGCATAAAATAGTAAGTGGAAAATAAAACTAGTTAGATAATGACCAATATACTCATTGTATTAGGTCCATTTTCTAAGAATTGCAAGACCATGGATTAGAAAAGAAGTGAACATCAAGGACAGCTATGAAAAAAAAAATCCGTGGTCCCTATATCAGTTGCCTTAAAGCAGCGGTTCTGAAACCTGAGTGTGTATCAGAGTCACGTTTAGGGCTTGTTAAAACACATTTCACTAGACCCCTCCCCCAGAGCTTCTCATTCAGAAAGTTTCAGTGGGGCCACAACCTTTGCATTTCTAAGTTTCCAGGTGATGGTGGTGCTACTGATCCAGATACCACACTTTAAAAATTCCTGGTTTGGAATGAGTGATTTGGGATCAGAGACACTTGAATTCAGGTACAGTTCTAAACACTTTACGCATGTTATATTATGCAATTCTTCCAACAGTCCTGTGGTAGAAATTAGTAACACCTTATAAAAAAGACTTAACATTTGAGATGCTTGTAAACTACCCAATGCTGCATGCCTAGAAAGGGTCAGAGGCCACATTCAAAGCTAAGTCTGACTTTAAATTCTATTCTCATTCTGCTACACAGTGTAGCCATCCAACCCACTTCCCTGTATTATATACATTGTGAGGCATTAATCAACATAAATTGATTATTATGGCATGTTGAAAAATGAGAAAAAGGAAGACAACCCTTTTCTTTGTCATAAGATACTGAGAAAATTTCATCCTAAATATAATAATAATGTATCTCTAAGAGAGTTTACACAAAAGGATTTTTCATAATATTGTTATTGTGCATCTTCCACGATGTTGCACCTGTTGGAAAGTTAATCTGCTAAAGACCTGAAAATCACAGTCTTAGGAGAAAAGAAAGAGAGAAAGAAAGAGAGAAAAAAAAGAATGAGGGAAGGAAGAAACCATCCACAATGAATAAGCAATTGGGCATGAATAGAATTTATTCAGTTGGTGGCTACTGCCCAAGCAGAATGAATTGGCAGAATAAAGGAATATTACTCTATAATAATAATGGGTGTTCACAAATCTTGAGGTCTACACTTAGTTTCTCCACTAATTCTGTAAGTGGACTTGGGCAAGACACTGGACAAGGTTTTTCCCTAAAAGCCCTTACAGAATTAGCAGATTATGATTCTGTGAGGAACACCTTGAAAACATGTTTTATCCACATCTCTAGCCCTAGCAGAATATCATTGTTTACATTGTCATTGTCAATCTTTCACAGAAAACAGGATGACCAGTTTATTAATGTTTTAAGGAAACTTCTCAGCATGGAAGTGGCCATCAAATCCATTTCTATACTTTGTTTGGATATAGAATCTCTCAGAATTTTCCATGAGCTTTCAGACACAGTCCCAATACACCCTAGTGGCTGGCCCTTGTTAGCTGCCAACTTAATCCATCAACTGCTTTAACTGAAAGCTCTAGAGAGCTGAGGCAGCCAAAGTTATTGGACTCTCCCAGCACAGCTGAGGAGACATCCCCTCAATAGCTGTGGAGACATGGCCCAGATTGCTTTTTCACTAAAAGGATGTAATTGCTAATGTAGTTATTGACTTGATGGATCTGTCCCAGTTTAGCTTATTTCATTAGGGCTGTTTCCTCAGCCATTTTAGGATAAAATTTCTTAGGTATCTTACTACAAAGAAAATGCCTATCTTCCTTTTCCCCTTATTTTTAACATCTCATTATAACTGGTTTGTGTTTTTAAGGGTTCACAATGTACTAAGTACTATATATAATGTATGGCTGTAATCTCTCAGCAGTTTATATTCTAAATATGCCCTATCAGTGAATACAAAAGCAGCCTCCATATTCGAGATCCCTAAGATGCCCATGAAAAGCTTTGTTGCTTTCATGAGTCAGTTATTTTAGGCCACTTATGGTTCATTGATCCTCTTAATCAATTGCTTGATCATTTGCTTGTTCATCAAAATATGGGCAATGTTGCCAAAGAAGCAGTGTACCCAACAGCCTTGGAATTTCCTCTTGTGTGGCATGAGTTTTGAATCCATTTTTCAGTTTCAAATTAGAAGACCAAGCCCCTTATTTTTTGTCTTTTAGCCAAAAAAAGATCCCAGTGATAACAGTTATCAAATGCAGCTTGCAAATCTAAGTCTGAGGTATGTTTGCTACAACAGCCCAGAGAAGTTGGTTTATTCAGAGTGTCAGGTCGCTTTGATCCAAACTGACATATTCATTATAACTCTACTGATAGTATTTTTTGGAAGGGGCGAAGAAACATAAATAAAACAGATCTATGTACAAACTTGATGACTTGGAGTTACGCACTTTCAGGATTGCATCACCAAGCCCACTTGCATCTGAAGCATTGAGTGAGTGAAGGAGTTAATGCCACGCTTCTCACTGCAGCCCTTGCTTGCCACACTGTAATTAAAGTGGTGTCAGCCTTCCACTATAAACTTGTGGTATGATTTTCAGAGGTTTATGACTCAACCATAAAATTCACTCTAGGCTCAAAACTGGCACAAGGCAATGAAACTTGAGAACACAATTTTTAGAGAAGAAAATCATTTCAGCTCTTTAAGGTTATAGAAACTTTCTTCCTTAGTTTTCATGCTCACATCATGAAAATAAATCTGCTTTATATATACAAATTTTCTATGAATTTATCGAATTTCAATAATCTATGATTAGAGCTTAAAAATATTTATTTTATATATCTTCCTACTCTTGAATAGAAATATATGATACTAGCAGGTATTAGGGCTTTGGAGAATTGGAGTTGGAAGAAAGCAGAAGAGGACCAGATCTCATCCCTTTTCTCCATGCAGACAGCTTCCCTAATGACATTTTCTTTCTTCCTCTTACTTCTTACTAAACGTTATTGATAGGTTAAGACTAATTCCTTCCTAGGGTTTCCCAATAATTCCTTTTAAAATCTTTAACCCAAATTTCCTAATTGGAAGCACAGGGACATTCTATTCTTTATAAAATGTCTGTAGAAGAATCTGTGGTAGGAGAGTAACGTGGTTTTTGCCTCAAAGAGCATTGATCAAAAGAATTGGTTTGGCCATTGCAGGTTGTAAAATACACCTTCTCCGTTTGGGAAGGAAGAATTTGTCTTGAAGCAGTAGAATCAAAAGAGTAAATGAATTTTTCAGATACGGCAGTTACAAACCTATTCATGTTTCTTTAGACAAAACTCACACACCATTAGATGGCATTTGCCATACATAAGCTGTCACTTCAAGACCTTAAAATGTGTGAAGACCCATTTATGGATTCAAAAATTCCTCCCATTAAACAGCAAACAACTATTATTCTTAATAATAAAAATGATGAAGCCATTCTTCAGGCATGTTTTTCTCTATCTTTATAAAAACTGTAAACAAAAATATCCAGTCCTAAATTTATTCTCTGATGAACTCTAGATTTTTCCATATTAAGCATGTTATTTTAAGTCCACTGATTTAAAATAATTTGGAAGGTTAAGGATATGTTATGGAGATCACTAAGAGAAAAAGAGAAAATATATTAATATTTTAATAATTTTTAAAAGATCAGTGAATCAGAAGAAATGAAATCGTCTATTGTGGCTTAGACAGTTTTCTAGGCATGTTACATTCACATATTGAACTTAAGAAAGGAAAAAACTTTCATTTGAAGTTGATGCTCTCTCTAAGAGGTTGAAAGAGTCTAAATCACAGGGATTGGGGGTAAGTAAAAGAAAGCACAAGATCATAGTAAAATTCAACACTGCCTTTGAAGAATGCTCTTTCTTGCATTCATGTGAGTAGACATAATGTATGCACCAAGTCCACAGGCAGAAGGCTATAGACTGTCCTCAGAAAGCACATGGGAAAAGGTGAGCCCCTATACTGAGTCAATTAAGCCATAGGTTTGTAATAATTTATACTTTCCCAGTAAGTGTGAGGGCAATGAAGAAAAGCTCTTGGGTGCTCACTCTTTCTGTTAAAGCTGAACATACCCATATGGCAGAGCTCCATTCTGTTGCACATTTTTTAAAAAGTTAAGCTTTTTCTCCCAGCTAAAGAATGGAATATTCCAGATGAGCAGAAGAATAACTAGAGGAAACTGATGGAGATTTAGCTTGTGGCAGCAGGCAAGAAAAATATTTCCAATGACCCAATTTAAAGGACTATAACCTTGTAGGGCACAGAGAAGTCACAGCATCCTGTAGGACAAGTAGAAGCTTCATGATCAGAGATGAAACAATTCAGTTTGACAACACTCCGACTTTGAGGCCAAGACCACCAACAGAGCAGGCTTGGCAAGCAGCACTTAGAATCCTTGCTCAAAGGACAGAGTGGACTGGAAACCATGGTGTGCAAAAACTGCTGATTGGCCGCTGGGATTTTCAGCCACATCAGCACATACCGGAAGGAACACTGTCAACTCGGCCATCTCTAAATGCAATAGGCAAGAAGAGAAAATGAATGTAGTTTTAAAAACTAATGAAAAGTTCTTTCCAGTGAAGAGTTTTTGAATAGAAAAAATAATTTTACTGAGGATAGACTTGGGGTGTTGTTTGTTTGTCATTGTTTTGTGTGTGTGTGTGTGTTTCAATGTTCTCACCATGGATTTACCAAGTGAAAATATGAACTTCACACTTTCCCTTTAATATTATTTTTCTAAAACAAAAAGATATTTGATCAAAGACTGCATTCTCAGCAATTGCTACTTTCATTTCAATCTTAACAATATGAAAAAAGCAGAATTGAGATATAGATGTGGCCTTCTACCTTCTGAATATTTTTAGCCTCGGAAACATATATAATGATTTTTCAGGTAAATTATTTTTGGGATAATTTTGCACAAATAGATAAAATTATTTTATGTAATTTTAGATCTTTTGTTCAGGAATCAATTTAGATTTGGGATCATGATTTATATTTTGGTGTTCACAACATAATTAAGGCAGTTGCAGGTGAGCTGTGAATTGATCTTTTATCTTTATGAATACCAGGAAAGAGAAATTACCATTTATTTATTTGTAATGGTAATTACAATTGTAATTGTAATTGTAATACCTGAAACTGCTCAGTTCACCTTGACTCACAAGACTGTCCAGGTTCCCAAACCATATACTAACTCACCTTCCCTGAGTCTAATTTCTCCTTCTTATTTATGCTCCCAATGTCTTGAATGCTGGAAAGAATGAGTATAAATTTATAAGCATGATCTTCCCTCTGCTTTCTATGATATATGCATTGTCCACCTTCTAAGCTGAACTCTGAACTTGCCAACATCCTCTTCCCCATCACAGATCACATATCCCCACATCTCATTGTTCTGGGGCCCTGGTACAGGATTTCTTACCTCACGTCAGATTTCATCTCTTGGTTTCTCTTTCCAATCCTTATCAAAACTAATTGTACAAGCTGTCACCTTTGAAAAGCCCAGATTAAGTAAATCATCACCTACTTAACATTCAACCTTCAGACATATAACTAAATGCCATTCCAGAAGCCTTCCCTAAAACTTAAGATTAGATGGTCTTACTATTATACGCTTTAAAGAACTTTGTTCTTTTCAAGATTCATCACGACTACGATCATATAACTCTTTGTGTAACCACGTGTTTAATGTCTATCTTTCTTGCTGTACTATTAGATACTTGTGAAAAGGAAATTAGTCTGTCTTGTTTCCTGCTGTGGCCTCAGCACCCAGCACAGTGCCTGGAAAATGGTGGGCCCTCATGAAATGCTGGTCATTGCTGTTAAATTAATAGTCACTGGTCCCGTAAGATATTATTCCTCACAGGGAATATTTGTCTTTAAAAGGGGAAGAAAAGAAACATGTTTTTTAGTCCGTTTCAGGTACCAGTACTATGATGAGATCAAAAACATTTCCTTAGTGGTGTTCTTAATAACCCTATGAGGTATGGATTATTGTTCTCATTTTATAAATTACCTGTTCAAAGTCCCATAGCTAGGCTCCAGTTTAAAACCAAGTCGGCCGGAATCCTAAATATTTTCACTGCACCTTGCTTCTTTGTTCCCCAAAAAAATAATCTCTGTGACAGAATGCACAACATTCCTTTCTTTCTGACCCTTCATTCATATTACAGAGGTGATCACTTATGTTACTTGTGAGCTTTTAACTGTTCTTATTGTTTACTCTCCTGCCTCCTAAAATCCTTTCTCTCTACCACAGCCAGAGTAATATACTTAAAATATAAATTATGTCACACCACTGTCCCACCTTAAATCATACAGGTTTTTCAGTGCACTCAGAATAAAGTCTAAGTTCTTTGCAGTGGCCAGCAAGGCCCACTGTGATCTGACCTCTGCCTGCCTTCAGACCAGACCTTATCTCTCACCCTTATCCACCTTCATTACCACACTCACACAGGATAGCCCTTTTGGTTTTCCTAGGCTACACCAGGCTCATTCCTGTCACAGGGCTTTTGTATCTTCTCTCCTTCTGAAAGTCCACTGTTCTGATAGTCACATGGCTGATTTATTCTTGCCATTGAGGTCTCAACTCAAATTTTACCTCCTCAGGGAAACTCCTTTGACTCCCAATTTAAGTATCACCCTTTCCTTGATCCCTATGCCTCCCCACCATGGTGTGCTGAGATATATTCTCATGTAGCCAAGTCAGATCTTCACCTAGCTAACTCTTCTCATCTAGGCCTCAGCCTAATTGTCACTTCCTTAGGAAAGCTATCCCTAACACTCCAGACAGGGGAGGTTCATTACTTATAGATTGTTTAAAAAAGAAAAAAACTACACTTTGTATTTGCTAAACTTATAATCAGTCAAATATTGATATCTTTTAACTAACTGGTATTACCTTATTTATTTATGTGATTTCCCAAACATTAATAAGAATACAAGCTCATTGAGTAGAGCTTTATGGGTCTGTCTTTTGTACTGAAGTATAACCAGAAATAAATAGTTCTTTTTCATGAAATTTAGAGTATAGGAAATGGATTTTAAATAATTCAAAGCATGATGAATATTACAAAAGAGCAAGCAGAGAACTTGGGGCATGCACAATAGACCCATTCTAGTCTGGATAGAGGAGAAGTCAAGAAAAGCCTTTCAATCAAGTGATGATTAAGCTCAGAACTGCAATATAAGTAGGAGTTAGCCAGGCATGGTCTGGAAAGCAGGGTGAGATGGCAAGAGAAGACTGTAAGAATATTCCAGGCATCTAGAAACTCATGTGTATCCTAGAATCCACCACCCCAGACCTCCACTCACTCTGTCCCATTGCCCTGTTCTCTTAATAGAACTCACCACCTTTCGGAAATACATCATTCTCTTGGTTGACTGTCTGTCCCTCAAAATCATTAAAATAAAATTTCCATGAGGGCAGGGACTTTGTCAGTCTTGCTCACCACTGTTCCATAGTGCTCAGAACAGTCACTATCATTTAGGAAGTGATTGATAAGTAACTTCCAAATGACTGTGTAAAGATCCTGAAGCAGTAAAGGTAAAAGCAAACACCAAAAGAAAAACAGCATGACTATCACATGAGATGGGAGGAGATCATGGCATAAGATGATGTGGGCTTGGGGACAGAAGGGTAAGCAGAGAGCTGAACTTGTAAGCATATTAAGGAGGTCGGACTTTATCCAAAACAATGAAAATATATTAAGTTTTAAGCCAGCTCTGTTATATAATAAAATATGCAACTTTAAAACATCATTCTTATTAAAGCATAGAGAATGGATAGGAAAAGAGCAAAACTGGAAGAAGAGTAGCCAATACTGGGAAATTTTACAGTTGACCACATGAGAAATGATAGTCTCCTGGACCAGGAGGGAGGCCATGGCAATAGAGAAGAGCAACTGGATTTAAAAGTATTTAAGTAATAGGATTGAATTTATATAATGAATAATTGGATGTAGCAAGTGAGAAGAGAGAAGACAGTGTTGATTCCCAGGCTTGAGCCATAGATGAACGATGGGGCCATTGTCCAACTAGGAAAATCACTGGAGAAGGAGCGGGTTTAGTGTACAGGATGGTGAGTTCAGCTTGGCAGTGTGGATTAGAGGGAACTCTGAGACTTTCTAGGGGATAAGTCTAAAAGACACATGGATATACAGGTAGGTCAAGCTAAAGATAAACATTTAGGAATGATCTGCATGCATTATTGTTGATTAGTTGGTTATTTTTAAGTTTTTGCCTCAACTTTTATTTTAGAATCGGAGTACTTGTACAGATTTGTTACAAAGGAATATTGTGTAATGCTGAGGTTTGGGGTATGACTGAATCCATCACCCAGGTAGTGAGCATAGTACACAATAGGTAGTTTTTCAGCCCTTGCCTCCCTCTCTCTGTGCCCCTCTTGTAGTCCCAGTATCTATTTTTCCCATATTTATGTTCATGCATACTCAAAATTTAGCTCCCACTTATAAGTGAGAACACGTGGTATTTGGCCTTCTGTTTCTGCATTACACCTTTGTTTGTCAGTTTTATTGTCACTGTGTATTGATAAGAATCTGGATTCAAACTGCCTAAGTTGGAATCTTGGCTCCCCTCCACTTTTGTTGAGAGATCTTGACTAACGTACTTTAATATCTGCAAGTCTTGGTATTCTCATAGAGATGAATGATGGGGCCATTGTCCAACTAGGAAAATCAGTTTTACTAACTATCAGTAATCAGTTTTACTAACTGATAATAAAACTATCAGTTTTACTAACTATGTACAAATGCAAAATGAAATCAATTAAAGGACTAAAGTGAAGTTAATTATATGTATAAAATATAGCCTGTATAGAATGAGCTCTTACTAGATGTTAACGGTTCCTATCTGCTATCAGCCCTTTTGGCATTATAAAGGTTATCAACTTCATGGGTTTTTGTTTAACAGTATAGAGCTCATTCAAAGCCAACAGACTTACAGGTCAAACTATTTCAGTCTTCATCCAAATACAGATCATATCATTCAAATCTTCAACAATAGTAACACATAAGTTCCTACTAATAGGCTGTTACCTTTAATTATCGTAGCAAGTACTGACACCATTTTTGACACATTCTATTCCATATTTTTTTCTGTTCTTTATATTATACTTTTGTCATTTTTGGTAAGTAGTTCCTAGAATTAAAATATGCATTACTTTATAATAAGGAAGAATTGATAGAAATTAAATGAATATCTTAAATTTTCATCATAATTGTTTTTCCTAACTCACCGATGCAAAAGCATTCAAAATGTAATATTATGCTTCCACGGGTATATGCTGAAAACTGTTACTGAATAATGGTTCTCTTTTTACCTATACCAGACAATATTGTCAAAAAAACATAAATAACTTTATTAGCTGTCACTATCTTGCTATTCTTCATCAAAAGACACGGTGGAATGAAGTCTAAATACTAAATAAAGATAGAGCTATATGTATGTGTGTGGGTATATGCATATATACACATACATATGCACAGAATAAATTAAAATGGAATGTAAGTTATAAAAATGGAATTTTTTAAAAGATAATGAAGAAATCTTCATCCTGGAAGGGATCCTAAGAATCAAAGCCCAGTGGCTTTGTTATGCAGATAAGTGCATCTGTGGTCTGAAGAGGTGGGATGAATTGCTTGAGATAATGCAATCATATGTGGCAGAGAATTCTGGTCTCCTAATTCCCAGGCCAGTGTTTCCTCACTATACTGTCATTAACACACTTACTACTGAGCTTCATTTTAAATTAATTCTGATAGAAAATCATGAATGTATTTGTGGTGTTAAACATCTCATATTCCCACCATAGTAGCTAAACAGACTCAAATCACAGTTAAACTGATTATCTCTACCTTCTTTATTTAACTATATATTATAGTGTTAAAAAAATAACCCCAGATAGACAATTAAAAGATTCACACAGAGAGTTATTGTCTACAAAAGATTTGAAAATAAGGCTGACATCTGTTACAAAGAAAGATTAATTAGGTATCATTTTAAATGATGAACTCTGGCTCCATTTCCCATGAGAACAGTTGGTAAATGTACTGTTCTAATTAGGGATTTGGATCAAAATATCATTTTATTCTAATCATGAAGCCTATTAAGATTTTTATTAATACTATCAGTTTTACTAACTATGTACATCACACATGTTTATCTGACAAACACAAATACTTTTCCTCTGGTGAAAAAACAATCTTATGTAAATGATATAATATTTATAGTTAGGGTTATGAATTTAGGGCTAACCTACTACATTATAATTCCTTTTTCTTTCATCATATCATGCTTTCTTCATGATATCTTATTAAAAGTATTGTTATTAAAATCTCATAAAATCCTATAAAATAAGTGACAGAACAAGCAAGACTCTGCCAAGAAGTGTGGCAATCATGGCTGAAATCATGGGCTTGCATTCTCTATGAAGGTCCAGTTCCTCCAAAAGTATTTCCAAAGAGAAGCACATCCCAGAGTCCCCAGCTTTTATCTATTATCTCTCTAGTTCCACCTAAGTCCAGTCACATGACTTGTCCCAGCTACTGAAGCACAGTTTGGAAAGGCAGTGTGGATAATAGAAAGAACACAGAAATCATAATGTGAGGTCCTGAGATTGAGTTCTGCTTTTCGCTACTTACCAGTTCTATCGCTTTAGGCTAATTACTTAAGCCCCTAAACTCTTCATAATTTTATTTTGCCATTTGTAATAATGAGATAGTTATGATGATAATACACTTATTTTTCAAGGGTTATTGTCAGAATTAAGTGAGATAATTTTGGGAGGATGACATACAGTGTTATTCAAGGGATCAGTTATTCAATACTTTAAGTAACTCTCCCAGAATTTGTGAATAGCTGTCTTACACTTTCCAAAAATGTATTACATCAAGATTAGTTGGGGAAAAGAATGGGGAAAGTTAAGATAGAAATACTTGTATATGTGTAATTAAAGACTAAATTGCTTGCAGGTTTCTACTGATAACGTGCTGATTTTTATAAATGATTATTATTTATGAATTTATTGATGGAGAAGAATTATCTTAATCTTAGAGCAACCAGAGACAATCTCTTTTTTAAAACATTTCATTATAATTGGCAGGAAAGGAAAATAAAAAAACATCCTATTAAAAAACAGACATTTGGAAAAGCTAGTTACATGAGGAGGCCTGCCCTGTTGTAAATGCATCCTCACTGATGCATTTACACGTACACAGCATGCTGTCACCTCAAAAAACTAAAAGGTAATGATGGCAGAGATGAAGCTCACAGGCAAGCCTAATATAGCAGAGAGGTATTTGCTGGATGGATTTCCATAGATGGAAATGAGGGAGCTTTGCAGGAGCAGTGTGCATGTGCGTATGTGTGTGTGTGTGTTTGTGTGGTGTGTGTGTGTGTCTGTGTGTGTGTGTGGTTTATCTAAAAAACTTACCTAATATATTCCTATTTAGACTCATATGTTTAAACTCCTTGAAGCAAATTTAGAGCATCTTTCACCCAGCAGGCCAAGAAAACATCTGTGATATCAAGTGATGTTTAGAAAACAGCATTTTAGAATTCAAAATAAAATAACTTTTATAGCGATCCATAAAAATACTTATTCTTACAACTTGGATTACTGACTTTGTTGAAGAGAAGAATGCCAGCGAGAAAATTGGCACTACATATTAGCTACTAAAATGTTCAAATCTAGACATATTTTAGAAACAGCAATAAAGAAACCAATATTAGCCTTCAAACTGAATATACGTCACAGGGCACAACTCAGAGTTAGTGAGACCACAAATAGCTTACTGCTACAAATACAAAATCTACATCAGTCTATTACCAAAAGTTCTAAGCTCAACTAATTATAATCACTCCCTTGCAAACTACCCCTGTTGGTCTCCTCTCACTGTCTTGTAACTGCTCTGGGAAAACTCTAAGCTGTATAAACCCAGTTATGTGCCTCTAGGCTGTCTCCTTGAAGGTGAACATCAACGAAGAGATTAGTATAACTGAGCAGATCTGTTTCACCACAAATTTACAACCATTAATCTCTTCTCTTAACAAAGTCCTTTGGCTCGTATTCTGAGTTCCAGGCTCTCTTGCCTTCCCAAGGAATAACTTCTTTGACTATTCTTTCTTTCTCCTTCATCTTAAACCTCTCCTCTCAGTTGGATTATTTATATTAACATATAAGCATGTTTTATTTCTGATCTTCAACAAAATAAAAATGTCTGATCTCCCAATAGTTACTGCTCTAGATTTCTCTGTCTGTTCTTATCCAACACTTACTTTAGAATATTCTTCTTGTCCTGGTTTCACTTCTACACTTCCTGTTTACCTTTCAACATCAGACATGTCATCTGCCTGCAACACTCCACCCAAGCCACTCTTGCTAAAGTTGTACTGACCTCCATACAGTTTTTAAGCATTTGACTCAGTTGGCCACTATGTCTCAAAACACAGGCTTCACTGACGCTGACACCACACTTCCTCCTATTTCTTTGACAACTCTTTCTCAGTCTCTTTTGCTAACAACTCCTCTTTTAAAGTTTTCAATGTTGGAGTTCCTTGGTTTCAGAGATAGTACTTTTTCTTCTCGCATTAGGTTCTCTTCCTAAAAGGTATCATCCATTCCCATGACTTTAAAGACAGTCTGTGCCAATGACTCCCAAACTGATATTACTAGTCTGGATCCCCAGAGTTACAGGCTCATATCCAACTAACTACTTCACTCAGTCACTTACATGCTTCTAGGTCCCTGCATACCAATGTGTCCAATATGGGACACTTATTCTTCCCTCCTCTCTTTCAATGGCTTTCCATTTCATTTAGAATAGAATCCAACCACTTTAACATGGCCTCAAACTCTGCATAATCTGGACTTTGTCCAGATCTTCAAACTCATCCCAAGCTTCTATATTGCAACCTCATTGAACCAATTTCAGTTCCTAGAAAACACCAAGCTCTTGCCTCCCTCGGGTATTGAATATGTTATTTCTTATCTGGACAGCTTCTTCACTTCTTCCCACCCATCAAGTAAGAGTCTTCACTTGGCTAAAATCAACTCATCTATCAGGGTCCAATTCAAGCATTGTACTCTCCAACTCTCCAAACCAAGATAGTTATCACTCCCCAGATGTTATTCTTTCTTATAGAATTCAGTTAATTTATTTCACATAAATTATCACAATGCTTAGCTAAGATCATATGTATGCTATGTCCAACTCTTCTATTAACAGTAGACAATAAACTTCATTTAATAAACCAGTTTTTGTTTTATTCACCATTATAACACACTGCTTTTTCCGCAGCAAGTGTTCAACATACATGAGTTCCTCAACCAAATGAATAAAAGTTCATGACTGGCTACATAAGCAGATGAAGCTACTTAACCTTGTAATAATTCTATATATACTATCCATGTCTATTCAAAATACAAAACATTTCATGTTTTTGTCTCATTTAATACCTGAATTTACACTAGGTTTGAGACATGTCCTAACCAACTAGAGAGTTATCCAGTTTACAGAATGTCCCATTTTGTTGTTGCATTTGATATTCCAAACTTATTTTTGTTAGCAGATAATGAATGAGGCATAGAAAGATAAGACTTGCTAAAATTCACATTTCTAGTAAGAGAGCAGATCTTTAGAATCTCATCTCAAATATTCTTTACATTTATAAGACTGCTCCAAAATTAAATTTTAAGTCCTTGGAGAAATAGGTCAGAAACACAGTTTTGTTTTTCCTTTTTGTTTTTCTTTTTGAGACAGGGTCTCACTCTGTCGCCCAGGCTGCAGTGCAGTGATGTGATCTTGGCTCACTGCAGCCTCAACCTGCCAGGCTCAAGCGATCCTCCCACCTCAGACTCCCAAGTAGTAGCTGGGACTACAGGTGCACACCACCACACCTGTTTAAGTTTTCTATTTTTTGTAGATACGGGGTTTCACCATGTTGCCCACACTGGTCTCTAACTCCTGAGCTCAAGCAATCCACCCGCCTCGGCCTCCTGAAGTGCTAGAATTACAGGGCTGAGCCACCGTGCCCAGCCCAGAAACACAAATTTAATCTGCCACTTATTCCCTTGAAAGACAATTGCAAGAAATATTAACTTTGTTTTTATTAATAACATCAAATTATGAAATTTACCTTCACCACTCCCACCAAGTATAATGCTAAATAATTTTGTCAGCAAAGCGAAAACCTTTGAAACTATTCTATCTAGGAACAAACTATACTGTCTTGGTTTTTCTGGTTTCATCCACTAGTTAAAACTAAAATAATGTGGTAATGGGAAGAATCCCCCTAATTTTGAGGAGAGGAAGTTAAGAAAGTCATAGCTGGTTTGGCCAATCTATTATAATGCTAATGACTTTCACAAACCTATCCAATAATTAGGTGATCCACATTTTATTTTGATAGTTCTTTTCCAAGTTTAAACATATAAGCAGAAAAACGTATTTATTAGATAATGCAAGTAGATTATTTATAGTATTATCAAATGTAGACTCACATGGAGCCATTTCTCAAACAGCTGCTCTATTTTATTATTAATAAGAAAATAATAGATAACATTTACTGAGTACTTACGAAACTCAATGCACTATCCTAAACTTTTAAAGTGCTACCTTATTTTATTCTTGAACCCCTCTTTAATATAGACATCATTTTATCATTTCTTTATAATAATAAATGCTGAATTTCATGGACCAGAAGACTGGATGGACCCCAAGTTTACTCAGCTGGTAGGTTGTTCATCTGAAATTTTAACTTTTTAAGTTGTGTACTTAAAACGCATTTTCTTAACATGTTGGTAATACTGACCATCTTTGCCTTTTTAGATTATAGTTGACCTTGGTTTTTTTAGCTTCAAGGTAGTGATTATAGCCCTTTTTTCTGGATGTCTAACATTTTCATGAAAATCCTTTAAAACCTACATTAAGAATGAGTGTCAGCTATGAGCATGAAATCAGGCAGAAGCAAGAAATCCCTTTTTTTTCACTTACTATCTGTTGATCGTGGGCACATTTTCTTACTTCAATAAGCCTCGATTGCCTTGTCTATAAAATAAGGGTAAAAATAATCATAAGCTACTTCTCATAAGAAATAATTCTCATAAGAAATAATTAATGCATGTTGTTCATCAAGCATGCTCCCTAGCCCATAGGAGATGGCCAATAGGTGAAGTTCTTATCATATTTTTCAAAATTTTTTTGAGAAGTATTTGCAGGTCCAAAATCATGGCTTAAACACAAGCTGGCTTCACTTTCCCCCACAGAAAACTAAAAATAAGTATACAGCACCAATATTATCTCCAGCAATATCCCAGAACTCAAATATGATAGTCAGATCTCAGGGCCACAGAGAAGTTAAAAAAAAAAAAAAAAAAAAAAAAAAAAAAAAAACTCTGAGCCAGTGGTAGGAGAATAGGCTTTGCATGTCTTAGATGCCCCTCCCCGCAATCTTCCTGGCACCAAGCATGTGAAAAATTTCCCCTAACTCAGTTTCTACACTAGAAAAAGTGAGATTGAGGTGGACAACTGGCTTTTTCACTGTCAGGTTCTTTGTCAGAAGTTCTGTCCATGCCTCAATCCACACGAAGCAATGTGAGTGCCTGAAGGAAGACATATTTCTGAGGAAAGCTAAAGACAAAAGAGAGGAAACAGGACTATGGTCCCCACTCCTGGAAATCCTGCTGTATAACTCAGTCAAAGGAGATGCCAAAAAAGAGTGGCTGTTCAGCAGCACTACTCATGAAATGTATGTTCTACAGGTCCCCTGGGCAGGAACCCACTGCCAGGAGAGTCCCTTTGGAACCTCTGTCTTTCCAGATGGGTCTCACGCTGATCCTTTACTAAAACTGAGGCAAACTTGGCTTAAGGAGCCATCTAGTGTCAAACAGGAGGCAGTGATCTAGCGGGACAAAAATATAAGAAATTCAACAAGTAAATTACAAAGAATCTCTAAGCAAATATATCCAGTAAAAACAATGAATGTTATCTATGAATGGTATGTTCAGAACAATTTGCTATATGTAGAATAATCTTAATTTTTGCTTTTTTATATTTAATACAAAATTATTTCAGTCCAAATATTTTCACAGGTAACATGTTTTACCACCATTCAAAGTATCAGTGTTGAACAAATATATTTACAAGTAAAATTGTCAATAAATTGATTATTTTTATTATTCTTTTGAATGTTTCTCCAAAATCAATAATCCTTTCAATTTCTTTTTATGATACTGAAAATAAATGTATACAAGTAAAACCAAAAACTACAGTAAAGCATTTTTCCCATCAAATAAGACTTTCTAAAATGCAATTATAGGATTTTAAAATTAAATTATGTAGAACATTTACATTCATATGCTTTAATTTTTTCAGTTCTATATTTTGCAAGAACAATTTCAGTGTCTACCTGCTTGTATGCTTTGTCTTCAATAATTGCAAGTCTTCCAAAAGCTTCAAAAGTTAAAATTCCATTGATATTCTATGATTAAATACTTTCAATTATTTTAATAACATGAAACTATGTATTAAAGAACTTGGTTATTAAAAAATCAATATAATTGTAAAATGCCATAATTTACAAAATCATTCTTTGTCAGCTCAAACATTTCTAAAATTGAATTGTTGATGGGCTGCAAGAAGAGAAAATATATATTGCTGTAATGATAAATTTGTGTATGTGCATCCAATACCAGCTCTTTCACAAAAATTTTATAGTCGAATTTCTCTGAGTATGTATAGGATACTTGTAAATTTAGATCATTATAGCTTACAAAATACTGTAGCTTATTTGGATTATAAATTATACATGTACTATAACAAGTTTCCTGTATATATCTGCTTTATAAGTTTATTAATTTATGAAGAAACAATGTTTTGCTATACATTGACTACACAAAATATGCAGTCATATCACCATGAAAGCAAATATATCTTCAATGTTCACCTTTATAAATGAATTCACAAAGATGTTCAAAATAATGGAGATGTTTTGCTTTCAACAGAATGAACTTCCAAAAGATTTACTTAAATTCCACGAATTGGATTCAAAAGAAATCAAACCATTATTGGAATTTAACTAATTTTTCAATTTGAAATTTCACAATATTGGCATAAATCTACATGAGCTTATACTATGGAAATTGTACGTATGTATGTATGTTTAAAAGTGGATAAAGTCTCTTATGTGTGTGTATGCATGTATGTATATATTTAAATCATTGATGCCAAAAGTTTCTAGTGCCAAATAAAAGTTACCAAAACTAAAACCAGTAAAAATGTATAAATTGAAACTATTTGGTGAATGAAAATCCATTATAGAAAGAACAGAATACTCTCTAATAATGTTTCCAAATTTCTAATTGATACTAATCTTTGGGATTCGAGAACTAAAAATCAGAAATCATGGTAATTTTTACAAATTCCTGAAGTTATAAATTATTCTGCATTTTTCATAATATATCATTTACATTATTTTAATAAATAATGAGTGGCCATAATAATGAACAGCAAATTATTCTTCTGTGATATGGTTATACTAAAATTTTCATAGATTTTTACCTTTTAAGAAGACAATAATAATGAATGCATGGTTTTCCTTATTACTGTAATGCAATACATCATTATAAGATTATATATTTCAAATAAATATAAATTTATAAGATTATATATTTCAAATTTGCTATGTATACATAAATTTGTTATATATACATAAACATATTAAAATGGTCTCTGCTACATAGACTTTTGAAAACAGAAACCCTTAAATTAAGGTAACATTAAAAAATAAATAAAAATCATTTAAAAATTGAAATACATTCAAGACATAGAACACTTTCTCTCATTCTGCATTTACCTTAATCAAATTTTTAAGAATGGTTCCAAAAGCATCCTCAAGTTGGGCATTAGGGTATGTGTTATTTTATATAAGCTCATTTCCTTTTATAGTGATGAAAATGTCTTGTCTCCCTGCTCTTATTTTAGTTTTGCCTTTAAAGTCAATTTTGGTTTTGCTCATTTATATTATAAATCAATTACTGATTTCACTTGTAGTATTTCAGAACAACATTCACATCTTTTCTTCTTTGCATTTCCTCTGGTAAAGTATATTTTAAAACATGGCCTACACTGAAAATTCAAACACTAAAAAATGAGAGTGAACATTATTGAGTAATAGTCAAATAATACAGTATTTGTATATCCTGGCAAGATAACAGCACTAAGTAGAATCACATGTCAAAATTGCCGATTTAATGACTTATTTTGCTTTCAGAACATGTTTCTTGGAACACCACTTATATTTTTTGGAACATCCCTCATAAAATTTGCGCAATGTATTTTATAAGTATAAACCTATTACTTTTTTTTTTTTTGCAAGAATGACTCACCATTAGCAGCAGACGGAGCCAAGAACATACAATTATATAATGGCAACAACTATAAGCAAGGCTGATTGATAAGATCATGGCCACTTCTTTCCATTGTGCCCCTGTCCCATTTCCTCCAGGCTGGCTGATTGCATTTCAAGTACACAAAATAGTTCATCTCTAACACTCCCACTTCTCAGATTCTGTGATTGCTCAATGACCTATACCATGTGACATATTACACATAAACCCAGAAGTAACCATTAGATAACTTGCCAACCTGCCTGAAACAAAGGATGAAATTGTGCAGTGAATTATGTATTTATTCCATTTTCAAAGCAGTTAACTTCAGAAAAAATTGCCTAAGAAGCCTATACATTAATATCTTGGAGGTTTGAAAGATCAAATTAGGCCATCATTTGAATGCTTCTGTATCACATCAGAAAGAAAATCAGATGACCTTGAAGCCACTTAGAGCCCTGCAATATGGCTGAATTTTTGAAACAAGGAATTAATCCATTAAGTTATCTCCACTGACTGTTAGCAGGCTGATATTCTGAGGCTGATATGAGCTTCCATACTGCTTTGAGCTAAGTGACTGTAGAAGAAAGAAAAGTCATACTAAGCTGCCATACAAAAAAATTAATAATAAAATATACAACAAACTAGCTTAGGTGTTTAAAAATTTATATAGTTACAATTTGCATCTAAATAAAATATGGTCATTATTTTTAAATCACTGTATTCAGGGAAGCAAGTTATTAATATTAAGGTTGTGACAGAAGTAAAGGAAATTTACAAAATGTACAGAAATTACAGCTAAATCCAAAATGGGCATATCAGTACATAAGTAAAACACATTTTCTTGATATGCTTGGCTTCTATCCCATACCACTAATTACTTCTCAGCTCAAATGGGCAAAATCGTTAGTGTTTTGCTCTGCAATAGGTGAAAAGATACGTTTCTTTTTTTTTTTCTTTCCCTGTGGAAAATTGTCTGCATTGTACTGCAATGCTGAGCAAGTTTATTCTCAGCAGCATGTCTCCTCAGACATTTTATGGCAGCATGGGGAATATTAAATGTAAGATTAATAAATAATTACAACTGTGTGTCCAATCTTCAGTTCATATTCAAAAGGAGTTTTGAATAGGTGAGACATCTGAAAGGAGTTCTGAAAACAATATATTTATACATTTCAATTTAGATTTGTTCCAGAGTTAAAGTACAAATATTTACATATTCCATGCAAACTTTACATATAGAATTATTTTAACCATTGCCAGTATACAGCTACCTCCAGGGAGAAATGCAATAAAAAACTGAGCAGCAGGAAAACATAGTAAACAACAATTTTGGACAGCAGGTAAAGAGTCTTGTAAACAAAGAGAATCTGAAATTAGAGAAAGAATTTTTAATTAGGTGGAATTTAATCACTCAGCTTGAATTTGTCTACATTACCAGAACAGGAGCATTTTGTTGTTGTGGAAAGTGCTCTCAGATATTTCATTAACAAACCAAGCAGAAAATCCCATTTCAGTTTTATCCACTGCCTCTCTCTCTCTACCTAAGAGTATAATGCAACGTGAGCTTAGCTTATCCATCATTGCACAGTGATGTGATAATGGAATGAGTACATCATTTGCAATGTGATATAGGTTCTGAACTTTCTGGAAAAGCCCCAAATTCCTACTTGATCAGTAGTCCTTCGTGTTAGGTTCCAAAGTTATAATCACTGTGACTATGAAAGAAAAAGCTGTGGACGTTTAAAAGAACACTTCTACTTCCAGCTCTACCACTCACTGTGTGACCTAAAATGTCTCTTAAACAATTGAGATAGCAGTCTCATTCTCCCTTTTTATGCAAATACATGGATGCTAAAATACCAATTAGCCCTCTCATTCCATGGTTTAGCTAGTGTTAAGCAAAATGGCCTAGCAATTAAAAACACAGACTGGTACCATGTGCCTGGATTTGAATCCCAGCTCTGCTAATCCCAACTCTGTGTTACCCTGGGGAGGATATTTAATCACTCTGTTCTCGGCCTCAGCTTCTTCATCTATAGAATAGACTTGATGATAATGATAATTTTTCACAGAGTTGCTATATGAGGCTTCAGTGAGTTGAATGTATACACATATATATATACATATATATAGAGAGAGAGGGCACCTAAAATAGCACAGAATGTAATGTAAATTAATATATGTATTAATGTAAATTAATGTATGTATTGATTAAATAAACACACATTAAAAAGGACAGCATAGGAGTTCAAATTTGCTACTAACTTTTTCATTCAGTTGCTATTCTTTCTTTGTACTCCATCTCATAATACCCTAAGAAATAGGTTCTTTTCTATATGAGAAACCAGATTAGAGAGGTTAAGAAACATGCTCACAGTTTTGCCCAGTTAATGACATCTGACATTTAAATCCTTGTACGTCTGGTTTCAAATCTGTGCTCTCTAAATACAATCTCCCCAAAGTTCCCAGAGGTTTTGCAAGCTGGTTATTATCCTGTTATAATATGTCTCGGTCCTGAGTTCATTGTCTGCAAAAATCTGTGTGGTGGTTAATTTTAGGTGTCAACTTGATTGTATTAAGGGATACTAGATAGCTGGTAAAGCACTATTTCTAGGTGTGTCTATAAGGGTGTTTCCAGAGGTGACTGGCAAATGAATTGGTGGACTGAGTGAGGAAGATCTTTGCTCATTGTGGGCATGCACCATCCAGCGGGCTGGGGACTCGGATAGATAGAACAAAAGAGCAGAGAAAAAAAATTAGCTCTGGCTCTCTCTCTCTCTCTCTCTCTGTGTGTGTGTGTGTGTGTGTGTGTGTGTGTGTGTGTGTCTCAGAGCTGGGACACTCCTTCTCTTGACCTCAGATATCAGATCTCTAGGTCCTCCAGTCATTGGACTCCCAGAATTGCACCAGCAGCTCTTCAGGTTCTCAGGCTTTCTCCCTCAGACTGAGAACCTCACCAGGGGCTTCCCTGGTTCTGAGACTTTCAGACTTGGACTGAGCCATCACCGCATACCAGCATCCCTGGGTGTCCACCAGGCAGATGACCTATCATGAGACTTCTCAGCTTCAATAATCTCATGAGCCATTTCCCCGAATAAGTTCCCTCTCATCCATCCATCCATCCAATTAATTCTTTCTCTTTGGAGAAAGCATGATGTTTGGTAATAAAGTGATTAAAAAGCAATTCCTCTGGTTTAGTTTCTCACTATAAAGAAAAGCAGTTAAAGAACCAGAGTCTCAGCAGGGGAGGGAGGCTCACACCTGTAATCCCAGCATTTTGGGAGACCCAGCTGGGAGGATTACTTGAGGCCTGGAGCTCAAGACTAGCCTAGGCAACACAGTGAGACCCCATCTCTACAAAAAAATTTATAAAATAACCGGGCGTGGTGGCTCATGCCTATAATTCCAGCTACTTAGGAGGCTGAGTCAGGAGGATTGCTTAAACCCAAAAGTGTAAGGCTGCAGTGATTTATGCTCATATCACTGCACTCCAGCCTGGGCAACAGAGTGAGAGAAAAACAAACAAATAAAAAAACAGAGTCTAGAGTCTAGACTAGACTGCCTATGTTTTTATCAATGACCTTGGGTTTAATCTCTCTGTGCTTCCATTTCCTCTTCTGTAAATGAGTATAATAGTATCTAATTTAGAGAATTATTTCAATATTAAATCAATTAATAAAAATAAAGCATTTGAACGGTACCTGGTGCATAGGAAGGACCATGGAAATGTTTCTTGCTAATACAATTATTACTACTCCTACTACTATGTGGGAGGGTTGGGGGTGCATTATAGGAGAGACCTTTATTGGTACTACATAGATGTAATCATGGTCCTACAGAAATGGGTAAATGTGCTTCCAGCTTTTATTCAAACAGAAAGTCACTCTTCCTGTCAAAAGGGATTTAATCCTCCCTCCTCGCAAAGTAATGCTTCAGTGTGTAGAAGGACATTGATCCCCAAAGAAGAAACACTTAAAATACTCAGCTTAGAGATACAGACAGCTGGAGATTATACAGGCCCAACTAACAATAAGCAAGAACATTGAAAGGAAGCAAAGCCTTCCATGGAAACCAGTTGTTCAAGATAGAGTGCCTAATAACTAGTCTGTAAGTACTTAAAAAAAAAAAAACCTCTAAAATCTAATGGAATAAGTCTGACTGAACTTGACTTGGATAAATGAGAACAGTGTCACATATAGAAGGAAGTGCTGGCTGGAACAGAAATATTTCCTTGGCTACACCTGTTCAAAGTTTTCAATAATCAGTGAGTGAAGAGCAAAAGGAAACTGATTTCAGAACTCTTGTACAGCCTTAAAAGTTTATGTATGTAAACAGAGTATAGCTCTCAGTAAAGAATGTACCCTTAGTTGTTTTTCCATATTCATAGAATCCTAAATGAAAGAGCCTCTTCCAGTATTGTAAAGGAAAGTTTCCTGAACCAGCTGGACCCCACTCAGCTGTTAGATTTGATATACTGGTGCTCAGAATGTGCAATATAAGTAGGCCTTACAATAGTCTCTCTTAATAAGGCTTATTTCTGGGTGGGCTCTTCTTAGATTTGTCTTGGTAGGGTTTTGCTTTCCCATTTGCTTTTTCCTTTGTTTTCAGCAAAGGAAGAACTGAATAGATCTATCGAGAGACTCAGTGAATGGGTCACTAAGAGGATTGGAGATTTTAATAGACTCTTCTCTTTCCTACCCACACAGCTAGCTATTTCCTAAAACTCTAAGTTTGAAGGATTTGAAATAGAACTTTAAATATTATACAGCTGAATCATCAAAGGGTTTTAAACCTGCCACTGGATGAAGGACAGAAAGAAAGAACCATCTGATCTAATGACACGAGTTCTTAGCAGTTAGAATGGTTCCCCTGGAGCAGAACAGAGAAAAACAGGAAAGGAAATACTTAATTGAACCAAAATAGTCTGCTAGGACATACATGGAAATCAAAGCTTTAAAATGACAAATTAAAATAAAGAGTAAAGAAAGCAAAGTGATTTTAACTTTCTCTCCTAGAGGCGGCTAACTTATCTAGGACAATGGTCCCCAGATGCTAAGAAAAGTGTTGGTCCAATAATGTTTTCAATTGTCCCCTGCAAAGTAAGGACAAAGTGATATTTTTTTGTTAAATATAATGTATCCAATTTAAAATATTATTTCTTATTTTGGGAGTATGTTCTACTTACATTTTGGAATTAAAACATCCTCTCTTTGGAAGGAATGGTGATAACATGTGGTAGTTTTTATTATTGTTTAATTTCAATGTCCCTGCCTCAAATTAAAGGTCAGCAACACTACATTGCCCCCAAATCAAAAAAGAAAAATGTTCTCTCCTGTGAAAAACAAAAGTTGAGACCCAACAAACTGTCAATGTGCTTGCAGAGGATGGATCAAAACTACCTTGGAAGCAGTTTCAAAACAGGCATTGTCCCTACTCTCCTGTGTGAGCTCTTAGGGAAGAAAAGTAGAAGGAGGAGGAAGAATCTAATACAAATGTTAATTAATATCCACTGCTTTTGGGGGAGAATTGTCAACTATCATCCTTGGAAGACCCAAATATTCTTTTTATTTTCCTTGACTTTATTCACCTCTGTGTACAGGAAACAAATAGTTTACAAAGGATTTTCATAAATAAGTTGAATAATATTTTGGGAAACAAGTTTCTATGTTCCATGTAGAAAGATCTTTGACAGACAAACTTCAATCAAATGACAGCTCTCTTCATAAAGAAATTATAATATTAAAACTCTAGGGATATAACAAATATATTCTTGACTGTGGTGGCAAGCTAAATAAAGTCCTTGAGCTAATTCTAATGGAGAAAGTTTCTACACATAAACCAAATAAGTAGACATACTCTATAAATATATGTTTTTTGAGCTCTAAAAAGCTACATGGAGGAAAACTAAACCAAATATTCAAACTATACAAGACGTGTGAGAGAAAGTGCAAAAGTAAATCTAGATTTTTTTTAACACTGTGAGGCAAAATAAAATGTTTAAGATACTGAGTTTCTCTCTGTCCTTGTGGAGGTCACAGTCTAGTATAATCCTTTGCTTTAATAAAGCTGATTTCCTCACTGGCCTATATTTTCTATATATATATATATTAAACCAAGTATAATTTATATATATATATATTAAACCAAGTATAATATATATATATTAAACCAAGTATAATTTATATATATATATTTCAGATATATAATGAAATTTAATTGCTAAATAAGTTTTACATAAAATGCATTTCCACTAAAGGCATTGCTTCCTTGCAATGTTATACTGTATCCTGTCCCTCCTCTCTCCTCACCCTCATGCCAGCATTGTGTCAACTCTTCCTATGCAAATCCCATTCATTTTCTAATGCCTATTTAGTGTATACAAACACTGAATGCTAAGCATGTGCCAGGCACTTGCTTGGCCCAAAAAGCAATGAAGAGCAATTATACAGTTTAAGGACATTTGTGTTTTAGAATCAAGACAATGGAGTGGAATATGGCTTGGAAAAAGTCCTGAACAGGGGAATCCATTAGATGGCCATTGTAATAAACTAGAACAATGGTTGTCAAAATGTGGTCGCCGAACCGACAAAATCAAAAGCACCTGGCAACTTGTTAGAAATGCAAATTTTCAGGCCCCAATCCAGACCTACAGAATCACAAAATGTAGGTTCCATCCCAGTCACCTGTGTTTTAGCAAGCTTTCCAGGTGGTGCTGGTGCATAGTAACGTTTGTGAACCACTTGTTTAGGATACTAGTGGTGGGAGACAAGATGAGTGACAATGGGTTTGGAGAGTGGGAGATACGCTTTCCAGATGCGATAGAACTGAAAGACATGATAACAGATTAGATGAAAATGGAAGTAAAATATAATTTCAAGGTTTATGATTTGAGTGATTGATGCCTACTAGAGTCTTTCAGAGATCTAGGAATAAAATATTAAGTTTGGGGTGGTTGGCATAGAAAATAAATGGTTATTTCTCATTGGGATGTGTCAAATCTGAAATACTGGACATTCAAATGCAGACATCCAGAATGGTAGTGTAATAGAGAGATCTGAATGTAGAAAAAAAGATTATGATAAAAGTGATTTTAGGAGTGATTAAAGTTGAAGAGCTAATTAAAATCGTGGGAGCAAAAGAAGTCACCCAAGGAGAGTTGAGAAGTAGAGAAAACTGAAAGTAGAACGTAGAAAACACTAACATTTAAAGAACAGATTAATGGCAAAACCTAGGGAAGAAAAAACATAATTATGGTATTTTAGAAATTTAGCAAGGCAAGAGTTTCAAGAAGTGTAAAGTAGTCAACTATTTTAAATGTCACAAGGAGATTAAGGTAAGGATATATGTGTCCATCAAGTTTAGTAATAAAGATAGTTGGACCTTTGCTAAGAAAAATTTTGATGGTAAAGAAGTCAGATTACAGTATGAAAAAAATGAATGAATTAGAACTGCAACATGTAAAAAGCTTAGAATTTATCGCTCTTGTCTTTACAGCAAGGAACAGTTAAACAAGCTGAAAATAAACAACTTTCTCACACCCATCAGAGAACTGAAGTTTCAGGGCAAATCATCACCTCAAAATCCGGAGAAAAGGAACATCCCAGAAGAAAGAGGCCAGATCTGTTTACCTGGTGGAAAAGCCACTGGAGCCATAGACTGATATGAACACTCAAATAGTAATTTTGGCCAATTACTGGGGAATGAGGATGGACTGGAGTGAATGTGAGAAACACCCGGGAGCCAGTCTTGTGGGGGCTTCCACAATACCACAGACTCCTTTCTGGTGAAGATCGAATAAAAACTCCTTCCTGACTCTTTCAGCGGCAGTGTTTTGATTACCTCCTCTTCATCCCATTGGTGAGGAAGAGAGTCCACACTAGCATTATGGGAATGACTAAGCACACAACATCCAACATCAGACAAATGAGATAGACAGCAGTTTATTAAACAGACTCACAGCACAGGGAGGAGGATACCACAGGCAATACAGAGACATATGGGATTGCACTTGGGAGCACAGTAAACAATCAAGGACTGTGGGAGGCAGGCTTTGTAATATCAAGAGTGGAGAGCACCCTCAGGTCCCATGTTGGAATGTGATTGGCCTGTCTGAATAATTCTGCAAGCTGGCAGGGAACTGAAACCTGACACTCATTGATGAGAGGGATCTGCATTTGGTCTATTTGATAAGGAGGGCTGGTAGACTAGGGAACCTCATCCAAGGGAGCACAGTTGGCAGGTATAATAACCATGCTTCTGTATTTGATGCTTTGACACCTTGCTGATCCTAGGGGAATCCCTTCCAGGGCCAGCCAATTCCTAGAGATAGTAAAGCCCTCAGCTCTGCGCACAATCTTTCTTTCTTTCTTTCTCTCTTTTTTTTTTTTATTTGACAGAGCCTCACTCTGTAGCCAGGCTGGAGTGCGGTGGCACGATCTTGGCTCACTGCATCCTCTTCCTCCTGGGTTCAAGCGACTCTCCTGCCTCAGCCTCCTGAGTAGCCGGAACTACAGGCAGGAGCCACCATGCCCAGCTAATTTTTATATTTTTAGTAGAGACAGTGTTTCACCATGTTGGCCAGGATGGTCTTGATCTTCTGACCTCATGATCTGCCTGCCTCGGCCTCCCAAAGTGCTGAGATTACAGGCGTGAGCCACCGCGCCCGGCTGTGCACACCCTTCTTATGCAAACCAACCAATCCAAAGCCCACATCCCAAACTCCACCATTTACTGAGCTCTTACACTCCAGGCCACTATTTCCCTGCCATTATTACCCCAGGACTTGTTACCGGAAAACAAAGGACAATTCCTATGCCATGCCCCAAAACCCACTAAAATTATTCAGATAAGCTAATTCTAAGCCTGCCTCACTTGTTTCTTCCCACAAACACCACAATAAAGGCTCTTGCCCACAATTTTCCCTCTCTGTCTGTCTCCTCCTCACTGACCTGGGTGCTTCCCTGTGTGGCCCTGCCTGGCAAGCTGTGCCTCCTGCTTCTAGGGCTCTGTGAATATAAAAAGTCTTCCTTTATGACAGTAATGTTTGCATGTCTTACCATACCTGTTTGAAACAATTCCCTGCTACCTTTAAATCAAAGAATAACTTGTGGTTAGGCCATTCAGGACCCTCTCATTTTTACCAGATGTCAAGGCAGCAAATGATATTAATTTTCCAAAAAAAATAGAAGCAAAGGGAATAATACTTCCTAACTCAATCTATGCAGCCAGCATGTCCTAATATCAAAACTAGATAAATATATTACAAGAAAGGAAAACTACAGACCAATATCTCCTATTAACATGGACATACAATCCTCAACAAAACATTAGCAAATCAAATCCAACAGTTTATAAGAAAAATGCTCACAACAATCAGGTGAGATATGTTCTAGGTATGCAAGGCTGGTGTAACATTCAAAAATCAATTACTTAATCCATCACATCAACAGGTTAATGAATTAAAATCATATGACCATGTCACTGGATACAGAAAAAGCATTTCACAAAATCCAACACACATCCGTAATAAAAATTCTCAACAAATAGGGAATAGAAGGGAACCTCAGCTTGATGAAGAACATCTATAAAACAATCTACAACTAACATCATACTTAAGGATGAGAAACTGGACGTTTTTCCCCTAAGATTGAGAATAAGGCAAGGATGTCACATCTCACCCATCCTTTTCAACATTGTACAGGAAGTCCTAGCTAGTATATTGGCAAGAAAAAAATATATAGGCTACATAGATAGGGAGAAAAGAGACAAAACTGTCTGTTTGCAGATGACATCAAAGTCTATATACAAAACCCCAAAGAATCAACAAAAACATCTGTTGCAGGATACAAGGTTAATATATAAAAGTAAATAGCTTTCTCTTACAGGCAATGAACAATTTGAATTTGAAGTGAAAAACACACCACCATTTAAAACAGCGCCAAAAAAAGTTAAATATAAATCTAACAAAATATGTACAAGGTCTCTATATGTGGGAAACTACAAAACTATAATGAAATAAATCAATGAAGGTCTAAATAAATGGAGATACATTTTGTGTTCATAGGTTGAAGATACAATATTAAGATAACAATTATTCTTAACTTGATATATAGAATCAATGCAATTCCAATCAAAATCCCAGCAAACATTTTTTATATTGACAATCTGAATCTAAAGTTTATACAGAAAGGCAAAAACCCCAAAATAACCAATACATCATTGAAGAACACATTAGAAGCACCGATATTATCCAAGATTAAGACTTGTTTTAAGATACAGTGAACAAGACAGAGTGGTATTGGAGAAAGGGCTGACACCTTTATCAATGGAATAGAAAAGAAAGCCCAGAAGCTGACCCCTCAAATATACTCAACTGATCACTGACAAAGGAGCAAGGCAATTCAATGGAAAATGGATAGTCTTTTTAACAAATGATGCTGGAACAGTTGGTTGTCAATATACAAAAAAAAGTAAATCTAGGAATAGTGCTTATACCTTCTGCAAAACCTAATGGGTCATTTGCATAAATATAAAAAGCAAAACTATAAAATATTTGGAAGCCAAATTATGAAAAAAAATCTAGGAAACGAGTTTGAAATGAGTTTTTAGATACAACACCAACAGTACAATCCATATATATATGCTGTATTTTTTAAAGCTAAAATCTTCTGTTCTATGAAAGACACTGTTAGGAGAATGAAAAGACAAGACACAGATGGGGAGAAAATATTTTCAAACGATATATCTGATTAAGGACTTTCATCCAAATATACAAAGAACTTTTAAAATTTAAGAATGAAGTTTTAAAATGAGCAAAGGATATGAACAGACACATCACCAAAGAAGATATACAGATGTCAAATATGCTTAATAAAAGATGCTCAACATCATTTGTCATTAGAAAATTGTAAATTAAAACAACAATAAGAATATAATTCAGCAATAAAAATAAAAGAAAATTGTAAATTAAAACAAAAATAAGAATATAATTCAGCAATAAAAATAAATGTTAACAAGTCATATTTTGTGGCTTGAAGGAGAGGAAAGTTCATAACATTAAATGTCCACATCAGAAAGTCTGAAAGCGTGCAAATAGAAAACCTAATGTCACACCTCAAGGAACTAGAGAAACAAGAACAAACAAATACCAAATCCAGCAGAAGAAAAGAAATAACAAAGATCAAAGCAGAACTAAATGAAATTGAAACAAAAAAATCAAAGATAAATGAAACGAAAATCTGGTTCTTTGAGAGGATAAAAAAAATTGATAGACCATTAGCAAGATTAACCAAGAAAAGAAGAGAGAAGATTCAAATAAGCTCAATTAGAAATGAAATGACAGATATTACAACTGATACCATAGAAATACAAAAGTTCATTCGCGGCTTCTATGAACACCTTCACATGCACAAACTAGAAAATCTAGAGGAGATGGATAAATTCCTGGAAATATACAACCCTTCTAGATTAAATCAGGAAAAATGAAAAACTCTGAACACACCAATAACACGTGAGATTGAATCAGTAACTTTTAAAATTGCCATCAAAAAAGTCAAGAACCAGATGGATTCACAGCTTAATTCTATCAAACATTCAAAGAATTGCTACCAATACTACTGAAATGATCCCAAAAGATAGAGAGAGAATCTTCCCTAAATCATTCTATGAAGCCAGAATCACTGTAATATCAAAACCAGGAAAGGACATAACAAAAAAAGGAGACTACAGACCTACATCTCTGATGAACATAAGTGTAAAAATCCTCAATAAAATATTAGCAAACCAAATCCTACAGCATATGGAAAAGATAATACATCACAATCAAGTGGATTTCATAACAGGGATGTAGGGATTGGTTCAACATATGCAAGACAATAAATGTGATATATTGCACAAACAGAATTAAAAGCAAAAATCATATGATCCTCTCAATAGATGCAGAAAGAATGTTTGACAAAACCCAGCATCCCTTTATGATAAAAACCCTCGACAAAATTGGCATAGAAGTGATATACCTCAAAGTAATAAAAGTCATCTGTGACAAACCCACAGCCAACATCATAATGAATGAGGAAGAGTTGAAAACATTCCCCCTGATAACTGAAACAAGACAAATATACCCACTTTCACCACTTCTATTCAACATAGTACTGGAAGTCTTGGCCAGAGGTATCAGGCAAGAAAAGAAATAAATGGCATCCATATTGGATAAGAGGAAGTCAAACTGTCACTATTCACCAACATAATCATATACCCAGAAAACCCTAAAGACTCATCCAAAAAGCTCCTAGATCTAATAAATGAATTCAGTAGTCTTAGGATACAAAATCAGTGCGCACAAATTGGTAGCACTGATGCACACCAACAACAATCAAGCTGAGAAACAATTCAAGAACTCAATCCCTTTTACAACAGCTGCAAAGAAAGAAAATAAAATACTTAGGAATGCACTTAACCAAGGAGAAAGCCCTCTACAAGGAAAACTACAAAACACTGCTGAAAGAAATCATAGACTACAAAAAACAAATGGAAAAACATCACATGCTGATGGATGAGTAGAATCAATATTGTGAAAATGACCACAGTAGCAAAAGCAATTCACAGATTCAATGCAATTCACATAAAAATATAATTACATTCTTCACAGAATAGAAAGAAATTCTAAAATTCATATGGAACCAAAAAAGAGTCCACATAGCCAAAGCAATACTAAGCAAAAAGAACAAATCTGGAGGCATCGAAGTACCTGATTTCAAATTATACTACAAGGCTGTAGTTACCAAAACAGCAAGATTTGTTTAAAACTGGTATAAAAATAGGCACATAGACCAATGGAACTGAACAGAGAACCTAGGAATAAAGCCTAATACTGTCAGCCAACTGATCTTCAACAAAGCATACAAAAACATAAAGTGGGTAAAGACACCCTATTAAATAAATCGTGCTGGGAAAACTGGCAAGCCACAGGTAGTAGAATGAAACTGCAACCTTATCTCTCACTTTACACAAAAATCAACTCAAGATGGATCGAAGACTTAAATCTAAGACCTGAAACCATAAAAATTCTAGAAGATAACATTGGAAAAATTTCTAGGCATTGACTGAGGTGAAGAATTCATAACAAAGAACCCAAAAGCAAATGCAATAAAAACAAAAATAAATAGATGGGACCTAATTAAACTAAAATGCTTCTGCACAGTAAAATAAATAATCAGCAGAGTAAACAGACAACCCATAGAGTGGGAGAAAATGTTCACAAACTATGCATCTGACAATGACTAATATTCAGAATCTACAAGGAACTCAAATTAGCAAGAAAAAATACAATCCCATCAAAAAAGGGGCAAAGGACATGAATAGACAATTCTCAAAAGAAGATATACAAACAGCCAAGAAACTTGAAAAAATGCTCAAAATCACTAATTATCAGAGCAATGCAAATTAAAACCACAATGAGATACCACCTTACTCCTGCAAGAATGGCCACAATTTAAAAATCAAAAAATAATAGATGTCAGCATCTATTATTGGATGTGGTGCAAAGGGAACACTTTCACACTGCTGGTGGGAATGTGTACTGATACAACCACTATGGAAAACAGTATGGGGATTCCTTAAAGAACTAAAAGTAGAACTACCATTCAATCCAGCAATCTCACTACTGGGTATCTACCAAGAGGAAAATAATTTATTATATGAAAAAAACACATGCACATGCATGTTTATAGCAGCACAATTGCAAAAATATAGGACCAACCTAAATGCCCATCAACCAATAAGTGGATAAAGAAAATGTGGTATGGGCCGGGCGCGGTGGCTCACGCTTGTAATCCCAGCACTTTGGGAGGCCAAGGCGGGCGGATCACGAGGTCAGGAGATCGAGACCATCCTAGCTAACACGGTGAAACCCCGTCTCTACTAAAAATACAAAAAAATTAGCCGGGCGTGATGGCGGGCGCCTGCAGGAGAATGGCGTGAACCCGGGAGGCGGAGCTTGCAGTGAGCCGAGATTGCGCCACTGCACTCCCGCCTGGGCCACAGAGCGAGACTTCGTCTCAAAAAAAAAAAAAAAAAAAAAAAAAGAAAGAAAATGTGGTATGTATACACCATGGAATACTACTCAGCCATAAAACAGAGCAAAATAATGGCCTTTGCAGCAACTTGGATGGAGCTGGAGGCCACTATTCTAAGTGAAGTAACTCAGGAATGGGAAACCAAATATCATATGTTCTCACCTGTAAGTGGGAGCTAAGCTATAAGGATGCAAAGGCATAAGAATGAAATAATGGACTTTGGGGACTCAAGGGAGAAGGGAGGGAGACGGATGAGGGATAAAAGACTACATATTGGGTACCTCAAGCAGTGTACACTGCTCAGGTGGCAGATGCATCAACATATCAGAAATCATCAATCACCACTAAATAACTTATTCATTTAACAAAAAAATCACCTGTACCCCTAAAACTATTGAAATTTTTAAAGTAAAGAAAAAAAGAAAGAAAAAATATATATATATATTCCCTGACATAGAGTTTTAAATGTACAGATGGACCCCAATTAACAATAGCTCAACTTATGAGCTTTTTTACTTTATGATGATGCTAAAAAGGTACATTCAGTAGCAACCATACTTCCAGTACCATACAACTATTCTGTTTTTCACTTTCAGCACAATATTCAGTAAATTACATGAGCTATTCAATACTTTATTATGAAATCGGTATTGTGATAGACGATTTTGCCCAACTGTAGGCTAACGTAAGTGGTCTAGACTACTGTAGTCTATGCCAAGCTATGATGTCTGGTAGGTTAGGCATTTACTATAAATTCATTTTATGACCTAGGATATTTTCCATTGTGATGGGATTACCAGGATATAACCCCATTGTAAGTTGAGGAGCATCTGTATATTTCAAAGTGAAAGAAATCTGAATACTCACATGCTGTATTATTCCAATTATATTACATTATAGAAAAGACACAACTATGGAGTTAAAATGTCAGGGAGTGCTAGAAATTAGAGAGAAGAGAGATAAATACGTGAAGCACAGGGTGCTTTGGGGGCAGTGAAACCATTCTGTATGATACAGTAAGGGTAGATACATGACATTATCTATTTGTCAAAACCTGTAGAACTTTATAGCATACAGAGTGATCCTTAGTGGGAGTAAATTAAAATAAAAATCATTTAGGAGGTGAGGGGATCCCAAGAAATAATGCAGACTGTGATCTGTGATGAAAATCATCTACTCGGCCGGGCGCAGTGGCTCAAGCCTGTAATCTCAGCACTTTGGGAGGCCAGGGAGGGCAGATCACGAGGTCAGGAAATCGAGACCATCCTGGCTAAACGGTGAAACCCTGTCTCTACTAAAAATACAAAAAAAAAAAAAAAATTAGCCGGGCATGGTGGCGGGCACCTGTAGTCCCAGCTACTTGGGAGGTTGAGGCAGGAGAATGGTGTGAACCTGGGAGGCGGAGCTTGCAGTGAGACGAGATCGTGCCACTGCACTCCAGCCCGGGCGACAGAGCAAGACTCCATCTCAAAAAAAAAAAAAAAAAGAAAGAAAGAAAAAATATATGAAAATCATCTACCGTATGTGCCAACCTAAGTAACTTGGGAAATAAATGAAGTCTGTAGATTAAGAGCAAAAGAAACTGCCTATAATGTGAGTCAATAGAAGTTGTTTTCCAAGGGGGCATAGTTATCAATTTTGATACTATTATAGATGTATACTGGAATTGAAAAGTTAACTAAATGGATGGCAGATTGTGTAAGCCAGGTTTCTTGCTGTTGGAGTAGAAATTTACGTATTGGCCAGGGAGGAGGCTAGAATGATTTATGTAGTAATGGATTAGAGCAAGAGACATCAGTAAGAGCTCATATTTAACTTAATATAGATACAGATGATTACAATATAGAAATGTTTATAAGTATGTATATACATATGGGTTAGTATACATGTACATTTATTTGCTCTGTCAGCTTAGAAGACCTAGAATAATTGACACTCCAGTAACAAGAATACTCACAGCCTGGACATTGATTTCCAATACCATTCTCCAACAAGAGGAACCTAAGCTCCTTGGAGAAATTGAGAATTATAGAACTGAGGCAGAAAATATACAAGATGGACCTGGAGCACCTTAAAGTACCAAAAAGTAAGCAAGTGAACAAAAGCAAACAAACAAAATGCATTGATAGATGTATGTCCAAAGGGCACATGAACCAACGGAAAGAGCTCCCAATAGCCAAAGCTGGAGCACTTTGAGGAAGAGAATAAAGCAGTAATGGATTGCAACCCAATGTATGCATAAATTTCTATGAGTCTGTATCGATATAAATAAATTGTTAAATAAATTAATAATTATGGGAAAAGAGATAAATTACCTATGCAGAAAATTTTCTAATAATCATGTAGCTATCCTACCTTAAATAAGACAGAGCGTTAACTCCATGGGATGGGCATAGTAACTTCCTTATGAAGAGTACAGAATGAAAAGTTTGGGGGAAATAACTTTATAGTGCAGAAACCTGACAAACACTGCTTTAGCCAGGTGATCATAATCAAGATTAACAGTTATAAATCATGTTGATAGTGTATGCCCTTGAGATGGCATGATAAGAAGGGCACTTTACCTCTGTAATCTTTCTCCAGAAAGGCCATAACCACAGTTTAATCATGAGAAAAAGATCGGACACATTCCAATAAATTGTCATTCTACAATATGAGTATATCTGGCCAGCAGTCCTCAAAACTGTCAAGGTCTGAGAAACTGTCACAACCAAGGGAAGCCTAAAAATACCTAACAACTTAATGTAATATAGCATCCTGGATGGGATCCTGGGACAGAAAAATCACATTAGGTGAAAACTAAGGAAACCTGAATACAATATGGACTTTAGTTAATAATAATGTAGCAATATTGATTCATTGATTGTGACAAATACACTAAACTAATATGCTAATAATGGTAGAAACTGCTGGGTATCATAAATTCATTTAATGTAATTGCTGTCTCAGCACCCATTTTTAAGCCCAACATAAGTTTTTTGAAACCCAGTTGTACCTCATCACCTTTGGCCTAATTAAAACTTCCCCTTCCCATGTTTTTTTTTGTTTGTTTTTTGTTTTTTGTTTTTTGTTTTTGTAATATAACCCACTGTTCCTCATCCTACTGACCAAAAACTCGGCACACCCTAAAGCTGCTGAGCAGTGCGAAAATTTAAGAGTCAATACAAGAACGTAAATAAGTTCCTTCTTGGTATGTGTATCTATTAAACTAGCCAATCCACAACCCTCAAGGGAAAACCTAAGGGATAACACTCATGGACTTTAATAAAGGTGTAGTCCCACAGATGCCTTCTCTCTTATTCTCACTCCTCACTACTGGTTGAGTTTTGAACTTCCTCTTGGTCTCTTGTTGGCCCCCCTAACCTCTCTGGGACCTGTGAGTAATAAATTTTTGGTTTCATGCATATTGGTTTCACTTCCTCATTGTGTCTCACCTGACCAACACACCTGAATCTAACATTTTCCCCTGGTCAGGGCTCTCCTGGTAAGTGGTTATCAGGTCTTATGACCACTCTTATGTGGTAGACCTCAAAACCAAATTAGAAAGAAACCATAACAATACAAGTCACAACAAGGAGAAAGGGGGAATACACAGGAACTCTCTGTGCTATCTTTATCATTGTTTCTGTAAATCTTAAACTGAAGATTTATAAAATAAAACAAATTTTTTTGATTATACTTTAAGTTCTAGGGTACGTGTGCACAACATGCAGGTTTGTTACATATGTATACATGTGCCATGTTGGTGTGCTGCACCCATTAACTCGTCATTTACATTAGGTATATCTCCTAATGCTATCCCTCCCCACCCCCCAACCCCACAATAGGCCCCGGTGTGTGACGTTCCCCTTCCTGTGTCCAAGTGTTCTCATTGTTCAATTCCCACCTATGAGTGAGAACATGCGGTGTTTGCTTTTTTGTCCCTGCGATAGTTTGCTGAGAATGATGGTTTCCAGCTTCAACCATGTCCCTAACAAAGGACATGAACTCATCCTTTTTTATGGCTGCGTAGTATTCCATGGTGTATATGTGCCACATTTTTTTTATTATACTTTAAGTTTTAGGGTACATGTGCACAACGTGCAGGTTAATCCATTCTATCATTGATGGACATTTGGGTTGGTTCCAAGTCTTTGCTATTGTGAATAGTGCCACAATAAACATACGTGTGCATGTGTCTTTAGAGCAGCATGATTTATAATCCTTTGGGTATATACCCAGTAATGGGATGGCTGGATCAAATGGTATTTCTAATTCTAGATTCTTGAGGAATCACTACACTGTCTTCCACAGTAGTTGAACCAGTTTACAGTCCCACCAACAGTGTAAAAGTGTTCCTATTTCTCCACATCCTCTCCAACACCTGTTGTTTCCTGACTTTTTAATGACTGCCATTCTAACTGGTGTGAGATGGTATCTCATTGTGGTTTTGATTTGCATTTCTCTGATGGCCAGTGATGATGAGCATTTTTTCATGTGTCTGTTGGCTGCATAAATGTCTTCTTTTGAGAAGTGTCTGTTCATATCCTTCGTCCACTTTTTGATGGTGTTGTTTGTTTTTTTCTTGTAAATTTGTTTGAGTTCTTTGTAGATTCTGGATATTAGCCCTTACAATTGCTTCAGAGAGAATAAAATACCTAGGAATCAAACTTACCAGGGATGTGAAGGACCTCTTCAAGGATAACTACAAACCACTGCTCAATGAAATAAAAGAGGACACAAACAAATGGAAGAACATTCCATGCTCATGGATAGGAAGAATCAATATCATAAAAATGGCCATACTGCCCAAGGTGATTTATAGATTTAATGCTATCCCCATCAAGCTACCAATGACTTTCTTCACAGAATTGGAAAAAACTACTTTAAAGTTCATATGGAACCAGAAAAGAGCCCACATTGCCAAGACAATCCTAAGCCAAAAGAACAAAACTGGAGGCATCATGCTACCTGACTTCAAACTATACTACAAGGCTACAGTAACCAAAACAGCACAGTACTGGTACCAAAACTGAGATATAGACCAATGGAACAGAACAGAACCCTCAGAAATAATACCACACATCTACAACCATCTGATCTCTGACAAACCTGACAAAGACAAGAAATGGGGAAAGGATTCCCTATTTAATAAATGGTGCTGGGAAAACTGGCTAGCCATATGTAGAAAGCTGAAACTGGATCCCTTCCTTATACCTTATTCAGAAATTAATTCAAGATGGATTAAAGACTTAAATGTTAGACCTAAAACCATAAAAACCCTAAAAGAAAACCTAGGCAATACCATTCAGGACATAGGCATGGGCAAGGACTTCATGTCTAAAACACCAAAAGCAATGGCAACAAAAGCCAAAATTGACAAATGGGATCTAATTAAACTGAAGAGCTTCTGCACAGCAAAAGAAACTACCATCAGAGTGAACAGGCAACCTACAGAATGGGAGAAAATTTTTGTAATCTACTCATCCAATAAAATGAATTTTTAATGAATATATTAATTGTAAGAAAGCTGATAATAGTGGAGAGAAGAATAGTTTGTCAGAGAGACAGAAAAGACTGGAGCACTTACTTTTCCCTGTGGATCCAGCTGCCATAACAGTTTCAACATTGTAAGAACAGCTGTGAGAAGCAAAAGGAACCTCATTATCTCTACCAATTGCATGAGTCAGGTGAGATAGAACAGTCTTACAACAAATTCATCAAAGGAGATTTATACTCACAGATAGGAAACAAGGATAAACAAAAGCCTAGACTCCATGGAGAGCTAGTCCACCAAGGTTCAGGAAGGCTGCGTAAGTTGGATGGAGCATTGTCTGCTCATGCCCCACATCATACCACAGCTGAGGGACTCTGAAAGCACTCCACCCTGAGTGTATATACACTGTACATGACTAAACTTGCTGAGCACAAACATTAAAAAACTTCCTGTTCTCAGAGGAATGAGGATACAGCCTGGGTTATTCCAGACACATCGCCCTTATCTCAGGTTATCACTTTCTCAGTACATTCTGCAGTTATTCCATGGACTGCAAGTGGGAGGAGGAAGAGCTGGTTTGGCTAAGGCTCTCTGAGAACCTGTCCTCATAGAACCCCTACATAGGACTCCCCCAAAATGAATCATACCATTTTAGGAATAGAATCAGCTTTGGTAATCAGGATTCTCCGAAGAAGGTAGTGAAATCAGCTATTAGAGAGAGTTTAAGAGGAATTTTCATGCTAAGCAGGAAATTGAAAATTCCTTTATAGAGGTCTTTGATTCACAGTAAAGTCTATGGCTAGGAGACTGAGTTAAATCCACTGATTCATAAGATTGTAACTTAAACTCTGTTTTCTTTAGTACCAGAAATTAACCAATTGCTTTATCCAAAAAAAGAACTTAATGATTATTTACTAAGGAAAAGGAAATTCCTTATAAAGGTATTATAGAGGATTTACACTAATGGTGTCTACTACATTTTTGTTTACTGTATGCCAAGCATGATTCTAAATGCTATACATTTAATATCTGATTAAATCATCATAACAATCATTTAAGGTATGACACTATCCCCATTTTACAGATGCAAAAACTGGAACCAAAAAATGTTTTTTTTTAACCCACAAAACTAATAAATGGAAAAGCCAAAATTTGAACACCAATGGTCTAATCACGGATTATAACTTCATGCATTATAGCTTTTCATGCATTTTTGTAATGAATTTCTTGTTTCACTGATATGTATCTATTATAATATAATGCAAGTTTAAAAGGGAAAATAAGAAACTATCTCAGCATCTGAATCCCTGTCTGCTTGCTCTTTTGACAACCTTCATTAATCTTTCAGAATATTCCTCCTGATTATAGAATTTTTCAATTAACTAGCATGAATATAGAGAGGTGTCTTCACTAAATGAAGTTTATTTATACTTGTAGGGTTACAATGCAATATGGCAAAATGATCTTTAGCATCCATCAACTCTAACCCTACAAGATAAAGTATTCTATCTACTAGAAAAGAGAGAAATATCTTTCATAAACAAAAGTTAACAGCTTCCTTTGTTTTTAACAAAGAAGGCTGAACTTGTGATTATATATTTAGGAATCTATTTTAAAGAAATAATCAGAAATATGGACAAAGATTTATTTAAAAGATATTATTTACAATAATGAAAATTGAAAATTATCTAAATGCTCCCAGGAAAGAGTAATGATCAAATTAAGAGTAATGAACCTACAAATAGATTTTCATCCAACCACTGAAAATTGTATTTTGAAAAATAGTTAATGTCACCAGAATATGCTCATTATATAATACTGGGGGAAAGGACCCCAATTTTTTAAAAAATGAATTAGAAGCATACCTTCCAAAATATTATCAGTAATTTTATCTTGGCAGTATGATTTGATTAGAGGTGATTTTAATATTCTTCTTGGTGCTTCTGTTTTCCAAAAAATGTATAAGCATAATATGATTTTATAATAAAAAATTTTTATAAAAGTTTTGTGGTTGCTTTTTGAAAAAAATAAGAGAATTTTTACACATTGTTCTGGAAATGATGAGTACATGTATGGAGCATTATACTAAAATGTATTTTAACATACTGTTTAATTACTAAAAGAAATCTATCAGGCTTCCACTTTCAGGCAAGATCCAGTAACGTAGACTGGATTTGCCCCTTTGCCTGAAGCAATGAAAAACTGGGTAAAATACATGAAACAATGGTTTTCAAGACACTGGAGGCATCAGACAATGAGGGACAATAATCTCCGAGGGACAATTCAAAAGATATAATTCTTACAATTGTCCCAGCTTACTGCCTTGAGAAGTTTCCAAAGCCTGGCACCGGGTGAATGGGGAAAAGCCCAGTCAGAGAATAATGATTCTCTGAGGTGAAAGTACAGATTTGGGAGTCCAGGGATATCAAAAAAGCTAAAGTTCACAGGAAAAGTCACTGAAAAAGAAATCTGCAGAGAGGGAACTCGAGATCAACAATGTGTGAGGAAGCTACCTGAGACCTAAGACAGAACCACCCTGCAGTATTGCGCAGACTCTAGGATGAAAACCATGATCCTCACCTCTAGATATTCACAACTTTGTTTAATCCTCTCTCTCTGAGTGTGAGAAGGACCTGTGACTCACTTCTGATCAATAGAACACAGCAAAGGTAAAAGGATGTATGTGATTACATATATTACATAAGATTGTAGCATCATTGTTACTAAAAGACATTCTTCCTTGCTGGCTTGGAATAATCAAACTGCCAAATTTGTGAGCTACCATATGGAGTAGGCCACACAGAAAAGGGCTTCCAGCCAACAGCCGACAAGAAATTGAGCCACTTGCCCTGCAACCGTGAAAAAAACTAAATACTTTTACAAACCATGTGAGTTTGGATCTGAATTTGAAAGCAGATACTTCCTGATTTGAGCCTCATGTCATACCACAGCCCAAGCCAAAACCTTGATTCCAGTCTTGTGATATTCTGAAAGAAAAAGTGAAGCTTTAAAAAAAACAAGTGCTATCTAGTCTCCTGATATTGCACTATCTTCAAGTTAAATCTTTGGCCCTTACAATCAGCTTGATGAGCAAGGGCTCCATGTACCTCCACTTCCCCAGTTAAAAGTTAATATGGTCCAATATAAATAAAACAGAGTTTTTAAGGGTTAAAAATCCATTAAACTAGACCTATTTAGAGAACAGAATGAAAGACACTGATTTCACCATTCAGAGTATACAATATTGGGCTCTTGAATAAAGCATTTAATATAACTTTCACCACCCTTAGCAGATACAGGTTGCAGGTCTCATAAGTGCCGTAATGACTTACTTAAGTGAACATGATACATTTCAATCATCAGAGAAACATCAAGAGTGAATTACGGTAAATGGTCCAATTCCATTTTTATTTATGTCTGACTATTTACAACTTTCTTTTAAATCCCATTCCTCCTTCATCCCCTATTACCCCACTGTGAGCAAGCCCATGTGTTCCCCCAACCGCCACCACCATGCTGCTTAAAGCAGGCAAGCCCCAGCCTGAGTGCAGGAGCCCTCATTCCAACCCCACTTTCTAACCACAGTAAAACTCAAAGCCAGTTATCCCTTCTTTGCTCTCTAAAGACATTTTCAGACCTGCTTAAGAGCCTGCCCTGTGCTCCTCACAAAGGCTCATTATATGAATAACAAATATCTTCATATCCTCTTGCTGCACTTGTGGCATCATCAGTCTCAAAATCCAAACCAAATTGTGGGTGTGGAGTTGAGACTATCTCCTGTGGGATGATCATAATGGGCACTGAGCCATTATTCCTAAAATTAGTAAACAGAAAGAAAGAATCAAACATTCATGCTGCCTTTCTGTATCAATTATATTCTCAGGTAACAAATTGCAGACAAAATGAAAGAATGAGAAAAATCATCATATTGCAACCTATTGGAATACTGAGTTTAGGTAACAATCATCCAATGACTGCTAAAACCATTAAGTAAAAGATTAATGGGCTGCTTTATGATGGATTAAGCTGGAACTGTCTGAACTGACTGATAACTTGAATAGCCCCAGAAGAGAAACAACCAGCTCTATATGTCTCCTGACAGATGCAAGAAAAAGTACACAGCACCATCTGCTAAATTTTCTTAGTAAAATTGAAATATGCATCTAATCAAGACTTTCGATTAAACTATTAGCTAATAGAAAATGTGGTGGATAGAGGAATGTGTTAAATATCACCATAAAACTGAAATTCTGAAATCTGATATATGAAAATTCTCTGGACAAATCAACAGGTTTCTTTCAAATACAAATGGCATTTAAAATAAGAAAAGGAAGTATTACAGATTAAGACATTTTAGCCTATTGCAATGTGTGGACCTTGTTTGATCCTGATCTAAGCAAATAACTTATAAAGATTGTTTTCTGGCAATCAAGAAAATTTGTACACAGACTTGGTGTTAAATGATATTAAGAAATAATTGTTAAATATAGTAGATGTCATAATGATATGGTAATTATGTATGTTTTAAAAGACTTATGTGTTAGACATCATGCAGACTTGTAGATGAGGGGATGTAAGGCAAGGAAGGAGGCAGATGTTAGAGAACACGTGCCACTGGCAGATATTAATTCCTTGGCTGAGACCTAATGGAAATGGATAGGAAGGAGAGGAAAAGAGCATTCCATGCAAAACAAATAGCACATGGAACATACTGAAGATCGGAAAGACCATAGTGTATCCAAGAAACTGAAAGACACAGTATAACGGTATTGCAGAGCCTGAAAGGGAACGTGGTAAATTGGAGAACTAAGAGGTCACCGGAAGCCTCATCATGAAGAGCTTTGAACATTATGTTTAGGAGAAACAGAGACCATTGAAGAAGTTCAAGCAACAGAAAGACACCATGATGTTTTTGCTTTAGAAAAGTCACTTTGACTATAGTATGTGGAATAGAAAGGTAGAGTAAGATTGGAGACAAGGTGACAATAAGTAAAACGCTTTCCAATAGCAGATATATGAGGAAAGAGGAAGTATAATTGATGAGAAAATTGTTAATAATATAAGTGGAAAAGAACTGATGGGACATGGTGATTGTATGTTGGGGCAGAGTGTGAAAGGGAGAAAGTAGTTAAAGTTGATATCCAGGTTTCTAACCTGGGGAAATAGGGAGGAATTGTCTATAAGCTGAGAGAAGGAACATAGAGTGAAGAGCTGGTTTGGGAGCACAGATTAGTTTATTTGCAGCCTCACTGAATTTGAAATGTCTTCAACACACCTAACTGAAGAGATACCCAGGAGTCCTTTGGACATGAGTCAGAATCTCAGGGCTATAACTTTGACTATCATCAACATATACAACATATACATCTTACTTAAAATTATAGAAAAGTGTGAGAAAGCCTTGAAAGAGTGTATAAGGAAAAGAAGAAAAGCTGATAAAGGAATCTTAAAAAAATCATCTAGTTCCAAAAGTCTTGCACTTAAAAACTATAACTATTCTGTCAAAATAACCAAGGGCAGATACTATGTTTTGTATTTATGTGTTTGATTATTATTTTCAATTTGTTATGGACTATTTCAGAGATTCATAATTATTCTCTTTTCAAACCCCTTCTCCTATCAAGTCACACATTTGCTGTTACTAATCATGCCACAAGGAACATTCTCACACATGTCTGCTTAGGCACAAGAGTTTTCTTAGGGTATATATGCAAAAGTAGAATTCCTAGGTGACAGGTGTATCAGAGTTCAGTTGTAGAAAGCAGAAACCACCTCAACCATTTTAAGCAGAAGGGGATCTGATATAGAGTATTAGGTGCTTGTAAAATCATTAAAGAGGCTGGCAGAGTCAGTTCCACACACCAAGGAATGACTCAGAATAATGCCACTAAATGAACTCAACAGGAGAATTCCACCTTTGCCACAAGCAGGAAGGTAAGAAGTCAGGAGGCCAATACTGTAGCTATTTAAGTTAAAGAATAAACTACTGTCACTGTGATCCCAGGATCAGGAAATCACAGCCTCTGAACTATGACTACCTCTCAACTCTGATGAGTGACTTTACAGTCACTGCTGCTAGGACAAAAACAAAAACAATGTCTTTTGCCATAACTTTGCCTGCCAGCCATAACAAAGGTATAGGAATCGCCCCAAATCACTTCTGCCTTCAAAATATTGCCAAAATGCTTCTAACTAACAGAACATCATTTGCTTCCAGAGATCTAACTTCATAAAAGTTAGAGAAATGTTTATTTTTGGCCTTCAGTCTTTCACAAGACAGAATGGCATAGTTTCCACAGATATGGAAATAGATGCTGAGGCTCCTTTTTTGTATCCACTACATAGCATCCATGCATCTTAAACTTGACCACACATTGTGAAATAGATCTGCTATCTGGTTTCACCAGTATACTCTCACCACCATGTAAGAGAATTCCCATTACTCAACATTCTTGCCAATGCTTGGTATTCTTTCTCTCTCTCTCTCTCTCTCTTTTTTTTTTTTTTTTTTTTTTGCACTCTTCCCAATCTGATAGGTGCAAAATTATCTTATTCTGGTTTCAACATATATTTTTGATTACCATTTAGTATGAACATATTTTTAATTGTTTCTTGGCAATGTAAACTTTCTCTTACGTTTAAATGTATTGTCCATTGTTTCCTATTGGGCTTTTAATTTGTTCTATATTAGTTATAGGAACTGTTTATAAATTCCACATTCTAATCATCTCCTGCTTTTATGCATTGAAATTATCTTCTAGTCTATGACTTATATTTCATTTAACTTTTCTGTTGTTGTTTATAGCATCTCTTTTTCCTACACTTTTTTACATTTTAATTTTTTGTATAATCAAAATTAAATTTTTCTTTATATGCTCTCTGGATCCTATTAGTCATATTCCCCCTCTAGATGTATTAAAAGATATTTTCTAACAGAAATTCTTTACAACTTCTAAAAGATCTAAAGACTTAATTTGCACGGTAGGTTTTATTAATATGTCTAATAGTAACTTTTGGATACGGCAAGAGGTAGGAGTCAAGTATATATTTTATTCAAGAGTTGTCTGAGCAACAGTTTTTATAACCAGATCCACCTTTCTCTCCTAATAGGTAATGTAACCCTCTGTGATACATAAAATTTCTGAATATGATTCTGAAGTCCCTATTATAGCTTTTCTACCTATACACAAAAATGCCTTAATTACTTTATAATTTTTTTGTCTCAAAGTCTGTTTTATCAGATTTTAACATACTAGCTTCATTTTTTTTTTAAAATTATCTGTTCCACATTTAATTATTTTACTTCCAATTTTTCTATTTCTGTTTAAACATGTGAGGTTTTTCCTTCAAATAACAGTAACGAGATTTTTTTTAATTCAAGTCTGATAATTTCTCTTTCAACTAACATAATAATCCATTCACATTTATTGTGATTGTAGATATCTTTAGATATGTGCCTTATTTTGTTCTTTCTATTTGCCCTGATTTTTCTGTACTTTGGTATTTTGTTATTTCTTGCCTTCTTTTGGATTCATCAGCTTTAAATTTTATTATACCTGTTATTATTCCATTCCCCCTACCCTATTTCTTTGGGAGTTATTTCCTCCATTTTATTATTTTAGCATTCATAATCCCCTTTTAATTATTTGATGTGTGTAATAGATTGTTAAAATGGGACGCTTTCTATTCTGGAGTTTCAGCTAAAACCCCAAGACCACAACAAATAGATAAAAGTACCTTCCATATTCAAAAATAAGTGTGTTAGATCATTTAAGAACAGTCAGAAAAGTTAGAGACCCAAACTAGTTCTGCTACAGCACAGGCCACCACCAGGCCATATAAGAAAAGGCTAAGGATTCATCAGAGGTAGGTTAGAAACTTCACTGGAAGGTATTGTCTCAGCAGTGCACTTTCTCTTTGTCTGTCTCCACCAAGCAAGTGAGGTGGGACTGGGGGATTCCGAGAAACGTTTGGAAACTGACTTGTACTACCTGGAGTTTGGAGATCACAAAGTAACTGGAACCTGACTCTCTCCTGGAGCAGTCTAGAAAGATGGGTGCTACGTGGGTCCACCCTGACAACAGGGCAAGTAGAGAGGGCTGCAGTGCAGCAAGTTGACACTGGGTCTCAGAATACATGTAAAGACAGACATATTGTTTCTAAACAAACCCGTCTCACCTAAGAAACCCAGAAGGAGCAAAGTAACCTAATAGAGAAAATTCTGTGTAGGATGAACTGTCAGAAATCAGGGCTTGAGACAGAGACATGATGCCTCAAGAGAGCATTTCCCATGTTAAAGCCTGAAGAGAAGGAGGTGGCCATGAAGAAAAGTCCCTGAGAAACTAACAAAATTGCCACTTTAGAGAAAGTGCCAACATTTATGTGTCTGCAACACGGAAGGCCCAACATTTAATTAAAGAGTGGAACCTAAAAAACGCTGGAACTAAAACCTAAAATGTGATGACAAATGTTTTAATACACTGAAGAACAGCAACTTACTCTAGCCAACATGAAAAATGTGGCATAGTTCATCAGAATCTAATATTCTTACTATTTCTTCTTTCTGTTTGTCCTAGTTAGCTGCTGAAGGGTGTACCTCATAAGCTCTAAATATCAAATACTATACAGACAATAAGGAGAAAGTTGTTTTTTTGCCAGTGTATTTTTCAAGGTTCTGCCAAGACACAGGAGATGAGCCTGAAAGCACTCCCTATCTCTTACCAGAGTGGGTCCCTCTCTCAGCTGATGATCTGCTTGCCACCCTGCAATTGGACTTTTCCCTGCCCTCCTCTAATCTTTGACTCCCCAGCTCCTGGATCTCCCACTGCAGCACATGACCCAGAAACAAGTCCTTAATTGGTTAATTTACCTATTATAAGAAGGCTGTTGTCAGGGAAGACATTATACCCAATAACCAAGAGCTGACTTTATCTTTTTTTTACTTTTTTTGACGGAGTCTGACTCTGTCGCCCAGGCTGGGGTGCAGTGGTGTGATCTCAGCTCACTGCAACCTCTGCCTCCAGAGTTCAAGTGATTCTCCTGCCTCAGCCTCCTGAGTAGCTGGGACTACAGACATGTGCCACCACATCCGGCTAATTTTTGTATTTTTTAGTATAGACGTGGTTTCACTTTGCTGGCCAGGCTGGTCTCGAACTCCTGAACTTAGGTGAACCTCCTGCCTCAGCCTCCCAGAGTGCTAGGATTACAGGCGTGAGCCACCACGCACAGCCTTGATTTTATCTTTATGTTAATTACTCATATGATTTCAGACTGCAAGATATTGAACAAAATAAATGGGCAACTAAATAGGTGGTTGTATTACAGTATTCCCCCCTGTTATTCAATCCTTGATTTTGCTTTCTCCCAGTTTCAGTTACTTATGGTCAACTGTGGTCAAAAAATATAAAATGGAAAATTCCAGAAATAAACAATTTATACGTTTTAAATGACATGCCATTCTGAGTAGTGTGATGAAATCTCATTCCATCCCACTCCATCTTGCTGGGGACTTGAATCATCCCTTTGTCCAATGTATCCATGTGTGCTACCCAGCACTAGTCACTTAGTGGCTGGCTCAGTTATCAGATCAACCATCATGGTATCACAGTGACCATGTTCAAGTGATCCTTATTTTATTTAATCATGGCCCCAAAGTCATTATACCAAAGTAGTGATGTTGACATATCGTTATAATTGCTCTATTTTATTATTAATTATTGCCATTAATCTCTTACTGTGCCTAATGTATAAATTAAACTCTATCATAAGTATGTATGTATAAGAAAACTCTATCATAGGTGTGTATCTATTGGAAAAAACAGTACGGTGCTCCTTGACATATGATGAGGTTTTGTCCCTATAAGTCCACCACTACTTGAAAATGTTATAAATCGAAATCCATTTAGTATAACTAATCTACCAAACACTATAGCTTAGCCTAGCCTAATTTAAATGTGCTCAGAACACGTCCATTTGCCTACAATTGGGCAGAACATCTATCACAAACCCTATTTTATAATGTTGTTGAATATATCATGTAATTTTTAAAATATTGCACTGGAAATGAAAAACAGAACAGTTGTACGGCTACTCAAAGTACAGTTTCTATTGAATGTGTATCATCGATAGATGATTTTTTTTTACTTTTTGACTCTCATCACCAGAAAGTCAAAAAAAAAGGTAAGTTGAATTATCATTATATATACTTATGGAATATGTACATGTACATATATATGGTACATGTGCATGTTGATATACCATATGTATATATAAAGTTTGTTTCTATTCATGGTTTCAGGTATCCCCTGGGGATGGTGGAATGAATTCCCCATGGATTAGGGAAGCCTACTGTACTTAGGGTTCTCCAGAGAAACAGAACCTATAGGATATCTATAGATACATGAGAAGGAGATTTACTATAAGAATTGGCTTATCATATAATTATGGAGGCTGAGAAGTCTGCAAGCTGGAGAGCCAGGAAAGCCAGTGATGTAATTCAATCCAAGTTCAAAGGCCTAAGAACCAGGGATCTGCTGTCGGAAGTTCTGAAGCCCAAATGTCTGAGAATCAAGAGTTTCAACGTCCAGGGACAAGAGAAGAAGGATATCCCAACTTGAGAAGAGAGAGAGAGAGAAGTCACCATTTCTCTCCCTTTTTGTCCTATTTGAGTCCTCAATGAATTGGATGATGCCCACCCACACTGATGGGAGCTGATCTTTACACAATCTGATTCAGATATTAACCTCTTCTGGAAACACCCTCACAGTCACCCAGAAACAAAGTTTTACCAGTTATCTGGGCATCCCCTATCCCAGTCAAGTTGACACATAAAATTACCCATTATGATATTTTTTAAAATGTATTTTCCTCTATATTCTTCAAGTTACTGATATATTATTTGCTATTTTCAACATGAGCAATATCCAACTAGCTAAGAACTCATGATTCTCTCTACTACTACAAACTTTCACAAATTAAAAATGTACCCCCACATTGTTGGACTGAGTCAGTGAGAGGGGTAGGATCGTGCAATTTGTGTAGCCAACACTACCAGCAGCAATTGCCAGTCATCTACCATCACTGCCAAAGCTCTGTTTCTTCTTCTTTTAGGCTCTTTTTTGAAATCAGAAACTCAATTGACATTTGCTAGAGTGTAAAGCTTCCACTAAGCCTTGGCTCAATTTTGGTGTGAAATCAAGCTTTCCAAATCATGTGTGGAACTAGGCTGAATTCCAGGTTCTGATACTCCCTATCCCTTTCCATCCCTCAAGAGTCCGCCTCACTACCACTGTCTCCTTACGGGGAAAACCCTTCGGCTTGACATTCCTTCTTGTCTGATGTGTAAAAGCCAGGTGGCCTTCTTCCCAGACTTAATTTATTTGCCAATTCTCTCTGTCATTTTTTGAAGAGGACAAAATAGGGGAATCCTATCTTCTTGTAACTTTAGAAATGTTGTAAGATACTGGGCTTTGTTTTCTGATTTTTAGGAGGTGTTTTTTAGGATTGAAATGAAGATTTGAGATCTCTAAATTTCTGCCAATCTTCTGACTGTTTCTGCAATTATTTGGGATCCAAGTGTTACAATAACAGTGAATTTTCTGCTAATACACTGTAAAAAAAGAAAAACCTATCAATTTAGCTGATTGTTTGGGTCTCACATTTAGAATATAACCACAAAGTTTAAAAAGAGTCGCCACAACTGGGTCTTTCTAAATTTTTTTTTAAACTTTAAATGGCAGAGTAGAAAATCAGTGCAATGAGATTTTCCTCCAAAAATATTTGCTGACATATTTAATCACCATAGACAAACCAATGGTTCAGATAAAATTTCTCTTTCTGCTTCCAAAGAAAATAATTATTAAAACGTATCAGCAGTTCTCAAATTGAGCTAATTGCATCTCTGCTCCACTTCATTTGCTTGTCTGTGTCTGATTCACACTCCTTTTCATTTCCCAGCCATTTAAGGCTGGCTGATTTCTTAGGTAAGGCAAAGCCACACTGCAGTAACAAATAATTTATTTTTTGGTTCACAGGTCAGGACTTTCACAATTATCCTCTATGTGGAAACTTAGAGATCTAGGCTTCTTCCATTGTGTATCCATGTCAGTGGGAACATGTAGGTGCTAAAGTCAAAATACCAGGAAAAGGTGTGAGTGACGTAGCTTACTGGCTCTTCTTCCCTGCAATGGGTACACTTACATTGTACTGTCTGGAGCCATCATATATAAGGGAGGCTAGGAAATGTAGAAGAACACATAGGTAGTTGGTGAGCACTAATCACTTCTGCCTCAAGAGTGAACTTTTAAAACCAGGCTCATGCTTTCTCTTTTTCCCTGAGTTTCTAATGTTACAATTTTGCTCATCATGAAAGAACGTTTTGTGGTTTTATTCCAAGCTTAGCAACTCTTTTTTTGGGAGTACATTAAATTTCCAGCAACTTGGTAACACAGTTTTTCGTAAACATTTATTTACTCTGTCAGGGTCTTTGAGTTAGGCTGGAGGCAGGAGGTGAAGAGCTTGTCAATAGAAGCCTAGCTGCCTCTTTTGGTCATAGAAAAGGGAAATGAAATGTGGGACTCAGTCAGGTATGGAGGGGCTCTTTTAATTTATCTAAAGAATTTGTCATGTGAATCTAGTTCCATGTGTGCAGGAAAGTTAAAAAGAGAAAGCTCTGATGAATCCATTGGAAAGTACCGGTGTAAATCTACTACATGTTATTACTTGCCAACATATATTTTTCATGTTTTAATAAATCACAAAACAGTATTCACAATCTCACTCACTAGGAAAAAGTAGAAAATAGTTATCCTGTTCTTTCAGGAAATGAATTCTCATCAGCTAGCCTAGTGACCAGTTTAAGCAGAAATGATTTCAAATTTGCCTATACAGTACAGGAGAAAATGCATGTGGCTATATTAAAAATGTCTTCACACCATGCAAACACTACACAGAACCACCAATAAATAATATCTAGCCTGAAATGCAAATAAATGCCAGCTCAGAATTAAGGGAATACAGAGAGAGAAAAAGAAAAACTGTGGTAACGAATGACTAAAATATGGGGCTAGGACATTCTCCAAGCAGGTTAGGCCAGGTGATTTACCTATGCAGATCATTATCCTTGGAGGTTTTGGTCCACATCTAAAAGATGAGTAAATTGATAAAGAATAAATCAGACTAAGTCCCTCCTGCTACTTATGTAGAAGAACCCATGTAATTCACTGGGCCTCAAGACTCCCATTGTCACAACTATAAAAAATGTTTCAAAATACATTATGGCATGTAGCTAGTTTAGGTAAGCACTGGAATTTTTGATGCCATCCAAGATGATAACCTGATTGAACACACACACTTACACACATATACATCAAAACCAGTAGCTCTCAACCAGGGGTGATTTCGCCCCTCATGGAATATTTGGCAATCTCTAGAGAAATTTTTCATTGTCAAAACTGTATGGATGGTACTGGCATCTAGTGAGTAGTGGCCAGAAATGCTGATAAGCATCCTGTAAGGGCAGAGCAGGGGGACTCCCCACCAAAGGATTATCCTATCTAAAGCTTCAATAATACTACTGTTTAGAAACTCTGTCCTGAACATTAATAATGCTTTTTCAGGATAATGAAACTGAGAGTGATTGTTGTTCCTTCTTTGTTCTTTCCTATATTCTGGATTATTTACAAAAGGTAGGTATTTTTGCTTTTTTTTTTTTTTAATCAAGAGAGAAGGAAATTTCATTTGGGAAAAAAAATATTATATTAACATATTTGAATAAATTTACATTTAGACCTAGACAAGTGTGGTTCAGATCACGCTGGAAACTTTCATTGTCAAGTAGAAAGATGGCAGATTCTATTCTGTGACCTTCCAATTCCAACGAATTTGTGCTGTTTTTCACTGTTACAACTGCTGCTCAACTTCGCAGAATTGCATTGTTGTAATCCTAAAAGTGAATTTGCTACTCATCATTCTTACAATAAAACCACAATGTCTAAAGGATTCATGAATCAGATGCTGACTGAACTGATCAGGAGTTGGGAAAGACGATTCCTGATTATCTCAAACCATCCTAAACATTGTAGGCTATTTATCATCCCTGCCCCCCCTACTAAATACCAGTAAGACCCCTCCCATTCAGTCATATAATAATGAAAATTCCCAAATACATTTCCAAACACTCCTTTTTAGGGGCTATAAACAGTCCTGGCTGAGAACCATTCAAGAAGATGATTTCCAAAAGTTTTTTCCAATCTTAGGATCCTTTGATTTCCCATATACCAAACAGGCCCCCATTCTTTCATTCAGGAAAACATTTTTTTCTCAAATAGAAACATCAATATTCTCAGACTTCTCATATTGAAGAAATGTCATTTTATAGGTAACTTGGGTTTTGATCAGTTAAATCAAAATGAATTCAAGAGACAAAACAATAGATGGTAATATAAAGGTCTGAGTGCAGCCAGTGGGAACTGAATGTTTATTAAGAACTGTTGGCAGGTCGCAGTGGCTCAAGCCTGTAATCCCAGCGCTTTGGGAGGCCAAGGCGGTGGATGACCTGATGTTGGGAGTTGGAAACCAGACTGACCAACATGGAGAAACCCCGTCTCTACTAAAAATACAAAATTAGCCTGGTGTGGTGGCGCCTGCCTGTAATCCCAGCTACTCGGGAGGCTGAGGCAGGAGAATTGCTTGAACCCCGGAGGCAGAGGTTGCAGTGAGCCAAAATCCTACCCTTGCCCTCCAGCCTGGGCAACAAGATCTACACTCCGTCTCAAAAATAAATAAATAAATAGGCCAGGCGCAGTGGCTCACGCCTGTAATCCCAGCACTTTGGGAGGCCGAGGCAGACGGATCACGAGGTCAGGAGATCGAGACCATCCTGGCTAACATGGTGAAACCCCGTCTCTACTAAAAATACAAAAAAATTAGCCAGGCGTGGTGGCGGGCGCCTGTAGTCCCAGCTACTCCAGAGGCTGAGGCAGGAGAATGGTGTGAGCTTGCAGTGAGCCAAGATTGCGCCACTGCACTCCAGCCTGGGCAACGGAGCGAGACTCTGTCTCAAAAAAAAAAAAAAAAGGAAAGATAAAAAAGAAATGTTGACTTCATGTGATTAGTAAGAGCATTTTCAAAGATTTGACATTTCTCTTAAAATTACTGATTGCTTCTAATATGAGTTCTTAAGTAAATGCTATAAATAACCAAAATTTCCTCATCTCCATGACTTAATTTTATACATTTGGTCAGGTGCATTATTGTCTAAAGAGTTGTCTTTGGAAGTATTGTTACAGAATATTTTAACTAAATTTTTGCACTACTCTAAGGCACTACTGCATTTAAAAACACATTTCAGCCGGGCTAGGTGGCTTATGCCTGTAATCCCAGCACTTTGGGAGGCCGAAGCGGGCAGATCACTTGAGGTCGGGAGTTCGAGACCACCCTGACAAACATGGGGAAACCCTGTCTCTAATAAAAATACAAAATTAGCCGGGTGTGGTGGCACATGCCTGTAATCCCAGCTACTCAGGAGGCTGAGGCAGGAGAATCGCTTGAACCCGGGAGGCGGAGGTTGCAGTGAGCCGAGATTGCGCCATTGCACTCCAGCCTAGGCAGCAAGAGCAAGATTCTGTCTCAAAAAAAAAAAAAACCACGCACATGCATATTTCATATTTCAAAAATTCATATTTTACATAAGATTAAATAATTTTTATTTCTTGTGGAGATATACTTTTCTTAGACAAATTGTCATGGACAAACATATTTAGTGACTTTGAATTTATTTTATTAAGGTACAATAAAATCCTTTTCATTTGTCAGCTGACATACAGGGAAAGGTACACTGGGCTATGATTAGAAGACCACCTTAAGGTAGAGTTACAAGCAGAAGAGGAAGAAAAGAATTTTAAAAGTGGACTGGTGATCAATTTAGTGGCTAAGTAAGCCAATAATAGCAGGACTCTAGATTATTAGGAAGTTAATTTGTTTCTTGATGTAAAATACTTGCAGTGTTTTGACAGAAGTCCGTAACTTTTCTAGAGACATATAATTAAAATTATTTTGAATATGCAACATATGTGACAGAATGCTATGTAAGTTTTTAAGTAAAAACAACTTGAGTCTTGGATTTAAAAAAAACACCTTTATGAGGACTATAGAATAGCTCTTTTAGAAAAATTTGTGTTATGGGAAATTTCAAATACATACAGTGATAGAGGGTATGTATGATGAACTCACAAGTGGACATTATCCAATTTCAACCATTACCATCACAAGGCTACTTTTGCTGTTTGAATATGTTTCAATATATTTTAATTTTGACAAATACCTCTCTGACTGGATGAATTTAGGAGAATCTTTCCCAGGAAGCGTGGACATAGCCTGCATATGGGATATCACAGGATTTCCCCTTTCAGTCTCCAAATAACTACTAATATTTCAGAAAGATTAAGATCCAGGATGAAAACATCAAATCGCATACACCCATTTACTTTTTCTCCCTCCAGAAGTCCCACCAAAACTATCGTAAGTATACTTTTGAGGGTCATTATCTCACAGTAATGAGGAGTACAGTAGAAAAGATGGGAGCAATAAGGTCTGGAAGTTGGAAAGCAGGTGGAAGAACGATATATAACTGAACTCTAAATGGGAACCAGGCAAAGCTAAAAACCAGTCCCATTTACATCTCAGAATCTCTGAAGAATTTAAGAATGGAAAACTAATCCCAGAATGATAGCAGCCATCCTTCAACTCCACACAGGTGACTAGAGGATCATTCTCTGCAGAATCTAACTGACGTAAGGTAAAGCCCAAAGATAGAGATATCAGAGTCTTTCCAATCAACCAGCCCTGCCAGATTACCCTACAGCAAAGCTCACAGATAATAATTCCCTTCCAGGTCTCACAGCTTCCAGTAAGTTTTATTTCCCCACTTTGAATATGAGACAACTGAGTGGTACCAGACATCTGAGGAAATTATCTAACATAATAAATTGAGATCACAATAATCAAATAGAAAAAGAAATGTGGAGGAAAAGTGGACTATAGATCAGCGTGAACTCAAAAACAAAACAAAACAAAAAACTATCATCAATATCCTCAGAGAGACAAAAGAATGTACTACAGCCATGAAACAAAAATAGGGTATTATTTATAAAGCATTTTTAGAGAAACAGGAGAGCTCTTGGAAATGGAAAAATACCATAACAGATATGCAAAACTTAATAGCTAACACTGAGTACATCTGCCAGAAATGGAAGGAAAAGAAATAAATGGGAAATAGAAGAAAAAGATTAGAAAATAAAAGGATCAATCCAGATGATCCAATCTCCAAATAACTGAAGGAAAAGAACAGAGAACACAGAGAAAAATTTCCCAGGAAGAAAAAAACGAAAAATTTCCCCACCGAGTGCCAGCAAAAATTATAAAATATAGTCATATCACAGAACTTCATCAGAAAATGTCTAAACACCAACGGCAAAAGCTTCTAGAGTTTTTTGTTTGTTTGTTTGTTTGTTTAAAAAAAAAGAGTTCATATACAAAGAAACAAGGATCAGAGTAGCGTTGGAATTCTTGACTCTGGAAAAAATCCCCCAGTCTTAATAAGGTAAATGCTGAAAACTATTCCAGCCAAAATTATAATATTGAGTTGAATAAGAAAGGAAAGTGAATAAGAAAGTGGGAAAGGAGGAGAGTGTGAGTGTTGACAAAGTGAGACCTTCCTGATAGCTCAACAATTTTACATCAGAAGAAGATCCTACAGAACACTGACTGAGAGGGCTAAATTGTTGAATTGCTTACAATCAGACTCTAATACTGAGTGTGTGGGAGAGGGGGTGGTGGGGAACTAGAGAAGACAGAGCTAAAACCTTGCTCTCCATAGCAGGGAGTCAGTAGATAATGCTTAAAATTAAAAAAATCAAAAGGCAACAATATGTTATTTAGAAACATAAGATAAATACCATGCACACACATTCAGAGAGAGAGAGAGATTTAAAAGGAGCAAAAACGGTTTCTCTGGGGAAGGCAAAGGTGACAAAAGAAGGGAGAGAAAGATTATTATTTGCTCATACCAAATCGTATTTGTTTGATTATTAAAATTAATAATTTGAGTTCTAAAATTTGTATAATTTTGGTAAAAATTCTAAAACTGCAACATTGACTTAAAAAAGAAAACTGTGTTCAATGTTTTTGTATTACTTGTAAATTGATAGTTGTGTTAATTTCATTTGGATAGACTCCTCATATAATCCGAACACCCCATTTTCTAACACTTCTGAATAGCCTGCAGTCCTCTGTGTATGTTAGAAAACTGCTGCAAGGCAGATTTGAGAATGAGCTTTGACAAAAGTTATGAAAGTAAAACAGAAAACAACTGACCCACACAGTGTTTAATATGTCTGCTGGGCACACAAACATTTAATTAGCTGAAATGTGTTGACAAAGTAAGACCTTTCTGATGGCTCAACAATTTTACATCAGAAGAAGATCCTACAAAACTGACTGAGATAGTTAAATTGTTGAATTGCTTACAATCAGGTTCTAATATCTACACATACTTTGTCTCGAGACAGGCTTAAAGAGCAATATGGAGCTTTAAAAACCACTAGTAGGTATTCATCAGATGATAATTTTCAGCCACTAGAGACTTAAAGTGAAAGTATAGTACTGATGCGGCCACAGCCCTACTTCCTAGTTATTTGCTGATGAGAAGCAGAAATCTAAACTCTTCATAACTTAAATTATTGATTTACTCTACTTATTTTTTAAAATTAGAGCAGCTTACTAATAGACCTAACCATTTCCATGTGCACCAGGACCAGTGTTCTTCTACACACCACCACCACCATCAAATATAAAAAATGCTGGCATTTAGAGATGAGTAAACTGTGATTTAATTCATAGGAAAAACAGAATGTATCTATGAGAATCATTGATGTTTTCAACCATCAGATCAGCTATTTCAGAATATATCTGAGGAGATGTGAGAACAGTGTGTTGTTTTTTAAATAGATTAATGTTTTAATATTTATAGAGGGCTCATACTAATCATCAATATGCAAAAGGAAACTTCCACACAGTTCAAAGAAAATGCAAAGATGTCTAAATTAAATGAGTTAAAAACCAGGACACGAAAGTAACAATAGAATTGAATACTTTTATTTATGATTTCTGCTACCAGACATTCCAAACATTAATGTCATACTGAAAAATATTGATCATCATTCCACAATTACAAGACCGAAAAGTCTCATACTTGTGTCTTTATGTTAATAATTTAATACAATTAAAATAATTTCGATTTATTTATTTTATAATTGGCATAGCTCTCTTATTGTTAATTTCCTTTGGTTTTTTAGACTATAGCAAGCTCTGAGCAATCAATGGGGAAAATAATGATATGACATGAAATATAATAAAGTTATTTCAAAATGCATGCACCATTTTAAATTTGCATGAAGCCTTTTTTTTTTTTTTCATGCGGAGTCTCTGTCGTCCAGGCTGAAGTGCAGTGGCGCTGTCTCGGCTCACTGCAAGCTCCGCCCCCTGGGTTCACGCCATTCTTCTGCCTCAGCCTCTGGAGTAGCTGGGACTACAGGCGCCCGCCACCACGCCCAGCTCATTTTCTGCATTTTTCGTAGAGACTGGGTTTCATCGTGTTAGCCAGGATGGTCTCAATCTCCTGACCTCGTGATCCGCCCGCCTTGGCCTCCCAACGTGCTGGGATTACAGGTGTGAGCCACTGCGCCCGGCCAGCTTTTCTTAAAGGTAGTTAGCCATGTCCATATAGTTAAGAGTTGTGCTGTAATTCTGCTGTGAGATTAAAAATCAGGTATATGATTTAAAATATATAATATTCTCACTATTTAGTAACTAGAAAAGTCAGGGTCATAATTGGTGTGACCAAATTTTCTGACACTAGATTGGGAGAGTTCTGAGACTTTTTACTGCTTACACGTCTAGGTCCACCAGGAATAGTCCAAGAACACATACCGGCTCCAAATGATTGCAACTTTATTTCACAAATGCTCACAAACTATTATTTCATAATTGATTTTAGAATCCTGCCTAGATCTATTGAGGGAACTACAGTTTATAAATAAAATATCTTGATACTTACTGAAAATGTAGATCTTATCTATCCTTACAAATCTTTCATGATTCTTTCAACATTTCCTACATAAGTTCAGTAATATTATCTTCAAGTTTCCTGCAATTTGTCTGAATTCAGATATGTAAATAGTTTAGATTGCCAAAGATCTCAGAGCCTGCATAGAATATATACTTCAGACGGACAGGGAAGCCGGTTGTGCACAAACTCTTGTCCATCATTAGTCGAAGATTTCTTTCAAAAAAAAAATAATTCTCAAACTTGGGTTTGAAAATTAAGAAATTTGGGTTTCAGTTCCTCTTCATTAACATTTGTTCTACCCTTTTCATTGAAGGTACGGATAATTGTTCTTGACAGAGGAGGAAGAAGCAACATTGGTTCTGTTTTTGACATTGGTTAATGCACATTCCTCATATCTTTATTATTCATACTTTACTTTCTAAGATAGCCATTTGCGTTGTCTCCAGAAATTTTCAGGGGCATTGGTTTATTCCAGGTTTACAGTTTTTTGGTTTATCCATATTCATCTTTAAGCTTTCCCTAATTTATTTTGCCATCTACTTTCAAAATCTGACCCAATCTGAGACCACCCGTCTTAGATTAGTTTCCACTAGAAAATCTTGAATGCAAGTTTATAAATGGTAGGTTATCCTAGGCAGCGCCCACAGTAAAGTGAGTGAGACAAGGAAAGAAGGAAGCCAATGCAAGGCATGTTACAAATTAGGATGCCACTGTGGCCAACAGGGGCTCAGATCTGCTGAGGAGCTTACGGAGACTGCAGAGAGCCCATCTCAGAGGGGCAAGGAAGCTGGCTTTTCATGCAAAAACTCTTGTCAACCATTAGAGTCTTCCTCAGAAATATTAACATCTTTGGCTCCCCCTTGCAGGCTGAGAACTCTCCACCTTCCCAAGAAACATCTCAAGCGAAGAGTTGTAGGTGTTTACTGTAGGAAGTTCTTCGGTGAGGTATGCAAGTTCAGGAACCATATGTGTCCAATGGATATAAACAGGATACTGAGTTCATCAGCTCCAGCACACTAAGGTGACTAATATATCCCTTTGGAAAACATTCATTCTTTACCGTGATGAGATCATTTCTTATATCATTATTAGAGTATGTTTTCAGAAATTCCAAATCCTACTAACCCATCCTCTCCATTACAGCCTCAAATCACATAGGCCTACTATGTTTCCTTTAATTTTTGAAACTCATTTCCCTGATGTATATGGTAAATACTGGAGTGAAACTGTAGTGTGACAGGTCCCCCAACAGGTTACTTAAGGTTGTATGTCTGCTGCTTGAACCCTGAAGGCCGAGGAGTGAGCCACAGCCACAGTGCCCAGCTGAGAACCCAAACATCCTAGAGAGGATCTGAGAACATACCAAAAAAAATAGTCCCATTGTGTACACACAGCAGACAAAGAGCCAGAAACTTAAAAGCGGCTCAGAGATGGGAGGTGGCACGGATCCCTTAAAGCTGTCTCGCTGCCATCCAGGAGTGTCTCATAATCAATTCCTAATAAACTCACCTACTCACCAAGCTAGACTTGTCTGATTCATTCTTTGGTCTCTCAGTTTCCTCTCAGTTTAGGGGAAGGTGTATATATATATATATATATATATATATATATATATATATATATATATATATACACACACAATTCTGTTTTTTTCTCAGTATGGAGCCAATTGTTCCTCTTGCCCATTATTCTAACATGATAACTCCACTGTTTCATAGCTTCAGCTAATAGAAAGGATCTCAATGTTCTCATGCATAAAGTGAAGATAACAGCATATCTGTTTCATAGGTTGCAAAGATAAAGTAGATTAAGGTGTGTAAAATGTTTATCATAGTTAATAAAAAATTGTAAGCACACCAGTGTCAGCTGTTATATTATTGTCATTGTGATTTTTAATTACTCCTTTCTCTAAAGATTTTTCTTAACCTCCATTTTTCCTTCTTAATCAAAATTATGCCTAGAAGAGTAGCTCCCTTCATCTCTACATTTTAGAACAGGGTTTCTGCAGCACTATTAACATTTAGGGTTAGATAAACAGTTATGGTGGGAAACAGGTCTATATATTGCAGGATGTTTAGCAATATCCCTGGCCTCTACTGACCCTGTTCCAGTAATACCCTCACCCTGGGTTGTGACAACTAAAAATGTCTCCAAATACTTATTGTCAAATGTCCCCTGCAGGTGGAGGGCAAAATTATTAGGAGAAAAGTAATACATGACAAATAAACAAGAACTCAATAAATATTTCTTGAAAGAAAGACAAATGGGGAAAAAAGGAATTAAGGAGGGAGAGAGAGAAGGGAGGGGAGAAGGAAAGGGGGATTAAAGAAGGAAGGAAAGAAGGTATTTCCCACAATAAATGGCAGAGTGTATCCTATGTACCACCTTGAGTTGAATGGAAATACCAGCAGATGAACTGACAGCTAATGTTCCCCAAGGCTGCTGCCATATAGTGTTTCTGTATCCATTTTATGATCAGATTCATGGACATACATTCCCTGTGTTTAACCTGGACATGCAGTCCTCTGTTAAATTCTTTTGTCCTATTACTCGGTACCCAAATGTTCTTCAATCTGCCTCAACCTTCCGGTTCATGAGTTTTTACGATAGGTGAATATTGTCTTGACGAATGCCATTACTTGATTTCTTCTGCTTAGAGCTCTAAGCAGAAATATATATCTGTTCTGCTCTGTCCAACATAGTAGCCACTAGTCAGCAGATTTAGTATGAAAAAAAATGAATGTAAAATAGCTAACTAATAGTTTTTATTGGATTACTTGTTGAAGTGATAATATTTTGGATATATTTGTTAAAGAAAATATATTAGTAATACTAACTCACCTGTTTATTTTTACTTTATTAATATGTAGTTTAAGTGATCTGAACTGCAAAGGTGACAGCACAATCCTCCAGATTAAGTGCACCCAAGACTCTGACACCAACTGCCTGGAGTTAGTGTCCAACTACAAGGTTAGAAGGAAAAGCACTCTCTCTTCGGGTAACAACTGCAAGTTTGTGGGGTTTCCAAAACCACCCTTAGTTTTGATAATTTGCTAGGACTCCAGGACTTATTGAAAGCTATTCTACTCTTGGTTATGCTTTATCATAGACGAAGGTTACAAACTGTAATCAGCCAAGGGAACAGACTCATAGGGCAGAGTCTAGGAGAGTTCCAAACATGAAGCATCCATTGTTCTCAGGACATATCACCATCCTGGCATCAATGTGTGTCACAACAAACACAGCGTATTGCCAATCGAGGCAGCTCACCTGAGTTTCAATGTCCAGAGTTTTTATTGAGGCTTTATTACATAGGTGTGATTGATTGATTTCCCACAAGATTGTACTCAACCTCTAGGATGACCGATAGATACCATACAACCCAAACCCCCTACTCTAAATCACATGGTTGCTATTTATGCTATTTATGGCATGAACAGCGCCATTCTAAGGCTATTGGGTATGGATGGCATCGCTAATAAGATCTAGTTTAACTGGCACCAGTCAATGTATGTCATACCTGAGAGGAGTGTCTTTGTTTACAGGGTCTAAGCTAAACCTCTTTTCAGACAAGGTCAAATTCTTTACTACACAAAGTGGCTTCTAGAAAATGTTAAATGTTAAATTACATAAGTGGCTCACATTATGGTTCTATTAGACAGCACTTATGGATACCTTTCCGTAGACAAATTTCTTACAGTGAATCCCATCATACTGAATCTTAGTCATATATTTAAATTCATACAACCAAGTTGTGCCATCTTCTGCCATTTTAAGTTGTTTCTCTTTTTTTCATTTCCAGTATGACCTATTGGGAACTTTCTCCATTATTATTCCTATTTCCAGATCAGATCAGGGTAGGTAAATGTATTTACGTTTTTTAGAATCCATGATCTATTTTCAGATGATCAATCTGGCAGATTTCTTAGCAAGTGAATTTTCTCAATCCTTAAAGCTCCATCATGAGCTCAACATTTTGGCAATCTTAAGTCATTGTCTAGGAAACACTGACATCATTTAGCAACCAAGTTCTTAATTGAACATATTATCTTTTCTCTTTCATAGTGTATACCTTATATGGACAAAGAGGAACTCAAGGCTACATACGACCTAGATATGCTCTCTAGATCATTTACAGAAGTTTCATTCATCCTTTAAAAATAGTAAAGTCTGAGGCTGGGCACAGCGGCTCACGCCTGTAATCCCAGCAGTTTGGGAGGCTGAGGTAGGTGGATCACCTGAGGTCAGGAGTTTGAGACCCATTACTGGGTATATACCCAAAGGACTACAAATCATTCTACTATAAAGACACATGCACACTTGTGTTTACTGCAGCACCGTTCACAATAGCAAAGACTTGGAACAAACCCTAATGCCTTTCAGTGATAGACTGGGTAAAGAGATGTGGCACATATACACCATGGAATACTATGCAGCCATAAAAAATGATAAGTTCATGTCCTTTGCAGGGACATGGATGAAGCTGGAAACCATCATTCTCAGCAAACTAACACAGGAACAGAAAACCAAACACCGCATGTTCTCACTCATAAGTGGGAGTTGAACAATGAGAACACATGGACACAGCAAGGGGAATATCACACACCAGGGCCTGTCACGGGGTGGGGGACTAGGGGATGGATATCATTAGGAGAAATACCTAATGTAGATGATGGGTTGATGGGTGCAGCAAACCACCATGGCATGTGTATACATATGTAACAAACCTGCACGTTCTGCACATGTATCCCAGAACTTAAAATATAATTTAAAAAAAATAAAAATAGTAAAGTCTGAATCATGTTCAATAACTTTCACCAGTTACCTTGTCTAATTGCTTTGAAGAGAGTCCTCTTTCCAGTTAGCCATTTCAGGACTTTACATAGCTCTCTCTCAGTCAATATTTTGACTGAGATATTTTGATCAGACATAAAATTATTGGTTCATGCACTATTTGTCGAATGCCTGTGTAATATTAAGCAAGCATGATAAAAAATGATGTGTTCATGTCCTTTGTAGGGACATGGATGAAGCTGGAAACCATCATTCTCAGCAAACTATCACAAAGACAAAAAACCAAACACCACATGTTCTCACTCATAGGTGAGAATTGAACAATGAGAACACATGGACACAGGAAGGGGAACATCACACACCAGGACCTGTTGTGGGGTGGGGGGAGGGGGGAGGGATAGCATTAGGAGATATACCTAATGTAAATGACGAGTTAATAGGTGCAGCACACCAACATGGCACATGTATACATATGTAACAAACCTGCAGGTTGTGCACATGTGCCCTAAAACTTAAAGTATAATAATAATAATAATAAAAAGATGGAAGAGAAAGTTTCTGCCCTCACTGAGTTCTTAGCCTAAAATGGAACTCAACAAAAGGCCTTGCATAATCAGTGTGGGTTAAGATGATGAACTCTGTGGGACAGGCCATCTGACGAAAGTCCAAGAACTGAACTTCTCAGTCCACAGATTATGAGATCCCTGAGGAACTTATTCCACATTACTATTAATCTATACCTTGTCAAAACAAAAAGAAAGTTGTTCATTTTAATAAGACCTCGATTAAGAAATACCCACTTTTAAGGAATGTGTCTTATAACAATTGGGTAAAAGCAATTTGTATTAGTCCATTTTCATACTGCCTTAAAGACGTACCCGAGACTGGGTAAATTTATAAAGAAAAGAGGTTTAATTGACTCACAGTTCTCACAGCAGGCAAGAGACAGAAGTGCATAAAACAGGAAGAGCCCCCACACTTATCAAACAACCAGATATTGTGAGAATTCGCTCACTATCACAAGGACGGCATCAAGGAAACCACCCCCATGATCCAATCACCTCCCACCAGGTTTCGCCCTCAACAAGTAGGGGATTACAATTCAAAATGAGATTTGGGTGGGGACAGAGCCAAATCATATCACAATTCAATTAGCTATGCCTTTGTAACTGAGATTCCTAAATTCTGAATCTCGTGAACTTAAAATAAGACATTAATTATGTTCAGTTTTCATTCATCTTCTTACTCACTCCATTCTGTCATGGGGTAAATGCCATTTAAAACATATACACATTGTTTTTAATGGACACATTAAATAGGGGTGACAATCACTAACACCACCAAAACAACTAAACTGTTCTGTTGTGATTAGCTCTGGAGGACAGCATTGTATGAAATTCTGCAGCCTCAAGCAGTTCTGTTGATGGCTTCCATTCCTGGCAAAACCACTGAGGATGACTCTCTAATAGATGTTATATCTGCACATATGCTGTTCATTGCCCTTCCTTCACGCTTATTCTGCCCTGGCTGACTTTGCACATCTGTTGTAATTTGAAGAATAATAATAAATACACTTTTGCAATGTGTGAAACACAAACAACTGAAAATTCATCAGGCAGCTAAGATTGGAAAATAATCACATGGTATCATGAGCCACCTCCTTGTGGCCCTTGTTTGCCAAACTAGAATTTAGGAAAGCTGAATTCTGATCCCAAACTTCTATTCCTCCTTTGATGAGAGGTATTGGGAAAAATTTCTTAATTTTTCTTCTTCAATTATTCATCTGAAGAGCAGGGCTAGTTTTACCTGTGGCTGTTGCAGCACAGAGTGATTATAAATATTAGTTGAGGGTTTTCTTAAGTACTTAAAAAAAGAGGCTTAGGCTGGGCGCAGTAGCTCATGCCTGTAATCCCAGCACTTTGGGGAGCTGAGGCAGGATCACTTGAGGTCAGGAGTTCAAGACCAGCCTGGACAACATGGTGAAACCCTGTTTCTACTAAAAACACAAAAGTTAGCCAGTTGTGGTGTCACACACCTGTAATTCCGGCTACATGGGAGGCTGAGGAAGGAGAATCACTTGAACTCGGGAGGCGGAGGTTGCAGTGAGCCGAGATAGCGCCACTGTACTCCAGCACTCCAGCCTGGGTGACAGAGCAAAACTCCATCTCAGAAAAAAACAAACAAACAAACAAACAAACAACAGTCTCACGAGTCTGTACATAAATCTTTTAAGATTTCATTCAACTTAGCTTGATTTTCATATTCCTTAAATGAGATGGGTTTCAATGCCACTACATAATAATCAGCACCTTTCAGGTGACAGGTTTGAAATTTCTATTACTAGCTCATAAGCCTGACATTGTCTTCTGAAACAGAAGTCATAATGTTTTGATCATCCATTAAAAGATATGAAGGCAGCAGTTAAGAATCTTCTCAAACATGCATGCTAGTGAGAGAAACCTCAGAGATTTGGCCACAATTGAAGACTACAGACTGTTTCAGGAAACTTTTTATGTTTCTTCTTTCTTGTCAACAGGTGGTGGTAGTTTTTCCTTGATTACTAAAGCATTCCCTGACAAAAAGCCATATTACCACTGAGTGGTAAAACAACTCTCTTCTACCATTATTCTATGCCCATGGAAATGTTTTCTGCTGTTGACTCATTGCAAATTAACTCAATGGCACTGAAATTAATCACCCATACTCTTTATCTCTATTTAGAAAAATAGATACTCCTTTGCTTTTTGTCATTGGTACCATGAGGAGCCCAACAGAACTTTGCATCATTTATAGTCTTCTGTAACTGCCTTAATAGGTTTAATTAGTATACTGGATTTTGTTTTCCAAGAGCTTGCATATTTTTAATGGGTTTGCTCTCTTGTTAAATACTCTAAATGACTTTCCATGAAGACCAAATTTCAATAGGGGTAGAATGGATATCAGTAAAAAATACTACTAATCTTAGATTGTTTTTTCCCATGATTTTCAGTTCAAATATTTAGTGGTGAGTATTTACCAATTACAAGCACATAAAATACATTAATAGTAAAATTTCAAATGTCTTATGAAAACATTTTTCCGTGATTATAAGTTTAAATATTTAGCAGTGAGTTTTCAACAGTTTAAATATATGTGCCTTTTTTAAAATAAAAATAAAATGTCTAATGCTGGTTCAAGAAATATCTTCCATATCACTGTAGTCAAAATGTTAAAAAATAACAATATCTTATACCTGAAAAGCACTTCAAAGTGTCTTCATAAGCATTATTTATAGTAATGCATCCTAAGTGTTTCAATAAATGATGGAATACAGATGCTCTAAAGATTCTTACTTGGAGATAAGTATTCTCTTCCTGTTTCTTTTGATAAACATTTTTACATTCTTTACAAATTAGGTAGAGCATTAAAATTGGTGGAAATTCTGACAATTTATTTAAAGGGGAATTATTTTATTCCATATGTTGCTACAGAAGAATTACAATCAAAAAAATCATGAAAGACATTTATTGGTATAATACCATCTAAAGAAGATAAAATATATGATAATTTTGTTTAAAGAGAGAAAAAATAAATAAAAAGCTGATCTTTATAGATCAGACATTTTGAGAAATGTGAAAATAAAAGAAGACAACCTAAGAGTGTTTATATGTTAAAAACTCAATACACTAACAAATGTTTTTGGAGTGTTCATTAGATCCCAGGCACTCTTCTAGGTCCTGGAGACACATTAGTGAACAAAAAATAATCTTTGATGGAATGTAATTTATATTCTCTTGGAAGAGACAGCAAAAAATGAATAAATAAATGTAAATTAAAATGTGCAGCAGAAAAGCAGGATCCAGGGCTGCAGAGTGAAAGAGGCACTCTTTCAGAGAGGACCGTTAGGAAGGACCCAAGAAACTAAGTTGAAAGAAGACCGGATTGAAGTAAAGCAGAGAGACTTGTGAATATCTGGTGTAAATGCATTCTGACAAGAAAACTCATGCAAAGGCCCTGAGGCATCATGGTGCTCAGCACATTTAAAAAACAGAATTGAGGTGTGTGTAGCTGGAACACAATAGGAAATCCATCTTTTATTAGACTTCTTGTGACAGTGACTGTTAGATTTCCACATAATGGTTTAAAATGTCTATTACCCAACACAATGCAAAACAATAACAACCTTTGAATAAAATCCACAGACATACTAGTAAAAAGAAATGATGTGATCAGTATGTGGACCACACTTGTGTTAAAGGAAAAAAAACTACTACTGAGATTATAAATCTATCTCACTACTGATAGATTATAAATCTATACTACAAATTATAAATCTACACTACAGATAGATTATAAATCTATCTCAGTAGTGTGGTTTTTTTTCCATAATCCTGGATTTTATGAGATTAACACAAGTCACTATGTTTTTTTGTTTTTTTAATTGTTTTAATTTATATAAGTGTTTCTATCTTTATAATTATTCATACAAATTTATTCTGCAACATTAAACAGATGATAGACTGATAAACTATGTATGCATTGATTTTATGTGCACATTAAATGGGAATGATAATTATGTAAAATAACATAATTAAGGTGTTCTTATGTTATTTGCTCTGGAAGTTATCTTTTATGAGATTTTCTTTGTCATATAACTAATCTAAACAATATTTAGCAGTAAAGTAAGAAGAAAGCAAAAAAGAAATCTACTACTTCAAGTAGAACACAGACCAAGACATTGTGTTAAATCCCGGTTCTGCCACTTACTCACTGTGTGACAGCAAGTTTCTCATTTTTCCTAAGCCTTAGCATACTGTTCTGTAAAACCAAGATAATTTATTATTGTTTTCAAACATGCACTATCAAAATTATAGGCACAGTATCAAACAACTAGTAAGGTGCTCAAAAATTGGCACTTATTTAATTATGTGGGATATAATGGCTTTTTAAAAAAATAATTTGATCAATCTTTTATTCTTTAATTTATAGTACCCCCTCCTTTCTTTTTCTTTTTCTCCTTTTTCTTTTTTGCCTTTGTTAGATGCCTAGGCACGCCTCAGTACCAAGCATTATTAGTACCAGCTCACATTCCTTTCCTTATTTAAAAAGGGGACTAACTTTCTAGCTCATTATAAACACCCCCTTCCCCTTTCTCTCCACTTTCTTTTACGTACCCACCCTACCTAAAAAAACTAAACGTTTAGCCAACCGGGATTAGTTGAAATTATACAACCCGAGCCAATGGGGAAAGGGTACAGGGGCAGGACTTGCGTCAGAAATAAAGGCTCTTGTGCCCTTTATTCAGGTGTACTCTTATGGCAACTGGCCAAGGAGGCACCCCTTTGTGCAGAAGTAAAACTGTTTTGCTAAGAATCTTTTGTTCAAGTGTTTAATTTCCTTAGGATTTTAAGCGTTATTCCTAACAATTCATATTAGTAGTTTGTTTTAATCCTCATCATCACTATTACTAACCAATTGTAAATCTCAATTGTCGACAGCAGTACAACAACATATTCCCCAGATGAAATTATAATACCTGACCCTGCCAGGATGTACTGGCAACTTAGAGGACTTGCTCAACCTTGCATTATTAACTTACCTTATGGCAGATGGCAATTTGTGATAATGTTACTCCTGGGAGTTACGTTGTGTTGCTATGTCATTGTTTGATGGTGAAGGCCAGGTTAGCAGAGAAGAAAACAGTGACCAACATCTGCAGAATTACAATCCCAGTGAAGAATAATAATGAAGAAGGTTGTTCTCACAACATTTTCGTGCAAGAATTATTCTATAACATAAGTACACCTTAATAACTTATACCCTCTTCTTCAGTAAATGACAGTTCCATACTTCTATGACTTACCTTTTGAGAAAATCACATTAACAAAATGCTTCTATAAATGATGTAACACTTCTTAAAGAATATTTATTTTTATTAACCACAACAGTTTTAAAAACAATACACATAGGCACTAAATACAGGATACATAGTGAAATTTAGCATTTATAAAGGTGGCATCTCAAATCCAAGCGGAAGAGAAGGACTATCCAAAACAAGGATTTGAGCCAACTGGATAACTGTACAGAACAAAATGAATTTGGTTCAATACTTCATACAGTAAAACAAGATAAATTTCTGAATATTAAAGAGTGAAGCAGTCAACACATTTAGTGTAACACTCTGCTTCCCCAAAAGTCCCCAAGGCCATCAACATGGAGTCAAGATAGCATATTCTAAGATTACCACCACTCCACTCAAGGCTGAGAACCTAAAACCATACCTGCTAGGACTTCTGTCCTCTTAATCAGAAACACAGCTCCCCCATCCCCGAAACACGCACACCCTCCAATTAATACACTAAGGCCTGAAGAGGTTCTCTGCCTTGAATACTCCCAGATTTACTTCATTATACCTTTACCTCTATTTATGGCCATGATCACACTCTTGGAAAATCTACCCTTTAATCATAGTAAGAATACCTACATCCTCATTCTGTCATCTTTTCCCAAGTCATCCAATTGCTGAAACTCTTCCACTGTACTCCCTGAAATTTGTGGGTCCATTAGTAGCAAAATTCTATCCCCTTCATCTCCTTTCCTAACTGAAACCTGGCTCTCCCTATGGGCTCTCCTTTCCCTACAGTGGCTGTTTTTTGATCCATAGTCCTAGTGTCACTGGGCCTGTGACTTAGATGTCATCTTGCTCCTCATTGCTGCTTTCAGAGCATCCCCCCTCCCTAAAAACCCAGCTTTGATATACTGTCATCAGATAATATCACCAAATACTCTACCTTTGCTGACATATTATATGCTCTGAATCCTTTCTCCTAATTTCTCAACAATTTTAGCCCCTGATTCTTCACTATCACTCTCTTCAATACAACTTCTTCCTTCTTCCATGGTGATTTAATAGGCATGCCATATTAGTTCACTTGGGCTGCCATAACAAAACCAAAAACGGAGTGGTTTAAATAACAGAAATTTCTTTTCTCACAGTGCTGAAGGCTCAAAGTCCAAGATTAAGATGCCTTCAGGGTTGGTTTCCTCTGAGGCTTCTCTCATTGACTTGCAGATGGCCACCCTCTTGCTGCCGCTTTCACACGGTCTTTTCTCTGCATGCATGCATCTCTGGTGTTTCTCTTTCTATGTCCTAATATCCTCTTTTTACAAGGAAACCAGTCCATGTTGTTTTAGGGCTCACTATAATGTCCTCATTTTAGCTTAATTATCGCTTTAAATTCCCTGCATCTAAATACAGTCACATGCTAAGGTATTGGAAATTAGGGCTTCAACATATGAATTTGGGGGAGACACAATTCAGTCCATAATATATGCAGATGATCCATCTTATAATCTGTCTTCTCTTTTTTTTAACTTCATCCCTTTTAATGATCCATCATTAAAGCTATGCCCTTTAAAATATATGTCATATGATGTTTTTTACCCTATCTCAGCTACTCATTCTCAATATCACATCATAGCTTTTGTCAGAACTGCAACCTCTCCATAACCTCACTTTACTTCCCATTCTGTCTCCCCCATTTCTCCTCACAATTTACTCCTACTAATATCTCGGTCTCCATAATTCCTCAACCCCATTAACATGAATCCTACCATCTTTTCCCTGCCTTGGTGTCCTCATTCCCCTCCTTACACAGCATAAATTATTGGTCTCTGTACCCCTTCTCTCACATCATTGAACTGATTTAGAAATGCTCCAAAACTGGTCAAACTAACTCTCACCATTCTGTACCTTCAGTGTCTCTGCTGAACATAGCTGAAGGAATACATGCTATCTAGTGTCACTCTAAATCCACAGTCATGAACATCAAGAGGGCCCTTAATGCTACCAGCATACTTTATGCCTCTAGTACATTCAGTCTCCCACACTCCAAGGTGACCATAACTCCTTAGTCTCTCTCCTCACCCCAACACCTCCTCCCTCATCCTCATTCTTAAAGGCCTTGCCACTTATCTTCTATAAACTGAATGTTTGTGCCACCCACGCTCCAATACCAATTCATATGTGAAAACCTAATCCCCAGTGTGATGGTATTAAGAAGTAGGGTCTTTGTAGGTGATTAGGATATGCAGGTGGAGTCCTTGTGAATGAGACTAATGCCCTTATAAAAGAGATCCAAGAGAGCTCCCTTGCCCCTTCTGCCATGCGAGGACACAAGAAGTTGGCTATCCATAAACCAGGAAGCAGATCCTCACCAGACACCAGATCTGCTAGCATTTTGATCTTGGACTTCCCAGTCTTCAGAACTGTGAGAGGTTAGTATTTATCACTTATAAGCCACCATGTCTATGGTAATCTGTTATAACTTCTCAAAATGAGTAAGAAATTACCTCACTGAAATATTGAAACATTCCATAGATCCTGGCACATAATACATATGCATCTACACCCATCTCCACACACAGGGTCTACTTTTCTTCCCACTGGCATAGATTAACTATCCATCTTCATAATCTAAATCTAGTCCCTCCATTTGTGCACCAGATCACATCCTTCCTGCCTAATCAAGACCATAATTTAGCACTTTTCACCATGCTTTCCATCGTCAAATCCTTAATCTCTTCTGTATCATTTCTATCAGTATACACACATGCTATTATTTCTCCCAACTTAAAACAATAATAATTACAAGAAAAAAGTCATTCTCTTAGCCTCACTTTTACTATCAGCTACAACAAACATTTTCCTGCACAATAAAATTACCTGAAAGAGTTGACTAAACTGATTGTCATCCATTTCTCTTTTATCATGTCTTTTAAACCCTACTTAAATCAGGGTTTCATCTCCACCACTTAATCAAAAGTACTTAACAAGGTCACTCAGTAATTCCACATTGTAAATCCTATCATCAATTCTCAGTCCTCATTATCCTCAATGCTTACTGCTATCAGCAACATGTGACACACTGTCTTTATTGTTAGCTTCTTTTGCTAATCCCTTCTCTTGTCCTCAGAGTCTTAATGACATGCCCCAGATTATGCTGTTTGGTCCTTCTTCTCTCTATACTCATTCACTTGGCAACTGCATCCAGTCAGGTGCCCACTCAACATCACTACTCAGAAACCTCCTAAAACTCTATGATAAAACAAGCTCATATGAAACTTCTGATTTCCCCCCAAATCCTTCCACTGATAGCATTTGCATTTTGATTGCTGGTAACTCCAATTTTCTAGTTTCTCAGGAAAGCCTTCCAATCATTTTGGCATCCTCTTGCATTCTTTTTCCCATATCCAATCCATTAGGAAATTCTTTTGGTAAGCCCTATAGAGTATATTAATGTGAGCACATCTGACCATCTCTACTGCTTCCACTCTGTTCTGTCTTCATCTCCTCTTGTCTAGAATTTTGCAATATAATTTTAACTGATCTTTTCATTTCTACTCTTGCTCTTCTATATTCTCAACACAGCAGCCAATATGATCCATTTAAGACATGTCATATTTGTTATTCCTCTCCTCAAAAGTCAATAATGATCCCTCATTTCACTCAAAGTAAAAGCTAAAGTCTTGACAGGGGTCTAGGAAGCTTTACATGATCGGATCTCTATTGCCTCTTTGGATTCCTCTGCAACTACTCTCCTCCTCATTCATTACCTTCCATCCCAATGGCTTCTTGCTTCTTCTCAGGCATGCTCTTGACTTAGGGTCTCTGCCTAGAATTTTCTTCTCCCAGATATTTGCATGAAAGTCATTTACTTTCTTCCTGGCTTTGCTCAGCTATTACCTTCTCCATGAGGCCTACACTGATTATCTTATTTAAAATTGCAACTTATATACTCCGCTTGATACTCCAGTCCCCTTAACCTGCTTTTTCTCTTAATTTTAAGAGCACCCATCACTCTCTAACATTCTATATAGTTTACTTATTTCATTTACTTTTAATCTATTCCCCTTCACAGGAATATATGTCTGTTTCCCTCCACCAGAATGTAAGCTCCACAAAGGCAAGGATATTTTCCTGTCTTGATCACCGAAATATTCCAAGTATTTAAAGCAGTTTAGACTACAAATCCTGTTGACTTATGATGGGATTATATTTCATTAAACTCATAGTAAATTAAAAATATCATAGGTTAAAAATGCTTCTAATATACCTAACCTACTGAACATCGTAGCTTAGCCTAGCATAACTTAAATGTGCTTAGAACACTTACATTAACTACAGTTGGGGAAAATTATCTGACAACACAGTATACTGCAGGGTGTTGGTTGTTTGCCCTCGTGATCACATGGCTGACTAGAAGCTGCAGCTCTTTGCCCTGCCAGCATTGTGAGAGAGTATTGTACTCCATATTGCTAGCTCAAGGAAAGATGAAAATTCAAAGTATGGTTTCTACTGGATGTGCCTCACTTTCACAACACTGTGAAGTCAGAAACCCAAAGTCAAAGCATCTTCAGTCAGGACCATTTATATGTGACAGACACTCAACAAACATTTATTCAATGAATGAATCAATCAAACAGAAATTCAAATGTTAAAAAAATGAAATTATAAACTGCTGGAATAAACTTTTGTGTGTTGGAGAGGCAACTATAAAAAAAGGCCTTTTATTGTACCTCGAAATTCTAAATCCGAAAAAAAAACTGAATTAAAATAATTTTGAAAGAAAAACGCAATAAGCCAAGACAAATCTCAAATCACACAAAAAAAAGGCTCACATATCAAATATGAAGACCAATCTTTGTAATATATAAAGACCTTTTAGAAACTGATAATAAAATCTAACAGTCCAATAGGAAAATAGGCAAAGGCTATGAGCATAAAATTCATATAGAAAGAATAATGATGGTTTTAACCATATAACGAGATGCCCAATTGTTTTCATAATAAGAGAAATACAAATTAAAACTGCCCTGAGATTTTATATTTACCCATCAGAAAGACAAAATCCAGAGGCTTGATAAAGCTCTCTACAGGTAAGCTTGATAATATCACTCTCACACATTGAGAACATAAACTGGTGCAGCTCCTGTGGAAAGCAATTTATCAATATCTGACAAAATTACAAATGCGTACATCTTTTGACCTAGTAATACTGCTTCTGGGAATGTATCCTACACAAACCTATTTGGCACATGTGACATGAGGTCTGTAAGAAGTTATGTGTCACAACATTGCAAGTTGTAGTAAAATAATAGGAACAAAACAAATGTATATCAGCAAAGCATTGGTTAAATAAATCATAGGACAGTACCTCCATCAAATGAAATACTATTCAACTGTATAAAAGAATGCAGCTCTCTGTATTTTGGTATGGCATGAACTCCAAGAAATAGTGTTAACTAAAAACTTCAAAGTGAAGAACAATGGTGTCTTGTATTTAAAAGGCAGGTCAAAAAAAGTCATATAATTTGCACTACCTTACAGGTTGCCTTAGTCCATTTGGGCTGCTATGAAAAAAATCACAAACTGAGTTGCTTATTAATAACATAAATTTATTTCTCCCAATTCTGGAGGCTTGGAAGTCCATGATCAAGGCACTGGTATATTCAGTGTCTGGTGAAAGCCTGCTTCCTGCCTCATAGATGGCACCTTCTCAATGTGTTCTTACATAGTGGAAGGAACTAAGAGTCTCTCTCAGGTCTCTTGCATAAGGGCACTAATCCCATGTATGAGTGTTCCATCCTTATACCTAATCACTACCCCAAAGGACTCACTTCCTAATACCATCGCCTTCGGGGTTAGGATTTCTATATATAAATTTGGGGAGAAAGCAAACATTCAGCCCATGGCACCTGTATATAAGCAAACACTGGAAAGATATAGAAAACATTAATTAAAGTAGTTACATGTGGAGTCAGACAATAGGACTGGGCAAAAGAGAGAAAAAGGTGGGAGCAAGACTTTCATTGTACTATTTTGCATTTTTAATATTATTTTTGAATGACAAAAAGATATTATCTATCCTAAAAATTGAATGATAAAAACTGTTGCAGAAAAATAACTCATAAAATTACCTCAGTACTACATTATTGAAACACAAGTAACTTCATTTGATCAGTACCTTGATTGAACAGTTTACATACACTAAATATGGAGCCAGAGAAATAGAAGTTTCCTCCGTTTTGGCTCCAGGAAGATTGTAGTGAGGGAGGAACTGGAACTGGGAAAGAATTTGTCACTGTTATTTATTAGAACCTGCAGGCCAGCAAGCATGTCAGGGATCTGAATAAAACAAAGCAAAAAGCATTATTAGCATCAAAAAACAACCACTGGCAGTGAGCAACGCCACTTGCAGAATGAATAAACAGGTGTATAGCCACTTAAAGCATAATTTCCACATAATAGAAGCAAATAGGTACATAAAAGAGAAGCCACCCCACTGAGACTGAGAAAAATTGGACCACAGAGCAGTAAAATGGCACTGTTGTTGAAATAACAATCAAGTTAGTAGGTGATGAAAACAGAAAGAAAACAGTGAGGAAACCCTCCATACATTTAGCATCAGTCAATCCCTTTCTAGGTACAGCTCAAGGCCAACAGTTGAAAAGAAGCCTGCACCCTAATGCTCCCATCTCTTAGTCTCAAAGTATAGTATTAAAAAGTGATATGTAGGGACAAGTAGGTTTCTCCCACCATGATTCCTAACAAGACTCTTCACCAAAATCTGAACGATCAAAGGAGTGTAGCCACATTAATTAAAAACATAATTGAAGAATATAACAATGAATATAATTGGGAGTATTTTACCTATAGAAGAGAGGGGTAATATTACTAAAACACCATGGGTTCAGTCTAGGCCTCGCCTCTTACCATGAGCAGAAAGCCAATGACTGAGACAAGAAGTATTGCTAAGGAAGAAGGTTTTAATTGGGTGCAGCAGCCAAGGAGATGGGAGATCAGTCTCAAATCCATCTCCCTGACTGACTAAAACTAGGGATTTAGATGGCAGTGAAGAAATGTAACTATGTGTGAGAAAACAGGAACTCAGGAGGGGTAAGGAAGCAATCATAAGGAATGAGGGGCCTGGAGTCTCATTGTCTGAATGCGATCATCTGGTGAGTTGTAGTTCTTTGATACTTTTCAAGAGGCATGAGAGTCCTTTTCTGAGAAAGAAACTCAGGTAAAATAAATTAAGTGTTCAAGCTTTAAGACCAGAAGTGTCAATTTCTATGTTTATTCCCCTACCCCCACAAAAAAATCTATGGGACTATTGGGTCAGTTTCAGTAAGAAAAAGACCAACTATGATCAGCATCAACCAGAACAAATATTATTTGATTACCAACCAGTTTAGGTCTTGGGAATTAGAGAATAAAAGAATAAACCTTGCCTCAAGGAGCTTAGGAGATAGGGCATATACACTCAAAAAAAAAAAAAGTTGTAAACTGTTTCCTTTTGGGTCAATCCAGCACAGAAATATGTTATATTATAGAATGATACATTAATATTTAAAATATTAGGTAATTTCATATAAAACTTTGGATCTCAGCTTTGCTTCAAAACCAGGACACAGAGCATTATTGAGTGTTGAGAGGAGGAAGTGTTTCAGGGACCATGGGATATATTTTGCACTGAAGACAAAAGAAGCACCATGTATGAACTGATGGGGACTGTGGCCTATAAAGCGCAGAGCAAGATGAAGTACAAAGTTGAGAGGTATATTAGTCAGCTTGGGCTGCCACAACAAAATATCATAGACTGAATGGCTTAAACAAGATAAATTTGTTTTCTCCCACTTCTGGAGACTGGAAACCCAAGATCAGAGTGCCACCATGGTCAGATCCTGTTGAGGGCTCTCTTTCTGGCTTGCAACCAGCTGCCTTCTCACTGTGTCTTCAAATAATGCAGAGAGAAGCCCCCAATCCCATCATGAAGGCTCTACCCTCTTATAAGGCCCCCAATCCCATCATGTATGCTACCCTCTTGACCTAATCTAACTATAATTACCTCTGAGAATACCCATCTCCAAATACTATCACACTGGGGGTCCGGACTTCAACAGATGAATTTGTGGAGGACACACTCATTCAGTCCATAACAAGGAGCTAAGGTAAACCACTTGCTAGATAATAGATTTGCATGTAATAAAAGCCTTGTTGGAAAAGACATGACTTTTCAATAATCTCATATCATCACTCTTTTATATTTTAAATTCAGTATACTTAATAATCTTTCTTTACTCCAAACTTCACCCTTTATTTTACAATACAAATATTATTCCCCAAAATGTTATCTTGTACCCCTTCCTACTCCTATTTATCATTTCTAGCCAAGGTAATGTACAATCCATTTCATACCAGTTATATACATAAAGCCATGAGCTCAATTTCACAAACCACATGAGAAAATTTGCCTTGTTAATTTATATTTGCTTTTCATACAAAATAATATTTTTAATTAGTAGAGATTTAGAATCTTGTCAATAATAAAATTAGTTAATTCAGTGATGCTAAAGAGAGTCAAATAAGGTAATGTTTTACTTTAAAATTAATTACCTGTGCACATTCTTTAATAATAAAGAAGCATTTCACTTATTTTGTAAAACTGCCGTTAAATATTTAATATTTTAAAACATCCTGTTAAGATTTGCTTTTGTCCATAATAATCACCATATTTACAACATTATTCTCCATTGCAGCTCTTTTCTTTGAAAGCGGGTGGCTTGAATTTCATAATTAGTAAAATAGAGCATCAAAATGCAACTTTTGTCAAGATCCTAAAAGAATAAACTTACATCAGAATAAGGTCCAAATTATACTGGTGTTAGAGCCAATGAAATCAGCAAAACAGGGGCTCCCTCTTAGTGCTCCATGTACAACTTTCCCTTTAGAGGTCTTCACCTCACCATCAGAGTCCCTGAAGCTGGGTTTGGAATCAGCATTTGCTCTGAGAAATGCAGGAAAAGAATGAGCTTATCTTTGACAAGAATGTTAATGCAAAAGAGACCTCAAAACCTGTATAACCAATTTACAGATTTGAACCACTATCACAGCTCTACCACTTACTAGCTCTTTGGCCATTTAAGCTGTCTGAAATGCAGTGTCCTCATCTGCAAAAGTGGTATGATAATAATGCCTATTACCTAGAATTATCATGAATTAAGTTCTTAGCACAGTGTCCTACTAAAAGAAAGCAATTCAATACAGACAAAAGAGCCAAATGAATACACGAATTTATTTTCCCTCCTTCCTGAAACCATATGATATTAGTTGCGTTGTTTTGTTCTGTTGTTTTGTTTTGCATTACTTTGATTTTTTCAATATGCAAAGCCGAGAAGAGAAAAGAAGAGGAGGGAAGAGGAGGGGAGGGGAGGGGAGGGGAGGGGAGGGAAGGGAAGAAGAGCGGCAAAAGTTTCAAAGCCAGAAAGTAAATAATTGACTAATGGTAACTGACAGCAAACCCAAGAAAGCAAAATACAAAGCTGGTACTGGGAGAAGTGAGAAGCAACCCTATCTATTTACAGCAGGTAACTGCCCTCCTCTGGAGGTGTAGGTGAAACTAAATCCAGAAGACGAAAATTGGTCAAAAGTGTTTTTAAGAACCACTTATCTCACCACGATATTGTCAGATGAGCTCTGATATGGTTTGGTTCTTTGTTCCCACCCAAATCTCATCTTGGATTGTATGCCCATAATTCCCATGTGTTGTGGGAGGGACCAGTGGGAGATAATTGAATCATGGGGGCCATTTCCCCTATACTGTTCTCATCATAATGAATAAGTCTCACAAGATCTGATGGTTTTACCAGGGGGATCTGCTTTTGTGTCTTCTCTCATTCTCTCTTTGCTTGCTGCCATCCATGTAAGACGGGACTTCCTCCTCCTTGTCTTCCACCATGATTGTGAGGCTTCCCCAGCCACATGGAACTGCAAGTCCAATTAAACCTCTTTCTTTTGTAAATTGCCCAGTCTCTGGTATGTCTTTATCAGCAGCATGGAAATGACTAATAGAGTAAATTGGTACCAGTAGAGTGGGGGCGTTGCTGAAAAGATACCCAAAAATGCGGAAGCAACTTTGGAACTGGGTAACAGGCAAATGTTGCATAAGTTTGGAGGGCTCAGAAGAAGATAGGAAAATGTGGGAAAGTTTTGAACTTCCTAGAGACTTGTTGAATGGCTTCACCCAAAATGCTGATAGTGATATGGACAATAAGGTCCAGGCTGAGGTGGTCTCAAATGGAGATGAGGAACTTGTTGAGAATTGGAGCAAAGATGACTCTTGTTATGTTTTAGCAAAGAGACTGGTGGCATTTTGCCCATGCCCTAGAGATTTGTGGAACTTTGAACTTGAGCGAGATGATTTAGGGTATCTAGCTGAAGAAATTTCTAAGCAGAAAACATCCAAGAGGTGACTTGGGTACTGTTAAAAGCATTCAGTTTTAAAAGGGAAACAGAGCATAAAAGTTTGAAAAACTTGCAGTTCGACAATGTGATAGGAAAGAAAATCCCATTTTCTGAGGAGAAATTCAAGCCACCTGCAGAAATCTGCATAAGTAACAAGGAGCCAAATGTTAATCCCCAAGACAATGGGGAAAATGTCTCCAGGGCATATCAGAGATCTTCACAGCAGCCCCTTCCATCACAAGCCCAGAGCTCTAGGAGGAAAAAGTGGTTCCATGGGCTGGGCCCAGGGGCCCCGAGCTGTGTACAGCCTAGGGACTTGGTGCCCTGCATCCCACCTGCTCCAACCATGGCTAAAAGGGGCCAATGTAGAGCTTGGGCCATGGCTTCTGATGATGCATGCCCCAAGCCTGGGCAGCTTCCATGTGGTGTTGAGCCTGCAGGTGCACAGAAGTCAAGAATTGATGTTTGGGAACCTTCACCTAGATTTCAGAAGATGTATGGAAACTCCTGGATGACCAGGCAGAAGTTTGCCACAGGGATGGGGCCCTCATGGAGAACCTCTGCTAGAGCAGTGAAGAAGGGAAATGTGCGATAGGAGCCCCCACAGAGAGTCCCTACTGGGGCACCACCTAGTGGAGCTGTGAGAAGAGGGCACCGTCCTCCAGACCCCAGAATGGTAGATCCACCTACAGCTTGCACCGTACACCTGAAAAGCCACAGACATTCAACACCAGCCCATGAAAGCAGGTGGGAGGGAAGCTGTATGCTACAAAGCCACAAGGGCTGAGCTGCCCAAGAGCATGGGAACTCACCTCTTGCATCGGTGTGACCTGGATGTGAGACATGGAGTTAAAGGAGATCATTTTGTAGTTTTAAGATTGGACTGCCCGGCTGGATTTCAGAATTGCATGGGCCCTGTAGCACCTTTGTTTTGGCCAATTTCTCCCATTTGGAATCATTGTATTTACCCAGTGTCTGTACCCCCATTGTATCTAGGAAATAACTAGCTTGCTTTTGATTTTACAGGCTCATGGGCAGAAGGAACTCACCTTGTCTCAGATGAGACTTTGAACTGTGGACTTTTAAGTTAATGCTGAAATGAGTTAAGACTTTGGGGGACTGTTGGGAAGGCAGGATTGGTTTTGAAATGTGAGGACATGAGATTTGGCAGGGGCCAGGGATGAATGATATGGCTTGCCTCTATGTCACCACCCAAATCTCATCTTGGATTCTACTCCCATAATTCCCATGTGTTGTGGGAGGGACCCGGTGGAAGATAATTGAATCATGGGGGTCATTTCCCCCATACTGTTCTCATGGTAGTGAGTAAGTCTCATAAGATCTGATGGTTTTATCAGGATTTCTGCTTTTGAATCTTCTATCATTCTCTCTGCCTGCTGCCATCCATGTAAGATGGAACTTGCTCCTCCTTGCCTTCTCCATGATTGTGAGGCTTCCCCAGTCAAGTGGAACTGTAATTCCAATTAAACCTATTTCTTTTGTAAATTACCCAGTTGGATGGCTGTTTCACCCCATTGAACATTTACATCCTGAATGCCAAGATCTTTGCCTTCTTACCCCATGCACATCACAGAGGTTGAAAGCCAGGCCTATAACCTTTCCAGCAAGAGATTGGAAGCAATTACTCAAAAAATCTGACCTGTACACTGAAAAATAGGATCAAAACAAAATGAAAAGGCTTCCCAGAGAAACATAAACTATCCAGAGAGAAGAGATTTTCAAAATATTATTATTAAGATACTCGGAAACCTAATACAAGATAATTCATCTATGAAAAAGAGAGCAGAATACTATTTTTAAAGAGAAACATTAGAAAACAAAGAAGGGCTTCCTGATTTCCACTCTAGGCAGTGATACAGTAAGTGGAGTTAATATGCCCCCGTATGATTTCCAAAATCACACAAAGGCCACATGTGAATATCATTCAGCTCTGACATCCTGCTTTAACATCCTTTATTCATATTCATCTTCCCTGATTCCCTATTTTGGTTTGAATGTCCCTTATGTGACTGTACAACATATCCTGTGCATATATCTTTCATAGCCATATACAATATACCATAAATTTTTATGTTTAGTTGTCCATCTCCCACACAGAGTGTGAAGATCCTCCAGGGAAAGACCGGGTATCACCAACACATGGCATGATGTCTGACATATTAGTATGTGCTTAATAAACGTCTGTTGAATGAATAAATTGAATGGATGAGTGAAATGCTGTCACACTAGTTTGGTATGTCACCAGGACTGATAATCCCAAAAGTCCATTATCAGCTTTGCTGAACTCCCATGCTGAAATCAGCTATGCCACTTTCCAGAGGAAAAACAAAAAACAGAAAAATGCTTAGGTAGAGAAAGAAAAGAAGGATAGGATCCTTTCTTCAGTAAAGAATGCCCATTTGAACAAATAATATCTAATTATATACAAGAAAAATAACTCTATGAATCACCTATGGATTTCTCCTTCCAATTGCAAAGGCAAATGCTCTGTTACTATCTCCAAATTCCCACTCACATACTTTCAAACATTAACAGTAGTCAGATCTGAAGATTCTTTTTGGTTCTATATTTTCTGATGTTTCTATAGTAGACAGGTATTACTTGGATAATAAAAATTAATTATATATATATAATAATATAAATTCAAATCAATACTGAAATATACTTTAAGAAAATCCCCACCTCTTTCTGAATCAACAATGGCATAGGGATCTTAACCTTGTTCCTACATCATAGTCAACAGTGAAGCTTGTTAAAAGATACTATTGTCCTGGCTCCTCTCAGATATGCAGAACAAATATCTATGAGAGAGACATCTAGGTATGCATATTTCTAACTTGCTACACAGGTGAATCTGATGTCCAAGCAAAGCTCGTAGTCACCACTTATAGAACATATAAAGGCTCCTTACAGATCTATGATCTTAATTAAATAATCAGGACTCCACCCATTCATTGACTTCATTCACAACTGACAGGTAAGAAAGTACTCATTAACTGGGTAAGAAGAGGGAAAAAGAATACATAAAGAATAGGATTTCTCAGGGTAATGACTGAACACAGTTTAATCCAAATCCAGAGTATCTATTAAGTGAAGACAATGAATAAAACAGGACTTACCAGGATTACTTCAAGTTTATCTTGCTTTTCTATATTTCTAACTGCTAAGGCATAATTTATTAGAGGATTACCTCCGTTAAAACCCACCCTCTTAGCCTTTTTGCCAGCAATTCTTTCCAAAGCATATAAAAGCTTATTTCAGTTCTTAAGAAGCTAGTTAATCAAATGGATATTCAAGTTCACTTGCCTGGTGTCCTTTGCAAAGAGTTGACACTGAAATAAGGGCTTATAGCACATTCATTTGAGCTATTAACCATGCCTTCTAACTATTTATCTTCCTTCCCAGACTCAAAAGCTAAAATTTTGTTAGCCTGTCACTTTATTTTTATTCAACATATTGCATTTGGATAGCATCACTATTATATTAATGTAATGGATCATTTCTGTAATTGAGTGTGAATACTATCACTTTTCACCCTTCTAGAGTTATTAATTTCAGTTTATTCATTGAATTTTTGAATGTAGCTGCACAGTAAATAATGCAACACAAAGAGGCGTTAACCTATTCACGAAGCCTACGACAAGGATATAAAGCCAGTGGTGTATTAACTTTAAAAATAGATTAATCTTATCTTGTAAAAAGAAGATAAAAGATAGTTCTGTCAGTAAGAACAACGATGCTTGAGGCTGTAAACCATACTTGAAAATATAAAGAGAAGCCTGGAAGCATATGTTAAATTTTTCTTTCTGTCCTTGGAGAAAGCCTTCAACTCAGTGGAAATTAAACACACCACACACACACACACACAGACACACATACACACACGCACACACAAACACATACACCTTCAGTCATTCAGGTATTTCTTCATATTGGCTATGTTGATAAAGCATAAACCCAACAATAACAACAATAATTATAATGTCATCTCACAGCACTTTACAGAAGCCTTTATATACATGAAACTGAAAATTGATTGAATTCTTAAGTGTGACCATTACACTGTCCAATAATATCCTAAGGCATATAGATTAGAAAACGAAGTAGAGAACGTAACAGTATTAATCACACTAACACAGTAGTTCAAACTAGCAACAAAATTCAGTGCAAATTACATATCTGCAGAGTCATGTAGGAAAGATATTTGAATAGCTTAAGAATTATCCTCAAGTTTTTGAGAAAAGCACTCAACATCATTTGTAAAACACAGACAAACCTGGATTAAAGGACTGCCAAATGGATTACGAGCTCTTTGTATTGTGAGCTCCTTAGGGTGGACTGAGACTGCTTCATCCTCTCTTTCCTAAAGCCTAGCACAGTGCTAGCTATATACAAGGAGCTTAACAATTTTAAGGGAATAAACCAGCTAAGATTCTTAAATACAGCCTATTACAGAATAACTAGTGATACCCATACTACAACTCTGTTGAGTCAAACACATGTAGGATTAGATACAAGCACAATGTCTAAAGTGTTTTTTTTTTCCTTTTGTGTATAGAAATAGAGTAGCTACAGGACAGAGATGGAAGAAACGAGAAGCTCACTTACCTTGTCTATTCAAAGTCATTTATATGTAAAGCATAGTGTATAACATAGTGGCTTTACAGGAAGCTGAGAACTGAATATGATACAGCAATGAAAATGAAGGAACTACTGTTATATGCAACCACATGGATGAATTTCAACACACAGAGAACCTAGACCAAAGGCAAGTCACTTTGCATTTTTTTTGGTTTGTGTTGTGGTCTGAAAAATGAGGCTGATAATACCAACCACATAAGTTTTCTGAAGATTGAGTTGTCTCTTGTGTATAAAAATCATAAAATAAATGTTAATCATCATCAAATTTATTAATGTTATGATTATATGTGTGGTGCTCCCCTAGCACTGTGGAGAGATTGTATCCTGTCAGAAAGTAGTTTACAATCTGGTAGAAAAGATAAATAAGAGATGGATGTAGCTACTGTGTGCCTTTGTTTTTCCATTTGTGAAAATAGATAATAACACCCACCTAATCAGTTCACTGCACTCCAGCTTGGGTGACAGAGCAAGACCCTGTTGAGAGGTGACAGCATGCTGGCAGTCCTCACAGCCTTCGCACGCTCTCGGCGCCTCCTCTGCCTGGGCTCCCACTTTGGCGGCACTTGAGGAGCCCCTTCAGCCCACCGCTGCACTGTGGGAGCCCCTTTCTGGGCTGGCCAAGGCCGGAGCCGGCTCCCTCACCTTGCAGGGAGGTGTGGAGGGAGAGGCGCGAGCGGGAACTGGGGCTGCGCGCGGCGCTTGCGGGCCAGCTGGAGTTCCGGGTGGGCGTGGGCTTGGCGGGCCCCGCACTCCGAGCAGCCGGCCCGCCCTGCCGGCCCCGCCCTGCCGGCCCCGGCACTGAGAGGCTTAGCACCCGGGCCAGCGGCTGCAGAGGGTGTACTAGGTCCCCCAGCAGTGCCAGCCCACCAGCGCTGCGCTCGATTTCTCACCGGTCCTTAGCTGCCTTCCCGCAGGTCAGGGCTCGGGACCTGCAGCCCTCCATGCCTGAGCCTCCCACCCCCTCCATGGGCTCCTGTTCAGCCCGAGCCTCCCCGATGAGCGCCGCCCCCTGCTTCAGGGCCCCAGTCCCATCGACCACCCAAGGGCTGAGGAGTGCGGGCGCACTGCGCGGGACTGGCAGGCAGCTCCACCTGCAGCCCAGGTGTGGGATCCACTGGGTGAAGCCAGCTGGGCTCCTGAGTCTGGTGGGGACGTGGAGAATCTTTATGTCTAGCCCAGGGCTTGTAAATACACCAATGGGCACTCTGTATCTAGCTCAAGGTTTGTAAACACACCAATCAGCACCCCGTGTCTAGCTCAGGGTTTGTGAATGCACCAATCCACACTCTGTATCTAGCTACTCTGGTGGGGCCTTGGAGAACCTTTATGTCTAGCTCAAGGTTTGTAAATACACCAATCGGCACTCTAGCTAGCTCAAGGTTTGTAAATACACCAATTAGCACCCTGTGTCTAGCTCAGGGTTTGTGAATGCACCAATCGACACTCTGTATCTGGGTACTCTGGTGGGGCCTTGGAGAACTTTGTGTGGACACTCTGTATCTAGCTATTCTGGTGGGGATGTGGAGAACCTTTGTGGGTAGCTCAGGGATTGTAAACGCACCAATCAGCACCCTGTCAAAACAGACCACTCGGCTCTACCAATCAGCAGGATGTGGGTGGGGCCAGATGAGAGAATAAAAGCAGGCTGCCTGGGCCAGCAGTGGCAACCCGCTGGGGTCCCCTTCCACACTGTGGAAGCTTTGATCTTTCGCTCTTTGCAATAAATCTTGCTACTGCTCACTCTTTGGGTCCACACTGCTTTTGTGAGCTGTAACACTCACGGCGAAGGTCTGTAGCTTCACTCTTGAAGCCAGCGAGACCACGAGCCCACCAGGAGGAAGGAACAACTCCAGACGCGCCGCCTTAAGAGCTGTAACACTCACCGTGAAGGTCTGCAGCTTCACTCCTGAGCCAGCGAGACCACAAACCCACCAGAAGGAAGAAACTCCGAACACATCCGAACATCAGAAGGAACAGACTCCAGACGCACCACCTTAAGAGCTGTAACACTCACCGCGAGGGTCCGCGGTTTCATTCTTGAAGTCAATGAGACCAAGAACCCACCAATTCCGGACACACTGTCTCTAATAAAGATAATAATAATCATACTTATATAATGGATTTTGGTAATTGGAAATTATTTCCTAAAATATAAATGTTATAAAAACAAGGATTTGTCTGTTTTGTTTACCCTTATACTTTTGGAGCCTACATGGTATTAGGTGGTTAGTAAATATTTGTTGAATAAATGTATGCATGAATGAATGAAGCATATAAAACACTTAAGAAATGCCTAGCACATGAAAAACATACAGTAAGTTCTAGCTATCATTAATAACTTAATATATAATATGGTAAGAAAAACTAACATTTATTTACATAAAGTAGAAAATTTGAAGAGTTAAAAGACTTGTGCAAAAAAAAAACCCAAAACACTATGAAATTCCTGACAGGAATGATAATTTTTATTTAAGAGGAACTGTGCAACAACAGAAACACAGTTAAATAAACTATGGTATATTCATAATTTAAAATAAACCACAGAAAGTGAAAAAAAAAGCCATACATAGTCACATAGATGACTCTCAGGAGCATATACTCTATTATTCCAGTTATATGAAGTTCAAACCAGGTCACCAAATATTTTGTAGTATTTAGAATACTTACTTTTGGGAAAGATGGAAAGTATAGGATTGGAAGGACATAGGGAGGACTCTAGTGTTAGTAATGTTTTATGTAGTGACTTGGGTAATAATTCCACAATAACGATGTTACTGAAATACCCAGGGTTCAGTCTAGGTCCAGTGTAGGTCCTGCTGCACAGAAAGCCAATCACTGAGAGGATTATTGCCAAGGAAGAAGGCTTTAATTTGGTGCTGCAGCCGAGATCAGTCTTAAATCCATCTCCCTGACCCACTAAAATTAGGGGTTTAGATAGCAGGGAAGAAATGTAATAATGTGTAAGAAAACAAGTAGGAGGAGGGGTAAGGAAGCAATCACGGTGAATGAGGGGTCTGGCATCTCATTGCCTGGACTGGTGATCTGGTGAGTTTCAGTTCTTTGATACTTTCTTTTTTTAGAAGCCTGAAGGTCATTTCCTGAGGAAGGAACTCAGATAAATTAAATATAAGTTTCAAGCCTTAAGACCAGATGGGTCAATTTCTATGTTTATCAAAAACAAAAAAGCAAACAAAACCTATCTATTGATGAGACTATTGGGTCAGTTTCAATAATTCATTCTGTATGTTTATTATTTCTCAGATTTGTTTTTGCTATCGTAACAACCCCAATATCTCGGTGTTCACAACAAAATGTATTTTGTTCCTTGCTTCCATTACATGAGAACCGTGGCCTGCTATGTTCTCCTGGGTTCACTTAGGCTCAGCTCAGTTTCACTTCATTCCAGGAATCTCCTTTCTGTGACCCAGGCTAGAAAAGTAGCTACTATTTGTGGCATGCTTTTCATATGGCAGAGTTTAGAAACTCAAGGGTGACAGAGGCAAACTATGCAGCTGTATTAAAATTTTCTGCTCAGATGTAGAGTACATACAGCTTGTTCAAAACTTTGTTTTTTGTCTATTTGACCCAGTCATTTCTGTTACCAGTAGAGGGTGTCAAAGTTCTCAGCATCTTGAACAAAGAATGGGACAAAATGCACAAATAAAGCAAGGAAAGAAAAGCACAGATTTATTGAAACGAGTACACTCCACAGAGTGGGAGCAGGCTCCAGTAAGCAGCTCAAGAGTGCTGGTTACAGAATTTTCAGGGATTTAAATACCCTCTAGAGGTATTCCATTGGTTACTTGGTGTACACCCCATGTAAATGAAGAGGCTGAAGTGAAGTTACAAAGTTATTTACTTGGTGTACACCCTTTGCAAATGAAGAGGCTGAAGTGAAGTTACAATGTCATTTACTTGGGCTTAGAAAGTTGGGGTTTTTCAGTTTGATTTAGTTCTAGGAAGTCCTTAGGTTCCCTGCCTCCAGACCATATTGTCCTGCCTCCATCTCTACATGCCATGAGCCAGACACATATTCTTCTGAGACATAGATTTCTTGGCAGATATTTTAAGTTTATCAAGCTTTGGTGGGAATATACCATTAGTCTCTATCCTCAGTCATTTCTCCAGCTGAAAATATTATTTTATGGATATAAATGAGGTCCCATATTAGTGGAATTTGAGTTAATCAAAATTATCTTGTAGGAGGGAGTGTGGACTTGGACCAGGAACCTTCCTGAAATAGGAAAGCTTCTCCTCTTGGCCTTGAAGAAGTAAGCTGCTATGTTGTGAAAGAGTCTGGGAGAGGACCACATAGCAAGGAACTGCCAGCAGCTTCAAGGAACTGCAAGTAGCCCCCATCTGACAATCAGGAAGAAAAGGGGAACCTCAGTCCTACAAATGCAAGGAACTGAGCTCTGCCAACAACAATCACATGAGCTTGGAAGATAATTTGAGCTCCAGAAAGGAAGGCTGCCAGGTCAACAACTTGATTGCAGCTTTGAGAGGACACACCTAAGCTGTGCCTGAACTTCTGACCCATTGCCTCTGTGAGATCAAAAAAATAAATAAATAAAAATAAAAATAAAAATCATATTGTTTTAAGATGCTAACTGAATTTGTAGTAATTTGTTATACAGCAGTAGAAAAAAATAATAGATGCTCCATTCCATAAACTCTACATGGCCTCACATTGGTTCTTGTACTCTTCAAACTATCTAGGTAGGTAGTGGTTCTCAAATTTCAGTGTGCATCAGAATCACCTGAAAGCCTATTAAGAAGGAAGACTGCAGATTCTCTTCCCCAAAGATTCCAATTCATTAGATCTAGGATGGGGTCCAAAATTTTGTAATTCTAACAATTTCTCAGGTGATGCTGCTGCTATTGGTCTAGAGACCACACTTTGAGAACCACCAGACTACCGTGAGTATAATGTGAGTATAATTATTTCCATGCACTTCAAATGCCATCAGTAGCAAACTACTATGAGAACATAAGAATCTGATAAAGACCAATAGTTGTCCAGTCTATCATTAATGGGCATTTGAGTTGATTCCATGTCTTTGTTATTGTGAATAGTGCTGCAGTGAACATACATGTGCATGTATCTTTAAAACTGAATGATTTCTACTCCTTTGAGTATATACTCAGTAATGGGATTGCTGGATCAAATGGCATTTCTGGTTCTAGGTCTTTGAGGAATCGCCACTGTCTTCCACAATGGTTGAACTAATTTACATTCCCATAAACAGTGGAAAAGCATTACTATTTTTCTGCAGCCTCGCCAGCATCTGTTGTTTCTTGACTTTAATAATAGGATTCTGACTGGCGTACGATGGTATCTCATTGTGGTTTCAATTTCCATGTCTGTAATGATCACAATGTAATGTAACTACATTGAGCTTTTTTTCACGTGTCCATTGGCTGCATAAATGTCTGGTTTTTTTTTTTTTTTTTTTTTTTTTTTGAGGCAGAGTCTCGCTCTGTCGCCCAGGCTGGAGTGCAATGGCACTATCTCTGCTCACTGCAAGCTCCGCCTCCTGAGATCATGCCATTCTCCTGCCTCAGCCTCCTGAGTTGCTGGGACTACAGGTGCCCACCACCACACCTGGCTAATTTTTTGTATTTTTAGTAGAGATGGGGTTTCACCATGTTAGCTAGGATGGTCTCGATCTCCTGACCTGGTGTTCCCCCCTCCTCGGCCTCCCAAAGTGCTGGGATTACAGGCGTGAGCCACCACGCCCAGCCAAATGTCTTCTTTTGAGAAGTGTGTGTTCATGTCCTTTGCCCACTTTTTAATGGGGTTGTTTATTTATTCTTGTAAATTTGTTTAAGTTCTTGGTAGAAGCCAAATATTAGACCTTTGTCAGATGGATAGATTGCAAAATTTTTCTCCTATTCTGTAGGGTGCCTGTTCACTCTGATGATAGTTTCTTTTGCTTTGCAGAAGCTCTTTAGTTTAATTAGATCTCATTTGTCAATTTTTGCTTTTGTTGCAATTGCTTTTGATGTTTTTGTCATGAAGTCTTTGCCTGTGCCTATGTCCTGAATGGTATTGCCTACATTTTCTTCTAGGGTTTTTATAGTTTTGGGTTTGACATTTAAGTCTTTAATCCATCTTGAGTTAATATTTGTAGAAGGTATAAGTAAGGGATCCAGTTTCAATTTTCACTTTTTCAATATGACTAGTCAATTTTGCCAGCACAATTCATTAAATAGGGAATCCTTTTCCCATTGCTTCTTTTCATCAGGTTTGTTGAATGTCAGATGGTTGCAGATGTGTGGCCTTATTTGTAAGATCTCTATTCTGTTCTATTGGTCTATGTGTCTGTTTTTATACCAGTACCATGCTTTTTTTGTTTACTGTAGCCTTGTAGTAAGTATAGTTTGAAGTTGAGTAGCATGATGCCTCCAGCTTTGTTTTTTGCTTAGGATTGTCTTGGCTATATGGGCTCTTTTTTGGTTCTGTATGATTTTTAAAGTAGTTTTTTCTAATTCTGTGAAGAATGTCAATGGTAGTTTAATGGGAATAGCATTGAATCTCAAATTACTTTGGCGCAGTATGGTCATTTTCACAATAGTGATTCTTCCTATCCATGAAAATGGAATGTTTTTCCATTTGTTTGTGTCCTCTCCTATTTCCTTGGGCAGTGGTTTGTAGTTCTCCTTGAAGAGGTCCTTCGCTTCCCTTCTTAGCTATATTCCTAGGTATTTTATTCTCTTTGTAGCAGATGTGAATGGGAGTTCATTTATGATTTGACTCTGCTTGTCTATTGTTGGTGTATAGGAATGCCTGTGCTTTTTGCACATTGATTTTGTATCCTGAGACTTTGCTGAAGTTGCTTATCTTAAGGAGGTTTTGGGCAGAGACTATGGGGTTTTCTAGATATAGGTTCATGTCGTCTGTGGTACATATACACCATGGAATACTATGCAGCCATAAAAAGGAAAGAGATCATGTCCTTTGCAGGGAAATGGATGGAGATAGAAGCCATTATCCTCAACAAACTAATACAGGAACAGAAAACCAAACGTCACATGTTCTCACTTATAATTGGAAGTTAACAATGAGAACACAGGGACACAGGGAGGGGAACAACACACACTGGGGCCTTTCAGAGGAACAGGGGGAGGGAGAGCATCAGGATAAATAGCTAATGCTTGTGGGCCTTAATACCTAGGTGATGGGTTGATAGGTGCAGCAAACCACCACAACACATGTTTACCTATGTAACAAACCTGCACATCCTGCACATGTATCCTGGAACTTAATATAAAATTAAATTAAATTTAAAAGAAATCATATGTACTTCATAATTATATACACCTAATATGTACCCATAAAAGTTAGAAAATAAAAAAGCATGACACAGCAAAAAAAAGCCAATAGCTGGCTTTCTTTCATGTTAAAGGTTTGCACAAAAGAATAAAAAAGAGACAGAAGTTCTATTAAATGATATTCATTAGGCTTAATATCTGAATTTCATTAAGCTACCCGATTCTCATTATGCCTTAGGTAGGTAAGCAGGTGTACATTTCCATGGATGCACTGAGACATAACTTTTCCCCACATTATAATTTACATTCACATTTTTCTTTACTATTTTTATTATGGTTGGCCTGATTTATAGTAGAAATTGTTAAAATGTCATAATCAATATTTATACCTGAAGTTGTTACAGTTCAATATTCTGTATTTTAAGAGGGCTCAATAAATAGAAACTGAATTGATAATTATTAATTAAGTGTATAATATCCTTGTTTATACTACCTAAACAATTCAATACAAACTTTTCTTAAAGAATTACACCCACTCATAATAATATCATCAAGAAGCTGTGAATTTGCTATTCATCTGTTTCAGTATGGGGTTTAATAGCTGGGCCAATACACCACGGATCTAAAAGACACTATACATATCAAGATAATAACATATACCTAGGCTTTCTATGTTTGATGTTCCAATTTGTTTAGACATAAAAGTCACCACTTGTGTCTTTATTTTATATAAATTTTTTTTAACAGTAGTACTTCTTTCTATGCTGGCAGCTTCCAAGTAACTGCAGAATGGCAAGAACTACATCATTTAACGAATATTCATATCAAAGAGACAGTTATAACATTTTTCATGCCATTGCTCCTTTACCCTTCCTCAACACACTTTGAGAATTACAGTGAATTTTTGAAATCCTGAAAGAACTATCTTCAATCCTTACACTAGGCTTTAAAAAATATTTTTAAATAATATACCTTTGAATTAAAAAGGGAAAGAAATTTAGAAATAAATATTTGTGGGAGAATATCACATCAGCACATCCAAGATAAAATAATACATGAGAGTTGAGACTTAAAAGTGGTATAATAAATTGCTAGTAAAAAAGCATAATAATAATAGATAACATAACATTAACACAAAAATATAAGTTCCTCAGAGATAAGAATGTTTGCTTTTTGTTTACTTTATTCCTTATTTCTAGAATGATAAAAGTCCAGAATGCCTGTTGAATAAATGAATGGTTGAACAAATAAATGAGTGTGTTTGATACAGAAAAGAGATCATGATTCTCCCAGTCATCCAAAGCACATCTGTGAACCTCAGTATACTTGGGAGCAACAATCTGGAATATGGAAAGGTCCAGATTCCAGCACAATGCACTAGGTTCTCAGCATAAAAATGAAAAATACAAAATCTTGGTGTTCAAATGTCCACAGTCCAAAGCCAGATATATAAATAGTTCTGATACAATGATACAAGTGCAAAAAGAGTTATATGTATTAAAGGGCCATAGACTGGCTGAAAAAACATCATTTGAGCATTAGCTAAAAAGATGAGTGAGAGGAGGGAAGAGTAGAGGCACGCAAAGCAAAAGTACAGAAGTCCCAAAATTCATAGTGTTTTTGGAGAACAGTAAGCTGTATATTTCAAACTTTTAACCATAACCTGAAGCAAGAAATATACATACAGTACTTTTTTTAGACGGAGTCTCGCTCTTTCACCAGGCTGGAGTGCAGTGGCACAATCTCTGCTCACTGCAACGTCTGCCTTCCGGGTTCAAGCGATTCTCCTGCCTCAGCTTCCTGAGTAGCTGGGACTACAGGCGCGTGCCACCATGCCCAGCTAATTTTTGTATTTTTAGTAGAGACAGGGTTTCACCATGTTGGCCAGGATGGTCTCGAACTTCTGACCTCGTGATCTGCCTGCCTCGGCCTCCCAAAGTGCCAGGATTACAGGTGTGAGCCACGAAACAAGTTTTATGAAATAATACCCACCTTTACTCATTTGACACATTTAGTATTTTCTGATCTATTATTTCTTCTTAATGGTGGTCAAGTTGCACTAAATTAAAATTTCAAGATCATTTGTTTGAAAAACTGGGTTTGAGCATTGAATAGACGTGGCAAGCAGATCGCTGAAATGAAAATACTAAGAATGCTCTGCCAGCAGAACTCCAACTCTTCTCCCATGCAGGTGGTTTGCTGCTGAGCCGCACGGCTTAGGGAAGGGCTATGATCTAGGTCCCTTTCCTACTTAAAACATCTCACTGTGGTACAAAAGATCAGTAAAGAACTCCTTCTCTATATCAAATAAAAGGGCAGGAAAGGAAAGTGCCACAGACCTTTTTTAATCTGCTCTAGGGATAATGTTTGGTGCTTACCACTATTCTATCTAGAAGCATTAACAGTATTTAAAATTTATACTATTCTCATTTCTGGGAGCATTCCACATTCTATCTATATCTGGATC